>NC_000003.12:12510000-13760000 GCF_000001405.40 Homo sapiens
CCTTCTCCCCAAGGAGGTATAAACTGTTTTTTACTTGATACTGAAGATTCTAAGATTGTTGTATGACTTTCAATTAATTATTTTACTTAATGTGGTAGCATGCATTCTTTTTCTTGAAAAGCCACCATTGAATTGAGGTATATCAAAGAGCTGCTAACATCTAGACTGGAGGCAGTGTGGTGCATGCATTGGTCTGCCACCGAACCCTTGGGTCGGAGTCCCATCCTGTGCGCAGTGCGAAGACCTTGCCACCGTCACCAGACTCCCCATTTGCTGAGTTTCCTCACTCACTCTGTGTCACATTCTTTAACTGTGTTGATATCATTCAGCTGTGGCTCTGAGTTTGTTGATACATGTCGATTTCTTAGTCTAACTCCAGTTTTAGAGGCTGCCTTACTGGTACTTCTGTGTATTGTTCGTATATACTTATAAAGCTTTTAAAGTGCGTGAGAAAATTTCTCTTATTTAGAAAATAAAGACAATAGTCCCCACACAGGAGGACCAGGTGGGAATGCTTGGAAACAAAGGGACACACCAGGGTCGGGCGACAGCTCTCCTCGTGCCTGACAGCAGCAGTCTCAGTCAGATCTCGTTTACGCATCGTCTTGTGCCCGGCTCTTCCATTTTGTACCTCACCCGTTTTTCCCACATTTCTTTTCCCGTGCTTAGTGTCCATAATATGGATTCCAAGTATCAGAATCTGGTGATTAGAATGTCTAAGATTCTTCCCTAGAATTTTGTGGTTATTTTTTTACTGCTACGTTGTTTGACTAGTCTCCCTCCCCTGCAATAGGTCAGTGACTTTCCTTCTATCTAAACTTCTGAAAATTTTCCAGAGACTTCAACTGTGAGACAGTTTGGGTCCTTTTAGCAAGAATATATACTTACAGCAGAGCCTTTTGATTAAGGTTTGAAAAACTACTCTAATTTCTCTCTATAAATATATTTATATTCTGCATATATACCCAGACACACAGGAAACTTCAGGTGAACTGCTTTGAGGATCAGGTTTTGTTTTAAAAGCCTTTGTGTGCTGGTGGGCAGGAGAGAAAAGAACTGCAGTTTTGCCATTTGTTTCATTGATCCTTGTTTTAAGCCTACAGCATCCAGTATTCCCAGGCAGTCTCCACTCCAAGTACTAACCAGGCCCAACACTGCTTAGCTTCTGAGATCAGACAAGATCGGGCACATTGAGAGTAGCATGGCTGTAGGGCGTTATTAATTTTTAAAGTTCACTTGAAATCATTAGAGTAGCTAAGAAAAAAAAAAGATCTTACTGCAGCTGTTAATAAAACATAAAGTAACAATTAAAACAATATAGTCTTGGTATAGGAAAGGAAAGATTGGGCCACAGTCTACAAACAGACCCATTTATAGATGGGATTTCAGGGTACAATAAAAATAGCACTTAATATTAGTGAAGAAAAGATTCATGGTGTTGAGACAGCTGATTAGCCATTTGGAAAAAGACAAAGCTAAAATCCCATCTCCTAACATAAACCAAAATAAATTTCAGGTCAATTAAAGATATAAAGGGAAATTTGAAATAGAAAACAAGGATAATTATGCTTTTTTTTTTTTTTTGAGGCAGGGTCTCTCTCTGTCACCTAAGCTGCAGTGCAGTGGTACAATATTGGCTCACTGCAGCCTCAGTCTCCTGAGCCCAAGCAGTCCTCCCATCTCAGCCTCCTGAGTAGTTGGAACCACAGGCACATGCCACCACGCCCAGCTAATTTTTGTATTTTTGGTAGAGATGGGGTTTCTCCATGTTGTCCAGGCTGGTTTCAAACTCCTAGGCTCAAGTGAACCACCTGCCTTGGCCTCCGAAAGTGCTAGGATTACAGGTGTGAGCCACCCTGCCTAGGTTTTATATATTTTTGAGATATGGATAAGTTCTTCTAAGAGGCCATAATATATAGATTTCATTACCTAGAAATTTAAAACTCTATGTTAAAGACAAAGGCAAAATTACAGGCAAAAGATGAAATGGGAAGAAAATATTTGCAGCATGCACTATAACACACAATAGACAGTGTTCTTGGCATTCCTCAGTTTCCTCAGATGTAACGTTCTCCTTCAGAGGAAGATAGTGAAGATTGAATGTAGTGTGATATGTGTGAGGTCTCTGTCCTGGAAGACACTTAGCAATGTATGTTCCTCATTGTGTCGCATCCCTCTTCAAGCTAGCCAACTTCCCTGGGTGGAGTGAAGACATAGCTTTAGTTCACAAAATGGCAGAATATTTTTAAATGAATATATTTTCTGTAAATTTAAAATGGACTTCAATGCAATGTTTTTTATGGGCAGTTTGGAGAAAGACGTGTGTGCTGAGGGAGGGCTAGCACTCACATGAAAAAACACTTCTTGGAAATTGTGCTTTATTTTTGCTTGAATTGATATAACAGCTAATGACATTCAGTGATGTATACACAACGACCAGCACAGTTCCTGGCACATGTAATAGGTGCTCGTTTGGTTCCTGCCTTTATTCTCTGCCTGGTAGCAGATACATACTCTGTCTCTAAATTGTTGATAATGATCACAAAATAGATCTTTTACTTAAATGGTGAAAGTATTACACAGTGACTAGGTCTTTCACACACACAGTGACTAGATCACATTAGTAGAATACACTTTTTTCCTGGTTAGGCACCTACAACTGTATTCCCACATGCCACATGGCATATTCCACATGCAACATCTTCCTTACCTCTGCTTTTAGCCAGTGACATTTTAACCCATACTTTTTGTGAACCGGTCATGGTGATGATTTAATGTTCAGTCTGTGCGAGTATTCATTTCAGGGATAATTAGATTGCCATGCCAGTTAGCTAATGTATTCCATTGTTTCATAGGGATCTGTTATTGAGATCTATTTTTCCATTACAACACTTGAGGGCCCTAACTACATTTAGCAGTATGATGTTAAAAACTATCATTAAACTTATCCTTCCATCTTATTAGTACTGCGAAAGTAAAACTTACTAATGAGATTGCAGGGGATGTGATTGTCAACCTCTACAGACCTCTCCAGTCTACTGATAATTTAATTTTAAATAAAACCAACTCAGTTGAATTAAGATCCCCTCCATCTGTAGTAAGTGCCTAGTCGCATTTTGCATAGATGATCAAAGCCAGTCACCATTTTAGGCCAATAAAAATGAGATATTGGTTTCATTCACTCTTGGGGAAATGTATGCTTGCTGATAATGAAAACACATCAGTTTTTGAAGAACTTACATTTTAGCAGATATCAAGAAAGAATCTCTTATTAGGCAAGGATGGGATTGAACCTTTTTTTCCAGGCTGTGCTATCCAGTTATTAGAAAGGGAAGAAAACTAAGGCCAGCCACGGTGGGTCATGCCTGTAATCTCAGTACTTTGGGAGGCCGAGGCGGGCAGATCACCTGAGGTCAGGAGTTCCAGAAAGGAGGAAAACTAAAATTAATTGAGCTTTTAGGTGCTTTTCATAGCTTATTAAATCTTTGTACGATTTGATCTTATTAAATATTTAGCTAAGAAAGCATTATTATCCCCATTGTATAGATGAGGCATGGAGAATTTAAGTGATACTTCCAAGGCCCTAGCTAACAATGACAATTTGAGCTCAGGTCTGTCAGATCTCAAACTTCAGTCTTTGTGTTACACTGTTCTGAACCAAGAAGTGCAAATTGTGGTAAAATGCAAGGGACTCAGCCATTTAAGGAAACAACTTTATCTTTTCCATTGTACCTTTTGGCTGGTAGTCCATCTGAAAAACAGCAGTATTCTGTATTAATAAGTAGTGAGTGATGGAAAGAGAAAAGGTCAAAATAAGATTGTGGGCCACTTGGCAGGGCTGTCAACAGCTGTGAAAGAAATGGAACGCAATGTTCACACTGAGAAGAGATGAGCTGAGTGAGGTGCAGAGACCTGCTGTAGGGTGGCTCTGGCTGTTGGGGCCTAAGCCAAGGGCAGGACTGGGGACCTGTCTTTTTTGTCTTTCAACACAAGCATTGAACACCCAACATGTGCTAGACCCCCTTCTAGGCCAAGGGAACAGCAGGCAGTTTCTGTTCTGCCAGAGTTTACATTCTAGTCGGAGGAACACATGTAAGAGGAAGATTTTCAGACAAAAGTAAGTGCTCTGGAGATGATCAGGATGGGGGTTACTTAGACTTGGTGGCCAGGGAAGACCTCTCCAAGAAGTGACCTTTGAGTCTGGAGCAGAACATGCCAGATAGTAGGAGTAGTGATTACAGAGGCAAAGGCCTGAATGAGCTTAGTGTCTTCAGGGGACAGAAGTGCAGCCAGGACAGCTGGAAAGAGCAGTGGTAAGATCATGCAGGGACCTGGAGCTGGTGGCAAGCAGTTTGGACTTTATTCTAAGGGCAGTGAAATCTCTTTGGAAAGTTTTAATTAGGGGAACGACGTGATTTTCGTGTGCCAAGAAGATGAATCTGGATGCTATGGAGAGTGGACTGTAGAGGGCTCAGAACAGGGAGGGTGTCACAGAAGGCAGGAAGGAGCCACCCACAGACTTGGGACCAAGAAGGCAATAGGAAAAAGTGGAATAGAAGGTGACCACCTTCATCTCCAGAAATGCTCTAGATTAGGATTTGGGTAAAACTAAAGTAGTGGTCCCTCGTATCTGTCAGTGTTTATCAAATTATAAATTAAAACAAAAATGTTGAGTATCAGTTTAACACATTTAAAAATAATAATAGTGATGTCTTCAACAGCACATATACTAAAATTGGAACAATGCAGAGATTAGTATGACCCCTGCCCACGGATGACACAAGTTTGTGAAGCCTTCCATATTAAAAACAACAACAACAACAACCCATACCTTGACATAAATACTTTAATGTAAGTTTTTTATGAAAAATAACTAATTTTCCAAAACAAAAAATTTGGAAGAGGCTTCGTTTTTCATTTTTGCAAGTCGCTTTAAGGTCTAATTTCCTGAAAGTCAGCTAGATTCTTGCATCTGCTTCTTGATTCAGTCTTGGGCCATCACACGTCTTATAGTCACTGGAGAGAGCACAAATGAGGCAGATAACACCACGTTATTATTATGAAGTGGTTTTGACCTTGAGACCTCCTGCAAGGGTCTTGGGGATCCCAGGATCCCCAGACCACCCTTTGAGAACTGCTGCTATGAAGACAGATGTCATCAGATAGCCAGGCAGAGAATGACAGGGTATTCACTGCTTGGAAGTCCTTCCACCTATATTACTTGTGCTGTCTTTTGTTCTGTGTATGCCGGGTTAGTGGTGGGGTGGAAGGACAGTGAGGAAAGAAGCTGAGTGAGCAGTTTGTCAGTGCGTTGTTGCTGCACACAAGCCTCAAAGCTTATGACAGGGAGGGGATTATGTTTCTGCTCCCACACTGCACAAGAGGGGCCCTCCTCGTCTGTGTCTGCTGGAAGCAGCAGTGAGAGCCGAAGCAGAATATTTGATGTTTGGTTATCAATCTAATTTTTCACCTTCATATTTAAAAAGAAATGTGACCCCATTTTACCACTGGCTACCATTTGGTCACTACCTGCTCTGCACCAATCTCATGGGAATCCCTTCAGTGGTATCTGTAGACCCTAAGCGCCCTGGACAGGCAAAGCCAACAACACATGGCTCTTTGGGTGGTGTCAGTGTTTGGCAGTGTATTACTTTAACAGAAAGCCATTTTCATTTCCATTTAAGTGTGACTATATTCAACTGGAGCCAATTTTCTTTGCCATTCCTACAGCCTCCCCCCACACAGTAAAATATATCATTATGTGAGGTCAGTGCAAACATAGGGTTCTAGAAAATCACTTCACCAAAGATGACTGGGAAACTAGTATTTTGTCAGGTAAGCAAAATCAGCACTGCCCCACACTTTTCACACCTTTTTTTTTTGTTGATATATTTTTCTCAATTTAAATATGGTTATTTAATTTTACAGGGAGAAACTCCAATGAGCAACAGTTTCTATTGCTATAGCTGTTAACATCATTCTTCAGTTATATAGGTTTTTTAGGGAATAAATATGGAAACATTCATAAAAATCTTTTATTTTTATTGATTTAAGCCAGTTTGTAACATTTGTATTTTCTTAGATTTTTAAAAAAATCTAAGACATTTGAATGAACCATTTATATTAAAAATATGTGACTTTTGGCCAGGTGTGGTGGCTCACACCTGTAATCCCAGCACTTTGGGAGGCCGAGGCAGGTGGATCATGAGGTCAGGAGATCGAGACCATCCTGGCTAACACTGTGAAACCCGTCTCTACTGAAAAAAATACAAAAAATTAGCCGGGCGTGGCGGCGGGCGCCTGTAGTCCCAGCTACTCGGGAGGCTGAGGCAGGAGAATGGTGTGAACCCAGGAGGCGGAGCTTGCAGTGAGCGGAGATGTGCCACCGCACTCCAGCCTGGACGACAGAGTGAGACTCCGTTTCAAAAACAAACAAACAAAATATATGTGTGTGTGTGTGTGTGTGTGTGTGTGTGTGTGTGTGTGTGACCTTTTTGATGATGACTTAAGAGCATTTGTATTTGAGGTGAAAAGAGATCAGTCTGTAAAATGGTTTCACAAGAATGTGAAACTATTTGTAATGAGCATTTTCTGCTTGCTGTATTTTCAGGCCTTTTTCTTGGTCTATGCTCTGGGATGTTTAAGTATTTACTATGAGAAGGTAAGATGCTTTGTTTACATACAACCCACTTAAAATTTCCCTGTTGTTAAAAGCAGGTTGTACTAATTTCTATATTGCATTAATACAAATGTTTCTACTCTTACTGAATAAAATAGGAATTGAATTTTTCTCTAAAGTTTTGGATTTGGGTCCTGAGGTGGGACTGTTCGAGCAAAAGGCATCTTTGACCCTTTTAGATTGCATTTCATTCCTCAAAACTAGGAGAAGTACAGTATCTTGTACTGGATAATGATTAGGAAATCTGTGTCAGAACAGTATTAAAAATTAACAAAAATAAAAGTTACCCGTATTTGGCACCTACTATGGTAAAAGCTATATTTTAGGTACTTTACACGCAATATTTCCAGTCCTTATCTCCACCTGGTTAGAATTTGCAGATAAGGGGCCGGGCCCGGTGGCTCACGCCTGTAATCCCAGCACACTGGGGGGCCGAGGCGGGCAGATCACAAGGTCAGGAGATCGAGACCATCCTGGCTATCCTGGCTAACATGGTGAAACCCTGTCTCTACTAAAAAAATACAAAAAATTAGCCGGGCGTGTTGGCATGCGCCTGTAGTTCCAGCTAATCAAGAGGCTGAGGCAGGAGAATGGCATGAACCTGGGAGGTGGAGGTTGCAATGAGCCGAGATAGCGCCACTGCTCTCCAGCCTGGGCGACAGACCGAGACTCTGTCTCAAAAAAAAAAAAAAGAATTTGCAGATAAGGTAACTGAGGCTCAGAGAAAATAAATAATGTACCCAAAGTCACACAGCTAGTCTGGTTAGAATAAATATTCGAACCTATGTCCAAGTAACTCCAAAGCCCATGACTTTGTGCTGTTGTTGCCTGCTGCCTTTGGAAGGGAGATAATTGTAAAATAATTCAAATAAAATTTAAAAGAGAAAAGTAAACAGAACAGTAAATGGAGCAGATAAGGTATATTCTGTTTGGCTCTTGGGAGCACATAATTTAATCAGTCATCAAATTCTGATTGCATAAATACCGTTCATGGGTATTCCAGCCGTTTGGAAGCAATGTCTGCCTGACAAATGGCTCATTTTCCCAAATGGTGGCAATTCTTAGCCCCACCCTGCTTCCTCTCGCGGGCCTTAGCTGAAATGTGTCAGAACGTTACAGCTGTGACATAAAAGCCTCAACATCTGAACAACACTGGGCTGTGTTGGAAATTCAGCCTTCTCTATAAGGCTGTTGCTTGTTACTCACATTGGGGTCACAAGGTCACACAGGTATGGAATTTTTGCATTAGGAACAACTGCAAAAAAAAAACAACTCTAGTCTATTGTATTATAATCTTAGGCTGGGACAAACTGAGCCAGTCTCACTGAGTGACTGAGCCTTAAATCAGCTGAAGACTTGATTGTTTCAGTAACTACTGAAATAAAGCAAAAATTTTCCAAACTTACCTAGTTATTTTGTTGTCATTGTATTTTTGGTAATGATACATCAGAATATTCTCTAGACCAAACTATTCTCATTCTCTTTGACTCCCACATTAAAAACAAAATTGTCTTTTAAGCAGTTAATTATTAGTTTGTGCCATCAGATAACAAATTCTCTAGTTTCAAACACTAAATGGAGGTTTGTTTGTTTGTTTTTAAGTTTTACTATAAAAGTGTTTTTTGTTCTTCTGAACATGAGCTGACATAGAGTAGCCACTCACTAAGGGTCTGTGAAATGTTGTCACGAACTGTGCTCCAGCCTTGGTGGGCTTGTTACAGTGAGCCCCCTGCATGCACTGCTTCCTCTGCCTGGAATGTCCTTCCCAGCCCACCACCACCCCCTCCAGTCCTTTTCCCTCACTACTTGTCATGCTCAAATGCTGCCTTTTCTAAGTCCTCTGGAGCAGTGCTGTGCAATAGAAGGACAGTGAGAGCCTCAGATGGGAGCCATGTGTATAATTTCAGATTTTCTGGTAACCACATTAAAAACATTTTTTAAAAAGCAGGTGGTATTTTAATACAGTATTACACAGTTTATTTAACCCAACTTATTCAAAGATATTGAAATAGTTTATATTCTCTCTTTTTTTTTTTTTTCATACTGAGTAGGAAGTCAGTGTATATTTTACACTTAGAGCCACTCTCAGTTCAGACTAGCTATGTATGGCTGGCAGCTGCCCCACTGGACAGGGCAGGACCAGACCTTCTTGCTAAATTGCTCTGCTGGGAGTGAACCGAGATCACGCCACTGCACTCCGGCCTGGGTGACAGAGCGAGACTCTGTCTCAAAAATAAAATAAATAAATTGCTCTGCTGGGGGAACTGCATTTTCTTCACTGCTTCAGCTCCACACTTAGTATAGATGTTGGTGCCCTGGCTGAACGGAGAGTGAATGCATACATAGTAATGCTTTTTGTTTTTTTGTAAATAACTTTAGGAGCCTTTAACGATAGTGAAGCTCTGGAAAGCTTTCACTGTAGTTCAGCCCACGTTCAGAACCACCTACATGGCCTACCATTACTTTCGAAGCAAGGGCTGGGTGCCCAAAGTGGGACTCAAGTACGGGACAGATTTACGTAAGTAATTCTTGGCGTGGTGTGTGTGAGAATAGAGTTTATATCAGATTCACCCTAGAATATCAAATTGATCTTGTGTGCTGTTGATGATGTTTTCTAAGAAGGTATCCTTTGGGTTTAGATAAGATTATTGGATATTTGGATTGGGTTAAGGGTAAGTGCAAAAAGAGAAAAGGCAGTCTAGGGAGAAGGCCTAGGAGTAGAAGCTTGCAACGCCAGTTCAGGCTTTCCCTCTTGTTTGCTCTATGATCTTAGAAAAGCGTTCTGGCTGAGCGCCGTGGCTTACGCATGTAATCCCAGCACTTTGGGAGGCCAAGGTGGGTGGATCACGAGGTCAGGAGATCGAGACCATCCTGACTAACAAAGTGAAACCCCTTCTCTACTAAAAAATATAAAAAATTAGCTGGGCGTGGTAGCGGGTGTCTGTAGTCCCAGCTACTCGGGAGGCTGAGGCAGGAGAATGGCGTGAACCCGGGAGGCAGAACTTGCAGTGAGCCGAGATCGCGCCATTGCACCCCACCTGGACGACAGGGCAAGACTCCGTCTCAAAAGGAAAAAAAAAGAAAAAGCATTCTATAGCACCCACCCCCACGTCTCTAGCCATGAGATCGGGTAATTTGGGAGAGTCCCTTATCCCCGGGCCTCAGTGGCCTCATCTGCCAAGTGAGAACAATCATATAATTGTAATAATCGCCACAGCCATCATTGAGCACTTGCCATGTGCCAAGCATTTTACTAAGTATTTTACATTCATCATCTTGTTTAATCCTTACAGTAGTCCTATGCAGTGGAGACGCTTACTGTCTTTTTTTTTTTTTGAGACGGAGTCTCGCCCTGTTGCCCAGGCTGGAGTGCCAGTGGCACAATCTTGGCTCACTGCAACCTCCACCCCATGGGTTCACGCCGTTCTCCTGCCTCAGCCTCCCGAGTAGCTGGGAATACAGGCGCCCGCCATCACACCCGGCTAATTTTTTGTATTGTTAGTACAGACAAGGTTTCCCCGTGCCAGCCAGGATGGTCTCGATCTCCTGAGCTCGTCATCTGCCCACTTCAGCTTCCCAAAGTGCTGGGATTATAGGTGTGAGCCACCATGCCGGCCGTATTGTCTTCATTTTCTGATAGGGAGACTACAGTTTAGAAAAAGTAGGTCATTGCCCATAATAGTTTCCAGGGCCAGTAACTTGCAAAGCTGCACTTTGAATTCTGAAGCCCACGCTTTTAGAAATGTCTGACAGTACTGCCTCCCTTGATCTTTTCTTTTTAATTAAATCAATATTTTACTTATTTAATTTTTTTAACTTTAAATTTAGGGCCAGGTGCGGTGGCTCACGCCTGTAATCCCAGCACTTTGGGAGGCCGAGGCGGGCAGATCGCTTGAGGTCAGGAGTTTGAGACCAGCCTGACCAACATGGTGAAACCCCGTTTCTACTAAAAATACAAAAATTAGCTGGGCGTGGTAGCAGGCACTTGTAATCCCAGCTATTTGGGAGGCTGAGGCAGGAAAATTGCTTGATCCCGGGAGGCAGAGGTTGTAGTGAGCTGAGATCACGCCACTACACTCCAGCCTGGGTGACAGAGACTCCACCTCAAAAAAAAAAAATTTTTAGGTTCAAGGGTACATGTGCAGGTTTGTTACATGGGTAAATTCATGTGACAGGGGTTTGTTGTACAGATTATTTGATCACCCAGGTACTAGGCCTAGTACCCAGTAGTTATCTTTTCTGCTCCTCTCCCTCCTCCCTCTCTTCACCCTCAGGTAGACCCCAGCGTCTGTTGTTCCCTTCTTTGTGTTCATAAGTTCTCTTCATTTAATTCCCACTTACAAGTAAGAATATGTGGTATTTGGTTGTCTGTTCCTGTGTTAGTTTGCTAAGGATAACAGCCTCCAGCTCCATCCATGTTCTCACAAAAGACACGATCTTGTCCATTTTTGTGGCTGCCTAGTATTCCACTGCATCCCCCAATCTTAAAGTGAGGGTCTGGAGTAGGTGAGTTCCTCATTCAGCAGATAATGACTAAAGGTCTGCTGTGGGCCAGGTACTGTTTGAGGCATCAAGAATACAGAAGTGAACAGGACAAACAGAGCTGCCTTCATGGAGTTTACATTCTAGGGGGATGGGGGAGACACACAAGCAAATAACTACATGACGTAGTTTCTGCAACAGATAAGCACTGTAAGAAGAAGCAGAGTCAAGGCTACCCAAGGTCAACTGTAGTCAAAAAGATTCAGATATCTGCTGGGCACAGTGGCTCACGCCTGGATTCTCAGCACTTTGGGAGGCCGAGGCAGGTGGGTCACCTGAGGTCAGGAGTTTGAGACCAGCCTTGCCAACGTGGTGAAACCCTGTGTCTAGCACAAATACAGAAATTAGCTGGGTGTGGTGGTGCATGCCTGTAATCTGAGCTACTTGGGAGGCTAAGGCACGAGAATCTCTTGAACTTGGGAGGCAGAGGTTGCAGTGAGCCAAGATCACACCACTGCACTCCAGCCTGCACAAGAGAGTAAGAGTCTCTTAAAAAAAAATAAAAATAGGCTGGGCGCGGTGGCTCACGCCTGTAATCCCAACACTTTGGGAGGCTGAGGCGGGCTGATCATGAGGTCAGGAGATCGAGACCATCCTGGCTAACACGGTGAAACCCCATCTCTACTAAAAATACAAAAAATTAGCCAGACGTGGTGGCAGGTGCCTGTAGTCCCAGCTACTCAGGAGGCTGAGGCAGGAGAATGGCGTGAACCCAGGAGGCGGAGCTTGCAGTGAGCCGATTGCGCTACTGCACTCCAGCCTAGGCAACAGAGTGAGACTGTCTCAAAAAATAATAATAAAAAATAAAAATAAAAAATAAAAATTAAGATATTTTGAGAGATCAGATTCTCATAACTTTCATTATAGTGTATTGTTATAATTGTTCATTTTATTAATGTTCTTAATCTCATACTGTGGTTCTTTTGTCTGCAACTTTATTTTAATGATCAAGTTATACTTTGGATGATGCATAGGGGAAGCTTCCTTAATTTAAAGATATTCTGCCTTATAAGGATGGTTGGACAGATGGATAGATGGATGGACAGATAAATAGAATTTTGAAAACAAAAAAGATAAACTACTCAGTTTACAACTCCCCTGGAGGCCTTTGCCCTCACTGGGACATATCATCTAGAAACAGATGTACAATTAATACATTAATTGTACAATTAATGTGGGACCAGGTCTCTGACCCACACACAGAGTCAGACTGGGCCAGCATCAGTGTTAAAAGTGTCTTCACATTCTCTGCATAAGCAAAGGTTCTTGAGCAGTGCTAGTCTGGGATATGAGGAGCGGCTTCCTAAACTCTACCTCATCTTCAGGCATGGCTGCACAGTTCCTGCTGCTTTTTAACGATATTATTTTAATTTCAAAGGCCAATGACCTAGTCACATGAAGCCTAGAACTGCCAACATAGGCTAAACTCTTAACAATTGTTTTTCCTTAGAGAGCTAGTGACTCCTAATACAAGACCATTGTGAAATTCACACCTTATCAGGGAAACTTTTCCCTTGAATAAATCTTGTCAATCAAATTTCATTCCAGGAGCAGTATTTGGAAGAGGTGATATGGTTCTCAAATCAAGTGCAGCTGCCAACCTAGTTGACCTTATTTGCCTACTGGGGAAGCCAGGCCAGAAGCCAAGAGGGAGCCTTTCCTTACACTCCCTACTCAGCAGCTCCCCTGGCTGCCAGCTCCTAGGGCCAGCCAGGCACCTTGCCTTGGTGTTTTCTTCTGTTGTTTCATTTAATCTTCACACTCCTGTGAGGTCTGTAGTAGTAGCTTCCTTTTGTAGCAGAGGAGTTTGAGGTTTAGAAGGGTTAGGTAAGTTGCTGGAGTACTTAACAGCTCGTTAAGTACACAGATTAGGGCTCTGTGGGTCTATCCTCCCTATCTTCCTACCATACCTAAGTCATGTTGCCTGCCAAGAAGCCGAAAACTAACGCAGGATTTATATTGTCTTATGTACACAGTTATGGTTTGATTTGATTTGGTGTGACCCAAAGGTCTGGTTACTCCTAAGCCTCCTTCCCAGCCAACCCTAGTTAGGGATTTGCATTGACTGATAAGTATGATTTCTGAGCTTTCTGCCAATTTGAAGTCCCAGCACAGAAATGGAATGGTGGGAGCCATTGAAAGCTAGCAGAGTTATAGAATTTCCAGACCCAGAAGAAACCATGACCTGTTGTGACGTCCAGCCCAGAGACTAACAGTTCTGTCCGTGAATGGAGGTCAACAGAGCAGCTCTCTGTTTGTCACAGAACAAGAAGATGTGTCTTCTCCTCATCTTCCTCTTTGATTCTTTTTTTTTTTTTTTTTTTTTTTTTGAGACAAAGTCTCACTTTGTTGCCTTGGCTGGAGTGCAGTGGCACGATCTCGATCTCGGCTCACTACAACCTCTGCCTCCCAGGTTCAAACCATTCTCCTGCCTCAGCTTCCCAAGTAGCTGGGATTACAGGCGCACACCACCACACCCAGCTAATTTTTGTATTTTTAGTAGAGACAGGGTTTTGCCATGTTGACCAGGCTTGTTTTGAACTCCTGACCTCAAGTGATCTGCCTGCCTCGGCCTCCCAAAGTGCTGGAATTACAGGCGTGAGCCGTGGCATCCGGGCCTTTGATTCATTTCTAAGCCACCTCCTGGCTTGTTTTTCTAGTCAAACTTTTGATATATTTTTGTTAATATTCTTCACGTTTACGTACATAATCCATATTAATCCGTAAGTATTTTTCATGTGTACCTCCAAAGAATAGGGACATTCTCCTACATACCATGTAATGCCTGAGAAAAATTAGAATTACTTAATATCATCCAAATATCCAGTCTATACTTAAATTTTTCCAGTTGTCCTTGTAATGTCTTTTGTGGCTATTTTGGTTGTAATTTTTATAGAGATGGGGTCTTTCTGTGTTGCCCAAGCTGGGCTCAAACTCCTGGGCTCAAGCCATCCTACTGCCTGGCTTCCCAAAGTGTAGGATTACAGGCGTGAGCCACCATGCAGGCCCCTGGCTTTGATTTTCTTGTTACAATCACATTTGATTATTATATCTACCTTTTAGTTTCCTAGGGCTTATAAGAAATTACCACAAATTGGGTGGCTTAAAAGCAACAAAGATTCATTCTGTCACAGTTCTAGGGGCCAGAAGTCTAACATCAAGGTGTCATC
Organism: Homo sapiens; assembly: GCF_000001405.40. Taxonomy (NCBI): domain Eukaryota; kingdom Metazoa; phylum Chordata; class Mammalia; order Primates; family Hominidae; genus Homo; species Homo sapiens. Next base: position 12,524,392 of record NC_000003.12, read on the forward strand.
AGGGCCAGGCTCCCTCCAAAGGCTCTGGGAGAGAATCCATTCCTTGTCTCTTCCAGATTCTTGTGGCCCCAGGCGTTTTGTGGCTGGTTACTGCATCCCTCCAGTCTCTACCTTGTCTGTCTGTGTCAAATCCCCTTTCTCTTATAAGGACACTTGACATTAGATTTAGGGGCCATCCAGCTAATTCAGGATGATCTCATCTCAAAATTCTAAACTTAGTTACATCTGCAAAGACTCTTTTTCCAAGTCACATTCCACATTCCAGGTCACATTCACAAGTCAGGGATTAGGACATGAACATATCTTTCTGGGAGCTGCCATTAAACCTACTGCAATCTCTTTGGTCTCTTTTTTTTTTTTTTTTTTCTTGAAACAGAGTGTCGCTCTGTTGCTCAGGCTGGAGTGCAGTGGCGCGATCTCAGCTCACTGCAACCTCTGCCTCCCACATTCAAGTGATTCTCCTGCCTCAGCCTCCTAAGTAGCTGGGATTACAGATGCTTGCCACCGTGCTTGAGCTAACATTTGTATTTTTAGTAGAGACAGGATTTCACCATGTTTGCCAGGCTGGTCTCGAACTCCTGGCCTCAGGTGATCCACCCATCTTGACCTCCCGAAGTGCTGGGATTACAGACATGAGCCACCGTGCCTGGCCTCTTTTAATCTGACATGGTCACTCTACCTTCTTGTTTCGTTTGTCATGATGTTGACTTTTTTCGAAGTCTTTTAGGATGTTCCCCATTCTCCATATGTCTGATTGTTCCTGATGATCAGACTCAAGCTCGGGTTCTCTTAGCACACGTAGGTGATGTGTGTGCTTATTGGAGTGTGTCAGGAAGTGCATGAAGTCAGGTTTTCCTGCTGTGGTGATGCTAAGTTTGATGGTGGCCATTGTCAATGTCTGTCATATAATTACAGTTTTTCTTTTGTAAAAAACAAGTCATTTGTGGAGTGATACCATAAGTAGTGATACCATAAGTACCATAAGTGATACCATAAGTAGATACCATAAGTATAATCTAATAATTATAATAGTTGTCTGATTTAATTATTGCACTAATCATTTTCTGGTTTTGTCATTCATTCCACACCTCTGTCTAGCATTCTTCTGTAAGAAAGAGTTTTCCTTTTATACTCCCTGTTCTTTCAGACCTTATTTTTACTTTTATTTATTTATGTAGTTTTTGAGACAAGGTCTCACTCTATCCCCGAGGGTGGAGTGCAGTGGCACAATCTCAGCTCACTGCATCCTCAACCTCCTAGGTTAAAATGATCCTCCCGCGTCAGCCTCCTAAGTAGGTGGGACTACAGGCATGCATTACCACAGCTAATTTTTTTTTATTATTTTGTGATTTTAGTAGAGAAAGGGTTTCAATGTGTTGGCCAGGCTGGTCTCAAACTCCTGGCCTCAAATGATCCACCCACCTTAGCCTCCCAAAGTGCTGGGATTACAGGTGTGAGCCACCGCGCCCGGTGGTTTGTTCACACCAGCATTACCACAAACATGCGAATAATCCGTTGCACTATGACAGCATGATGGCTACGATGTCATTAGGTGATAGGGATTTTTCAGCTCCGTTATAATCTTATGGGACCACGGTCATATCCATCATGGTTCATTGTATGTTAACCTGCACCCAGCCAGGTTAATTTATTATTGAAGAAAGAGACCAGGCATGGCGGCTCACACCTGTAATCCCAGCACTTTGGGAGGACAAGGCGAACGGATCCTTTGAGCCCAGGAGTTCAAGACCAGCCTGGGCAACATAGGTAGACCATGTCTCTCTCTCTATATATGTGTATAAAAAAATCTAAAGACAGAAAAAAAGTGTTTATAAAGAGTACAGTAGCACACAGTACTGTCCTAGAACTTCGCATTCACTCACGACTCACTCACCCAGAGCAACTTCCAGACCTGCAGGCTGCATTCATAAGTCCCCTATACAGGTATACGGGTTTTCTCTTTTATATCGTATTTTTACTGTACCATTTCTATGTTTAGATACACAGATATTTAACCATTGTGTTATAATTGTCTACAGATTCAGCACAGTCACGTGCTGAACAGGTTTGTAGCCTAGGAGCAATAAGTGATATCACATAGCCTATGTGTGTGGTGGGCTGTACCATCTAGGTTTTGTGTAAGTACACTCTACCATGTTTACACAACAACGAAATTGCCTAAGGACTCATATCTTAGAACGTATCCTCATCATTAAGCCACACAGACTGTAATTGTTACTAGCATAGGTAACTTTGTGATGCTTACTGTATGCCATACACCGTGCTAATACTTCTGCCTTCACCATAATCCCCATTTTTATAAGGAAATTGACATAAAGAGTTGTCCCATGGTCTTGGCACTGCTGACTTGACCTTGGGTCCATCTGCTGCCAGTGTTCTTGCTTAAACTAAGCTGTGCTGTGTCGGAGCCCATCATCAGAAATTACTTGCCTTGTGGGTGTGAGCTACTTTGAAGCTGTGTAATGCTCCAGGTGCATATTGGATTAAAGATGTGTGTTTGATTACAGGTAATGTCATTTGAGGACTAGAAAAGATCTCAATTTCCCCTGATGTCTTCATTTTAGGATTTTGGAAACGGAGGCTCAGGGAAGTTAATAACTTGCCTAAAGGCACACAACTTGAAGAGGCAAAGATTGGGCAGGGAACAAAACTCCCAAGTTCACTTTTGTTCCAGTACATGGTTTCTTTCCAGTACACTCCATCTCAAAAAGTTGAAAATTGTATGTTTGGATATTTACTTACATTTGTGCCTCAGTGAATTTGAGCTGACTTGTTGAGTACTTTAAATACAACTTAAATAGGAAATACAGAAAGGAAATGTGACCATGGAAAATACAGACGCAAAACAAGACTAAGTGAAGGGTTACTGTGTCGTCCTTGGGGCCCTATATGGTTACTAAAGTCATGCTACAAATTTGGCTCTGAGCTTCCTGAGCCAAAAAGAAACATGATTAGTTACAGGATTGATGTGTCCAAAAAGGAAAATTCTATCCATTCCTCAAGGGAAACAAAACTTTTCCTTGAACTTTTCTTTTTTTTTTTTCTTTTTTTTTTTTTTTGAGACGGAGTCTCGCTCTGTCGCCCAGGCTGGAGTGCAGTGGCGGGATCTCGGCTCACTGCAAGCTCCGCCTCCCGGCCTTGAACTTTTCTGAGCTGGTTTTAGCACAGAGGACAGCTAACAGCTTACAGATGTAATTGTGTCGTTATGGCAATTCCCATAGCTGTAGTTGTATATAAACCCTAAGTCTCAGGGGCTTAACAATAAGAGTTCATTTTTGTTCATGTGAAATCCAACACGGCTGTCTCTGATTGGCGGCCCAATCAACTCCAAAAGATGCTTTAGTAACTGCTTCCTGGTGGCTCCCAGTCTTCAGCACACAGCTTCCAAGGTCACGTTCCATACCTAACTGTACGGGAGACTGAGAGCTGTGGTCTGGCCATGCACCTGGGGGAGAAATAACTGGATTTGGTGAACAGTTAGCCAGTCCCTGCCACAGACCATGTGCCTCTGAAGGGTTCCCTGCCAGATTCCAGAGTCTGTGTGTCAGAGTCCCTGGCCCCAGGCTCCTTCACTGAGTAGCTCTCGACCTCCACAGACTGAATTCCCCCATCTTCTTCAGGTCCTCAGTAATGGAGCAAACTGATACTTGAATGGCATGTATGGTTATGACTTCTATCACTTGACTTTGAATTTCTTAAAAATAGGCATGAGTCTTATTCCTCTTCTTTTACCAACCCCTGTCACAGTAGCTGGCCAGAGTAGTGAGTCAGACACTTTGCATTACGTTGATCTGAAATCAATAACAAAATATTGATCCACATTCTATGAATTTTACACCTCTCAGTATGATTCACACTCACTCTGGAGAGTGTAAGACAAGAGGCAAGGCAAGATTGCCTGTACTTTGACTTTGGAATTTATTTGTAGGGTGAAACGAGGTGTTAGGGTCTTGGCAACAGATTTCTTTACTAATTGTACTTTGTTTCAGGAAAAAAATAGTTTGGATTTTAAAAATAGATGATGGTGGCTGGGTGTGGTGGCTCACACCTGTAAACCCCCACTTTGGGAGGCTGAGGCAGGAGGATCACTCAAGCCCTGGAATTTAAGACCAGCCTGGGCAACATAGTGGGATGCTGTTGCTAAAAAAAAATTTTAAATTAGCTGCGTGTGGTGGTGCACGCCTGTAGTCCTGGCAACTCAGGAGGCTGAGTGTGGAGGATTGCTTGAGCCCAAGAGGGCAAGTCTGCAGTGAGCCATGGTCATGCCACTGCACTCCAGCCTGAGTGACAGAGCGAGACCCTGTCTGAAAAAATAGACCACAGGCATATTGCAGATGATCTGTCTACATATAGATTATTGAGTATTTGCTTCCTTTTGGAGAAGAAAAGTTAATAAAGCAAGCTTTTTGTTGAGTCTTACTCCTCTCTCATTATTTTGAGTGGTTATACTTCTTTTTTTTCTTTCTTCTTTGCAGTGCTATATCGGAAAGGCCCTCCATTTTACCATGCAAGGTTCGGAGTGATTTTTAAATAAACTAATGGGTTAAAGGGACACAAGGAATTTCTGGCCTCTAATTTAACTTTTTGGTGCCATAGGAACAAAAGTCATGTTCTTCCTGGCCTGATACGAATAGATGCTATATGTTCATGCCTCCTTACACACTAATGTCATTATACTATATATAGGATGATGCATAGTTTATGATAATATATGTTCTAGTGTTAAACACTGAGTTAATCTGTGCCGTAATTGTTCATTTTAACATCACTTAGGCCAGGTGCGGTGGCTCACGCCTGTAATCCCAGCACTTTGGGAGGCCAAGGTGGGTGGATCATGAGGTCAGGAATTCAAGACCAACCTGGCCAAGATAGTGAAACCCCATCTCTACTAAAAATCCAAAAAAATTAGCTGGGCATGGTGGCAGGCGCCTGTAATCTCAGCTACTCAGGAGGCTGAGGCAGAGAATTGCTTGAACCCAGGAGGCGGAGGTTGCGGTGAGCCAAGATCGCACCACTGCACTCCAGCGTGGGTGATAGAGCGAGACTCCGTCTCAAAAAAAAAAAAAAAAAAAATTAGTTAGTATTAGTGCCTAAACAGTTGTGTGAATTTACAGCTTTCACATTGGGAAAAGTATTTGTTTTTTCCTGTAAGTTTTGGAATCAGCCTGAAAGTTTGTAACTTAAAGTATGAATTTTTCATTAATATTTTCTCAATAGCAATTTAGGGGAATTTAGAATCAGATGATGCAAATTTCATTTTCTGTATATTTGTTCTTGGTAGGACAAATATTCTTTTTAAACAGATTTATTTCATGATTACTTTTAACATGCTTTTTCTGTATTTTCCAGTTATTCTGTCATTATCGAGCTAGTTGATGACCATTTTGAAGGCTCTCTCCGCAGGCCTCTCAGTTGGAAGTCCCTGGCTGCCTTGAGCAGAGTTTCCGTTAATGTCTCTAAGGTAACACAACATCAGCTTTGCCATTGGAGTGTCACTTAAATGGTTCAGTTTTTTTTTTTTTCTTAAATGTAGTAGAATCAAAAAAGTTAGTTGTAGAAACTTCATAACATTCCTGCCAGTGACATGCTGGAAGATTTGGGGTCATTCGTACCCTTCCCTTATTGCGCTAGAAGTTGTCCTCCCCTCATGTTACATTTTATTGTCCCCTCCCTCCCAACTGCTGCTGAGCTCCAATGACGGAGCTTTGGAGTGTCCCATGGTGATCTGATCTGGGTAGGCATTGCTTCTCTTCCCAGGGGTATCGTTGCTATGTGACTTGTTTTATACTGCAATTTAACATTCACTCATACACATATTCACAAAGGAGTCAAAACATTGAAAGTTTGCAGATCTCTTAGAGAGGAAGGGACTTGATATTTGTTGCTAAGCACTTTCCCACCCTGTTGTTATCCTCATCCTGAGGATGAGAAACCAAGGTTGGAGCCGTTGAGTGGCTAATCCAAGATCACACAGCTCATGTGCATACTCGGGATCCAAACCCACAGCTCTCTGGCTCCCTGGCTTTTGTTTCACTATATCCTTCGTGTTGCCATCAGAGATAGGAGGGACTCAGCTTACACAAGGACTATCAAGAAAGAAAGCTGTGTGTGTTCTCATTACTCAGTGATTTGCTGGCTGAAAACAAATTGTAGATACCCTCTAATTTCATCCTCATGCTGCTGGAGGTGAGGTGGGGCTGAGGCCAGAGGGTCTTGCAGGGCTAGAGATGACTGCCCTTTAGAGCAGGTTAGGTTGCCTAGGCTTTAGCTTGGTCCTATAGAAAATTAGGGAGCCTATACTGTTTCTAGAATTTTTATGCCCATTTTAGGGGACTTGTAGCATATACTTAATATGTCCTCACTTAACATTGTTGATATGTTCTTGGAAACTGCAACTTTAATGTCGTATAACAAAACCGTTTTTTCTTCTCATCATTTCAAGAAAACAATGTTGAAGTTTATTTGAAGACCTGCTGTACATCTGTATTAGTCCATTCTCATGCTGCTATAAAGAAATACTTGAGACTGGGTAATTTATAATGAAAAGAGGTTTAATTGACTCACAGTTCCATGTGGCTGGGGAGGCCTCAGGAAACTTACAATCATAGTGGAAGGCACCTCTTCAGAGGGTGGCAGGAGCAAGAATGAGAGGATGAGTGAAGGAGGAAGCCCCTTATAAAACCATCACATCTCATGAGAACTCACTGTCACAAGAACAGCATGGGGACCGTCCCCCATAATCTAATCACCTCCCACGAGGTCCCTCCATGACACGTGGGGATTGTGGGAACTACAAGATGAGATTTGGGTGGGGGCACAGCCAAACCGTATCAACATCATTTCACTTAAAGTCCGTGTCCAAGAACCTATCAAGGACATTTGAGGACTTACTATATTTAGTATTCTTAATGCTGTGTTTATAATCAATGTATCTGCTTATATCTGTTGCCATGTTCAGTGATTACTAAACGGCAGGTACTTAGTCAGAACGTAAATCCCAGTTATGGTTTCCCCAGGAGGAAACTGATGTGCTCTGTGAGTTTCCACTTGGAGTGCACAGTGAGAGGGACTGGAGACCACCTGCATTTCCTGCTGATGCACCCAAATTTGTACTATTATTTTGTAGGATACAGAAGTGGTTTTTCATTTCTCAATAGGAACTTATGCTGTGCTATTTGATTAAACCCTCTACTATGACTGACAAGGAAATGGAGTCACCAGAATGTATGAAAAGGATTAAAGTTCAGGTGGGTAAACTCAGAGAAATTCATGTCATCCCAAAGATTCTGTGAATCATAGTGTATCTGGAACATGTGGTCCCAAGAAAATACATGAATACAGTTTTGCCTTGGTAACAGAGCCTTCTCAGGCAGGCTCTTAAGTCTCTCACCTTTTCCCCATTGAACCCATTGGACACGAAATCTATGCTGACTTCCTCTATTCCTTAATTCCCCACTTTATTACCTGTGATGTCCCCATCACTCAGCTGAAACTGCTCTCTTACAGGTGGCCTGTGACCCCCTGGCCAGGCCAGGACTTCTCACAGGTCTCATTCCCAGAGACCAGAGGTGTCCCTGTTGACTTGTTCCTGCTTCTGGGCTTCTGTATTGAACCAAGGCGCCTCCTGTCATCTTGGCTTGTTTCTCTCTGGTCTGGCCGAGTTGTCTAGTGTGTGTCCGTGTTTCTGCATTCCCTCCCTCTGTGTGTAGAGCCTTAACGTTGCCATTGGCTCCTCCCAACATCCAGTATGTCTTTGTTGTCGTCCTGTCTTCTTTTCACACCACCCTGCCCCTGCAGACCTGCTGGTCGGTCTCCAGGGCCCCAGCACGTCTTCCCTTCAGTTGGTCCCACTTATCTCCACTAGGCTAGTTTCTCATAAAATGCTCATCAACCTCATTTCTCCCTTCTCAGTAGCTGGCCCCGTTACAGCAATGCCATCACAGACCTAGCTCTAATGTAAAATGCTAGCTTTCATCCCGCCCACCTGTTTCTGAAATGTGCTAGTAGAATACCACAGCAGAGGCAAGCTTAGCTGTTAAAATCTTTGCCTGGTGAAAGTAGATACTGTATGCTTGTAAGGTTTATATTGTTACATTCATTTTCTCCAGATGTTTCTGTTCTAAAGGTGGGAACAGTATCATCATTATATAGACCGCCCTTTGTGAAATGTAGCTGTGGTGTCAGCTGTGGTGTCAGAATGGTCTTACATTTCTGTTTTAAGAAATGGTCTTTTTTTTTATTGGTTGTAGGAGGTGATTCTGAGTCGATGGGTTTCTTCACGAGAGAGGAGTGACCAAGACGATCTTTAACAATTCAACCTCAAATTTCTAATTTCACCAACAACTATTTATTGAGGGCTAGGTAAAAAGTTCTTTTTGTTGTAATCGTCCATTAATTCATAAGTTTTAAAGGGCATGGTGCTCCCAGCACCAGAAAACTATCAGTGTTTTTAAAGATAAATTACACAAGGGAGGAGAAAGATCCCTGTGCTAGGACTGCAGATTCTATACTTGCGTTGGCCTCTAACTCTCCAATCCAGAGCCTCCTGCCTCTGGCGTCAGTCTTTTCCCTCATCCACTCACTGGGGAGATTGGACTAGAGGAGTCCTGAGAGGACACTTCCAACAAGAGACATTTATTCTCTGATTTTACCTGAAAATGGTAGTAGTTTACATTTATACAGTACAGTTTATGAAGCACTTTCATACGCAGGCATCTCTTGTTACCTACATCTAAGCTGTTCCCGAAAGAGTGTTACAGAACACAACAGTATTGTACAATATTCGATAAGCATATCTTCACTGCACTTGTTATAAAAATGAGTGGTGAAATAATGTTTGGAGACATAATGAAAGCGATTAACATTTGGCAAAATATAATAAAGCCTTTTTGTAATTGGTGAGAAAGTCATGAAGACTTAAGTTGCCTCAGGGCATCTGGTGGCAAGAGGAGGGAGATGGGTGGCTGGGCATGGTGGCCCATACCTATAATCCCAGCACTTGGGAGGCCTTGGGAGGCCAAGGCGCATGGATCGCTTGAGCCCAGGAGTTGGAGACCAGCTTGGGCAACATGGTGAAACCTCCTCTCTACTAACAAAAATTATCCAAGCATTGTAGCACATGCCTGTAATTCCAGCTGCTCAGGAGACTAAGGTAGGAGGATCGCTTGAGCCCAGGAGGAAGAGGTTGCAGTGAGCGGAGATTGTGCCACTGCAATCCAGCCTGAGCAATAGAGCAAGGTCCTGTCTCAAAAAAAAAAAAAAAAAAAAAAAAAAATGTGGGTGGTGGGGAAATGGGAAGGGGGAATACTTGCTCTTCGGTGGTAGAATACTTAGGCTAAGGTGGTAGCCTGAGCTGTATCCTCTTAATGGGTCCAGACACTACTTGAATGATATTGCTGCAAACCCTTACATGTTTGTTATATTTAATTTGGATAGCCAATATGGGGTAAAATATTTTGCAAACCGTGATAGCAAACATTTGGAGAGTGGGAGTTGAGATGCGGCAGATGCCTGTGTATTTATCCCTGCAGCAGCCTTGTGAATTCAGGAGGAGGGACCCACAGAGGGGTGTTTGAAGCTCAGAGATGTTGGCGGGTGTGCATCACTACCAGTCATGCACGTGGAGGACTGGACCTGAGATCACTATCTCAGCTGAAATGGCGCTATCCTAAAAATTGCATGCAGTCAGAAATAGAGCCCTGTTTGGTGGTGGTGGTGGTTAACAAGGAAGGCCACCCACCACATCGGGCAGGGCCAGCTTTGTGCTCCCACACAGTCCTCTACCTCGGGTGGGGTGCAGCCTGAAGCCCCCTTACTTACTGGTTATGCCTGTGATTTTGCAAACAGTGTCAGAAAGATTCCATGACGACCACCTATGGATCCAAGGGTAAGAACCTTGGTGCAGTGTGTGGTACTTGGCTTTTAATTCCCCAGAGAGAATTCTGAAAACTGAGTAGTGAAATGAACCTTCTAGAAAGGAATGCTTCAAATCTCAGCTCTGCTTCCCTGTGGTGGTGTGCCTTGGGCAGTTTACTTGCCCTTGATAACCTCAATTTTCTTATTTCTAGCATGTGGCTAATGATGTTTACCTAATCGTGTGGTTGTGTGGGTAAAGGAGAGCCCAAAAAACACTGTAATCCCAGCACTTTGGGAGGCCGAGGTGGGTGGATCACGAGGTCAGGAGATCAAGACCATCCTGGCTAACACGGTGAAACCCCGTCTCTACTAAAAAATACAAAAAAACTAGCTCAGGCGTGGTGGCAGGGCCTGTAGTCCCAGCTACTCAGGAGGCTGACGCAGGAGAATGGCATGAACCCAGGAGGTGGAGTTTGCAGTGAGCCGAGATCGCGCCACTGCACTCCAGCCAGGGCGACAGAGCGAGACTCTGTCTCAAAAAAAAAAAAAAAAAAAAGATTAGCTGGGTGTGGTGGTGGCACCTGTAATCCCAGCTTCTTAGGCTGAGGCAGGAGAATCACTTGAACCTGGGAGGTGGAGGTTGCAGAGAGCCGAGATCAAGCCACTGCACTCCAGCCTGGGGGCAGAGTGAGACTCCATTAAAAAACAAAAACAAAAAAAACCTGAAGTTTCATTGTTACTTATTGACAACTTTAAATTGATAATTTAAAAAAATTTGTCTTAATCATTTTACCTTTATTGTTACAACGTATTTGCTTTCTCTTTTTTTAAGAAAAAAAAATTCTATTTACTTGAATGTGGTTCTTATTTTCACCCTTGTGGAGAATTACTTGGATTAAAAAGAAACAAATTTTCTCTCCTCCCCACCACCCACCTCCCATGTATGATTTTACTAACTGAATTGAATTTTTAAAATCTCATTACAGACTTGAATAATCATCCCATGAATGTTAACTCCCCTAACACTATAACCGAGGCCCATTTCTAAAGTTGATCTTAAAACTGGAAAATTTGAGTCTATCTAATTTTGTGAAATATAGGGATGCCTTTTACATGATGTAAAAGTCATATTTGTAAAATGGTTAAACTAGGAGGCAATATTTTTATTGCAAGTATGATCTCTTAAGTGAAAGGTTTCTGTCATTTAAAATTTTTAGAGTCTTTATATTTTCATAAACAGTATTTCAAAGGCAAATGTTCTTTCTAACGTTGTGTGTGTGTGAGATGGAGTTTTGCTCTTGTTGCCCAGGCTGGAGTGCAGTGGTGAGATCTTGGCTCACTGCAACCTCCACTTCCTGAGTTCAAGCGATTCTCCTGTCTCAGCCTCCCAAGTAGCTGGGATTACAAGTGCCCGCCACCATGCCTGGCTAATTTTTGTATTTTTAGTAGAGACAGGGTTTCACCATGTTGGCCAGACTGGTCTCGAACTCCTGACCTTAGATAATCTGCCTGCCTCGGCCTCCCAAAGTGCTGGGATTTTCCTAACTTTTAAATGGCACATTCTGGTAAAGTAGAATCAGAAAACTCGGGTCCACATTTCAAATCACCACTGGGAAAACAGGGGCGACGTTGGAAACGTTGCTTGATCACTCCGAGCCTTGGTTTCCTCAACAGTAAAATAAGAATAATTACCACCTCCTCAGTTGCTTTGCAGACTGAATGAAATGAGATGACATACAAAAGCGTCTGGCACACAGTAGGTGTACTTTTCCCCTTTCAGACAAAGTGTAAGCATTGCCATCCTTATTTTCTCTAGGAAGTGCAAAGCCTATTTTATGCCCTGGTAGGTGAGTCAGTGGAGGAGAAGAAGGTGGTAGAAAAATAGCTGGAGGTAAAGTAGTGAAGACAGCAGAGGAGATTGGGAGGAGAGGCAATACTGTAGTAAGCACCTGCTATACACAGGGAGCTAGATGCAGCCATTGTGGGGTTTTGTTTTGTTTTGTTTTTTAGTAATGGTAGGTTTTCCTGGTTCTAGGAGTAATTCATGCATGCTGTAGAGGCTTTGGAAGATTACCTTTGTATAGATCATTTTAGTGTTTCAGATAGGAAACACTGTGGCACTTGCTGTGAAAAGGATCCTGGTGGTCATCCCATGAACATTGATTGAGTCCCAGATGTGTGCTCCGGGGAGTGCTGAACAATGGAATAAAGAAGCACATCTCAGGAGGTGCTGGGAAGAAACTTGGGATTTCATCTGGGGAACAGAGTTGCTGCCAGTGCTTCAGTTAGCATTTAGCTGGTACGATAAAGGAAACTTAATCTAAGGAGTCTCAGTTCATAATTCTACAGACTGAGCAACATTGCCATCTGTTGGTGTAAATCAATGGCTGATTTCCTTTATTAGGGGCAAAACCTATAGATTGGTATGTGGTCTTATTTATAAGAGGAGGGGGCCAGGCGCGGTGGCTCATGCCTATAATCCTAGCACTTTGGGAGGCCGAGACGGGTGGATTGCTTGAGGCCAGGAGTTCAAAAACTAGAGTGGCCAACATGGTGAAACCCCGTCTCTACTAAAAATACAAAAAATTAGCCGGACGTGGTGGCAGGCACCTGTAATCCCAGCTACTCAGGAAGCTGAAGCAGGAGAATCACTTGAACCCGGGAGGTGGGAGGTTGCAGTGAGCTGAGAGCACGTCACTGCACTCCAGCCTGGGCAACAAGAGCAAAACTCCGTCTCAAAAAAAAAAAAAGGAATTCGTAGCCTGCTGAAGTGAGAGAGAAGAAATATGAGGCCAGCTCTTGCCAATGTCACCTCCAGGTTGGAGAGCACCCCCTAAAATAAGAAATGGGGACCATCTAAAGCTTTCCTTGAAAATTAAGGGGTGAGAATCCCAGCACTTTGGGAGGCTTAAGTGGGAGGATCACTTGAGACCAGCCTGGGCAACATAGTGAGACCCCGTCTTTACAAATAATTTTAAAAAATTAGCTGGGTGTGGTAGCATGCATCTGTAGTCCCAGCCACTGGGAAGGCTGAGGTGGGAGAATTGCCTGAGCCCAGGAGGTTGAGGCTGCAGTGAGCCGTGATTGTGCCTCCGGAATCCAGCCTGGGCAACAGAGGAAGACCCTGTCTCCAAGAAAATAAATAAATGAAAAAGAAAAGAGCTGCAGCCCCTAAGGGAAATTAGCATGAAATAGGCATTTCTTATATTATTTATTTTAGCTGACTTTTATTGTTTACCTCCTTTCCATGTTTGAATGTTGATAAAAGCAAATCCTCATTTTCTCCTTTTTCTTCTCTAATGATGGCAAAGTATTGACCCAGTTTCTGCACATACTAGGTACAGTTGGTCCCTTTCGATTTGCTGGGGTTGTCCTCTTGACCACTGCAGTGTGGCCCAGGGGTTAAGGGCACAGCTTTCATGGTCAAACCCTGGTTTGAACCCCAGTTTTGCCACTGTATGACTTTGGACATTTCCTCAATTTCCCTTTTCATCTATAAAAGAAGCATAATGTTAAGACCCACCTCAGAGGATGGTCTTGAGGATTGACAAGGAAGAATAAGTGTTTCTTCTGGTGGGGAGTCCTTTATGAATACTCATTAAATGCAGCTGCCGTTACTACTAATAATGAGTAAAGAATTAGACTAGAGAAGCTGAATCCTAGTATAAAATGTGAAGAAATGGGGGCAAATTGGAATTCTTTCATCTTTACCCTCTGGGGTTTTGTTGATTTCTTGAACACCATGGAATACTAGTCATAGTTCTGCTTAAAATGGTATCAAATTCTGGGTGGGCAGTTTTGTGTTTGAAGGAAAGTACCTGAGCTTGTAAATGCAAATGTCGCTATGCCATGCATTCTTTCCCATTGACGTTAACTGTGCTGAAACATGGACTAAATGCCTATTTGGAAACAAGCTTTAAGGATCTGTAGCAAGTTTTCTGAATATCTTTATTACTAATGTTAAAGGATAAAACACATTAAAGTTTATTTGAGCAAACAGCCATTCGTGAATCAAGCCGCACCAAAACTGAAGTGGTTCGGGCTCCCGAAAGAGGGTGTGAAGGGAGGCTTTTAGAGGGTGTGTGAGGAGGCACAGGAGAGAAGTTGGTTGGTTAAAGTTTGAGCAGTTGTCTTATTTAGGTTATCCCAGTGGCAAGTATCTGATTGTGTAACTAACGCTCAGTTGGCCATTTAGGATTGGCTGATCTGAAGTTTCATTTAGTTTAATTTGGAACTGGGTGTTGGATCCATCTCGGTGTAATGGCTTCCCCCTAAGTTATTTTAACACGAGGCGGTTATTGGTACCTTTAAGATGGGTTTCATTTTTGGAAATTAGACATCAGTTAGTACCAAGGCTGGGGAATAAGATTAAGTGAAGTAGTACATCACATTTGGTCAAAAACAACCAAGTTCTGGAAGAAGTTTCCAAAGAGGAATTTGGGAATGTTTTGCATGTTGGCCTTTTGAAGTTCGATGATTGTTTCAGTGCACAAACTCCAACATACTTGTTAAAAATTACCTCATTTCTTTACAGTTTCTCATCCCAGTTTCCCCAGCCTCCTGTGAAGGTGTCAGAGAAAGAAGATAGCCCTCTCTTCATGTGCTTTCTGAACTCTGCCTTTTCAGTGGGCAGAGGAAGTGCTTTGTAGCAGCAAACCCAACCCCTGAGCCTCCATGTGTCGGGTCAGGCAAAATGAAATTGACACAGGCTGGAATTTTACTGATTTCAGTCATTGCTGGGCTCGTTTGTGCAAATAGACTCAGAAGAGCTCCTTTAAAAGGAGTGACCATTTCCTGATTTAGATTCTGAGGGGGTTTTTGGTTTTTTTTACTGTTGTTCACTATCATGAGCTTACCATGTGCTTTTTTCTTTTTTTTTTTCTTGTGATGTAGTCTCGCTCTGTCGTCCAGGCTGGAGTCCAATGCTGCGATCTTGGATCACTGCAACCTCTGCCTGCTGGGTTTAAGCGATTCTCATGCCTCAGCCTCCTGAGTAGCTGGGATTACAGGCACGCACCACCACACACGGCTAATTTTTGTATTTTTAGTAGAGACGGGGTTTCACTATGTTGGCCAGGCTGGTCTGGAACTCCTGACCTCAAGTGATCTGCCCGCCTTGGCCTCCCAAAGTGCTGAGAGTACAGGCGTGAGCCACTGCATCCAGCTCTTAGCATGTGCTTTTAAAGTAAAAACCACGAGGAGAAGGTACTCATTACTTCATAACTTGTGTCTCACCCACCTTGCTGTCTTCACATCCCCACTTTCTGTATGCACATTGGAAGGTGAATTTGTTCAGCTCACATTAATTTATAGGAATAATTTTCATTGCTCTGTGAATAAAATGTGCTACCACTTTATGCTGTAAATGGATTCTTAGTTTAAAAACCTCATTGATATGAAAATAATTTTGTTGGAATGCATATAATTTTTAAAACCTAGGGCAATTTTTATTTTATGAAGTCTTATGATGTAGTAAGCTGACATATGCTTGAAGGAAAGCCATACACGTTTTTATTTTTTATTTTTTATTTTTTTGAGATGGAGTTTCACTCTTGTTGCCCAGGCTGGAGTGCAATGGCACGATCTCAACTCATCCCAACCTCCGCCTCCCGGGTTCAAGCGATTCTCCTGCTTCAGCCTCCCTAGTAGTTGGGATTACAGGCATGCGCCACCATGCCCAGCTAATTTTATATTTTTAGTAAGGACGGGGTTTCTCCATGTTGGTCAGGCTGGTCTCAAACTCCCAACCTCAGGTGACCTACCTGTCTTAGCTTCCCAAAGTGCTGGGATTACAGGTGTGAGCCACCATGCCCGGCCCATACACGCTTTTATTAACCACAGTTAAATGCATTTAGAAATCCATAGTACTGATTAAAGGTAGCAACCACCCTACCCTCCAGCGTCCAGGCTGCGCTTACATAGCTCTCAGCACAAACCGCCGCCCTCAGGGGGTTGTGCCTGCTGCTGGGGACAGTCAGTGACGTAGAAGCCATGCTCCCGTATCGCCCGGTAGAGTGTGATGAACTTGGATGCCAGCCTTGTCCGCGGGACCACGTACTTCTCCGTAAATTCACCCTTGTCCAGTTGCTGTCTACCTTCTGCCATCAGAACGCAGTTAATGAACGTGAGTGCGTAAGAGTAGCAGTTATGGTGGTTGTCTTCATACCTTATGGAGGAGAATAAGGGTGTTGAGAAGAAAAGGCTGCTCAGAACAGGCTGTCAAGCTACTGAAGGCCTTTCCTAACTGAAATCGGGTGCCTCAGCAAGCAAGGCCCCTGCATGTGCTGGCTTATGTGGTTAAGAAGCTTCAAGATGTGCACTTCAGGCCGGGTGCGGTGGCTCACACCTGTAATCCCAGCACTTTGGGAAGCGAGGGTGGGAGGATCACTTGAGGTCAAGAGTTCGAAACTGGCCTGGCCAACATGGTGAAACCCCGTCCCTACAAAAAATACAAGTTAGCTGGGCATGGTGGTGCACGCCTGTTGTCCCAGCTACTTGGGAGGCTGAGGCAGGAGAATTGTTTGAACCGGCGGGAGGCAGAGGTTGCAGTAAGCCAAGATCGCACCACTGTACTCCAGCCTGGGTGACAGAGTGAGTAAGACTCCATCTCAAAAAAAAAAAAAAAAAAAAATGCAATTCTGGGGGATGCTTGGTCTCTTGGGCCGTTTCTGCTTGCTGCAGATTGGCATAGACTCACCCAGATGTTCAGAGTGGTTACTCAGTTGCAAGTTAACTACCAATTTGGGGAACTTATTGAACTTCTAGAGTTTAGAGATGGAATTCCATATGAGTTTTATGATATTCCATAGTATCTAAACTTATTTCGGGGGAAACCTCCAAATAATTTAAATCCACAAACATGCTATACGTCTTACAAAATGTTGAGAGTGAGAAATTAACTGGAAATTGCTAAAATTACAAAAAAGAAGCTTTTACATTTTGAACATTGGTTTTTGTGTTTTTTTGTTTTTGGTGAGACGAAGTCTTACTCTCTTGCCCAGGCTGGAGTGCAATCGTGTGATTTCAGCTCACTGCAACCTCCGCCTCTTGGTTCAAGTGATTCTCCTGCCCAAGCCTCCCAAGTAGGGACTACAGACGTCCACCACCACGCCTGGCTATTTTTGTATTTTTAATAGAGACGGGGTTTTACCATGTTGTCCAGGCTGGTCTCGAACTTCTGACCTCAGGTGATCTACCTGCCTCAGTCTCCCAAAGTGCTGGGATTACAGGCGAGAGCCATTGTGCCCAGCCTGAATATTGTTTTTTTTAATTTTTAAGGAAATATAATATCGTGACTTGCTATTTATGTGTAAAAATACCTTGTCACATAACTAAAATAACTGAATACAGGTTCTAGACCTTTCAGCTCTTACAACGCTGTGATTTTGTTGTATGTGTATGCTGACCCACCTCTGCAGAAAACCTAGGGTAGTTCAACCTCTGTTTAAATTCTGTTAGAGATGCTAATATGTCTGTATCGGCTCAACATGAAGCTAAGTGCTGCTGAGTCCTCTGTGAGCTGAGGCTACACGGGGATCCCACTTGCATAGCATGTGAGTGTCAGCGAGGGGGCAGCATTTGCAGTCGTGTACCTGTGAGGCAGCCAGGCCCCCGAGGTGGAGAAGTCTTCCAGGTACTTGTCCCATTGCTCCATCATTCCATACATGTTGGGCTGCAGTAATGGGATGCTTATGCTCTCTTCCCACCCTTCTCCGTCTCGCTGGACACCATGTGCACTGTAATTATACACAACCCCTGCAAATCAAAACCAAAGTCATGTGGAGCCCCAAGGAAACACACACCTCTGTGAAAAAGAGACATCAGAAAATGACAGTAGCCATGTGGTAACTTTACGTAACATAAATCCAGGGTGGAGGTTCTAGAATCTTCCATCCACCTAATGAGATTTAGATTTGCCTACAGTCATGGAGGGATTTTTGTAGCCTTCCCTGTTATCAGCAATCATTTCCTTGAGAGAAACCCAGTTCTAGCTCTACCTGCTGTTGAGGGCTGTGAAGTTGCCCCCAGGAAACAGAGACAATGATAGGCACCAGGATCATCATCTCCAATATTTTTATTGAAGTTCTCTATTTACCAATGGGTCAATCTTGTTTCCTTAAATCAGGAATAAATTTCCACCTGCTAAAGATGAGTGGTAAGTATGACTGTTCTTGTGGGTAACTAAGTCCAGAACTGTTCTGGGTTTCTGATCACAGTATCAGTTTCTCTTGCCTCAGCGGGTAAGGAAAGGCTGTTATTAGACTTCACCTGTGAGGCCTGGGTAGGTGCCTCACCTGCCTCACCATATCCAGGCTACACATCCTGCAGGTGGCTCCACCCAGGACCTTTTCCTGCAGACAAGAAAGCTTCTGGCTGAAGGGTTGCACACTGCCCTCAGAGCTATAGGTGGCCAAAGGAAGTTTTGTTTAATCTTCACTTTCCTTAAAAAAAAAAAAAAAAAAAAAAACACTGCAGGCCCCACCACATCCTGCTTTACTCCTGACGTCCCTAGAATGTGGGGACCCAGTGGTAGTCGGCTGAGCATAGGATTGGAAGTCAGAGGGCCTGGTTCCAAATTCTGCTTCAGACACAAGATGGGAGGTCTTGGGCAAGTCAATCTCACTGGACATCTATTTCTTCCTCTTTTAAAAACCAATAAAAAATGTACAGGTTTGTGAGGCTCCTCACTGAGAAAACGTTAAAGAGCTTTCAAATATTTTGTATTGTTAGTGATAATTTGCCATAAAGTCAAATATTTCTCATTTGTGGGCAATGCCTACCTCATGGTGCAGTACAAGAACCCAGTGAACAATGGAATCACTTATTAGATGTTGCCATAATCAAATCTCCACAAATACTGCTTTCCTTTTGCTGGGTAGTAGGGGTTTTTTAAGCTACAAAACTGCACTTACCATTTGTGTTAGTTATTCCAACATGAAGATCAGACCTTCCATCATACTCTCTGAAAGAAACAAGGTTTGTTTTTTTTTGGTTTGCATGTATTTGGCATGAAGAATTGGCATTTAAAGTAGGAGGATGCCGAGCACAGTGGCTTAGACCTGTAATCCCAGCACTTTGGGAGGCCAAGGCGGGCAGATCACTTGAGGCCAGGAGTTTGAGACCAGCCTGGCCAACATGGCAAGACCCCATCTCTACTAAAAATACAAAAATTAGCCAGGTGTGTTAGTGTGCATCTGTGATCCCAGCTACTCGGGAGGTTGAGGCACAAGAATAGCTTGAACCCGGGAGGTGGAGATTGCAGTGAGCCATGATCGCACCACTGCACTCCACCCTGGGGGATAGAACGAGAGTCTGTCCAAGAAAATAAATAGAGCCAGCTGGATGCAGTGGCTCACGCCTGTAATCTCAGCACTTTGGGAGGCTGAGGTGGGAGGATCTTTTGAGGCCAGGAGTTCGAGACCAGCCTGGAAAACATTGCGAAACCTCGTCTCTACTAAAAAATAAAATACAAAAATTAGCTGGGCATGGTGGAGGGCACCTGTAATCCCAGCTACTCGGATGACTGAGACACGAGAATCGCTTGAACCTGGGAGGCGGAGGTGGCAGTGAGCCGAGATTGCACCACTGCACTCCACCCTGGGCAACAGAGTAAGACCCTGGTCTCAAAAAAAAAAAAAAAAATAACAGTTTTAATCTTTGTTTTACAGATAAGGAACCAGAGATACCTGGAGCTGGTTAAAAGAACCAGGATAGGAATCAGGGGCTTTATGACGCCAGAGCCTGTAATGTCCTTTCTGCGTTGGCTGCCTCCCTGAGCAAGGCCCAGGGATGCTGTCTATTTAGCACCTAACAGTATGACCAAAACCTTTTACATACTTTGGTTCATTTAATCCTCATAGGGACCAGAAGGAAATTAAGGAAGTTAGTAGGCAGGAAGGTGAGTAGTCAACTCCCATTTTCTTATTCAAAACCAGCACTCTTGAGGGGACAGGAAGTTAGGAGGGTAAACTCTAGGGAGCATTAGACTAATGATACGCAGGAGCTGAACATATTTCCTAAAGCATACACCAACATTCTATGACCCATGCTCACCTAAAGCCTGGCTTATGCTGGGCCGATCCTAATCCTATTGGTAAACTCCACGGGGACAATAAAATATAAACCTGGCGGGGCACAGTGGCTGATGCCTGTAATCCCACCACTCTGGGAGGCTGAGGCAGGTGGATCACCTGAGGTCAGGAATTTGAGCCCAGCCTGGCCAACATGGTGAAACCCCGTCTCTACTAAAAATACAAAAATTAGCCGGGTGTGGTGGTGGGCGCCTGTAATCCCAGCTACTCGGGAGCCTGAGGCAGGCTCCCGAAAATCGCTTGAACCCGGGAGGTGGAGGTTGCAGTAAGCTGAGACACCATTGCACTCCAGCCTGGGCAACAAGAGCGAAACTCTGTCTCGGGGAAAAAAAAAAGGTATAATCCTTTCTTTTGCTTTCTAATTCATCCTTTTTGTTTATGCTAGCGCTCTCAGCAAGAGAGAACTGAATTTGTTCTTAAAGCCAGGTGGTGTCTACAGTGGAAATAGATCAGTTCTAGTCTTCAGTTTAATTTGCCTCCATACAAAATAGTCTGCAAGTGCCCGTTCATCGGGCCCTGTAGGTTGTACCTGTTTGTCACTGAAACTACAAATTAACTGACAGTAAAGGTATTATTTAGATAAGATTAGCTGCTGGGTCATTTTCCTGGTTAGCCTCTGAGCACATATTTTTCTCTCTGAAAATCATATGAGCAGGTTTACTCTTCATATATTCCACATATATTCTTGCACTTGTCACTGCAGGAACATATGCACACCATCTGTTTTTATGAAGCCAGTAGGACTGCATCTCAGGATTTAAAGCCAAAGCACCGAAAAAATTGTCCACCAAACCTCACACATTATGTATTAAGAAAAGGAAACTTTAGTGACTAAAACAGAAGGAAAAGTTTGCACAATGCAATTTAACACTGTAAAAAACACTGTACCTAAGAAATGTCCCCTGAGTTGGTCTGAGGAGGAATGAACATTTTTCTTGATGTCCATTAGTAAATGGATTAGCGATGCTAACAGGTGCGTCCTCCAGCTTCCTCGAGCCCAGGTCCTGCTGGCAGAGAGGGCAGCACTGGGGCACACTGAAGCTGTAGATGTATTTCTCACAGTGGTTGAATTTAATTAAAGCCTTCCCAGCCTCTGCGCAGTGCATAGCTTTCGCCTCCTGGAATGCTAGGGGAGGTTTCCGGAGACTTCCTTTTCCTCATTATACACCTGGCGAATGCACACCGCCCCAAGGAACCTGATCAATGGTGATGTCATCCTGACTGATGGCTTCAGAAGCCAAACCAGATAGGATTAACCAGTAGCCAGGCCTCCCCATAGACTGTATCTTAAAGAGCTAGTTTCTATTTGTTTATTTCCATTGTTTATGGTAACTGATAACTGCCAGCTCCTATTCATCCTTTAAAGCCTCACTTTTCTGTGGAAGTTTTGTCAGCTTCCCCCAGTCTTCCCTTGCAGTGGCAGCGCTGGATTCATATTTCCGTCAGAACTCTTATTTATTTATTTAGAGACAGGGTCTCACTCTGTCACCCAAGCTAGAGTGCAGTGGCACGATCTTGGCTCACTGCAACCTCCACCCTCAGGTTCAAGTGATTCTCCCCACTCAGCCTCCCGGAGTAGCTGGGACTACAGACACACGCCACTATACCCAACTAATTGTTGTGTTTTTTGGTAGAGATGGGGGTTTCACCATGTTGGCCAGGCTGGACTTGAAGAGGCCTTCCTCAGCCTCCCAAAGAGCTGGAATTACACGCATGAGCCACTGCACCAAGCCTAGAACTGTTATTTAATCATTTAGTTTTGTTTCTCCCGTTAGTCTGTGAGCTTCTTGAAATTGGAGACCTTTACTTTTGTGTTCCCAGAATTGGTTAGATCATTTGTTGTTGCATAAATAAATCCTTATTTAAGGCTATTTTATTTTGACATTTTATATTATAAAAGTAATTTTGCTTATAAAAAAATTAACATCCAGAATGTTCTGGGGATTTTTTTAAAAAGTTAACAGCCCTGTTAGAAATAAGGATAGCGGTTACAGGAGGGAGATACTGACTGGGAGAGGACAGAGGTGGTTTCTCGGGTCCAGGGCTGTTGTGACTCATCTGGGTGTTAATAATATGGGAGTATTCCATTTGTGAAAAATCATCAAGCTGTGCATTTTATTATATGCAGTATATAATTTTTCAATTTTAAAATAATTTTTTAATTTTCTTATTTTTGTGGGTACATAATGGGTGTATATATTTAAAGGGTACATGGGATTTTTTTTTTTTTTTTTTTTTTTGAGACAGAGTCTCACTCTTGTCGCCAGGCTGGAGTGCAGTGGTGTGATCTCGGCTCACTGCAACCTCCGCCTCCTGGGTTCAAGTAATTCTGCCTCAGCCTCCTGAGTAGCTGGGATTACAGGTGCCCGCCACCACACCCAGCTAATTTTTGTACTTTTAGTAGAGATGGGGTTTCACCATGTCGGCCAGGCT
Source organism: Homo sapiens (assembly GCF_000001405.40). Classification (NCBI taxonomy): domain Eukaryota; kingdom Metazoa; phylum Chordata; class Mammalia; order Primates; family Hominidae; genus Homo; species Homo sapiens. Next base: position 12,546,792 of record NC_000003.12, read on the forward strand.
GGTCTCAAACTCCTGACCTCAGGTGATCCTGCTGCCTCAGCCTCCCAAAGTGCTGGGATTACAGGCGTGAGCCACCGCACCCAGCCTACATGGGATATTTTGATACAGGCATACAATGTGCAATAATCACATCAGGGTAGATGGGGTGTACAATTTAAAAATAATTTTTAGCTAGGTGTGCTGGTGCACGCCTGTAGTCCCAGTTACTCAGGTGGCTGAGATGGGAGGAGTGCTTGAGCCTGGAAGGTCGAGGGTGCCTTGAGCCAAGATCATCCCACTGTGCTCTAGCCTGGGCGACAGAGTGGGACCCTGTCTCTAAATAAATAAATAAATAAATAAAATAAGCAATTCCATAAAAATATTTGGAAAAAAAGTAATGCCCCTTGTTTCTCACATAACATTTCCACCCACCATATTCTACTTTCTGGAGAAAATTAATGGTATGTTAGATTCTTTTAAAGCTCAATATTGGCTGGGCATGGTGGCTCACACCTATAATCCCAGCACTTTGGGAGGCTGAGGCAGGTGGATCGCTTGAGCCCAGGAGTTCAAGACCAGCCTGGGCAACATGACAAGACTTCATCTCTACAAAAAATACAAAAATTAGCCAGATTTGGTGGTGTGTACCTGTAGTCCCAGCTACTTGGGAGGCTGAGGTGGGAGGACTGCTTGAGCCCATGAGGTCTTGGCTGCAGTGAGCCATTATCACACCACTGTACCCAGCTTGGGTGACAAGAGAAAAACAGAACAAAACAAAAACCCTCAATATTGTTATATTGTATACTGTTTTGAAATTTGTGTTTTTGCCTCATCTTGGAAACTTTTCCACAATATCAGTGATACAGGTCTAGTTCATTTCAGATTTCATGGGAACCCACATTTTGGTTGTACTACACTTTAACCAAGGCCTAATTGATGCCTGTAATTCCAAAGATAAGCAGTCTTAAGGGGGAGACCCACAGAGAAGGTGTCATGGCAGGTAAAGGCACTTCAGGAGGGTTAAGTATTTCACAATGTACATTTAAATAAATTACAGTATGCTGAAATGCAGAAAAGTGCATCTCCAGTGTTATAACATGAGAATGATCATCAGACTCACAGAACTAGAAAGGACCTCAGAAATCATTTCAACCAACCTTCTCTTGTTACAGTGAAGGCAGAGAGGTTATAGCTAGACACTCAGCTCAGGTGACAAAGACCTGAGATTGTTCATTATTAATACAAACCACATGGTACGGCCGGGCGCAGTGGCTCACGCCTGAAATCCCAGCACTTTGGGAGGCCAAGGCAGGTTAATCACCTGAGGTCGGGAGTTCAAGACCATCCTGACCAATATGGTGAAACCCCGTCTCTACTAAAATTACAATAATTAGCCGGTCGGGCGCGGTGGCTCACGCCTGTAACCCCAGCACTTTGGGAGGCCGAGGCGGGTGGATCACGAGGTCAGGAGATCGAGACCATCCTGGCTGACACGGTGAAACCTCGTCTGTACTAAAAATACAAAAAATTAGCCGGGCACGGTGGCGGGTGTCTGCAGTCCCAGCTACTCGGGAGGCTGAGGCAGGAGAATGGCGTGAACCCGGGAGGCGGAGCTTGCAGTGAGCCGAGATCGCGCCACTGCACTCCAGCCTGGGCGACAGAGCGAGACTCCGTCTCAAAAAAAAAAAAAAAAAAAAAAAAAAAAAAAAAAACCAGCCGAGCGTGGTGGCAGACATCTGTAGTCCCACCTACTTGGGAGGCTGAGACAGGAGAATCGCTTGAACCCAGGAGGCGGAGGTTGCAGTGAGCTGTGACTGCACCATTGCACTCCAGCCTGGGCTCCAGAGCGAAACTCTGTCTCAAATAAATACATAAATAAACCACATGGTATTGTTTGTTAGGTTGCTTCAGTGACCCAAGCCACTTTAAATTGAGAATATAATCTTTCTGACACCAACACCAAGAGGTATTGTTAATCTCATGAAAAGGGATTGAGGCACCATGCTTTAATAAACATTTTAAATATACCAGCATTTTTTTTCAACACAAGCATCTTCAATCCTTTTTTACCTTTTCTCTATCTTAATCTTGTTATAAAATAAAACATAGACACAGAAAACTACATAAATTGTAGTTTTTAAAAGATTTTTAAAGGCATTTTATTTTTTATTTTATTTTATTTGAGACGGAATCTCACTCTGTCGCCTAGGCTGGAGTGCAGTGGCGTGATCTTGCCTCACTGCAACCTCCACCTCCCAGGTTGAAGCGATCCCTTTGCCTCAGCCTCCCAAGTAGCTGAGACTACAGGCACCCACCATCACACCTGACTAATTTTTTGTATTTTTAATAGAGATGGGGTTTCTATATTCTAATAGAGTTGGCCAGGCTGGTCTTGAACTCCTGACCTTGTGATCTGCCCACCTCGGCCTCCCAAAGTGCTGGGATTACAGAAGTGAGCCACCACACCTGGCCTATGTTATTTATTTGTTTGTTTGTTTGTTTATGAGATGGAGTCTTGCTCCATTTCCCAGGCTGGAATCTCAGCTCACTGCAGCCTCCATCTCCTGGGTTCAAGCGGTTCTCCTGCCTTAGCCTCCCAAGTAACTTGGATTACAGGTATGCACCACTGCACCTGTCTAATTTTGTATTTTTAGTAGATATGGGGTTTCACCATGTTGGCCAGGCTGGTCTCAAACTCCTGACCTCAAGTGATCCAGCCACCTCAGCCTCCCAAAGTGCTGGTATTACAGTTGTGAGCCACCACACCCAGCCTGTTTTGTTTTATTTTATTTTTTGAGACAGGGTCTTGCTCTGTCACCCACGTTGGAGTGCAGTGGTGCAATCAGTGCTCATTGCAGCCTCAAACTTCTGGGCTCAAGGGATCCTCCCACTTCAGCCTCCCAATCAGCTGGAACTACAGATGCATAACACCACAGCTGGCTAATATTTTAATTTTAATTTTTATAGAGACAGGGTCTTGTTATGTTGCCCAGGCTTGTCTTGAACTCCTGGACTCAAGTGATCCTCCTACATCAGGCTCACAAAATGCTGGGATTATAGGTAGCGCCCTGTAATTTTGGCTTGAAGAACTCCTTTTAGTATTTCTTATAGGGCAAGTTTTCTAGTGATGAACTCTCACCTAGTAGAATGGCTAAAATCCAAAACACTGAGAATACCAAATACTGGAGAGGATGTGGAGCAACAGGAACTCTCATTGCTGGTGGGAATGCAAAATGGTATAGTGATTTGGAAAATAGTCTGCCAGTTTATTACAAAACTCAACAAACTCTTACAATATGACCCAGAAATTGTGCTCTTTGGTATTTACCCAAATGAATGAAAACCTACGTCCACACAAAAACCTGCACATAGACGTTTACAGCAGCTTCATTCATAATTGCTAATACTTGGAAGCAACCAAGATGTCCCTCAGCAGGCGAATGGAAAAACTGGTACATCCAGACAAGGGACTATTGTTCAGTGCCAAAAAGAAGCAAGATACCAAGCCATGAAAGACATGGAGGAAACTTAAATGCATATCACTGAGTGGAAGAAGCCAATCTAAAAAGGCTGTATACGGTATGACTCCCAACTATATGAAACTGTGGAAAAGGCAAAACTGCTGAGACAGGAAAAAGATCAGTGGTTGACGGAAGGGAGGGATAAATAGGCAGAGTACAGAGAATTTTTAGGGCGGTGAAACTACTGTAATATGTCATTATACATTTGTCAAAACCCATAGAGTAAGCCTGGGCAAAATAGCAAGACCCCATCTCTACAAAAAAATTTTTAAAACCTAGCCAGGCACTTGTCCTCCAAAATGCCCACTTGGCCCTCTTCCAAGTATATTTTACTTTCTTTTCATTCCTGCTCTGAAGCTTTTTAATAAACTTTCACTGCTGCTGTAAAACTTGCCTCAGTCTCTTTTTCTGCCTTATGCCCCTCAGTCGAATTCTTTCTTCTGAGGAGGCAAGAATTGAGGTTGCTGCAGGCCGGTACGGATTCACTGCCGGTAACTCGGACACCTGCCACCGGTAACATATTTTGTTATGTTGGGTTATATGTGTTGGGTAACTCAGATAACTTCCTCTACTAACATAGTTTGCTGTGTGACTCGAATACATTCCCTAGTGGGTACATATCCATTTGATTCCTTAAAGGAAAGTGTACCATTCCAGTCAAAGCTTTGGTAAAATAACCAGTTTCTTTACAGTATCAGTAATACAGGTCTAGTTCATTCTTTCAGATTGCATAGGAATCCACCCATCGGTGGGACATGACAGAGGCAAAATCCTGCCCCTGTCTCCTTTGGACTTGGTTACATACCGCTTTCACCAACCCAAGGAGCCACCCTCCTGCCCTGACAGCAAGTGGCCAAGACCCACAAAATGAGCACCACCACCCCTCTGTCATTACACTTTATTAAAAAAAAAAAAAAAAGCCCGGGCACAATGGCTCACGCCTGTAATCCCAGCACTTTGGGAGGCTGAGGTGGGTGGATCACTTGAGGCCAGGAGTTTTGAGACCAGCCTGGCCAAAATGGTGAAACCTCATCTCTACAAAAAACACAAAAATTAGCCCGGGTGTGATGGTACGCACCTGTGGTTCCAGCTACTCGGGAGGCTGAGGCAGGAGAATCACTTAAACCTGGGAGGCGAAGGCTGTGGTGAGCCAAGATTGTGCCTCTGCACTCCAGCCTGGGCAACAGAGCAAGACTCCATCTCAAAAAAAAAAAAAGTGTATTACCAATAAAGAAAAAACTGTAGAATAATGGAAAATAATCCAAAGGAATACACGAAAGGATAAATAAAGAACAAATAACAGATTATGTGAATAGAAAATAAACATATTTCAATGAAGGATTTATTAAGAAAAAAAATCAAGGCCAGGCATAGTGGGTCACACCTGTAATCCCAGCACTTTGGGAGGCCAAGTTGGGCAGATCACCTGAGGTCAGGAGTTCGAGACCAGCCTGGCCAATATGGTGAAACCCCGTCTCTACTAAAAATACAAAAACACAAAAATTATCCTGGCGTGTTGGCACATGGCTGTAGTCCCAGCTATTCCAGAGACTGAGGCAGGAGATTCGCTTGAACCCGGGAGGTGGAGGTTGCAGAGTTGAGATCACACCATTGCACTCCAGCCTGGGAGACAGAGTGAGACTCTGTCTCAGAAAAAAGAAAAAAAAATCAAGATGATACATTTAAATCCAGCTATATTACATTTAGTGTAAATGGACTAAATGCTCCGATACAAAAAACAAAGAAGGCTGGGCACGGTGGCTCACGCCTGTAATCCCAGCACTTTGGGAGGCCGAGGCAGGTGAATCACCAAGTCAGGAGTTCAAGACCAGCCTGGCCAAGATAGTGAAACCCTGTCTCTACTAAAAATACAAAAAATTAGCTGGGCGGGGTGGTGGGCGCCTGTAATCCCAGCTACTTGGAAGGCTGAAGCAGAGAATTGCTTGAACCCTGGAGGCGGAGGTTGCAGTGAGCTGAGATCGTGCCGCTGCACTTCAGCCTGAACAACAGAACAAGACCATCTCAAAAAAAAAAGCTTTCCAAAACTCCCATAAAACAATGAAATCTGAATAGCTTTATATATAAGAAAGCAATTAGATATTTTAATTTTTTTTAATTTTTAATTTTTTTTTTTTTTTAAGACGGAGTCTCACTCTGTCGTCCAGGCTGGAGTGCAATGGCGCCATCTCAGCTCACCAAAACCTCTGCCTCCCGGGTTCAAGCGATTCTCCTGCCTCAGCCTCCCGAGTAGCTGGGATTACAGGCATGCACCACCACACCTGAATAATTTTGTATCTTTAGTAGGGTCGGGGTTTCTCCATGTTGGCCAGGTTGGTCTTGAACTCCTGACCTCAGGTGATTTGCTCACCTGGGCCTCCCAAAGTGCTAGGATTACAGGTGTGAGCCACCATGCCCCACATTTAAATCTTTAATTAAAAATCATCCTGCAGGCTGGGCATGGTGGCTCATGCCTGTAATCCTAGCACTTTGGGAGGCCAAGGTGAGCAAATTTCTTGAGCTCAGGAGTTTGAAACCAGCCTGGGCAACATAGTGAGATCTCCTGTCTACAAAAAATACAAAAATTGGCCAGGAGTGGTGGAGCATGCCTGGCGCACACCTGTAGCCCCAGCTACTTGAGGGGCTGAAACCAGGAGGTGGAGGTTGCAGTGAGCCAAGATCACACCACGGCACTCCAGCCTGGGTGACAAAGTGAGACCCGGTCTCCAAAAAAAAAAAAAAAAAAAAAATCTTCCTGCACAGTAAACTGCAGGCTGAGATGGCTTCCATGGTAAATTCTTCCAGATGTTTAAGGGAAAAATTAATACCCATATTACACAGACTTTTCCAGAGGATAGAAAAGAAAGACTTCCAAACTCATTTTATGAGACCAGCATATCCCAGATACCAGCACCTGGCATGGACATTATAAGAAAGGAACACTACAGACTAATATCTCTCATACACAAGGATGCAAAAATTCTAAACACAATTTTAACAAATAGATGATTTATAGAAAATATATCATGGCCATGTGGGGTTTATCCTGAGCAATTGGGTAGGGTTAACATTAAAAATCAATCAGTATAATTCAATACATTACCAGTATAAAAGGGAAAAACAATATAGGTTTCTCAATACATGCAAAAAAAAAAGTGATAAAAGTCAAGATGTGTTCATGGTAAAAATGCTAATAAAACTAGAAAGAAACTTTCTTAATTTGGCAATGGATAGCCTAAAAAAATCTAGGGCTAACATTTTAATTAAAATATTAAATAATTTTAAAGTAAAATATTAAATATTTTTATTGAATCCAGGAACAAAATAAGATGTACACTATTACTACTTCTCTTTAACATTGTTCTGAAGGCTGTAGACAGTGCATGCAATAAGGCAAGGAAAAGAAATAAAAGATACAAAGATGAAAAGGAAGCAAAACTGTCATTATTTGCTGATGGCGTGATTGTGTATAGAAAATCGATAACTAACTACAAATAAACCATTAGAATTAATTCAAAATTTAGCATGGAGCTGAATCCCAAGTCAGTATACAAAGATCCAGTGTATTTCTATATATAAGCAACAAGCAATTCGGAAATTTTAGGAATATCATTTAAAATAGCATCGAAAACCGCTTCTAGGGGCAGGTCGGCACACAAAGAAAACGAAAGCTTTGCAAGACCCTCGGCGCACGTCTGCGCAAAGGGTCTCTGTGTCTCTACGCCCAGATGGCCATTTTGAGTCCCGAGCTGGCAGCCACCCTTCTCTTCTGTTTTCTCAGCTTCTTCACCCGCTTCTATCTGATAGCCTTTTTCTCCCGAGTGTTTGGTAGCAAAGTTGCTTTTCCTAAGGGGCGAGAACGGGAGCTGGTGGTTAGCAAGCAGACGCAGTTTTACGCGCCCCTGCTACGGGCAGGAGCGAGTGGCCCTGCCTTCTCTGCCAGCGCGGGTTCCCTGGGGGTGAGGAAAGTGAGTTCCACGTCCCGGGTGGGGCAGGACTTGGTGTTTAGTGCCCAGCGCCAGATAACGCCGGAAGAACCCCAAGTGGAGACTGCTTGCATCCTTCGGGAAAAGTCTAAGTGCTAAGTACCATGACAGTGGCAGGAACCAAGCTGTTGGGTACAGCTTGTGGAAGTGCACACTGGCTGTCGTTGATCCAGTGTTGTATTATTTTTTCATAAATATATATGAAATATATGAAATATATATGAAATATAAAAATATATATATATATTGCCCATGACACAGACCTCAGGAGATCCTGAGAACATGTGCCCGATCCAGTGTTTTATTTGCACAGACACCCTAAAGGGCACCAGCAGTACAAGGCTGATGAAATAACTTATGGCATAGTCGTACAACGGAATACTATACAGTTCTACGAAAGGAGGAAGAGGCTCTATGTACTGATATGGAAAAATCTCCACTGATTATGTACGCTGTGCAGAACAGTACGTTATGTTATCTTTTCTACAAAAAGGAGAAAATAATATATATGTATTTACTTGTGTATATTTAAAGAAATTCTGGAAAGATGTATACAAATTTGATAACAGTGGCCAGGTTTTGAGGTTTTAAAAAATGTTTCTGCTTTTTGTTTTGAAGAGGCGGGAACTAAATTGACAGGAGACTGAGACTTTTCACTTTACGCTTTTAAAATATTTGAACATAATAACGTTCAGATCGTGAATGTATTCCATAAAGAATGAGATAAGCTGAATTTTAAAAATAAGTGGCATGGGCTGGGCGCGGTGGCTCTCGCCCGTAATCCCAGCACTTTGGGAGGCCGAGGCGGGTGGATTGCCTGAGCTCAGAAGTTCGAGACCAGCCTGGGCAACAGGGTGAAACCCCGTCGCTACTAAAACACAAAAAATCAGCTGGGCGTGGCAGCGTGCGCCTGTATAATCCCAGCTACTCCGGAGGCTGAGACAGGAGAATCGCTTGAACACGGGAGGTGGAGGTTGCAGTGAGCCAAGAGCATGCCACTGCACTCCAGCCTGGGTGACAGAGCAAGACTCCGTCTCAAAAAAAAAAAAAAAAAAGACGTGTAATTTTTATGAGCATGAATTGCATGGATCAAATGTGTTATGAGTTAAAATGCAATATTCAAGACACTGAAAACAAAATTTCCAGTATACTTCCAAATTCCTGAGAAAAATTTCAAAAGTTCTAAATAATTGGAAGTATATACCATGCTCATTCATTGGAAGACTCAATATTTTTATAGCAAAGTAAAAAAAGAACATACAGCTATACATACATAACATGGAAAGATCTCACAGATAAAATGTTGGTCAAAAGAAGGCAGACAAAAGCGTAGGTACTGAATTATTATTTATATGAAAGTCAAGAACAGTTAAACTAATTTATAGTGATAGAGATGAACCCAAGCAATGACCTTTGTAAAGTATTGCCTGGGAAGGACCATAAGGAAGCCCTTCTGGGGTGTCGATAATATCCAGCCCCCACCCACCCCCTGCAGCCTCGACTGCAGTGAACTATGCTCAAAGGATCCTTCCGGCTCAACCTCTCCTTACTCCAGCATTTTGAAGTTTAGTCGAGCATGGTGTCGCGCACCTGTATTCCCAGCTGCTGGGGAGGTTAAGGCAGAGGACTGCTTGAACTATGATGGCGCCACTGCACTCCAGCCTGGGCGACAGAGCAAGACCCTGCCTCAAAACAAAACAAAAAATTCTTTATTTTGATCTGGGTGGTAGTTTCATGAGTGTATGCATGTGCAAAAATTCATAGAATGTGTTTGGTGCACTTATATTGTGCATGTTATGTATCTCGAGTTTTTAAGCAATGAGAAACCATTGTAAGATTAAAAGGTGAATGACATGATCCGATTTATGTTTTAAAAATAGATTTTTACCAGGAACGGAAGCCAGAAGACCAGTTAAAAGGCTATCGCATGGCTGGCCAGGCGTGCACGCCTGTAATTCCAGCTACGTGGAAGGCTGAGAGGCAGGAGAATCGCTTGAACCCGGGAGGCGGAGGTTGCAGTGAGCCGAGATCGCCCCACTGCACTCCAGCCTGGGCAACAAGAGAGAAACTCCGTCTCAAAAAAATAAAAAATAAAATAATAATAATTAAAAAAAAAGGTATCGCATGGTGCTAGGTAGAAGGGACGGTGGAAAGGGGGCAGAAGAGGACGCATTGGACAGAGGTGTGGGAGCAGAATCTGCAGGGTATAGAGAGCTAGAGGGAAGTGTCAAAAATAACTTTTGGGGTTTCCACCATAGGAAATGGAAGACGAGCAGCACAAGACTGGCAGGAAAGAAAATGAAGACTAAAACTTGTGGAAGTAGAGATTTGGGGAAAGAGCAGTTGGGAGAGAGCTAAGGAATTTCCTTAAGTGGGAGGCGAGGTCCGGCGGGAACAGTTGAGGCAGGGCCTGAGAAGGGTGCCCAGTGAGTGCGAGTATGAATGGATAGGGGCATCCGGGATTAAGAGGAGAGGCTGGAGTTTCCCCAGGAGTGGTGAAGTGCCTCGAAGGAGGCGGGAGATCCCTAAGGAATACTCTTGGCGATCGGGGCAGAATCGCAGGCACTAACAGTAGGCATCGGGATAAGACTGGCAGGACTAAGATGCCAGCCAGGCTCCGCCCCGGAGGCTTGGAAGTGCGGGACACCGAGAGCAGGGATGCCGGGACAGCCGGCCCGATCCCCGGTGCGGAACCAATTGTGACGACGGCTAGGTTACCCGCCGGCGCTACAAAGGTGCCACACCGGAGGGGCGGCGTGCGCCGGCGTGCGCCGGCGTGACGCGGCTACGCGGGATGGGCCGGGCCAGGGCCAAGGCCGAGGCGGCAGCGGCTGCGAGAGGCGGCGGCACGACGACGGTCCCTCAGCCCAGCCACCATGAGCACCAAGCAGATCACTTGCAGGTCAGTGCGCTGGAGCCAGGAGCTTCGGGCCGCTCCCCCAGGCCGCAGGGGGGCCGGTGCGCGCCAGTGCTGTGGTCCGGGAACCTGAGGCTAGAGCGGGACTCGGAAAGTTACTCGGCTGTTCGCGGCGGGGCTTTGCGAGGCAGAGCGAGCGCTGCCGCCACAGCCGGGGATCCGGGGGATGCGTGGCCGAGACGCTGGGCGAGGCCAGCGCGGGGGGCTACGCCCCGAGTTTGAAGCGTGGCCCCTGTGGGCTGGGAGGAAGGACGTCCTAGCCAGGGCCGTGCAGGATGCCGGGGCGCTGTCGGGAAGGCTCTGGGGCTTACGCTTTAACTGGAAAAGATTTGAAGTTGAGTAAAGGGACGCCGAGAGGACGGTTACAAATGGGGATACCACATAGGAGTAATTTGTTAATCGATTATGAGGGCCTCAAAGTTTGGAGAATCCAGATGCAATCTAAACTTGCAGAGAGTTAACAAGTAAAAGTTGTTGTGTGGAAAATAACGACAGGTAGCATATTGTGAATATCGGCGAAGCGCCCTGCATATTTCCAAGTCCTTTATATTCATTATCATCAGACTTCACAGTAAGACAACTTAGTAGTTATTATTACCATTTTACAGTGCAGGAAACTGAGACCGAAAGACGTTGACACTCATTTATCTTACTGAGAGAGCCATTTACGAGGAGAAATGCGACGGTAATGGATGGTTTATTGTAGAAAATAGCCAGATAGCTACACTACGACTGCTCCTATGAAATAGAATAGTGTGGTTGTGTAACACCCTCATTGCTTGGTCAGCTTGTGGCTTACTGGTAATGGAGTCTAGTCCTATTGAATTGTATGTTTGGAAAACGCAAATTGAATTGTATGCTTGGAAAATGCAAATTTCATTTAATAATTTTTATGGGAAACATTGCTTAAAAACAGTTATAGAGTTTGTGTAATAAACAGTTTATTTTCTATGTTGTTACTTCTCTTCATTGGTATGAATAGTTGAGACGTGACTGTGTAGTAAGTTTTCTGTTAGCATTAGTGTACATTTACTGTTCAATTTATCCAAGGCCCAGGTGGCTTATGTTAAGCTGTTGTCAGAAATTTGCACCTAGTGTCTATAAAAAGACTTTTACTAGGTTATTTGTACTAGAAGGTGTTTTGTGAAGACGGGTTTGTGTGTGTTTACGTATTTTTATTTGTATAAAGTTTCTCCTGCTGGAGGAAGTATTCCTAGGTCATTGTGCACTGTAAAGCAGCTTGTAGCCTCCTAGAAAAACCTCTGTATTCCTCCCCTCGCTCTATGGTTTAATTCTACCATTTATTCCCGTACCTCATCTAAGAAGTGTCCACAAAACAGTACACATTTATGTAATAATGCTTTATAATTGAATCTCAACTCTGTAGTATCTTATTTTACAAATAAGGAATCTTATGCTCAGAAAGACTTGAAATTTGCCTAAAATTTTACACCTTAGTAGAGGCACAAGGACCTAAATCAGGATCATCTTGGTTTTTTCCTTGTATACCTGGAGATAGCTTGACTTGAAAGCTTTAATTCTGTTTCCCAAACAGGGGTGTTCTGTAGGATGTTGCTCCATATAAATGAAGATTGGGTTGGAATGTTGAGAAGGGATCACTTCTGTTTAAGTGTTTAGTCATGTTTGTTGGGGACTTACAATGTGCTGCGGCTCTTAGGTACTGTAGTGTATAATCCAGCAACCAGCGCTCTTCCACAGATCGTAAAACTGAGCCTCAGCATTGAAGCGACTTGCCTAAGGTCATTTAGCTTCCAAGTGACAGAGGTGTGAAATCAAAGTTCATGCCCTCATAGACTGTAGGGCCTCCAGATAAGTTTTGAAATGCTAAATTAAAATTTATTTATTGCAGGACTTATCAAAGCTTTTAATGTGTTCCCATGAAAGGAAACTCATACAAGGATATGTAAAACTGCAAAGAAGTTTACTCACAAAAGGGTGTAAAGGAGTCAGGGCTCCCGATGACTGCCTTGCCAAATAAAAAACATAACAGGTGTTTTAAGTGGGAAAAAACCAATATGACCAAGAGTACCAAGTTTACATTAGTGTGTTTATCTACCATCAACTTTTCTACCAGCTTATCTACCAAAAGCTTTTCTCACTTTATTATCTCATTAACAAAAGCCTTGTCTCTAGACATTGATAATTTATAGGAAATGTTCAAGGTATGATTTATTTTGGGGACCAGATCTAAGCAGCGTGTGCGGTTTTTTGTGGGTTTTGTTTGTTTTTTTGTTTTTTTTAATCTCAGGTCACAAAGTTTTAGGTTTGTTTTCCTGACTGTGGGATGTGATGTACATGTTTATTTTGAATGACAGCAGAATAATGTCAGTTTTGCTTCCAATCTGTTAGATATTATGTATCTCCAAGAGTTGCTTATCAAATGCTAGGAGTCTCAAACCTAATGACAAAGACACTCCATGTTTTTATTGCCTGGAGTGGTAAAAATGACTGCTCGTACAGTTATGCTGTCAGTCAGCTCTTCTGATTCCTTGACATGCCGCTCTATCCAGAATCTCAATCTGTGCCTTTTTGCTGATTCCCCTCCCCCACAACCATCTCCCTGTCTTCCAGTCTGTTTTCGGAGCCCTGGGGGAGGCCCTTATTATAGCTTAGTAACCAGTTTATTTCACCTTCTCCTCTTGTGATAGAGCTTCCCTGCATCTCATAATCACTATTAGAAGACACAGGATTTCATTGTCCTAAGATAGTCAAACCTAGGGGGCTTTTGATTCTTTGAAAGTCACAAAACATGGGGGATCTTTTCAGCTGGCAGGTGGTAGGAAGAGTTTGAGCCCCAGGGTTGGGCAGTTCTGGATTCTAATCCTGGTACCACCTGTGCAACAACTGCCTCATCTGTGAAATGAGGATGGTAATGCCTAACCGGCAGGGCTGTTTAAAAATTAAATAATAGCAACAAACCATTTATTTTGTATTAGGATGAGCACTTACATGCATTTTCTCAGTTAAATGTCCCAGTAGTCTATCATAGCAGTCTATGAAGTAAGTGCAGTTATTATAATCACATTACAGATGGGGAAACTGAGGCTCAGTGACTTAAATAACTTGCTTAAGCTCACATAGCAAGCAGTCTGACTTCAGTGTCTTCACCACCACACTGTACTTCATTTCATTCCCGCCTCTAATCAGTACATTTATTGCAAGCCTGCCACAGTGCCTACCATTTGCTTCCTTCCCCCTCAGTGGATCTGCTGTCACAAGGAGTATAGCCGTAAAATTTTAGCCTGTGAAAATATGTAGGAAAATGTAAAAAAAAAAAAAAAAAAAGACACTGAGGATGCAAATTACCTGTATACTTGGAAGTGATTTGCAAAAGCGTTTTGCTAAACAGGCAACATTCAAGGGCCTGTAAGAAACCAGATTGATTGTTTTGCTTAGCACTGCTGCTGCTGGAGCTGCTGGTGGTTCTGTGGCCAGCAGTGAACCTGATATGCTCTGCAGTGTATAATAGCCATACTGTCTGAAACAGTCTTTTGGGTTTACCCAGGGTAACACCCCTTTGGAGTGTCCCCCAGAAAGAACCTACCTGCTCTGAGTCTCCAGCTATGCACTTCACCCACCTAGTCGTCTCTCCCCTCCTCCAGTTCATGTCTCAGTCGTCTCTCTTGGAAGATATGAGGGGCGGTTTGTCCATCAGAAAGGTTGAGCAGTTGGAAATTCATTACAAAGCGCAACATGAAAGAGGCTTGGAGTAAGATCAGTATAACATAGATGGAGAGGAGTGACTATAAGCACATGACAGAGATGCCCCAAAGGACAAGCAGGATGTGCTCTAGGTGGCTTTGTGCTTGTCACTGGGGAGTGGAAATGGTGACATATGCTACAAAAATAGGACTGGGCTGACTTCACCTCTTACATAACTCTCATTTCATACTTTCCTTTCTTGAAGGCAGTGATGGTGGTCTAGAAATTATTTTTGAATCTGTTTAAATCTCAGCTCAGTCACTTACAGAAGTGAAGTGGCTTTTATGAAGTCACCAGCTTATAAATGGCAAAATTAACTAGAAGCTCTGGTTGGCAGTTAAATATTTGTATTTTAGTGGAAGAGATAATTAGTGCAGTTTGGAAGGCAAGTTTTCTGGATAGGACGTATGGAAGGCGGAGGTAGAATTATAAAAGGCATCCTTGCAGGAGACCACTACCTAAAAAAGTCTTTCTTCTTGTCTGCCTTGTTAACAAATAGTATCTGGTAGAGGGCCTGTGGTAGTCTTCCACCCTGGTTCTTTCAGGAAATTTTCTGTTCTAATTGCTTCAAAAGAAACAATACAGTATTGGCTGGTGCAGTGGCTCATTCCTATAATCCCAGCACTTGGGGAGGCTGAGGTAGGAAGATCACTTGAGCCCTGGAGTTTGAGACCAGCCTGGGCAACATAGCAAGATCCTGTCTCTACCCGAGAAAAGGAAAGAAACTATACAGTATTTATTCGATATCACTTTTGTTTAACTGCTTATGTTGCCACTTTGAACCTGTCCTCTTTCAGTATTTATGAGTTTACTAATCCTGATACCTCTTTGTCATTCAGACTTGGCTCTTGGCACTGACTTTTTTTTTTAAATTATTATACCTTCAAAGATTACCATGTCTGAGGACAATTGAAATATTGCAGTCTTGAGTAGCATTTCTCAAAAATAATTCTCAAACTGCTTAGATGTATACTCTACTTTTGTGTTTGGGATCTCCAAGACCACCCCAAATCCAGAGACTGTCTAGAACTAGGACAAGTGGGTCCCAGTATACAGCTGTATTCAAGGCTGAGATTATTACCATATCTAGTAAGGGGTCACAGCCAGATCATGATGGCAGAAGACATGGGGGGTCTGGAGGAGCCTGGGTGCAGGCTTCCTACATCTGTCCCTCCCTGAGAGGGCCACACAGCAATGAAAATGCAGCAACATGTGTCCAGGGAAGCCCATTAGGGATTCAGTGCCCAAGCTGGTCACATAGGCACCCTCTGCCTAGCATGAACCAAAATTCCAGACTCCCAGAAGGCAAGCAGGTTTTCAGCATGAACTACATTGTACATCAGTTTAGACACAGCGAGACACTCTCCATCATTTAGGGAAAATTTTGTATCTGTGTAGAGAACTGTTACTAGCCAAGTTCCCAGATGCCAGGCAAGGGGCAGCCTTGGAAGCAGACCTTCCTAAGGATAGCAGTCTCACATCTGCTGTGTAACTCTCTTCTGTGCATTTATAAAATCGGTATTGTAAATAACAGGAACTCTAAGTTTCTAACAAAAAGTTTCCCAGCTTCTGTTTGTGCTTTTTCTTTTTAAAAAATAAAACTTTAACAGCCTTATGGCAAATTACTGCACAATGTCTGATCTAGTGCAGTGGTCCCCAACCAGTCTATGGCCTTTTAGGAACCAGGCCACACAGCAGGAGGTGAGTAGTGGGCAAGTGAGCAAAGCTTTATCTGTGTTTATAGCCACTCCCCATCACTCACATTACCACCTGAGCTCCACCTCCTGTCAGATCAGCAGCAGCATTAGATTCTAATAGAAGCACTAACCCTATTGTCAGCTGTGCATGTGAGGGATCTACGTTGTGTGCTTCTTATGAGAATCTAATGCCTGATGAACTGTCACTGTCTCCCATGACCCCCAGATGGGACCATCTAGTTGCAGAAAAACAAGCTCAGTGTTCCACTGATTCTACACTATGGTGAGTTGTATACTTATTTCATTATATATTATAATAATAAAGTGCACAATAAATGTAATGTGCTTGAATCATCCTGAAACCATCCCCCATCCCCCCATTCCGTGGAAAAATTGTCTTCCATAAAACTGGTCCCTGGCTCCAAAAAGATTGGGGACTGCTGATCTAATGGTAGGCCACAAGAGGGTGTTTCCTGGGGAAAGCCTAGCTGACTACCTAGCAAAGGCTGTAGGATGGCACCATTGTATAGTCACTTAAGTCATGAGGTCCAGTTCTCATTTTGTAGGCTCAGAAATTTGATTCTGTTGGTGTACATAGAGGTGGCTCATACTAGCCAAACGCATGAGAGACTGACTTATATACTAGAATATCCTTTTATAATTTCCCTGGGAAAAAAATAAACTGTCAGGTAGGTCTGGTCAGCACTTCCTCTGCTTTTGGGGAGAGAAACAGGTGGAGAAGTCAGAGGTTTCTGATTGGGGCGGATGTGCAGCATGTTCACTAGTACCCTTTCTCTGGAGACACCAGCAGTCTGGGCCTCTCGGGCCTCCCTGGCATTCCTTGCATACCATTCCCTCCTGTTGTCTAGTTCTTTTTTTTTTTTTTTTTTTTTTCCTGAGACGGAGTCTCACTCTGTCGCCAGGCTGGAGTGCAGTGGCACGATCTCGGCTCACTGCAGCCTCCGCCTCCTGAGTTCAAGCGATTCTCATGCCTCAGCTTCCCGAGTAGCTGGGATTACAGGCACCTGCCACCATGCCCGGCTACTTTTTGTATTTTTAGTAGAGACGGGGTTTCACCATGTTGGCCAGGCTGGTCTTGAACTCCTGACCTCATGATCCGCCTGCCTCGGCCTCCCAAAGTGCTGGGATTACGGGTGTGAGCCACCACACCCGGCCAGAATCACCTTTCTTTTTAAGCTTGATTGTATGGATAGACCACATCTTGTTTATGCATTCGTCCATTAGCGCACGCTTGAGTTGCTTCCACCTTTTGGCTATTGTGAATAATGCTGGTATGAACACGGGTGTGCAAATGTTTGTTTGAGTCCCTACTTTGAAGTCTTCTATTTTTTTTGAAACAGATTCACTCTGTTGCCCAGGCTGGAGTGCAGTGGCGTGATCTTGGCTCACTGCAACCTCTCCCTCCCAGGTTCAAGTGATTCTCCTGCCTCGGCCCCCAAAGTAGCTGGGATTACAGGCGCCCACCACCACGCCCGGCTAATTTTTGTATTTTTAGTAGAGATGGGGTTTCACCATGTTGATCCGGCTGGTCTCAAATTCCTGACCTCAGGTGATCCACCCACCTCGGCCTCCCACAGTTCTGGGATTACAGGCGTGAGCCACTGGGCCTGGCCTGAATTATTTTGTGTCTATACCCAGAAGTGGAATTGCCGGATCATATGGTAAATATATTTTTAATTTTTTAAGGAACTTCCGTACTGTTTTTCTATAGAAGCTGCACCATTAGCTGTTTTATAATCTACTCTTCTCAGTTAATTGTGTTTAACTTTCCATATTAATAAATTTTCATTTTATACCTAGTCCATACTCACATTTATTTCAAAATATCTTTCAAAATATCTGGTTTCAAAAATGTCTTTTGTATCTGGTTTGTTGAAACCAGATTCTAGTCCAGAGGTAAGTATTGCATCTGGTTATGTCCCTTGTGTTCTGTCTGCTAACCTAGCATTGTCCCTTCCCTTTTTTCTCTTTTTTAACAGCTTTTTCTGAGGTATAACTTATATACCATAAAATTTACCTGTTTGAAGTGTACAGTGCAAAACTTTTTAATGAATTTACAAAGTTGTACAACCATCACCACAGTTAAATTTTAGGACATTTCTATCACCCCCAAAAGATCCCTTGTGCCCATTAACAGTCACCCTCACTTCTCTCCTCCCAACCCTAGGCAACCACTTAATCTACTTTTTGTCTCTGTAGATTTGCCTTTTCTGACATTGCATATAAATGGAATCATGCAACATGTGGTCTTTTGTGTCCAGCTTCTTTCACTCTGCGTAATGTTTTCAAGGTTCACCCATGTTGTAGTGTGTGCCAGTACTTCTTTCCTTTTTATGGCTGGATAAGAGCCCATTGTATGGATAAATCACATTTTCTCTGTCTGTTCATCAGTTGATGGACATTTGGATTGTTTCCACTTTTTGGCTGTTATGCATAGTGCTGCTTTGGACATTCATGTACAAGTATTTGTGTGGACATAGATTTTCATTTTCTTGGGTACATACCTAGGCGTAGAATTGTTGGGTCATATGGTAGATTTATGTTTACATTTTTTAAGAAACTGTCAAACTGTCTTCCAAACTCAGCCTCCTTTAGTTACATGGCACTTATAAAGACAGTAGGCCTAGGTCCCACGTACAGCCTCTTTTGTATTTATTTGGTTGTTTTCTCGAGATGTCTTTCATAGGTTGTCCCCAGTCTCCTGTATTTTCTATGAACTGGATGTTAGATCTGGAGTTTTGTGGATTCAAATTAATTGTTTCTGGCTAGAATACGTCATAGGTTGTTTTATACTTCATTTTGGGTCATATCAGCAGGTACATATTTAAGTTTTTTCCAAGTCGATTTTGGGTCCAGCATCATTTGTTGAAAAGATTCTTTCCCCAACTTACCTTTTTTTTTTTTTTTTTTTTTTTTTTTGGGAGACAGGGTCTCACTCTGTCACCCAGGCTAGAGTGCAGCAGCATGATCTTGGCTTATTGCAACCACTGCCTCCTGGGCTCAATCGATCCTCCTACCTCATCTTCCCAAGTAGCTGGGAGCACAGGTGCACGCTACCGTGCCTGGCTAATTTTTTGTATATTTTTTGGTAGAGACGAGGTTTCACCATGTTGCCCAGTCTCATCTCAAACTCCTGAGCTCAAGCAATCCACTCACCTTGGCCTCCCAAAGTGCTGGGATTACAGGCATGAGCCACTGCATGCGGCCTATGTGTGGTTCTATTTACAGGGTTTTTTGTTTGTTTTTTTGTTTGTTTTGAGACAGGGTCTTGCTTTGTCACCCAGGCTGGAGTACAGTGGTGCAAACAGAGCTCACTGCAGGCTCTCTCCTTCTGGGCTCAAGCAGTCCTCCCACCTCAGGCCCCCAAGTAGCCATCATGCACGGCTGATTTTTGTATTTTTTATACAGATTGGGTTTTGCCATGTTGCCCAGGCTGACCTCAAACTCCTGGGTTCAAGCAGTCCTCACACCTTGGCCTCCTGAAGTGGTGGGATTACGGGCATGAGCCTCTGAGCCCAGACTATTTATGGATCTTTAAAGAATCCCTGCAGCCTCCCTAAACTCAATCTCTGTGATTTGCCTGAGGTTCTACTCCCAGTACCAAGACCTAGAATATGCCTCCAGGTAGGAAGTCAGACTAAATGTGGGGCTTACTTCCTGTGTTTCCCTTCTCTTAAGGACCAGTCCTTTTTTCTATTGTCTGAAAGCAGTTGTTTCACATATTTTGTTTCATTTTTCAGTTGGGTTTGTTTTGTTTTGTTTTGTTTTTTTACAGTGAGAAGCCAAGATCCATGCTCCTTGGTAGTCAGAAGCAAGTTTGTTTCTCTCTCTCTCTCTCTCAGATGGTTTCTATTCTGTGTCTTCAAGTATTCTGATATTTTCCTTTGTAGTATCCCATCTACTAAACTCATCTAATGTAATTCTCATTTCAGACATTGTATTTTTCACTTCTAGAAGTTTCATTTGTTTTTTGTTTTGTTTTGTTTTGAGGTGGAGTTTCGCTCTTATTGCCCAGGCTGGAGTGCAATGGCGCGATCTTGGCTCACTGCAACCTCCGCCTCCAGGGTTCAGGTGATTCTCCTGCCTCAGCCTCCCAAGTAGCTGGGATTACAGGCACCTGCCACCACACCTGGCTAATTTTTGTATTTTTAATAGAGATGGTGTTTCACCATGTTGACCAGGCTGGTTTCGAACTCCTGACCTCTGGTCATCCACCCACCTCAGTCTCCCAAAGCGCTGGGATTATAGGCGTGAGCCACCACACCTAGTATTTGGTCTTATTTAAATCATCCATTTCTCTCCACATTATGTTTATGTTTTTCTTTAAATCTTTCAGCATATTGAGCATATGTATAATAGCTGTTCTTAAGGTCTTATTTTGCTGATTCCATCATCTCTGTAATTCCTGTTCTTTATTTTTCTCCTGGTTATAGGTCACATTATTTTCTGCTTTTTGGCATATCTAGTAATTTATGATTGGATGCCAAGCATTGTGAGTTTCTGAGCATTTGGATTGTATTGTCTTCCTTTAAAGTTTGTTTTGGCTGACAGTAAGTTATATACTTGCTATCAGCTTGTGTTTTTTTTTTTTAAGCCTTATTAGGGTGTGTCTAAAATACTTCTACTCTAACACTAGTTTACTTTTTTTTTTTCTTTTGTGAGACAGGATCTTGCTGTCACCCAGGCTAGAGTGCAGTGGCACAATCATGGCTACTGCAGCCTTGAACTCCTGGGTTTAAGCAATCCTCCTGTCTCACTCTCCTGAGTAGCTGAACCACAGGTGCATACCACCATGCTAGGCTAATTTTTAAATTTTAGGGTCTCCCTTTGTTGCCCTGGCTAGTTTATCTTTTTTTTTTTTTTTTTTTTTTTGAGACAGAGTTTTTGCTCTTGTCACCCAGGCTGGAGTGCAATGGCGCAATCTCGGCTCACCGCAACCTCCACCTCCTGAGTTCAAGCGATTCTCCTGCCTCAGCCTCCCAAGTAGCTGGGATTACAGGCATGCACCTCCACTCCTGACTAATTTTGTATTTTTTTTAGTAGAGACGGGGTTTCTCCATGTTGGTCAGACTGGTCTGGAACCCCCGACCTCAGGTGATGCGCCCGCCTTGGCCTCCCAAAGTACTAGGATTACAGGTGTGAGCCACCACACCCAGCCTAGTTTATCTTTAATATCAAGACATGTTCATCTAGGGTCTCTACTGTTTGAGTATTCACTCAGGTCTCTCTACCCTGTCTGGACAGAGTTAGCCTCCCAGGTATTCCTGTACCACTTATTCTTCAAGGCCAGGATCTGATATCTCAGTGGAATATTCTGATACAGAACATGTGATACATCTGATATTCTGAAACATCTGAAACAATGTATGAGAAACAGCTTTCATTAAAAACTACAAGTACCCATACAACCTTTCTGTTTCTCACTTTCAGTACGGTGTTCAATAAATTGCATGAGATTATTCTACACTTTATTGTAAAATAGATTTTGTGTTAGATGATTTGGCCCAACTGTAGGCTGATGTAAGTGTTCTAAGCATAAGTAAGGTAGCCCAGGCTGAGCTAGGAGAATCGCTTGAACCCGGAAGGCAGAGGTTGCAGTGAGCTGAGACTGTGCCATTGCACTTCAGCCTGGGTGACAGAGAGACTCCATCTCAAAACAAAAAACAAAAAACAGTGGCTTTATTGGGATGTAACTCCATCATTAGTCAAGGAGCATCTGTGTATATCTTTTGATACCACACTATGGTATTTGATCCTCACCACGACCAGTTAAGTGGGTAGTATAATCTTCATTTTATAGGGAAAGGTAGCAAGGCCCAGGGAAGTTGGTTTTGTGACATGTTCTTAAGTGGCAGAGCTGGGTCTTGAGCCCAGATCTTCTGGTTTCGTTAGTCATGCCCTTTAAGCTCCTTGAGAACAGAGAGAACAGTTTTTCACAGAGTGTTTTCTCAATTATGTGGCTCACATTGAACATATCTCAAATCAGGAAGATATATCTTCACATAGAAATATATGGGATCATTTGTTTTTCTTTCAGAAAAGCTGTCATTGAATCAGTTGTAGTGCCTCTGAAATCACTGTTGTAGAATCAAGGAAATATATAGATCTCTCTCCAGTGCCTAATAGAGCCTTTATACATAATATATGCCTGGTAAATGTTTGTATGCTAAGTTCAAGAATAAGCTGATTTTATAAAGCAAAATGTGCTTCTAAAAGTTGTATGCCTGTGCTTGTCTCTGCAGGTATTTTATGCATGGTGTGTGTCGGGAAGGAAGTCAGTGCCTATTCTCACATGACTTGGCAAACAGCAAACCGTCCACCATCTGCAAGTACTACCAGAAGGGCTACTGTGCCTATGGAACTCGGTGCAGGCAAGGACTCTGCAACAGATTCCAGCTGTGACACTGATTTCATTTGGAGAATGGGTCTTGATAAGGGGGAAATTTTAATGTAAAAGTAATATGGCAACATCACAAAAAGTATGGCAAATAAGTTTAAAACCTCAGTTTCAGTACCCTAAAACTAATTTTCTTTTCTTTTTTTTTTTGAGATAGAGTCTCTCACTGTTGCCCAGGCTGGAGGGCAGTGGTGCGATCTCAGTTCTCTGCAACCTCCGCCTCCAGGGTTCTCCTGCCTCAGCCTCCCAAGTAGCTGAGATTACAGGCATCTGCCACTACGCCTGGCTGATTTTTTTTTTTTTTGTATTTTTAGTAGAGATGGGGTTTCACCATGTTGGTCAGGCTGGTCTCTAACTCCTGACCTCGTGATCCTCCCGCCTCAGCTTCCCAAAGTGCTGGAATTACAGGCGTGAGCCACCGTGCCTGGCCTAATTTTCATTTTTTAAAACTACTTTTCAGCCTTATTCTTATGAATATATAGTTATAAAATTGTACACAATTCCGGAAACTTGTTCATGCTTTTGTAGCAAAGAGCCGATCTTTTCTTTCTAGACTGCAAAGCTTCCTTCCCTCCTTTTTCTCTGCAGTGCAGTGGGAGATGATGGAAGTAGGCCCACGTTGGTCTTCCCCTGTCAATGAGTGCCAAGAGAGACAGTCAGGGAGAGATCATTGGCCCTTGTCAGCATTTTGGGGACTCCTGCTCAAAAGAATACTGGGTCAGTCAGGCATCAGGAGATTTTAGCTCAACATCTGTTTGGAACTTTCAGGTTCTCTGTGTGGTCTGGTGCTGTGTGTCTGTCCCACTCAAGTCCCACAGAGACACTTAAGCATAGGTGATAGATAGCAAATGTCCCCCTCACAATGAATTGCCAAGCATCTGTTAATAATCGATAATCCTGTTAGAGTTTAAATATTGGAAAAGATGGCCGCCTTCTTCACCTCAACAAGTGCAGCAGAAGGAGGGCCATTGGCATCTGGGGAGTGTGGGAGATGTGTGTGGGTGGCATGTCTGTAATGCATCTGCTGTGTGTTTTGTTTAGATATGACCACACGAGGCCCTCTGCTGCAGCTGGAGGTGCTGTGGGCACCATGGCCCACAGTGTGCCCTCCCCAGCTTTCCACAGTCCTCACCCTCCTTCCGAGGTCACTGCATCCATTGTGAAAACTAACTCACATGAACCCGGAAAGCGTGAAAAGAGAACATTGGTTCTTAGAGACCGAAGTGAGTAAGCGGAAGCCTTTTGTTGCGTCTTTTTGCATAGCACTCTTGTTAATGCTTGGTGCTCCTTTCTAGCCTCCTCTTGTCAAGAGGACTCCTAACCTAATACACCTCCAGATTGTCTGCGCGGAGAGACTTCAGAACTGTTCTGAAGAGGCTCCATGTGGCTGCAGATCATTCAAATGATACATTCGCCCTCGTGCCCAAGGCTGGGTTGAGCTCCAAGACTGGCCTGGTAAAACATAAAAACACAATCTTTTTGTCAACATGTAACTTCCATCTTCATATGGTGGTTGTCCAGCTGGTGAGAAGCATCAAGCTCTTCATTTCAAACGTAAATATTTTGTCTGGGTAAAGTGGCTCACACCTATAACCCCAACACTTTGGGAGGCTGAGGCGGGTGGATCACCTGAGGTCAGGAGTTCGAGACCAGCCTGGCCAACATGGTTTAGTAGAAACCCTGTCTCTACTAAAAATACAAAAATTAGCCGGGTGTAGTGGCAGGTGTCTGTAATCCCAGCTACTTGGGAGGCTGAGGCAGGAGAATTTCTTGAACCCGGGAGGCAAAGATTGTAGTGAGCTGAGATCACGCCACTGCACTCCAGCCTGGATGACAAGAGTGAGACTCCCTCTCAAAAAAAAAAAAAAAAAAAAGAAAACTAAATATTTTGCTAAAGAGCATGTTTCACTGTTTGACTTTTAGGCCAGTGAATGGTCTTAGTTTTTATGCTGACAGTGTTTGACAGTTTAGATTGCACCTTTGGGAAAAGAATAGCACACTAGGGTTTGGGGCATGGTCTGTGCCTTAAAACAGGGTTTGATGAGGAAGAAAGCTACAAATTGTAAAAGTTTTTTTGTTGTGTTTTTTGTTTGTTTTGTTTTTGTTTTTTTTTTGGAGATGGAGACTCGCTCTGTCGCCTAGGCTGCAGTGCAGTGGCATGATCTCCACCTCCCGGGTTCAAGGGATTCTCTTGCCTCAGCCTTCTGAGTAGCTGGGAATACAGGTGCCCACCACCATGCCCAGCTAATTTTTGTATTTTTAGTAGAGACAGTGTTTCACTATGTTGGCCAGGCTGGTCTCAAACTCTTGGTCTCATGATCCGCCCGCCTCGGCCTCCCAAAGTGCTGGGATTACAGGCAAGAGCCACTGCACCTGGCCATAAAAGTTGTTTTTATTGGCTGGTCCTCACCAGGTGAAGAGATTTCTAGTTCTTGGAATTGGCTACCATGAGGTAGGCAGATTCTGTCCTCAGCAAATGAGTAATCCTGTGAGAATACGTGACCTCTAAACAAGCTCGGAGGTGTGCAGTGGGAAGGCAGCAGCTCCTGGCGTGAGAAGGGGTGACCATGGGGCAGTTTACACTGGCCTCAGGACCCACAGATTTGCTCTAGACATCTATTCTAGTTCACTTAAAATGATTTTACCTTTGCTGGTATGAAGGAAACACTGTGTTCTAGTGCTCTCACTGTTTTTTTGTTTGTTTTAGTGTTAACTGGTCCATGTGTTAACATTTCCATATTTGCCATTTTAAACGGCTTTAGTGTTCTTTTGTATAAGTATATCCTATTGTTTTGCTATTTCCCTGTCTTGCCATTTTTGTTTTTTGTTTTTTGTTTTTTTAAGTAATTATAAGTAATGTCACTATGAACATTTTATACTATTCCTTTTATTTTTCCCCTTCGGTGTGTTTTTTTTGCCATATGTTCTCAAGAGTGGAATTCTTAGGTCAGAGTAGCTTAATATGTTAGGCTTTGGCTAACGGCATACCAGAAAAATGGGGCCATTTTCATGTGCATGTGTGCTGTGTGTTGTTTTCAGATCTCTCTGGCATGGCTGAAAGGAAGACCCAGCCGAGCATGGTGAGTAATCCAGGCAGCTGCAGCGACCCCCAGCCCAGCCCCGAGATGAAGCCGCATTCCTACCTGGATGCCATCAGGAGTGGCCTTGATGACGTGGAGGCCAGCAGCTCCTACAGCAACGAGCAGCAGCTGTGCCCCTACGCAGCTGCTGGGGAGTGCCGGTTTGGGGATGCCTGTGTCTACCTGCACGGGGAGGTGTGTGAAATCTGTAGGCTGCAAGTCTTGCACCCATTCGACCCAGAGCAGAGGAAGGCTCATGAAAAGGTAAAGTCACAAACCTTTGCATGAACTCATGTTAAGAAATCTGAAATGTACTGAACAGGACACGGAAGGCCATCCATATACACTCAAGAAATCTGAAATGTACTAAGTGACAGAATTGTTGGTATTTCCACAGGCATCCCCCTGCCAGTAATACCCATATTATGTATCTGGTATATTTACATCCTGTTTTCAGGTTCTTTTTCCTGCAGTCATTTTGCCATTTTTTTTTTTTAATGGAGTCTCCCTCTCACCCAGGCTGGAGTACAGTGGTGCAATCTCGGCTCACTGCAACCTCTGCTTCCCTGGCTCAGGTGATCCTCCTGCCTCAGCCCCACCGAGTAGCTGGGATTACAGGCGCCCACCACCACACCCGGCTACTTTTTGTATTTTTAGGAAAGATGGGGTTTCACCACGTTGGCCAGGCTGGTCTCGAACTCCTGACCTCAAGTTGTCCGCCTGCCTTGGCCTCCCAAAGTGCTGGGATTACAGGCATGAGCCACCATGCCCGGCCTATTTTGCCAATTTTTAATTACTCAGAATAAAGAGAAAAAGAAGTCGTATCTGAAATATAAAATCATGCTAAGTTCAAAGAACAGATCTAGCTCAGGACCATGGTATGTCGTCTGTGTGTATGTCTCTATCACATGCAGATACAGCATCCTCCCTCCCTGGGTTCACACTTCCTCATGGTTGGGATCCAGCTAGGTGAAGTTTTGGAAGATTTGAGCCCAAATCATAGAATCTGAGGAGCCACTTGTTGGAAGGGCCTTTTAAAGTCATTAATGTCTGCAGTGTTTTGGGAGGCTTTGCCTTATGCTAGGCCCTATGCATGATGCAGAGGGTACGAAGCTGGATAAGAGGCGGGGGAGGGCCAGGCATGGTGACTCACACCTGTAATCCCAGCACTTTGGCAGGCCAAGGCAGGCAGATTGCTTGACCCCAGGAGTTTGAGACCAGCCTGGGCAACATGGTAAGATCCCCGTCTCTACAAAAAAAAAAAAATACAAACATTAGCCAGGTGTGGTGGTGCACACCTGTAGTCCCAGCTACTCGGCAGGACTGAGGTGGGAGGATCACCCGAGCCTGGGAAGCAGAGGTTGCAGTGAGCCAAGATTGTGCCACTGCACTACAGCCTGGGCAATAAGAGTGAGACCCTGTCTCAAGAAAAATAATAATAAAAAAATTTAAAAATGCCAGGTGTGGTGGCTTGGCTAACTTTTAAAATTTTATTTTATTTTGGCTGGGCACAGTGGCTCACGCCTGTAATCCCAGCACTTTGGGAGGACGAGGCAGGCGGATCACAAGGTCAGGAGATTGAGACCATCCTGGCTAACATGGTGAAACCCCGTCTCTACTAAAAATACAAAAAGTTAACTGGGTGTGGTGGCGGGCGCCTGTAGTCCCAGCTACTTGGGAGGCTGAGGCAGGAGAATAGTCTGAACCCAGGAGGTGGAGCTTGCAGCGAGCTGAGATTGCACCACCGCACTCCAGCCTGGACGACAGAGAGAGACTCTGTCTCAAAAAAAAAAAAAAATTATTTTATTTTTCAGAGGTGAGGTCTTGCTATGTTGCTTAGGCTGGTCTTGAACTCCTGAGATCAAGCAGTCCTCTTACCATGGCCTCCCAGAGTAATGGGATTACAGGTGTGAGCCACTGCACCTGGCCTAAGGCATGTTTAAATGGACAGCGTATTCCTAGATAATCAAGAGGTAAATTAGTACTGACTCCATGTGGCAGCGGACAAGGAGACACTCTCCATTGTCTTCCAGGGAAGCAGAGGGTTAGAGCTGTCTTCTTTATGCAAGTGTGTGAGGTCTCTGCGGTGAGTGTTGGCTTGTCTCAGATCTGGACAGACTGAGCTTACAAGGGCTGGGCCTAGGTCTTCTCACTCTTGCTCAAATGCCAGCACATAGAAGGAATTCAGGGCATGCCTAGTGAATGAATGAATTCATTGAATCATTTTCTTGGGGAGAAGTGGTGCTTCTTACATAGGACTAGGCTGCCAGCCTCAAGCCTCATGGTAAGGACGAGTCAGCATCTCTGATGTAGACATGGCTCAGAGTCGGGGGAAACAGTGCCCAGAGGAGCTGGGGGACTAGGGCCGCAGTCCTTACGGACTCTGACTCCACTGCAGTTTAACCTTTTTGGATCTCCGTGTTCTCAGTCCTAAATGGGTGGTGACCATGTCACCTCCTAGGAAAGCAAGGGGCTGGACCAGTGATGGTTTGAAGTCCTTTGTGTGGTCTGAGGGAGATGTCAGTGTCCTGACTTGGGGGAGCCTGGGCCTTTGCTCACAGCAGTCGCTGTCAGTGTTCCTTCCTGATCTCAGCTGTGGCAGTGTGGCTGCAGCTACTCCTAGGGCTCCTGCCACTCCTCAGTGGCCCACAACCAAAGCCTTCCTTCCTGTCTGTGCTTCAGATCTGCATGTTGACGTTCGAACACGAGATGGAAAAGGCCTTTGCCTTCCAGGCAAGCCAGGACAAAGTGTGCAGTATCTGCATGGAAGTGATCCTGGAGAAGGCCTCTGCTTCTGAGAGGAGATTTGGGATTCTCTCCAATTGCAATCACACGTACTGTTTGTCCTGCATCCGGCAGTGGCGGTGTGCCAAACAGTTTGAAAACCCAATCATTAAGTAAGTACAGCCAGGGGTCTTAGCTGTGGGAGCTAGGAGAATGTTTGATTTGAGACTTTATTCCGTCCACTTTTAAGCCCTCCGTTACCCTCAAGAGTAACTGGTGAGTTCTGGCCCCTGGCTGCATGAACTTCAGCAAGTCATTTACTCTTCCTGAGCCTAAGTGCCTGTTCCTATAAAAGATGGGCAACAATTCCTACCAAGCTTTCTGGGTGTTGGGGAGGAACTCAGCAAAGATGATCTGTGTAAAAAGGTGTTAAATGGCACTGACCTGTTTTCATCTCCTAGCCTTGTGTTTGAAATCCAGTAGTACCTGCCTGTAGCCCAGTTGCCTGTTAATCATTTTGAGCTTCGTTTTTTCCCCCCACCAAAAACGAAAATAGGGTTATTTGAGGATGAAGTGGAATAATGCATGTAAAACATTCTGCATGATGCCTGGCACATGGGATGTGCTCAATGTGGCCAACATAGGAGTCTCAAATTCTCCAGCAGGACAGGGGAAGAGCTGGCATGTGGAGAGGTTACTGCACGCGTTCTACTGTTCAGAACTCCACATCTGTCCGCTCATCTCATTCCCTCAAAGACCCTCCTCAGTTACAGATTAGGAAACAGGCCTGGGGTGCGGGGGTCAAGTAATTTGCCTAAAATCGTGTGGTGAAACAACTGCTCTATTGAGATAAAAGCCCACAATTTAACTCACCACTCATCCGCTTTCTGTCTCTACAGAGTTGCCTATTCTGGACACTTCTTATAAATGGAATCATAGAATTTGGGGCCTTTTGTGCCTGGCCCCTTTCACTGAGCATAGTGTTGTCAGAGTTCATCCCGACTGTAGCATGTGCCAGAGTCCCCTTCTCCTGGCGGAATATGTTCCATTGTATGGACGCAGCACATTTCCCTTATCCATTCCTCAGCTAGTGGACATTTAGGCTGTTTTAACTTTGCAACTATTATGAATAATGCTGCTGTCAACATTTGTGAACACAGCATGTGGGCATGTGTTTTCATTTCTCTTGGGTATACACCTGGGCGTGGGATTGCTAGGTTTTATGGTATAATAACTCTACATTAAACTGTTGGAGAATCTGCCAGACTCTGTTCAAAGTGGCTGCACCCTTTTACATTCTCACCAGCAATGTATGAGGGTTATTTCATCTGTCTTTTTTGTTGAGGAAACCATATATGTGTGTGTGTGTGTGTGTGTGTGTGTGTGTGTGTGTGTGTATTTTTTTTGCTTTAAGTTCTGGGGTACATGTGCAGAATGTGTAGCTTTGTTACATGGGTATCCATGTGCCACGGTGGTTTTCTGCACCTCTCAACCCATCACCTAGGTTTTCAGCCATGCATGCATTAGCTGTTTGTGCTGATGTTCTCCCTCCCCTTGCCCCTGCACCGACAGGCCCCGGTGTGTGATGTTCCCCCACATGTGTCCATGTGTTCTCATTGGGAAACCCTATTTTGTTAATAGTAAATAAGGTTCTTGGATGATTGTGATTTCATCTTTTGGAATTTCTGGTGAAGGAAATGCCTGTAGTGGTGAGGCAGTTGAGCAAGAGGTTTAGCAGAGAGTGTGCCCAGGCTTCGTAACATGACTTCTCCCTTAGTAATCTAATTCTTATTTCAGGTCTTGTCCAGAATGCCGTGTGATATCAGAGTTTGTAATTCCAAGTGTGTATTGGGTGGAAGATCAGAATAAAAAGAACGAGTTGATTGAAGCTTTCAAACAGGGGATGGGGTAAGTGCTTTTGAGTTTCGACGTGCCCCTGCTGCCTGCCTGGCTCTGCTGTCAGCCCGTGTCCTCGTTCTCCTTCCCAGGAGTGTGGTCTTAGGGGCCTCTTCCTCTCTTCCTTCTCTCAGGCACCATGCTGGGCTCTGGGATGCAGCAATGAGCAAGGACATGGTGATGTGGACCTGTTTAGTTTTGGTGTTTTTTTTTTTTTTTTTTTTTTTTCGGTGAGATAGGGTCTCACTCTGTTGCCCAGGCTGGAGTGCAGTGGTGCAATCTCAGCTCACTGCAGCCTCAGCCTCCTGGGCTCAAGCAGGAGCCTCTTGAGTAGCTGGGGCCACCAGTAGTGTGCGCCACCATGCCCAGCTAATTGGCTAATTTTTTTTGGTAGAGACAAGGTTTCGCCATGTAGCCCAGGCTGGTCTTGAACTCCTAGGCTCAAGTGATCCTCCTGCCTCGGCCTCCCAAAGTGCTGGGATTACAGGCATGAGCCACCGTGCCCGGCCTCAAATGTTCCTCTTTATCCTGGTTGTCAGCATGTTGATATTTTGCCTAGGAGTGGAGTGGTTTTTCTCTACGCTTATGTCACTCCCCAAGATGAGCGAAATTTTAGCTATTGTTTCATTAACTTTTTTTCTGTCTTGTTTTTTTCTTTTCCTGCTGGGACTCTACTTCCGTTTATGATAGTTTTTTTATATTGTTCATAGATCTCTGGGGATATTCATTCTTTTTCAATCTTTTTTTCTTTTCATCTCCTTGAACATAGTTGTAGCAGCTACTTTGAAATCCTTGTTATCTTGAAGTTGACCTCTGTTGTCTTTTAAGAATGGATCACATTTTCCTGATTCTTCGTATGTCTAGTAATTTTAGATTTTATCCTTGACATTGTAAATATTACATTGTAGAGAGACTTAGGATTCTGTTATGGTTTATCTGTAAAGTGATGATTTTTTTTTTTTTGAGACGGAGTTTCACTCTTGTTGCCCAGGCTGGAGTGCAGTGGCACAATCTCGGCTCACTGCAACCTCTGCCTCTCGGGTTCAAGCGATTCTCCTGCCTCAGCCTCCCGAGTAGCAGGGATTACAGGCATGCACCACTGCACCTGGCCAATTTTTTGTATTTTTAGTAGAAACGGGGTTTCACCATGTTAGCCTGGCTGGTCTCAAACTCCTGACCTCAGGTGATCCGCCCACCTCGGCCTCCCAAAGTGCTGGGATTACAGGCATGAGCCACTGCGCCTGGCCAAGTGTTGCTGTTTTTAACAGGCAGGTAAATTGTTTGAACTCAAACCCAGGTAGCAGTTCAGATCTCAGTTCTGGTTTTGCATTCGTAGCTGACTTTGTCGCATTCCTGTGTGGTTTGGGAGTTAGTCAGATTTGGGCAGAGTTTATACACAGCCTTTGAGCACTTTTTCACAGGCCCCTTACTTTGTGGGATTGCTTCCTCACTTTCCAATGGCTGTGATTTCCTTGAACTCTTGTCTTTTAGTTCTTCAGGCCAGAAAGATTGGATTTCCCCTTGGAGTTTTAGCCACCCCATGTGGTTATGATTTTGGCCTGCTCCAGGATAAGAGCTACTTCTTTTTTTTTTTTTTTTTTTTTTTTTGGAGATGGAGTCTTGCTTTGTAGCCCAGGCTGGAGTGCAGTGGCACAGTCTCAGCTCACTGCCACCTCCGCCTTCCAGGTTCAAGCACTTCTGCCTCAGCCTCCCAAGAAGGTGGGACTACAGGCGCATGCCGCCACGCCTGGCTAATTTTTGTATTTTAGTAGAGACAGGGTTTCACTGTGTTTCCCAGGCTGGTCTTGAACTCCTGAGCTCAGGCAATCCACCTGCCTCGGCCTCCCAAAATGCTGGGATTACAGATGTGAGCCACAAAAGCTACCTTTTTTAAAAAAGGTAACTTAGCCTTTGCCATTGCTATTCTTCTTTGTGTTTACTCCTCCAAAGAATCTAACTGCGTTTGTTCATTCTCTGGTGCCTTCAGGTCTTCTTGAAATATTTGTGTTAAGACTTATCTGCAGGAGGGTTGGGTATGGCAGGCGTTTACTTGTCATACTAAAAGTGAAACTATGCATTACCTTTTTTAATGGTTCCTTTATGTTGCATATTAGTTTACTAAAGCTTGATTTTTTTTTTTTTTTTTTTTTTACCATTTTTTCCTCATACAATCTTCCTGTGTGTCCACAAGAGGGCAAGGCGTGGCAAGCAGAGGGGTCCCAGCTTGTAGAAAAGGGCCCCAGCCTGTAGAAAAGGGTCCCAGCCTGTAGAAAGGGGCTCTGCTGAAAAGCAGTCTGGAGATTGTTATTGCTATTTGGATCTTTCCTTGCTTTGCTTTCCTTTAATGACTGTGTTTTTTGCAATCCACAAACATTTACTGAGTACTCACTATGGGTCAGGTACCTTCTAGCTAAGCACCACTGGGGGATGTAGAGATTAGTAAGACAATTTCTTTTTTCTTTCGAGTCTCGCTCTGTCACCCAGGCTGGCAGTGGCATGATTTCAGCTCACTGCAACCTCCGCCTCCAGGGTTCAAGTGATTCTTCTGCCTCAGCCTCCCGAGTAGCTGGGATTACAGGTGTGCGCCACGACACCCAGCTAATTTTTGTATTTTTTTAGTAGGGATGGGGTTTCGCCATGTTGGCCAGGCTGGTCTTGAACTCCTGGCCTCAGATGATC
The DNA here is from genome assembly GCF_000001405.40 of Homo sapiens. NCBI lineage: Eukaryota > Metazoa > Chordata > Mammalia > Primates > Hominidae > Homo > Homo sapiens. The sequence goes on from NC_000003.12 coordinate 12,579,409, forward strand.
TACCCACCTCAGCTTCCCAAAGTGCTAGGATTATAGGTGTGAGCCACTGTGCCCCGCCAAGTAAGACAACTTCATGGGAAACTGCAAAAGGGCAATTATGATACAGGTTTGCTGGTGACCAGTTCTTCATGAGGGACCATCTATCACAACAGAGAAAGCACTTGGATCCACCGGGGGCTGCCAGGGGAAGCAGCATGGGAGCCTGAACCATGAAGCAGGAAGCACCTGTCTGTAGGGGGAAGTGATGGAAGGACATGGGCACAGAAGGGTGTAGGTTTTGTGTCTGGGGGACACTGGGAGTGGCTCCTGGCATTGAAACAGGTGTGTAGAAGGATGTGGTGGGACCTACAGACTGGAATCTAAGGGACACTTGAATCCCAGTGTGACCATGGTCTTTAAGAACAGGTTGGGGCCAGGCGCAGTGGCTTATGCCTGTAATCCCAGCACTTTGGGAGGCTGAGGAGGGCAGATTGCTTAAGTCCAGGGGAGACATAGGGAGACCTCATCTCTTTAAAGAAAAAAAAAAGGTTGGGAAGCTCCTCCGTGCTGCTCTGAAGGTGGAAACTGGTGGGAGTGGGAGGGAGGCCAGTGAGGAAGTGGCCCTGGCAGGCAGGCCCCAGAGGCTTCCACAAGTGTGGGAACCCAAAGGAAGGGGAGATTGGGAAGTGATTTGTAAACAGAATGAACACAGTTGGGTGTGAGAGCCGAGGACACAGAGTGAGTCAGAGTGAACTGGAGGCTTTTGGCCTTGGTGACCAGATAAGCCTGGGGGAGGAAAAAGAGTAATATTCTTGTGAGAGTGGGGGACCAGTATATAATGTGTTTGACCTGATCGAGTTCATAGCCAGTGTGCTAGGATGCTCTGGAGTTGTCCAGCAGGCTCTGGTGAGAGCAAACTGCTCACGGTCATTTGAAGTCCGCTCAGAACTCCAGGCAAGCAGGGGCCTGGAGGATGTGTCGTCCACACACCTGCTCTCCAGCCACCTGTGCTCAAATCAGATCAGCTGGCCAGGGAGCTTGTTCTCTCTCCCCCCACCCTACCCCCCCGCCACCACCCCCAGTGAGACGAAGTCTCACTCTGTCTCCCAGGCTGGAGTGCAGTGGCACAATCTTGGCTCACTGCAGCCTCCACCTCCTGGGTTCAAGCAATTCTCCTGCCTCAGCCTCAGCCTCCCGAGTAGCTGGGATTACAGGTGCCAGCCACCACACCCAGCTCATTTGTGTATTTTTAGTAGAGATGGGGTTTCGCTGTGTTGGCCAGGCTGGTCTCAAACTCCTGACCTCAAGTGATCCACCCACCTTGGCCTCCCAAAATGCTGGAATTACAGGTGTGAGCCACCACACCCGGCCAGAGGGCTTTTCTTTATGCTGCTATGAAGCCGTCCTCAGAGAACTTCACCACCGGCCTGCGGCCATCCCATCTGACAAGACGGAAAACCACTGGATTCAGGAGCCTCCTTTCCCTGTTCTTGTCTCCCGCTGTCACACACCCCAGCTGCCCCTGACAGCAGCGTGCCCTTTCTGTTGTTTGGCTTTATTTCTGTGACTTTCCCCTTCCTCTGTACTCCGAGATGGCCCTCTGGATTCTTGGGTATCTTTTTTTTTTTAACTTCAGTTTGGGATCCTTTATGATTGGATAAACCAGAGTTCATTTGAGCAAAATGGGAATTCATTTGATTGAGTTTCCTTGGGCAGGGTTCTTAACATAGAGGTCTGTGGGGAGAATGGTAGAATTAAGAGAGAGGGAAAACATTTTGAACTGTTTGGTCACTGTATGCTGTAGACCCATGTTTTATGCATTGAAAAACACTGTTCAGAGAAGGGGTCCAAAGCACATAAGGCGTGAAGAAGCCCTCCCTGGTGCCGAGGTTGGAGACAGGAAAACTGGAAGGAGACCTATGGCTTTAGGCAGTTGCTAAAACCCTCTGCTTTCCCTGTAGCCACCTTGACAGCACTGCGGCCAGGAGGAAGGGGAGAGTTGGCTTGGTGGGGTACCTAGGGAACTTTGAGCAGAGACAAGTGGCCCAGCTTCAGAGCTTAGTGCCCAGAGGAGTGACCAGGCCTGGCTTAGCTCTGTGGTGACCCAGGAGGTGCTCTGGAGCTGCCGGAGGGCCTGTGGAGCACTGCAGTCTCCACACAGCAAGTCCCCAGGCAGGTTAATATCCTTTGCAAGGCTGCAGGTAAGTGGGGATACTTCCTATCCTGCTTGGAAATCAGAATCCCAGCTGTGTGTGACCTGAGACAAATCACTCAACCTCTCCCAGCCTCAGCTGCCCCACCTAGAATGTGAGGCTGACCTACCTCTGGCGTAAGGGTGGTAAGGATGGAGGCAGGCAGTGGCCCAGTTTGGACCCCTCATTTTCCCACCAGCCTCTTGACTTTTTCTTTCTGCTTTTCAGGAAAAAAGCCTGTAAATACTTTGAGCAAGGCAAGGGGACCTGCCCATTTGGAAGCAAATGTCTTTATCGCCATGCTTACCCCGATGGGCGGCTAGCAGAGCCTGAGAAACCTCGGAAACAGCTCAGTTCTCAAGGCACTGTGAGGGTAAGGACTTTAGCCATCTCTAGTTGGGGACACTTAGCAGCTGTGGGCATTTCCAGGTACCGTTCCTGGCAGAGAAATGGGGTAGGCAAAAGAACGATCAAGGAACGCAGCCTTCCTGTTGCTCTTAGCAGTAACCAGGCATGTCCACTGGCTGTTTTTGCAGTTCTTTAATTCAGTGCGGCTCTGGGATTTCATCGAGAACCGAGAAAGCCGGCATGTCCCCAACAATGAAGATGTCGACATGACAGAGCTCGGGGACCTCTTCATGCACCTTTCTGGAGTGGAATCATCAGAACCCTAAAGAGTAGATGGTTGCCCTGCATCTTGGGCTCCATCGGCCGAAACTTTCCCAAGCCAGGGTGTGCGGAGCTTCCCTGTACTGCAGCCAAGGTGACGTGTGACTTGGATTTGAGTGGAGTTGGGCTTAGCCTTAGTCTCATTCAATCTCCATTATTACAGCCATGGGGAAGAGTGAAAGATATAAAGTAACCTAATTAAATGTATGGAATTGCTATTTTTATAGCTGATATAGTTACACCTCAAGCCCCTCAGGGGTAACAACTAACAAACACCCAAACTGTTTGGATTGATTGCTTTAAAAAACAAACCTGGCTCTTACCTTTGATCTTTTCTTCCCCAGAAATAGTAAACTTGCAGCTGCCCCTAATGCAGCATATTTTTCTTACCAAAGGAGTCTTCAGCCCTATAAAAGGATTCCTCTATAGTGTATTTCTCTAGTGTATTTAGTGTGTCGTCAAAATTTTGATTTATACAGAGCTTTCAAGAACACACAATGCAAAGTGAGCGCAGCATAGCTGTTAACAAACATACAACTTTTTTCTAGGGCTTTAAGGGTGGTCATTTTTTTCAAGTTCTCTCAAGTGTCCCAAATCAGGGTAGCAATCTTGTTGCCACATGTGCAGCAAACAAAGTGGAAGTATAGATCTTCTTCTCCCTTAGGGAGGCTCTTGAAGGAGCAGGAGGTACAGTACTGGGTAGCAGTCTGGCCCTCCTGTCGTCTGGTTGGTGTTGGGGCCTCCAGCCAGGGCCCTCTAGGGGAACCAAGCCTCTGCTCTCACCTGTGGGTTCTTGCCCATCAGGGTAATTGTATTGAGAACTCAAATATACGTGCACTTACATGTGTGGTTCGTACTCAAGTGATCTATTATCTAGCTGCAAAGCCTGGCTTTGATTTGAAATTTTGTAAAAATTTCATGGCACCCAAGGTTTCTGATTCTGACCCAGCAGTGGTCCTGAAGAGAGCTGATGGCAAGTCTTGTAGTCATTTTGATTTTAATTGAAGGGTGAGCATAACCTTGTGAACCAGCACTAGCTTGTTCCAAGCTGGAATTTATCTAATCTATTTTTGTGTTTAAAAAAGCTGTACCTACCAAATAAATAAATAGTTTATAAAATGTATTACTTAAGGTATTAGCTGAGTTTAGAGTACTTTCTGCTTAATTAATTTTTATACTTAACTCTTCAGTAGAGGTTTACAAAGAGTACAAAGGTTAAATTACAAATTCATTCCCAGCCTAGGCTCTGGGCACATTTCCTGTTCTTGAATTCTGCTCCTGAAGAGGGTGAACAAATGGGGCATTCAAGTTGTGAGCTCAGAATTACTTTAAAAGGAGGTAACAGCCAGCCATTACACCTAAATTTAATTTATTTTATTAAAATAACATAATTGAGGGACCATCAGATAACTGTATTTTGTCAGGTGCAATAAAAACAAAATTAAAACCCAAATCATCAAGAAAACCTGTATTCCTGGCTTCCTTGTATACACATGATGTGACTAGAGAAACAAGGCTGTTTGTTTGTTTGTTTGTTAGAGAAACAAGGCTGGCCCTGCGGCCCCGCCCCATAGGGGCAGCTCCTGGAAGACAAAATTCAGCATGATGGAAGACTGCTCCCTGAGAGGGCTGAGATGCGGATTGGCCGAGTGCCTTGCCTGGAAAACCATCCCAATGCACTGGACACCTTAGAAGCTGTGAAAGGAGGACGTGTCCCCTAAGAAAAGTTCCATAGTACCAAAGCAGGCTCCTTCGGGCGGCCAGAGTCTCGGCAGTCCTGGGCTGTTTGGTGCCTTATGTGCAAAATGTCTGGCGCTGCACCACTCTCTGAAGAAAGTCCCGCCTGTGACATGCATTCCTCCAGAAGCTGATTTCCAAAATCCCATGTGTCTCCACATCAGGGCTGGACTGCCTGCTACCTTACTTCCTCTAAATACTCATGTAGCCAACAGCTGGGGCTGGGCCCCTGCTTTTTGTACTACCATCAACATCCACTTGCGCATCTACAGAAGGCTGGGCCTTGAGCATGGGGAATGTGGGGAGGGAGCAGGACACACCAGCACTGCAAATGGCTTCCTTCTCCCAGGGCCCAAAGGGATAGAAAAGAAGGCAACATGAAGTTAAGGCCCTGTGAGCAGTCTAGAAGGTCCTTAGCAGCAGCTTCTCTGAAAACATGTGTTCTGCCTCTGGAGAAAGGGAGCAGAAAAGTGGTGCCTGCTGGCTTCTCCTCCTCCCCTGGCAGCCTGAAGACAGGTGCAAAGTCAACTAGAAGACAGGCAGCCTCGGGGACGTGGTCAGCGTGCAAGCATTGATATCCTCAGTGTGGGCTGCCCGATGCAAGGATGGCTCGGAAGCGCTCCGGTTGATCTTCGGTAGAGAGTGTTGGAGCAGCTCAATGGAAGACAGGATCTGAAACAAAGCCCAAGAATGCTCTCATTAGCTGTGTCTCAAAGACACAGGATGTACCCTGCCCCCCACCATCTTGTAGAGGACCTGGGTCCCCTCCCTATAAAACAAAACAAAACACTCCCACCTTATATTGCCATCTTTACGAACCAACCCATGCTTTAATCACATTCTAGCAGCCCTGAGCCTTACCTGGGGAAAAAGAGGCCTCTCTTCCTTTACTTTCTTCACACAGTCAGCTACCAGCCTCTTCATTGCTTTGGGGCAGTTCTTATATAGCTTACTAAGATCTGGGGAGGCATATCCTCGGCCCACCATGAAGATGATCTAAGGGAAAGAAAACAGCTGAGCTAATGGGGGGTGAATGAACAACAGATAATAACAAGTCCTAACCCTCTAGCTGCTTAGGCTGGCGGAGGCCCAGGGGCTCCCACGAGTTGGGTCCTTTCGCACCAGCACAGACTTACCTGATCTCGGTTGTTGATGTGAGAATAAGGAAGCTCCCCCGTCATCAGTTCATACAATACGATGCCATAGGAGTAGACATCCGACTGGAAACTGAATGGGTTGTTATCCTGCATTCGGATCACCTCTGGGGCCTACATGTATCACCATATGACAAAAGTGCATTTATCACCATATGACAGGCCTCACAGACATCTAGGGGCCAGGCTGTCCCTTTCATTAGTTATGAATGAGTCCATTCTTCAGTCCCCACATAGCTTTTCCCCCAAAGGACTCCAACTCAGGCACTGGTTAAAACAGCTCAGGAATCCTTGTCTTTAAAGGACCAAGACCCAGCATTTCTGTCACCCAGCTTATTAACTCCTCTCCACACTAAGCTTCACAGTGGTTCTGATCAACAGCTTCCTCAAGAAAATCTACAATTGCCCTGAGGCTGGCTGTCACTAGGGGTCATGTGGATTTCGGGGAAATGTACAGAAACGCTTTAAGTTTGCACATAAATCTCCAAGGCATTCCTTTTGCCCTATACCAGAGACTGCTGGTGGGAGCCCAGATTCTCACCATCCAGAGGACAGAGCCAGTAGGTTGTTCAACCTGCTGAGAACCACTCCAGCGTGACTTTACTGTTGCCAAACCAAAATCTCCAATTTTCACTGTTAAGCCTTCATGGAGAAATATATCTCAATGCTTGTTAAGGACTCTGGTTTCAAAAGAATGGTCAGGTTAATTTTGAAAAATATCCCAAAGTTCTTTATAACACGGTAATCTCTCCACCTTACCTCTGTCACAGCCTCTCTGCACTGAACTTCCTAAGGTTTCTGAAGTTCTTTAAAGTGCTTTTGAAATGCACCTTCTTCCAGAAGACAGGCAGGGATTGGTCAATGTGCCAGATTATTTGGCCCTAGCCAAAAGCAAGCCAGCGTTTCTTCCCTGCTTCTTCTCCCCATTTGCACATCTAGGTGCTGGGTCTCTGGCCTTGTGACCTTTCCACATAATACAGGTACTTGAAACCCTAACAGGATGAGCAGAGGCCACACTCCAGTGCTCCCCAGAGGGCCAAGGATGGCCTGACAGCTTACAGTCGTTTCTGCCTGTATTCTGCCCTCAAATCACCATCTGAAACTTGAGTGGTTAACAAAATAGCAAATCCCTTACTGAGTGTTCAATGTTGTAGTAAGAAATTCCTCACTAGAATCGGTACCACTCAGTGACTTCAAAATGAGAACTGAAGTCGGCTCGCTTCTGGGTAAAGAAGTCATACAGTTTAAGTCAAACTTGTGAGGAAAAAAAAATTAAAAAAGAACAAAAAATTAAAAAACAAAACACACACAAAGTAACTTGTGATGTTGGTGCCCAGGAATTCACACCTCCTTAAATCTGTGGTGTCTGCTTTCATGGTATAATGTTTGGCTGCTAAAAACCCCACCACTGAAAGGTGTTCCACACCTCAGACATGTACCTAAAATAGGCCATGTCCCATAATCCAACACAACTATCATGCCTCTCACTGCTCAAGAGGCAAAACGTGGGTTGTAATGCCATCTTTCTTTCACAAGGAAAGGCTCGTGGAGGGTGGCAGATTCAAAATTGTTAAATTTCACGCCTCACAGCATTAAAAATACCTTTCTTCATTTACTCTTCTATAAAAACAACCCCTCTCCTCTTCTAATAGTGACTTCTGAAGAACCCACTTATGTACCTTTGAGAAAGACCATTTTATTTATTTATTTTTTTGAGACACAGCCTTGCTCTGTCCCCAAGGCTGGAGTGCAGTGGCGTGATCTCAGCTCACTGCAACCTCTGCCTCCCAGGTTCAAGCAATTCTCGTGCCTCAGCCTCCTGAGTAGCTGGGATTATAGGTACGTGCCACCACACTCAGCTAATTTTTAAATTTAGAGATGGGGTTTCACCACATTGGCCAGGCAAGTCTCAAACTCCTAGCCTCAAGTGATCCACCTGCCTCAGCCTCCCAAAGTGCTGGGATTATAGGTGTGAGCCATCACGCCCAGTCAAGAAAGACTATTTTAATTAGTGATTTTGGAAACCTTTCAACATTTGGCTTGTAGCTACTTGCTATCCACATAACAAGCAGATAGACATACACACGCTGGCCACAAACTAGAAATAAACTTAAGACAAAAGCCCAATCCCCGTCAGGTTACATTTACTAATAGTGTGATAAAATTATGCCTATTTCAAGCTTACGGAAATCTCTCCAAATCACTTTTGCTGAGATAAACTCAGAAAGGAACCTAACCTAAACATCGCTCTCATCAGTCCAGGTGAGGCATAAGCTGCTGAGGGACAGGCCAAGCCTACTAATTTTCTGACTTTTCTGTTTTCCTGTCCTCTGCCTCTTTCCTTAAAAAGATATCCCCTGGCACCGAGAGCCACTTGTGATAGAAAGCCTCCCTTCTGTTTCCCTAAATTTAGAACCGAGCAGTCAAATGAACTCAACAACCAAAGGATACTGTTGGATTTCATGTCTCTATGGATGATGTTCTTTGCATGCAAATAGCTGTGAAGGGAAAAGAAATTATTAAAAATAAGTTTGAGGGGCATGAGTAGAAAGCAGTTTTAAACTACAGCTAAGAAGTAAAGCCACTGAAGGCCTGGCTCCAAGGAGTGTTACACACAGGGATAGACCCTGTGCTGTTCAGCCTGGTTCACATCACTGCTTACCTGAAGGTGAGGCCACAGCACAAACATGCTTACACCTTTTTTTTTTTTTTTTTGGAGACTGGAGTGCAGTCAATAGCTTACTGCAGCCTTAACCTCCTGGGCTCAAGTGATCCTCCCACCTCCCAGTAGCCGGGACCACAGGCATGTGCCACCATGCCGCCTTTTTTTTTTTTTTTTTTTTTTTGGGTAGATACAGGGTCTTGCACTGTTGCCCAAGCTGGTCTTGACTCCTGGGCTCAAGTGATCCTCCCATGTTGGCCTCCAAAATGCTTGGATTACAGGCATGGGCCCCTGGCGCCTGACCATTGCTGACACTTCTTCAAGCATCAGTTTTACTCTAAAGTAATTCTGATAACCCAATGTCCATAAATGATGAATGAATAATGTGGCATATCCATACAATGGAATGTTACTCAGACACAGAAAGGAATGAAGTAGTGACTCATGCTACACATTAACCTTGAAAATACTATGCTAGGTCTAAGAGCCCAGGCACACAATACCATATCTTATGTATTATATACAGCCAAGCATCACTTAACGGCAGGGATACCTTCTGAGAAATGTGTTGTTAGCCAACTTGTCATCATGCACACATCATAAAGTGTATTCACACAAACCAAGAAGGTACAGCCTTCTACACACCCTGGCTAAATGGTATAACGTGTTGCACTTAGGCTACAAAACTGTATGGCCCTCAGTGTACTGAATACTGTAGCTGGTTGTAACATGGTGAGTATTTGTGTCTCTAAACATAGCCAAACATAGAAAAGGCACAGTAAAAATACAGTATTATAATCTTGTGGGACCACCTTCCTATATGTGGTCATTGACCGAAACATCATTATATGTTACCTGACTATATTATATCTTACATGATTCCATTTATATTGAACTATAAAGTAGGCAAAATCCATAGAAACAGAAAGTAGACTGCAAGTGGGTGGGAGGTATTGGGTAACCTCTAATGGGTATATTGTTTGGATATCTGTCCACTCCAAATCTCAAGTTGAAATGTGATCCCCAGTGTTGGAGGTGGGACCTAAGTGGCAGGTGTTTGGGTCATGGGGATGGATTCCTCACAAACGGCTCGGTGGCCTCCCTGCAGTAACGAGTGAGTTCACACACTATTAGCTCACATGAAACCTGGTTATTAAAGAGTCTGGGACCTCCCTCCATGCTCTCTCTCTTGCTCCTTTCTCTCACCACATCACACGTGGCTCCCCTTGCCTTCTGCCATGAGTGAAAGCTTCCTGAGGGCCTCACCAGACACAGATGCTGGTGTCATGCTTTTTGTACAGTCTGCAGAACCCCGAGTCAAATAAACCTCTTTTCTTTATAAATTACCCACCCTTAGGTCTTCCTTTAGAGCAACCCAAACAGACTAATACAATGGGCATGTGTTTCTTTCCGGGATAATGAAAATGTTCTAAAATTAGATAGTGGTGGTGGCTGCACAACTCAATACCAGAAAAACACTGAGGTAGGTGTACATTTTAAAAGGGGGAATTTTATGATGTATGAATTATATCTCAATTTTTCTGAAAAGTCATTCCATTTCTTAAAATACACAGAAGGCAACTTCCATATGAATTTTAAAGACAGTGTGAGAATTTATGTAGGACTTGCAAGCACAGCTATAGCTTAGTAACTCCCAGATGTCTAGGGGTACGAGGAGCTCCTCTACTTCAGAGGAGAAGTTTGAGAAGCACTACCCTAGGCTAGCCAGGAAAGGTGGGAGGATCACTTGAGTCCAGTTTGAGACCAGCCTGGGCAACATAGTGAGACCTCCGACTCTACAAAATACACGAAAATTAGCTGGGCACGGTAGCATGTGCCTGCAGTCCCAGCAACCTATGAGACTGAGCCAAGAGGATAGCTGGAGCCCAGGAGTTCAAGGATGCAGTGAGCTATGATTGCGCCGCTGCACTCTAGCATAGGTGACAGAGTGAGAACCTGTGTCTCTAAGGAAAAAAGTGTGGTTTTTTTGGGTTTTTTTTTTTTTTTCAGATGGAGTCTGGCTCTGTCACCCAGGCTAGAGTGCAATGGCACAATCTCCACTCACTGCAACCTCCGCCTCCCGGGTTGAAGTGATTCTTCTGCCTCAGCCTCCCGAGTAGCTGGGATTACAAGCGCCTGCCACCACAACCAGCTAATTTTTGTATTTTTAGTAGAGATGAGATTTCACCACATTGGCCAGGCTGGTTTCGAACTCCTGGCCTCGTCATCCACCCGCCTCAGCCTCCCAAAGTGCTGGGATTATGGGCATGAGCCACCGTGCCTGGCCAGGAAAAAGTTTTTAATTAAAAAAAAAAAATTATCCCAAAAACAACATCTGCTTAAACCCTCATGTGGGACAGCCATGCCTCAGACAGCTGAGCAGAAGGCATTGCCACAGCTGTCCAAGCAGAAGGTACATGCACCCCACTATATTCTCAGGTTTCTGATAAAGCCAGGGTAGCAGGCAGAGCCCAAAGCTGAGCCCCAAGGGGGAAGTTCAGTCCCAAGGAGGAACCTGAACTTCTCTTTTTTTTTTTTTGAGACAGAGTCTCGCTTCTGCAGCCAAGGTTGGAGTGCAGTAACGTGATCTAAGCTCCCCGCAACCTCTGCTTTCCAATGTTCAAGCGATTCTCCCTGTCCCAGTTCTTGAGTAGCTGGGATTATAGGCATGTGCCACCAGACTTGGTTCATTCTTGTATTTTCAGTAGAAACAGGGTTTTGCCATATTGGCAAGGCTGGTCTCAAAACTACTGGCCTCAAGTGATCCACTGGCCTTGGCCTCCCAAAGTGCTGGGATTACAGGTGTGAGCCACCCCACCCAGCTGGAACCTGAACAACTCATTCCTGATAATTGGCCCCTCCAGCCCAGGCCAGAGGCTTGTGCAAAGATATCACAGAATCGCTTAATGGACTAGAAGGCTTTTCCTGATCCTGGTTCCAATTTAGGGACAAATTTGATGCCTGGGTCCCAGAGAGGCATCAGACCATCTACTCACTCCATTCCCTGAGCCGTCTGCCGGGCAATGTCAATTAGCTGGAACATCTGAAACTTGGTCTCCTGGACATGCAGGTGTTTGTAGAGGCTGCTGCCCTCGCACCACTGGGTCACAATTGCCAGGTTGTCCTTTGTCATGTACCCCATGAAAAGCAGAATGTTCACATGCCGTGTTTTGCTGGGGAGGGGAGGGGAAGAGAGGAGAGGGAGGAGGAAAGTGCTCAGGGAGGTCTACTGTGCTTTCCCGTGGACAGTGGGTTCTGTGCTGTCGACACCACCCCCAGTCCCAACACCACCCCCAGTCCCAAAAACAAACACATGGCACGGCTGATAACCCGGGTGGCATTCTGAGCAAAGAGAAGCCCACCATTAGTTCACTGGGCCATCAGTTCAGTGCCAGCCTTGCTTACAGAGAGGACATTCTCTTTCATCAATGTACACTCCATGACCCTCCTGTGGAGGTCACAAGGACTCCTTGTAGAAGTCTCCATTATATGACTTATTCCTACAAGTCTAAATAGTGACTGAAAGATTGGAAAGCTGACTGTTCTGAAGTCTAAAATAAGGCAACTCAGCTATAAAAAAAAGGGTTCTGGGAAATAAAGGTAAAAATAGGGCCTATTTCTGCCCACCTCAAACCAAAACCCAGAGACAGAAATTGGGCTATTGAGTTTACTGTGCCCAGAGGAGGGTATTCTCCTAAAAAGGGGCTCTTCGAAAGGCTTGACAACCACATAAACTAAAGGAAACATCCCTTTGCTCTCAAGGGAGGAGCATCCAACCACAGAAACTCCACAGTGAGTCCTAACTGCCTGCCCGTCCCAACCTGCGGCACAGTCCACTAACTCTACAGTCCTTGTACTCCCCACTCCAGCACTCCAGAGGGACTGGACCGCCAGCTTTCTACTCACCGCAGAACAGCCACCTCATTCCTGAAGGCCTGGAATTGCTCTGGGGTTGGGTCGACAACCTTTAGGATCTTTACTGCAACATCTCCTGCAAAATTAGTTGGCAGTCAGTGCAATCAGTTGAATGATCTCAGTCTTTCAAATAACCTAGTTTTGAGGAAGATACAGTGAATCATTTATCCAAAGAATCACATACCTACACAGATACGGCAAATTTCCAATTTTTTTTTTTTTTTTGAGACAGGGTCTCACTCTGTTGTCTAGGCTAGAGTGCAGTGGCACATTGCAGCCTTGACCTCCAGGGCTTAAGCAATCCTCCCACCTTGGCCTCCCAAAGTGCTGGGATTATAGGTCCAATCTCTACATAATTCAAATGACTCAAAAAAGTTACATAGGTTAACTGCTATCGCTACAGTTAGGCCTTCGATAGCCTTGGTTAAACTATTCACACCAACCCTGGCAAGCCACAGAGGTGAGGTCATGTGTGACAGGTCAAAACCTTGTCCTGTGGGGATGAAATCAGTGCATACATATGAATGGCCTGGCAAATACAGAATGACTGGGGCTGGTTGCTGGTGTAAGGAAGCAGGCCATTTAGCAACTATTGAGGCTGAACTCTGAATCCACATTTCAGTGAGACCTAAGATGGTCCCTAGTAAAAATTCAGAGATATATATTGAAATTAAGCTTCTCTGCCTTCAATACCATTAAAAAGTAATTCTAATAATACTGAATCCTGGCACTGTGTATACTTTTATCTCTGTTAATCCTCACAGCTGCCCTCTGACGTAAATAATTTATCTTCACAGACAACAAGCTGAGAAGTTTAGTCACTTGCCCAAGGTCATACAGCCAAAAAACAAAGAACGCTGCAGCCAGGATCAAAACCCCAGTCTGACTCCAATTGCTATTCTACCTATAACACTGACAACTGATTGTCAAGCACTGTAAAACCAGCCTCTTGATATAACTTTAGACACATCCAGGGATCCATTCCACTTTAGAGTGCTATAAATTTAAAAGCCACTTTTTTTTTTTTTTTTTTTTTTGAGACAGAGTCTCGCTCAGTCACCCAGGCTGGAGTGCAGTGGTGTGATCTGGGCTCACTGCAAGCTCCACCTCCCAGGTTCACGCCATTCTCCTGCCTCAGCCTCCCGAGTAGCTGGGACTACAGGCACCCGCCACCACGTCTGGCTAATTTTTTGTGTGTGTTTTTAGTAGAGACGGGGTTTCACCATGTTAGCCAGGATGGTCTCGATCTCCTGACCTTGTGAGGCCTCCCACCTCGGCCTCCCAAAGTGCTGGGATTACAGGTATGAGCCACCGTGCCTGGCCAAAAGCCACTTTCAAAAGTGTTTCTGGAGCCTCTCTGTTGGAGCCTTCCTCCTTCCTTTTTTTTTTTTTGAGATGGAGACTCGCTCTGTTACCTAGGCTGGAATGCAGTGGCACAATCTTGGCTCACTGCAACCTCCGCAAGCGATTCTCCTGCCTCAGCCTCCCGAGTAGCTGGGATTACAGGCATGCTCCACCATGCCCAACTAATTTTTGTATTTTTGGGTGGAGATGGGGTTTCACCATGTTGCCCAGGCTGGTCTCAAACTCCTGACCTCAAATGATCTGCCTGCCTCGGCCTCCTGGAGTGCTGGGATTACAAGCGTAAGCCACCCCACCCAGCCCTCCCCATTTCATTTTTGGGAAGAAAATTGGTAGAGAGATGGTCCTCACGATAGGCCCAAACTGTCTCCCTGTGATCTCTGGTTTTATCATCTAAAGTTTCAACGAGTCCCCATGTTTTAACAGCAGCCTCCAAAGTGGCTCTCATCCAGTTAACCTGCACATGTGTTTGCCATGGGCTGCCGGTGAAGGTGCTGTTGACTGGATGGGAGAGATCCACACTATGTTTGGAGCTACCTTCTATCTAGAAAAATGGATCCATATGGGACACCATATGGGAAACGTGTATAACCAGCCCTGAGTAGGAGGACAACAATCATTTGCATAAGTGTCCATTCTGGTACAGTTGGAGCCAAGACAGGAGTGCTGGAACAGAAGGGGAGTTCCCCAAGATGGGGGAGTAAATCCTTTTTTTTTTTTTTTTTTTCTTTTTTAGAGATGGGGCCTCACTATGTTGCCCAGGCTGGCCTCAAACTCCTGGGCTCAAGCAATCTTCCAACCTCAGCCTTCCAAGCAGCTGGGACTACAGGTGCCTAAGTAAATCTCTTTTCAAAGAGAATACAGAAAGGTTTTCTGAAGGAAATGGGCTATAAACCAAGGGAAGGATTTTAGTAAATAGGACAGAGAATGTTTCAGACTGGGCACATCAGAAATAAAGGTGAGGTGAGGGGGATGAGAGAAACCTGAGCTGTGTTTAGTAAACTCTAGGGTAGGATTTGGACACCTGTAGGAGAGAAAGAGGGAGACCAGAGAGGAATCTGCTGCAATAGCTCAGGAAAGGTACAAGAAGAATGGTTGACTGTGGGGACTCAGAAAGAAGGGATGAAGGTAAGAAATCCTGTGAAGGTAAACTGACCCAATGAGGCAGTCAACTGAGTGGAAGTGCTGGGAAAATGGCCAACGCTATGACCCAGGCTCCAGGACCCAGAAAAGGGCAGAGCCTTTAACGGGAGGGGACAGGACAGGGCTAGGGGTTCAGGCATGTGGCTTGGGAGATGCTGGATGATCGCTCAGGGGGAACTGCTTCTAAGGACCTTCCTATTTCATGGACCTCGTTTTGTAGTCCATTCCCTTTCTTATAGCTCTCCTCTGGGCATGCTCTAGTTGTCACTGAACCCACCCTTTGGTGTCACCTGTTCTGGCCCTAATCAGTAATATAACCTCAGAATTCAGAGCCAAGCCCACGCAGTGACTTACTCTGACCTTGCAGTCGGCTGAACTTCCTTGGCAGTTTCCACACACGTTATCATTAAGCCACATCTTCCCCCTCCAGTTCTACTTTTTGGAACAATGAATATGACTTATCTCTGTTAAAAGGTGATCTTTTCTTTTTTCCATCATCCTAGCCAGTTGAACTCTTCTCGCTTTTCTAAATCCTCACTACTATGCAAATACATATCACACCTCTGATTAAGTCACTGATGGGAAGACTGAACAGGGTCAACCAAAGACAGTGCCCATGGTACTTGCAGGGATCCATCTGCCAGCCAGCTCTCGTTAACACAGTTATGGTAACAGATTATTTGCAATTTCTTATGAAATCCAGAAGGAATGTTCTATACTGCAGCATTCCCCTCATTTACATATAAATAACCCAAGGACTGCCATGAAAGGGATTCATTCAGTCTGCTAGGATCAATGAGCAAACATTATAGGAAAACGGATTTCAACTCTAATAAAGAACTATTCCATGCCCTCCCCTCGCCCCACTCTGGCTCTTGCTCTGTCACCGAGGCTGGAGTGCAGCAGCACCATCACGGCTCACTGCAGCCTCAAACTCCTGGGCTCAAGGGATCCTCCCACCTCAGCCTCCCAAGTAACTGGGACTACAATACAGGTGTGCATCACCACGCCCACCTAATTTTTAAAATTTTTTGTAGAGACAAGGGTCTCATGTTGCCCAGGCTGGTCTCAAATTCCTGACTTCAAGTGATTCTCCCACCTCAGCCTCCTAAAGTGTTGGGGTTATAGATGTGGGCCACTGCACCCAATCAAACTATTTTCTACTAGTAGGAACTACCTGGAGTTAGAATGGGCTCTCAGACAGATAATGAGCTCTCTCATCACACTCATTTTCAAACAAAGGCTTGCCAAACCTCCTAAAGGTCTCGTACAACCCCAGATCCCATTTAACCCAAATGATAGTCTTTACAGGACCCTAAAACACCCTACCACTGGACCTCACTCCTATTAGTATACCTCTCACTCACTCTAAATGAAGCCATAAGATCTCCTTGAGTTCTCGGAGCAGGCCAGGTGAGTGGTCCACTTTGCACTTGATGTTACTGCTTCCCTAGATATCTGCACCACCCACCCTCGCCCTCCATGCAAATGCCACTTTCTTGGCAGATTCCTCCCTGACCAACCTATTAAAAACATTGAACTGGGACTGCCACTCCATATCTCCTTTCCTCCATTTTTCTCCTTAGCAATTACAGCATACTATATATTCTACTTTTCCTGTTTACTGTCTCCACTAGAATATAAACTCCTTAAGTTTCTTTTTTTTTTTTTGGACACAGGGTCTTGTTCTGTTGCCCAGGCTGGAGTGCAGTGGTGTTATCACGGCTCACTGCAGCCTCTATCTCCCAGGCTCAAGTGATCCTCCTGCCTCAGTTTCTCGAGTAGCGGGGACAACAGACACACAGCACCATGGTCAGCTAATTGTGTTTTAAGTAGAGACAGGGTCTCACTATGTTGTCCAGGCTGGTCTCGATCTCCTGGGCTAAAGTGATCCTCCCAACTCAGCCTCCCAAAGTGCTAGGGATTACAGGTGTGAACCACCACACCTGGCCTATAGAAAGAATTTTTCTTTCTTTTTTTTTTTTTTTTTTGAGATAGAGTCTCGTTCTGTCGCCCAGGCTGGAGTGCTGTGGTATGATCTTGGCTCACTGCAACCTCGCCTCCTGGGTTCAAGCAATTCTCCTGCCTTAGCCTCCTAAGTAGCTGGGATTACAGGCGCATGCCATCACACCCGGCTAATTTTTTTATTTTTAGTGGAGACAGGGTTTCACCATGTCGGTCAGGCTGGTCTTGAACTCCTGACCTCAAATGATCTCCCTGCCTTGGCCTCCCAAAGTGCTGGGATTACAGGCATGAGCCACCGCACCCAGCCTTGATGCCAAATTTAATGCCCAAAAGGAGGTTGTGAGCTTTGGGCCTGACAGATGCTGCTTTAAATAAATATGTTGAGTTTTAAATCATGCACCTGAGGCTTCTGAGTTGCTTTGAGACCCTTTCTGCTTTACTTCCATAAGTGGGTGGGCTGAGTTAAAAAAATCTTCAATCAAAATCATGAAAACAGTTGTAATTTTTAAGATACTGAACAGATATACTGTATACAGGAACCAGAATATGGCGGAAAAAAGTATTGCACAAAACAATCTAGAAGTTATGTTTCCTGGACCACTCATTTTTCTTCTTCATTCATAGACCAGAGCTTGCTTTCTGAAAGCATGGCATAAAAGTCCACTGCTCCTCACTCCTCTGACTTTTGAGACTTTCTGACTTAAAAAACCTAGAATCTTTTTTTTTTTTTGAGACGGAGTCTCGCTCTGTCACCCAGGCTGAAGTGGAGTGGCACGATCTCGGCTCACTGTAAGCTCTGCCTCCCGGGTTCACGCCATTCTCCTGCCTCAGCCTCCAAAGTAGCTGGGACTACAGGCGCCCACCCCCACGCCCGGCTAATTTGTTGTATTTTTAGTAGAGACGGGGTTTCACCGTGTTAGCCAGGATGGTCTCAATCTACTGACCTCGTGATCCACCCACCTCGGCCTCCCAAAGTGCTGGGATTACAGGCGTGAGCCACCGCACCTGGCCTAAAAAACCTAGAATCTTAAAAACAAGTTATCTCCATTCTAATAGCAGTCTTTATGGAAGTAACACTGTAACAAATAATCTTTATCACAGTTTGAAAGCTCACTCTATTGAGAGAAGACAAAGCTCAGAAGCAGTACCACGTACCAATGCCTTGAAAAATTATGAATCCCCAAATGAAAGTGCGCAACCAGAGGAAAATTAAACTTGGGTACAACTTAAAACTTCATCCGCTGGCTTTTAGCTGGGGCTTTTAAAATGTGATATAAAAATGTTCTAATGCTAACAGAAGCAATAAATGCAATATCCATTGCTCTGCCTCCTACAACTACTAGCAGCCTTGTTATCTCAGACACAAGTGCTCTATCCCACAAAGTGCTTGTGTTCTTTCCTAAGGAATCCTGGAGATATTTATGCCATCTAAAATATTCTGCAACTGGCTGAGCACAGTGGCTCACACCTGCAATCCCAGTACTTTGGGAGGCCGAGGCAGGCGGATCGCTTGAGCTCATGATTTCGAGACCAGTCTAGGAAACATGGCGAAACCCCATCTCTACAAAAAATACAAAAATTAGCCGGGTGTGGTGGCATGTGCCTGTAGTCCTAGCTACTTGGGAGGCTGAGGCAGGAGGATGGCTAGCTTGAGCCCAGGAGGCAGAGACTGCAGTAAGCCAAGATTGTGCCACTACTCCAGCCTGGGCAACAGAGCCAGATCTTGTCTCTAAATACATATAAATAAATATTCTACAACAGTATCATTTCTCTGGGACCCAGGAGACAGCCCAGTAGTACATACTAGATGCAATTTTCTTTTCCTTTTTTTTTTTTTTTCTGAGACAGGGTCTTGCCCTTTCACCCAGGCTGGAGTACAGTAGTGTGTACTCACTGTATTGAGCTCACTACAACATTCGCCTCCTGAGCTCAAGCAATCTTCCTGCCTCAGCCTTCCAAGTAGCTGGGACTACAGGCGAGTGCCATCACATCTACCTAATTTTTGGTAGAGATGGGGTTTCACGATGTTGCCCAAGCTGTTCTTGAACTCCTAGGCTCAAGTGTTCTGCCTGCCTCAGCCTCCCAAAGTGCTGGGATGACAGGCGTGAGCCACCCTGCCCAGCCAGATGCAATTTTCAAAGGAAAAGGAATCATTCCACATGTACTTTACAAATGTTCAGTCGGGTGCCAATCCTCTTAAGGAACTAGAAATTGGTCAGATGATTAATTACAAGTGGTAAAAACCATGCATTAACGAGCACATGGTAAGGCTGGGCACAGTGGCTCATGCCTGTAATCCCAGCATTTTGAGAGACCCAAGAGGACTGCTTGAGTCCAGGAGTTGGAGACCAGCCTGGGCAACATAGTGAGACCTTGTCTCTACAAAAGGTAAAACAAATTAGCTGGGCATTCACCTGTGGTCCCAGCTACTTGGGAGGCTTAGGCAGGAGGACTGTTTGAGCCCAAGAGTTGGAGGCTGCAGTGAGCTGTGATTGTGCCACTGTACTCCAGCCTGGGCAACAGAGCAAGAATCTATCTCAAAAAAAAAAAAAAAAAAAAAAAAAAAACCACCAAGTACTCAAAACTGGAGGTGTTTGATATTTTCAGTACCTTGAATTTTAATACTCCATTCATTTGATGCTTTTAACTTCTCTCAATCTTTGCACATTTATCTCTAAAGATAATTCCAGTGTCATCCAAAGTAGTATAGGCACCAAGGGACTCTGTGATTTTTGCTTTATTGTAATCTGAATTTAGAAGAGATGACTTTTTGGGAACATGCAGCATTTTCAAGGAAATACCTATTATTTCCCAAAGTCCTAAAGCCAGAGGCATTAAAAACCTAACAGAGAAATGCTAAGTATGTTGCCAAAATGTTCAGTGTTGCCAAAATACACAAGCTGTAACTACATAAGTTAAATAGTACCTTTCTTCCAAGTGACAAAGTGTTTCCATTAAAATCAGAACATTAATATTCCACATAGATTCAAGAATTAAGTCAATGCCTTCCCTGTTTGATAGGGACACCCACAGCTAATCCTAGGGCAGGACAAAGAGAAGTTACTTCAGGAGATTTCCAGCTTTCCTATGCCTAACTGCATGACCATGGGCAAATCAGTCCCCATTTCAATCTCTAAGGTCCTTTCCAGCTTAAAGTTTCTAGAACCCATGCTCCCTCCATAGCAGCAGACTCTTGCTCACTTAAGGAGCTTCCAAGCATGACCCATGTGCAGACTGTATTTAATCAGTTTAAAGGAGAAGTACTCCTGACATTTGATTATAGGGCTCAAGTCTTATTCACTAATTTCTAATTATCCTGGGAGCTTTATAAGAACTTAGTCTAAAAAGAATTAAGTTCAATCTTCAGGTATAATCAAGTATGTAAGGGAGAGTACTGCTATAAGCCCAGGAGCACTCAGTCCTCTCCTCCTCCTGGCCCCCTGGGCTGAAACTTGACTTCACACCAAAGCCCTGCAGTTAGTAAAGGGAGGGCCCCAAGCTTACCGTGCCATTTACCCTTATAAACAGTTCCAAAAGAGCCTGACCCAATCCGAGTGGACAGCATCACTTCACTGGCTTCTATTTCCCAATAATAGCTTGAATCTCTCTGTCCACGAGGCCTCTGAAACAAGTAGAGATCATTATTATACTCCATGCAATGGTAATAATCTTTTGATAATGAGGGCATCAAAGGATCAACCCATGTCATCTGTTTCCATATCTTTTAAAGATAAACATATTAACCATACTTCCAATTTTTGTCTTTTGAGAAATACCATTTTAGTTATAGCACTGGCAAACTGTCTGATGCAAGTGTGCCAAAAATGACAGTAACATTTATAATCTCCTTCATTGAATGTATTTTATTAGAATCTTCTCCCAAAATAAGTTTAAGTATTCTAATTTCCAACGAGGTTTTTCTTACTGAACCCTAATTGGCAGGAGGTACTGTTGTCTATACTCACAATTTTGTTTTTCTCCTGGGTCCCAGATACTGGTGCCCGCTCTCTTTGTGCTGGCACGGGGGTTTTCGGCTGTGACCAGCCTGTTGGGCTCAGATTGTTGGGGCTACTGGACAGGGCTGAAGGTGAGGCTTAATAGACAAGACAAACAGAAGCCACACAAGGATAAGCCAACAGAAGATACACCGCATAAAGAAAAAAAGCCCATTATTGTTGGCTAAATGACTATGGAAAAGTACCTGATTCGCTGTGACTTCGAATTGCATCCTGAAACAGAAAAGGAAAGCTGGTCAACTCCTACACACAAAAGATTTTCTCTGGGGGAGGGAAAAAAGAGGAGGAGGATGTGCAAGAACAAAATAGATTATAAAAACCTCTAAAAACCATAGAAATCCTAAACATACTCTAATCAACGTTCCTTGATTAAATTCAGCAAATATCAGTGGCCAGTATCTCCAAGGCTGATTTTTCATTAAATATTAGAAGGATTTAATATTCCACCTCCCAGGTTCAAGCAATTCTCCTGCCTCAGTCTCCCGAGTAGCTGGGATTACAGGTGTGCACCAGCACGCCCGGCTAATTTTTGCATTTTTAGTAGAGACAGGGCTTCGCCATGTTGGCCAGGCTCGTCTTGAACTCCTGACCTGAGGTGATCCTCTCGCCTCGGCCTCCCAAAGTGCTGGGATTACAGGCGTGAGCCACCGTGCCAAGCCTGGTATTAGTTTTTCATATATAATGAAAACCACATTCTTTTTCTCAAAAGAAAGCAATGTACACAACAAACATACTCTTTCAAGGGAAGCTAGCAAAGTTACTCTCAGCTGAGACCCTTCCAAAGATTGGGATTCTTGTTCCACTGAGGCTCAAAACTTTTTTTAAAAAGCCAGGGTGGGGAGGTGGATTCTGGGGGAAGCTCACTCTTACTCCACAAGGAGTTAGGCTAAATTGACTAGAAGTTGGATTTGAAAAAGGTAAGCAGCCTATATACTTTATCCAAGCCTAAAATCACAGAAAGCTGGAAAGACCACAAATCCAAGTTCAAAACCTACATTTTACATATAAGAAAACACATCTGAACAGGTAGAGAGACTTGGCAGGGTCACTTGGCAGAACCAGTAGGTGGCAGAAATAGAACCAGAAACCATCATATATGGATCTCAGCCCTCAGCTCTTTCACCACAAAACACTGCCTTATGGGTAAATTTGGAAATCGGTTACATTCTCCTCATGGGAGAAAGCAAAGGCTATCTTTAGAATTTATTAGAAACTGTTTGGAAAATAGTTTAAATTGCAGAGGGCTCTATGAGACCTAAACCCCAATCTAAAATTCATCGCTTGGAATAGAACAGTATAATAGAATAATATAAAACCACTTGGCCCCCATATCCTAAAAAAGGACATTTTTTGGGGGGAAGTCCTACTATATTCTCTTTGTGTAACTACAGTATAGACAAGATACTTGTTCCACACAACTATTACTAGAATGCTCCCACTCAATTATATAAAAAGATAAAATTATATATCTAATTATATAATTAGATAAAAAGAATCAAACCAAGCTGTTCCCCTGCTCCCAAAACATAATTCGGAATTTAACAAGAAAGCCTAGTTCTGGTTCCCAAAACTAGCTAGTCTTCAGAATTACCTGGAGAGTGATTCTGACTCTGGAAAGAAGAATGAAGATCCACCCCTAATCCCCGACCCACGATTGACTGAGCATGTTTTGGAGGGGAATGTGAGAAGTCCAGGAATGTGTGTTTTTAAGTACAGCAGGATAACTGCCAGGTGGGCAAAACACTGGCAAAAAATAATGTGGATTTCAATAGAAATCGGCAGCTGTAATTTCATTATCCAACTAAGCTGTTCTTTGTTTTTAAAGCAAAGCACAATTTATTTTTATTAACCACAATTATATTCCTATGTAGCAGAATATTTTCCTTAATGTTATGGTAATTTTCTTCCCTGTATCAATTAAATATCCCATATTTTATTCTGTGCTAATTTCTATAGTTGGATCAATTTATTCTAGAAAGAATTTTCCTATTGTTCCTGGAGTCTAAATACTCAAGAGAACTATGAATAATTTGAGACCCACAAATAATTTGAATAAAGCAACAATTAGTCTACTTTAAAAATGCTGACTTATATGTGATTAAATTAACAGGAATCAAAATTTACCCTGCTTCTAAAGTAAAAAATGATTAGGCACAACAATTGTGCTAATTCTTTTATAATAAAAACTCAAAAATTCTTACTTGACACAATCATACACAGCTCACTACAACCTCAAACTCCTGGGCTCAAGTAATCCTCCTGCCCAAGCCTCCTGAGTAACTAGGACTGCAGGTGCACACCACCAAGCCCAGCTAATTTTTACATTTTTTTTTGTAGAGGTGGGGTTTTGCTACATATAGCCCAGGTAGGTCTTGAACTCCTGGTCGCAAGTGATCTTCCCACCCAGCCAATTCTGACCTTTACTGTTCCCTGTAAGTATTACAGTGTTCATACAGGAACAAACCATTTAATAGAAGTAGCAGTAACTGGTATATTATTGTATTATCAGGACTAATCATAATGATAAAGTCAAAATAATAAAATTTATAGCTTATACATGATCTCCTCACAATAGTGGCAGGACAATTATGTTGAAAGTGATTTGAGGTCTGAATGAGATAAACTGTGCCTAAGGCAGCAGGTGTCTACATGATGAGAGAGAGCATAGTTGTCTCTGATAAGCTTTCAATAAAGAATATTTATTCTAGGGTTTATCAACCAAAAACACATTTGGTTACTAATGTATAAACAGAATACCAATGCTGTGAGCACCAACTAAGTAAGTCTAACATTAGCCTTTGGTTGGAATTGATTTAAAAAAAAAACTTTTTAATGCCCTTGGCCTCAAAATCTAACTTAACATTTTTTGTTTGTTTTTAAGGTGGATTCTTATTATGTTGCCCCAGTTGGAGTGCAATGGCTATTCACAGGCACAATTGTAGCTCCCTACAGCCTAGAACTTCTGGGCTCCAGTGATCCTCCTGCCTTAGCCTCTGGAGTAGCTGGGACAACAGACATACACCGTCATGCCTGGCCTAACTTCAGAAATTCATTTCACCTATCATCAATACCACATACAACATTTTTTTTACTTCTATATACTCTACTGCCAAAAAAAATTTTAAAAAGAAAGAAAGAAAAAGAAAACATGGAAACAAGTGACAAGAAATATAAATTTAACTTAGCAACTATTTCATTTTTGGTAGTCTGCTGTCTGACAGTTTTAGCAATCCTGTTAATTACAAGAAAGCAAAGGCATGAAGAAAAATACCTACTCTTCCCCTCAAACAAAATCGTCTGGACCACGCCCTGGGAGAAGCACTCAGGTTGTTATTCTAGTCCAAAGCAATGAGAAATAAAGAAGAATAAAGAACAAAGGAAGTATTTAAGTGTATTCAGTTGTTATTAAAGATGAAGCAGAAAGCAAATTAAACCAATAGGACATAACCAAAAAGCCAAGAGAAGAAAAAGCAGTTCAAAAACACTAGCTTTGGGCACTTTGACATCTCCCCAAACACCTGCTTATTAAAGTCCTAGGACTCCACCCTTTTATTTCTAAATAAAATCACAAAAGTCTTCCAGAGAATCTGTAGTTCTCCATCACTGTTAATTTCTGTCCCACACCAAAACTAAACTGCTCTTTAAATATCTTAGACACTTGTTCATTAATAGCCTATTCAAATCTGATAATGGGAAGAGTTCAAATGTTAACATTTTTTCAGGAAGTTTTAGTTCTCCAGTTGAATGATATACTAACCAGACTATTCAGCCAGTCTGAAGATATTATGGATATAAAATAAACTGTAAAAGTCCAGAGACCTGAGAAAGTGTTGCAACATTCCTTGATCAGATTTGAAACCCAAAACTCTGAAATAAGTATCAACCTCACCCCATTAATTGACTGACATTACCACCCCCAAGGTGCCCTATTACCTCAATCATCCTGCTGTCCACAGGCAGGGTGGTGCTGACCATGTGGACATTAGGTGTGGATGTCGACCTCTGCCTCTGGGAGAGGGAACCTTCAGATGAGGGACTGGAGGTGTTAAAGGTGAAGGCGTGAGGTGTAGAATATCTGTGCTGAGAACTAGGAGGAGAAAGAAAATTCCATGATTGGCACTTAGGCTTTCATACTGGTGAAGTCTTTCAAGTACATATTTGACTAAGTAAGATGCTTAAGGGCAAACTCTACCTGTACAACCTTTGACAAAATGTTTGATTCTTTCAAATGTGTGACATCTAAAAATTATCTTAAGTCTAGGTGCTTTTGCATACAAAATTTGGAACAGGAAATAATATATGTATTGGGAATTCAATGAAAAGGAGAGTGCATTATAAGTTTTCTTTTTTTAAATAAAGCACCACTCTACTCCAAATTTTTACAACATCTCCAGGAAAGAACAGATTAACATTTGACAACCACGCTACCACCTATTAAGCTAGTTGGAACACGCCCAGTTTAGAGACTAAATTTGAGAATTTATTTAAACAGATAAGTAGACGTGCTGAGCATGTCTGTAAAAAGGCCAGGATTTTACCCTCTGTTTGTCCTTACCTGCTACAACCAGCAAACAAAGTAAATAAATGGGAATTCAGTTTTTAGATGGAAATACCTAAATGTGAAATTAACCACTGGCCTCTTCCAGTCACCACCAACCCCCACCAACCAAACTGGGAACATGCATTAAGAGGTATAACATTTTCATTATTTGCTCTAAAGATTCGTTCGAGGTTTGTTCAGATTCAGGTAACACCCATGTATGAATTAAAGGGAAAAAGGCCAGCTTTTCTAAGGGAAATTGTTCTATTGTCTTGAAAAAAATGCCTTCCCACATAATCCTCTGTTTTATGGCTTCAGAGGCCTGGTTTCTTCTAATCTTCAGAGGTAACTACAAATTCTTGGTCAGATTTGCTTTTCAAATTATCAAGAAAAATAAAAGCCATACAGAAATATATATCCAGATATATGCAAATTCCTTATTCTAAGATATGCTGCGTTTAATATTTCCATAGTATTTTCACATTAAACATTATCTGATTACACATTATGTGTGTGTGTGTGTGTGTGTGTGTGTGTGTGTATACATAATATATTTTTTTTTGGAGACAGAGTCTTGCTCTGTCACCAAGGCTGGAGTGCAGTGGTGCCATCTCAGCTCACTGCCTACCACGTTCAAGATTCTCCTGCTTCAGCCTCCCAAGTACCTGGGCCAAAAGGCACATATCACCACACCCACCCAGTTTTTTGTATTTTTAGTAGAGATGGGGTTTCACCATGTTGGCCAGGCTAGTCTGGAACTCCTGACCTCAAGTGGTCCATCTGCCTCGGCCTCCCAAAGTGCTGGGATTACAGGTGTGAGCTACCGTGCCTGGCCTAAAGTAAGATATTTTGGATGTAGATTTTACTTTAGGTTTCAAATTCATGTGTGTTAACACTGAGCAGTAGATAAACGCAACAAAACTGATTATAAAGCTGGAAAACAGAGTAAAGAAAGACAAGTTATATGCAAACTCAGAGACACATGAGAAACAATATTTATGCTGAAAATCTAATTAAATGTTTTTAAAGACACTAGTCTATTTAAATACATGGTTTTAGCAAATGCATCGGCCACAACATGCATTTCAAAGTTAAGGGTTTTATTTTTATCAAATCACTGTATTAAGTTTTAGGACCCTTTCCATTGAGGTTGAACTCAGTACATACTGAGGAAAGCAGAATCTCAAGCTCTTTAAAATGTAATGACATATTAAGAAATATGCTATGATAACAGAAGAAGCTACAGTCAAAGTCACTTTCCAGAATGTAAGACCTACAGGTCCATAAACAGAAATTTCTACCTTTTCTGTACCACCAGTATCAAGTTCCACAGAAGCAGCAAGGGGTTTCCACGTAGAGAGGAGGGAATGCGAAGAAACTCTTATTTTTTGTCTTCAAGCTTCCAACCCCACCACCCCAAATAACTTTCTAAAAGAAAAGCTATAGGTAAAAAATTACCTAACAGGCATCCTGGAAACAGACTCTCGCATACGACGCATAGTCAAAGAAGGTAGTGCTGGGACTCCACTATCACCAATAGTGGAATTTGGAAACAATCTAAACAAAAGCAGGGAAAGACTGGTTTTTAGGCTTGCAGTAATCTTACAGAGACAATCAGCATGCCTTGCTTTTGCAAACTCAGAGCTACTAAAACTGAACTTTTCCCAGTCACATTTTCCTCAACTGTTTTACATTACCTAGAATAAAGGGAACAATATTCCAAATAACTGGATTTGAATGATTATTGAATGTGAATAATACTGACCTGCCAATAAACATACAGGCTCCTGTGTGCTTTTTCTTTTTCTTTTTTTTTAAGATGGAGTCTCACTCTGTTGCCCAGGCTGGAGTGCAGAGGTGTAATGGCGGCTCACTGCAACCTCCACCTCCCGGGTTCTCCTGCCTCAGCCTCCCAAGTAGCTGGGATTACAGGCACACACCACCATGCCCAGCTAATTTTCGTATTTTTTTTTTAATTATACTTTAAGTTTTAGGGTACATGTGCACAACATGCAGGTTTGTTACATAGGTATACATGTGCCATGTTGGTGTGCTGCACCCAGTAACTTGTCATTTAACATTAGGTGTCTCTCCTAATGCTATCCCTTCCCCCAATTTTTGTATTTTTAGCAGAGACGGGGTTTCACTATGTTGGCCAGGCTGGTCTCGAACTCCTGACCTCAGGTGATTCACCTGCCTTGGCCTCCCAAAGTGCTGGGATTACAGGCGTGAGCCACCGCGCCCGGCCCAGTGTGCATTTCTAGGAAATACTGGTCCTGTGTCTAGCTATATCAAAATAATATTTTTCAAACTACAGTATAACATTTCACAAACTATGTCACACACAGCTTCTCTGGAAACATTCCATCTTGAAAATGCATAGATAAAAGACTAAAATAGAAGGAATAAATCACAGAAAAGTGAGTAATTAGGCACCTTTTTTCCATGAGGTGGGCACTTGTGCTTAGTAATTTCACAGGTTATGTCAGCAAGCCTCATAAGAACAATGCAAGGAAGGTAATATCCCCTTTATTCAGATGCATGAACGAAAACTCAGATGTGGTTATGGTTAATGACAACACTGAGATTTTGACATATGTCTGTTAGACTCAAAAGCTTGTGCCGCCGGATGCGGTGGCTCACACCTGTAACCACAACACTTTGGAAGGCCAAGGCGGACAGATTGCTTGAGCTCAGGAGTTCGAGACCAGCCTGGGCAACATGCTGAAACCCCGTCTCTAGAAAAAATACAAAAATTAGCTAGGCATGATGGCATACACTTGTAGTCCCAGCTACTCAGGAGGCTGAGGTAGGAGGATTACTTGAACCCGAGAGGTCGAGGCTACAGTGAGCTGTGATCATGCCACTGCACTCCACTGTGGGAGACAGAGCGAGACCCTGTCTTTAAAAAATAATAATAAAAAAAAAGGCTGGGCGTGGTGGCTCATGCCTGTAATCCCAGCACTTTGGGAGGCCGAGGTGGGCAGATCATGAGGTCAAGAGATCGAGACCATCCTGGCCAAGATGGTGAAACCTCATCTCTACTAAAACTACAAAAATTAGCTGGGCGTGGTGGTGTGTGCCTGTAGTCTGAGCTACTCGGGAGGCTGAGGCAGGAGAATCACTTGAACCTGGGAGGCAGAGGTTGCAGTGAGCCGAGATCATGCCACTGTACTCCAGCCTAATGACAGAAAGAGACTTGTCTCCAAAAAAAAAAAAAAAAAAAAAAAAGGGTGGGGGACAAAAATAAGATAAATTTTAAAAGCTTGTGCCATTTGTGCTACTCAAGCTCTCATCACAAAATCAATACGTAAGTGACCATGAAAGCAAAAACATTTTCATCATGGTCTAATAATAACACTCCCTTGGTTTCTCTAGTACTGTCAAAAAAGGACAAAACTTTTAAACTTTTCATATACCTAGTTACAGTTTTTAAAAGGCAGTTTGGACCATGTACTTTTAATGTAAACTTTAAATTCTTTAATAACATTTTATCTATATGAAATATATTGTCTCCTGAAAGAAACAAGAATCTTTCAAGATTTTATATTCAAACAATTTTAAGTCCAAACAACTAAGTTTTCTCCAGTTTGAAGTGAAGAAAATAGCATCAACGGTGCTTTCTGCTCCTTCTCAATGTCAAAGGCTCATTCAGCATATTCAACAAAATACAGAGCAGTGTCTACTAGCAACCCCAGTAGATAATACTATTAAGAGCGAAAAGCAAAAAATCTTCTTGTTTTCATATCCTTTTGCTCCTTTCCTTACTGAATCACAGTCACAGTATGTCAATCTCAATTTGACAGATAACAAGTCCTACTCCTACCTGCTCATTCTGGAGTATGAATGCCACCAAACCTAGCTAGTTTCAGAATTATCACTGTTTCTAAAGTAGTTTCTGGATCACAATTCATTAAATGAGTCTAGAATCCAGACCTGTCAGTCAAAATCTACAACAAATACCCTTTAAAGTATGTATACTCCTCATCCCTATCTTCCTTGGATAAAAGAACAATGCCTTACAAGAGTTGTCTGATGTTACTCCAGTCCACACACATAGTAGGTACTTTGGTGCTACAGTGCTCATGAAATTTGTAGCCACAAGTCTGACATCGAAATCCATTGAGCAGGAATTTCTGACAGATGTCACAGAAGGCAAGCTTCAGGAACGTCTTCCGAGCCTACAACAAGAACACAGGTGTAAATTATGCTGAATAAATAAAAGATGACAAAAGACAACTTCATTTCTTGGCCTCCAAAAAAGTTTTTACAAAATGAATCATACTTCCAGCATGTACAGAATTCATAATCACAAATTAGAGTATATCTCTGACTAATGAAATCTAAATTGCCTTACTGTAAACAACAGCATAAAGAACTTTAAACAATCCAACTATATATATATATACATACGCATATTACCTGAGAAATCTCTGTTATGCCTGGCAAAGCCCTCAACATGCCAGAAAGAGAAGAGATCTGCAACTTACAAAGTTGTGTGTTGTGAGGGGAACATGATCCAGGAAATCTACTTGAAGTTCTTCTCCAATCAAAGACGCAGCATCAGTATTCCAATCTAAGCGTGCTTTTTTACTAGAAAGGATTTAAAAAAAACATGAAATGTTTAAACAAGATCAAAGTTCAATAGAAATAACAACAGCTACCATTTATCACATGCCATATAAACACAACTTTATTTAATCCATACAACAATAATTTATTTAATTCATACAACAAACCTATGAAGTAGGTATTATTTCTATCTGAAAAATAAGAAAACTGGGACTCTAAGAAGGTAATTTGCTCAAGGCCACACAGCAAGTTTAAGGGCCTATGTTGGAATCTAGGTCTGTTGAACTCCAAAGCCCATGTTCTCAGAATAAAGTTTTCTCTTTATTTACTTAAAAAAATGTTTTTTGGTAGAGAGAGAGTCTTGCTGTGTTGCCCAGGCTGGTCTTGAATCCCTGGCCTCAAGCGGTCCTCCTGCCTCAGCCTCCCAAAGTGCTGGGATTACAGGTGTGAACCACCATGTCTGGCCAGAATAAAGTTTTCTTTAAACAATGATATATAAAATCTCACAATAAAGTCAATATACGTTAAATTGGAATTTGTAACACTAAAATCTTACAAAAATCCCCAAATCCTGTAAAATGGATTATAAATATTGCTGCAGTACAAAATTTAGTCTTCAGTAGCCTATTTCAATCTAGATAAATAGAAAGGAACCACAAATGAAAAATGTACTTTTCTATTAATTAATAACAGACTCAAATCTGTAGTTGTAGGGTCTATAAGTCAATGAGAAACTTAACTGTCTTAAAATCTACTCTGAAACCACACTTTCTGTGCCTACAGTATAAATAAGACAAAAAATAGATACATAAGTAAAAAGTAATGCCCAATTCCTTTCTTATGTTTTATCCAGTTAATCTGGCCCATTTTCCAAAGGAAGAATATTCTCAGGTAAAGAGAAAATAACATGTATAGCACCATTCAAGCCTCTCCATTATCTACCAGAAGCCTAGTCAAGCCATTTTTCTCACTATCCAACAGTAAACAATACATTCCTTAATATAATTACCTATACAGCACCTGGAAAACTTCCTATAACTCCAAAGGACTATTTTGCCCTTATGAAGAGAAGGAGGACAAGCCTTATTTTCTCATCAATCTGCAGACTGATCCTAGTGACAATCTGCTGTCTGTCCTAGAGACTCCAGAGTAGCTCCAAACCAGTGCAGCCTTGGATGAGAGTAGACCAAGCCCTCCCTGTCTCAGAATCTCTCTAGTCCTTAAGGAACACTATGGATTGGCTTAGGGACCCAACCTGGGCTACCTTCAGCAAAAGTTAACGTCTGCTTCAAAGATTTGCACTTCAACAAACGCCTCCTAAATTGAGAATTACACTCACCCCTTCGAGTAGATTCATTCCCTGGGCTATTCTCCCAAACTGCAGAACTCTTTGAAACATGAAAAAATGTAAGCTAACGATGAATAACATAAGTGACGCTTTCCAAGAAGAGGGTAAAAAAGAACCCTTTAAAGGTTTCCCTATATTTTCGGGGTGGAGGGAATAATGGATAATGGATAATTATGGACAGCTCTGCTGCTTTGAGGTATTACTCCTAGCCTTTGAGGGGATGCCTCTATCTTGCCACCACCATTAGGAATAGGATAAACCATGAATCTTCCCTGAAGCAGAAATGCTTCTGCATCTTTAAACAATCTATCAAACAGCAGGGATTAGTACACATTTAACTGAATAAAAAAAAAAATTAGTGAATGAGAAAAGTCAATCTCCCGAGGATAGCATTCTTTATATAAAATAATGCACTTTCTGAGTGCCCAGTCTATATAATGCATTAGAGTAAACACAAAGAAAAATCTTTGTCTCAAAAAAACACAGCATCTAACATCACTGTTTCCATCCATGGAAACATTATCAATACCTAACATGTGTTTGTTTTTGTTTTTTTGTTTTTTGGCTTTTTTTAATAGACAGGATCTTGCTCCAGCCCAGGCTGGAGTCCAGTAGCACAATCATGACTCACTGCAGCCTCAAGCCCCTGGGGTCATGCAATATTCTCACGTCAGCCTTTCGAACAGCTAGGACTACAGGGCCGCACCACCATGCCTGGCTAATTTTTAAAAATCTTTTGTAGAGATGGGCCTTCGCTATGTGCCCAGGCTGGTCTTGAACTCTTGGCCTCAAGCAACCCTCTTGCCTCAGTTTCCCAGTGTTAAAATTACGGGTATTACCATCCTGGCTAACACGGTGAAACCCCGTCTCTACTAAAAATACAAAAAATTAGCCGGGCGCGGTGGTGGGCGCCTGTAGTCCCAGCTACTCCGGAGGCTGAGGCAGGAAAATGGCGTGAACCCGGGAGGCGGAGCTTGCGGTGAGCCGAGATCGCGCCACTGCACTCCAGCCTGGGCGACAGAGCAAGACTCCACCTCAAAAAGAAAAAAAAATTACAGGTATTGGTCATCAGGCCCAGCTTAACGTGTATTTAACTTTTCAAGAGAATGTCCAAGCAATAATTTCAATTTCTTAATACCTATTTTTCTGAATTATCTCTTTATAAAGAAAGGTATAGAAATATACAATATTCTATAGGAAGCTAGTACAATTTAATACAAACATAGCTATTTGAAGCTAGAAGATCCTTACTAGTCTGAAGAAGTCAATTGACTTTTGAGCTCTTACCCTTTGTGTTCGTGGAGAAGTCTGAACACTGCACAGCACTCTGGTTGCAGGCCCCTCACCTTGAGTGCTTTCATAAGGCAGTCATGCAAGCTCATTCCATTTCGCACATTGACCTACAAACAAAGGACCACCTTTAGGACCAACACAGGCTGCAGCACCCCTTGGAAAGGTGGGCACAGAAATAAATGCACCAGTCTGTATTGCTTGTGATGGCCCACGCACACACACATATACGAAACAACCTGAATGTCCAGCAATAGGAAAGTACTTGAATGGAGTGTGAGACATCTGTATTATGTCACATTATGCAGCTATTATATTACTTATAATGACCTGGATGGAGAGGAGTCCATGATATATTAATTGGGGGAAAATATCCTTCAGAATAATAGAGTAAGATTATTTTAAAGGTGAAGAGGCCAGGCACGGTGGCTCACGCCTGTAATCTCAGCACTTTGGGAAGCCGAGGCGGGTGGATCACCTGAGGTCAGGAGTACGAGACCAGCCTGGCCAACATGGTGAAACCCCGTCTCTACTAAAAATACAAAAATTAGCCGGGCATGGTGGTGGACGCCTGTAATCTCAGCTACTTGGGAGGCTGAGGTAGGAGAATTGCTGGAACCCAGGAGGGAGAGGTTGCAGTGAGCTGAGATCGCACCATTGCACTCCAGCCTGGGTGACAAGAACGAGACTCCGTCTCAAAAAAAAAAAAAAAAAAAGTGAAGAAATCTGTATATGTTATACAAGTGGAAAGATTTACACCTAGCTGTTCACATCAAGAGACAGTTAAGAAAGTGGTTAGAAAGTGGTTAAGAAAGATAAAATGATAAACTTTTCCTTTATACGTCTCTAATTTTGTGTGATTAGAATGTATACACATATATGTTCACTAGATTCATTAGAGAGGAAATAAGCCAATCTGATCTATAAACAAACGAGTTTTTATGATCAAAATTTGTACTTCAACCTCTTTCAACAAAAATGACTGATGATTCTAACAAAAATTCCATCTCACAAGTACTTAACACTAGTGAAGGCAAAGCAGGAAGTGGAAGATATAGAACTCCAGCCCTGCTGTAGGGACAAACACCAATCTTAGTTTAAATATATGTGCACACCATACCAAGCAGCCTTAGTGGCACATACTTCTCTATATTCCCCTGTACTCAATCCTCAAAAAGCTAGGCAGGTACTCAGAACCCTACTGGGAAGTGTGAGTGCCCAGGATACTCACAATTAATGGCAGCTGTAAAAAAATTTGAATGAAAATTTCAGAGTTTTGATAAAAGCCCTCCATGTTTAACTTCAAAGCCAAGAATTAATCAAAAGTAAGGTAACTAGAGTCAGTATGGCCAGCAAGGAGGGCAAAACAGAGATTTGCAGTGCTTGTGAACTGCCTACCAGGTTCCTCCTCTGATTGAAAGTGCTAACAGCTGACAGCAGCCAGCCAACCGCTCCCCCACCCCGCCATCCCCCCCCACACCCCGCCCCCAGAAGGTGGTGAGTGTATGCATATATCTACCTATGTGGGTACACGGGGAGGGGGAAGGAAGTAAAGCAGGGCTGCAAAAGGCCCAAAGTGTTCTTAATCTTGGCTCTTACTCCAGCCACCTCAATGCCAATCCAGCCAACCTTCTCTAGCTGGTTTACAACAGAAAAAAGTCTTAAGAAAGAGGACATAGTTATCTGGGCCCTTCTAGTTACCAGGCTCCAAACTAGGGCATAGTATGTGGATGCAAAGCAGAGAAAACAATCTAGGAAAGAAGGGAATGCATGTAAGCATAAGGAATTTGAAAACATCAGAGAGGGGCAACGTAAGAAGTTTTTCACAAGGCTTTATTTTGCTATCACCAGGGACTGAAGGGGACTTATCTGCCCAGTAATCATTCTTTGAAGCCCAAAGATGGACTCCACATTGAGAGTACAGTATAGAAGAATTTGAACTTGTAACAGATTAGTCGAGAAGGTGATGGGAGTGGGGAAGGAATATTCTCCAGGAGGATCAATCATCTGGGAGAAGGAAAAGATTCTCCAAACGAAAAAAGTTCCTTTGGAGTTTGTGATAGCCTCCTTAGCTACCGATGGTTTTTCCTCTCCTTCAGAGATGTGGAAGAAAGGAAAGGTCGTGAACAACAGGGTAAGGGGAAACCAACTGATTCTTCGAATAGATAAAGATTGATCATAAGAAACCTCTGAGGAAAAGAAATGGGGATAC
The DNA here is from genome assembly GCF_000001405.40 of Homo sapiens. NCBI lineage: Eukaryota > Metazoa > Chordata > Mammalia > Primates > Hominidae > Homo > Homo sapiens. Next base: position 12,614,165 of record NC_000003.12, read on the forward strand.
AGGGGCAGGGGTCACCCAAGACTTTTGGCTCATATGAATGCTTTACCTATTTAAAAATAAATAAAATTAGCATTCTTTAAAAGTTTCTTGTACATACCAAAATAGTTCAGACAAATGATACCTGGGATTTGTGTCAAAACACTGGGAAAGGAGTGGATGAAAACAGATTAAGCAGGCCTGCCATGGTTAGCTAAGTGTTGAAAGTGGGTAAGGGGTACATCAGATTTGTTATTTTCTCTACGTGCGTGCGTGTGTGTGTGTGTGTAAAATCTATATTATATATACTGAGACAGAATCTTGCTCTGTCATCTAGGCTGGAATACAATGGCATGATCATGACACATGTACCCTTTACCACCCCAGTTTAAGTGATCCCCCTGCCTCAGCCTCGGCTGGGACCACAGGTGGGCAGCACCACTTCTAGCTAATGTTTTTTTTTTTTGTAGAGACAAGATCTCACTATATTGCCCAGGCTGGTCTCAAACTCCTGGGCTCAAGCAATCCTTCCACCTCAGCCTCCCAAAGTGCTGGGATTACAGGGAAGAGCCTCTGCACCCAGCCTGTATATATTTTTTAATGTTCCAAAATAAGTTTATTTTAAAAGTTTCTTGACGCAGTGATACCCACCAACTTCCAGCTTTTCAGAAACAAAACAAGTAAGCTATACTGATGTGAACTACTAAGACACTAAGAATGAGGAAAACAAAGAGTAATAAACATACCTAACGGAATCATGACCTGCATCAAATACTGTATAGCAATGTTTTCTAAGCTATAAAGTGATATCTGTTACATTATCAGTCTTCACTAAATCATACTGCAAGCTGGACAGTTCTTTAAATATCATCTAATCCAGTCAGATTCCCAAATGTAGCTGGCATTAGAATCCTCAGAGAAGCTTGAGAAAATATAGATTCCATCTACCTGTCCAACACATCCAAGGATTCTGATTCAGTTAGTATGGAATAAAGCCCATTCATACAGAATGAATCTGTATTTTAACCTGCTGGTCAGCTGACTCTAATAGTAGTGGTCCTCGGCTCCAGTCAATCACTTATCTAATAATAATTAGAAGCAGTAGCAGCAGCAGCAATAGCAGCAACAGCAGCAGGAGGAAGTCAAAGAGGCACACATTTAGAAAATAAAAATTCCAAGAAACATTCAAAAACCTAATTATCACATCTAAAATTATTTAAATCAGATACGCGTCCTCTGTCTCATTCTCCTCTTTACAGCCCTCCATGGATACATGCTGAAATCAGTTAAATAATTTCTAGAACCCACTGAGTGATTATGAGAGTCATTCTGGGTTCAGGAAGTAAAGCAACCTGGGGAGGAGTAAAAAGAGCTGACTGATGGTGCTGGCCTAGCTAAGCAACTCTTCCCTCTTCTACCGCTTTCCTCAAGCTGCGTGCCTGGTGAAAGCAGCTAGTTCTTCCACAGTTAGTTCATCTTTACCCAAAGAAACAGGCAAAACTAACCTAGGCTACAACCTTCTCATAAGCTGTAGGAGAAGTCAAGCTTGGCTTCCAACCACCAGCTGTGCTCAAATGGAGGGGATCAAGGACTACATAGATGTATAAAAAGCTAAGAAATAATCATAGCAGCCGGGTGCAGTGGCTCATGTCTGTAATCCCAGCACTTTGGGAAGACGAGGCAGGCGGATCAGAAGGTCAGGAGTTTGAGACCAGCCTTGCCAACATGGTAAACCCTGTCTCTACTAAAAATACAAACAAATTAGCCAGGCGTGGTGGCGGGTGCCTGCAATCCCAGCTACTTGGGAGGCTGAGGCAAGGAGAATCGCTTGAACCTGGGAGGTAGAGGTTGCAGTGAGCCGAGATTGGGCCACTGCACTCCAGCCTGGGTGACAGTGAGAGCCTCCATCTAAAAAAAATACATATAATAATAATAATAATAGCTACCACTTCACTTATGAATCAGCCACTGTGCTAAGTACAAGCCTCATTTCATAAAGGTCAGGAAAGAGGATCAAAAAAGTACAGAACTTGTCTAAATGATACAGCTAATAAAAGGCAATGAGGATTTAAATTGGGATTTTCTTGTTTTAAAGGTTCATACACTTAATCACTATGCCAAATTAAGTTTCCCAGCCTTCTGGGCAAACTGGTAGCAGATGGGGATGGAGAAGATAGTCTCAATAACACTTTGAAGAAGCACCAAATGGTCTTCAGCTTCTCATAACACACACTTCCTATCTGACTTCTCAATTTAAGGTCACAAAGAAAATTAATGAGAAACAGTAGGCAAAATTACTTTGCAAATGGAAGACCATTGTTCAGATATAGGGGATTATTACTGCTTATTTTGCCAGCCATAAAATTTTCATTTTTAGGAAGAGAGACAAAGATAAACTTACTCAAACTTTAATTAAAGTTAGACTTTTGAGTTTTGCCTTCAGTTCAAAATGCACCTAAGTATTCAACACTACACTTGGGAGGCTCCTTAGGTTCACAAAAAAAGTATAAACAATTTATTAACAAATTGGGAAGAGTGGAACTGTTAGAAGCAAACAGAAAACTCTGGACTGGGGTTCCCCACCTCAGAACCTTGCTTCACCTGACTATATGGAATAAACACAATGCATTGATTTTACACAAAGAACAGAGGATGGGAAAGGAAGAGGCATGGAAGTTTTGAACCCAAGTTTTCTCAAAAGTTCCACCAAGCAAAACCAATGCAATTTCACTTTTCTGTTTTGGCCAGGTGGTTGGTTTTGTTTGTTTTATCCATAATAGTAGAAAACTTTTTTTGTTTTTCTTTTCTTTGAGAAGGGGTCTGGCTCTCTGTCACCCAGGCTGGGGTGAAGTGGTGCAATCTCAGCTCACTGCAACCTTTGCCTCCTGGGCTCAAGCCATCCTCCCACCTCAGCCTCCCGAGTACCGAGTAGCTGGGACTACAGACGTGTGCCACCACGCCCGGCTACATTTTTGTTGTTATTTCTTTTTTTAATATAGTCTCACCCTTTCGCCCAGGCTGGAGTGCAGTGGCGCAATCCTGGCCCACTGCAACCTCTGCCTCCCGGGTTCGAGTGATTCTCCTGCCTCAGCCTCCCAAGTAGCTGGGATTACAAACGTGCAACACCATGCCTGGCTGTAATTTTTGCAATTTTAGTAGAGATGGGGTTTCACCATGTTGGCCAGGCTTGTCTCGAACTCCTGACCTCAAGTAATGAGCTGGCCTCAGCCTCCCAAAGTGCTAGGATTACAGGCGTAAGCCACTGCACCAGGCCTACTTTTTTGAATTTTTTTTTGTAGAGATGGGGTTTGCCACGTTGCCCGACTGGTCTCGAACTCCTGAGCTCAAGCAATCTGCCCACCTCGGTCTCCCAAAGTGCTGGGATTACAGGTATAAATCACCACACCCAGCCAGAAAACTTTTTGAGAGCTAAATTCTTAGAAAAATTGAAGTTTTGTTATCAGGCTGGGCGTGGTGTCTCATGTTGGTAATCCCAGCAGTTTGGGAGGCCGAGGCAGGTGGATTACCTGAGGTCAGGAGTTTGAGACCAGCCTGGTTAACATGGTGAAACCCCGTCTCTACTAAAAATACAAAAAACAAAAATCAGCCAGGCGTGGCGGTGTGTGCCTGTAGTCCCAGCTATTTGGGAGGCTGAGGCAGGAGAATCACTTCAACCCAGGAGGCAGAGGTTGCAGTGAGCTGCACTCCAGCCTGGGTGACAGAGTGAGAATCCGTCTCAAAAAAAAAAAAAAGAAAAGAAAAAGAAAAAGAAATTTTCTATCAGAAAACCTAGTGGCAGTGTCCTGCCATGATGCCAATATGAACCTGTCACTGGCACTGAAAAAATAAACTACGCAGAACTAAGTGGCTGGTGTCAGTGCCCTGAAAAAGAAGATTCTATGATTTCTAAGCTGCCTCCAGACTGGTCCTGGGCCTATGAAATATACAAAAATAATCTTTTCTATGTAACTTTACTTTCTTCTTTATACTTGATTGTAATAGTCAAAAAGCTTTAGGTGAATATTTTAATAGAAGAAATAAAATGTCTTCTAAAATAAGTAGTTGGAAAGGCCTAGAGACTTCTCAAAGAAAAGTCTTTGAAATATACCCATAAGAATGTACTATTTGTTTGGATGAAGTGGCACAAAGGAAGACATTCCAGGCAAGAGTAACAGAAGGAAGGCCAAGAGGTAGGAAAAAATAGGGGGTGTGGAAGGAACAGCAATATAAAAAAATAAATCTGCAGTTAGAAAAAAAAAAATAAAGACCCTAAATGACAATGAATATTTTGCCTGTCTTTAAGTTGAACATGATCCTTAATGTGCTCCACAGGCAGATAAATAGCTAAATTTCCTAAGTAGAATGTTCACATACCACTGTTCTTTGCTTGTTCGGCAAGAAAACACGGATAGTGTTGCTTGTCTTAGAAGGATCTGTGAGTTTGCCATCATCTGATGCCCGGCGCTGATAGCCAAACTGCTGAACTATTGTAGGAGAGATGCAGCTGGAGCCATCAAACACGGCATCTTTGAATCCAAAACCATTGCTGATCGTCTTCCAAGCTCCCTGTATGTGCTCCATTGATGCAGCTTAAACAATTCTTAAACCTGGTAAGAAACACAAATAATTGTAACTCTAGAACAAAAGTATTCAACCCAAGAACACAATACATAAAGAGTAATTATGAAAATAGCACTATGTGGGTTTTTAATGATACCTCCTGCATTCATCAGCAAAGAAAAGTTTCTTTAATAGTACACTTCCATTAAATATTTCATAGATGAGGAAAATGGGACCAGCAGTTAAAAGATTTAGCAAGCAACTGCGGGGCACGGTGGCTCACGCCTGTAATCCCAGCACTTTGGGAGGCCGAGGTGGGTGCATCACGAGGTCAGGAGATGGAGACCATCCTGGCTAACACGGTGAAACCCCATCTCTACTAAAAATACAAAAAATTAGCCGGGCGTGGTGGCGGGCGCCTGTAGTCCCAGCTACTCGGGAGGCTGAGGCAGGAGAATGGCGGGAACCTGGGAGGCGGAGCTTGCAGTGAGCGGAGATCATGCCACCGCACTCCAGCCTGGGTGACAGAGCAAGACTCCACCTCAAAAACAAAACAAAACAAAACAAAACATTTAGCAAGGGACCAGGCACAGTGGCTCATGCCTGTAATCCCAGCACTTTGGGAGGCCGAGGCCAGCGCATCACTTGAGGCCAGGAGTTCAAGACCAGCCTGGCTAACATGGTAAAATGCTGTCACTACTTAAAATACAAAAATTAGCCAGGCATGGTGGTGGGTGTCTGTCATCCCAGCTACTAGGGAGGCTGAGGCAGGAGAAATCACTTGAACCCAGGAGGTGGAGGTTGCAGTGAGTCGATATCGTGTCATTGCACTCCAGGCTGGGGGACAAGAGCGAGACTCCATCTCCCAAAAAAAAAAAAAAAAGCCAACTTGGAACATGAGCCCAGGTCTCAAGACTTCTAGTCTATTACTTTTTCAACTACATTTCTCTTCTTCCTAAGCAACTACTACCCTTGAGTGTGAGCAACACATTAGTACTATGAGAAATACCTGAAAAAAAGTGTAAGCCATAATTTATGACTTCAAGGAAGAAAAACTAATATTTCTAGGATGTATTTTAGGCACTTTATAAATTATCTCAAGCCGGGCATGGTGGCTCATACCTGTAATCCCAGCACTTTGGGAGGCCGAGATGGGCGGATCACAAGGTCAGGAGATCGAGACCATCCTAGCTAACACAGGGATACCCTGTCTCTACTAAAAATACAAAAAATTAGCCAGGCATGGTGGCGGGCGCCTGTAGTCCCAGCTACTCAGGAGGCTGAGGCAGGGGAATGGCGTGAACCCGGGAGGCAGAGCTTGCGGTGAGCTGAGATCGCACCACTGCACTCCAGCCTGGGGGACAGAGCAAGACTCCATCTCAAAAAAAATAATAATAATAAATTATCTCATTTAATTTGTGTAAGAACCCCAAAGATTTTCTTTTCTTTTCTTTTCTTTTGAGACAGAGTCTCACTCTATTGCCAGGCTGGAGTGTAGTGGCGCGATCTTGGCTCACTGAACCTCCCAGGTTCAAGCGATTCTCCTGCCTCAGCCTCCCGAGTAGCCGGGATTACAGGCATGCACCACCACGCCCGACTGATTTTTGTATTTTTAGTAGAGATGGGGTTGGCCATGTTGGCCAGGATGGTCTCAATCTCTTGACCTCGTGATCTGTCCGCCTCGGCCTCCCAAATCACGCCTGGGATTACAGGCATGAGCCACCGTGCCCAGCCAGATTTTTAATCCCTTCCTCCATCCACACTTTCTTTTTAATTAATTTATTTTCTGAGACAGGGTCTTGCTCTGTTGCCCAGGCTGGGGTGCAGTGACATGATCACAGCTCACTGCAGCTTCAATTTTCCAGGCTCAAATGATTCTCCTACCTCAGCTTCCCACATAGCTGGGACCACAGACGTGCATCACCATGCCCAGCTAATTTTTAAGAACAGTTTTTTTTGTTGAGAAAGGCTCTCACTATGTTGCCCAGGCTGGTCTTGAACTCCTGAGCTCAGGCAATCCACTCTCCTTAGCCTCCCAAAGTACTGGGATTACAGGTTCAGTCACTGCAAACCCTTTCTTTTTTGGACACAGAAGTCATGCTACTTGCCCAAGAACACCCCAGCAGTGGGTAAAATAACCAGATTCTTTATCTGTTTAAATTTAAAGTCCATGAATTTTCTACCATAACATTCAGAGTTCAGAGTTCAGTTCATTCAGAGTTCAGAGTTCAGTTCATTCAGAGTTCAGAGTTCAGTTCATGGTCAGAAACCATGCAGAAGTAAGGGGGGTAGGGTTTCCTCCTTTAGAAAACTTTGAGGTTGATAAGGAATCCCATCTTTTCAAGCCTTCCTCCTTCAGAAACTTGTTTTATTATTAACAGTAGCTACCATTTACTAAAAGCTTACTATTATGAGGCAGGATACACAGCATACATTCCAATCATTATCCACCTTAATACTTACAGTATTACTCTAGGTAGGAATTATGTCCCCATTTTACAGTTGAGAAAATTCTCACACACACAGCTTGTAAGTGGCAAACTGGGATTCTGAACTGGGCTGCACTGACTCCATAGCCCTTACCTTCCCATATATAACACTAACACTCAAATCATTTTAGTCAGAGCTGAAATGGCCTAGAATTAAAGACCACAGAATCCAAACCTTGTTTTCAACCAAAAGTTTCTAACTGAATATCCACTATATGCTAAATCACATCACATGCCCAAATCAAGAGGGAGGTTAGATACTTAGTATTCTTAGATGACAGCTAAGAAAACCAAAGAGGTTTAGAGACAACTTAAGATCACAACATGGAGTTATTCTCATACAGTCTTTGTACATTCTTTTTGGGAAAGAATACGGTAATATCTATTAAAAGTTTGAAATGTTCTTAAAGAATGACCTAGTATTCTACTCCAGAAATTTGTCCTACAGAAGCCTAAGACAAGTGTATAAAAACATGTGTAAGCATATTCCTTGCAGCACTATTCATACCCTTGAAAAACTGTGGTAAAGACCAAATACCTAACAATAGGGAATTAAATAAACCATGTTAATATCCACGTGATAAATAAAGTAGATCCATATATACAGAGGTGGGAAAAGATATCCAAGACAACAAAAAATGAACAAGTCTGAACCCTTTAATATTAATCTACAAAGAGGGAAATCTAGAAATAAATAAATGGATGGGGAACTCTAGAATTAAAGTGTTAACAGTAATCATTTCAGCAGGACTGTGAAGGGTTTTTATTTTCTACATTACTTACTTTTTGTTTTTATATTTTACTATTACACTATAAACTTTTATCGGCATATTTTATTTCTGTAAGAGGGGATGACAGAACAAGATCTCGCTGCCTCCTGCCTCTAAAGCCTCAACCTGAGCCCTGACTCACTCCTACATAACTCTATCCCCAGGTTACTATGAGGTCCCTTTTTAGGAGTACATACAGCTCCTCTTTTTTCTAGATCTTTGAGTTTTTTTCCAACTAAAAAGGAAAAGATGGAGGAGCTTAAGACCAGATAAGAGAGAAATAGATGACGGAAGAGACAGAAGGCAGACTCATCTGAGCATCTCACTAGCCTGAAATGATACAGCTCCTAATAATCCATGTAACAGCCTGAACAGGCTTAAAATGCAACTCATTGTGTCACTCCCGTTTTAAAACTCAGAATAAAATCTAAACTCCCTGACAAGGCGTCTAAAGGCCTTCTTTCGTAACATGCCAGACTTTGTGCCTCAAGACTTCTGAACTTCGTGTTTCTCTTCACCTGCAAGGCTGAAACCCCAAAAACAGGCAAGCTGGTTTTTTCACATCTTGTCTCCACCCAAGAGACATCTCTTTAGAGAGGCTTTCCCTAACCACACTAGCCAAAATAGCCTGCTCTCCTTCTGCCAATTAATACTGTTTCATTTTCTGCATGGTACTTATGTTAGACAGTTTTCAAGTTTTAGTCAGTCCCCCTACCTTCCTTCTGCTCCATAAGGGCAGAACCCTGCCAATCTTGCTCAGTATCTGGAATACAAAGGCACTCAAATATTTACTAAATTAAGGGAAAAGCCAGAATAATGCTACAAAAACAGTAATGTTTTTAAATAGAAAAGACCTGTCAAAAACTATCAAATGTGAATCAAATCTCCATTTAGTGGTACATCTTTAAAAAATACTTTGTCAGCCGGGCGCAGTTGTTCACACCTGTAATCCCAGCACTTTGGGAGGCCCAGATGGGAGGACAGCTTGAGGCCAAGAGTTCAAGACCAGCCTGGTCAACACAGCAAGACCCCATTTCTAAATTTAAAAAAAAAATTTTAATTACAAAAACAGTATTTTGTTTTCCAGCAAGATGAACTGTAATAAATTTTATTTTTTATATAGATATATATTTTCAATTGAGATGAGGTCTCACTATGTTGCCCAGGCTGGTCTTGAACTCCTAGGCTCAAGCACTCCTGCCACACTTGTGCCCCTGCACCCAGCTTGCAATAGATTTTATTCTATATTCAACTGTGGGGGAAGACTGTATTGGAATTGACTGATTCCAATCGATTGGTGAAGAATCCACTGATAAGACTAAAATGTAACCTCAGTCCAAGAACAGTAATTTTACAATGAATTCTAAGTCTTGCAGGCACTCAAAATATAGTGCTGGTACTCAGTAGAGAATATACTGCAATAACTTTTAATAAAAAGTGACAAAATAAAAATACACCTACTTTATTTAATTCAAGTTTTAGATTATTTGTCATTCATAGTATTTTATTTTCTATCTCCATATCAAGACCACTTACAGCTTAAGAGGCAGGCTAAGGGTTGGGTGCGGGGGCTCACGCCTGTAATCCCAGCACTTAGGGAGGCCGAGGCAGATGGATCACGAGGTCAGGAGATGGAGACCATCCTGGCTAACAGGGTGAAACCCCTCTACTAAAAATACAAAAAATTAGCCGGGCGTGGTGGTGGGCACCTGTAGTCCCAGCTACTCAGGAGGCTGAGGCAGGAGAATGGCATGAACCTGGGAGGCGGAGCTTGCAGTGAGCCGAGATCATGCCACTGCACTCCAACCAGCCTGGGCGACAGAGCGAGACTCTGTCTCAAAAAAAAAAAAAAAAAAAAAAGAGGCAGGCTAAGTTAATGTTTCCTAACCCTTTTCTTTTTTCTTTTTTTTTTTTTGAGACAGTCTTGCTCTGTTGCCCAGGCTGGAATGCAGTGGCGCGATCTTGGCTCACTGCAACCTCTGCCTCCCAGGTTCAAGAAATTCTCCCGCTGCAGCCTTCCAAGTAGCTGGGATTACAGGCATGTACCACCACACCTGGCTAATTTTTGTATTTTTAGTAGAGACAGGGTTTCTCCATGTTTGCCAGGCTGGTATTGAACTCCTGACCTCAGGTGATCCACCCGCCTCAGCCTCCCAAGTGTTGGGATTACAGGTGTGAGCCACTGCACCCGGCCTTCCTAACCATTTTCATGGCACATACTCATACAAACGATAGGTCATATTTGCAGAACATGCTGAAATACGCAGACAATGCTGCTTCAAGGGCCCTACAAGTTGTCTCAGGGAAGAGAGGTACAACTCTAACCTGTTAATCACAGAAAATTCTACTAAGGTATTCCTTTATCAACGCAAACATCTGAAAAATCAGGGCAGACATCTGAAAACAAGGAGGAAAAAGCATCTTCTAAAAAAATCATACAGCAGCAACATACTTCAATCTTAAATGGAGATAATCAGAAACCCTGTTGATACTACCTTCAAATATAAGCATAGATCTAGCTTTTAATACTGTAATTTCTCTGACTAAAGGCCCCATGTTAAAAAATGTATATACAGACACACATACACACACATCCTAGACACACACTAAAACTAGATAAGCCAAAGTGAAAATCAGCTTCTGCATGTGAAAGGTCTTTTAAAGTTCCACAGATAAGTTCTAAAATCAAATGCAGTCTCTTATGAATGGAGAAATTTGTCATGTTGGAAAAGATCAATCATTTAAAAAGAGAGACATGTTGGCCGGGCACAGTGGATCACCCCTGTAATCCCAGCACTTTGGGAGACCAAGGTGGATGGATCACCTGAGGTCAGGAGAATTGCTTGAACCCAGGAGGTGGAGGCTGCAGTGAGCCGAGATTGCGCCACTGCACTCCAGCCTGAGCAACAAAGCAAGACTCCAACTCAAAAAAAAAAAAAAAAACAAAAACAAAAACAAGGAGCTCCTAAAAATTAGTAAAAGATGAACAATGCCATTGCAAAAAAAACAGGAAATTAAATTCACAGAAAAGCAATACAAAGGCCAACAAACATATATGTTTATATATAAAGTAGGGAAACACAAATATAAAAACTATTTTTTATCAATTTGTAAAATTTATTTTATTTTTATTTATTTTTTTGAGGCGGAATCTCACTCTGTTGCCCAGGCTGGAGTGCAGTGGCGCAATCTCTGCTCATTGCAGCCTCCACCTTCTGGGTTCAAGTGATTCTCCTGTCTCAGTCTCCCAAGTAGCTGGGATCACAGGCATGCGCCACTATGTCTGGCTAATTTTGTGTTTTTAGTGGAGATGGGGTTTAATCATGTTGCCCAGGCTGGTCTTGAACTCCCAACCTCAGGTGATCCACCCACCTCAGCCTCCCAAAGTGCTGGGATTACAGCCATGAGCTACTGTGCCCAGACAGATTTGTAAAATTAAAAAGGCAAAACATCTAGCACAAGCATTTGAAGTATTCTACTCTCACAGTGAAGAGTATAAACCACAGAAGTACAGCAATCTAATAGTATCTATTAACTGTTTAAAGATTTAACTTCACATTTCACACCCAGCACTACACAAACACAGGAATGTTTCTAATACCAATAAACTGAAAATTACCTCAGACTCAAAGCCACAGAACTAAAATTGGAACAATTTAAGGCAGGACTGGTTTAAAAACAAGACCTCCCAGGAAAGAATACTGCCCCCAGTACATTAGCTGAAGGTCTAAGTGAAAGAATATTTACCCCCAGCTACTTAAGAGGCTACTCAGGATTTCCTGAGGCCAGGAGTTCGAGGCTGTAGTGCATGACTGCACCTGTGAAGAGCCACTGAAGTCCACCTGGGCAACACAGTGAGATCACTTCACACACACACGAGTCATTTTCCATAATTTAAGAATAAGGTCAGTGTCACCTGTCACCAATACCAATACAATTTAATACTTCCAAGTACTATATGCGTAGTATAATATCGAAAGTAAACCATACTGCAGGAAATAGATAAGCATTAAAAAAAAAAGTAGGCCGGGCGCAGTGGCTCACGCCTGTAATCCCAGCACTTTGGGAGGCTGAGACAGGCAGATCACCTGAGGTCAGGAGTTTGAGACCAGCCTGGCTAACATAGTGAAACCCTATTTCTACTAAAAATACAAAAAATTAGCCAAGCGTGGTGGTGCGCGCCTGTAATCCCAGCAATCCCAGCTACTCAAGAGGTGGAGGTTGCAGTGAGCCAAGATAGCGCCATTGCACTCCAGCTTGAGCAACATGAGCAAAACTCTGTCTCAAAAAAAAAAAAAAAAAGTAAACCAAACATTAAAAAAAAAATTTTTTTTAATTGTTCATGGGCTGGGCACCGTGGCTCTCACCTGCAAATCCCAGGACTCTGGAAGGCTGAGATGGGAGGACTACTTGAGCCCAGGAGTTTAACACCAGCTCTGGGAAACATACCAAGACCCCGTCTGTACAAAAAAATTTCAAAAATTAGCTGAGTGTCATGGCATGCACCTGTAGACCCAGCTACTTGGGAGACTGAGGTGGGAGGATCACTTGAGCAAAGGAGGTCGAAGCTGCAGTGTGCCACGATCACACAACTGCACTCCAGCCAAAGCGACAGACCGAGACCTTGTCTAAAAAAAAAAAAGGCATTTAAAAAAAGAATATTGTTAAGTATGTAATTTGATGATACTTTGGTAACAAAAAGTTTATATGGAAACTAATTGTAAAATCACATTTCTGCTCAATGATAAAGTTTTTTTTGTTGTTGTTTTTTAAAGATAACTTCGCCAGGCGGGGTGGCTCACGCCTGTAATCCCAGCACTTTGGGAGGCTGAGGCAGGTGAATTACCTGAGGTCAGGAGTTCGAGATCAGCCTGACCAACATGGTGAAACCCCATCCCTACTAAAAATGCAAAAATTAGCCAGGGTTGGTGCTGCACGCCTGTAGTCCCAGCTACTCAGGAGGCTGAGGCAGGAGAATCGCTTGAACCCAGGAGGCAGAGGTTATAGTCAGCCAAAACTGTGCCATTGCACTCCAGCCTGGGTGACAGCGAGACTCTGTCTCAAAAAAAAAAAAAAAAAAGAAAAGAAAAAACTCTTCATATATACAAAATAGTAGTAAAAACTTTTATTACCACGAAAGTTCCCAGGCTTTAAACATTTATTTGGTAAGACAGTCTGGGAACTTGTATTCTATAGGCAAACATTTACCTTTCACATGCCAGAGAAGACATAGTGTATTCATAATTTATCATGATATCTAAACCATACAAATTATTTCAGAAGCCTACAATTTACTTAATACAAATTATTCTAGTCTAGTACAGAAATTAGGTTTACCTGGTTCCAAGCTACTTCTCTCTGGATTCCTGACTTCCCCTGGTCACCCCTACCAATCATCACAGAATGCTTCAAAAATCAAAAGGCCTAGATTCTACTCTGTTTTGCCTTCCTCTACTTTGGCTACTATTCCGTTAAAAAATTACTACATGGGCCTAACCCCAAAATCAGTCTCTGAAAGATACCAGGGGACGTTTTAGGATAGAAAAAAAGGGATGACTCATAATTGCCAGTTATCTTAGCTTTCTGTAGTCACCTACTCTATATCTATCAATCATGAATTTATATAAACTTCTCTACAACTATTTTTTCTGGTCGACATTATTTCTGAGGGTGGTAGGTTCCCTAGGTTCACCAAAAAAAAATTGCCTTTTATTAGCTTCATGCATCATTCTGCCACCTGGACTTTGAGGATATATTTGCTTTAAAATCAAGCAATTCATGACTGTTATGGTGTAAATTCTTCAAAGCCGTATCTTTCTATAATCTCTCAACTGCATTTATTCCCTATGTGAATATTTCTTTTAGAAAGTTAGAGTGTGGCCAGGCACACTGGCTCACGCCTGTAATCCTAGCACTATGGGAGGCCGAAGCAGGTGGATAACCTGAGGTCAGGAGGTTGAGACCCGCCTGGCCCACATGGCAAAATCCCGTCTCTACTAAAAATACAAAAATTAGCCGGGTGTGATGGCATGTGCCTGTAATCCCAGCTACTCGGGAGGCTGAGGCAGGATAATCGCTTGAACCTGGGAGGCAGAGGTTGTAGTGAGCTACTGCACTTCATTCAGCCTGGGCAACAAGAGTGAAACTCCGTCTCAAAAATTAAAATGTTAGAGTGTAAAACTATTTCTACATTCAAGTTATAAAATGGGCTTACAGCCTGGCCAGGTGCGGTAGTTCATGCCTGTAATCCCTGCACTTCGGGAGACCGAGGTACGAAGATCACTTAGGCCCAGGAGTTTGAGACCAGCCTGGGCTAATCCCTGCACTTTGGGAGACCAAGGTAGGAAGATCACTTAAGCCCAGGAGTTTGAGACCAGCCTTGGCAATAGTGAGACCTCATCTCTACAAAATCTAAAAACTAGCCGGGTGTGGTGGCATGCACCTGTAGCCCCAACTACTTGGGAGGCTGAAGCTGGAAGATCACTTGATCCCAGGAATTCAATACCAGCCTGGACAACACAGTTAGACACCTACTCTACAAAAAAAAGTTTTTAAAAAGTCATTTTTCCTACTTCATGTAACTCAACTCTACTAGTTTTCATGTATTTCATTATCGTGTTAATAAGAAAAAAATCTCAGTATATTATACTATCATTCTTTTCTCAGGCACTGTAAGTTATTTTGTGACCTTATTTATCATTCAAATTTCTACTTTAAAGTAGAAGATACTTTAATGGATACACTGGCAGTAACTTCTATTCATATAAGTATGATGAACCTGAGACTATTTTTGGGGGGGGGGGGTGGCGGGGCACATGGTCTCACTCTGTTGGCCAGGCTAGAGGGCAGTGGTGCAATCTTGGCTGACTGCAACCTCTGTTTCCCACATTCAAGTGATCCTCCCCCTTCAGCCTCCTAGGTAGCTAGGACTGCAGGTGTGAGCCACCATGCTGGCTAATTTTTGTATATTTAGTAGAGATAGGGTTTTACCATGTTGGCCAGGCTGGTCTCAAACTCCTGACCTCAAGTGATTCACCAGCTTGTCTTCAGCTGGGATTATAGGCATGAGCTACCACACCCAGCCAGTTCACTAATTTTTAAATATCATGACAGTTGTATCATAATTCCTATGGATCATTTTAAATCAACTGACCCATAGAAGTCAACCAAAAATGCAAAACCAACGAAACAATGGTAGTTGTAGAATCCACATGTTAAATATTAAAATTTATGTAAATAATTACAAAAAGTTGGCTATTGTTTAAGATGTAATATAAAATTAGAACCACAAGCAAGTGTCCATGAAAAAACACAAACACTTGACAAAGCTTGTTTGGCTATCTGAACAAAAACAATAAGTGTTTGCTCTCTATTTTGGTACTCGCTAAAACTCACTAGGCAACAAGATATATCCACCAAAAAATAAATTTCTTAAAACTCTGTACCAACTAAGCAGCAGCAACAATAATGATATTAGCTAATGTATTAGCTAATACAGAATGCTTATTATGTATCAGTTCTTTACATACAATATCCCTTTTAATCCTCCCAACAACCCCCTATAAGAGAAATTATCATTTTAGAGTGAGGAATCTATGGACCATAAAGGTTAAGTAAAAATGTCCAAGGTTACATGGTATTCAGAATATTCACAAATCTCACCAGGGTTTCATCACACCATCACATATGTTAAGATCCGTGCATTCATGGGAGAGGCGGTTCCTAAGATGAGGTGACAGATTTCAACCTTGTGGCAGCCTACTCTGGCTTCCTGGTATCTGGCTCTTTCCTCTACTCTGATAATCTGTTTCTAATTATACTTTTATTTGTTTATTTTTCTAAGGCATGACCGGTCTGGGTCTGTTGCCCAGGTTGGAGTGCAGTGGCATGATCATGGCTCACTGCAGCCTTGAGCCACGTTCAAGCAATCCTCCTGCCTCAGCTTCCTGATTAGCTGGGACTACAGGTGCACACCACTGAGTCCAGCTAATTTTTTATTTTCTGTAGAGACGAAGTCTCACTATCTTGCCCAGGCTGGTGTTGAACTCCTGGCCTCAAGTGACCCTCCCACCTCAGCCTCCCCAAAGTGCTAGGATTATAGGCGTAAGCCACTACACCTGGCCTAATTATATTTTTACTTACAATAAAACAAAAACTAAATTTGGGAAGGAGGATAAAGGGGAAGTTACTCACAATTTTACTAATCCTAACACATTTTTTTGGGTATCATCTTCTAATATTAGAGGCACAATAAATAACTATCAGTTCAAAATCTACCTCCACCTTTTATTAGCTGTATGGCCTGGCCTTTCACCAAATTGCTTACCTTTCCCATATACCAATTTTCGTCACTTATTCATGCAATAAACATTACTGAGTGCCTACTATGTACCAGGCACTGTTCAAGATGCTTGGGCTACCTCAGGGAACAAAACACAAGGATCCATGATCATAAGAGAAGCCTATCTTCTGCTGGAGGCATTCACAGTAAATTCCATGATAGTGGGTGATAAGTGCTGGGGAAAGGGAGGCAGACTGCAATTACATAGTGAGGTCACAGTAGGTCTCAACGAAGAGGTAACTGCTGAGACCTGGAAATCAGTGAGTCTGACTTGCAGATAACTGAGAGAACAACATTCCAGGCAGAAAGAACAGCCAGTGAAAATCCTTTGTACAAGGAATGGTAAAAAGATCATAGACTTGAGTACAATGTAGGGGAGCAGGGACAATGTGGGTAACATAATGCCTTGTAGGTTATTAAAAGGACTTTTTGCCTTTTACTGAGTGAAGTGGGAAGCCACTGAAAGGTCTTGAGCAGAGGAAAGGCACAAAAGGCACAATCTACCTTAGATTTTTTCTTTTGGAGACAGGGTCTCACTTTGTCACCCAGAGGGAGTGCAGTGGCACGATCTCTGCTCACTGCAACCTCTGCTTCCTGGGTTCAAGCGATTCTCCCACCTCAGCCTCCTGAGTAGCTGGGACTACAGGCACGTGCCACCACGCCTGACTAATTTTTGTATTTTTTTGGTAGAGATGGGGTTTCACTGTGTTGGCCAGGCTTAAATCTTAAAAGGATTGTTCCAGGCTCACTAACTCATGCCTCTAACCCCAGCACTTTGAGAGGTCAAGGTGGGCGGATGAGCCCAAGAGTTCGAGACCAGTCTGAGCAACATGGCAAAACTCAGTCTCTACAAAAAAATTTAAAAACTGGCCAGGCGTGGTGGCTCACTATATTAAAAATAAATGACATAGGCAGTTAGATATAGAATTATGAAGTTCAGAAGATGTCTGGGCAGAAGAACTGTAAAATAAAGATATTATTTATCTAATTGAGTTGTTACTAAATGGTTCAATAGTGGCCAGGCGCAGTGGCTCACGCCTGTAATCCCAGCACTTTGGGAGACCAAGGCAGGCGGATCAAGAGGTCAGGAGATCAAGACCATCCTGGCTAACATGGTGAAACCCTGTCTCTACTAAAAATACGAAAAAATTAGCCGGGCGTGGTGGCGGGCGCCTGTAGCCCCAGCTTCTCGGAAGGCTGAAGCAGGAGAATGGCATGAACCCGGGAGGCGGAGCTTGCAGTGAGCCGAGATCGCGCCACTGCACTCCAGCCTAGGCGACACAGTGAGACTCCATCTCAAAAACAAAACAAAACAAAACACAATTGTTCAGTAGTGTTTGTAAAGCACTTAGCATTGCACCTAACACAGAGTAAACGATACTGTTATAGCTTCTATCCCACAGAAGAACACCCACCACAGGAGATGAGAGAGGGTGGAAATTCAGCTCATGCTTCACTTGCTAGGCCATGTGTCTAGTATACAGACAGCATAAGCATGAAGGATGGGGATCCTTCTAATTCACATGTAGAAGTTTTCCTGCTAGCTGAGCTACATCTCTGCAGAGGTACATCTGTTCAAAATTGACCTTTTTCTATTTAGTAATGGTGACTTTGGGGCTGTGGCCCTAATCCTTTTCCACATACCCATGTACTTTTACACAATTACACTCTCAATCCAAATACTGTATCACAATATTCTCCTTCAAATTTAATTTTAAATGTTTGATAATAAATTATTTAATTTTGGCAGGGCACAGTGGCTCACGCCTGTAATCTCAGCAGTTTGGGAGGCCAAGGCAGGGGGATCATGAGGTCAGTAGTTCGAGACCAGCCTGGCCCATGGTGAAACCCTGTCTCTACTAAAAATACAGAAATTAGCTGGACACAGTGGCGCATGCCTGTAGTCCCAGCTACTCGGGAGGCTGAGGCAGGTGAATTGTTTGAACCCGGGAGGCAGAGGTTGCAGTGAGCCGAGATTGCACCGTTGCACTCCAGCCTGGGCAACAAGGGCAAAACTCCGTCTCAAAAAAAAAAAAAAAAAGAGTAGGCTTGGGTGAATTGTCAAAATAAACTTATTTTCTGAAGCAATGGATCACTGTCTGTTTTTTTCTGATCTTTTGGGGCAGGGAGAAGTAGGTTTAACCTGGAAAAGGAGGGTTGTGCTACTACTTCATCTTTCTTAAGTGACAAAGCCTTCTAAAAGTTTAGAGAAGGTAAAGATACAGATTGATAAAGGCAACCAACAACAGTGGGTATAATCTTTCTAAGAATTCCACATTAGTCAGCTTTCCATCAGCAACTTAAAAGAAAGAGACTATTTTCTATTTTTTATACCCCTTTGACAAAAAGTAGAATTCAACAACCTAGTTCCCGAAGAGCTCTCTGAAACTCTTCTGAAATTCTTGAAACTCTCTAAAACTCAGTCCCAGGCTGATCCTTTTGTAGTTTATAAGCATGATTGAGTTTTCACACTCATGTGTGAGATGTGCCTTCTTCAAACCTTGTAATGACATGGACACATTACCCATCTGACGTGAAGAGGAAAAAACAAAAAAAAGTAGTCCCAGGCTTATATTCCTGGAGAAGGTAAATTAGAGGATCTCTTGACTGGAGGATTCCAGACCCAGTTGAGAGTATGAATACTGTTCTGCAAACTACACTTACTGAATCCTTGACTGCAGAAACCCCTTTTCCCCAGTGGGGCAACCAAACTCAAAGAAACTAAAATCTTTAGTTTCCCTTACCTTACAATAAAGCTCAAAGACAACAAATCTCATCCATGCACCCAAAGATTCCAATTTGTTTTTAATCTTATCTTTTAAAAAAATAAAGAGGTTGCAAAGGAATATCAGGCTTTTTAGGAAACCCTCGAATATGGATGATAAAGACCAAAACACACAGAGAAAAAAACCCACAATGGCCTGTAATCCAGCACTTTGGGAGGGTGAGGCAGGAGGATCACTTGAACCCAGGAGTTCAAGACCAGCCTGGACAACACAGTAAGACCCTCATCTCTACAAAAAATTATAAAAATTATTCCAACACAGTGGCGAACGCCTGTACTCCCAGGTATAGGCTGAGGTGGGAGGATCACTTGAGCTCAGGAGGTCGAGGCTGCCAAGAGCTGTGATTGTGTTGTGCCACCACACTCCAGCTTGGGCAACAGAGGGAGACCCTGTCTGGAAATTAAAAAAAAAAAAAAGAAAGGAAAAGAAAAAAGAAAAAAATCCACAATGAAAGAACTTGAACTATCAGATTAAAATAGCCTATCGAATGCCTAACACGTTAAATATCACAATAATGGAGGACCAGATTCTATAAACTTTTACAGTTAAAAAAAAAAAAAAAATACAGGCCCAGCGCAGTGGCTCACGCCTGTAATCCCAGCACTTTGGGAAGCCGAGGCGGGCGGATCATGAGGTCAAGAGTTCAAGACCAGCCTGGCCAACATGGTGAAACCCTGTCTCTACTAAAAAATACAAAAATTAGCTGGGTGTGGTGGTGCGCACCTGTAATCTCAGCTACTTGGGAGGCTGAGGCAGGAGAATCCCTTGAACCCAGGAGGCAGAGATTGCAGTGAGCCAAGATTGTGCCATTGCACTCCAGCCAGGGCAACAAGAGTAAAAACTCTCTCAAAAAAAAAAAAAAAAACAAAAAAAATCAGGAATCCGAATGACTTCAAACTCTTCAACAACACTAGAAGACATAATGGAGCAAAGCCTCCTAGATTCTGAAGGAAAACTATCTCCAATTTACAATAATCAGCAAAACTATCAGTGAGGGACAGAACTAGAGAGATATTTTCTGACATTCATGATTACAAAAATTTGAACCTCCATGATTCCTTTCTCTCTTTTTTTTTTTTTGAGATGAGTCTTGCTCTATCACCCATGCTGGAGTGCAGTGGCATGACCTTGCTCACTGCAGCCTCCGCCTCCCAGGTTCAAGCGATTCTCCTGCCTCAGCCTCCCGAGTAGCTGGGACTACAAGCACACACTACCACGCCTGGCTAATTTTTTTTTTTTTTTTTAGTAGAGATGGCGTTTCGCCATGTTGGCCAGGCTGGTCTCAAACTCCTGATCTCAGGTGATCCACCCGCCTCGGCCTCCCAAAATGCTGGGATTACGGGCTTGAGCCACCGCGCCTGGCCCGTAATTCCTTTCTCAAGGGATTTGTTACAGGAATATAGCAAGAGAAAGACTTAGGATATAGGAAACGGGACATCCAGCATAGGAAAGAAGCGAAGGAAATCTCCAGAAGGCCAATGGAGGGAAATCCCTGGGTGACAACTGTGCACCGGATACAAGAATCCACAATTATGTGACCCCTTCTAGCAATTTCCAACTATCATCTACATAATGGCCTTTTTTTCTTGAGAGTGCCAGGGAGGGAGGAAGGGAGGAAAGTGGTTGGAGGAAGAGCAGAGAGAGGGAAGGAGTAACAGAGAAGGGAAGGAAATAGCCCATATTTTCAAAGTTAGCCCCTTTAAGTATATCCTCTCCCCTTTGGAGGAGGTGAATGGTAAAACCTGTGCTAGGTCTTCAGATACTCCAGGTAGCTGAACAACATTAATAAAATAGTATAGCACCACAGTGTTTCCCAAAGCAGGGGATATATACTATTCATGGTTTACAAAATGATTATAAGAGATATGTATACAAGATATAAACTAAAACTGATATAAGGAAAAAGTCTCAGTTAGGTGCTAGTATATGTTTAATACTTCTTTAAGACTTTCTACTAGGGCAGCCACGATGGCTCACACTTGTAATCCCAGCACTATGGGAAGCCAAGGTGGGTGAATTGCATGAGCTCATGAGTTCAAGACCAGCCTGGGCAATATGATGAAATCCTGTCTCTGTTAAAAATACAAAAATTAGCTGGGCTGTGCACCTGTAATCCCAGCTACTCAGGAGGCTGACGCAGGAGAATTGCTTGAAACCGGGAGGCGGAGGTTGCAGTAAACCGGGATCTTGCCACTGTACTCCAGCCTGGGTGACAGAGGGAGACCCTGTCTCAAAAAAAAAAAAAAAAAAAAAAAAAAAAAAAAAAAAGGCCAGGGGCCATGGCTCACACCTGCAATCCCAACACTTCAGGAGGCCGAGGTGGGCGGATCATGTAAGGTCAGGAGTTCGAGACCAGCCTAGCCAACATGGTGAAACCCCACCTCTACTAAAAATACAAAATTAGCCCGGTGTGGTGGAACACATCTGTAATCCCAGCTACTTGGGAGGCTGAGACAGGAGAATCCCTTGAATCTGGGAAGCAGAGGTTGCAGTGAGCCGAGATCGTGCCATTGCACTCCAGCCTGGGCAAAAAGAGTGAAACTCCAGCTCCAAAAAAAAAAAAAAAAAAAAAAAGAGAGAGAGAGATTACTTTATAAATTTATTAGGCTGGGCGCGGTGGCTCACGCCTGTAATCCCAGCACTTTGGGAGGCCAAGGTGGGCGGATCACAAGGTCAGGAGATTGAGACCATCCTGGCTAACACGGTGAAACCCCATCTCTACTAAAAATACAAAAAATTAGCCAGGCGTGGTGGCAGGCACCTGTAGTCCCAGCTACTCAGGAGGCTGAGGCAGGAGAATGGCGTGAACCCATGAGGTAGAGCTTGCAGTGAGCCGAGATCGCGCCACTGCACTCCAGCCTGGGCGAAAGTGCGAGACTCCACCTCAAAAAAAAAAACATTAATAATGTTGTTTTTAGGCCAGGCGTGGTGGCTCATGTCTGCAATCCCAGCACTTTGGGAGGCCGAGGTGAGTGGATCACTTGAGGTCAGGGGTTCCAGACCAGCCTGGCCAGTGTGGTGAAACCCCGTCTCTACCAAAAATACAAAAATTAGCTGGGCATTGTGGTGGGCACCTGTAATCCCAGCTACTTGGGAAGCTGAGGCAGGAGAATCCCTTGAACCCGGGAGGCAGAGGTTGCAGTGAGCTGAGACTGCGACACTGCACTCCAGCCTGGGTGACAGAGCGAGACTCCATTTCAAAAAAACAAAAAAAAAAACAGCTGGGTTTGGTGGTACATACCACCAAGCTACTTGGGAGGCTGAGAAATGAGAATCACTTGAGGCCATGGTGGAAGAATCGCTTAAGCCCAGTAGTTCAAGACCAGCCTGGGCAACATAACAAGACTGTATATCTTTAAAAAAAAAAAAACTGATTGATTACATTAAAATGCAGTAAGCATGGTTGCTCAAAAAAAAAAAGGGACATTTGCTACACTGGCTAGGTGTGGTGGCTCATGCCTGTAATCCCAGCACTTTGGAAGGCTGAGATGAGGAAGACTACTTGGGTCCAGAAGTTCAAGACCAGCCTGGGCAACATGGCGAAACCCCTTCTCTACAAAAAATACAAAAATTAGCCAGGCATGGTGGCTTGCACCTGTAGTCCCAGCTACCTGGGCGGCTGAGAGGGGAGAATCACTTGAGCCTGGGAGGTGGAGGCTGCTGTGAGCTAAGATCATGCCACTGCACTCCAGCCTGGGTAACAGAGCAAGACCTTGTCTCAAAAAAAAAAGAAAGAAAGAAAAAATATTTGCTACATCAATGAACAGCAGCGGCAACAACAGTTTCATTACATACTACATACCCTGGAGACTATACTGAACACTTTTGGTTTAGTAGATAAAAGAACAGGTACTGAGTTTGAAATCCAGCTTCACTACTTGGGCAACTCCATGGATCTAGGGTAAAGATAATAATGGTACAAACTTCACTGAATTGCAGTGAAGAATGAATAAGATAGTGTATATAAAGTACCTAATTTAGAGTCCGGCATATAAAAAACATTCTAAGTTAGCAAAAATTGTGTACCTCCGCTAGTAAAACAAATTCTTCAAGTGAAAAGCTGAACTCGCTCAATTTTTAAGTGTATTATACTCACTAGTAAACCTGGGAACTAGATTATCACCTAGGAACTAGGGTATCGGGTTAACTTCAATCTTTCAACTTCTGAGAACTTCAGTGAATTCACGAACTTCCAGAAACTGAATACAGAGTATTGTATATATGCATATGTACATCTTTGTAGGTCTTGCTTCTATTAACATTTTTTTTTTGAGACGGAGTTTCGCTCTTTTGCCCAGCCTCCCCAGTAGCGGGGACTACAGCACATGCCACCACACCTGGCTAATTTTTGTATTTTCAGTAGAGACAGGGTTTCGACACGTTGACCAGGCTGTTCTGGAACTCCTGACCTCAGGTGATCCACCCGCCTCCATCTCTATTAACATTTGAAAGCAATCTGTCCTCTATGGAGCACAGTCATTGTGTTCTTAAAACACAAATGGAGGCCGGGCACAGTGGCTCGCAGGAGGCTGAGGTGGATGGATTACCTGAGGTCAGGGAGTTCGAGACCAGCCTGGCCAATGTGGTGAAACCCTGTCTCTACTAAAGATACAAAAATCAGCCAGGTGTAGTGGCACACACCTGAAATCCCAGCTACTCGGAAGGCTGAGGCAGGAAAAGCGCTTGAACCCGAGAGGCAGAGGTTGCAGTGAGCCGAAATTGCACTACTCCACTCCAGCCTGGGCGATAGAGCAAGACTGTCTCAAAACAAAACAAAAAACACAAATTTGGACATATTATTAAATACCCTTTATCTATTATTTATTTCACTCAAATTAGCACTCGAATTCTTTAACTGTGACCTACAAGACCTTTCATGATGGCCTGGCCCGTTACCCATCAAACAGGACCTCCCCTGACCACCCTGGTTCAAGTGTATCCTACCCTTCCCCATCATTCTTCTCTTTACTCAGCTTTTTGGTTTTCATAATAATTTATCACCATTTGAAATAATATTAGGTATTTGCCTACTCAATGATTATTGACTGCCTATACCACTAGGTAGTATGCTCTAAGAAGCTAAGTTCAGTTCACCCTTATAACCCACTGCCTTTAAGTATCTAGCATTTGGCAGGCTCTTAAGAGTTATTTACTGAATGAGTAACATATGGCATCTGGGCTATCTGGCAAGTGGTGAGTTCTAACAAAAGTTATCAGTGCAGTCGTTTATGAACCACATTATGCCAAGAGACTATACTCAGAACTAGAACACTGACAACTGTGGAAAAACTGTAGAATCAGCATGGAGTAATTGTTGACTGGCAGTCAGCTAAGGAGCAGCCAGGATAATGATTGGCTGGCAGTCAGTCATCTAACAGTTCATCAAACAAGTCCCAAACAGACCAGCTGATAATAATACCCAATTAAAGCTACTATAGAATTCTACGTCAGAGGTATTTCCAAAGTTTGATTCACTACTATTGTTTGGCATTCCCTTCACAGTTGTTTTATATTACAAATAAAACCAAATACATTCTTGTTCATCTGTTCTGTCACAGTAAACGGTAAATATTTTCTACCTACTCACACATCCGATTTGTCTTAAATGTACACTGCTGAAAATAAAGGGGACTTTTAAACTACAGGGCTCCTGCTCAAGAAATGTAAAAATGGGCATGGTGGCTCATGCCTGTAATCCCAACACTTTGGGAGGCTGAGATGGGCGGATCACCTGAAGTCAGGAGTTCGAGACCAACCTGGCCAACACGGCCTAAAAATACAAAAAAAGAAATGTAAAAATGTGTTTTTAAACATACATAAGGTCATGTAGAATGCAAAAGAATGTACAGGAACATGATGGATTACGTTTATTGATTTGCATATGTTGAACCAGCCTTGCATCCCAGGGATGAAGCCAACTTGATCACGGTGGATAAGCTTTTGATGTGCTGCTGGATCAAGCTGCCTTCATCCTGGGATGCAAGGCTGGTTCAACATACATAATCCATCATATAAACAGAACCAAAATCAAAACTACGTGATTATCTCAATAGATGCAGAAAAGGCCTTCAACAAAATTCAACAGCCCTTCATGCTAAAAACTCTCAATAAACCAGGTATTGATGGGACGTATCTCAAAATAATAAGAGCTATTTATGACAAACCCACAGCCAATATCATACTGAATGGGCAAAAACTGGAAGCATTCCCTTTGAAAACTGGCACCAGATAGGGATGCCCTCTCTCACCACTCCTATTTAACATAGTGTCGGAAGTTCTGGCCAGAGCAATCAGGCAAGAGAAAGAAATAAAGGGTATTCAATTAGGAAAAGAGGAAGTCAAATTGTCCCTGTTTGCAGATGACATGATTGTATATTTAGAAAACCTCATCGTCTCAGCCCAAAATCTCCTTAAGCTGACAGGCAACTTCAGCAAAGTCTCAGGATACAAAATCAATGTGCAAAAATCCCAAGCATTCCTATACACCAATAACAGACAAACAGAGAGCCAAATCATGAGTGAACTCTCATTCACAATTGCTTCAAAGAGAATAAAATACCTAGGAATCCGACTTACAAGGGATGTGAAGGACCTCTTCAAGGAGAACTACAAACCACTGCTCAACAAAATAAAAGAGGACACAAATGGAAGAACATTCCATGCTCATGGGTAGGAAGAATCAATATCGTGAAAATGGCCATACTGCCCAAGGTAATTTATAGATTCAGTGCCATCCCCATCAAGCTACCAATGACTTTCTTCACAGAATTGGAAAAAACTACTTTAAAGTTCATATGGAACCAAAAAAGAGCCTGCATTGCCAAGACAATCCTAAGCAAAAAGAACAAAGCTGGAGGCATCATGCTACCTGACTTCAAACTATACTACAAGGCTACAGTAACCAAAACAGCATGGTACTGGTACCAAAACAGAGATAGAGACCAATGGAACAGAACAGAGCCGCCAGAAATAATACCACACATCTACAACTATCTGATCTTTGACAAACCTGAGAAAAACAAGAAATGGGGAAAGGATTCCCTATTTAATAAATGGTGCTGGGAAAACTGGCTAGCCATATGTAGAAACTGAAACTGGATCCCTTCCTTACATCTTATACAAAAATTAATTTAAGATGGATTAAAGACTTAAATGTTAGACCTAAAACCATAAAAACCCTACAAGAAAACCTAGGCAATACCATTCAGGACATAGGCATGGGCAAGGACTTCATGACTAAAACACCGAAAGCAAGGGCAACAAAAGCCCAAATTGACAAATGGGATCTAATTAAACTAAAGAGCTTCTGCACAGCAAAAGAAACTACCATCACAGTGAACACGCAACCTACAGAATGGGAGAAAATTTTTGCAATCTACCCATCTGACAAAGGGCTAATATCTAGCATCTACAAAGAACTTAAACAAATTTACAAGAAAAAAATCAAACAACCCCATCAAAAAGTGGGCAAAGGATATGAACAGACACTTCTCAAAAGACATTCATGCAGACAACAGACACATGAAAAAATGCTCATCACTGGCCATCAGAGAAATGCAAATCAAAACCACAATGACATACCATCTCACACCAGTTAGAATGACGATCATTAAAAAGTCAGGAAACAACAGGTGCTGGAGAGGATGTGGAGAAATAGAACACTTTTACACTGTTGGTGGGACTGTAAACTAGTTCAACCATTGTGGAAGTCAGTGTGGCGATTCCTCAAGGATCTAGAACTAGAAATACCATTTGACCCAGCCATCTCATTACTGGGCATATATCCAAAGGCTTATAAATCATGCTGCTATAAAGACACATGCACACATATGTTTATTGTGGTACTATTCACAATAGCAAAGACCTGGAACCAACCCAAATGTCCATCAATGACAGACTGGATTAAGAAAATGTGGCACATATACACCACGGAATACTATGCAGCCATAAAAAAGGATGAGTTCGTGTCCTTTGTAGGGACATGGATAAACCTGGAAACCATCATTCTGAGCAAACTATTGCAAGGACAGAAAACCAAACGCCGCATATTCTCACACATAGGTGGGAATTGAACAATGAGAACACTTGGACACAGGGTGGGGAACATCACACACCGGGGCCTGTCATGGGGTGGGGGGAGGGAGGAGGGATAGCATTAGGAGATACACCTAAAGTGAACAATGAGTTAACTAGTTAACTGGTGCAGCACACCAACATGGCACATGTATACATATGTAACAAACCTGCACATTGTGCACATGTACTCTAGAACTTAAAGTATTAAAAAAAAAAGAATGTACAGAAAGATTTCAGATATGGAGAAAAAATAGTTCCACTTACAGGAAATATAACAATTTCCAAATATTTGGTGGACATGTCCCCCCCAAAAAAAAATGTTTTTTGGTTTTTTTTTTTTTTTTTTTGAAACAGGGTCTCGCTCTGTCACCCAGGCTAAAGTGTAGTGCCGCGATCTCAGCTCATTACAACCTCTGCCTCCCAGGTTCAAGGGATCCTCCCACCTCAGCCTCCCAAGCAGTTGGGACCACAGGCATGTGCCACCATATCCGGCTAATTTTTGCTTTTTTCATAGAGACAGGGTTTCACCATGTTGCACAAGTTGGTCTTGAACTCCTGAGCTCAAGTGAGCTACCTGCTTTGGCCTCCCAAAGTGCTGGGATTACACATGTGAACCACCGTACCCGGCCCCAAAAATGCTTTCTTAAGTGTAACTACGTAATGCTAGTTGTAGTTTAGATTCCTGGATGTTAACTTAAAATAGTCCCATAGGAACCCAGTGTGGTGGCTCACGCCTGTAATCCCAGCCTGAGGCAGGTGGATCATCTGAGGTCAGGAGTTCGAGACCAGCTGGGCCAACATGGTGAAACCCTGTCTCTACTAAAAACACAAAAAAATTAGCTGGGCATAGTGGCAGGCACCTGTAATTTCAGCTTCTCGGGACGCTGAGGCAGAAGAATTGCTTGAACCCAGGAGGCAGTGGTTGCAGTGAGCCCAGATCGTGCCATTGCACTCCAGCCTGGGCAACAAGAGCAAAACTCTGTCTCAAAAAAATCAATTAATTTAGGCTGGGCGCAGTGGCTCATGCCTGTAAATCCCAGCACTTTGAGAGGCTGAAGCGGGTGGATCATGAGGTCAAGAGATCGAGACCATCCTGGCTAACACGGTGAAACCCCATTTCTACTAAAAATACAAAAAAAAAAAACCCCAAAAAACAAAAAAACAAAAACAAACAAACAAACCAAAAAAACACAACAACTAGCCAGGCGTAGTGGCAGGCGCTTGTAATCCCAGCTAGTCGGGAGGCTGAGGCAGGAGGAGAATGGAGTGAACCCAGGAGGCAGAGCTTGCAGTGAGCTGAGATCGCGCCACAGCACTCCAGCCTGGGCAACAGAGCGAGACTCCATCTCAGGAAAAAAAAAATTAATTAATTAAAAAAACAGTAAGATAAATAACACTTCTCCCATTTCAGTAAAAGGATGAAGCCAGTTTCTCAATGAATAAAAACAAGAGACTGTTGAATGTCAAGTTTTATAGACAGTCCAGACAACACAGGGAGACACCATCTCTACACACACACACACACACACACACACACACACACACACACACACACACAAAATAGCTGCGTATGGTGGCATGGGCCTGTAGTCCCAGCTATTGGGGCAGGGCCAGGGGGTGGGAGGCTGAGGGGAGAGGATGCCTTAACAGGGA
The DNA here is from genome assembly GCF_000001405.40 of Homo sapiens. NCBI lineage: Eukaryota > Metazoa > Chordata > Mammalia > Primates > Hominidae > Homo > Homo sapiens. The sequence goes on from NC_000003.12 coordinate 12,642,816, forward strand.
GGTTGAGGCTGCAGAGAGCCATGATCACGTCACTGTACTCCAGCCTGGGTGATACAGCAAGACTCTGTCTCAGAAAAAAAAAAAAGAAAAAAGTCAAGAATGCATTCTTGAGGAATTCCACCAACAAAATGCACCAAATATAGCCAAAGAGTTTTCTGCTATATGCCAAGTGGAAAGCTATGAAGAAAGAGAAGAACAGAAGCAGGAGGACATTGGTTTTCATCTCCTATTCTTTCAAGAAGTAAGATCCATTATCTTTTAAAAAGTCTAAACACTGGTAAGGCAAGACACAACTCCCACCCATAACACTGCATCTCTGTCCTCAGGCAACAAATCAAATGTCAGATAAAAGCACAATATCTACCACTCAACCCCCAGGCTTCAGCACAGAACTCACAAACATTCTGCTGGCTAAGGCAAAAAGGTGTACTGTATTTCCAGAGAGCTTGCAGAGTTCTGAGCACTAATCCCATAATCCTCATATCTCAATCTACACAAAGCACCATCAGGCTAAGAAACAGATTATATAGCAGGCACAACACTCTTGGGTATGCAAACATGTTAAGGATCAAAGTAAGAAAAGAGTAACTATAGGGGCCATACTATATTTGCCAAAAAGTGACTTGTTTAAAAATTAAAAAGAAGCCGGGTGCAGTGGCTCACACCTGTAATCCCAGCACTTTGAGAGGCTGGGGTGGGTGGATCACCTGAGGTCAGTAGTTCAAAACCAGCCTGGCCAACATAGTGAAACCCCATCTCTACTAAAAATACAAAATTAGGCGTGGTGGCAGGCGCCTGTAATCCCAGCTACTAGGGATGCTGAGGCAGGAGAATCGCTTGAACCCGGAAGGCAGAGGTTGCAGTGAGCCAAAATCGCACCACTGCACTCCAGCCTGGGCAACAAGAGCAAAACTCTGTCTCAAAAAAAAAAAAATAAAAATAAAAACAAAAAAGAAATCCAGTTTACCTCCTTGTGCAATTCCTAATAAATTGCTGAGAAGTGATCTTACATAGGAATCTTGTATAATTTATTCTGATGCTCATAATCCAGAAGAATATAGGGTTGTGATAAAGGCATTTTCAACTCAACAGTCATTTCAGCCTTCTCACCCTGTGGTCCACCTCTAGAAATAACTTCGGTGAATTGTTGCATTCAGAGAATTTCTAAAAATAAGTTAAGTAGTACCAGATTAATAAACTATAAATTAGACAACAAACTTTCAAAAACCCTGGAAAGGTTTTGCTGGTTTTTTTCAGTTTATCATATCCTGTAAAAAATAAGAAAGCACAACTATGTTCAAGGTGCAAGATTATTAGGGAGCAGCACACATACAAAGTACAATGAAGTAGCTTCGGGACAAGTCAAATCTGGAGAGACTACAATTATTAAAAACTTACTACCTGTACTTAGGGTATCATTTTAAGTGATTTGAATCCTAATATTTTAAGGTACATCTGTCACATTAAAGCTAAATCTGAGGCATAAATGTTTCAGTGAAAATGTTATTTTATCAACGTCTAGAGAAGTAAGCCAAACTAGAACACCCACTTAAGTTTTCTCATGGATTGTACTGCCGCCAACTACTCTCCCAAAAAATGAGATTAGATTCCTTTGGACAGTGGTAAGAATTATCACAATTCTGACTAATGCAGCAAGCTTCTCAGGAGTTAAGTGTACAAGAACTACAAGTCCTAAAACTTCTGTCCAAAAGAGAGTCAAGAAGCAGCTGGACAAACTTAGGGTTAAGGATGACTTTGTTTTGCCCTATCCCTTGGCTCTATCCTTTTGCTTAGCAAGGGCTAGCAGTCAAATCTTCCTATTGCCCTTTCTGAGTAGGGAAACACCCACATGCAATAAACAATGTAAATACTTCAGGCATGGACATTTTTAAGTTTTCTTCAAAAACGCCTTAGCAAATCAATCATTATAATCAGGCACTTTGAAAAACCTCATTTTTGAGTTTTTCCTCAAATACTATATTTCACTCAAAAATATTAAGGCGGCCAGGCGTGGTGGCTCATGGCTATAATCCCAGCACTTTGGGAGGCAGAGATGGGTGGATCACAAGGTCAAGAGAGCCAGACCATCCTGGCCAACATGATGAAACCTCGTCTCTACTAAAGATACAAAATATTAGCTGGGCATGGTGGCACGTGCCTGTAATCCCAGCTACTCGGGAGGCTGAGGCAGAAGAACTGCTTGAACCAGAGAGTTGGAGGTTGCAGTGAGCCAAGAGCGCATCACTGCACTCCAGCCTGGTGACAGAGCGAGACTCAGTCTCAAAAAAAAAAAAAAAAAAAAAAAATAAGGTGGCAGGACAAAAATATCTAAGGTAGCCAGCCTTTTGGTATTAAGGTTTTAAGAGATTCTTAGATCTACCTAAAACCTAACTTCTGAGAACCCAGCAATGCTTTTTGTGTAGTTCCGACTCAAAAAAGTTTACTTAGTCAAGAGAACTCAGAATTTAACACAGCTTTACAATTTATTCAGCTCATCTTTCCATTATCTCACAGAACTGTTAGAATTAAGCAGGCTAAAGCAGGTATTATTCATACTATCCCTTTTTTTGATGAAGAAAAAAAGTAAAATTCAAAAGGTTTAGTGACAATTTAAGAGAAGCAAAATTAAAAATTCAGATACTCAGACTTTACATCTCTTTCCATTATAATACACTGATTTGAATGGTACAATGGGATTTGAAATTTTTATTGTTTAATGATGTTACTATTACCTTTAAAATTTTTGTTTGTTTTTCACAGTTGATCTGTACTTTGAAACCTAGGACTTAATTTTTGGAATACAGTAATGTAGTGGTTAAGAGTTTTAGGCACTGAACTCAGAAAAACCCAGGCTGGAAGTTTAAGAGCTATCTAGAAGAGTTCCTAATTATTGTACTGTACTGTATTTATTTAATCTTTTTTTTGTAGAGGTGGGGTGGGGTGAGGGGGGTGTCTCACTATGTTGCCCAGGCTAGTCTCGAACTCCTGGCCTCAAGCAGCGTCTCAGCTCAGCCTCCCAAAGAGCTGGGATTACAAGGCATGAGCCACTGTGCCTGGCTTATTACATTACTTTTAAATAAATATTGTTTGTAAATAATGCATCAGACCTCTGTGTGGAGGAAAGAAAAAGACTGTATATACCATGTCTTATATATCACAAGCAATTAAAATTTTTCTTCATATTTAAGAGATTTTTACTTCACTTCTAAACAACAAAGGATTTAGCTTAAATTCATTAGAGCAGTCATATTCTTAATGCTTTTTTATAACTTATCCTTTCTTTTTACTCATTAAATAATATACTAATAGATGGTGTATCAAAAATCTAATCTTTGTTTTTTAGAGACGGAGTCTCCCTTTGTCACCTAGGCTGGAAGTGCAGTAGCTTCATCATAGCTCACTGTAGCCTCAAACTCCTGGGCTCAAGCAATCCTCCCACCTCAGCCTCCTGAGTAGCTGGAAAAATATAATCTTTCATTCATGCAGCTAACATTATAATCTACAGCAAATGGATAAAGAATTAAGACAGGCAGAAATATAATAACGATATTACCGGTTTCTTTTAAGTCTTTTTTTTGAGGTGGAGTCTTCCTCTGTCACCCACGCTGGAGTGCAGTGGCACGATCTCAGCTCACTGCAACCTCTGCCTCCAGGTTCAAGTAATTCTCCTACCTCATCCTCCTGAGTGGCTGGGACTACAGGTGCGCACCACCAACGCCCTGCTAATTTTTGTATTTGTCTTTTTTTTTTTTTTGAGACAGAGTCTCACACTATTGCCAGGCCGGAGTGCAATGGCACAATATCGGCTCATTGCAACCTCCACCTCCCGGGTTCACATGATTCTCCTGCCTCAGCCTCCCGAGTAGCTGGGATTATAGGCACACACCACCACACCCGGCTAATTTTTTGTATATTTAGTAGAGACGGGTTTTACTATGTTGGCCAGACTTGTCTCAAACTCCTGACCTCAGGAGCCACCTGCCTCAGCCTCCCAAAACGCTGGGATTACAGGTGTGAGCCACCACGCCCAGCCTAATTTTTGTGATTTTAGTAGAGAAAGGGTTTCAATGTGTTGGCCAGGCTGGTCTCAAACTCCTGACCTCAAATGATCCACCCACCTTGGCCTCCCAAAGTGCTAGGATTACAGGAGTGAGCCACTGTGCCTGGTTTTTAAAGTCATTATTAAAATCTTCATTACCGGCCAGGCGTGGTGGCTCACGCCTGTAATCCCAGCACTTTGGGAGGCCGAGGCGGGCAGATCACGAGGTCAGGAGATCGAGACCATCCTGGCTAACATGGTGAAACCCCGTCTCTACTAAAAATACAAAAAATTAGCCTGGTGTGGTGGCGGGCACCTGCAGTCCCAGCTACTCGGAAGGCTGAGGCAGGAGAATGGCGGGAACCCAGGAGGCGAAGGCTGCAGTGAGCTGAGATCGCGCCACTGCACTCCAGCCTGGGCGACAGAGCGAGACTCCATCTCAAAAAAAAAAAAAAAGAAATTCAGGCCAGGCATGGTGGCTCACCCCTGTAATCTCAGCACTTTGAGAGGTTGAGGCAAGCAGACTGCTTGAGCCTAGAAGCTTGAGACCAGCCTGGACAACATGGAGAAACCCCATCTCTACAAAAAATCAGCCATGCACGGTGTAGCACATGTGTAGTCCCAGCTATTCAAGAGGCTGAAGTGGGAGGATCACCTGAGCCCAGGGAGGTCCAGGTTGCAGTGAGCCATGATTGTGCCACTGCATTCCAGCCTGGGCAACAGAGTGAGACCCTGTCTCAAACAAACAAACAAACAAACAAAACAAATAAATAAATTTTAAGTGGTCACAACACTGGAAAAAAAATAACTTTCACACATAAAAAGTTTCTGCTGAGCAAATATGCTCAAATGTTAGTTTCCTAACCAGTCCAAAAGGGCACTCTCATGCACTGCAAGGTGATGTGTACGTGTCAATATTTTTCGTTTCCTCACTCCTCTTTCTCAATTTCTGACCACAAACTGGTAACTTCATCAGATGACAGCCCAGAATAAACACACATGAAGAAATAAGCCACTCTACTCTTCTAAAAGTTAGCAGGGGCTGTACAAGTTTACAAAACAGACTCCTACATTTTAAAAGTGTAACTTTAAAAATACAAGTTAAAAACGAGCTAGTTCAAAAACAATTATGCTAAAACAAATCAGTTCCACAAATGATACCTGGAGCCAACTTTATTTTTAACTCTCACCACAAATAAGCTTAAATTATTTTCATTTTAAATCACATTGTCTGGACTCTTTTTTAACCCGAGTTTTTCTTTTCACCTTCAAATCAGTCATTGTTTTCTTCATCTAGTCAGCAACTGCTGATTTTTAAAATAAACAGATGTGTATTCAAAGTACACCATTAACACAAGTACCAAAACACACAATGTACAAATAAAATATGGTTTAGGAATGATTATTCAGATAGCCAAGTAACAGCGAAGTTAAAAAAAAAAAAAAAAAAGCTACATAATGAAGTAGGAAGGAAGGGGGAAAAAAATCACCTGGAAACACTAACAATTTCCACACTAATTTCTCTTTCATACTAAAGGCATTAATTTTCACAGTAAATCTTGCATATTCAACAAGTGGTTAAAAAAAATTAGCCCTCCTCAAAGATAAGGACACAGAATATAAGTGAATCATTCATTCTACACACTGGCATCACTCATTTGGCAGAGGAGATGTGTCCTCAAGAGAAGAGGTATTCCCCCAAGTTTACATCTTACCAAAGCAGTTTCAAGAAGTAACCATCTATATTAGCCGGATGTGGTGGTGCACACCTGTATTCCCTACTCAGATGGCTGAGGCACGAGAATCATGTGAACCCAGGAAGCAGAGGTGGCTGTGAGCCGAGATCGCACCACTGTCCTCCAGCCTGAGTGACAGAGTGAGATTCTGCTTCAAAAAAAAAAAAGTAACCATCTGATTCAGCCAGCTCCCCTACACTTCCTTCTGGAGTCAATGGCTTTCAAATAGAAAAATTCCCATCGGCCGGATGCGGTGGCTCACGCCTGTAATCCCAGCACTTTAGGAGGCCGACGTGGGCGGATCACCTGAGGTCGGGAGTTCAAGACCAGCCTGACCAACATGGAGAAACCCAGTCTCTACTAAAAATACAAAATTACCCAGGCGTGGTGGCACATGCCTGTAATGCCAGCTACTTGGGAGGCTGAGGCAGGAGAATTGCTGGAACACAGGAGGCAGAGGTTGCAGTGAGCCAAGATCACGCCATTGCACTCCAGCCTGGGTAACAAGAGCAAAACTCAGTCTCAGAAAAAAAGAAAGAAAGAAAAGAAAAAGAAAAATTCCCTAGTCTTTAGTGGTGCGCTCAATAGTAAACTTTAACAACTTCTAAGAGTTACAGTAAGACACCTGTAAAACTGATAATATCATTTGTTCTTCAGAAATTACTTTTAACCAACTTTTCAATAATAATTTTCTCAAAAGAAAGACATGTTTAAAATTTTTCCCTGGCCAGGCATGGTGGTTCATGCCTGTAATCTCAGTAATTTGGGAAATCAAAGCAGTAGAATGGCTTGAGCCAAGGAGTTCAAGACCACCCTGGTCAACAGAGTGACACCTCATCTTTATAAAAATAAAACAAAATTAGCTGGGCATGGTGACACATGCCTCTAGTCTCAGCTACTAAGGAGGCTGAGGCGGGAGGATCACTTGAGCACAGGAGTTTGAGGCTGCAGTGAGCTATGATCGTGCCACTGCACTCCAGCATGGGGGCCAGAGACTGTCACACACACACACACACACACACACACACACAGTTTTCACTGTTAGTTACACCATTAATTCATTAAAGCTCTAAATTATACCCTGCTATTTTGCCAGAGGATAAAATAGTAAATGAAACACAAAAATATAACCTAGGGTCAGGCTCACACCTGTAATCTCAACACTTTGGGAGGCCGAGGTGGGAGGAGTGCTTGAGCCCAGGAATTCCAGATCAGCCTGGGCAACTGAGGGGGAACATCAACTCTACAAAAAAATTGTTTTTAATTAGCTGGGCAGCCAGGCACAGTGGCTCATGCCTGTAATCCCAGCACTTTGGGAGGCCGAGGCAGGCAGATCACCAGGTCAGGAGTTCGCGACCAGTCTGGCCAACATAGTGAAACCCCATCTCTACTAAAAATACAAAAAATTAGCCAGGTGTGGTGATGGGCGCCTGTAATCCCAGCTACTCGGGAGGCTGAGGCAGGAGAACTGCATGAACCCAGGAGGCGGAGGTCGCATTGAGCCAAGATCACGCCATTGCACTCCAGCCCGGGAGACAGTGCGAGACTCCATCTCAAAAAAAAAAAAAAAAAAAAAAAAAAAAATTTAATCAGGCATGGTAGTCATGCCTACAGTCCCAGCTACTCAGGAGGCTAAGATAGAAGGATTGTCTGAGCCCAGGAGGTCGAGGCTGGAGTGAGCCGTGACTGCATCACTGCACTCTAGCCTGGGTGACAAAATGAAACCCCATCTCAAAAAAGAAAATATAACCTACATAATTATATACCAAAGCATTGAAGAACTACATGTATTTCCTATAATCTTGTTATAATCCATCATCCAGTATAGGACATTGCACAAAATTAGGTACTCAAATATCTGCTGAATATCAATGGAGAAAAGTTAACAATTACAATATTTTCCTAACCCTTTTTCATGAATACCGAATCACTATCACATAAATCTAAAGAACCAGAATGCCTCTCTATAGACTGTAACCCAGCATGGAATGAAAGGAAAAAAAGAATAAAGAGCACCATTCATTCAACAATTTCTAAGAATCTACTTTCAACTGTTAGCTGCTTTGAGGAATATAAAGTTCAGGGAGACATGGTCCTTGCATTTCAGAACCCCTTAAAGTAGAAGTAAAAACCACCACCGTTTAACAAAAATTGAATATGTGCTAGGCACTGGGCTAAGAGCTTTCAGGAAGACAAGTAGGCCTACAACAAAATATGAAATTAAAGGTAGGGAGGATTCTTAAGAAACATACTATAAGAATCTGAAATGTGGTAAGGTCACTTCTAGCTTGAGTGGAAGAAGAGGTAGACAAGGATATTTCATTGTGTATTTGAGCTTAAAGGGGCAATATTTCAACAGACTAACGCAGAGGTAAAACAAAAGCTAAAGTGTGCCCAGGGAATAAGCACAGACAAGCAGGTAAAGAAATGAGCCTGATGAAGGATACAGCCTTTCTTATTACATAACTTTGTTTCCTTTTATTTTAAATATTCACAATTAATGTCTTTACAAAGGCACTCATTATAAATAGCAAGCCTTTTTACTTCTAAAATGTTTACCCTGCTTTTTTTCTATAGCACTTAAACATTACATGTATTAGAGGGGATCTTTTAACCCCTTCTTTGTTTTATCTTTCCTTTCCTTCTCCCAATAACCAATTATTCTTCAGTGTTTCCCTACATGCTTATAATCTCATACCAATATATATAGATTTTTTGCAATAATTTCTTTTCCCAATAATTTTTTAAGATACACAAATTGGGCTGGGTGTGGTGGCTCATGCCAGTAATCCCAGCACTTTGGGAGGCCGAGGAGGGTGGATCACCTGAGGTCCAGAGTTCGAGACCAGCCTGGCCAACATGGTGAAACACTGTCTCTACTAATACAAAAAAAATTAGCCAGGCGTGGTGGCTCATGCCCATAGTCCCAGCTACTCGGGAGGCTGAGGCACGAGAATCGCTGGAACCCGGGAGGCGGGGGTTGCAGTGAGCTGAGATCGGTTGCCGTGAGCCGAGATCGCACCACTGCACCCTAGCCTGGGCAATAGAGCGAGACTTGGTCTCAAAAAAAAAAAAAGATACACGAATTGATCACAGAATACATGTTCAAAGAGGGAGGGAAACAAATTAAAAATATGAGCTGGGCACGATGGCTCATGCCTGTAATCTCAGCATTTTGGGAGGCCAAGGCGGGCAAATCACTTGAGGTCAGGAGGTTGAGACCAGCCTGGCCAACATGGTGAAAACCCGTCTCTACTAAAAATACAAAATTAGCCAGGTGTGGTGGCGCATGCCTGTGGTCTCAGCTACTCGGGAGGCTGAGTCAGGAGAACTGCTTGAACCCAGGAGGTGGAGGTTGTGGTGAGCCGAGATCGCGCCACTGCACTCTAGCCTGGGCAACAAGAGCGAAACTCCATCTCTAAAATAAATAAATAAATAAATAAATAAATAAATAAATAAATAAATGATATAAAAAATTAGCTGGGCAGGGTGATGAGTACCTGTAATCCCAGCTACTCGGGAGGCTGAGGCAGGAGAATCGCTTGAACCCAGGAGGCAGAGTCTGCAGTAAGCCAACATCATGCCACTGCACTCCAACCTGGGAGACAGAGCAAGACTCCATCTCAAAAAAACAATAATAAATAAAAATAGGCCAGGCGTAGTGACTCACACCTGTAATCCCAGAACTTTGGGAGGCCGAGATGGGCGGATCATAAGGTCAGGAGTTTGAGACCAGCCTGGCCAACACAGTGAAGCCCCGTCTCTACTAAAAATACAAAAATTAACTGGGCATGGTGGCCGGTGCCTGTAATCCCAGCTACTCGGGAGGCTGAGGCAAGAGAATCACTTGAACCCAGGAGGCAGGGGCTGCAGTGAGCCAAGTTCGCACCACTGCACTCCAGCCTGGGCGACAAAGCTAGACTCGGTCTCAAAGAAAAAAAAAATCAAAACTTATGCATATACTTACAGACCATACATAACACCATTTGCACAGACACACATTCACACTTGAGAGAAATGTAAACAAATGTTAAGATGCAGTATATTAAATAACTGCAGCATATTAAATAACTGAAGCCAGGTGCAGTGGCTCACATCTGTAATCCCAGCACTTGGGGAGGCAGAGGCGGGTGGATCACTTGAGGTCAGGAGGTTGAGACCAGCCTGTCCAACATGGTGAAACCCTGTCTCTACTAAAAATACAAAAAATTAGCCAGGTGTTATACAGCTACTCAGGAGACTGAGGCAGGAGAATCACTTGAACCTGGGAGACAGAGGTTGCAGTGAGTACAGTGAGCCAAGATTAAGCCACTGCACTCCAGCCTGGGCAAGACAGTGAGACTCCATCTCAAAAAAAAAAAATTTTTTTAATTAAATAAATAAATAACTGCATAAAATTAAATGATGTTGGCTGGGTGCGGTAGCTCATGCCTATAAGCCCAGCACTTTGGGAGGATGATGCGGGTAGATCGCTTGAGGCCAGGAGTTTGAGACCACCCTGGGCAACAGGGTGAAACCCCATCTCTACTAAAAATACAAAAATTAGCTGGGCATAGTGGCACAGGCCTGTAATCCTAGCTACTTGGGAGACTGAGGCAGGAGAATCGCTTGAACCTGAGAGGCAGAGGTTGCAGTGAGCTGAGATCTTGCTACTGCACTCCAGCCTGGGTGACAGAGTGAGACTTTGCCTCAAAAGAAAACAAACCTGTTGTACAAACTATATTACTACAGTAATTTCATAGCCACCTCTTCTTTCTATTGCAGTGAACTCAAGTGTTACAAGTTGCATGTGTCCACTTAAAAGGCCTTGTGTCCCTCTGAGCAGTTGGTCTCTCCAGTACATTTCCTATTGCAGTAAAAAGTGATATCTCTTGGCTGGGCACATTGGCTCATTCCTGTCATCTTAGCACTTTGGGAGGCCGAGCTGGTGGATTACTTGAGGTCAGGAGTTCGAGACCAGCCTGGCCAACATGATGAAACCCTGTCTCTACTAAAAATATAAACATTAGCCGGTTGTGGTAGCGAGTGCCTGCAATCCCAGCTACTAGGGAGGCTGAGGCAGGAGAATCACTTGAACCCAGGAGGCAGAGGAGAGCTGAGATCATGCCATTGCACTCCAGCCTGGGCGACAGAGCAAGACTATGTCTCAAAAAAAAAAAAGTCATCTCTCATGGGTCTTCTGTATTTTTCATCATGTACAGTACAATACCATAAACTTTGAATAACAGCATGGGTCCCATATGAAGTACCACTAGTGATGCTGGAAGCGCTCCCAAGAAGCAAAGAAAAGCCATGACATTATAATAAAAAGTTGAACTACTTGACTTATACAGTAGATGCAGGTCAGGTCAGCAGCTGCGACTGCCGGCCATTTCAGACAGACTATTCATCTTTTCTTTTTCTTTTTTTTTTTTTTCAAGAGACAGCATCTTGTTCTGTTGCCCAGGCTAGAGCACCATGGCACAATCATAGCTTATTGCAGCCTCCAATTCCTGGACTCAAACAATCCTCTCTCCTCAGCCTACCAAGTAGCTGGGACTACAGGCGCATACCACATGCCTGACTAGTTTTTTTGGTTTTAGAGATGGGGTCTCACTATGATGCCCAGGCTGGTTTTGAACTCCTGGCCTCAAGCAATCCTCCCTCCTTGGCCTCCCAAAGTGCTGGGATTATAGGCATGAGCCACAGAGGCTGGCCCTAAATACATTATAGAATAAAAAAGTATGAGAGGCCAGGCACAGTGGCTCATGCCTATAATCCCAGCATTTTGGGAGGCCAAGGCGGGAGAATCACTTGAGCTCAGCACTTCGACATCAGCCTGGGCAACATGGCAAAACCCCATCTCTACAAAAAATACAAAAATTAGCTGAGTGTGGTGGCACACACCTGTAGTCCCAGCTACTCAGCAGGTTCAGGAGGGAAGATGGCTTGTGCCTGGGAGGTCAAGGCTACGGTGAGTGGAGATCGCACCACTGCACTCCAGCCTGGGCAATGGAGTGAGACTGTGTCACTCACAACACAAAAAAAGGGTATGAGTATAAAGTAACTACAACTGTGTGTATCAACTTATAGAAAAACTTTATTCATTTTTTTTTTTGCTTATTTTTCTTCTTACACCTCACAAGGATGAAAGAAAGTGTTCTTTTTAAAAAGATGTCATTAATTGTGTACATAATGTATCCCTTTGAACAACATTATACACAAGTTTAAGAGGGAGGAAAAAACCCATCAGATCCAAATATAGCCAAATTCAAAGGTTCTGGTTTGCCCATTACATCTAAGTAGCAATAAGAAGAAAAGGAGGGCTGGGCGCAGTGGCTCAAGCCTGTAATCCCAGTACTTTAGGAGGCTAAAATGGGAGGATCAATGGAGGCCAGGAGTTCGAGACCAACCTGGTAAACATAGTGAGACCCCCCCCCCGCCATCTCTAAAATAGTAAAAATAATAATTTTTTAAAATGCAAAAAGCCTACAACCACTTCACAGTCATTAGGGTTGTTATTTTATTTATTTATTTTTTGAGACGAAGTCTCACTCTTGTGGAGTGCAATGGCGCAATCTCAGCTCACTGCAACCTCTGCCTCCCGAGTTCAAGCGATTCTCCTGCCTCAACCTCCCAAGTAGCTGGGATTACAGGCATGCGCCAACAAGCCCAGCGAATTTTTTTTGTACTTTTAGTAGAGACGGGGTTTCACCATGTTGGCCAGGCTGGTCTCGAACTCCTGACCTCAGGTGATCCGCCCGCCTCGGCCTCCCAAAGTGCTGGGATTACAGGCATGAGCCACCGTGCCCAGCCCAAGATTGTTACTTTAAAAATTAAAAAAGAAAAAATAACAAGTGTTGGAAAAGATGTGGCAAAACTGGAACCCTTGTGCTTTGCTGGTGGGAAATGTAAAATGGTGCAGTCACTGTGCAAAACAGTTTGGCAGTTCCTCAAAAAGTAAACACAGAATTACCATATGATCCAGTAATTCTACTCCTGTGCATTACCCTAAGGCACTGAAAGCAGGGGCTCCAACAGATATTTGTACACCAATGTTCACTGCAGCATTATTTACAACAACCAAAAGGTGGAAATAATCCAAGTGTCCATCACTGATGAGGAGATAAACAAAATGATATATTCATACAATGAAATATTATTCAGCCATAAAAAGGAATAAAATACAGATACATGCCACCACCACATGGATAAACCTCAAAAATGTGCTAAGTAAAATAAGCCAGACAAAAAAGGCCAGATAGTGTATGACTCCCCTTACATGAGGTACCTGGAATAGGCAAATTCATAGAGAGAAAGTAGAATAGGGGTTACGAGGAACTGGGCATAGGGAGGAATGAGGAGTTCTTGCTTAATGAGTACTGTTTCTGTTTGAGGTAACAAAAAGGTTCTGGAAACGAGTAGTGGCGATGGTTTTAAGACATTGTGAATGTTGTTAAATGTCACTGGATTGTAGATACACACACACACACCCCACCCCCAATCCGCCCCCTTCCAACTTACATAAGACAGCCTAGGGGTCCATTTTGCATTGTCAGGCAATACTAGATAATACTAGCCAGGGAAATCACAATCTCTCCTCTCAAAATCACACTATAATGCTGGACCAGACTAAGGTCAAAAATGGTAGAAGATTATCATTTATCCCCCCATTCTCTCTGGGTATAACTTTCTTCCATATCTAAAACCTATGAATGCAAAAGGAAATAGCCAGCATGGTAACAGCTGCTTGAGCTGAAGAGTCAGTGTCCTGCTAAAGCAGGCAAATGTCATCAAGGAGCTAGCAGGCAGAACCTAGAGCACTCTACATATAATGCCCAATAGAGGGAGAAGCTTAAGCAACTTACCTCCTCCAACAGACAGGTCCTAAGTTACAAAGTTCTAAGTTTGAATTTAGTAAGTGTAGCCTCTTTACTGTAAGCATTTTGGAGAGATGGCAGTAGAGTGAAACTAAATCCATAAGTGATTAACCTCTGATTAATGTTTGCTGTGTAAGACAAGGTTTTGAGAACTGGAGATATATAAAAAAGGATAAGACATGCCCCACTGGAAATATATAGGCAAGAGTAAGACATGCCTCATTTTTAAACTGAGACATAAGACATCTATACAAGAAATTCAACTTGGCCACTGCGGTGGCTCACACCTGTAATCCCAGCATTCTGGGAGGCTGAGACAGGTGGATCATCTGCAGTCAGGAGTTCAAGACCAGTCTGGCCAACATCATGAAACCCCATCTCTACTAAAAATACAAAATTTAGCCGGGCGTGGTGGCAGATGCCTGTAATCCCTGCTACTTGGGAAGCTGAGACAGGAGAATCACTTGAACCCGGGAGACAGAGGTTGCAGTGAACCAACATCACGCCACTGTACGCCAGCCTTTGTGATAAGAGTGAAACTCCATCTCGGGGAAAAAAAAAAAAAAGAGGAATAGATAAAAGTAAGGAAATGTCAGCCTCTCTCAATTAGATAAGGTCCTTGAAGGTAGGAACTTGCCTTATGCTGCACCAAGTGCACTGGCCTGCACCTACAGGGGCCTAAAAATACTGGCTTTTGATTTCCACTAAACATACTATTACTATGAGAAAGCCATGTGAGCAAGACACAGAAGCAAGAATTGTATATACTTAGTCTGGTAGCCAGGGAGAGCCTGGAAGATTTGAGCAAGAAAGTAAGGCCAGCACATCTACCCTTAAATATTTTTGTGTCGTCACAAAATAGGATACATAAGAATTCACATTTCCCTCTGTGAAAGGAAGCTGGGTAGCTAGAGAACAAAGGAGAACGTAGAATAACTATGCACAACATAACTTTCTATATCCTTTAAATTTTGTGACATCTGACATTATTACTTACTCAAAGAAAATAATATTTAATTCTTAAGAATTTCCAGGCAGGGGCCAGGCGCAGTGGCTCACACCTGTAAATCCCAGCACTTTGGGAGGCCGAGGTGGGCAGATTACCTGAGGTCGGGAGTTCGAGACCAGTCTCACTATCATGGAGAAACCCCATCTCTACTAAAAATACAAAATTAGTCGGGCATGGTGGTGCATGCCTGTAACCCCAGCTACTCAGGAGGCTGAGGCAGGAGAATCGCTTGAACCCAAGGCAGAGGTTGCGGTGAGCTGAGATTGTGCACCACTGCACTCCAGCCTGGGCAACAAGAGCAAAACATCTCAAAAAAAAAAAAGTACACAATAAAATGGCTTTTATTATATTCACAGTTGTGGATCCATCTCCATAATTGTAGAACACTTTTATCACCCAAAAAAAAAACAAAACAAAACAAAACAAAACAAAAAAAAACCCTATCACAGTCACTGACCATTCCCTACATCCCTCAGCCCCTGATCTACTTTCTGTCACTAAGGATTTTCCTATTCTGGACATTACATATAAATGGAATAATTCAATATGTGGTCTTTCCTGCATGGTTTCTTTTACTTAATATGTTTCCAATGTTGTAGTATACACCAGTACATCCTTTCTTTTTATTACTGAGTAACATTCCATCACATAGTAGTGCTTCCATATCCACTTGGAATATGTTCCAAGACTACCAATGAATGCCTGAAAGCAAGAACAGTATACTATACTGTATACACTATGTTTTTTCCTGTACATACATACCCATGATCAAGTTTAACATATAAATTAGGCACAGTGAGAGATTAATTATAATTAATAATGGAACAATTATAAGAACATAATATCATAAAAGTTATGTGAGGGCTGGGCGTGGTGGCTCACGCCTGTAATCCCAGCACTTTGGGAGGCTGAGGCAGGCAGATCACCTGAGTTAGGGAGTTCAAGACCAGCATGACCAACACAGTGAAACCCTGTCTCTACTAAAAATACAAAATTAGCCAGGTGTGGTGGCGCATGCCTGTAATCCCAGCTACTCAGGAGGCTGAGGCAGGAGAATCGCTTGAACCCAGGAGGCAGAGGCTGTGGTGAGGAAAGATCATGCCACTGCACTCCAGCCTGGGCAACAAGAACGAAACTCCGTCTCAAAAAAAACAAAAAAAGAAACAAACAAAATTGACTGCCACTGCCTGCTGCTTCCCATTTATTAACAAAAAATGTAAACAACCTCTAAATCATAAAGATTTTAAAACCGTAAACTAGCTTTAGGATTGTTAAGCCCCACCCAGTAAAACCCCTTAGAATCTGGTCTAAAAATAAAACCGTGTGTCAAGTGTTCCTCAAAAAATGCTATGTACACTGATTGGAATGTGATGCCAATTAACATACTTTGTGAGTAATTTGCCAAACTTTAGATAGTCTAGGCCAAAACCACTAACAAAGAAACAACACCCACTTGACATTTTCCTTAGTTAAGCTGAGATTCTAGGGGTCATTTTAGAAGAAAGGCAAACAGATGTGAAATTAACTAAAATCATTTAGAGCTACGCAAGTCATTCTGGGAGAAAAGAAGTAACAAAATGACTCAAACATTGTAAAATTAAAGATCAAACCTTAATGTGTAATTAAGGAATTTTTACTTACAACTCTAAGGCAAGAAAAAAATAGCCATTACTATCATGAGAATTACAAGGCAAGATGCCTGAGCGAGCCTGTAATGCCAGCACTTTGGGAAGCCGAGGCAGGTGGATCACTTGAGGTCAGGAGTTCAAGACCAGCCTGGCCAACATGGTGAAACCTCGTCTCTACTAAAAATACAAAAATTAGCCAGGCAAGGTGGCCGGCGCCTGTAATCCCAGCTACTCGGGAGGCTGAGGCATGAGAATCCCTTGAACCTGGGAGACGGAGGTTGTAGTGAGCCAAGATCACACCACTGCACTCCAGCCTGGGCAACAGCACCAGATTTCATCTCAAAAAAAAAAAAAAAAAATTACACGCAAGATAAGTTAGCCCTATACCAAAAGTACCAACTGAATTGCAACACAAATATCTAGTATTACATTTTGAACCCAGTCAGATGAGCAATTAGGAATTCTACCCTCCCATACACATACCAAACAACCTCATCCTAAATAAACCCAGTGTTCTCTGATTTTCCAATTAATTTATTCAAGGTAAGTAATTTTCCACCTCATAGTCATTTGTTTTGAAGAAATGACTCCCAAGATCTGAACAACTTAAAAACAAAAACTAAGTCAAAAAGCTCAATTTTATGGTTTCATAAACCCCCTCACTGTCACATTATCCACTGCCTTTCAAAGGCAATATTTAAAATTGTCTTCTGCAAGTCAACATTAAGGCATGCTGTTTGGCTAACAAGCTCCTCCCAAGCTCAAGATTATTATGTATGGCCTATTATGATCCTAACATGCAAACAAAAGTACTCCCTCATGTAACATTTTTTTAGGCAGTAGGTTACTAACAAAGATTTACCTGAAATTTAAATGTAGAATCATACATTTACTAGTAATAGACTACCTGAAATAGTAGTTTAAAGTTATCAATTATATTTTTTATTTCGTAAATAATCCAGTGCTTCTGGAAAAGTCAAATTTAACTTCCAAGAAGTATGAACTTGCTTAATCTTCAGAGCAAACAAATGACATGTTATAAACTAAAAGCTACTAGTCTAAGAGCAACTGTAATATAATACTTGATGTTTAACATTCTTCACTTCATCTTTTAGATACTTTTTGTCAGAAATTACCAGCTTAATCTGCTTCTCACTGTTTTTTTCAGCTAAACCAAATCCCATAAAATACGTTCAAGCCTTCTATTGAAGGCACACTTTTTTTTTTTGAGACAGGGTCTCACTCCATCACCAACACTGGAGTACAGTGGCATGAACATGGCTCACTGCAGCCTCAATCTCCCTGGGCTCAGGTGAGCCTTTCACCTCAGCCTCCCAAGCAGCTGGGACTACAGGCATACTACACCATACCCTGCTGATTTTTTTCTTTTTGTGTGTGTGTATTTTTTGTAGGGACAGGTTTTCACCATGTTGCCCAGGCTGGTCTCAAACTCCTGAGCTCTAGCAATTCACCAGCCTCGGCCTCCCAAAGTGCTGGGCTTACAGGCCTGAGCCACCACAACTGGCTGATGTTTTTACAACTACTGACAAGACTTTAACAAAACTAAGGAACTCCACTACAATTTATAATCACAAAACACCACATATCAGCCAGGCACAGTGGCTCACGCCTGTAATCCCAGCACTTTGCAAGGCCAAGGCGGGTAGATCACAAGGTCAGGAGTTCAAGACCAGCCTGGCTAATATGGTGAAATCCCGTCTCTACTAAAAACATAAAAGTTGGCTAGGCGTGGTGGCAGGCGCCTGTAGTCCCAGCTACTCAGGAGGCTGAGGCAGGAGAATGCTTAAACCCAGGAGGCAGAGGTCGCAGTGAGCCAAGATCGCACCACTGCGCTAAAAAAACACCACATATCTTTAAAAGATAAGCCTTTAGTACAGAAACAGTAACAGGTTTATTTTTCCAAGTATCCCAGCATTCAACTGGGTCAAATGTTTATGTTGCATTTTAAACAGCTTAGCCCTTGAGTGATAAGGGTAAAAACAAGCCAAAATAATCCTGAATGTTCTTCAGTGGTATATAATCATCACAACCAAAGCAAGATTTAGAAACTGCAACTGAAGTCTGTTAATTCCATAATAGTCACTTTAGCATAAACATTAATCACAATATTATAGCTATTTTAGGAAAATTATGTTTATGGGGATAAAGATTTTATAACAGGTTGTTATCCGAGAAGTCAATACAAATAAATAGTTTATAAAATACACTTATTAAACTAAAAATACTCACATTCTACACTTTTTTTGATGTTTGTTTTCTATAGTCGTCCAATTTCTGTAAGACTGGGGAGTACATTACTTATATTTAAAATTTAGGCCAGGCACAGTGGCTCATGCCTGTAATCCCAGCGAGGCCGTGGGAGGCCGAGGTGGGCAGATCTCTTGCGGTCAGGAGTTCGAGACCAGCCTGGCCAACACGACAAAACCCCATCTCTACTAAAAATACAAAAATCAGCCGGGCGTGGTGGAGTGTGCCTACCCAGCTACTCAGGAGGGTGAGGCAGGAGAACTGCTTGAACCAAGGAGGCAGAGGTTGCAGTGAGCCGAGATCGCATCATTGCACGCCAGCCTGGGCAACAGAGTGAGACTCCGTCGCAAAAAAATAAAAAACAATAGAATAATAAAATAAAAATTAGTAGGAGAGTGTTCTACATTTATAAAGTTAACATTTTTGTGAGCAAGTATAACTTTAAGAGAATTTTTTGCAAGAATCCCCAGGAATATATGAGTTCAATTCATTCACCACTGTGTAAGTCAAAACATTTGATATAAAACACTTATCAAAAATGTTCTGCTAGCCAGGCACAGTGGATCACACCTGTAATTTCAGCACTTTAAGAGGCTGAAGCTGGAGGATCACTTGAGCCCAAGAGTTCAAGACCAGCCTGGCCAACATAGTGTGACCCCCTCTCTATTATTTAAAAAAAAAAAAAGTTCTGCCTGGCCAGTGGCTCACCCCTGTAATCCCAGCAAGCACGTTGGGAGGGAGAGGTGGAAGCAGGAGGATCGCCTGAGCCCAGGAGTTTGAGACCAGCCTAGGCAACACTGCCAGACTCCATCTCTACTATTTTTTTTTTAATTAGCCATGTGTGGTGGCACCTGTCTGTAGTCCCAGCTACTCAGGAGGCAAAGGCAGGAGAACTGCTTAAGCCCAGGAGTTAGAGGCTGCAACCGAGCTATGATCATGCCACTGCACTCTAGCCTGGGCGACAGAGTGAGATCCTGTTCCTTTAAAAAAAAAAAAAAAAAAAAAAAAAAAAAAAAAAGTTTGCATTGTTCTGAAAAAATAAAAAAAAATTTAAAAGTCATTAACTAAGTTAAACTAAATATGTTCAATCACTATCAGCTTCAACATCAACAAAGGGAGAAAATTATCAGCAAGAATGAAGACTCGGCAACCCATGTACAATAATCCAAATTCAACTAGTTCACTATCTACAACAAAGACAGCCCCCTCACAATTCTAGCAACTTTTATTTTACTCTCATCTCTCACCATTTCCTTCCTGCACCCCAGGCAATTTGCTGCTCCCCAAACTCATCCCAACTCCCACATGGCTCTAAGCCTTTGTACCAGCTGTTCCCTGAGCTCCTCCTCACCCGATGAGCACTTACTCACAGGTGTTTCAAAACTCGACTCAGAAGTCTCCTCGAGTGTAGAAGCTTCCTCAACTCCTCCCCAAGCAAAACTAACTGTTCTAAATCCCCATAACACTTGATAAGCCAATTCTTATCACACTGCATTGTTTTCACGCCTTAGGAGCGCAGGGAGGGCAGAGTCTCTCCACTCAGCCCACAGAGGACCAGGCAAGCAGAAACGCTCAATGAACGTGCCTTGAATTCATTTTCCACTTAGATTAAGTGACCCCCTAGAACCCGTTCACATCTCAAGGATACACTAAGTTCCATTCCTTCTTCCCACCACAGAATGAATACCAGGGGCACACCCAGAGCCCTAGAACGAGAACAATGAATGAACACGGCCGCCTCGCCTCTCACGACGTCCAAACCCCTCTCTCTTGGGCATCGACTCGCTCGCAGAGCCTCAGCAGCTGCAGAGCTGAAGCGTCCCGGCGGCTCTCGCGTCACACAAAAGACAGCCCTGGCTCTTCATTCCAAAGCGTCCTGAGGCCAATCCTCTATAAGTATCCCAAACCTTTCATTAATAACCCAGAGTCCTGATACCCAAGGCTAGTCCTGATACCCAAGAAGAGGCCCCTGTGCCTTTGTGGTAGGGCACTGGCCAGTTTCCTCCTCTCTTACCCGATTCCTCACGTCGTCTCTAAAAGGGTGTCACTTGACTGAAGTACCCTGAGAAAGGGTGCAAGCCCGGGTCCCACATTCGGCGGCCCAAGAGAAAAGGAATTGGCCCATCCAAGTGACAACAGATATGGGGCAGCTCTGGGCGGATTTTCCCACTGCCAAATATGAGGAATGCGCATGGCATAAGGGTGGCGTTGGCACGTTTCCGCCAAACACAAGGAAATTTGAGTGGGATGTGGGAACTCGGCTCGCCGGCCATGACACCGGACTCCGGGGCCCCCGCCCAACGCTACCCCAGGGTGACAACGGCCTGGCCCAAGCCCTCTGCCCGGCAGCCGCGGGGCCGCTCCATCAGCGCCACCCAGGCCCGGTCGCCCTGGAAGCCGATCCCTCAGCCCCGCCGCCCGGCTCCCCCGGCATCCACGACCCGGTCCTGCCACCTACCTGAGGGAGCCAGGCCGCCCCAACGTCCTGTCGTTCGGCGGCAGCTTCTCGCCCGCTCCTCCTCCCCGCGGCGGGTGAGGGAGCGGGAGGCGGTCACATTCGGCGCGTCCCCAGCCCAGGGGACGGAGCCCCGAGCAGCCCCCGCATCGTAGCAAACGCGCTCCGCGCCTCAGGGCACGCGCCCCAAAGCCCGGCCAGCTGACCCTTTTCGGGGCCCAAAAAAGGCAGCAGAAAGCCGTTCCCGCCTCACAATCGTTTTCCTCTTACTCCCGCCATCTAAGATGGCGGCCCAAGCGCCCGCGATTAAGACTCTCGGGCGGCCCAGACGAGCGAGCCCTCGACTCGGTGCTCGTCCTCCCGACCTGCGACGCCACCGGCTCTCCGATTCTGCGCGAGCCCTACTGGCAGTCGACTTCTAACTTGGCTCGGGCATCCATCGCTCTGGCCTGAACTCAGGCCCCGCCCCCGGGGCGTGGCCTAGCGATCTGGTGGCCGCCATTTCGAAGCTGAAGAGGTTAGGCGACGCTGACTTGCTTTCAGGAGAGGCACTCGGTAATCGAGAAGAACCGGCTTTCGGCCAGCCAGGAGTGGCCAGAGGCCTAGAAGGGGAGAGGAAGGCCTGCCTGCCCAGCATTGCAAGGCCCAGCGATCACCAGACGTGCCTCAGGACACAGGGCACAGTGTCCAACTTTGACGCGTCCTCTCCGGGCACTTTAATACCAAATCACGGCTCCGCCACTTGACAGCTATGTGGACAGTCCCTGAACCTTAAACGGTCTTTTCCTTGTGTGTAAATTCCGAGTTCATTTTTCCCCCATCACATTAGCAACAAGTTAAAAAAACTGATAATATCCGGTTTGGTCCAAGGTATATTGAAACCTGTTGTGTGCCCTCGCAGCGCTATCACAGTGGAACTTGGACATGTTAAAAGTATATATCCTTCCTCCCGGCAGTTTCACTTCTAGACACTAATTCTAGAGAAATAAGTATACACATACACAAAAAGCTATGTGTGAAGATATTTAATGCCATATTATTTGCATTCTGGAGAAACACTGGGGATGAAATGAAGATTAATAGGAAACTGGTTAAGAGAACGCTGCTACACATCCAATCTGGGTTGTCATCCATCCAAGAATGAACTAGATAGTTACTGAATTTAAAAAACAACAAAAAAAGGGCCCGGCGCTTTTTTTGGGATTACTCCTGTAATCCCAGCACTTTGGAAGGCCGAGGCAGGCGGATCACCTGAGGTCGGGAGTTCGAGACCAGCCTGACCAACATGGAGAAACCCCGTCTCTACTAAAAATACAAAAATTAGCCGGGCGTGGTGGCGGGCGCCTGTAATCCCAGCTACTCAGGAGGCTGAGACAGGAGAATCGCTTGAACCCGGGAGGCAGAGGTTGCAGTGAGCCCAGATCGCACCATTACACTCCAGCCTGGGCGACAGAGCGAGACTCCGTCTCGAAAAAATAAATAAATATAAAAAAATAAAAATACCAAATTAGCTGGGCATGGTGGTGCATGCCTGTCATCCCATCTACTCGGGAGGCTAAGGCAGGAGAATTGCTTGTACCCAGGAGGCGGAGATTGCGGTGAGCCGAAATCGCGTCATTGCACTCCAGCCTGGGCAACAAGAGCGAAACTCTTGTCTCAAAAAAAAAAAAAAAAAAGACATGGCTGGGCGTGGTGGCTCACGCCTGTAATCCCAGCACTTTGGGAGGCCGAGGCGGGCAGATCACTTGAGGTCATGAGTTTGAGACCAGCCTGGCCAACATGGTGAAACCTGTCTCTGCTAAAAAATACAAAACAAATAGGCCGGGTGCGGTGGCTCACACATGTAATCCCAGCACTTTGGGAGGCCGAGGCGGGCAGATCACGAAGTCAGGAGATCGAGACCATCCTGGCTAACACAGTAAAACCCCGTCTCTACTAAAAATACAAAAGATTAGCCGGGTGTGGTGGCGGGCCCCTGTAGTCCCAGCTACTCAGGAGGCTGAGGCAGGAGAATGGCATGAACCCGGGAGGCGGAGCTTGCAGTGAGCTGAGATCGCGCCACTGCACTCCAGCCTGGACAACAGAGTGAGACTCCGCCTAAAAAAAAAAAAAAAAAAATTGGCCAGGTGTGGTGGTGCGCGTCTGTAATCCCAGCTACTCAGGAGGCTGAGGCAGGAGAATCACTTGAACCCAGTAGGCAGAGGTTGCAGTGAGCCGAGATAGCGCCACTGCACTCCAGCCTAGGTGACAGAGCCAGACTCTGTCGCAAAAAAAGGAAAAAAAAAGCCATTAAGTTAAAAAAGCAGAACATAATGTATGATCTTATTTACGCAAACACAGGAACACAAGATACCTACCTAATACTACAGAATGCCATGTGCACTATTACTTTTCGATATTGAGAGCCTATTAGGTACCACACATTATTTTGGATATTGGAAAATTAACAGTAATCAAAATCCCTGCCATCTAGTAATGGGAGATTAAAAGAAAATATAAATAATAAAATTCAGGTTGGATGTGGTGGCCAAAGCCTCTAATCCCAGCACTTTGAGAGGCCAAGGAAGGGGGGTCACTTCAGCCCAGATGTTGAAGACCAGCCTGAGCAACATGAGACCCCATCTCTACCAAAAAAAAAAAAGAAAAGAAAATTAGTGTGCATGGTGACATGCTCCTGTAATCCAGCTAGGGAGGAGGCTGAGGCTGGAGGATCACTTGGAGTTGGGGATGGCATAAGCTATGATTGCCTCACTGCACTCCAGCCTGGACAACATAGCAAGCCCCCGTCTCTTAAAAAAGAAGAAGAAAGGAAAAGTGAAGCAAAGTGAGAATGACAGGAGTATGTGGACCAACGTAAAAATAAATGTAGGAGAAAGACTGGCCAGGCGCGGTCGCTCACGCTTGTAATCCCAGCCCTTTGGGAGGCCGAGGCAGGCAGATCACAAGGTCAAGAAATAGAGACCCTCCTGGCTAACACGGTGAAACCCGGTCTCTACTAAAAATAAAAAAAATAAAAAAATTTTTAAAAAAGCCGGGCGCGGTGGCTCACGCCTGTAATCCCAGCACTTTGGGAGGCCAAGGCAGGCGGATCACGAGGTCAGGAGATCGAGACCATCCTGGCTAACACGGTGAAATCCCATCTCTACTAAAAATACAAAAAATTAGCCGGGTGTGGTGGCGGGTGCCTGTAGTCCCGGCTACTCGGAAGGCTGAGGCAGGAGAATGGCGTGAACCCAGGAGGCAGAGCTTACAGTGAGCCAAGATGGCGCCACTGCACTCCGTCTGCCTGGGCGACAGAGCGAAACTCCGTCTCAAAAAAAAAAAAAAAAAAAAGAAAGACTAGAAGGTGTGGAATGTGGATAGCATGAGGGGGATTTTTAAAATGGGAATAATAGGCCAGGCACGGTGGCTCATGCCTGTAATCCCAGCACTTTGGGAAGCTGAGGCAGGCAGATCACCTGAGGTTGGGAGTTCGAGACCAGCCTGACCAACATGGAGAAACCCCATGTCTACTAAAAATACAAAATTAGCCGGGCATGGTGGCCTGTAATCTCAGCTACTCGGGAGGCTGAGGCAGGAGAACTGCTTGAACCTGGGAGGCAGAAGTTGCAGCGAGCGGAGATTGTGCCATTGCACTTTGGCTTGGGCAACAAGGGTGAAACTCCGTCTCAATAAATAAATAAATAAATAATAAATAAAATAAAATGGGAATAATAACACTTTCCTTGCAGGATTAAATGAGATAAAACCTGGAGAGCACTTAGTGCAGAGCCTGGTGGTTGAGACTTCAGTGCCTAGAGTCTGACTTGCCTGGGTTCAAATTTGGACTCTGCCATTTCCTTATCTGTGACTTGGAGAACTCATTTAAACTTCTCAATTCTTCCATTCCCTCATCTATAATGGAAATGTGATGATACTACCTCTTAGAGTTGTAAGGATTTAGTAAGTTTTAGACGTAAAGTACTTGGAACAGTGCCTTCCTCATATTAAGCATTGTAGAAGTGTTAGCTGTAATTACTAGAGCTATCTCCCTCTTTTTCTAAAATAACACTGGTTTACAAGGAAACCAAAGAAGTCAATATTATAACTATCTCTAATTATCATTATCATTATTACTTGAGGCAGAGTTTCGAAGCCACACTTGCTGACCTTCTGATTATTCCTTCCTTCAGCATCCCCAGCTGATATTTGCCCAGCACTTTACATCTTAGAAATTTAAGGTGGCTCACGCCTGTAATCCCAGCACTTTGGGAGGCCGAGGCGGGCGGATCACGAGGTCAGGAGATCGAGACCATCCCGGCTAACACGGTGAAACCCCGTCTCTACTAAAAATACAAAAAATTAGCCGGGCGTAGTGGCGGGCGCCTGTAGTCCCAGCTACTCGGGAGGCTGAGGCAGGAGAATGGCGTGAACCCGGGAGGCGGAGCTTGCAGTGAGCCGAGATCGCGCCACTGCACTCCAGCCTGGGCGACAGAGCGAGACTCCGTCTCAAAAAAAAAAAAAAAAAAAAAAAAGAAATTTAAGGAGCCTGTGCCTCATTCAAACTTTTCAGCTCACCTGGAAGAATGGCTACTTCATTTTTTAAAAAATTTATTGAGGTGAAATGAACCATTTTAAACTGAACATTTAGTGGCATTTAGTACATTCAGTCTTTTACAGCCACCACCCCTAGTTCCAAAACATTTCCATTACTCCAAAGTAAAACCCCTTACCCATCAAGCAGTTTCTTCCCCATCCCCTGAACGTCTGGCAATCACCAATATGCATTCTGTCACTATGGATTTTTCTATTCTGGATATTACATAAAAATGGACTCACACAATATGTGGCCTTTTGTGACTGACTTCTTTCACCTGGCATAATGTTTTCAAGGTTCATCCACATGGTAGCATGTGTCAGTACTTTATTCATTTTCATGGCTGAATAATATCCCATTGTAAGTTTATGCCACATTTTGTTTATCCATTCATCTGTTGGTGGACATTTGGGCTGTTTCCATTTTTTGGGCATCGTGTGTGCTAAAACATGTGTGTTACATGCTGGGTTGCATATCCCCTACTTTAGATACCTCTGGTTTGGTGGTAGGAGAGGTCAAGTGTGCTAAAGTTATTAGGAAAGGTCTCAGAAGAGTAATAGGAGGAAGGAATGAGTCTGAAATGGTTTGAAGGAAGAATAGACATGCCCATGATGTCAGATCAGAGGAGGAAAATAGGCCGGGCGCAGTGGCTCACGCTTGTAATCCCAACACTTTGGGAGGCTGAGGCAGGCAGATCATCTGAGGTCAGGAGTTTAAGACCAGCCTGGCCAACATGACAAAATCCCATCTCTACTAAAAATACAAAAATTAGCTGGGCATGGTGGCGCATGCTTGTAGTCCCAGCTACTCTGTAGGCTGAGGCACAAGAATTGCTTGAACCGGGGAGTTGGAGGTTGCAGTGAGCCAAGATTGTGCCACTGCACTCCAGCCTGGGCGACAGAGGGAGACCCTGTCTCAAAAAAAAAAAAAAAAAAAAAAGATGTACCGTTGGCCAGGCATGGTGGCTCACGCCTGTAATCCCAGCACTTTGGGAGGCCGAGGCGGGTGGATCATGAGGTCAGGAGATCGAGACCATCCTGGCTAACACAGTGAAACCCCGTCTCTACTAAACAAAATACAAAAAATTAGCTGGGCGTGGTGGCGGATGCCTGTAGTCCCAGCTACTCCGGAGGCTGAGGCAGGAGAATGGCGTGAACCCAGGAGGCGGGGCTTGCAGTGAGCCAAGATCACACCACTGTACTCCAGCCTGGGCTACAGAGCGAGACTCCATCTCAAAAAACAAAAAAGAAAAGAAAAAGTAAAGATGTACAGTAAGGTCTTTATGCTTGGCAAAAAGGGTACATTTTTCAGATGAAGGAAAGAAAAAATAACGGCCATTTATGGAATGTCTTCACGTATCAGGCATTTTTACAGTTTCCAATACACAACCCATGAGAGGCCTCATCTTCACATGAGGAGAGGGTAAGTAATTTGTCCTAAGACACAAATCTGGTGGTAAGTAGTGGAGCAAGGATTTGGATCTATTTTGTTTGTTCATTCCTCATTCAGTTAATAAAAATTTCTTGGTGGACTGGTGGCTCACACCTGTAATCCCAGCAATTCAGGAGGCCAAAGTGAGAGAACCACTTGAGACCAGGAGTTTGAGACCAGCCTGGACTACATCGTGAGACTCCATTTCTATCAAAAATTTTTAAAATTAGCCAGGGGTGGTGGCACATTCCTGTAGTTCTAGCTTCCTGGGAGGCTGAGGCAGGAGGATCAGCTGAGCCCAGGAATTAGAGGCTGCAGTCAGCTATGATCATGCCACTGCACTCCAGCTTGTCTGAAAAAAGCTAAAATTGGCCGCTTGCAGTGGCTCATGCCTGTAATCCCAGGACTTTGGGAGGCCGAGGCGGGTGGATCACCTGAGTTCGGGAGTTCGAGACTAGCCTGACCAACATGGAGAAACCCCATCTCTGCTAAAAGTACAAAATTATCCAGATATGGAGGCACATGCCTGTAATCCCAGCTACTAGGGAGGCTGAGGCAGGAGAATCGCTTGAACCCGGGAGGCAGAGGTTGCGGTGAGTCGAGATCGTGCCATTGCACTCCAGCCTGGGCAACAAGAGCGAAACTCCGTTCACAAAAAAAAAAAAAAAGCTAAAATTAAATTTTTTTAATACTTAATATATGCCAGGCCCTGTGTTAGAGCTGGGCCTATAGCAGTAAACAAGGCAAAGTCCCTGTATGTACTCAAGGACTTTAAGCTCTAGCAGGGGAGACAAGCAGCAAACAAGTAAATGAATAATATGATAATTAGGGTTGTGGCAAATCAATGAAGGGAATTGCTGGAGAATGACAGAATGGGAAGAGGGTGTGCCTTTAGATTCAGTAGTCAAGGAAGGCCTGTCTCAGGAGGTGATAGTTAAGCTGGGCACGAAAGGATGAAAAAGAGCCAGAGGAAGAGCATTCTAAGCAGTTGGAACAGCATGTATAAGGGCCATGAAGTGAGACAGGAGTGCAGGCCAGTGTGGTTAGAGCACAGAAAACTGGGGGAGCAGATGAGGCTGAGGACAGAGGGTGGAGTCATATTCAGTCTGACTCCCAAACCTGTGACCTTTCCATGCCATCCTGCCCTGCAGGGACTTTGAAGTGTGGGGCTGGCCTGGGCTGGGTGCTGGGAGAGACAGAGCCATGTAAACAAACAGTTGCCCCAGCAGGTGACGCAAATGTGCTCTCATGGATAACTGTGCGAGGGGCACCAAGAGGAGGGAGGCAGTGACCAGAGACAACATATAAGCTATCTTAAAGGATGAGTGGAATTGTAACCATAATAGGTCCTTTATCCGGTGCACGTGGCAAGTCAATTCACCACATTGCAGCAGTGAAAGAGGTTTATTTCTAGGGATGCTGAACCAGGAGATGGGAGGAAACCTCAAATCCGTCTCCACAGAGTTTGGGGCTAGGGTTTTCAGGGGTTTGGGAATCAGCCAAAGTGTGGAGATCCTTGATTGCTCAAAGGGCACAGGGCAAAGTCATGGAACAGGGAGATGAAGAAACTGTATTCTCATGCTGATTCCATTCCTCTGTAGGGGTCAGTGGGTCTTCAGACTATTTGAGGTCAGCTGTCTTGCTGGAATTCAGGATCTAAAAAACATCTTAAGAAATTCTTAAACAAAAACCTTATGATTCTAATGTCAGAGATTCTACCTATCTTAAATAAAAGGCTTATTATTCTAGCATCAGAAAGCTGATCTATAGGCCAGGTGTGGTGGCGGCTCACACTTGTAATCCTAGCACTTTGGGAGGCTGAGGTGGGAGGACCTCTTAGCCCAAGAGTTCAAGACCATTCTGGGCAACATAGGGAGACCCCTGTCTCTACAAAAAAATTTAAAAATTAGCGAGGTGTGGTAGCCTACACCTGTAGACTGGGCTACTCAGGAAGTTGAGGCGGGAGGATTGCTTGAGTGTGGGAGGTCAAGACTGCAGTGAGCCATGATTGTACCACTGCACTCCAGCCTGGGTGACAGAGTGAGACCTTGTCAAAAAAAAAAAAAAAAACCTATCTGTAGGAACAATGGGGATGCAAATGGTCAGTATCTAGTGCCCTGTAATTTTCAGTTACAAGAAAGTGGGTCAAAGTGCAGCCTAAGTAATGCTTAATTATAACTATTAATATATTTTTGTCCAAAATTCTTGTTAATCCTGTGAGGACAACTTCAGAATGTTCCAGACTGAGAAGGGAAGGAGTGCAGGGCAAGAGGTGGGAACAGTATGGGCAAAGGCATAGAGGTGTGATTAGCATAAGTTTGGGAAACAGCAAGCAGGTCTCTGAGGTTGGAGATCGCCTTCCTGGGGCAGACGGCATGGAGAGAATGATGAAGGGGAATCCTAGAGGGGCAAAAGATACCTGGCCCAGTGTCAATCCCCCTCATGCCATAATGGGCAGCCCATGATGGAGGGTGAGGGCCTGGTTGCTGGGGTGGCAACCACAATATATGCTATGGTGTCATTTGCAGGAAAGCCTAGTACAGCCATCTTGGAAAACAATTAAAAATTAAGACCTGGGCTCTCTCATAAATTACTGGGGTGCATATACATTGGAACAATCGGCCAGGCATGGTGGCTCACGCCTGTAATCCCAGCACCTTGGGAGGCCGAGGTGGGTGGATCACCTGAGGTCTGGAATTCAAGACCAGCCTGGCCAACATGGTGAAATCCCATCTCTACAAAAATACCAAAAAAAAAAAAAAGCCAGGCATGATGGCAGGTGCCTGTAATCCCAGTTACTCGGGAGGCTGAGGCGGAAGAATCGCTTGATCCCGGGAGGCGGAGATTGCAGTGAGCTGAGATTGTGCTATTGCACTCCAGCCTGGGTGACAGAGCGAGACTCCGTCTCAAAAAAAAAAAAATTGGAACAATCTCTATGGAAGGTAATTTGGCAATATCAAAATTATAAATGCATGTATATTTTGTGCTAGAAATTCTTCTCCTGGGAATTTATCCTACAGATATACTTGTAAAGGTGTGAAATTATGTCCAAACAGGTTATTCCTTGCCACATTGCAATTGCTTGTAATCTTTTTTTTTTTTTTTTTGAGACGGAGTCTCGCTCTGTCGCTAGTCTGGAGTGCAATGGCGCCATCTCGGCTCACTGCAACCTCCGACTCCCTGGTTCAAGCGATTTTCCTGCCTCACCCTCCCGAGTAGCTGGGATTACAGGCACATGCCACCACACCCAGCTAATTTTTTTTTTTTTTTGGATTTTTCGTAGACACGGGGTTTCATCATGTTGGCAAGGATGGTCTCAAACTCCTGACCTCGTGATCCACCGGCCTCGGCCTCCCAAAGTGCTGGGATTACATGCATGAGCCGGGCACGGTGGCCCACCACCTCCCCCACCACCTCCATGGCTCACCTCTAGAGGAAGGTTGCCCACAGCATTCCCTCACAATTCACATGTGAGTCTCGCACTAATAGTCCACTCCTGCTGCAGCCACAGCTGCCTGCACCGGACCCAGTGCTGCCATCCCCAAGCGCTCTAAGTGCAACAAGAAGGTGTACTTGGCTGGGTGAGGTGGCTCATGCCTGTAATCCCAGCACTTTGGGAGGCCAAGGCGGGTGAATCACCTGAGGTCAGGAGTTCAAGAGCACCCTGGCCAACATGGCGAAACCCTGTCTCTACTAAAAATGCAAAAATTAGCCGGGCATAGTGGCACACACCTGTAGTCCCAGCTACTCGGGAGGCTGAAGCAGGAGAATTGCTTGAACCCGGGAGACGGAGGTTGCAGTGAGCTGAGATCACGCCACTGCACTCCAGCCTTGGGGACAGAGCAAGGCTGTGTCTCAAAAAAATAAATAAATAAAATGGTCTTTGCTGAACAGGTGACCTCCCAGGGCAAGGACTGGCATTGACCTTGCCTCAAGTGTGGAAGTGTGGAAAGACACCGACCTCCAAGGGCCACCCGGAGCATGAAGGCAAGCCCTATTGCAACCACCTCTGCTATTTCGCTGTGTTCAGGCCCAAAAGCTTTGGGCGAGGTGAAGCTGAGAGTCACATTTCAAGTAAACCCAAATGGTGGAGACCTCATCTGGGCCACTGTCCAGGCTGATGTCAGGCTATATCCCAGACACTCAAGGCTTCCTTGTAGCTCCTCATGGCCTCAATAAACCTGAACACTTGGGGGTGGGAGGGGGAAGACTCACTTGCTCTGAGCCCTGGAAACACCTCAGGGCTGAAGACCCACCTTCAATAGGAGCCCTATTATGCCATATTCCTACTTTAGCAGTGTGGGGAAAAGAAAGAGAGATCAGACTGTTACTGTGTCTATGTACAAAGAAGTAGACATAAGAGACTCCATTTTGTTCTGTACTAAGAAAAATTCTTCTGCCTTGAGATGCTGTTAATCTGTAACCCTACCCCCAACCCTGTGCTCACAGAAACATGTGCTGTGTCGACTCAAGGTTTAATGGATTTAGGGCTATGCAGGATGTGCTTTGTTAAACAAATGCTTGAAGGCAGCATGCTTGTTAAAAGTCATCACCACTCCCTAATCTCAAGTATCCAGGGACACAAAACACTGCGGAAGGCCGCAGGGACCTCTGCCTAGGAAAGCCAGGTATTGTCCAAGGTTTCTCCCCATGTGATAGCCTGAGATATGGCCTTGTGGGAAGGGAAAGACCCGACCGTCCCCCAGCCCGACACCCTTTAAAGGGTCTGTGCTGAGGAGAATTAGTAAGAGGAAGGCCTCTTTGCAGTTGAGATAAGAGGAAGGCATCTGTCTCCTGCATGTGCCTGGGCAATGGAATGTCTCGGTGTAAAACCCGATTGTATTATTCCATCTACTGATATAGGAGAAAACCGCCTTACGGCTGGAGGTGAGACATGCTGGCAGCAATACTGCTCTTTAATGCACCGAGATGTTTATGTATGTGCACATCAAAGCACAGCACCTTTTTCTTAACCTTGTTTATGACACAGAGACATTTGTTCACATGTTTTCCTGCTGACCCTCTCCCCACTATTACCCTATTGTCCTGCCACATCCCCCTCTCCGAGATGGTAGAGATAATGATCAATAAATACTGAGGGAACTCAGAGACCTATGCCAGCGTGGTCCTCTGTATGCTGAGCGCCGGTCCCCTGGGCCCACTTTTCTTTCTCTATACTTTGTCTCTGTGTCTCTTTCTTTTCTCAGTCTCTCATCCCAACCGACGAGAAACACCCACAGGTGTGGAGGGGCAGGCCACCCCTTCATCCAGCTCCTGAGGAGAACATGCATTTTCTCCTTGATAAGCCCAATCCCTCCTCTCTCTTCTGCACAGAGGGGCTGGCCTGGACTCTGGAGTCAGACAGCTGGGAGACCAAACCCCAGCCTGCCCCTCATCCCTGTGATTCTTGGCCTCTCCCTCAGGTCAAGTAGGAAACACTTGCCTTCAAGCCTTGCTGGGAGGAAACAAAACTGGAAAGCACAGTCCCTAGCACACAGTAGGAGCGCAGAAAGCGCG
Organism: Homo sapiens; assembly: GCF_000001405.40. NCBI lineage: Eukaryota > Metazoa > Chordata > Mammalia > Primates > Hominidae > Homo > Homo sapiens. The sequence goes on from NC_000003.12 coordinate 12,675,334, forward strand.
GCTCCTCCCCCTCTCCCCAACCTCTCCCTGACTCACTGCTTTCTGCCCTACATGGACAAGTCGACTGGGTCTTGAAGAAAAAAACACCAATGTGCCCCTTGTACTTGGTACCCTAATTCCTCCCCTTTAGGGCCAAATTAACCTAAAAAATGGTCTAGGCTCGGGCTGAATTTTCTCACCCACCCCTGCATTAAGCCGTGACAGTTGGCCTTCCACAGCCATCCCCAGAATGCCTCTTCTTCCCACGGAAACCACCCTCCAAGGCCCCCAGTAAATCCCAGGAGGGTGTCCCAAGCCCAGGCCTCAATGCCCTTTGTGGCATTTGGTAAAGGGTATGCCCTTCCTGTTGAAACTCTGCCTCTGTGCTTCTCTCCTATTTCACACCAGCGTTGTCTGATTCTTCTTGTCCCAGGACTGGCTCCTTTTACGCTTGCAGGGTGTTAGACCCAGAGCAGCTTGGTGAAGCAGCTCCTGCCATTTCCTCTGTTGGAAATACCCTTCCATGCTTTAGATCCCAGCTCGAGGACCACTTCTGCAGCAACTAGCTCCACCTCTACCCCAACTTCGTTGTGTGCATTGCCTTCTCTCAGCCTCACATAGGCATCACAGAATAGGCACAAGCTTTGGAATCTGACTTATTTAAAAGGTAGTGCTACCCAAAAAAAAAAAAAAAAATAGAGGGGCCAGGCACAGTGGCTCACACCTGTACTCCCAGCACTGTGGGAGGCCGAGGCGGGTGGATCATCTGAGGTCAGGAGTTCAAGACTAGCCTGGCCAACATGGTGAAACCCCGTCTCTACTAAAAATGCAAAAAATTAGCCAGGCGTGGTGGCAGGCACCTGTAATCCCAGCTACTCAGGAGGCTGAGGCAGGAGAATCACTTGAACCCCGAGGCGGAGGTTGCAGTGAGCCAAGATCATGCCACTGCACTCCAGCATGGGCAACGAGAGCAAAACTCATCTTAAAAAAAAAAAAAATAGAAACAAGGTTGCACTATGTTGCCTAGACTGGCGTCAAACTCCTGGGCTCAAGGGACCCTCCTGCCTCAGCATCAGGTGTAGCAGGGACTACAGCTGCACAACCAGCTATAGACTTGTTTTCTGTTTGGTTTTGTTTGAGATGGAGTCTCGTTCTGTCACCAGGCTGGAGTGCAGTGTCGCAATCTCTGCTCACTGCAACTTCCGCCTCCTGGGTTCAAGCAATTCTTCCGCCTCAGCCTCCCAAGTAGCTGGGACTACAGGCATGCACTACCACGCCCAGCTAATTTTTGTATTTTTAGTAGAGACGGGGTTTCACCATGTTGGCCAGGATTACCTTGATCTCTTGACCTCGTGATCCACCTGCCTTGGCCTCCCAAAGTGCTGGGATTACAGGCGTGAGCTACCATGCCCAGCCTTTGTTTTGTTTTATTTTGTTTTGTTTTGTTTGTTTTCCACCCAGGCTGGATTGCAGTGGCGCAATCACGGCTCACTGCAGCCTCATCCTCCTGAGGCTCAGGTGATCCTCCCTCTTCAGCCTTTTGAGTAGCTAGGACTACAGGTGCGTCACCACACCCAGCTAATTTTTTTTTTATTATTGTTATTCAGCTATAGACTTTGATTTCCATCTCTTTATCCTATTAGCTGTTTGACTCTATGTATTAGCAAACTGGCTAATGTATCTGCAGTTTTCTTATCTGTGAAATGGGAATGATGTGCCCACCTCCCCCTGCCCCACCAAGGGCTTTGGTAGGGCTGAGATCCCTATTTAAAACATCTTATCGGCAGGGCGCGGTGGCTCACACCTGTAATCCTAGCACTTTGGGTGGCCTAGGTGGGTAGATCACTTGAGATCAGGAGTTCAAAACTAGCCTGGCCAACATGGTGAAACCTCATCTCTACTAAAAATACAAAAAAATTAGCCAGGCATGGTGGTGGATGCCTGTAATCCCAGCTACTTGGGAGGCTGAGACAGGAGAATCGCTTGAACCCGGGAGGCGGAAGTTGCAGTGAGCCGAGATTGCGCCATTGCACTCCAGCCTGGGCAACAGAGCAAGACGCCTTCTCAAAAAAAAAAAAAAAAAAGCATCTTATTTTGTGTGGTGAGAGGGGCAGGGTGGGCTTTATGACCATGAGGCCAGCTAGTCACACAGGAACCCCATTCCATGCTCAGAAAGCGCCTATACTTGGGGTTGAATGCTCTGTGATCTCTGTTTTGAAATTCTTCATCATTTTATCTTTGAGTTTGTGTTTTGTATGTGAAGTCCAATGTGACGATGGAGCTTGAGACCTCTGCTCCTGCGTGGTCCAGCCTCTTACTTCCTCCCTACCCGGGAAGGGGGGCGGTTCCAGCCACTTGCTCCACTGTGTTCTGCCACTTCCCTCCGACCCCACCCCACTCCCTACTGCTACCTGGGGCAGCCTCCCCTCTCTCACCCCCACCCAGCTCCTGTTGTGACCCTCCACCTTGGGGTGGGGCCAGGAAGGTCAGGGTGGGACTCCTCCAAGCCCACCAGGTGTGGTCCTACCACTACACATTTGGCAGGCAGCCTAGCAGGCGCCTCCCGCCCCTGACCCAGATTCTGAACACTACCTGGCACAGAAGCTGCAATCCCTTGAGGGTCACTATCTATCAGGAGGTGGGACAGTGTTCTACTGGGAAGCGAAGATTGCCTTCCCTGCCCCCAGCTGGGCTCAGCACATCAGTCTGGCAGTTGGTGGGAGGGGCAACCTGGGAACCAGCTGGTGGGAACACACAGGCCCCTATTGGGGTCTGCATTCACCCTATGAGCATCCCCATGTCCAAAGGAACATGACATGAAATAGCAAATATAAAACATGGTGGAGAAACCATGAAAGAAAAGAAAAACTTCTACATTTTATTTTTCATTTTTTATTTATTTATCTTTTTTGAGAGATGGAGTCTTGTTCTGTCGCGCAGGCTGGAGTGCAGTGGCACAATCTCACCTCACTGCAACCTCTGCCTCCTGGGTTCAAGTGATTCTCCTGCCTCAGCTTCCCAAATAGCTGAGACCACAGGCATGCGCCACCATGCCCAGCTAATTTTTGTATTTTTTTAGTAGAGACAGGGTTTCAGTATGTGTCAGCCAGGCTGGTCGAACTCCTGACCTCAGGCAATCCGTCCATCTCGGCCTCCCAAAGTGCTGGGATTACAGGCGTGAGCCACTGTGCCTGGCCAAGTTCTACATTTTAGTTGAACTTTTTTCTTTTTTTTTTTTTCCAAGATGGGAGTCTCACTCTGTCACCCAGGCTGGAGTGCAGTTGCTTGATCTCGGCTCACTGCAACCTCCGCCTCCTGGGTTCAAGCGATTCTCCTGCCTCAGCCTCCTGAGTAGTTGGGATTACAGGCATGCGCCACCACACTCAGCTAATTTTTGTATTTTTAATAGAGACGAGGTTTCGCCATTTTGGCCAGGCTGGTCTCGAACTCCTGACCTCAGGTGATCCACCCACCTTGGCCTCCCAAAGTGCTGGGATTACAGGCATGAGCCATTGTGCCCTGCCTTAGTCGAACTTTTAATGGCACTTTTTTTTTTTTTTGCCTTTTGAACAAGGGCCCTGCATTTTCTTTTCTTTTCTGTTTAATAGAGACAGGGGTCTCACTATGTTGCCCAGGCTGGTTTCAAACTTCTGGACTCAAGCAATCCTCCCACCTTGGCCTCCCAAAGTGATGGGATTACAGGTGTGAGCTACCACAACCGGCCACGGGCCCTGCATTTTTTCTTTTTCTTTTTTTGAGACGGAGTCTCGCCCTGTCACCCAAGCTGGAGTGTGCAGTGGTGTGATCTCAGCTCACTGCAACCTCTGCCTCCCGGGTTCAAAAAATTATCCTGCCTCAGGCTCCCGAGTAGCTGGGATTACAGGCGCGCACCACTATGCCCAGCTAATTTTTGTATTTTTAGTAGAGACGGGGTTTCACCATGTTGGTCAGGCTGGTCTCAAACTCTTGACCTTGTGATCTGCCCGCCTCGGCCTCCCAAAGTGCTAGAATTACAGGTGTGAGCCACCGCACCCGGCCAGGCCCTGCATTTTCATTTTGCACTGGGTCTCACAAATTATGTAGATGACCCTGGAGCGAGGCCAGGAGGGTCATATAGGCCTGGAAGGGTCTTAAAATTTGCCATTCTCCCCAAACAAGGTTATAGAGGTACACTGATCAGAATAAAACAAGAAACCACTCATCATACAATTTTAAACTGGAGCCTGACACCAGACCACACTGTCTGTGGTAGATTATTATTCCAGCTGTCCTTTGTTGTGTAACAAGCTGCCTGAACTTAAGCTCAGCTGAGGGTATCTGCCAGAGCACCTCTGCCGGCTCTTCCAGCACAGTGGCCTCAGGGTGTCCAGAATTCCTACGTGGGGACTCAGAGCACCAACAACTAATGCGTCATGGTATTTTATGACCTACTGACCTAGCATCTCTTCCACTGTGCTCTACTGGCTGTAGCAGTTACAGCCCGCAGAGCCAAGGGGAGGAAATACAGAATCCACTTCTCGATGCGGGACTGATGAGGTTACAGAAATTCATATGGGATGGGACCTATTGTTGCACTATCTTTGAAAAGTATTAATTGGCCACATCTGTGAATTACATCTTAAATCCTTTATCTTGAAAAGAGCATCATAAATTTACATTATGTTTGTATGGGGGTGGATTATGAATTTAAAAGTTATTAGTTTGTTGAATATAAGCTTTTAAAGGCCAAGCACAGTGGCTCATGCCTGTAATCCCAGCATTTTGGGAGGCCAAAGCAGAAGGATTGCTTGAGGCCACGAGTTCAAGACCAGCCTGAGCCATGTAGCAAGACCTCTTCTCTACAAATAGAAATAAAAATTTAAAAATAAGCCTTTAAAATATTTCATCACCTTTTTTTTTTTTTTTTTTTTTTTTTAGACAGAGTCTGGCTCTATCACCCAGGCTGGAGTACAGTGGTGTGATCTCAGCTTACTGCAACCTCTACCTTTTGGGTTCAAGCGATTCTCCTGCCTCAGCCTCCCAAGTAGCTGGGATTACAGGCCCATGCCACTACACCCAGCTAATTATTTGTATCTTAGTAGAAACGGGGTTTCACCATGTTGTCCAGGCTGGTCTTGAACTTTAGAGCTCAAGCAATCCTCCAGCCTCGGCCTCCCAGAGTGTTAGGATTACAGGCGTGAGCCACCACGCCCAGCCTTCATCATCAGTTGTTTTGTTTTGTTTTGAGACGGAGTCTGGCTCTGTTGCCCAGGCTGGTATGCAGTGGCTCCATCTGAGCTCATTGCAACCTCCGCCTCCTGGCTTCAAAGGATTCTCCTGCCTCAGCCTCCCGCGTAGCTGGGATTACAGGCACATGCCACCACGCCCGGCTAATTTTTGTATTTTTAGTAGAGACGGGATTTCACCATATTGGTCAGGCTGGTCTGGAACTCCTGACCTCCTGATCTGCCCTCTTTTGCCTCCCAAAGTGCTGTGATTACAGGCTTGAGCCACCGCACCTGGCCCATCACCATTTTTTAATACCTATTTTGGAATTTCTACATTTAAAAAAAATACCAGGAAATTCCGGGGGTGGTGGCTCACGCCTGTAATCCCAGCACTTTGGGAGGCCGAGGCGGGTGGATCACTTGAGGTCAGGAGTTCGAGACCAGCTTGGCCAACATGGTGAAACTTCATCTCTATTAAAAATACAAAAAATTAGCCTGGCGTGGTGGTGTACTCCTGTAGTCTCAGCTACTTGGGAGGGTGAGGCAGGAGAATCACTTGAACCTGGGAGGCAGAGTTTGCAATGAGCCAAGATTGCACCACAGCACTCCAGTCTGGGCAACAGGGCAAGACTCCATCTCTAAAAAAAAAATAAAAAATAAAAAAAAATCTCAGGAGCTTCAAAAAAATGTAATGGCTTAGGTCTTTCTTAGTCTCTGGGATAAGGGCCTTATTATGGTATATTCTACCGCCCCCATCCCGCAGCGTGTAGTACTGAGCATATAGTTGGTGCTTAATGTATACTTATTTCACTGTTAGCTAAGACAGAAGAGAAACTGTGGCTTTAGCCTTAAGATGAACCTTAAAGGAACAAGGCTTATTGGATGACTAACACTTTAATTTCTGGTTATTTCATTGTCACCACATCCAGTCTAAAATTGATACAGTTTCCTTCATTGGCTCACATTGGCTGGCTCCAAAGGGAGAATGAAAGCCAGATAATCAGGACCAAAGATGTGCTTGTGTTGTTTTGTTTTGCTGAAATGATATGGACAATCCTGTCAGTTCTCCCTTTCACTCTCCATTATCTACAGTTCACCCTCATGCTGGAGGCCACACCAGCTACTGGTGATGTAGAGATGCCCAGCAGAGTCCCTGCCCTTGAGGGCCTCATTGTGCAGTGTGGAGAAGAACAAATGAATTACAGGCCCAGGCAAGGCTTTGAAACATAGTAGTCTATCTACGTGTCAGTGTTCCTTGGAGAGGGAATGACTGGATAAGTGGGAAGGGAGGGCCTCCTGGAGGAGGAGTGTGTTCAGGAATGAAATCAAAAGTGAAATTCTCCAAGGGAAGGAGATGAGGAAAGACAGGCAGAAGAAACAGGGCAAGTAAAGATACACACAGAGGCAGGAGTTGGCACTCTTCATGGTAGCCAAGATGACTGCCTGTGATCCCCACTTCCTGTATTCACAGCTTGTGAAATTCCCTGCCATATTTTGTCAGGGTTGGTCTGCATGACCAATAGAATACCACAGAAGTGGTGTTGTGTCACTTCCAAGGCTAGTTCTAAAAGACTGTGTGCAATGCTGCCAAAAAAAAAAAAGGAACTTCACCCAAGATTTTTTCCTGTTTCTTCTATCTTCTATCTCTTTCTTTTTTGGATCATTTGTGCTGAAGGAAGTCACAGGCAGTCCTACAGAGAGACCCACATGATGAGGAACTGAGTCCGCTTGCCAATAGTCACACAAGCAGATTCTTCAAGCCCATCAAGCCTTCAGATACCATGGTCCCCACTGACTGCAACCTCAGCTTTTATTTTTTGACTATGACCTCATGAGAGACCTTGAGCCAGAGCCACCAGCTAAGCCCCTGCTGAATTGAACTCTCATAATCTGCATGAGATAGTAAATGCTTGTCTTAGCTGCTGAGTTTTAGAATAATTTGTTACACAGCAATAGATCACTTATACAGTGTGTGTGTGCAAGAAAATGTAAGTAGTTTGGTTTGTTGAGTGCCTAAGTTTGGTGAAATACAGGCCCAGTGGAAGGGGCTGGGAAGCACCTGGGTTATCCATCTCAGGCCCCATGCCTCAATTGAAGTAGTCGGTTACAGAGGACTTCATTGTTTGCCTTTTCTTCTTATCCTAAGAAACGTTTGGGGACCCACTTCTCCCCTACTCTCAGACCCTGCTATTTGGCTGGGACTCTCCCCTGGTGCCAGGAATGAAAGCTGTGACTCAGGCACAGGCCACTGTGATTGGTTGAGGGATGGAGACATGACTCAACGGATCCAATCACAGTGAGTCTCAGGTTTTAGAGGAAGCTTCCAAATAAGCCTTCTGGGCTTTCCCATGGACTTGAACTGGGAGGGGAGGAAAGGCTGGAGCTGTGTCTGCCACTTTTTTTTTTTTTTTTTTTTTTTTTGAGATGGAGTCTCGCTCTGTCACCCAGGCTGGAGTGCAGTGGTGCCATTTCGGCTCACTGCAACCTCCCTCCCAGGTACAAGTGATTCTCCTGTCTCAGCCTCCCGAGTAGCTGGGATTACAGGTGCACGCCACCATTCCCAGCTAATTTTTTGTATTTTGGTAGAGACAGGGTTTCACCGTTTTATCCAGGCTGGTCTCCAACTCCTGAGCTCAGAGAATCCACCCACCTCGGCCTCCCAAAGTGCTAGAATTACAGGCGTGAGCCACTGCGCCCGGCCCTCAGCCACCTTTATACAATGAGAGCAGAGCCTGGGTCGGGAGCGGTGGCCCACGCCTGTAATCCCAGTACTTTGGGAGGCCGAGGCGGGCGGATCACGAGGTCAGGAGATCCAGACCATCCTGGCTAACACGGTGAAACCCCGTCTCTACTAAAAAAAAAAAATACAAAAAAAAAAAGAGGAAAAAAAAAAAAAAGCCGGGCGTGGTGGCGGGCGCCTGCAGTCCCAGCAACTTGGGAGGCTGAGGCAGGAGAATGGCGTGAACCCGGGAGGCGGAGCTTGCAGTGAGCCGAGATCGCACGACTGCACTCCAGCCTGGGCGACAGAGCGAGACTGTGTCTCAAAAAAAAAAAAAAAAACAACAGAGCCTGGAGTTCACAGGGCCCGAGAATGGATTCCGCGGGGTCCTTCAACCTCTGTTGAGCACTGAAACCAGCCAGACCTCCAACAGCCAGACCTGGGCTTTTCAGTTCCATGCAGATTACATTCCCCCTTTTTGTACTTAAAACAATTAAGTTAGTTTTTCTATCGCCGATAGCAGAGCCCTAATAGATGCCCCGGCCGTTAGCTGTTGATTTTCTCTCCGGAAACTGAATATTGACATTCAGTGAAGCTCATGTCTTCTCCTTCTGAAGAGCGTTCCCTTCAGACCACATGTGGAAATCACTGGGAGTTATGCACACGCTTTCAGGAGGAGGGAGTCTATGAACTGAAGGAGTGTTCCGAGCCCCAAAGACCAATGGGTGTAAAAGGCTGCCCACTGCCTTTAGTCTTTCTTCCGCTATTCATTCCTCAGGTGGCTTGCTTTGCCCCACAGCCTCTGAGGCTGTTGTGGATTCACAGGGGTTCACGTTGGAGAGGCTTCATCAGACCAGATTCAGTACATTGTGAGAACTCTGGAATTATTATTTTTATTTTATTATTACTATATTTTATCTGACTAGAAGCCATTTATTACCAAACCAATTTATTTCTTAGAGTTGAAAACCGTCTGTGAGAAGCTTCTCTGGCCTGGATGGAGATCCAGCTCTTTTTTTTTTTTTTTGAGACAGAGTCTTGTTCTGTCGCCAGGCAGGAGTGCAGTGGCACGATCTCTGCTTACTGCAACCTCCACCTCCTGGGTTCAAGCAATTCTCCTGCCTCAGCCTCCCGAGTAGCTGGGACTACAGTCGCACATTTCCACGCCCGGATAATTTTTTGTTCGTTTGTTTGTTTGCGTTTTAGTAGAGATGGGGTTTCACCATGTTGCCCAGGCTGGTCTCGAACTCCTGAGCTCAGGTAATCTGCCCGCCTCGGCCTCCCAAAGTGTTAGGATTACAGGTGTGAGCCACCGCGCCCGGCTGGTTTTTTGTTTGTTTGTTTGTTTGTTTGAGACGGAGTCTCGCTCTGTCACCCAGGCTGGAGTGCAGTGGCGCGATCTTGGCTCACCGCAAACTCCGCCTCCCGAGTTCAAGTGATTCTCCTGCCCCAGCCTCCCAAGTAGCTGGGACTACAGGCATCCGCCATCACGCCTGGCTAATTTTTTGTATTTTTAGTAGAGACAGGGTTTCACCATGTTAGCCAGGATGGTCTCGATCTCTTGACCTCGTGATCCGCCTGCCTCGACCTCCCAAAGTGCTGGGATTACAGGTGTCAGCCACCATACCTGGCAGGTAGTTTATTTTTTTGGAGACAGAGTTTCGCTCTATCACCCAGGCTGGAGTGCAATGACACAGTCTTGGTTCACTGCAACCTCTGCCTCCTGGGGTCAAGCGATTCTCGTGCCTCAGCCTCCCCAGTAGCTGGGATTACAGGCGCGCCCCACCAGCCTGCATAATTTTTTGTATTTTTAGTAGAGATGGGGTTTTGCCATGTTGCCCAGGCCAGTCTCAAACTCCTGAGCTCAGGCAATCCACCCACCTCGGCCTCCCAAAATGTGGGAATTAGAGGCATAAGCCACCGCACCCGGCCTGGTATTATGTTTATAATTAACAATATTTACAACCCTTATAATGTGCAATGTTTCCATAACTTGGAGACCATGAGAACTGAGCTTTAAACAGTAGCTGAAGATGCAGTCCTCTGATGTTTAGCTTAAATTTTGTGCCCCTTCACTTACCTCTCTAGAAGTGAAAAATTTAAGGATAATACAAGAGGGTCAACCTTAGCTAAAAGCTCCGGTCATCAGATTGAAAAAAATCAAGCCTGTCTATACAGCCTTTTTCTCAGCCTAAAATACGGTTTGCACATTAATTCTGGAAATTGCTTTCTTTTAGTTCATTTTCTCATTATAGATCTGGGCAACTGTGGTTTTATCTTCTTCCTCAGATTCTTTTTTTTTTTTTTGAGACGGAGTCTCGCTCTGTCGCCCAGGCTGGAGTGCAGTGGCGCGATCTCAGCTCACTGCAAGCTCCACCTCCCAGGTTCACGCCATTCTCCTGCCTCAGCCTCCCGAGTAGCTGGGACTACAGGCGCCCGCCACCATGCCCGGCTAATTTTTTTTTGTATTTTTAGTAGAGACGGGGTTTCACCATGTTAGCCGGGATGGTCTTGATCTCCTGATCTCGTGACCCACCCGCCTCAGCCTCCCAAAGTGCTGGAATTACAGGCATGAGCCACCGTGCCCGCCTCTCAGATTCTTTATAGTAATGTTGGCATCCTGTAGACATTTGTCCGATCAGGAAAATCAGTGTTTTCTTTTTGAGATGGAGTTTCGCTCTTGCTGCCCAGGCTGGAGTGCTGTGATGTGATGGCTCACTGCAACCTCTGCCTCCTGGGTTCAAGCGATTCTCCTGCCTCAGCCTCCCAAGTAGCTGGGATTACAGGTGCCTGCTACCACACCTGGCTAATTTTTGTATTTTTAGTAGAGACAGGGTTTCTCCATGTTGGTCAGGCTGGTCTTGAACTCCCTACCTGAGGTGATCCGCCCATCTCAGCCTCCCAAACTGCTGGGATTACAGGCGTGAGCCACTGCGCCCAGCCAGGGTTTTCTTTTAGAAACAATTTCAGAAGCCAAATGACTCCAAAACAAATTGGTTGGTCATAAAACATAGAAAGGAAATTATTAACAACAATAGCTAACAACAATAGAGCACCAGCTCTATGTCAGGCATAATGCCAGAAGGCACATGATCATATGGGCATAACAACAGTTTTAGATGGCTACCATTATCATCCCATTTTACAGATGAGGGAACTGAGGCAAGGACACACAGCTAACAGTGCTTGAGTTGTAGATCCATTTCAAGCTGTCCAATTCCACACCCCTCTATTTTTTTAAAATAACTATTTTTTTTTCTTTGAGATGGAATCTTGCCCTGTTGCCCAGGCTGGAGTGCAGTGGTGCGATCTCGCTCACTGCAACCTCCGCCTCCTGGGTTCAAGCGATTCTCCTGCCCCAGCCTCCCAAGTAACTGGGCTTACAGGAGCGCGCCTCCATGCCCAGCTAATTTTTGCATTTTTAGAAGGGACGGGGTTTCACCATGTTGGTCAGGCTGGTCTCGAACTTCTGACCTCGTGATCCGCCCGCCTCGGCCTCCCAAAGTGCTGGGATTACAGGCATGAGCCACCGCGCCCGGCCTAAAATAACTATTTGGATAGAATTTGTAACAAGGAGAAAATATGCAAGAAACATCCTTACATAGTACCTGCACCTTTAATCATTATAGTTTATTTGTTCAATAAATAAATAGGCATTCAAACATAGTACATAACTAATCTTAATTAAGAAAACACCAACAGGCCGGTTGCAGTGGCTTACACCTGTAATCCCAGCACTTTGGGAGGCCGAGGCAGGCAGATCGCTTGAGCCCAGGGGTTCAAGACCAGCCTGGGCAACATAGCAAAGACCCTGTCTCTATAAAAAATACAAAAATTAGCTGGGGCATGGTGGCGCATGCCTGTGGTACCAGCTACATGGGGAGGTGGAGGTGGAAGGATCACCTGATCCTGGGAAGTCAAGGATCCAGTAAGCCGTGATCATGCCACTGCACTCCAGCCTGGATGATGGAGGGAGACCCTGTCTCAAAAAAAAAAAAAAAAAAAAAAACCCACAAACAAACATACAAACAAAAAACACCAACATACTCAAAATGGTAATCCAAAACAAGATTAATCTTGGCTGAAAGCCACAATGCTGAAGGGGGAAATGAAGAGTGTCTAATATTTGCTGCACAGGCTGGGCGCGGTGGCTCACGCCTGTAATCCCAACACTTTGGGAGGCCAAAGCGGGCGGATAATGAGGTCAGGAGATCGAGACCATCCTGGCTAACACGGTAAAACCCTGTCTCTACTAAAAATACAAAAAAAGAGAAAAATTAACCGGGCATGGTGGCAGGTGCCTGTAGTCCCAGCTACTGGGGAGGCTGAGGCAAGAGAATGACGTGAATCTGGGAGGCGGATCTTGCAGTGAGCCAAGATCAAATTTACTGCACAATTCTTCTTCTTTTTTTTTTTTTTTTTTGAGACAGAGTCTCGCTCTGTCACCCAGGCTGGAGTGCAGTGGCGCGATGTTGGCTCACTGCAAGCTCCGCCTCCCAGGTTCACGCCATTCTCCTGCCTCAGCCTCCTGAGTTGCTGGGACTGCAGTCACCTGCCACCACGCCTGGCTAATTTTTTTTTGTATTTTTAGTAGAGACGGGGTTTCACCGTGTTAGCCAGGATGGTCTCGATCTCCTGACCTCGTGATCCGCTCATCTCGTCCTCCCAAAGTGCTGGGATTAGAGGCGTGAGCCACCGCGCCCGGCCAATTTACTGCACAATTCTTACTCATTTCTGTATTTGTCCTTCCTGAGGTTTACTTGCAATAAAGAGTCACGAAAGCTTACAGCTTAGAGAAATCCTAGAGACCTTTCAGTGCAAACCTTTCTAGCCCCCACATTTGGCAGATGGGTGCTGGCCTGAAGAGGGGTCAGGGTGCTCTGCGTCACATGGAGCTGTGGGCAGCTGAGAGCCCAGATGGATCTCCTGGGATCAAAGCCCAGCTGTCATTTACAAGCTGTGTGACCTTGACAGCGACTTAACCTCACAGAGACTTGATCTTATCTTCAAATGGAGCAAGGAATACCTATGTTACAAGATTACTGAATTAAAAAAAGATAAGATACGGAAAGAGCTTGGCATTTAGTAGGCATCCAACAAATATTCCTTTACCTGTTCAAATAGCTTTTCCACACTTCAGATTATTTCTTTAATATAGAGTTCCTGAAGTTAGGGCCGAGCATGGTGGCTGAACACTTTTGCCCACACTTTAGGAGACCAAGGCGGGAGGATCAATTAAGGCTAGGACTTCAAGACCAGACTGGGCAACACAGAGAGACCCTGTCTCTACAAAAAAAAAAAAAGTTAGCTGGGCATGGTGGTACTTGCTTGTGGTCCCAGCTACTTGGGAGGCTGAGTGGGGAGGATCATTGGAGCATGGGAGGTCAAGACTGCAGTGAACCATGATTGAGCCTGGATGACAGCACTCCAGCCTAAGTGACAGAGCGAGACCTTGTCTCAATAAAATAAAAATAACAAACAAAAAAACAGAAGTTGAGAAGACCAGATGTGGTGGCTCACAACTATAATCCTTGCACTTTGGGAGGCCGAAGCAGGTAGATCACTTGAAGTCCAGGAGTTCAAGACCAGCCTGGACAACATGGCCAGTCCCCATCTCTACAAAAAATACAAAAAAATTAGCTGGGCATGGTGATGCGTGCCTGTAATCCCAGCTACTTGGGAGGCTGAGGCAGGAGAATTGCTTGAACCCAGGAGGTGGGGGTTACAGTGAGCTGAGATTGTGCCACTGCAACCTCCGCCTCCCAGGTTCAAGGGATTCTCCTACCTCAGCCTCCCAGGTAGCTGGGACTACAGGCACACACCACCACGCCCAGCTAATTTTTGTGTTTTTAGTAGAGACCAGGTTTCGCCGTGTTGCCCAGGCTGGTCTCAAACTCCTGACCTCAGGTGATCTGCTCACCTTGGCCTCTCAAAGTGCTAGGATTACAGGTGTGAGCCACCTCACCCAACCTGTTCCCTGTTTTCTGATTTAGCTGTTTGTGATCTTGGACCATTTGGGTATTGGTGTTTTTTTCTTACCAGTATATAAGAATTATTTTTTATGATAAAGAAGTTAACTTCTCCAGCCTTGGCAATGTGGTGAAACCCCATCTCTAGTGAAAATACAAAAACTAGCCCAGTGTGGTGGCATGAGCCTGTAATCCCAGCTACTAGGGAGGCTGAGGCAGGAGAATTGCTTGAACCCAGGAAGCGGAGATTGCAGTGAGCCAAGATTGTGCCACTGTATTTCAGCCTGGGCAATAAAGCAATAATCCGTCTCAAAAAAAAAAAAAAAAAAAAAAAAGGCCGGTGAGGTGGCTCATGCCTGTAATCCCAGCACTTTTTGGGGCTGAGGTGGGTGGATCAACTGAGGCCAGGAGTTGCAGATCAGCCTGGCTAACATGGTGAAATCCCATCTCTACTTAAAATACAAAAAATCAGTTGGGTGTGGTGGTACTTGCCTGAGGCTGATACAGGAGAATTGCTTGAGCCCTCGAGGCAGAAGTTGAAGTGAGCAAAACCAAAACAAAACAAAAAACAAACAAAGAAGTTAACTTTTTTGTTTTTTCTTTTTGAGACGAGTCTTACTCTGTCACCCAGGCTGGAGTGCAGTGGCGAGATCTCCACTCACTGCAACCTCTGCCTTCTGGGTTCAAGGGATTCTCCTGCCTCAGCCTCCCAAGTAGCTGGGAGTACAGGCACCCACCACCACACCCAGCCAATTTTTGTATTTTTAGTAGAAACAGGGTTTCACCATATTGGTCAGACTGGTCCTGAACTCCTGACCTCAGATGATCCACCTGCCTCAGCCTCCCTGTCAATGAGACCTTATTTGGAAATAGGGTCTTTGCAGACACAATGAAGCTGAAGTGAACTTGTAGTGGAGAAAGGTCTCACTCTGTCACTCAGGGGTCTGAGTGACAGGGTCTCAGTCTGTCACTCAGGCTGCAGTGCAGTGGCGCCATCTCAGCTCACTGCAGCCTCAACCTCCCTGGGCTCAGGCGATCCTCCCACTACAATCTCCGGATTAGCTGGGACTATAGGCATCCACCACCATTTATTTGTTTATTTTGTTTATTTTTTGTAGAGATGGGATTTCCCCATGTTGCCCAGACTGGTCTCAAATTTCCTGGGCTCAAGCGATCCTCCTGCCTTGGCAGCCTCAGAAAGTGCCGGGGTTACAGGTGTGAGCCACCACACTCAGTCTGGCTGATGTCTTAATAAGAAGACAGAGAGGCACAGGAAGAGCACCAAGAGACAACACTGGCAGAGACTGGAGTGATGCAGCTGCAGGCAAGGGCCTCCGTGGATGGCCAGCACTGCTAGAAACTCGGTAGAAGCAAGGAAAGATTCTACCCAGAGTCTGAGAGGGAACGTGGCCCGCTGATACCTTGATTTCAGACTTCTGGTCTCCAGAACGATTTCTTATTTGTGGTACCAAATTTGTGGTACTTCGTTATGGTAGCCCTGGACACTGATACACCAAATTAAGGCCAAATTTTTTTATTAAAATTAGAACTGGACAGAAATGATTCCATGCTGAAAGTGGAAGTGCTGGGCATGTACAGTAGGACCCAAAGTGACTCTACTTTGCAAATTACACCAAAATGAAACCCAAATGACAGGGAGATTTAAATGTAAAAAATGGGCCAGGCGTAGTGGCTCATGCCCATAATCCCAGCTCTTTAGGAGGCAGAGGTGGGTGGATCACTTGAGGCCAGGAGTTCGAGACCAGCCAGGCCAACATGGTGAAACATCCTCTCCACTAAAAATACAAAAATTAGCCAGGCATGGTGGCAGGCGCCTGTAATCCCAGTGCTTTGGGAGACTGAGGCGGGCAGATCACCTGACGTCAGGAGTTCGAGACCAGCCTGGCCAAAATGGTGAAACCCTGTCTCTACTAAAAATACAAAAAAAAAATTAGCCCGGTGTGGTGGCAGGTGCCTGTAATCTCAGCTACTCAGGAGGCTGAGGCAGGAGAATCACTTGAACCCGGGAGACGGAGGTTGTGGTGAGCTGAGATTGCGCCACTGCACTCCAGCCTGGGCAACAGAGCAAGACTCCATCTCAAAAATAAATAAATAAATAAATAAAAATAAAAGAAAAAGCAAAAAATGAAACCATAGGAGTACTAAAGGAAAGCCGGGTGCAGTGGCTCATGCCTGTAATCCCAGCACTTTGGGAGGCCAAGGTGGGCAGATCACAAGGTCAGGAGTTCAAGACCAGCCTGGCCAATATGGTGAAACCCTGTCTCTACTAAAAAATAAAAAAATTAGCCGGGCGTGGTGGTGTGTGCCTATAGTCCCAGCTACTCAGGAGGCTGAGGCAGGAGAATCGCTGGAACCCGGGAGGCAGAGGTTGCAGTGAGCCGAGATCAAGCCACTGCACTGCAGCCCAGGCGACAGAGCAAGACTCTGTCTCAAAAAAAAAAAAAGAAGTACTACAGGAAAGCATGAGAAGGTTAAAAACATTTTTTTTTTCAGTACAGGGGAAACTTCCATATCTAAGCATGATATGAATGCCAGAAGGCATAAAAGAAAAGCCTGATAAATTGACCTCCATGAAAGTCAAATTTCTGCATGGTAATAAATACCTTAAACAAAATCAAAGGTCAAATGATAAGCTGGGAAAAAACATTTGCAATTCAATTCATAGATGAGCCAAGCATGGTGCCTCACGCCTGTAATCCCAGCACTTTGGGAGGCAGAGGCAGGCAGATCACCTGAGGTCAGGAGTTTGAGACCAGCCTGGCCAAGAAGGTGAAACCCCACCTCTACTAAAAACACAAAAATTAATGGGTGTGGTGGTGGGCGCCTCAAATCCCAGCTACTCAGAAGGATGAGGCAGGAGAATCACTTGAACGGAAGGCAGAGGTTGCAGTGAGATGGCGCCATTGCACTCCAGCCTGGGCGACAAGAGTGAGACTCTGCCTCAAAAAAAAAAAATAAGTAAATACAATTCACAGATGAAGGATTGGTTTCCCTAATGTAAAAAGAGTTCCAAAAATCAATTAAGAAGAAACAAAGAACCCCACAGACAAATAGTCAGGACTAGGATAGTTAGGATATGAATAGGCAATTCACATAAAGGAACACACAAGTAAATCAAATATACAAAAAGAGAGCCACCATCATAGTAAGAGAAACTACACTGAGAGACCACTTCTCACCTGACAGGTTGGGCAAAGTCAAAAAATGTAGTCAAGTGTGGTGGCAGGCCGGTAGTCCCAATTACTCAGGAGGCTGAGGTGAGAGGATCCCGTGAGCCCAGGAGTGTGAGCCCAGTCTGGACAACATAGAGAGCCCTCTCCCAAAAAAAGGTTTGCTAACTGATTCCAATGTGTTTTCAGTATGTTCTTGACTAAGAAGGGCAGAAAGTTACCACATCACTGGGTGGTGATTTAACTTCTGAACCTCAGTTTTCTTTTCTGTAAAATGGGTGTAACATAGTTCTTACCTCATAAGGTTGTTATGGAGAATTAATGAGTTTAAAAATGCAAAGCATTTAGGCCGGGCACAGTGGCTCACGCCTTTAATCCCAGCACTTTGGGAGGCCGAGGCGGGCAGGAGATCGAGACCATCCTGGCTAACACAGTGAAACCCCGTCTCTACTAAAAATACAAAAAATTAGCCGGGCGTGGTGACGGGCGCCTGTAGTCCCAGCTACTCGGGAGGCTGAGGCAGGAGCATGGCGTGAACCCGGGAGGCGAAGCTTGCAGTGAGCTGAGATCGCGCCACTGCACTCCAGCCTGGGTGACAGAGCGAGACTCTGTCTCAAAAAAAAAAAAAAAAAAAAAAAGCTAAGCATTTAAAACAGTGGCTGGCACATGGTAAGCACCATATAAGTGTTAAAGTCTGAAAGTATAGAGAATTTTAGTATGTATTAGCAACAGACCATTTATTCTGAAAAATCCTCTGTGTTTCCAGACTTGGTAGCCACCCTATACATACTAGGTACTTTTAAAATACATTATCTTGTGGCTGGGTGCAGTGGCTCACACCTGTAATCCCAGCAATTAGGAGGTCAAGGCTGGCGGATCACTTGAATCCAGGAGTTCAAGACCAGCTTGGGCAACATGGTGAAATCCCATCTCTACAAAAAATACAAAAAATTAGCCGGGTGTGGTGGTGCGCCTCTGTAGTCCCAGCTACTCATGAGGCTGAGGTGGGAGGATCACCTGAGCCCAGAAAGTGGCAGTTGCAGTGAGCCAAGATGGTGCTACTGCACTACAGCCTGGGTGACAGGGCAAGACCCTGTCTCAAGAAATAAATAAGTATAAATACATACATACATACATTATTTTATTTAATCCTCCCAATAGTCCTATAAGGTTGGTTTTATCTCCATTTTACTAGTAAGGAAACAAGGGATCAGAGAGTGAAGTTACTTGCCTAAGGTCACACAGCTAGTGAGGGCTAGGGACAAGGTTCACACTGCTCATGTTCTTTTCACTCCAGTTGCTCTGTCATCTTAGGCCATCTACTCGGGTGTGCCTTTCTCAATCACCCAAGTCACGCTTTGGTCCACTGAGAATGGAAAAATCCAGCCCAGTTCCAGATGCCAGGCCCCAGCTGGAGCTCCTGCCTGACTGATGCTGCCACATGATAGGCTGATTTATAGAGAAGTAGGAGAGCATTCCCCACACCCAGCGTCACCCTGATGCAGGATTCCTAAGGTGGAGGGAGAAGCAGGCTGGCAACTAGCTCCGCCTCCTGAGAAGTTGGTGGGGGCTGGGGAAAGTGCGGTGGAGAGAAAGACCACTGAAGCCCCACGGAGAGATGCCAGGGCTTACATTTACACAGGGGCATAAACATAGTGGCCCCACAATTCCTTCTAACTCTGTCCCTTGGGTAAGCCCCAGAGTCTCCTAAGTGCATCCACGCAGGCTTGTTTTAAGGCGCCATCGACGTGAGCAAAGTGCGCAGTGACCTTTTCTAAATAGATCTCATTGGGCTGTGACTTTGAAAGCGGGCCAAAGTCCCCAACCCAAAATAGACAGCCTACTGCCCTGTTATTTTCATGGCTTAAAAAAAAAAAAAAAAAAACCCTCCAAAGCAAAGCAACTATTTTTATCACAGGCCTCTCTTAGAATAGCAACACCTATTTACTTGGAGGGAGGAGACTGCAGGGACAGTTTCAGAGCTGGTGACTGTACCAGACAGGGTGGATGAGCACACACAGAGGGAATCCTCCTACCCATCACAGGGCCTGGCTGGCTCCGGTACATCTACCTCCAGTACTTACACACAGGTCCCAGCCCACCCCGCACCATGCACCTCATTTTTTTTTTTTTTTGAGACAGAGTCTTGCTCTGTCACCCAGGCTGGAGTGCAGTAGCCGATATCTTGGCTTACTGCAACCTCTGCTTCCTGGGTTCAAGCAATTTTCGTGTCTCAGCCTCCCTAGTAGCTGGGATTACAGGCACCTGCCACCACGCCCATCTAATTTTTTTTTATTTTTAGTGGAGCTGGTTTTGCCATGTTGGCCAGGCTGGTCTTGAACTCCTGACCTCAGGTGATCCACCCATCTGGCCTCCTACAGTGCTGGGATTACGGGCATGAGCCACCACGCCCGGCTGTACCTCACTTTATAAACAGCTCCTGCTCCTCCTCACTTTATAAACAGCTCCTGCTCCTCCAGGCTTTGCTTTCATGTTTGGAGCTGCAGCCCTCAGACCCTTTATTTCTCTCCACCACTAAAATTCGGATCTTCTTAGGGCCGGAGGCTCACCAAATCTAAAGAGCATACATCAGCCATGAATAATCAGTCGTAGCTGAATTTTTATTGAGCACCACAGAATGCCAGGGACCACGCTAAGCATTTCTCATGTATTATCTCACTGAATTTTTAGGCCTGCTCTATGAGGTTGGGCTATGAACAGTCCCATTTTACATAAGGTAAGACTGAAACTTAGATAAAGTCATTTGCCCATAATCACACAGTTAAGCAGAGGAAAAGCTGGGAGATCTGAACCCAGGCTTAATGACTCCCGGCTGTGAGCTCTGGATCATTCTTTCATCATTGTAGGATTTTATTTTATTTTATTTTAGAGACAGGGTGTTGCTCTGTCACCCAGACTGGAGTGCAGTGATGCAATCATGGCTCACTGGCTGGGCATGGTGGCTGTCGCCTATCATCCCAACATTCTGGGAGGCTGAAGTAGAGGATTGCTTGAGCTCTGGAGTTTGCGATAAGCCTGGGCAACATGGCAAAACCCCATTACTACAATAAAAAGAAAAAAAATTAAAATTGGCTGGGTAGGTGCAGCAAACCACCATGGCACATGTATACCTATGTAACAAGCCTGCACATTCTGCACATGCATCTTGGTTGTTGTTGTTTTTTGTTGTTTTTTTTTTAAGAAGAAGAAATAAAGAAAAAAAAAGAAAGAAAAGAAAAACTGTAAACACTAAAAATGCTTAGTAGTGGTATAGACCCAGCTACTCAGGAGGCTGAGGTGGAGGATTTCTTAAGCTTGGGAGTTCAAGGCTGCAGTGAGCAATGTTCAAGCCCCTGCACTCCAGCCTGGGTGATAGAGACTCTATCTCAAAAAAAAAAAAAAAAAAAAAAAGAAAAAGAAAAAAAAGAAAAGAAAACAAATACTAGTAGTTTATTTTGGGAAAAATAATTAGGAGAACGCTGTCAGTGTCTCTGGTGGGGCAGTGTGGTGTGGTGGTTAATGACACACACTCTAGAGTCAGGCTGCTTGAATTTAAATCTGAGCACTGCTACTTTCTACCTGTGTGACCCTGGGTCATCTATGGAGTGTCTCTGTGCCTTTGCTTTTTTACCTATGGAATAGTACCATCTATCTCATATGATGGACCTGAGGATAAACATGTGAAAAGTGCTCAGGAAACTGAGGCTCAGAGAGGGATAGTGATTCGTCCAAGGTCACACAGCATAGTGACTGGTAGAGCTAGAATTCAAACCTAGGAGTTTCTGATTCCAAAGCCTGTGATTTTCTAAGGCTATTTATGAGTCTAGCACTTTCCCTCTCCAATGGTTCCTCCAACCTCAACATTCTGAGACGAATTATTAAGGAAAAATATTCTCTCTGTGGCATTTCTTCTCTTTTTTGCCTTGAAGTAAAAGCTGTTGGCTACCAACATCATCTCTAAATGAAATGAGGTTTTCCTTCTCAGGACACACAAATGGTTAAATTAAAGGTGGAGCTGGTCTCTGCTACCTGTGCTAGCTGGCAGTCCTCTGCCTACCCTCACCTTCTCTCTGAGCAATTCAGCAAATGCCTATTAGGTGCCCATTCTACCTTGAGGACAGTGCTAACCGTTAAGAAATTATTAGAGCTCTTCAAGCAGAAGGGCAAAAGTTGTGTGGAGATGGAGATGGAACTAACACCTACTCAGCCCCTACTGTATGCCAGGCACATGGAATCTTCACAACAACCCACTTTTTCTTTTTCTTTTTTTGAGATGGAGTCTTGCTCTGTCACCCTGGCTGGAATGTAGTGTCGCAATCTCGGCTCACTGCAACTTCTGCCTCCTGGGTTTAAGCAATGCTCCAGCCTCAGCCTCCTGAATAGCTGGGATTACAGGTGCGCATCACCACACCCGGCTAATTTTTGTATTTTTAGTAGAGATGGGTTTTCACCATGTTGGCCAGGATTGTCTCGATCCCCTGACCTCAGGTGATTTGCCTGCCTTGGCCTCCCAAAGTGCTAGGATTACAGTTGTGAGCCACCACTCCCGGCCAGCCAGTTTTTCTTTTTTTATGTCTTTGAGACAGGGTCTGGCTCTGTCACCCAGGCTGCTGGAGTCCAGTGGCGCGATCTTGGCTCACTGCAAGCTCCGCCTCCTGGGTTCACACCATTCTCCTGCTTCAGCCACCCGAGTAGCTGGGACTACAGCTGCCCACCACCAGGCCCGGCTAATTTTTTTTTGTATTTTTAGTAGAGACGGGGTTTCACCGTGTTAGCCAGGATGGTCTTGATCTCCTGACCTCGTGATCCACCCACCTCAGCCTCCCAAAGTAAGCCACCGCACCAGGCCACTAATTTTTTTTTTTTGTATTTTTTTTTTTTTGAGACGGAGTCTTGCTCTGTCGCCCAGGCTGGAGTGCAGTGGTGTGATCTTGGCTCACTGCAAGCTCCGCCTCCCGGTCTCACGCCATTCTCCTGCCTCAGCCTCCGGAGTAGCTGGGACTACAGGGGCCCGCCACCACGCCCGGAGAATTTTTTGGATTTTTAGTAGAGATGGGGTTTCACCGTGTTAGCCAGGATGGTCTCGATCTCCTGACCTCATGATCCACCCACCTTGGCCTCCCAAAGTGCTGGGATTACAGGCGTGAGCCACTGCGCCCAGCTTTTTTAATATTTTTTGTAGAGACATGGTTTCACCATGTTGCCCAGGCTGGTCTTGAACTCCTGACCTTAAGCAATCCGCACGCCTTGGACTCCCAAAGTGCTGGGATTACAGGTGTGAGCCACCAGGCCCGGCCAACAACCCACTTTCTAAACTATATGGAATTTCCTGAGTATTACCTGTGAAGTAGGTATTATTCCCATTTTATAGCTGATAAACCAGAAGGTCTGCAAGAAGAATTTCCTCCAAGCCACATGGGTTGTAAGAGAGAAGTTGCATCTCACACCCAAAACTTATAATCTAAAAATTATCCCTAGACCTTAGTTAGCATCAAAGTGACCTGGGGGTTTGTTAGAAATGTGCTATCTCGGCCAGGCGCGGTGGCTCCTGCCTGTAATCTCCACACTTTGGGCGGCCGAGGCCGGCGGATCACGAGGTCAGGAGATTGAGACCATCCTGGCTAACACGGTGAAACCCCGTGTCTACTGAAAATACAAAAAATTAGCCGGGCGTGGTGGCGGGCGCCTGTTGTCCCAGCTACTCGGGAGGCTGAGGCAGGAGAACGGCGTGAACCCGGGAGGCAGAGCTTGCAGCGAGCCGAGATAGCGCCACTGCACTCCAGCCTGGACGACAAAGCGAGACTCTGTCGCGAAAAAAAAAAGAAAAGAAAAGAAATGCGCAATCTCAGCCAGGCGTGGTGGCTCACGCCTATAATCCCAACACTTTGAGAGGCCAAGATGGGAGGATCACTTGAGGCCAGGAGTTTGATGCCAGCCTGGCCAACACGGTGAAACTTTGCCTCTACTAAACACATAAAAATTAGCCTGGCATGATGGCACGTGCCTGTAGTTCCAGCTACTCGGGAGGCTGAGGTAGGAGAATCGCTTAAACCCGGGAGGCGGAGGCTGCAGTGAGCTGAGATAGTGCCACTGCACTCCAACCTGGGCTCCAGAGCGAGACTCTGTCTCAAAAAAATAAAGCACAATCTCAGGCTGCCCTCCGACTTGCTGGATCAGAAACTGCCTTTTATAGGACCCTGCAATGATTCTCATGCACATTAAAGTTTGAGAAGTACTTCCTTGGTGACAAGGAAAGGCAAGGAGATACAGGGAAAGCCACCAAGGGCCCGGCAGGAGTGGGAGTTGGCAAAGCAACCCCAGCTGTCAAGACTTGGGAGGGTTAAGGCCTGTGGCAAATGAACTCCTTCTCTCCTGACCTCAGTCTCTTCTACTTTTTGTGATGGGACTGCAGAGCTGATAGCTTTCTCTGTGCATTTCAAACTTTGTGCTGACATGCCCCAGATGAGCTGGGTATACTAGCAGCTTTCTAGTGTTTATTCCCTAAGTTCAAAAGTAGTTTGACTTAAACCTCAACTTGAATGGAAAGGAAATCCTAAATTTAAGTAACACATATCAAACATTGGCATATGAGCTCCCTGATGGGTGGCCAACCGTGCCAGTTTGCCCAGGACTAAGGGATTTTGTGGGATGCAGGACTTTCACTGCTAAAACTAGCACAGTCCTGGGCAAACTGGGATGGTTGGTCACCATATCCCTCTTTTCAGCTTCTCAAATGAACACATAGGCAATTCCTTACTTAGCACAGTGATTCTAACACTGGCTACACATTGGAATCACCTGGACACTTTTGGAAAAATAATAATGCCTGCTGACTAACCTAGATGAATTAAATCAGAACCTCTGTGGGTAGGGACTGGGCATTGTTATATCAAAAAATTTTCCCATGTGATTTTGTGTGTGTGTGTGTGTGTGTGTGTGTGTGTGACAGAGTCTCGCTCTGTGGCCAAGGCTGGAGTGCAGTGGCACAATCTCAGCTCACCGCAACCTCTGCCTCCCAGGTTCCAGCGACTCTCCTGCCTCAGTTTCCTGAGTAGCTGGGATTACAGAGGCTCACCACCACACCCAGCTAATTTTTATATTTTTAGTAGAGACTGGGTTTTGCCATGTTGGCCAGGCTGGTCTCACACTCCTGGCCTCAAGTGATCCGCTGGCCTCAGCCTCCTGAAGTGCTGGAATTACAGGCGTGAGCCACCATGCCCAGCCCCCATGTGATTTTGATGTGTAGCTAAAGTGGAGAGCCAATGCTCCTCCTGAAGTCGTCTTTCGCTCTGAGTAGCACATTTTTTTTCAGGAACATGAATAATTGGCTGAAGAAAGGAAAAAGGAAAAGGGGCCAACTTTTACTGAATCCATGCCTTTCACCCTGGTCAGCACCCAAGTGCCAGAAGATGTACTGTCTGTGAAGTAGGGGTTATTTGTGCCAATTTTGCAGATAAACACTGAGGATCAGAGAAGTTCTTAACTTGGCCAAGGTCACACGACTAGGAATTAGTGGTGAACTGTGTGATTCCAGGTCTGTCTCTTCACACTAAGGCCAGGACAAGAATTTGCAAAACTAATTGCTGATGGTAGAAGTCAGAGGTATACGGATGGGAGAGAGTCACGAGCAAGCTTGTCAGGGGGCTGGAGGTGTTCTAAATCTTAGTATTAGTGGTTGTTGCAGGGGTTTGCAAGATGTAAACATCTCTGAGATGTATGTGGAAAATAAACGCACTTTAAGTTTACCATCTGTATGTTACACCTAAAAGTCCATAAGCTCCTCAGCCAACAGTGACCTTGCGGTAGGACCCACTAGTTGACCCTGGAGGTCTGCATGGGCAGTGGACTGAAGAAGGCAAAGGCTGTGGAGTCAGATGGAACTGGATTCCAGTCCAGCTTATGACGTTGGGCAAGTCACTGGACATCATAAATTGAGGGAGCAATACCTACCTAACTGGGTTAGCCTTGAGGCCTAAGGAAGAAAATACATGTCAAGTCTCTAGCACAGGGCTTGGCACCAGACAGAACAGGCAGTTCCTAAGTGGTCAGTAAATGGTGGCTTTAAGCCATCTTTAAGACGTCTGTCCTGTTAGAAGGATACAGAGTCGGAGACTTCTTGAGGTAACAGGAACAGCTGAGGAACGGGAACACCTAGGGACAGAGCATTTACAGAACTTGTCCTAGGTCTTCCTACCCTGTTGAAGAGATCACAGAAGAGATCATATGGAGAAGCCAGGTCGAGAGACAGGCCTGATGTCCCAGTGCCCTAGCTGAGCCCAGCCTTTGAGCTGTCCCCAACAAGGTGCCAGTCATGTGCGTGAGCTGTTTTGGACAGTCCAGCCCAAGTGAGCCCCTGGATAATGCTGTTCCTGCCAATGGCACGTGGAGCTGAGCCTGGTCAATGCAGAATCTCAAGAGGTAAAGCATGGATATTGTTTTAAGCCATTGAACTTTGGGGATAAGAAAAACAGGAATTGCTATTTAGAGTAGGAGGGCTCCAATAATCAACACCAAAAACATGTGCCATTGGCTTAGAAACAGAGCAGTGGGCAGAGGCTAGACAGGCCCCGAGGGGATTGTTATTGGAACATGGAAGGACTGTGAACGTAACTGTAATAGGGCCTTTGCCTGACACAGGGCAGATCAATATGCTGAGACACTTGGTTGCAGCAGAGAAAGAGGTTTAGTTGCATGGCTGGCTAATGAGGAGATGAGAGGAAACCTCAAATCTGTCTCTCCAAGGAATTTAAGGATAGGGTTTCTAAGGGGTTTGGAGTGGGCCAAAGTGTGGAGATTGTCAATTGGTGGAAGAGGGCAGGGAGAAGTCATGGGACAGGGAGATGAAGAAGCTGTTTTCATACTGGTCTGGTTCCTCCGTGGGGGTCTTCAAACTGATTGGTGTCAGCTGTTCCACTGGAAGTCAGGATCTGCTTGAGCAATTTTTTTTTTTTTTTTGAGACAGAATCTCACTCTGTCACCCAGGCTGGAGTGCAATGGCACCATCTCGGCTCACTGCAACCTCTGCCTCCTGGGTTCACGCGATTCTCCTGCCCCAGCCTCCCGAGTAGCTGGGATTACAGGCGCCCACCACCACGCCAGGCTAATTTTTTGTATTTTTAGTAGAGATGGGGTTTCACCATGTTGGCCAGGCTGGTCTTGAACTCCTGACCTCAGGTGATCTGCCTGCCTCGGCCTCCCAAAGTCCTGGGATTATAGGCGTGAGCCACCACGCCCGGCTGCTTAAGCAATTCTTTTTTTTTTTTTTTTTTTGAGATGGAGTTTCGCTCTTGTTGCCCAGGCTGGCATGCAATGGCGTGATCTCGGCTCGCAGTAACCACCACCTCCCAGGTTCAAGCAATTCTCCTGCCTCAGCCTCTCGAGTAGTTGGGATTACAGGCATGCGCCACCACGCCCCACCTTGCTTAAGCAATTCTTAAATAAAAGCTTTGTGATTCTTATGTCAGAGATCCTATCTATCTCAAGTGGGTCAAAGTGCAGCCTGATTAATGCTTAATTATAACTATATTTCTGTCCAGAATTCTTGTTAACCCTGTGAAGACAGCTGAATGAGGAAATTGTTATTGGAGGCTGAGTAAAGGGGACCCAACTAATTCACTGGCAGAATAATTTAGTAAAACTGTTCCCTGTGATAATGTGGGCACTAAAACATACCTCATGAACTTGCTGATTTGGCTGATGCAGAATGTTGATGGCACCAACTGGTTCGTGTTTTTTGTTTTTTGTTTTTTTGAGACAGAGTTTTGCTCTTGTTGCCCAGGCTGGAGTGCAATGGTGCGATCTCAGCTTACCGCAACCTCTGCCTCCCTGGTTCAAGCAATTCTCCTGCGTCAGCCTCCCGAGTAGCTGGGATTACAGGCATGCGCCACCACACCCGGCTAATTTTGTATTTTTAGTAGAGATGGGGTTTTGCCACGTTGGTCAGGCTGGTCTCGAACTCGTGACCTCAGGTGATCCGCCCACCTTAGCCTATCAAAGTGCTGGGATTACAGGCGTGAGCCACTGCGCCCGGCCAACTGGTTCATTTTAACTGCATAGCAGGAGGTATGGATAGACAGATGAATTGAAGAAGGAATTGTTCAGGATCCAAGCAGAACCTAAAGAAAAAGTTTCTAGCCCCACTAGAAACTTGCTGGATTGGAAAAAACAACTGTTTCTTGTTCCTAACCTTAACAGCCCAGTAAAAATTCTCCCAGAAAACAAAAACCTGAAGGGATGACCAGATGTGATGGCTCATGCCTGTAATCCTAGCAGTTTGAGAGGCCTAGGTGGAAGGATCGCCTGAGGCCAGGAGTTTGAGGTTACAGAGAGCCCTCAGTTGCACCATTTCACTCCAGCCTGGCAGGGACAGAGTGAGATCCTGTTTCAAAAAAAAAAGTTAAAAAAATGTGGAGGTAGGGGAGAAACCTGGTGCTAAAGATCAAATCCAGGGAACTTCTAGTAAAACGTGGCCTCCGGGTCAAGACCAAATCAGTGACACAGCTATAAGACCCTTTTGTTGATATTTCAGAAAGATTTAAGCATTTGCCAGGTGGATCCTCTCAGCTAGATAAAAAGGCCTCTAAGAATCTTTAGGGCATTGTTCCTCAGCAGTAGATGCAGGGTCCAAAGCAGAAAAGGCTTGTCTCCGAAAGAAACTAAGGGTGGCTTTTGTCTAATGCAGTGGATTGTAATCAGATACACAGGAAACACAACATTTTTAATTGTACTTGCTTGACTGAAAGGAATGGAGACTTTTTTTTTTCTTTTGAGATAGAGTCTCACTCTCTTGCCCAGGCTGGAGTGCAGTAGCAGGATCTCTGCTCACTGCAACCTCCACTTTCCAGGTTCAAGCAATTCTTCTGCCTCAGCCTCCCGCATAGCTGGGACTACAGGTGCATGCCATCAAGCCTGGCTAATTTTTGTATTTTTAGTAAAGATGGGGGTTTCGCCATATTGGTCAGGCTGGTCTCAAACTCCTGACCTCATGATCCGCCTACCTCGGCCTCCCAAAGTGCTGGGATTACAGGCGTGAGCCACCATGCCCGGTGGAACAGAGTCATTTTAAAACAAAAGGTAGCCTTTGTGGCCCCAGCTCCCTAAGTGCAGGAAGCCAGCAAACATGGTCATACCTTATGGAAAAGAAGGATGATTCAGAGGGTGGAGCCAAGAGCCTAAGAGGACCATTCCCAGGAAGCTGACCCGGGGCTTTCATCAATGTTTTCTACCCTTGGAGCAGGGAGGATTGTATCCCGTGGAATTTCAGAATGGCCACGGACCTGTGACTACCCTAGGTCTCGTGTTTTTGAATGGGAGCGTGTATTGTGGCGCCTGAGTTCCTGTTTTGCCATTCTACGTTGGGTCTATAGGGGGAGAGAACTTGTTGTCTCTTTAGTTCACAGGTCTTCAGAGCAGGAGGAACCACACCCAAAGGCCTCAGCAACAACTGGCTGAGATTTAGTTGATGAGTAACTTGACTTCAAGCCTAGGCCTGAGGCTGAATTGGGGTGAGACTCTGGGAGTTACGGGAGGTAAAGGGAAGTTCATTTTGCATGTGAGAGAGGCTTTGGGGACCAGGTAGTAGACTATGGTGACTGGTCTCCAAAGATGGCCCAATGACTCATGCCTCCCTATGTGCATGCCTTTGTGCAGTCCACTCCCACATCATATCTGGGCTGGTTCTGTGACCTACTTTAACCAACAGAAGGCAGCAGATGTGATGGATGCCATGCCAGCTCTGGACCTAAGAATTAAGGTGGCCTGCTAGTGTCAGCCTTTGCTGTTTGGAAGACCCTGAGCGACCATATAAGAAGCCTGTTTACCTTGTGCTCATAAGACCACATGGAAAGGCCTTGGGTAGGGGAGAAGCCCTGAAACCACCTGGAAAAAGACAGGTGCAGCCTTTCTGGTCTGGCTGAGTTCACACCTCTAGCCACCCCACCAACCTGCCAGACATGAGAATGCCATCTTGGATGTTCTAGCAGAGTTGAGTCCCTGGATGATATCGTGTAGAGCAGAACTGACCTCAGATTACCTGAGTCAACCCACAGAGTCATGAGAAGAGAATACAATGGTGGTATATTTTTTAGTGTGTGTGGTTTTTTGTTGTTGTTGTTGTTGTTTGTTTGATTTGAGACAGAGTCTCACTCTTTCATCCAGGCTGGAGAGCAGTGGTGTGATCTTGGCTCACTGAAAGCTCTGCCTCCTGGGTTTAAGCAATTCTCCTGCCTCAGCCTCCCAAGTAGCTTGGGTTACAGGTGCCTGCCACCTGTAATTTTTTTTTTTTTTTTTTTTTTTTGAGACAGAGTCTTGCTCTGTCGCCCAGACTGGAGTGCAGTGGCTCAATCTCGGCTCACTGCAATCTCTGCCACCCGGGCTCACACCATTCTCCTGCCTCAGCCTCCCCTGTAGCTGGGACTACAGGTGCCCGCTGCCACGCCTGGCTAATTTTTTGTATTTTTAGTACAGACGGGGTTTCAACGTGTTAGCCAGGATGGTCTCGATCTCCTGACCTCGTGATCCGCCTGCCTTGGCCTCCCAAAGTGCTAGGATTACATGTGTGAGCCACTGCACCTGGCCTGATTTTTGTATTTTTAGTAGAGACAGGGTTTCACCATGTTGGCCAAGCTGGTTTTGAACTACTGACCTCAAGTGATCCACCCACCTTGGCCTCCCCAAGTGCTGAGATTACAGGTGTGAGCAACCGTGCCCAGTCAATGGTGATATTTTAAAGCCACTCAGTTTTGGGATAGTTTGTTATACAGCAGTAAACAGCTAAAATGCCATTGGCCAAATCCAATCAGAAATTAAAGAACAAGAAGCCCAGGAAAAGTGTGCTTATAATCATCCTCCAGAAGCAGAGAGTGGAATGGAGAAGGGTGAGGAGTGGATCTGGAGGGGTGAACTGAAGATAACTAACACTGGTCCTGAAGGCTTAGATATGGGGTAAGAGACAGGGATTCCTGGGTTTGTGACATTCGGAATTGGAAGGATTGTGAGACCTTTGCTGAAACAGGGATGGCTAGACAACAACCATGTTTTGGGGGGAAAGGCTTGATTTCTATTCTGGATATATAGAGGTTGAGAGGCTTTGGGACATTCACATGGAAGTGTCAAAGGAGAGGAATGTGAGAACCGTCAGCGTACAAAGCTGGGAACTGTAGCTGAGGGTGAAGTTGCCCAGAGCGAAAGGCCGGGGTGAGATAAGAAGAGGGCCAAGGACTGAGCTCTGAGGAACCCAAGCATTTAACAGTCAAGCCTGCAAAGGAGACAGAGAAGGGACAACCAGAGAGGTAGGATAAAAAATGAGGATTGTGCAATGTCAGGGAAGACATGAAAAGAGGATGATAGAAGAGAGCAGTCAATGACATCTTACACTGCTCAGAGGTCAAGTCAGAAGAGAACTGAGGGCCAGGTGCAGTGGCTCACACCTGTAATCCCAACACTTTGGGAGGCTGAGGCAGGGGGATCACTGGAGCCCAGGAGTTCGAGACCAGCAACATGGTAAGACCCTGTCTCAAAAATAAATAGACAGACAGACAGACAGACAGATAGGACCAAAGGATCCATCGAGGTTGGTGGCCTTCAGGAAAGCCATTCCAGTTTTCTGGGGCTCACTAAAGTGAGCACTCACTCCCTTATTAGGCAGCATGAAATGAGTGAGCCCATAAAATGGGGCCAGCAGAAGAGCTGGGGCTATTTCCAAAGAGGGAATCCAGATGGCCAACAAACCCTTGAAAAGGGGCCAAACCTCAATAGTCACCAGAGAAATGTGAATTAAAACCACAATGAGCTTTCATTTTACGCCCACTAAATTGGCTAAAAATAAAAAACCTAATGATACTAGAATTTGGCAGGGGTATTAAGCAAGTGGAACTCTCAGGTGCTGTTGGTAGGAATGCAAGTTGATATAACCATCTTGGGAACAGTTTGACATTAACTAGTGTGGTTGAGGATGTGCATAGTGTGTTAAGCCAGGTTTCCTGAGAAACTGAGGAGGGTGTTGGCATGCAGAGGTTTTATGGGGAATGCCCTTAGAAATAGCACCTATGAGGTAGTGAGGAATCAGGATTTCCCATAGGGAGAGGATGAACTGTGCTAGAGTTGTAACAGAGACCTCTGTCACTGGGAGCTCTGAAACTGGGATGGCCCTTCACAGTTGTCCTGAACTGACAGAAGGGCATCATGCCTTTATACTCCTCTGTTGATCAGTCATTGGCTGGAACTGCACCCAAAGAGTGGTTGCAACCTTTTCCACTAGAGGGCTCTCCTGCCACCTGGGAAGTGAGTGAGTGCCTTGGTCCTGAAGAGGGAGATCTAACACATCACAGCATCCACTACAGTCCTGCACCACATGGATCCCCCTGCTTCATAAAATAAGCTAAACCCATCTGAGAACAGCTTCTCCAGGATTCTGCTTCATCTCTTTTTCTCTTTCTTTCCTTCTTTTTCTTCCCCTTTCTTTCTTTCTTTTTATTTCTCTTTTTTCTCTCTCTTTTCTTTCTCCCTCTTTTCTTTCTCTCCTTTTTTCTTTCTTTTCCCTTTCCCCTTTCTTTTCCTTTCTAATAAGGTCTCACTCTTTTGCCCAGGCTGGAGTTGCAGTGGCAACCATGGCTCACTGCAACCTCGACCTCCTGGGCTCAAGTGATTCTCCCACCTCAGCCTCCCAAGTAGCTGGGACTACAGGTGTGCACCACCATACCCGGCTAATTTTTATAGAGACAGGATCTTGCTATATTGTCCAGGCTGGTTGAAAACTCCTGAGTTCAAGTAATCCTCCCATCTTTGCCTCCAAAAGTGTTAGGATAACAGGTGTGAGCCATTACACCTGGCCATTTTCTTTTCTTTTTTCATCTCTTTTTCTGGGGAAGTTTGAGAAGGTTAGTGGAATGAATGGCAGCTGTCACGCTGCAGCTGGTCTCAGGGCACAGCTGATAGTCTTCTTCTCCCTCCTCTCCTGTGCATTCTAGATCCCCTCACCCTCGGCCAGCGTCTCTGCTGGTCTAGGTGGCTTACCTAGTGAGATGGCCCTGAGAGGTTTGAGACCATGGTCACCATGCTTGTCTCAGGTCATGGTTGCCGCATCTGTCTATTAACCATCAAAGTTGGTCAGAGAAGAACCAAGAATCACCGCAATAGATCTGCTGGAGTGTTAGATGAGTCCCTCCCCATCCTGTTGTGCAACAGCAGCCCTGCCTCCTCCTGGTGATCATTTAACCTGCCAAGAACATGACTCCTTTTTTTGCCTGCTGGTCTGTTGGTGTAAGGAGCCTGAAGTGACCAGGTGGCAGCTGGTTTGATAAGACAAATTTTATTGGCCTCCTGGGGGAAGCATCCTCCTGCTGGGAATGAGGACTTCTAGACCTATAGAGCCTAGAGCTGTACAGATGAAAGGACTGATTTCTCCCAGCAGCTCACTGGGAGTACAGTGAGAGCAGCCACTCATACTTCCACCCCCGGATTCCCAGATCCATTTATTCTACTTCGACAAGACAGCCCCAGCCCCAACCTGGAAATACCATCTGATGTCTCTCTACAGGCCTGCAAAGAGCAGGCACTTGAGCTCTTAATCAACAACTCATAAATGGCTGTTGATTCAGGGTGAATACTGCATCCTGGGGGATGGTGCTGTATCCTTGCAGTGTCATTTCCAGATTGATGCCTTGGCTGCATTTCTTTTTTTCTAACTAAAGTGCTTTTTATTTATTTTATTTTATTTTATTAATTTTTTGGGGGCGACAGAGTCTCACTCTTGCTGGAGTGCAGTGGCATGATCTTGGCTCACTGCAACCTCTGCCTCCCAGGTTCAAATGATTCCTGTGCCTCAGCCTCCCAAGTAGGTGGGACCACAGGTGTGTGTTACTTCACCTGTAGTAGCTTTTTGTATTTTTAGTAGAGACGGGGTTTCACCATGTTGCCCAGGCTGGTCTTGAACTCCTGGGCTCGAGTGATCTGCCTGCCTTGGTCTCCCAAAGTGCTGGGATTACAGGTGTGAGCCACTGCACCCGGCCACTAAAGTGCTTTTTAAATTTTTAGACTTGCCAAACATCTTTAATATAGAAATTCTTTAATCTATCAACTCAAATCACAGCAGCAGCCACAAAGCAGTTAAAGGAAGGGTCTTGGGAGGGAGAAAGGAAGGTTTTCAGGCTCCTGACTATTTCCCTCACCTGCAATCCCGCTTGCTGCCCATGAGAACACGGTCTTAGCAGAGAACAAGTCAAGGCATCCAGAGCCGTAGGGGCCTTACAGCCCACTCTAGGGTGGCCTAAGTGCTGTAGTCCCCTCCAACATGACATCACTGCAACCTCTAGGGAAAGCCAAATCCAGCTAGGAGACAATAGGAAGGTGATTGTTACTGAGAGGAGACATTCATCTGCATTCTGCTGATCATGTCTTTTGGAGATAGAATTTTCCAGACACTGTTGGATAGAAAAGAGTTAAAAATGCACCTGGGAGAAGAATAGAAGTTGAACGTTAGTCTGCCTTCTGCCAGAATTCCTTGCCCATGACTCTAGAAAGCTGGCGTGGATCTGCTCAGAGTTGGGAAGGGGAAGGGATGACAGAATCTTTGGTCCAGTGGGGCTGGAGCCTTGCCAGGCACTGACCAAGAAAGCCTCAAGGCAGATCAGCGACTCCTGTGGGAAGCAGCACTGGGTGAACCATACTCCAGGGAGTGCTGTGGTACAAAAATAGCTTTCAGGCAGAACTTATTGCAGGTGTGGAAGAGAGAA
Source organism: Homo sapiens (assembly GCF_000001405.40). Lineage (NCBI taxonomy): Eukaryota > Metazoa > Chordata > Mammalia > Primates > Hominidae > Homo > Homo sapiens. Next base: position 12,709,129 of record NC_000003.12, read on the forward strand.
AGGACTCAAATGGGAAAGAATTAAGAGCTCAAGTGCCTGCCTTTTACAGGTCTACAGGGAGACGTGAAATGATATTTCCAGTTTGGGGCTGGGAAAGACCCAGTCTATTGTTCCTCTGGGGCCCAGTTTGACTGTTTGGATGTAGGCAACAGCACCAAAGTCCTCCAGGGTCATTGAGGCCAGCTGCTTCTGGGCAAGGTGGTATGTGGTAAGTCCAGTGGATGTCACAGTCATAAGCAAGGCTGTACCACCTTTGCTGTCTCTTGGTCTAATGGGAGTTATCTGAGACTCTTGGTCTAATGTGATATTATCTGAGACCAAATGTTAGTGGATCAGTGCTTTGCAAGTCCTTAGATCGGCCGAGGCGTTGTAGCCAGGAAATGTAACACACACCCAAAAGATGTGTCAGTTGCAGTCAACATGAATTGCTTCCCCTTCCAGGTAGAAGAGGTCTGATGTAACTAGCTTGCCACCAAGGGGCTGATGGGGCTCCTTGAAGGATGGTTGTCATGTTGAGGTTTTTTTTTTTTTAATTATTTTTTCTCATACATCACATGAAGGATGAAGAGGGCTCTATGTTAATCTTTGTTGCTGGAAGATTGGACATTCAACAGTGACAGTAGCTAGAGCATTCTTAGTGAATGCAGAACCTCTAACCCCGCCACATAGCTTCTCCATTTGTAAACCCATTGTGCCAGAACTGGGGTGGCCAGTGACAGAGGCTGACTGCTGAATGGACTGAGTCTCTCTGCCTATTTTGTTACATGGTAACTTCTCCACGGTAGATGCTGTCTGGGGGACAGGAGCATAAGATGCAAAGATTTTCACACTTTGTGCCAGTTCCCATGGGTCCACACATCCCTGTGTCCCAGACCTCCTTGTCTCTAATCTTCCTATATTTATCCTTCCTAATTTTGCCACTGCCCATATGTCTGTAACTTACCTCAGGTTATTTCTCTTGGCCACGAAGTGGTTGAGCATGTGCACTGCCCAAAGTTCGGCCTGTTGGGAAGATTCCTTCTCATTAGTGTCTTTAAGGGTCCCTGCTGAGTGAGGCTGCAGTGCAGTTGTTCTCTGTTTTCAACTTGCACTGCCATGCTGAATGCACCCACCTGTGGATCAAGCTTGGCCTTTTTCCTGTTTGCTGGCTGGTCATAAGGGAGCCCAAAAGCAGCTGCCAGGGTGAGCCGAAGGAGGCATGCAGGTGTCACACTGGGGGATGACATGGGGGTCTTGGCCACCATGGGGATCTTGTGCAGCTTACTCGTGCTCTCTGGCCCTGCTTGTGCCTGATCCCAGATGTTCCACCTTACTATGGATTGCTGTCAAGCCCATCTGACCTTGTCATTTGGTAGCTCTGACAGATCCCAGCTTGGGATGGACAGTTCTGGCTGCAAGGGTCACTTAATGTCCAATGGTCAAGCCCTCTATCTCTACGAGGGCCACCCACAGGTAATTTGTCAAATGGCAATAATTCTCTGCTGCAGACTGAATGGCTTTGCTCTGGAACTTGAGGGATCTACGTGGTGATTCTCTCATTGGGGCTTGCCATAAATATATGGCATCTCTTCCCACCACAGATACCTCTAATAGCCCAGGTTCTTCCAGGTTATGTGGCCCCAGAGGCTGAGCTGCTTGTACTACAGCCTGACTGTGCCAGAGAGCTCTTTTCTGCCTTGAGATCTGTTCAAAGTTGTCAGCCTTCCATGTTCCTAAGAAAATGGGTTGGAGCAGTATTCCAAAGTATAAAATACGCCACAGGCCGGGCACGGTGGCTCACACCTGTAATATCAGTGCTTTGGGAGGCCGAGGCAGGTGGATCACCTGAGGTCAGGAGTTTGAGAACAGCCTGGCAAATGTGGTGAAACCCTATCTCTACTAAAAATACAAAATTATCTGGGTGTGGTGGCAAGTGCCTGTAGTCCCAGCCACTCAGGAGGCTGAGGCAGGAGAATCACTTGAACCTGGGAGGCGGAGGTTGCAGTGAGCCGAGATCACGTCATTGTACTCCAGCCTGGGCAAAAAGAGTGAAACACCATTTCAAAAATAAATAAATAAATAAAGTAAAATATGCTGCAGAAGTCTACAAAGTGTTGCTGTCTTCTTCTTTTTTTTTTTTTTTTTGAGACGGAGTTTCACTCTTGTAGCCCAGGCTGGAGTGCAATGGCATGATCTCGGCTCACTGCAACCTCCGCCTCCCGGGTTCAAGTGATTCTCTTGCCTCAGCTTCCTGAGTAGCTGGGATTACAGGCGTGCACCACCAGGCCCAGCTTATTTTTTTTAAATTTTTTAATTTATTTTTTGTATTTTTAGTAGAGACGGGGTTTCATGATGGCCAGGCTGGTCTTGAACTCCTAACCTCAGGTGATCCACCCACCTTGGCCTCCCAGAGTGCTGGGATTACAGGCATGAGCCACTGCGCCCAGCAGAGTGTTGCTATCTTCTTAAGGAGGAACAAGGTGTAATTACTTGTCCTTTGCCTTGGAGAGGATGTCCTAGCAGGCCCCAGACCATTGAATCCCTAAAAACCTCATGATGTGGTGAGCCTCTTAAACTTCTGGAGTCCTTCTAATTCTTTTTTTTTTTCCTAGTTTATTTGCTATTTTTTCCAACTTTTAGATTCAAGGGGTACATGTACAGGTTTGTTACCTGGATACATTGCGTGATGCTGTGATGCTGAGATTTGGGATACAAATGATCCAGTCACCCAGGTACTGAGCATAGTATCCGACAGTTTTTCAATCCTTGCCCCTCTCCTCTCCTCCCCGCTCTAGTAGTCCCCAGTGTCTAGTGTTGCTGTCTTTATTCCCATCAGCCCCTGATGTTTAGCTCCCACTTATAAGAACATGTGGTATTTGATTTTCTGCTCCTGTGTTAATTTGCTTAGGATTAAATTCTTTTTTTTTCTTTTTTTTTTTTTTGAGATGGAGTCTCGCTCTGTCGACCAGGCTAGAGTGCAGTGGCGCGATCTCAGCTTACTGTGAGCTCCGCCTCCCGGGTTCACACCATTCTCCTGCCTCAGCCTCCCGAGTAGCTGGGACTACAGGTGCACGCCACCATGCCCGGCTGATTTTTTGTATTTTTTTAGTAGAGACGGGGTTTCACTGTGTTAGCCAGGATGGTCTCGATCTCCTGCCCTTGTGATCCGCCTGCCTCAGCCTCCCAAAGTGCTGGGATTACAGGCGTGAGCCACCATGTCTGGCCAGGATTGAATTCTTATAGGGTTTATCTCCAACTCTCTGGAGCCATGTCCTGTTCATCCAGTCCTATTAACACTATCTCGCCCATAGACTGGATCAATATGATGTTTTGCAGGATGCCCAGATGGCCCAGTCCCTTTACACCATGTTATGACAGACGGCAAGACTTAACATAGCCTTGAGGTAGACTGTAAATGTATATTGTTGTCTGTCCCCACATATATTGAGCTATTTTTGGTCCTTTTTCTTGTTAGGGATGGGAAAGCCAAATCAATGGTTGGACACCACAGACTTGAAGCAATGTTAATCAGATCTAGGAAGACACCATCTCCACACAGCAACTTCAGTTGGGGCTTGTATTAGTCCGTTTTCATGCTGCTGATAAAGACATACCTAAGACTTGGTAATTTATAAAGAAAAAAAGATTTTACTCACAGTTCTATGTGGCTGGGGAAGCCTCACAATCATGGCGGAAGGTAAAAGTCACATCTTACATGGCGACAGACAAGAGAGAATGAGAGTCAAGTGAAAGGGAAAACCCCTCATAAAACCATCAGATTTCATGAGGCTTATTCACTACCACGAGCACAATATGGGGGGAACCGCCCCCATGATTCAATAATCTCCCACCAGGTCCCTGCCACAACACATGGGAATTATGGGAGCTACAGTTCAAAATGAGATTTGGGTGGGGACACAGCCAAACCATATCACAATTACTATTTGGCTGAGTTTGCAGTAGTCCTCCATCATCCTCCAGGATCCATTCAATTCTTGCAGGAGTCAGTTTAGTGAATTAAATGGGGGGTAGATGGTGACCACGACCCCTGAATCTTTGAGATCTTCTAGAGAATTCAATGAAGAAGTAGTTTCAGCTGCATTTTACAGACAAAGAAACTGAAGTTTAGAGAGTTTTACAAATATTTATTGTAAAACTTTTTTTTGTCAAATCTGTTTGACTCACAAGCTTTTTACTTAATCACTAAGCTACCCAGCCAATAATTGTAATTAGAGTTAATTTAGGAAACTGAAAAAGAGATGACTAAATTGCTACATGTCCATAAAACTCCATCATGTTTTTTGTTAGAAATGTTATTAACAAGTCTAATTTTCAGATCAAAAGGGGCCAATTCTGCCTAATTTATTAAAAGTGGGAGATAATGCTGGGCACAGTGGCTTATGACTGTAATCTCAGCACTTTGGAAGGCTGAGGTGGGAGGATCGTTTGAGCCCAGGAGTTAGAGACCAGCCTGGGCAACAAAGCAAAACCCCATTTCTACAAAACATACAAAAAAATTAGCCAGGCATGATGGCACATACCTGTAGTCTCAGCTACTTGGGAGGCTGAGGTGGGAGGATCACTTGAGCCCAGAAGGTCAAGGCTGCAGTGAGCTGTGATCGTACCACTGCACTCCAGCCTGGGAGACACAGCGAGACCCTGTCTCAAAAAAAAAAAAAAAAAAAAAAAAAAAAAGTGGGAGATAAAACTCAGTGGAGAAAGTGTTAGTTTTTATTCCTGGCAGCTTTCAGACAAACTGTATTTCCTAAACTATATGCCAGGATGTTTCCTCATTTAATTTTTCCAGAATTGTAATGGAAAAAGAAAGAGGAAAAAAAGTTGCCACCCAAAACTAAAATATCCCTTTCCATATGGAGCAAAGCAGCATGAGGCTGTTGAGAGCCAGAGGATCAACTTTGTGCAAATGAAGCAGTGCAAGGAATGGCTCTCTGTGTGTCCTTAGGCAAGTCACCTCATGGATCTCAGTTGTTTTTTTTTTCTTGAGATGGAGCCGCACTCTGTAGCCCAAGCTGGAGTGCAGTGGCGTGATCTCGACTCACTGCGATCTTTGCCTCTGGGGCTCAAGCGATTCTCCTGCCTCAGCCTCCCAAGTAGCTGGGACTAGAGGTGTGCACCACCACACCCGGTAAATTTTTTTGTATTGTTAGTAAAGACGGGGTTTCATCATGTTGCCCTGGGTGGTCTCAAACTCCTGAGCTCAAGCGATCCACCTGCCTCGGCCCCCCAAAGTGCTGGGATTACAGATGTGAGCCACCATGCCTGGCCTGGATCTCAGTTTCTTTATCTGAATAATAATAATATCTGAATAATAATTATATAATATATAATATATATTTGTATATTTTATTATTATAATTATTTTATAATTTATCTGAATAATAATTATCTGAATAATAATAGTATCTACCTCAGAGGGTTGCTATGTCTCGCTCATCTCTGAGTCCCTAAAATATGTGGCACAAAGTAGCATTCAAAGAATATATGCTGAATGAATGAATAAATGAATTTTGAAGATTAAATGAGATGATGTACTTACATGGTGTATGGTAAATATTAGATTCTATAAGCCAGGTGCAGTGGCTCACGCCTGTAATCCTAGCACTTTGGGAGGCCGAGGTGGGTGGATTATTTGAGGTCAGGAGTTTGAGACCAGCCTCGCCAACATGATGAAACCCCATCTCTACTAAAAATATAAAAATTGACTGGGCAGACCTGATGGACGCCTGTAATCCCAGCTACTCAGGAGGCCGAGGCAGGAGAATCACTTGAGCCTGGGAGGCAGAGGTTGTGGTGAGCTGAGATCACACCACTGCACTCCTGTCTCAAAAAAAAAAAAGATTCTATGGTAGCGATTTGATGATACATATTGAAGCTTGAAAAACATGCATGTCTATTGATCCAACAATTCCATTTCTGAAAATGGAAACTTAATCCTAATAACTTTAGTAATTTAGAGTAAATTAATGATTATGATAATCTTGGTTAGTCAGGGCCGGGCGCAGTGGCTCATGCCTGTAATCCCCACACTTTGGGCGGCCGAGGCAGGCGGATCACGAGGTCAGGAGATTGAGACCATCCTGGCTAATGCAGTGAAACCCTGTCTCTACTAAAAATACAAAAAATTAGCCGGGCGTGGTGGTGGGAGCCTGTTGTCCCAGCTACTTGGGAGGCTGAGGCAGGAGAATGGCATGAACCTGGGAAGCAGAGCTTGCAGTGAGCCCAGATCGCACCACTGCACTCCAGCCTGGGTGACAGAGCGAGACTCCGTCCCAAAGAAAAAAAAAAAAAAATTCTTAGCTATTCAGATAATTAAGAATGCACCAGATATTTAGGTAAAAGAAGGCTCTTGGAAAAACAGTCTAAATGTCCATCATTTTTTTTGGTGAAGAATCTACATGTGTGACATACAGAAAGATTTGATAAGACTATACGTTAAGGTGGTGGTTCTCAAAGTGTGGCCCAGGGACTGGCAGCGTCAGTGTCATTTGAAAACTTGTCAAAAAATGTAAATTCTTGGGCCCCATCCCACATCTACTGAATCAGAAATTCCAGGGTGGGACACAGACATCTGGATTATTTTTGTTTGGTTGGTTTTTTTTTGAGACAAAGTCTTGCTCTGTCACCCAGGCTGGAGTGCAGTGGTGCAATCATGACTCACTGTACCCTCAACTTCCCAGGCTCAGGTGGATTCTCTCACCTCAGCCTCCCAAGTAGCTGGGACTACAGGCACACACTAGCATGCCCAGCTAATTTTTGTATTTTTAGTAGAGATGGGAGTTCACCATGTTGGCCAGGCTGGTCTTGAACTCCTGACCTCGTGATCTGCCCACCTTGGCCTCCCAATGTACTGGGATTACAGGCATGAACCATGGCGCCCGGCCCATTTTTTGTAGAGATAGGATTTCACCATGTTGCCTATGTTGATCTCAAACTCCTGGGCTCAAGTGATCCGCCCACCTAGGCCTCTCAAGTGCATTCAAGTTTGGGAATCACTGCTCTAACCACTGTTACTAGAAGTTGTTTATGAGTGAGAGTATGAATATATTAATACATATGTTTTAGAGACAGTCTCTCTCTGTCATCCTGGCTGGAGTGCAATGGTGCAATCACAGCTCACTGGGGCCTCCAACTTCCGGACTCAAATCATTTTCCCACCTCAGCTTCCCAAATAGCTAGGACTATAGGTGGGTACCACTGTGCCTAGCAATTTTAAAGATTTTTGTGGCGATGGAGTCTTGCTATATTGCTCAGGCTGGTCTCAAACTCCTGGGCTCAAGCAATCTTCTGCTTCAGCCTCCTAAAGTTCTGGGATTATAGTTGTGAGCCGCTGTGCCTGGACTTAATATTCTTATATTTCCTGGCTTTCCTGGAGTAAGATTACATTACCAACTGATATAAGAAATACCTACTAAAATTTTATTTTGAAAAGAAGAAAAAGTAGGCCAGGCACAGTGGCTCACACCTGTAATCCCAACTCTTTGGGAGGCTGAGGTGGGAGGATTTTTTGAAACCGGAAGTTTGAAACCAGCCTGAGGAACATAGTGAAATCCCATTTCAAAATAAAAGCTTGGTCTGGTGGCCTGTGTCTTTAGTCTTGGCTACCTGGGATGCTGAGGTTTGCTTGAACCCAGGAGGTTGAGGCTGCAGTTTGCTGTGACTGGGCAGAGGCACTGGAGCCTGGATGACAGAGCAAGATCCTATCTAAAAAAAAAAAAAAAAAGAAAAGAAGAAGAAACAAGAAGGAAGAAGGAAGAAGATCCCGAGTAGAAGTGAAAGGGGAGAAAAAAGTTATGAAAACAAACAAAAAACAAGAGAAAAAAAAGCATTCTTATCTCCCCAACATAGTTTCTTCTCCTGCCTTAGCTTTCTCCCCACATGAATGGAATGGTATGTACTTATGAGGTTGATTGATATCCCTGTTATTTTGTAGCTGCTTTTGTTTTCATTTAGTATTGCACGGCATTCCTGTATGAGGGAAGTCTAGCTAAACTTTAAAAAACATTACACAGCAGCATTTCCCATGATGTCACAGTCTTCAGAATAAGATATATATGTGTGTATATATATGTATATATATGTGTATATGTGTATATATGTATATATGTGTATATGTGTATATATGTATATATGTGTATATATGTATATAAGTGTATATATGTATATATATGTGTATGTGTGTGTGTGTGTGTATATATATATATTTTTTTTTTTGTTTTTAGAAGACAAGTCTCATTCTGTCACCCAGGCCGAAGTTGCAGTGGCAGGATCACAGTTCACTGCAGCCTTGAACTCCTGGGTGCAAGTAATCCTCCCATCTCAGCCTCTGGAGTAGCTGCGACTACTGGCATGCATCACCACACCCAGCTAATTTTTTTTTTATATTTTTTGTAGAGACAGGGTTTGGCCATGTTACCAAGGCTGGTCTTGAACTCCTGACCTTAAGTGATCCACCCACTTCAGCCTCCCAAAGTATTGGGATTATAGGCGTGAGCCACCATGCCCAGCCACACCCAGGTAATTTTCAAAATTTTTGCAGTCATCATTTTTTTAAAAAGGAGACATTCAGGTTACTTAATAGAGTTGTGCCCTTGATCACCCATTTCCCTTAGTTGTTTCCAATTTTTCACCAACATAAATAATGCTGCCACCAATATTTGCACATACACCTTTTCCTAAATTTCAAATTATGTCCTTAGGATAGATTCCCAGAACCTGGGTTGCTGGATCAAAGGGTAGGAACATTTTTATGGCTTCTGCTGGGTGTTGCCAGACTGCTCTCCCGATGAGTGGCTACTGGTTTATGCTGCCGTTAGCGTCGTACAAGACTGCCAGTTTCCACTAGGCCTTCCTAGTGTGAGGTATTATGATTGAAAATAGTTTTGCTATTTTAATGAGAAAATAAACTACCTCTCCATTGTTTTAACTTTCTTTGGTTATGAGAGACAATTTTTTTTTTTTTTTGAGACAGAGTCTCGCTGTGTCGCCCAGGCTGAAGTGCAGTGGCACGATCTCAGCTCACTGCAACCTACACCTCCCGGGTTCCCTCAGCCCCCCAAGTAGCTGGGACTACAGGTGCCAGCCACCACGCCCGGCTAATTTTTGTATTTTTAGTAGAGATGGGGTTTCACTATGTTGGCCAGGCTGGTCTTTTTTTTTTTTTTTTTTTTTTTTTTTTTTTTGAGACGGAGTCTTGCTCTGTGGCCCAGGCTGGAGTGCAATGGCACGATCTCTGCTCACTGCAAGCTCCGCCTCCCGGGTTCACGCCATTCTCCTGCCTCAGCCTCCCGAGTAGCTGGGACTACAGGCGTGCGCCACCTTGCCCGGCTAATTTTTTGTATTTTTAGTAGAGACGGGGTTTCACCGTATTCGCCAGGATGGTCTTGATCTCCTGACCTCGTGATCCACCCGCCTCGGCCTCCCAAAATGCTGGGATTACAGGCATGAGCCACCGCGCCCGGCCCCAGGCTGGTCTTGAACTCCTGATCTCATGATCTGCCTGCCTCAGCCTCCCAAAGTCCTGGATTACAGGCATGAGAGACAATTAACAGCTTCCCCCACCCCTTAAAAATAAGCTAGTTAAGGCCGGGCGCGGTGGCTCACGCCTGTAATCCCAGCACTTTGGGAGGCCGAGGCGGGTGGATCACGAGGTCAGGAGATCGAGACCATCCTGGGTAACACGGTGAAACCCTGTCTCTACTAAAAATGCAAAAAATTAGCCGGACGCGGTGGCGGGCACCTGTAGTCCCAGCTACTCGGGAGGCTGAGGCAGGAGAATGGCGTGAACCCGGGAGGTGGAGCTTGCAGTGAGCCGAGATAGCGCCACTGCACTCCAGCCTGAGCGACAGAGCGAGACTCCGCCTCAAAAAAAAAAAAAAAAAAAAGCTAGTTAATACTTCTTCTTTAGTAAATTGGATTGGGAGGAAAGCTCTGGCATGCTCACAGTTTAACCTCTCTAAGCCTCAGTTTCTTCATCTCCAAAATGGAGTGGTACCAAAGTGATTGTAAAGTCAAGTGAGATAAAGTCTGGGGTAACTTCTTTTAACAGTGTAGGTATTCATTACCATAATCCCACTCAGCCTCAAATTTACCTAATATTTACCTGTGTATCATAAAACCTTCTGCTTTGTCAATAATCTTTTTTTTTTCCCCTTTTGAAACGGGGTCTCACTTTGTCACCCATGCTGGAGTTCAGCGGCATGATCTTGGCTCACTTCAACCTCCACCTCCCGGGTTCAAGTGATTCTCCTGCCTCAGCCTTCTGAGAGTAGCTGGGATTATAGGCGCGCACCACCACGCCCAGCTAATTTTTGTATTTTTAGTAGAGACGGGGTTTTGCCATGTTGGCCCGGCTGGTCTTGAATTCCTGACCTCAGGTGATCTGCCCTCGGCCTCCCAAAATACTGGGATTACAGATGTGAGCCACCATGACCGGCCAGCAATCTTGAAAACTTCCACCGCATCCCAAATCTTGAAAAACCTCTCTCTCTTTGTGTGCGTATGAGACAGAGAGAGAGGAGTGAGAGACAGAGGAGAGAGAGAGGAGAGAGAGGAGTGAGAGACAGAGGAGAAGGAGAGAGGAGAGAGGAGAGAGAGAGAGACAGAGAGAGACAGAGACAGAGAGAGAGACAGACAGAGAGAGAGAGAGACCTGAGGTCTTAGAAGACCTGAGGTCTTAGAAGGCTGGAGGCAAGGTCCCTCCTTTCCATTCTTTAATTTCCTCCGTTTTTCGAGGGAAACACTACGACTTGTTTGGAGTCTTACGGATAAGAGCCCTCTGTTACTAATGATATTAATAATGGCATCTGTTAATGAGGACGTCGTTATTATCTAACATTGGCAGGAGAAGAAAGCTCCGCGGCACAAGGGAGCAACCTCTCGTGTTCTGCAGACCCGATTTCGCATTTGGGAGAAGAGCTCTACTCCCCACAAAAGTCAGTGACACTCCAGACCCTGCAGAGACGCCTCCAGGGTGCGAAGTGGACTCTGGCCGACCTGTCAGGGGCAGCAGCCAGAATCCATCAGTTAACCACTCTGAAGGAAGTTTCTGCTTCAACGTTTTCCCCGTTGCTAGGAAACACTGCTTTGCCGCTGCTCATTGGTTAGCGCCCCCTCTTGTGTCTATGCCCTGTAATAGCACCCACAGTTGAGCAAACAGTAAAGACTAACACATGATTTAAATCGTCTTTATTGTGAAATATAACATACAGAAAAGTATCTAGGATATACATACAGCTTGGAAAATAGATATTGTGTATCTATTGTGTAACCACCACCTACAAAAACAAAGCATTGCCAGCGCATTAGACACTGGCCCTGCTTCTCTCCCTCCTTCTCCCCAGCAGGTGTTTATCTTTTCACTTTCCTTACAGTTTTATTACCTGTATGTATGTATCCTTTTTTAATATTTTATTTTCTTTGTTTTCTGGCTGCTCCTCCAATTTGCCCTGCTTGTTTCTGCCTCAGGGGCTTCGTACTTGCTATTCCTTCTGCCTGAAACACTTTTCCTCCAGACAGCCGCATAGCTAGTCCTTCACTTCCTTTGCCCAACGTCATCTTTTCAGTGAGCACTTCCCCAGCACTCCCTGTCCCCTGCTTTTTTTTTTTTTTTTTTTTTTTTGACACTGAGTTTCACTCTTGTCACCCAGGCTGGAGTGCTCACTGCAACTTCCACCTCCTGGGTTCAAGCGATTCTCCTGCCTCAGCCTTTCAAGTAGCTGGAATTACAGCCACCCACCACCATGCCCACCTAATTATTGTAGTTTTAGTAGAGACAGGGTTTCACCGTGTTGGCCAGGCTGGTCTCAAACTCCTGACCTCAGGTGATCCACCTTCCTCGGCCTCTCAAAGTGCTGGGATTACAGGCGTGAGCCACTGTGCCCAGCCCCCTCTTCTTACATAGCACTTAGCACCCTCTGACACATTTTTCTTACCTCCATCTTCCTCCACTAGAGTTGAAGCTACAACAGAGTTTCTCAGCTTCAGCACTATTGCCGTCTGAGGCTGGAGAATTCATTGTTATGGAGGCCTAGCCCGTGCACTGCAGGGCATTTGGGAGTATCCCTGGCCTTTACAAACCAGATGCCAGTTGCGCCCTCCTCACCATGGTTGTGACAACTAAAAGTGTCTCCAGGCATTGCCAAATGTTCCCTGGTTGGTGGTGCGGCAGGATGGTGGCCAGGGCAAAAATCACCTCACTGAGAATTGCTAAGACTTTGGGCTGGCTTTGTTTACCCCTTGTCTAAAACACAGTCAGGTAGCCAGTAAGTGTTTACTCATCTCAGTCTCAGCAGAGCCTGGCACACAGAGTGAAGTCTCAATAGAAGTTTGATGAATGAGGCCGGGTGCCATGGTTCATGCCTATAATCCTAGCACTTTGGGAGGCCGAGGTGGGCGGATTGCCTGAGCTCAGGAGTTTGAGACCAGCCTGGGCTACATGGTGAAACACCATCTCTACTAAAATACAAAAAATTAGCCAGGCATGGTGGTGCGTGCCTGTAGTCCAAGCTACTCAAGAGACTGAGGTAGGAGAACCGCTTGAACCCGGGAGGCGGAGGTTTCAGTGAGCCGAGACCATGCCACTGCACTCCAGCCTGGGTGACAGAGCGAGACTCTGTCTCAAAAAAAAAGTTTGATGAATGACTAAATGACTGACTGAATGAATAAGTGACTGATTGAATGAGTGACTAAATGACTCACTGAATGAGTGATACAGTGACCTCAAGGGTTGACAGCTGCCTTTGAATCTTACCAAATTATTTCCTTTAGTTTTTACTCCAACCAAAGAGTGTTGGTGTGGGAAATTCATCAAGAATATAGGCTTGAGGTCAATTGAAAGGAACCTTGCCTATAATCCCAGCACTTTGGGAGGCCGAGGCAGGCGGATCAACTGAGGTCAGGAGTTCGAGACCAGCCTGACCAACATGGTGAAACCCCATCTCTACTTAAAATACAAAAATTAGCTGGGCGTGGTGGTGTGTGCCTGTAATCCTAGCTACTCGGGAGGCTGAGACAGGAGACTTGCTTGAACCCAGGAGGCGAAGGTTGCAGTGAGCCAAGATCACACCACTGCACTTCAGCCTGGACAACAGAACAAGGCTCAGTTTCAAAAAAAAAAGAAAAGAAAAGAAAAAGAAAGAAAGGGATCTTGTCAAGGTTCCCCTGGGACACCTTTCTTAGCCAAATAACTTGAAAAAGTTTTCTACACTCCATGTCTACATGTTTCTACTCCCTCACCAACTAGGCTCGCTCACTTGACTCCACCCTGAACTCTGCCCTTAGCACTCCCCTGAAACTGCTCTGGATCAAGTCACCAGTGGCTTCCTTGTTATGAAACCCATCAGCACTGCAAAGATGGAGTAACAGAGACTGGGTTTGCCTCCCACTGGAAACAACTAAAAATCGGACAACACATGTGAAACAACCATTTTTAGACATTGGACATCAGACAGTGGAAGGCTGTGACCCCCAGAGAGGGGAAGCAAACGATGTGAGTTCCACAGTTGCCCTGGTCTACAGGCTGCAGTGCAGAGAAGGTGCTACAGACTGAAGTGTGTCCCCCACATTCATACCCTGAAGCCCTGACTCCCAATGTAGCTGTATTCGGAGATGGGGCCTATGAGGAGATAAAGGTTAAATGAGGTTATAAAAGTGGGCCCTAAGCTAGGTGCGGTGGCTCACGCCTGTAATCCCAGCACTTTGGGAAGCCAAGGGGGGTGGATCACAAGGTCAGGAGATCGAGACCATCCTGGCTAACACAGTGTAAACCCCGTCTCTACTAAAAATACAAAAAATTAGCCGGGCATGGTGGCGGGCGCCTGTAGTCCCAGCTACTCAGGAGGTTGAGGCAGGAGAATGGCATGAACCCAGTAGGCAGAGCTTGCAGTGAGCCGAGATCACGCCACTGCACTCCAGTCTGGGCAACAGAGCAAGACTGTGTCTCAAAAAAAAAAAAAAAAAAAAAAGTGGGCCCTAAACTGATAGGGCTGGTGCCCTTAAAAGAAGAGACTCTAAGCCTGGGCAACATAGTGAGTTCCTATCTCTACAAAAAATAACAAAATTAGCAGAATGTGGTGGCACGTGCCTGCAGTCCTAGCTACTCAGGAGGCTGAGGTGGGAAGATTGCTTGAACCCAAGAGTTTGAGGCTAAAGTGAGCTATGATCGCACCACTACACTCCAGCCTGAGCAAAAGAGTAAGATCCTGTCTCTAAGAAAAAAAGACGATGAAAGACATTCTCTCTGTCTCTGTTTCTGTCTCTCTCTTTGCCATGTGAGGACACAGTGAGAAGGGAACCATCTACAGGCCAGGAAGAGAGCTCTCCCCAGAAACTGACCATGCTGACACCTTGATCTTGGACTTGCCAGCCTTCAGAACCATGAGTAATAAGTTTATGTTGTTTAAGCCACCACCCAGTATGTGGTATTTTGTTTTTTGTTTGTTTTAGAGACAGAATCATGCTGTGTCACCCAAGCTGGAATGTAGTGGCACAATCATAGCTCACTGCAGCCTCAAATTCCTGGGCTCAAGTGATCCTCCCACCTCAGCCTCTCAAGTAGCTGGGACTACAGGCATGTGCCACCACATCCAGCTTTCCAATTTATGGTATTTTGTTATGGCAGCCTGAGAAGACTAAAAAGAGTAGCCCAGGCATGGTCCGATGATCTTACTGGATTGAAGAGATGGGGGTCTGGGGAGGTGAAGGCCACTGAAGTTCTCAGAGCCGACCACCACAGCAGACACTGCTGCAGAGAGAGAGCGATCCCTGGACATCTCCAGAGGGTCCTGCTCATGTCTTCAGCTGAGTGCTGATCAATGCATGCATGAGACAAGACTCAGCAGCATTTTTCATTCTTCACTTACTTTATTCCTCAGAAGTTCTTGACACAACTAACTTACCTCTTCTTTTTTTTTTCTTTTTTTTTTTGAGATGGAGTCTTACTCTGTTGACCAGTCTGGAGGGCAGTGGCGCTATCTCAGCTCACTGCAACCTCCACCTCCTGGGTTCAAGCGATTCTCCCACATCAGCCTCCTGAGTAGCTGGGATTACAGGCCATGCACTACCAGACCCAGCTAATTCTTTTTCTTTTTTTTTGAGACTGAGTTTCGCTCTTGTCACCCAGGGTGGAGTGCAATGGTGCAATCTCGGCTCACTGCAACCTCTGCCTCCTGGGTTCAAGTGATTCTCTTGCTTCAGCCTCCCAAGTAGCTGGGATTACAGGCATGTGCCACCATGCCTGGCTAATTTTTGTTTGTTCATTTGTTTGTTTGTATTTTTAGTAGAGACGGGGTGTCACCATATTGGCCAGGCTGGTCTCGAACTTCTGACCTCAGGTGATCCACCCACCTGGGCCTCCCAAAGTGTTGGGATTACAGGCATGAGCCACCACGCCCGGCCACCTCTTCTTCTTAAACCATTTCTTCCCCTTGGCTTCTGTGAACCCCTTCTTCCTGTTTGTTTGTTTGTTTGCTTCTTGTCTTCCTGTCCACACCTTCTGGGTTTTCTTTTCCTCAACCTGAGTTTTAAATGCTGAGGGTCTTCAAAGTTTGATCTTCAGCCCTATTCTCTTCCTATTCCACATTTGGTCCCCAGCACCTCACATAATGGCCGCCACATACTAGGAACTCAAATATGTATTGATTTCCTGTTGTTCAGGTAGGTGTTCACAACTCCTAGAGTGTTGTGAGGCTTTTCACCTGTTTCCCAGCCCCATATATCCAACTGCATGAGACGTGCATCCTCTTACATGTCCCTTAAATACCTCAAAATCATCACATCCAAGATAGAATGTGTCATGTGCTCCAGATGTTCCTCCCCAAATACATTCTGTTCTTTCATGACACTGGAGGCAGGTTGGAAGCACAGGCACTCCACTAGAGACTACATTTCCCAGCCTCCTTTGCGGTTAAGGGTGGTTAGTGACTAAGTTCTTATGGTAGAATGGGAATTAAAATGATGTACACAATTTCTGTGTCCTTGCTTAAAAAGAATTTTCTTATCTTCTATGTCCTCTCATCTCCCTGCCCATAGACCGGAACGCAGACAGAGTGACCACTTAGCTTTGATCCTACAGACTAAGATAACCCTCTAAGACACAACTGAGCCACAGATGGGTCCCTGAGTGACTATGTGGAGCAGAGTTATCCCACCAGTCTGGACTGCTCAACTCTGGAATGCTACTGGAAGAAAAACAAAGTCCTAATTTATTTAAGCCACTGTATTTTTGTATCTCTTTGTCATAAAGCTGAAAGGTCTATTCCTAACTAATCTACACACAAACCTGCTTTCCCATCCACATTTAGAAAAGAACATACTGTCATTGCTGTATGACAAGCTTCTTAGGCTGTAAGGAACAGAAATTCCAACTCAAATTGGGTGAAAGAAAGAGGGAAGTTTCTTGCTTCATAAAATAGGGTTAACTTCATGGGCAGCTTGATCCAGAAGGTAACATTGTCATCAGGGCTTGGTTTCTCAGCTTCTCTGGGTTCTACTCCACTTCCTGTAGACTCATTCTCAGACTGGCCCCTATATAGAGCAAGATGGTGGCCATGATGCCAAAGTTCACAGCCTTGCATCATGAAATGCAACAGAGAAGTAGTTGCTTCTCTTAGAAGCCCCAGCAAAAGTCTCCGTTTCAATGATCTATTGCAGTGTAATAAACCATTGCAAAGCTTAGTGGCTTAAAACACAGCAATTTGCTGTTTTTCATGATTCTTCAATGGGGTCTGAGCGCAGCTGTGCGGTTGAAGAGCAAGGGTGGAGAAAGAAGAAGAGGGACAGTGGGGAAAGGGGACAGAAGAACAGGGACAGTGGAATGTGGAAAAGTTGGGGAAGGGGTGGGTGGGGAAAGGGGAAAAGTGGAAAGGGGGAAAGAAGGGGAGCAGTGGGGAAAAATGGGGAGGAAGGTGGGGAAAAAGGAAAGAAGAGAGGACAGTGGCAAAAAGTGGAGGAAAAGGTGGGGAACAAAGGTGGGGAAAGGGGAAAGAAGAAGCAGGACACTGGGGAAGAGAAGAAAAAAGAGGAGAGGCAGGAGCTGTCAGGCCTCTTAAAGGCCCGCCTGGGACAGTCGCATGTCACTTGTGCTATAGTCCGTTGGTCAAGGCAAGTCACCATTCCATCTGAGATTGAAGGGGAGAGGAAGCTGACTGCCACTTGATGGCAGGGGCAACACATGCACCCAAGGTGAGTGGAGATTGGTGGCTTCATCTTTGGAGACTAGCTATTTGATGACCTGTTGGTTCTGTTCAGTTCTGAGCCTGAATTAGTTGGTTTACAGACTATGCTGCTGTGCCAAAGACACCCAAAAATGGGAGAAGGAAGAATAGACTCTGGCGGACAGCTAGTGCTTCTGTCTTGTGCTCATGAATCAATGACTAGAATAGGCTGATTGGCAAAATGCCAGTCAAGACCCATCCTTTGGGCTAGTGGTGGGGTCAACCCTCCCAAAACTCACTGGGTACAGGTTTTATTTATTTTTACCTTTTAAAAAATTGGGATATAATATGCAAAATGTAAAATTATAACCATTTTTAAGTGTGCAATTTAGCAACAATAAGTACATTCACGAGGTCTTGAAATCATCACCATTATTCATCTCCAGAACTTTTTAATCACTGCAAACAAAACACTCTGTACATGTTAAGCATAACTCTCTATCTCACCCTTCCCTCAGCTCCTGGTATCTTCTTTCTGTCTCTATGAATTTGCCTATTCTAGGTGTTCATAAGTGGAATCATACAATATTGTGTGTGCGTGTCTGGCTTATTTCACTTAGCATTATGTTTTCAAGGTCTATCCATGGTGTAGCAGAAATCAGGATTTTATTCCCTTTTATGGCTAAATCATATTGCATACAATGGATAGGCCACATTTTGTTTACCCATTCATCTGTTGATGGACACTTCGGTTGTTTCCACTTTTTGGCTATCATAAACACTGATGCTATGAACATTGGTGTACAAGTACCTCTTTGAGTCCCTATTTTCAATTCTTTTAATTTTTTTTTTTTTTTTTTTTTTTTGACAGAGTCTTGCTCTGTCGCCCAGGCTGGAGTGCAGTGGCACGATCTTTGGCCTGGCCAACATGGTGAAACCCCATCTCTACTAAAAATACACAAAAATTAGCTGGGCGTGGTGGCTTATGCCTGTAATCCCAGCACTTTGGGAGGCTGAGGCGGGCAGATCACTTGAGGCCGGGAGTTTGAAACCAGCCTGGCCAACATGGTGAAATCCTGTCTCTACTAAAAATACAAAAAAATTAGCTGGGTGTGGTGGCATGTGCCTGTAATCTCAGCTACTCAGGAGGCTGAGGCAGAAGAATCGCTTGAACCTGGGAGGCGGAGGTTGCAGTAAGCCGAGATTGTGCCATTGCACTCCAGCCTGGGAGACAAGAATGAAAGTTGGCTCAAAAAAAAGAAATAGGCAATTACTCTGCTGAGTGTTAGGAACTCCAGCCACTGGGAAAGCCCAGGGGGCTGATGGTGAGCACACACCTCAAGTCATACTGTGGATTAGACCTTTGGAATGTCTTCAAGTTTACCCTTCCTATCTTTTCCTGTGGCCACCGGTCCCCCCTGCCTCTAATCTCACCCCATTAGTCTGAGTCCTCCAAGAAGCAAATACCAGGATAAGATTAAATTGTGCTAGGATTTTATTAAAGAAAACACGTGTAGCAGGGAAACGGGGAGGGAGCTGGGAGGGTTGGGATGTAAGTCCAGCCCCAGGTGAGGAAGAGAGGGAAAGAGGGTTGGGTAGAAGGGTCCTAGTTGGCCATGCAGTCTAAGGAGGGTTTGGCAGGGTGTCGGGGAGTCCTTAAGCCAAAGTCAGCTCAGAGAAATCCCATGTCTCCTAGGAATGGGCCTGCCTTAGCATCCCACTCTTGGCAAAGTCATCAGGTGGGGGCATCTCAAGGGAACTGTGTCCTTGCTGCAAACAGAGTACAGCAGTGCTTGGTCAATTAGGATCCCTAGAGTTGGAGGCCTGTGAGGCTCATTCTCATCCCTCCACAGCCCCCACAGGGCTACCAGAGGAGTGCAGTGATCTTTCTGAAGTGCAGTCTCACTATGCCATTTTTCTGCTCGAACTCCCTCCAAGGCTCCCTGTTGTCCTTATGGTCCTTAGGCTAGTGTCTCAGCTCTTTATCTCAGGTATCAAGGTCCTGCTGGGGGAGGGGAGCAATTAACCTCTGTGCTCTGTTGCCCACCTGTCCTCGGCCCTACTCAGATCTTGGATGCCTCAACTACACTGGGCTGACCCCTTGTTGCTCTGAGACGTGCTATCCTCTTTTTTTTTTTTTTTTTTTGACAGAGTTTCGCTCTTGTTGCCCAGGCTGGAGTGCAGTGATGCCATCTTGGCACACTGCAACCTCTGCCTCCCGGGTGCAAGTGATTCTCCTGCCTCAGCCTCCCGAAGTAGCTGGGATTACAGGCGTCCACCACCACGTCCAGCTAATTTTTGTCTATTTTTAGTTGAGACAGGGTTTCACCATGTTGGCCAGGCTGGTCTTGAACTCCTGACCTCAGTGATCCACCCGCCTTGGCCTCCCAAAGTGCTGGGATTACAGGCGTGAGCCACCGCGCCCGGCCGTGCTATCCTCTTTTATTCCTCCACGCCTTTGCCCATGCTGTGACCTCTGCCTGGATAGCCCTTCCCTACATCTCCCAGCTCCAGTGTTAAGTGCTTCCCTCAGCTTCCTAGGTTTAGTCAGCAGCGTCCCTTCGCTCCATCTCTGGTACAGGCCCAGATCCTCTAGAGTAGACAGAAGATTCCAGGGGCTGTGTCGGGAGAACAGGATAAACAACCGCCACAGTCCTCTCGGACTTCTCTTGAAGGGACAGATGTCCCTTCAAGTCCCTTTTGGGCATATGCGCAGAAGCGTATGTGCAGAAGTATTAGTTTAAAAGCTGATAATATACCATGCTTTGTTTATTCATTCACCCATTGATGGACACTTGTGCTTCCCCTTTTTGGCTACTGGAAATAATTCTGCTTTGAAAATGGGTGTACAGATATCCCTTCAAGTCCCCTTTGGGCATATGTGCAGAAGTAGAACTGCTGGATCACGTGGTAATTCTATTTTTAGTTCTTTGAGGAATCACTATACTGTTTTCCATAGCAGAAGTTGAAATTGAATTAAAAAAAATCTTCCCGGCACAAGCTGGCTTGTATGGTTTTGAAATCTGTACTCTCACCCTCCCTCCACTGTGATCAAAGCAGAAATCTAGCACACAGCATCCAGGACAGCCAAAGACCAAAGCCCATCCCCTTCCACATAACCTCCTCCTCACCCCTCCACTTTTCAACGCTGCCTTCCTGGGCTCAAGATTCAATGCTTTATTTTTAGCCCACACGTTGGACTGGGGCTCCAGGAATGCACTTGATGCCTGAGGTGTAACCAGACCCCTGCGTGCACCACTTTTAGCTCCCGCCTTTAGCTTGACATGATAAAAAGCCTTCCACAAAGCAGCTGTAAGCTTGTGGGCCGCAGGCCTGATCCAGTTTTATTTAACCACTGATAATTTGAATTTTTTTTTTTTTAAAAAAGTGGTCTGGGTGCAGTGGCTCACGCCTATAATCCCAGCACTTTGAGAGGCCAAGGTGGGCGGATCACTTGAGGTCAAGACTTCAAGATTAGCCTGGTCAATATGGTGAAATCCTGTCTCTACTAAAAAAAAAAAAAAAAAAAAAAAAAAATTCCAGGTATGGTGGCAGGTGCCTGTAGTCCCAGCTACTTGGGAGGCTGAGGCAGGAGAATCCCTCAAGTCTGGGAGGCAGAGGTTGCAATCGTGCCACTGCACTCCAGCCTGGGCAACAGAGTGAGACTCCATCTCAAAAAAAAAAAAAAGTGGCCGGGCATGGTGGCTCACGCCTGTAATCCCAGCACTTTGGGAGGCTGAGGCGGGTGGATCACGAGGTCAGGAGATCGAGACCATCCTGGCTAACAGGGTGAAACCCCATCTCTACTAAAACTGCAAAAAATTAGCCAGGCATGGTGGCACGTGCCTGTAGTCCCAGCTACCCAGGAAGCTGAGGCAGGAGAATCGCTTGAACCTGCGAGGCGGAGGTTGCAGTGAGCCGAGATGGGGCCATTGCACTACAGCCTGGGCGACAGAGCAAAACTCTGTCTCAAAAAAAAAAAAAAGTGGTAAAATAGACATAAAATTAACCACCATAACCATTTTTAAGTGTACAGTTCAGTGGCGTTAAATACTTTCACAGTGTTGTGCAATTATCACAACCATCCATATCTAGGGCTGTTTTCATCTTCCCAAACTGACACTCTGTCCCCATTAAACACTAACTCTCATTCCCCGTCCCGCAGCCTCTGGCACCCACCATTCCACTTTCTGTCTCTATGAATCTGATTACTCTAGGTACCTCATATATATGGAATCATAACTGTATTTGTCCTTTTAACATAATGTTCTCAAGGTTTATCTGTGTGGTAGCATGTGTCACAATTTCTTTTTTTTTATTTTTATTTTTTTCTTAGAGACAGAGTCTTACTCAGCCACCCAGGCTGGAGTGCAGTGGCATGATCATGGTTCACTGCAGCCTCCACTTCCTGGGCTCAAGTGATCCTCCCACCTTAGTCACCTAAGTAGCTGGGACCACAGGCATGTGCCACCACGCTTGGCTAATGTTTTTATGTTTTGCAGAGATGGGGTTTTGCCGTGTTGCCCAGCCTGGTCTTGAACTCCTGGGGTCAAGTGATCCTCCTACCTCAGCCTCCCAAAGTGCTGACATTACTGGCATGAGCCAGTATGCCTGGCTAGAATTTCCATATTTTCCCCCTTTGGTTTTTATTTTTTTGTGAAGTCTCAAATAATTTCCTTTTTTAAAAACTGATAATATACCATGCTTTGTTTATTCATTCGCCCATTGATGGACGCTTGTGCTTCCCCTTTCTGGCTACTGGAAATAATGCTGCTTTGAAAATGTGTGTACAGAGATCCCTTCAAGTCCCCTTTGGGCATATGTGCAGAAGTAGAACTGCTGGATCATATGGTAATTCTATTTTTAGTTCTTTGAGGAATCACTATACTCTTTTCCATAGCAGAAGTGGAAATTTAAAAAAAAAAAAAAATAGTTGCCAAACTCTAGATTTGGGGCTTCTGCTAAGAAACTGGAGGTCTGACCCCAATGGTCTTGCACTTGCAGAACCAGCCTCCTCAGGCCCCTCAGAGACACCTCCCCAGCTAAGCAGTGCCCTTTCCCCAGAGGTCTGGGTCCCAGCTCTGGAGGACCCTCTCTCAATCTTCTCACACTTTATTTATTTATTTATTTATTTATTTATTTATTTATTTATTTATTGAGACAGAGTCTTGCTCTGTCGCCCAGGCTGGAGTGTAGTGGCGCTATCTCGGCTCACTGCAAGCTCTGCCTCCCAGGTTCATGCCATTCTCCTGCCTCAGCCTCCCGAGTAGCTGGGACCACAGGTGCCCGCCACCACGCCCGGCTAATTTTTTGTATTTTTAGTAGAGACAGGGTTTCACCGTGTTAGCCGGGATGGTCTCCATCTCCTGACCTCGTGATCCACCCGCCTCGGCCTCCCAAAGTGCTGCTGGGATTACAGGCATGAGCCACTGCGCTCGGCTATTTATTTATTTATTTATTTACTGAGACGGAGTCTTGCTCTGTTGCCCAGGCTGGAGTGTAGTGGCATGATCTCGGCTCACTGCAGCCTCTACCTCCCAGGTTCAAGTGATTCTCCTGCATCAGCCTCCCAAGTAGCTGGGATTACAGGTGCCCGCCACCAAGCCTGGCTAATTTTTGCATTTTTAGTAGAGATAGGGTTTCACCATGTTGGCCAGGCTGGTCTCGAACTCCTGACCTCAGGTGATCTGCCCACCTTGGCCTCCCAAAGTGTTGGGATTATAGACTGAGCCACCGCACCCAGCCTCTCACTTCTTTTTTTTTTTTGAGACAGAGTCTTGCTTTGTCTCCCAGGCTGGAGTGCAGTGGTGCGATCTCAGCTCACTGCAAGCTCTGCCTCCCGGGTTCATGACATTCTCCTGCCTCAGCTTCCCAAGTAGCTGGGACTACAGGCACCCGCCACCACGCCGGGCTAATTTTTTGTATTTTTAGTAGAGATGGGGTTTCATCATGTTAGCCAGGATGGTCTTGATCTCCTGACCTTGTGATCCGCCCATCTCGGCCTCTCAAAGTGCTGGGATTACATGTGTGAGCCACCACACCTGGCCCCGGCCTCTCACTTCTAATAGCTACAACCTCTTTCCTTTTTCTCTCTAGCCCTAGGCAGTTCCCTCAGTTACACTTTGTGATACTATGGTCCCTTTCTGCGTTTCTAGTAGTCCTGCACCTGGTTAACATGTCCCTCTATTAAATTCTTTCTGTTAAAGCACCTGGTGTGGTTTTCGTTCGCTTGGCTGACAGATCCCACTTAGCTGGTGTTCTCACCTGGAATTGCTAGACAGCAGCTGCCCCCTTTGGTCAGGTATATGCTCTTCTGTTCCCCTCTTCCTGCTCCCTACTTTTTTCATTTTTATTTTTATTTTTTTGATACCGGGTCTCGCTCTGTCACCCAGGCTGGGGTGCAGTGGTATGATCATGGCTCACTGCAGCCTTGACTTCCTGGGCTCCAGCGATTCTCCCACTCCAGCCTCCCAAGTAGCTAGGTCCACAGGTACACGCTACTACACTCCTGATCTCAAGCAATCCACCCACCTTGGCCTCCCAAAGTATTGGGATTATAGGTGTGAGCCACTGCACCCAGCCCCCACTTTTCTACATCTTGCTGACTCTGTATGCCTGACCCTAAGGGGATCTGATTTGTGCTCCTGTCTAATGTAATAACGCCCATTGATTGAGCATCACCTATGTGCCAGAGTCTGTGCATAAGACTTTATGTAATTATCTCATGCAGTTCTCAACATAATACCGTGAGGTGGGCACTGTTATGCTCCCCATTGTACAGATGAGAACATTAAGGCTGGGAGAGGGGAGGACTTGACCAAAATCACAGCCAGGGCCAGCATTGGTGGCTCACGCCTGTAATCCTAGCACTTTGGGAGGTCGAGGCAGGTGGATCACCTGAGGTCAGGAGTTTGAGACCAGCCTGGCCAATATGGTGAAAACCCATCTCTACCAAAAATACAAAAATTAGCCAGGTGTGGTGGCAGGTGCCTATAATCCTAGCTACTCAGGAGGCTGAGGCAGGAGAATCACTTGAATATGGTGGGTGGAGGTTGCAGTGAGCTGAGATCACACCACTTCACTCCAGGCTGGGCAAAAGAGCAAAACTCTGTCTCAAGAAAAAGAAAGAAAGAAAGAAAGAAAGAAAATAAAATCACAGCCAGGCAGTGGCAGAGCTGGCCACAGGGACCCATCATTCCTATAAAATGAGGCTAACCACATTGTTCCCAAGTCAGTAAGTTCATACTTCTATCGTGAAAACTGTGTTTTATTTATATGTTTAATAAATATCTGATCTGTGCACTCTGGGCTCCCGTTAAATTAGGTTACATACAAGTACTTGAAATCAAAACCTCAGAAGTTACCCTTCTGAGTTTTGAGAACAGCATGTCTGTGACCATCAAGAACTCAGTTCAAGTTCAGGATATCAATCACATAGCATGGTGACCATAGTTAATAACAATGTATTGTATACTTTGCAAATTGCTGACAGTAGGTTTTTACTGTTCTCATCATAAAAAAAGGGTATGTGAGGGATACATATGTTAATTAGCTTGATTTAGCCATTCCACATATTTCAAAACATGTTGTACACTACAAATACATGCAATTTTTATTTGTCTTTTTTTTTTTTTTTTAATTTTAGAGAAACGATCTTGCTCTGTCGCCCAGGCTGGAGTGCAGTGGCTTGATCGTACCTCACTGCAGCCCTGAACTCCTGGGCTCAAGCAGTCCTCCTGCCTCAGCCTCTTGAGTAGCTGGAACCGCAGGTATGTACAGGTATGTACCGCCACATTTGGTCATTAAAAAAAAATTGTAGAGATGGGGGTCTCACTATGTTGCCCAGGTTGGTCTTGAACTCTCAGCTTCAAGCGACCCTTAGCCTGAGCCTCCCAAAGTGCGAGGATTACAGTTGTGAGCCCCCATGCCTGGCTGCCATTTAGTTTCTGATGATCATTTTCCTGCCTTTTTTTTTGGGTGCAAAAAAAATGGTTTTAGTCCTCAGCATCTTACCTGCATCAGGTTCACCAAGGGGCCCCAGCCCGATGGCTCCCTGCCTCAAAGCAGTGGACCATCCATCTCTCCCAGGATGGCTCGGTAGCACCTGAGAGCGCATGCAGATAGCCTGGGATTTGAGAAAAACCATGAACCCAGACAGATCACAGCTTGCAGAGCTCAGGGTCCCTTGCTGTCCTCTGAGAGCAGTGACCTCCCAGAATCTTCCTGCTGGTCCAGGTACTGTGAAGCCTCAGGCCCCACACCCACCCTCTGCCTTCCATCCTTGCAGCTGGGTTGCACAGCAGTACTGCCCAAATGAGATGCCCCTGCCCGGGCTGGTGCCAACATTCAGACCACATGGAAGGAAAAGTGTTCTGTTTATTGGTCTGGCTTGGTCTCCTGTGCGTCTCTCAGAATGCTGCTCTGCCCTTGTGGGCTCAGGGGTCGCAGTGGTGGTCACACTGGGGCCTGCCTCTGCTGCCCACCTGGAAGTGGCCTCAGTCAGTCTTCCTGAACCCTGGAAGGCAAAGACCACAGGATGGCATGGGATTCTGAAGGCAGCCAGGCTTCATCCCCACCATCACCTCAGATGCCCAAGTACCCCTCACAGCTGGCATGATGTAGTCACCCCAGAAGCCATGGGTCTCAATGAACCACAGTCATAATAGCTAGTTTTCTTTTTCTTCATTACATGGATTAAAGGAGACAGATATTTCCCCAGCACAGCCACACAGCCACTTGGCCTCTCCATTCTGAGGCATAAGGTGGTCACAGAGCTGTTAGTCAAGAAAGACGATGTGCTTTCGCCCAGCCCAGCCACTAAAGCTGTGTGACTGTGGGCGAGTCACTCCACCTCTCTGAGCCTCATTTTCCTATTGGTCAAGTGTAACATTGCTAAAGCCTACCTCCCCAGTTGCTATTAGGCAAGTACAGCCATGGAGAAGACAGCGTTTGGGGAAGTGTAAAGTTCTATAAGAGAATGAAGACTAACCAGACCATTTTTCTACTGTTTCACACTTCAGGCCTTTGCATCCATTCCTCACTTGATCTTCACAACACACTTGTGCAGCAGAAAAGTATTACACCTATTTTCCAGTTGAGGAAACCGAGGCTACACGGCTCATCCAGGGTCACAGAGCTAGTAAACTGGCAGAGGTAGGACTCAAACCTGGGTCCTCTGCCTCCAGGCTGTGTTCTTTCCTGTATGCTAAGCCTCTTTCTAAATGAAGACCCTGCTAGGGAGAAAATGAGTGAACACAGGAAGACTTTAAAAGTTACCTGTCAGCCTAAACTTCTGGAAGAGGGGGATGAAGCCTTGGAGGACGCTGTGGATACGGTACACTGCTCAGAAGCAAAGAAAAAAGTAAGTTAAGTTTGTGCCCCAACAAGGGACACCAGGCCACCACTGGACAAGGGCCTAACTCATGCAAACAAAGCTCTGATGGTGGAACTTCAGGCAGCAGGTTAAGCTTAGATAATGGTACTAGAGTTATTATTACTAAAAACAACAACCACGAACAGCAGAAGTAGTGGCAGGAAACTCACTCACCAAATTCAGTTCCCAACTCCATTAACTAACTTGTTTTCAGTATCTGGCTAGTTCTATTTTGTTTGCCACTTTTATTTATTTATTTTATAGACAGAGTCTTGCTATGTTGCCCAGGCTGAACGAATTCCTGGGCTCAAGCAATCCTCTTGCCCCAATCTCCTGAGTAACTGGAATTACAGGCGTGTGCCCTGGGCCCGGCCTCTTTGGCACTTTAAACTGTTGCTGTTGCATTGTATGGAGCTGCCTGTTTTTCCCACAGGGTTTTGCCAGTGACCTTACATTGACCTTGAAAGTGGTGAGGAAGAAAACATGAGCATAAGGAAATTTTTTTTTTTTTTTTTGAGACAGAGTCTCGCTCTGTTGCCCAGGCTGGAGTGCAGTGGCACAAGCTTGGCTCACTGCAACCTCCGCCTCCTGGGTTCAAGCACTTCTCCTGTCTCAGCCTCCCGAGTAGCTGAGATTACAGACATGCGCCACCAGGCCTGGCTAATTTTTTGTATTTTTAGTAGAGACAGAGTTTCACCATGTTGGTCAAGCTGGTCTCAAACTCCTAACCTCAGGTGATCCACACACCTCAGCCTCCCAAAGTGCTGGGATTACAGGCGTAAGCCACCGCGCCTGGCCAGAAAATTTTTTTAAAAGTGTAGATTGTGACTCTCTGGTCCATACTTGAATGAGTATGAAAATGAATATTTCTACCCACGACCCCTCCAAGAGACTGTGTGTGTGTCCATGCTGGGGGAGGGGCTTACCTAGTCCGAAGTAGATGCCAACGGTTTCCAGGGAGGCGAAGGTGAGCAGGCCGACCCCAAGAGACATGAACCAGTCTGGAAGGGCAGTGAGGGAGGGAATGGTCAGCCTCCAGGTCTTGACGCCCCTGCCCCCTGCACCACCCCATGCCATCCCCCTTGTGCATTCCCCAGGGCACCTCCCCTCACCTGCGTAATAGTGATAACACACCAGCAAGGCCCCGATGGCAAAGCACAGGAGGACGAAATGGAAAAACTCATCTGTGAAGGCAGGGGTGGGCAATCACTATCTGCTGCTTTCTCTCTCTTTTTTTGGGCAGAGGAGACAAGGTCTTGCTCTGTCACCCAGGGTGGAGTGCAGTTGTGCGATCCCAGCTCATTGCAGCCTTGAAGTCCTGGGCTTAAGCAATTCTCCTGCTTTAGCCTCACAAGCAGCAAGGCCTACAAGTGCATGCCACCACACCCAGCAAATTTTTAAAATTTTTAGTAGAGATAAGGTCTCGCTATGTTGCCCAGGCTGGTCTCGAACTCCTGGCTTCAAGCAATCCTCTCATCTCGGCCTCCCAAAGTATTGGGATTACAGCTGTGAGCCACCATGCCTGGCCTCTTTTTTTTTTTTTTTTTAATTACAAAAAATCTCTGTGTGGAGCACCATGGTCTTTCCTCTTGCCCTCCCCTTCCTCCTAGAAGTCCCCATGGATTCCAGGCCTGGAGCAGGGAAGTTGCTCCCATTTTCACTGCTCCTTTCCGATTCTGGTCTAATCTAACCTTACAACTTTCTCAGCTCAGCTGACCCTCCAGTTCCCCATCCTGGCCACAAGACCTGGAAGGTATTTACCATCCTAGTGACTGTGCATAGCAGAAAGAGCAGAGGACCAGGGCTCAAGCTCAGGCCACTCCACTCACAAGCTGTAAGGCCACTCCCCAACCTTGAACCTCAGTTTTCATATCTGCAAAATGGGAACCATTGTCCCACCCTGTTGAGGTGATTCTGAGCTGAGTAATGTGTAAACTGCAGGGCACACGACAGAGGTGGGCTATGATTACTGCTGTGCTAGGCCACCAGCTGCATTTCACCCCTAGAAATCTAGCCAGACAGGAAAAAGCAGCTCTGCTACACCAAGTTCCTTACCATCTTTCTTTATATTCAGTCTTCTTAACTGAGAGGCCTCCACTTCTCCTTAAGAACAAGAGAGAGATGAATATTTAACTTTGATGCAGGACGGGAGGTGGGATTTTCTTTTCCCTGCCTCATTGAGAATTAATATCCTGGGTATATCTTCCTGGGTCAGAGGGCACTCACTGCAGGACCAGTCAAACTGTGAAGATGGGGGTACTGTCCTTGGAACCCCCACTGACTTCCTCCTCCTTCCTTAGGCCCGAGTCTGCCTTCCTTTCCATTTCCCCTGCACTGGAGATCCCCCTTCTGAATCATAGTGACACTGGCTGGCGACAGCATCCCTGCTGGGACTAACCCACCCTCTCAGGCTGTCTGAGGACCCAACCCATCGTCTGGAATCCACACCCGCTCTGGCTCTCCTATTTGAGCTTGTGTATTTACCACTTGCTGGGTCAGAGCCTCTCCTTCGGAGTCCTGGAAACAAGAAACTCAACATTAGTGCCCAACCCCGCTTGGGGTCCTTAACAGGTGCCTCCACCCTGGGGAAGGCTATAGGTGACCTAAAAAAATGTCCCCATGGAATTCTGCAGCCCCCACGGTATCCTTCTCTCTATTGATGGCTGGTTGGTTGTAATCTCCTGGGGTCTTGCTGGGACAGCCTTCCAAGCTCCCCAGGCTCCCTGCTTCATGCCACAGCTGGCCCAGCCTGCTTGATGAGCCTAGGCTAAGTGGACCTGGGGCTCCTGTTTCTCAGAGCCAGGTATCCCAACAGGTGCTGGCTCTCTTGGGGGAGAGGTGATGCCTAGACCTGGCTCAATACCAGCACCAACGACCTCTCTCCTCTAACTGGACACTCACCTGATTCCCCAGAGGGTACCACCTCTCCAGGAGCATCTGCACAGAAAGGAAATCAGTGATCATATACCCATGATCCTCTGGGGGGGGAGAAGTCATGCTTCAGGGAAGGTGGATCCTGCTCGGAGACTTCCCACTTAATCTGGAGTCGGCCAGGTGGGGAATGGAGCCGGCTGGAGGGTTCCTGTTCCAACTAAAGGGGCAGCCACCACCCACCAGCCACAGAAAGCTGCTGTAGGAACGCCTACCCACTCTTACAGGTCTGTCAATTTCCCCAGAGAAGCCAGGTTTTCAGGTAAACTTCCCAATTATGAAAAAGTTTGGGCCGCACGCGGTGGCTCATGCCTGTAATACCAGCACTTTGGGAGGCCAAGGTGGGCGGATCACGAGGTCAAGAGACTGAGACCATTCTGGCTAAGATGGTGAAACCCCGTCTCTACTAAAAATACAAAAATTAGCTGGGCATGGTAGCACACACCTGTAGTCCCAGCTACTCGGGAGGCTGAGACAGGATAATCGCTCAAACCCAGGAGACAGAGGCTGCAGTGAGCCAAGATCACACCACTGCACTCCGGCCTGGCGACAGAGCGATACTCCATCTCAAACAAAAAAAAAAGTTTGGTAACTCTTGTACTCCATGAATCAAAATGCCATTGCTTGTGAGACATGACATTATTTTATGTACTACTATGTAAGAAAAGCCCTTGACATTTACAATTGTAAGTTGCCAGTGATATATATATATATTTTTTTGAGACAGAGTCTTGCTCTGTTGCCCAGGATGGAGTGCAGTGGTGCAATCTCGGCTCACTGCAAGCTCCGCCTCCCGGGTTCATGCCATTCTCCTGCCTCAGCCTCACGAGTAGCTGGGACTACAGGCGCCCGCCACCACGCCTGGCTAATTTTTTGTATTTTTAGTAGAGACGGGGTTTCACCATGTTAGCCAGGATGGTCTCGATCTCCTGACCTCGTGATCCACCCACCTCAGCCTCCCAAAGTGCTGGGATTACAGGCATGAGCCACCATGCCTGGCTGCCAGTGATTTTTTTTTAATAGAGACAGGGTCTTATTATGTTGCCCAGGCTGGTCTTGAACTCCTGGGCTCAAGCAATCCTCCCACCTTGGCCTCCCAAAGTGCTGGGATTATAGTCATGAACTACTATGCCTAACTTTGCCAGTGATTTTTAAGATGCATCCTGATTTCAGAAATATTCAAATGTGAAAAAAATGTGGTATAGAATTGATGAAATATATTCACATTCATAATTTTATTTTTAAAATTTATTTATTTAGAGACAGGTTCTCTCTCTGTCATCCAGGTTGCAGGGCAATGGCGCAATCATGACTCACTGCAGTCTCAAACTCTTGGGCTCAAGCAATCTTCCTGCCTCAGCCTCCCAAGTAGCTGGGATTACAGGTGTGAGCCACCATGTCTGGCTCTCACAATCATAATTTTACATATATAATATATATAAATTTATATATAATATACTTATATATTATATAACACAAATTATAAATATTATATATTTATAATATTTATTTATTTATTTATTTATTTTGAGACAGAGTCTCACTGTGCCACCCAGGCTGGAGTGCAGCGGCATGATCTCAGCTCACTGCAACCTCTGCCTCCCGGGTTCAAGCAATTCTCCTGCCTCAGGCTCCTGAGTAGCTGGGATTACGGGTGCCACCACACCTGGCTAATTTTTGTATTTTTAGTAGAGACAGGGTTTTGCCACGTTGGCCAGGCTGGTCTTGAACTCCCAACCTCAAGTGATCCACCTGCCTCAGCCTCCCAAAGTGCTGGGATTACAGGCATGAGCCACAGCGCCTGGCCACACAATCATAATTTTAAAAAAGCATTCTGGGCCAGGTGTGGTGGCTCACGCCTCTAATCCCAGCACTTTGGGAGGCCGAGGCGGGTGGATCACGAGTTCAGGAGATCGAGACCATCCTGGCTAACACGGTGAAACCCCATCTCTACTAAAAATACCAAAAAAAAAAAAAAAAAGCTTTCTGTGTGGGCCAGGTGCGATGCTTCACTCTTGTAATCCCAGCACTTTGGAAGGCCGAGGTGGGTAGATCACTTGAGTCCAGGAGTTCAAGACCAGCTTGGGCCACAGGGTAAAACCCTGTCTCTACCAAAAATACAAAAATTAGCTGGGCATGGTGTCGCATACATGTAGTCCCAGCTTCTCAGGAGGCTAAGGTAGGAGAATCGCTTGAGCCCAGGAGGTGGAGGTTGCAGTGAGCCGAGATGGTACCACTGCACTCAAGCCTGAGCAACAGAGTGAGACAGCATCCCAAAAAAAACAAAAAATGAAAAACAAACCTCCCCCTCCCCTGCCCCCCAAAAAACCATTCTGTGAGCCAGATAAAAAGCATCTGCCCACATGGGCCACCCATTTGCACATGCCTGCTCCAGGCTATCCAGATGCATGTGATGACACCTGCTGCCTTTTACCCATAGAACTCTGGACTAGACAGGCAACTCCAAGCTCATGCCATCTTGCTGGCTTCTAGACCTACCAGGCTCTGAGCATGTGGGAGCCAAGCTGGCTTGTACACCTCGATCCTTGGCTCCCACCATGATTGTTGAGCCACTTGTCTGGGCTGCTGAGGGTGAGTTGAGCCCTACAGACCTGAGCTGCCACCTCTGCATTATTCCAGTCCTGGGCGTCCTTCCCATACCATTCACCATGTGGTTCTTGGTGCCTGTTCTAGTTCCCTGGTGACCTTGCTCCTAGCCTGTCATCTTCTTCCCCTCAAGGGCAGACAGGCACTTGTATGATCTTCCAATCATCAGGCCCCGACTTCTGTAGTTTCCTGTCCCTCAGGGCAGCCCCAGGACACAAACACCACAAGAGGCACTTAGCATGTGACAACAGGCACTCAGCACACTGAACACTATATGCAAAGTGACCAGAGGGGCCAATACAGAGAGTGCAGAGAGCATACCAAGGACAACATGAAATGAGAACTCAAGCAATGTAATTTACCAAGCACCTCCAATGTCTGGGGGAAGGAAGTAATTCATGAATAAGTGAATGTATCTACATTTTCTACAGTGAATATGAATTACTTAATGAGAAAAATATTTTAAAATACACATAAACATAAAGGTTTATCTTATTTTATACCCAGTGAAACCTTTCTTAAATTACTTGAGTAATTAAACGCATTTTTCTAAACCAGATTATACTTGTTTTTGTAACAAAAAAAAAAAAAAAAAGAAAGAAGGAAAGAAAGAAAGAAAGAAGGACCAGGTGCAGTGGCTCACGCCTGTAATTCTGGCACTTTGGGAGGCCAAGGCCGGAGGATCACTTGAGCTCAGTAGTTCGAGACCAGCCTGGGCAACATGGCAAAACTCTGTCTCTACTAAAAAATACAAAAAATTGGCCGGGCGCGGTGGCTCACGCCTGTAATCCCAGCACTTTGGGAGGCCGAGGCGGGCGGATCAGGAGGTCAGGAGACCGAGACCATCCTGGCCAACATAGTGAAACCCTGTCTCTACTAAAAATACAAAAAATTAGCTGGGCTGGTGGTGGGCGCCTGTGGTCCCACCTACTCGGGAGGCTGAGGCAGGAGAATCACTTGAATTGGGGAGGTGGAAGTTGCAGTGAGCCAAGATCACACCACTGCACTCCAGCCTGGGCGACAGAGTGAGACTCCGTCTCAAAACAAACAAACAAAAACCCCAGAAAATGTAGGATTTCCCCAAGACAATCTCATGCCCGCCTCCCCACCTGCCAATGTTATAACCACCCAACTGGCCACATCTCCTGTATTTGGCTGGGACTTTTCAGCTCATGAATCACCCTCATGACCTTGTTTCTGCCCAGCAAAGCCCTCTTTTCCTTCGTCTAATTGTTTTCTCCAAAGCTACTGGGCAACTGATTACCTCCATAGAGTTGAAGCTCATCCTTCAAAACGTCAGGCTCCCCATGCCCAGGACCTGGATGGAGACAAACCCCTTAGTCAGCACTCCCCAAACACAGTGATCCAGGCCACTTCCCTCTCCCATGGCTTCGACGCTTAAGAAGTACCACAGTCCTTGTGCTGGAGGTGAGGTGGGGGGCAGTCTTCAGGAGGCAAGGCAGCACAAGTACCTTCCCTTTGCCCTCTCTGATGCCCCCAGAACTTCCAGAGGTGACCACACTCAGAAAGCACTCAAGACCTGAGAGGACCTGGACCTTGCTCAAGGTTAATAGTGGGTATATACTGGGCACTAGCATGCACCAACACTGTACTAAGTGATTTATATTTAATACCTCATTTGCTCCTCACGGATATCCTATGAAGAAGGTATTAGTACCTACCCCACCCATTATACAGATAAGGACACTGAGGCTCAAATAGTTAAATTATTTTCCCAAAGTCATATAGCCAGCAAGTGGCAACTCTACCAGGTCTGTTGCCAAAGCCTGCATTCCTAATCATGTTTATATCCAGAAATAGAACCCAGGGCTCAGCTCTAGCCTCATGGGCAGCATTTATTAAACACCTTCTGTGTGGCAGGTTCTGTACTATACAATAATTCACCCCTTTTCCCCATGCTCTTTCCTTCTTATGAAATTTGTTGTTTATTTCTTTTGCAAAAATTATTTCCTGGTTGTAAAAGTAAAACATGCTCGGCCAGGCACGGTGGCTCACCTCTGTAATCCCAGCACTTTGGGAGGCCAAGGTGGGTAGATCACTTGAGTCCAGGTGTTTGAGACAGGCCTGGGCAACATGGTAAAACCCTGTCTCTACTAAAAATACAAAATTAGCCAGGCATGGTGGCGCATGCCTGTAATCCTAGCTACTTGGGAGGCTGAAGCGGGAGAATCACTTGAACCCCAGAGGTGGAGGTTGTGGTGAGCTGAGATCACGCCATTGCACTCCAGCCTGGGCAACAAGAGCGAAACCCTGTCTCCAAAAAATAAATAAATAAAATAAAAAATAAAACATGCTCATTGTAAATTATTTATAGTATAGGACAGTTCAAAAAAGGGAAAATAAAAATCACTTATAATTCCACCATCCTGAGATAACCACTATTAACATTTTAGCATTTTTCCTTCTAGTCTTGATTATAACCATATATGTCTGAATTTTTATAAAGCATAAACGAGATCAAATTGATTCTATGATTTGGCATCTTTCTTTTTCAGTTCAGCGATAGATGAAGAGCAGAGCTGTCACCAGGGCAGGGTGTAGCATCCTTTATCTATTCTGCTGCTGTCAGGCTATTTCCTATTTTATCCTGCCATAAACAATGCTGTGAAGAACATCACACTTCAGTCCCACGGAGAAACTCAACGGTGAGCGAGTGGGCAAAAGAAAAATGGTAAGGCCTATTTCCTACCGGGTGAGCCGTTCCCGTGGGGGTATCCAGCCCCCAGGCTCCGTCGATGTTTTCCGGTTGCTCTGGGTTGCTGGTCCTCATCATTGCTCTCTGCGGGTAACAAACACAAGCTGTAGGAGAAGCTCAGCCTGGAACAAGCTGGGAATGCGTTCATTCTGGTGGCCATTCTCAGAATTTAGTTTATGAGAAGAGTGTGGTTTGGTGGGAGGAACTCTGATTTGGGGACTGGAGGTAGGAGACCTGCCACTCCCTTTAGGTGTGACTTTGCACAAATCCCTTAATATTTCTGTTGATTTCGTGTCTACATAATATTTCTGCTTCTGCCTTGCCTACTTCATAAGACTTCCATGAAGATAAGATAAGGTCCCATGAGGCATCATAGTACTGAGATGGCTTCCATCCCACCAAGTGCAGGGGCTGTGTCATCTCTGTTTCCCCACCCATCATGCTGGCTCTGGATGTTTGCTGTGTCTCCCACCCCCCTGGAATATCCTTCCTGTTTGTCTGTGTTATTGAGAAGCTTAAGCTGATGTCACACCTCCTGTAGAAAGCCTTTGCCAACTGCCCCAGCTCACACTGGTCTTGCCTTTCCCTGCTGGGGTTTCTATAGCACCAGCTGTCTGTGCTTGACTCAGTGGACATGAGGGCCAGCGGTCTTGTGATGTGCCTCTCTCCAACCATTTCATCTCCTGAAGGACATGACCTGGGTTCTCCACCCTGCAAGGGTGCCCAGCTAGGAACAGGAGCTTGATCAAGACTTGAAAATGGTTGTCATTTGTGCTCTTTGGCCAGTCAGCATTCCAAGAATTCAGGTCTAGGAGTTTCTGGCTCCAGGTCCAGAAGACTCCTTTATCCCAAGACAGGACCGTGGGGACCTCCCAGTCAGTCATGGGTCAATTTAAAAAATTCCAGGAAACCAAATTAATTGTGTTTAAACATCAGTGCATCTGTGATCTCAACTGGATAAGGAGGAAGAGGGATTGGGAAGCTCAACAAAATAACAACGGTGGTGTTTATCTCAGGAGAGAGGATTTTGGGTGACTTCTATTTTCTTCTTTTCTATATTTTACAAATATTCATCAGTGCAAAAAATGACTTTTTATTGCTAAAAAGATAATGCATGTTGCAAAATAAAGAAATATAGAAAATAAAGTAAAAATTATTCCAATTTTTTTTTGAGACGGAATTTTGCTCTTGTTGCCCAGGCTGAAGTGCAATGGCGTGATCTCAGCTCACTGCAACCTCCACCTCCCAGGCACAAGCGATTCTCTTGTCTCAGCCTCCTAAGTAGCTCAGATTACAGGCGTGCACCACCACACCTGGCTAATTTTTTTTTTTTTTTTTTTTTACTAGAGACGAGGTTTCACCATGTTAGTGAGGCTGGTCGTGAATTCCTGACCTCAGGTGATCCACCCACCTTGGACTCCCAAAGTGTTGGAATTACAGGTGTGCATCACCACACCTGGCAATTACTCCAAATTTTATCAGCTAGAGACAACTGCCATCAATGTGTGAATGAACATTGTTTTAGCTTTCTCTGTGATATATTCATAATACAATTTTTTTGGAGACAGGGTCTCACTCTGTCATCAAGGCCGAAGTGCAGTGGTACAATCAGGGCTTACTGTAGCCTTGACCTCCCAGGCTCAAGTGATCTTCACGCCCCAGCCTCCTGGGTAGCTGGGATTATAGGTATGTGCCACCATGCCCAGCTAATTTTTTGTATTTTAGTAGAGATGGGATTTCCCCATGTTGCCCACGCTGGTCTCGAACTCCTGGACTCAAGTGATCCACTCACCTTGGCCTCCCAAAGTGCTGGAATTACAGGCGTGAGCCACTGTGCCCAGCCTAATACAAGTTTTTAAATAAAAGGTATTATGGAATATATGCTGTTTAAAATGAAGACTATTTTTGTATATGCTCTCTGATTTAGTTATTTAAAAAGTTACCCAAACTGCAGAACTGTGAGCTAAATACACCTCTTTTCTTTTTCTTTTGCTTTTTCTTTTTTTTTTTGAAACGGAGTCTCACTCTGTCACCCAGGTTGGAGTGCAGCGGTGCAATCTCAGCTCACTGCTACCTCTGCCTCCCCGGCTTAAGTGATTCTCCTGCCTCAGCCTCCCGAGTAGCTGGGATTACAGGTGCCCACCACCACACCTGGCTAATTTTTGTATTTTTATTAGAGACGAGGTTTCACCATGTTGGCCAGGCTGGTCTTGAACTCCTGACCTCAGGTGATCTGCCCGCCTCGGCCTCCCAAAGTGCTGGAATTGCAGGAGTGAGCCACTGTGCCCAGCCTCTTTTCTTTATAAATTAAAAAATAATAATAATAACCGCGGCAGAAAGATTCACTGTTCATTGCTAGTCCCTAGTACCCATCACAAAGACTGGCACATATTTGGTGCTCAGTAAATATTTGTTAAATAAATGTAAGGAATACACTAATATGTTTTGGGTGGTTATCTCTGGGTAATGGGGCAAAGGATGATTTGTTTTCTCATATTTTCTGTTTCGCTATATGCTCTATATTTTCTACAGTGTACCTGTGTGTAATCTTTTACAGTTGAAAACAAAACTGCATCTAAAATTAACTGGATTAAAACAGGTATGTGGGAGAGAGATGGTGGATGTGACTATGAGTGAGGGTCCTGCATGTGAGGACGGCAGGGCTGCGGTGAGGCACCCAGGCTCGGGGCCTTCTAGGGTAGCGGGTCACTGTCCGCGCCTGAAAAACAGGCGGCTATGTTCTGGCAGCAGGTCAGTCACCGTAGGATCAGGGACCAGGATCCTGAATGTCAGCCTGTCTTTATGCTTCTAGGACTCTGGCTTTCTCCCGCTGCTTTCTCTTAGCGCTCCATTTGGCTAATTTCAGCCAGTCCTATGTGTGAGGTGGAGACTCCAGGGTGTCTGGGTGCCAGGGATTATGGTCACATGGGGGACATTTTCGGAGGAGCAGCACTCCTTGAGAGACAACCAGAACCAGAGGACGGAACACTCCTTCCTGCCCAGGGAGGAGAAACAAAAGGAGAGGCAACAAACAGCCCCCTGCCTGCACCTGGAAGCTCTTCTTCCAGAGCCAAACCTCATACATGGTGGGCTTGTGTGTTTTCTCATTTTTTGTTTTTAAATGGGGCGATGGCTTCCTTTCCAGTGCCATGAGGAGACTGGCTACAAACAAACCCACGGGACCCACCGACCACTCTCCCTCGCCTGCTGAAATGATCATTGATTTTGTGGCTTTGGGCCTTGGTCTCAGCATTTGCAACATGAGGACATAAGACCAGAGCTTTTTTTTTTTTTTCCTTCCAGCCCAGAGACCTTTCATTAAATAAAGTCTTAAGCTCAAGCCCACCATAAAAGAGATCATAGTGCAGGAGCTCTGGTTGAGGAGGATTAGCCTCCCGGATCCCACAAAGACCTCCGGGGAATCCCAAGTTGGTTACTGAGCTCTCTTAGAGCAGGTCAGTTGCCCTCTCTGTGCCTCAGTTTTCTCACTTGTAAACTGGGAATAATAATAGTACCTTCCTTTATGGGTTGCTGTGAGAATTGAGTTATTACATGCAAGTGCTTACAACAGCTCCCAGCACAGAGTAAGCATTCAATAAATATTGCTGGTGCTACTACTATAAATTCAGCCTCATATTTTGAATTAAAAGAATACAAATGAAAGAACATTCTGCTGTTTCTTGGAGAATAATGTGGTTATTTGTAATCAGGATGTTATTGGAGGCCAGGCACAGTGGCTCACCCCTATAATCCCAGCACTTTGGGAGGCCGAGGTGGGCAGATCACCTGAGATCAGGAGTTCAAGACCAGCCTGGCCAACATAAAGAAACCCTATCTCTACTAAAAATACAAAAATTTGGCCAGGCATGGTGGTGGATGCCTGTAATCCCAGCTACTCGGGAGGCTGAGGCAGGAGAATCGCTTGAGCCCAGGAGGCGGAGGTTGCAGTGAGCCAAGATCACGCCGCTGCACTCTAGCCTGGGCAACAGAGCAAGATTCTGTCTCAAAAAAAAAAAAAAAAAAAAAAAAAAGATGCTATTGGATGTTGTTCCTCTAAACCCACTAAAGTACTTGCAAGGACTCAATACTTAGGAATGATTTGCACAAAAATTCAAAAGGCAAAAGCTTTCGCACAAGGATGCTCATGAGCATGATAAACCTGGGAGGGGAAGACCATAACACAACAATTACTTTTAGAGCTTTTAATATGTGCTACATGCTAAGACTTTACCTGTATAACGAATTTCATCCTCACAAGAATCCCATGAGGTATTATGTATTGCTCTCATCCCCATCTTCTAGATGAGGGCACTGAGGCGCCAGGGGTTGAGCAGTTTACCCAAGGACGTGTAGCTACTTAGTGGTAGAGACAGGATTTGAACCTGTAACACACGCTTTGACTATGGCACTGGGGTGCCTCTAATAAACCTAAATGTTACTTTACATGAGATGCAGCCACTTGAGGGGCTGTTCAGTAAACATTAAAAATAGCTACAGCGATATTACAGAACAACATGGCTAAAAGCTTAGGATAAGATGGGGAAAATTTTAAATGGAGGACAAAATTGCCTATACGATCAATGATAACTGTGTACGTAGAAGCACATGTAGACAGATCGGCTCTAGAAGAGAATGTGGAGAAACGGTATTGGAGTTTCAAGTACTTCAATGACTTCAAGTATGGGGGATTATTTCCCCATGTAAATCTTTTTCTTGAATAATATACATATATTTAAATCTCTGCTATACCTGAGGAGGAGGAGGATGAAGAAGATGAGGAGGATGAGGAGGAAGAGGAGGAGGAGGAAGAAGACTTGTTTCTCTCATATTGTTCTTGGGAAAAGAGTCCAGCCTTCCCATCTTGCTTGTGGAAATCTGTCTCTCCATCTACAAGGCACACAGAGGCCAGGGGATGAGCGTTTCCCACCCTTCCCACCCCAGGGACCACCCAGTCCTCTCCAGGGTTCTACTTGGATTTGGAGAGCCAGGAAGGACTGGATTATCTTCCCAAATATCTAGAGCCAATGCAACATGCAGGAGACCAAGGCTCTCAGAGATGCCAGGGGCTCACGGAAGGCTCAATACAGAGATTTATCTGAATATGGACTCAGAAAAGGGGTTTCTTTCTTTTTTTTTTGAGACGGAGTCTTGCTCTTTTGCCCAGGCTGGACTGCAGTGACGCTATCTCGGCTCACTGCAAGCTCTGCCTCTCGGGTTCATGCCATTCTCCTGCCTCAGCCTCCTGAGTAGCTGGGACTACAGGCGCCCACCGCCACACCCGGCTAATTTTTTGTATTTTTAGTAGAGACGGGGTTTCACCGTGTTAGCCAGGATGGTCTCGATCTCCTGACCTTCTGATCTGCCCGCCTCGGCCTCCCAAAGTGCTGGGATTACAGGCGTGAGCCGCCGCGCCCGGCCAGAAAAGGGGTTTCTAAGCCCCCTGCCTTGCCCAGAGACAGCTAGATTCTGTAGAGTAGTTGCTAATTTAGGATCCTCTGTACATTACAGCCAAGATGAGGTGTGATCAAGTCCTAAACCTTCCCATTCCCCATTCTGGGGTCACACAGGACCCTCTCCACCTTCTAGGGGTGCTCCCTAGTGCCAGCCCAAGCCCCCAGAGAATTCTTGAGATTTGGCAAGCAGCTGAGGGTCCCCATAGCTAGACAGCACAGGAGGACAGATTGGACCATGCAAATGTGTGTGTGCATGTGTGTAAAACCACTACTTCCCCATTTCAGCTGTGATTTGAGGCCCTGTGCAACGTGAGTTGAGCAGGGTCTTCTTCTGTCCCTTCTACTTTTGGACTCCACCTCCCATGTGGTTTTGCCCAGAGGGTCAGAGAAGGCAAACGTACAGTCTACATCTTCTGTTTCTCTGTGGACTTGACTGTTGTCCTGAGGCTGGGAGGAGGATGCTGAAGTCTCCATGGCTTTTCCTGGAGGAATAACAATAATCAGTAGTTAATATCACCTTAGTTAATATCTTAATATACAAAGAGCTTGGCAAATAAATAAGAAAAAGACAAACACTCAACATTCAAAGGAATAAGAAAAATAATTAACAAAAAAAATGGTAGTTCTGTTGGCAAGCAAGAAGGCCGGGGTAGTGGAGGGAGGAGGGTTAAGGGAGTGGGAATTGGGGTGGTGGGTATTGGTTAGGCAACTAGCAGGGGGCTTCATGAAGGAAATCAGTTTTTATCTGTGCCTGAAAAGTCAGGCACAATCCTTTTTCTTTTTCTTTTTTTTTTTTTGTGGAAACAGGGTGTCTCTATGTTGCCCAGGCTGGTCTTGAACTCCTGGGCTCAAGCAATTCTCCTACCTTGGCCTCCCAAAGTGCTGGGATTCAAGTGTGAGCCACCATGTCCAGCCTAGGTACAATTTTGACAGGAATGCAGATTTGAAGTTGGTGAACCAACTCCAATCCCACAAACATGGCCAACATCCAGGAATGACTAAGCAAAAAGGCAAGGGAATCCTGGGCCCCGGCCGGCCTCACACACAGAGCCACCTGCCACCTCTTGACAGCTACGTGCACAGGAAAGAAGTTTCTTTTAATGGAGCCCATGTGCTATGAGTCTCTGTTATAGCAGCTGAGCCAGGAAGTGCAGGCTTCCTTCTGATTCCTTGCCCTATTTCTTCTTCTCTCAGCTCTGAGGCTGAGACCTTAAATCTGAGAGGAGGTAGATTTACTAGTCTCTGATTCATTTATTTTTTACTTCTTTATTTGAGACAGAGGTCTTGCTATATCACCCAGTCTAGTCTTGAACTCCTGGGTTAAGGCAATCCTCCCACCGCAGCCTCCTGAGTAGCTGGGACTACAGGCACGTGCCACTGTGGCCAGCCTCTGACTCATTTAAACCATGTTTCTCAGCCTCAACACGACTGACATTTGGGACAGGGTAACACATTGTGAGATGTTTAGCAGCCTCCTCCCAGATGCCAGTAGCACTTTCCTGTTCAGCTATAACAATAAAAATGTCTCCAGACATTGCCAAATGACCCCTGTTGTGGGGCAAACATCACCCCCCATTTGAGAATGGTCTAGAGAATCTACCACAAGACCTTGGCAGGAAGCCTCCTCCCCTGTGTCTTAGAGCCAGATTGCCTGGGTTGGAATCCTGCCTCTGCCTCTTCTAGCGATGGAAGCATGGGCTAGTTACTTAATCCTTCACTGTGCCCTGGGTTTCTCATCTGTAAAACGGAGACAGTAATAGTGCTTACCTTATAGTATGTGAAAATGGCAGGACAGTCCTTAGCAGGGCCATTGTGAATGCGTGTTTCCTTCTCTACAGGCCTCCTCTTACCCTTGGACATTCAGTGTCCAGTCCCATCCCTGCTCATCCCCCATCTCGTAGGCCCCAGACTCCATTACCCGTTTTTTTTTTCTGTTTTTTGAGATGGAGTCTCGCTTCTGTCGCCCAGGCTGGAGTGCAGTGGCATGATCTCAGCTCACTGCAACCTCTGCCTCCCGGATTCAAGTGATTCTTCTGCCTCAGCCTCCGGAGTAGCTGGGATTACAGGCGCCACACCATGCTTGGCTAATTTTTGTATTTTTAGTAGAGACGTGGTTTCACCATATTGGCCAGGCTGGTCTCGAACTCCTGACCTTGTGATCCGCCCGCCTTGACCTCCCAAAGTGCTGGGATTACAGGCGTGAGCCACTGCGCCTGGCCTACCCTTTTCTAGAATAAAACTTCCCATTTCTCAGAGCAGAATTCAGCTAGGCATTAGGAAGTCACTAGCCATTAAAATGCATCGATATCGAGATGGAATGACTGACAGCAGAAGCCTCCAGGGCATATTTCTATTTTGAACAGGGTTCTCTGCACGCAACAGGTGACTAGTACATATTCATTGGCTGAGATCATCTCTAATGAAGGCATTTCAGCTAGAGTGGAGGAAGAGTTGTAGAGCCACGTGGGGGAAAGAGAGCTGCTGGCTGATGTCAGATAGACCGAAGTTTACAAAGTGATGAGCTCTTTTTCCAGTCTCATCTCCATCCTGCTCTGTGTCCTGGTCACACACAGCACTTTTGGCTTAGTCCATTCTTTCCTAATGTCAAAATTGCATCTGACCTTCCAAGCACAGGTCAAAACCCACTTCCCTCATGAAGTACTCTTTCAATTGCCTAAACAATACCCATCAACTCTATTCCCCACTCCCCTAAACTTACTCCCTCCACTATCCCTAGCTTTTGTTTTTTTGACAAGGTCTCTCTCTATCACCCAGGCTAAAGTGCAGTGGTGCAATCACAGCTCACTGCAGCCTTGAACTCCTGGACTCAAGTGATCCTCCTGCCTCAACCTTCTGAGTAGGTAGGACTACAAGCATGTACCACCATCCAGGGTTTGTCTCCTTCACTAGATCACGAATGCAGCCTAAGTAGGGACTAAGGCTGATTCATTTCTGTGTCACCCATACCCTGTACAGAGCCGGGAACAAAGGAAAAATGATGATAACAAGCAGCTATAAGTGCCTACTATCTGCCAGGCAAGGTTCTAACAGTTAACTTGTGTTAACTAATCTATTCCTATGAAGGCTCACTAGGGCCGTGCCCATTTTATAGGTCAGAATATTGGGGCACAGAGAGGATAAGAAACTTGCCCAGGACCGGCCGGGCGCGGTGGTTCATGCCTGTAATCCCAGGACTTTGGGAGGCTGAGGCGGGCGGATCACAAGGTCAGGAGATCGAGACCATCCTGGCCAACATGGTGAAACACAGTCTCTACTAAAAATACAAAAATTAGCTGGGCATGGTGGTTGCAGGCCTGTAATCCCAGCTACTCAGGAGGCTGAGGCAGGAGAATCACTTGAACCCCGGAGGCAGAGGCAACCTGCCTCTGAATTGAGATCGCGCGACTGCACTCCAGCCTGGGCGACAGGGCAAGACTCTGTCTCAAAAAAAAAAAGAAAGAAAGAAAGAAAGAAACTTGTCCAGGACCACACAGTAAGTGGTTAAGCAAGGGTAGTTGGTTGCTAAGCCCATGCTGGGAGACTAAAGGAGTGATGCTGGCTCCTCTTCTCAGGACCCTGACACTGGCACCAGGAAAGAGGACACACTAACAGTCATCAGA
Organism: Homo sapiens; assembly: GCF_000001405.40. Taxonomy (NCBI): domain Eukaryota; kingdom Metazoa; phylum Chordata; class Mammalia; order Primates; family Hominidae; genus Homo; species Homo sapiens. The sequence continues at coordinate 12,752,979 of NC_000003.12, forward strand.
GTGCTATGCAAATATGCTGACTTGGCTTATATTTAGCTACTGATGGAGCCTTGAGTAATTGTTCCCATAGCCAAGGGAACTTCCCTGGGCAGGTCTTTAGCACACTGAAGGGGAGGAATGGAACCATCACCGGGGGAAGACCCGATGTGGCTCTGTTTCTCCTTTCAATGTCCTTGTCTATTCCTCCTCCACACATTTTTCTTTTTTGCCTTTTTTCTTTCTTTCTTTCTTTCTTTTTTTTTTTTTTTTTTTTTTTTTGAGACAGGGTCTCACTCTATCACCCAGGCTGGAGTGCAGTGGCACGATCACGGCTCTGCAGCTTCAACCTCCTGGGTTCCAGTGATCTTCCCACCTCAACCTCCCGAGTAGCTGGGACTATAGGCATTTGCCACCACACCTAGCTAATTTTTTAGTTTTTATATTTTTGTAGAGATAGGGTCTCACTATGTTGCCCAGGCTGCTCTTGAACTCCTGGGTTCAAGTGATCCTCCCGCCTTGGTCTCCCGAAGTGCTGACGTTACAGGCATGAGCCACCACACCCGGCCTCCACACAGGTCTTATTTAACATAGGGAGAGACTGAGGCTCAGGTAGAGGAAGAGACTTGTTCAAGGTCTCCCAGCTTATAGATGGACTCAAATCTGACCCCTACCCCAACAGAGAAGCTTCATGCCCCAGCTGCCCCCTGGTTAGAGGACTCTAGCACCAACTCAGGTGGCCCCCACATCCAAGGCTGATCCTACAAGGAAATGGAATGCCTGACTTTCTGGCACTTTTCTCCAAAAAGCCCAGCCCTGCTGAGTCATGGGTGGTGCCAGGGCCTCTGTACCCACGGGTCCTGCTAAACTGGATTTCCCCTTCAGGTGAGCCCAGATTTCCTGAGCTTCTGCTGTCACAGGGCCTGGGCCCAGGGCAGGAGGGCTGACAGAGCACACTGAGCCATCACAGCCTCACAGCACTCTCCTCTCCCAGCTCTCTTGACTCTCACACAACCAGGAGGGAGGCAGACTGGAGATTACTGTCGTATTTTACAGAAGAGGAAACTGAGGCCCTGAAATGGAGAGGAATTTGCGCAGGTCATGGAGCCACACGGGGCAAGGCTGGCTCTTTCATCACATCAGGTCAGGAGATCGAGACCATCCTGGCTAACACGGTGAAACCCCGTCTCTACTAAAAATACAAAAAATTAGCCGGGCATGGTGGCGGGCACCTGTAGTCCCAGCTACTCGGGAGGCTGAGGAAGGAGAATGGCGTGAACCCGGGAGGTGGAGCTGGCAGTGAGCCGAGACCGCACCACTGCACTCCAGCCTGGGCGACAGAGCACGATTCCGTCTCAAAACAACAACAACAACAACAACAAAACAAAATAATGGCTGTACAGAAAGAGGATGGTTGGACTCTGGGTGGAGGCTGTTTATACAGAAAGATCTAAGATTTTAAAAAGATAATCTGGAAGGAAAGAAAATAGTGCAAGCATCTAGGTTGTTGTCTAGCATGTCTAGCACATAGTAGGTGCACAACCAATGTTTGTTAAAGTGGCAATATAAGCCAACAAGGTGATATAGCTACAGAGCAAAGCTAGCATATCCTTAGGTGACATTAACAGAAGCACAGAGTCTACGGTGAAGAAGGTGGCCCACATTCCACCATCCCCAATCCTCCATCCTGGGTTTACTCCTGGGTCCTGCATAGAATAAGTTCTGGACAGACAAAGAGAATCCAGAGGATGTAGCAGGTACAGAGACTACACCCAAGAGAAGTGGCTTGGGGAGCAGGGCACTTGACCTAGGGATGAGCTCCACATGGATGGGCCTAGTCACTGACCCCAAGTCTCTGCAGAACTACTCCAGGACTCCAGGACATGGGGAGCAGGTAGGGCTGTGAGCTCAGAAGGAAAGGTCAGTACCTTGAGGAAGTCACCAGAGAAGTTGCCAACTTCAATATATAAAAGAATTTTCTTCTTTTCTTTTCTTTCCTTCTTTCTTTCTTTCTCTTTTTTCTTTCCTTTTCTTTTTCTCTTTCTTTCTCTTCCTTCCTCTCTCTCCTTCCCCCTCCCTCCCTCCTTTCTTTCTTCCTTTCCTTCCTTCTTTCCTTCTTTCTTTCCTCTCTCTTCCCTCCCTCCCTCCTTTTTTCTTTTTTCTTTTCTATTCTTTTCTTTTCTTTCCTTCTCTTTCTTTCTTTCTCTTTCTTTCTTTCTCTCTCTCTCCTTCCTTCCTTCCTTCCTTTCTTTCTTTCTTTCTCTCTCTCTCTCTCTCTCTCTTTCTTTCTTTCTTTCTTTCTTTCTTTCTTTCTTTCTTTCTTTCTTTCTTCTTTTCTAGAGACAGGGTCTCACTTTGTCACCCAGGCTCAAGTGCATTGGAGCAATCATGGCTCACTGCAGCCTTGAACTGTTGACCTTGAGCAATTCTCCTGCCTCAGCCTCCCAAAGTGTTGGGACTGGCCTTCCAAAGTGTGCTGAGCCACTGCACCTGGCCTCAATATATAAAATAATATTCTAAAAATGACAACAGCTTTGGGGTTGTCCTGAGCACGTTGCCATGTGAGGTGGCAAGTTGAGGAGTGGCAAGGGTTGGCTTAGATGTTCTTAGCTCAGAACCTATTAGTGTCTCAAGCAATTCTCTCCAAAGTACAGGAGGAAAATATTAATTTATCGATTTCTATGTAGTTTTTAACTAAAAATAGTTAATAGTATATAGTTTAGCCCTGATGTGCACCCTTGGCTCATATGTCAGACACCACATGTCATGTCTATTAAGTGGGGCTCCCAGAGGCCAGTGGGGAGCCCCACAAGGCAGACAGGTTGATTGTGGCCACGTCTTCCTTTTCTCTACATCCAGACTATTGCCATATATTGTGGCGTGCAGGAGCCCAGTTGGGTTAATTTGAGGCTCAAATGAAACAGCTTTCACTGAATCAGCCCCCTTCTTGTTGACAAGTGACTTCAAAGAGTCTCTGCAAAGAAACCGCGGATGGAGATAACCCTAATCATGAAAGTACAAACAAGCAACAGGAAAAGTGTGGGACAGACTTGTCCTTACTCTTAGTTTAGCTGCATTACCACATTGGAAAGAGCAATGGAAAGGAGTCCGACACATGAAACAACTGTTTCCTGTGTATTTGAGTTCCTGAAATAATGAGAAATAAACACAAACTCAAAATACACAATAATAACGAGAAACAAATACAAACTCAAACTCAAATACAATCGTATTTGAGTTCCTGAAATAATAATGAGAAACAATTTGAAAGGTGGATTTCCACCCACTACCATTGGTGATTGAAATTCATTCTGGGCGTACACTGGCCCTGAGACATCAGCTAACGGCCACCATACTTGTATATACATGTACATATCTATGCATATGTATATGCTGGGGGTGCCAACGGCATGCTTCTTGAGAAGATTGTGCAATCAAAAAGTTAGATGAGTGCTGCTCTAGATCCTCAGACCAAGCTAGATACTAGGGGATGCTAGTCCTGGTTTGGGGTTTTTGGGTCTAATCAGATAATTTGTTCCAGATTTAGGGACAAGGAAAACTAGAGGGGGAGTTTGCCTTCCATAAAACTTTTTTGAGGCTCCACTGACACATTTGAAGATTAATAGGAAGAAACCTAAAACTCATAAAATTCTTTCCCTGGCTCGCATCGTCCTAACTTGGTGTAGTGTTGAGTCAAACACCAAAGCACCAAGGTGGGTGCCCAGCTAGACAGAGCCAGGCGGGTCCCTTCTCCCACAGCCTGGAATCTCAGTCTCTGTTTCTTTCTTTCCCATCTTTCTCTCTCTCTGTTTCTACCCACCTCCCTCTCTCTCTCTCTATCTCTTTCTCTCTCTCTCACACACACACACTCTGTCTCTCACAACACACACCACACATATACACACTCTCTCTCTCACACACACACATACACACACACAACTGACAATAAGAAACAAAAAGGTAGCATCCAGCACAAGAGCTTGTCAGTTCTCTTGAACATCAGACAGACCTAGATCTTCAGTTCCCGCCTCTACCCCTCACTGACTCTGAGACCTGGAGCGTGTCACATCCATTCTCAGAGCTTCAGAATCCTTAGTTGGAAAAATGGGCATGCCTACAACTCAACATACAGTGACAAATAATCCAGTTTAAAAACGGACAGAGGATTCGAATAGACATTTCTCGAAAGAAGACACAGAAATAGTCAATAGCACATAGAAAGATGCTTCACATCACTGGGTGCGGTGGCTCATGTCTGTAATCCCAGCACTTTGGGAGGCTGAGGCGGGCGGATCACCTGAGGTCGGGAGTTCGAGACCAGGCTGGCCAACATGGAGAAACCCCATCTCTTCTAAAAATACAAAATTAGCTGGGCATGGTGGCAGGTGCCTGTAATCCCAGCTACTCGGGAGGCTGAGGCAGGAGAATCACTTGAACCCAGGAGGCAGAGGTTGTGGTGAGCTGAGATCGCACCATTGCACTCCAGCCTGGGCAACAAGACTGAAACTCCGTCTCAAAAAAAAAAAAAAAAAAGATGCTCCACATCATTAGTCATTAGGGAAGTGCAAATCAAAACCACCATGGGATACCCCTTCACACCCACTAGGGTGGCTTACCATAAGACATACAGACACTAACAAGTATTGGTGAGGGTACGAAGAAACTGGAGCCCTCATACATTGCTGGTCAGATTGTAAAATGGTGGTCACTTTGGAAAACAGTTTGTCAGCTCCTCAAAAGGTTAAAAAAGATTTACTACATGACCCAGCAATTCCAATCCCTAGTATATTCGCAAGAGAATTGACAACCTATATCCGAACAAAGACTTGTAATGAATGTTTATAGCAGCATTACACATAACAGCCAAAAATGGAAAAGCTGGAATTACAGGTGCGCATCACCATGCCTGGCTAATTTTTGTATTTTTAGTAGAGACGGGGTTTTACCATGTTGGCCAGGCTGGTCTCGAACTCCTGACCTCAAAGTGATCCACCCGCCTCAGCCTCCCAAAGTAATGGGATTACATAGGTGAGCCATGGCGCCTGGCCCTGAATTATACACTTTTAAAGGGTGAATTTTATAGTAGTGAATTACATCTCAGTAAATCTGTTATTTAAAAAAAAAAAAAAGAAAGAAAGAAAAAGGAAAGACTCCACCCACAGGATTGTTGTGAAAGTGAAATAAGGCAGGGAGCAGGGCAGGCCCAGCATGGTCCCTGACGTGCAGCCAGCACTTGAGATCTCTCTCTCTCTGATCCTTTTCACAAGGAGGATTTCCCAGCAAAAGTAACCTGGTGCTTTAGGGCTACACTAGCTTGAGTTCACTCCCCACCACTCCCACTAACACACACTCCTGACTCCTTAGTTAGGGCTCTGAACTCTTCTGGGCAGTTTCTTAACAAAACAGAAGAAAATAATAAGCACAAGACCATAATCATTCTCATTCCCCTTAAAAGGAAACTAGGTTGGCTTGAGGCCTAAAAGCCAGGGTGCTCTGAGCAGAGGTGGCTCTAGGACAAGGATGACAGCCTACGGGGGTGGGTGGGGGGAGCTCTGAGAGGTCTGCCAAGCCCCCCTCCCCTTGGGCCACACCACCTGTGCCTGAGCCCCCAACAGGCAGCAGGGCCCCCTCCCCATGGCCCAGCTCTCTGGCATATCCTCCCCGGGGGTGCCTTTGAGCTGGAGGCAGAGGACGGCTGACTTCTTCCTTCCAAGTCTCCCAAACCTGGCTGGCAGCCCAGGGTGGCTTCCTCCAGGAAGGGCAGAGAGAGGGGCAGCTGCCTGTAGTCACTGATGGTGGTGCAGAGGCTGAGACATTTGCGGGAACACCCCTCCCCTCCTAAGCTGTTAGGTTCCATAACAGTGAGGGTGTGAGGTGCCTTCAGAGATCTAGCTGGACCCTTCATTTTACAAGTAGGGAAACTGAGGCTCAGAAAGGTCAAGGGTTTTTCTGAAAGTCTTGCAGCAAGTTGGTGACAGAATTGGGAGCTGGTCACCTACCATGGCCAAGTATAGGCGGGTGGAAACCTCAACACAACCCAGGAAGGTGAATATTTGTCATCCTCCCCTGAAGTAGAGACAGGTTCTCACACAGCTAGGAAGATGCAGAGCTGGGACTCAAACCCAGGTCCACCAAGGAACCACACAATATCAAGCCTATTGAGGACACTCTTTCTCCCGATTTCCTTAAAAGCTGACACTCCACCCCACTGCTCACCCAGCCCCATGTCCCATTACCTGTGGTCCTTCAGCTTGTCTGGGCAGCAAGGGGAGCTCTGTGTAGACTATGTGGATGCTGGGCTGGTCAGGGGAAGGAGAGGACAGGCTGCACCTGTGACAGCAAGGAGGGCGGGACTACCGTGACGTTGTCCCTGGGCCCCACTCGCTCACTGGGATGGCATTCCTTCCTGCTGGTGCTATCAGCCCCAGGCCTTCCTGTCTGACTTGACTCTTCCCTACAACACTGCGGAGGGGCAGGTGGGGCAGCTACATGCCTGGTCCTGCCTCAGGGCCACAGCCATGCCTTCAGACTCCAGGAGACAGTGAAATGGGGGCAGCTGTGCCACCCTTGGCTGTACCAAGCTCTGGGAAGGAAGGAGGGGACGTGTCCCAGGTACCCCCTCCACCCACATTGGTGAGGCTGACTCAGGCCCCAGCCACGTGTCCCAACCTGCCCTGCGCGTCCCAGAGGGGAAGGAAGATATTCCAATGCTCCCAGGAGGCTGAGGTTGGGCAGGGAGCAGGAGAGAGGGCCTGGGGGCTCAGGAGACTGGCAGTGCCCACTCCTAGGGAGGAAACTGGGTTACAGCTAGAAGTACTTTTGGAGAGCACCCACTCGCCTTGTGCAAGTGGGAAAACACAGGTCCCTAGAGAGGTGAGAGGAGCAGTGTCAGACCTCACACAGCCGAGGGCAGGGCCCCAGCTCAGCTTGCCTCCACCTCTCACCTCTCACTTATCCAGCACTGTGGCAGCAGGACAGGAAACAAGTCCTACCACGGGAGCCCCCAGCCTTGGAGGGAAACAGGCAAGGCCCAGGAGCTGTGGGCTCCCCAGGAGGACTTCCTGAAGAGGGGTCTTCCATACCCTAAGCTCAGCCCCCAGATCTTGACACTTTGCTTTCTCACACTCTGTATCTGACCCATCTGGAAAATCCTGTTGGTCCTGCCTTCAGTATAGCCTGAATTCAGCCCCTTCTCTCCACTCCTCAACTGTCACCTTGATCCAGCCAGTGTCAACACTGGGCTCCCTGCTCCCCGCCTCGCCCCTGGCTATTCTCATCAGCCAGGCAGCCAGGGGGTCCTGTTCAAACCCAAAGCAGCTCATGTCCCTCCCCGCTCAGCAGCTGCCACACTCCCACTGCACTCAGGGTAAAACCCAAGGTCTTACAAGCCCCTGCGAGATCTTCCCCACACCTCTGGCCCTCTCTGACCTTGGTTCCCATGACTTCCTCCCTCACTCTGCTCCAGTAACACTGGAACATGTTCCAGTTCCCCTGGGTGGGCTCCCTCCTCAGGGCCTTTGCCCTGGCTGTTCCCTCTGCCTGGAGTGCTCTCCCCCTAGAAAGCCACCTGGCCCCCCGCTCACTTCAGCTCTCTCCTCACAAGTCACCTACTCCATGAAGCCTTATCTGACCATCCTGCTTAAAGTAGTAACCCCACACCAGCTTTCCCTCTGCCTGCTTCACTGCTCACCATCTGCTGTGCTGCATATTTTCTTGTTATGTCTATTTTCTCATTACGTATTGCTTTGCTACAGGACCTAGGATCATGTCTGACAGTAGGTGCTCACTAATTTTTTTTTTTTTTTGAGTCAGGGTCTCGCTCTGTTGCCCAAGCTGGAGTGCAGTGGCACGATCATCACTCACTGCAAACTCAAACTCCTGGGCTCAAGCCATCCTCTCACCTCAGCCTGCTGAGGAGCTGGGACTACAGGCATGCACCCCCACGCCTGGCTGATTTTTATATTTTTTGTAGAGACAAGATCTTGCTATGTTAGGCTGGTCTTGAACTCCTAGCCTCAAGCGATCCTCCGGCCTTGGCCCCCTAAAGCTCTGGATTATAGGCGTAAGCCACTGCATCTGGCCCTCAATACATTTGTTGAATGAATGAGTGACCTGAAAGGTTAGCCCAAGAAGTGTTCCAAGGATATTCCATGCAGAGGGAGCCATGTGTGAGGGCTTAGAGGTGAGGAGCACTATTGTGTGGAGGATCTGCAAATAATCCTGAACAGCCAGAGAGTGGGGGCCTTGGGGATGGAGAGGGGAGAGGAGGAAGCAAGAGAGGCAGGGCCTCAGCAGCCAGGCATCCTGAGAGGGATGGGGAGCCACCTGAGAGGGACATGACCAAACCTGTGTTTAAGATAAGAATTTTGCCTGGGAGCCGTGGCTCACGCCTATAATCCCAGCACTTTGGGAGGCTGAGGCAGGTGAATCACTTGAGTCCAGGAGTTCAAGACCGGCCTGGCCAACATGGTGAAACTCCATCTCTACTGAAAATACAAAAAATTAGCTGGGTGTGGTGGTGCATGCCAGTGGTCCCAGCTACTCGGGAGGCTGAGGTGGGAGGATCACTTGAGCCTGGGAGGTGGAGGTTTCAGTGAGCAGAGATGACACCACTGCACTCCAACCATGGCAACAGAGTGAGATCTCATCTCAAAAAAAAAAGAAAAAGAAAAGAAAAAAGATAAGGATTTGGCTGCTGCATTGTGGACTGGTGGAGAAGCTGTGAGGATCCAGCATCTGGGTGAGCATGAGCCATGCAGGGGAGATGGGGACTAGGGACAGGGTCGTGGGAAGTTTACAGCTCTGCTGTCCGAACAGTAGCCACCAGCCACATGCGGTTATGGAGCCCTTGACACATGGCTGGTCAGGATTGAAATGTGCTGTGAGTGTAAAATAACACTAGATTTAAAGACTTGGTATGAAAAATGTATGTATATATATACAACATATATATGTATAATAGATCATTAATAATTTTTGTATTGATTATCTATTAAAATGATATTTGGATATATTATTATTATTTTGTAGAGACAGGATCTTGTTCTCTTGCCCAGGCTGGAGTACAGTGGTACAATCATAGCTCATGGTAACCTTGAAATGGGCTCGAGTGATCCTCCTACCTCAGCCTCCCCAGTAGCTGGGACTACAGGTGTGCACCACCATGCCCGGTTAACTTTTACTTTTTAAAATTTTGTGTAGAGAAAGGGTCTGCTGTGTTGCCCAGGCTGGTCTTGAACTCCTGGGCTCAAGTGATTCTCCAGCCCTGGGTTCCCAAAGTGCTGGGATTTATAGGCATGAGCCAAAGCACCTGGTCTGGATATATTATTAAAATTAGTGTCACCTGCTTCGTTTTACTATTTTTAACATAGTTACTGAAAATTTTTTTAAATTTTAAGTTTTCAGGAGCTACAGAACTTCTATATTGGATGGTGCTGATTTAGAGGTAGAACTGGCAGAGGCTGGAGTACTGTGAGGGTGAGGGGGACCCCGGGTCTAATTATAAGTCTGTCTTCTCCAATTGCTCCTTTCTAATGAGACCACTGTGGTCCAGAGGCCACAGGGGAGAGCCTACAGAGTGAGTGTTCAGTTCAGCATAAGCACACACGCTCATATCTTCAAAGTAAGATCTATCTAGACATGAAATAGGCTGACTGAATAGACAGTGAGTTCTCTGTCTCTGGAGGTATGTAAGAAGAAAATTAAGGACCACCACTAAGCAGAGGAAAGGAGGTGGAACTAGATATTTTCAAAATATAGTCCCCGGACCAGCTGCTACAGCATCCCCTGGAAACCTTTTAGAAATGCAAATTCTCAGACCCCATCCCGGGCCTGAATCAGAAACTCCAGGAGTGGGACCTAGAATCTGTATTTAAATAAGCCCCACTGGACTGGGTGATGTTTCCTGCCACTTAAAGGTTTAAATGCAGCTGGGCGCGGTGGCTCGCACCTGTAATCCCAGCACTTTGGGAGGCTGAGGTGGATCACGAGGTCAGGAGATGGAGACCATCCTGGCTAACACAGTGAAACCCCCGTCTCTACTAAAAATACAAAAAATTAGCCGGGCGTGGTGGCGGGCTCCCGTAGTCCCAGCTACTCGGGAGGCTGAGGAAGGAGAATGGCGTGAATCCGGGAGGCGGAGCTTGCAGTGAGCCGAGATCGCGCCACTGCACTCCAGCCTGGGCGACAGAGTGAGACTCTGTCTCAAAAAAAAAAAAAAAAAAAAAAAGGTTTAAATGCCTGGCACATAGTAGGTGCTCCAAAAAAACTGTTCATTACCTTCTGTTTGCCTCCTACTCCCAAGTTCAGGTACTTCCCTCCCTGAGCCTTAGTTTCCCTCTTTGCACCTCCTACAGCATCTGGTTGTGTGTGTACCTGGTACAGGATGGATGAACCTCAGGGCGTTTCCTACCTCTTTGCTGTGGGCAGATCTCAGGGGACATGATAGAGCTGCCAGAAGTGTAAGGCAGGCCCCAGCTCAACTCCATCCTGAGGTGACCTCATTGCCCTGTGTGTAGGGGGTGATTCATAGGACAACCTCCTACTGTCCTGTGAGCACAGCTGACAGCCCGGGGGAGCCAGCTCAGCAGCTGAGCATGGCATCCAGCTTCCCTGAATTCCAGAACTGCAAGCGGGGGCCTGCCTGACTCAGCAGGCATGGGTGTTCTGGAGACAAGTTAGACAGCTCAGCCTCAGTCTCCCCATCCATAAAAATGGCGGGACACAGCCCCTATCCATGGTGAGAATATTTATATAAAGTGGTCAAGGCAGCGCCTGGCACACGTCAGCCCCTGCTATACCTTGGTGTTCTTGTGATGAGGCTGTGGGATCCTTCAGGCTGATTGGAACTCCCCAGTGACTTCCTAGGTCTGAGAATGATGCCCTGTAGGTGTATGGAGAAAAGAATGTTTACCTACTATGAGCACCCAGGAGCCTGGTTCTTTACATGAGGTTTATTTTTATTTTTATTTAATTTTTTTGAGACAGAGTCTCACTCTGTCGCCCAGGCTGAAGTACAGTGGCGTGATTTCGGCTCACTGCAGCCTCCATCTCCCGGCTTCAAGTGATTATCCTGCCTCAGCCTCCCAAGTAGCTGGGATTACAGGCACCCACCACACCTGGCTAATTTTTGTATTTTTAGTAGAGACGGGGGTCTCACCATGTTGGCCAGGCTGGTCTTGAACTCCTGACCTCAGATAATCCACCCGCCTCAGCCTCCCAAAGTGTTGGTATTACAGGTGTGAGCTGCCGTGCCCGGCTACATGAATTTTTAGTCACCAGAAAGATGTCTGTGAGGGCAGCACCTGTCTTAGTCATCTTAAAGCATCTATTAAATTAACTCTAAATTGGAGAGTATTGTGTCCATTTCATGGATGAGAAAAATGAGGTTCAGAAAGGTTAAATGATGTGCTCAAGGTCACGTGGCTGGGAAGTGGCTGCGTCAGGATCTTCACTCAGGTCTCCCTGACTGGAAACCTGGGTCTCTTTCTATGCCTTCATGGAGAAACTCCAAGTTAACTCACAGATTTGGAAGCTCCTGCACGTGCCACTTAAATCCATGTTTGAAGTGTTAGCTTCTGGTCCACGTTGGAATCCTTGCAATCTATGGTCTTAGAGAAACAGTGGCCGTAGCTGATGCCATTTGAGATGGAGCTTAAAAGATTCCTAAACTAGATTAAGCCTTACTCATCCTGGGCCTCCAGGCTTCAGTTGTTTCACCTGTAAAATGGGCATAATGAAAGCTTGCCTTGGCTGAAGGCAGAAAGTTGGATCTCGTTACCTGAGGGCTCTCCTAACCCTCAGATGCCTGTGTCCCTGCACCTACTTTAAAAGGCAAGGACTAAAGTTAAATTTAAAGTTAAAATTAACTTAAAGTTAAACCCAGGAGGCAGGTTTACATATTTTAATATTTAAGTTTTGTTTTTTGTTTTTTTTTGAGACAGAGTCTCACTCTATTGCCCAGGGTGGAGTGCAGTGGCGCAATCTCGGCTCACTGCAACCTCCGCCTCCCAGGTTCAAGCAATTCTCCTGCCTCAGCCTCCCGAGTAGCTGGGATTACAGGCACCTGCCACCATGCCTGGCTAATTTTTGTATTTTTAGCAGAGACAAGCCAGTCTGGTCTTGAACTCCCGACCTCAAGTAATCCACCTCCCTTGGCCTCCTAAAGTGCTGGGATTACAGGCATGAGCCACCGCGCCTGGCCTGAAGTTAAATTTTTTTAAAAAATAAAGAGGGAGTAGAGGAAAAGTCAATCCTAGCTCATTCTGATTTGTGCAAAACTAGTGATTTGTACTCAACAATCTTATTGTTTTAAGCAGAAAAATCCTTTTGACAAATAAAATTTAAGAAATCTTATCTGATCAAAGTGGATTTTTTTTTTTCTGGTTGAAGTAGGAGCCATGGGCTGTCGATGGGAACACCAACATCACCTTGGCCTTGCAGGCAGCCCTTGGGGTGCCAACGAAGAGCCCAGGGGTGCCAGAGAACCCAGTTTGACAATCACTGGAGGGCAGCAATACAAACAAACCATCGCTGGAGATCCGTTTGAAGAGAGACAAGAAGGTCCACTAAATGGTTGCTTTGGGTTCTAAAGAAAAATGGCTGTTTGATTACTTTTTTTTTTTTTTTTTTTGAGACGGAGTCTCGCTCTGTTGCCCAGGCTGGAGTGCAGTGGCGTGATCTCGGCTCACTCCAAGCTCCCCACATCCTGGGTTCACGCCATTCTCCTGCCTCAGCCTCCTGAGTAGCTGGGACTACAGGCGCCTGCCACCACGCCCAGCTAATTTTTTGTGTTTTTAGTAGAGACTGGGTTTCACCGTGTTAATCAGAATGGTCTCGATCTCCTGACCTCGTCATCTGCCCGCCTCCCAAAGTGCTGGGATTATAGGCGTGAACCACTGCGCCCAGCCTCTTTCTTTCTGAGACATGGTCTTGCACTGTTGCCCAGGCTGAAGTGCAGTGGGCACCATCTCTGCTCACTGCAACCTCCACCTCCCGCGTTCAAGCGATTCTCCCACCTTAGACTACTGAGTAGCTGGGATTACAGGTGTGCACCACCTGCGCCCGGCTAATTTTTTGGTATTTTTAGTAGAAAGAGGGTTTTGCCATGTTGTTCAGGCTGGTCTTAAGCTCCTGGGCTCAAGCAATCCTCCCACTTCAGTCTCCCAAAGTGCTGGGATTACAGGCATGAGCCACTGTGCCTGGCCAGCTTGTTCCTTGTTATTGCAGAGTAGCGTGGATGTTCAGATTCTATGGTGTGGATAGGCAACTGTTTGTTGGCCATTTACCCAGTGAGGGGCATCTGATTGTTTCCAGTTTGGGTCTATTATGAATAAAACTGCTATAAATATTCATATACAGGGCCGGGCACGGTGGCTCACACCTGTAATCCCAGCACTTTGGGAGGCCGAGGAGGGCGGATCACGAGGTCAGGAGATCGAGACCATCCTGGCTAACACAGTGAAACCCCATCTCTACTAAAAATACAGAAAATTAGCCAGGCGTGGTGGCAGGTGCCTGTAGTCCCAGCTACTCGGGGGGCTGAGGCAGGAGAATGGCATGAACCCAGGAGGTGGAGCTTGCAGTGAGCCGAGATTGTGCCACTGCACTCCAGCCTGGGCGACACAGCGAGACTCCATCTCAAAAAAAAAAAAAAAGGATTATTTATATATAGCAGATAGTAACCTTTTGTCAGCTATGTGGTTTGCAAATATTTTCTCCAGTCCATCGGCCACCCTCTGACACTGCTGAACAGTCATTCCCTTGTCTAGTTCACAGGACTCTGAGAGGCCAGCTGGACAGGCATTCTTGAGGACAGTTCACAGATGCAGAAACACAGGTCTAGAGGGTAAAAGGACTTTCCCACAAATGCACAAGGAGTTTAGGGGCAGAGGGGGGACCAGGACCCAGATCTCCTCCTGACCCTCGGCCTAGTGATCAGGCCACCTTGTGGAACGAGAGATCTTCCCTTTCCCTACCCTCTCATCCTGGATGGATGCTCACCACACAGCCACAGCTCTAGTTGAGCTTGCTGAAGCCAGACAAGGGAGAGAGATGTCTGCGCCTGGGGAAGGGCCAGTCTCCAAAAAGGACCCTATGTCCAGAAAATATGCACTTTCCTCCAGGTGAGGGAAGATCTGACCCTGGAGCAGCTACTAGAGAATGAATTTTGTGGGACACCTTGAAGCTGGGGAGGTTAAGTAACTTGCTTGAGGTCACAATGATTTAGTGGTAAAAGTTGGGGGGTCAGTTGCCAAATTTTTTCAGTGCCTTCCTGTCAGCCCTGATACTGGCTTTTATAGGGGAAGGACTATAGAGTCATCAGATGTATTCAATGGGTCAGAGGAATAAAAATTTGGCCTCCAGGACAGCAGGGGGGAAAAGGCTCTCCTTGGAGAAGAGCAAGTGGGGACAACCATGGTGAGGGCGGGAGATGTCCTCTTTCCCAGGCGACTGTGGCATCGATAGAAGAGATGAGAGGAAGTAGCAGGTCAGGAGCTTCGGTTCACCTTCTCTACGGTCAAGTATGAGCTCTGAGGTCCTTAGGGTCTGTTTTACCCACAGATTAGAGAATTGGGGTGAAGAGAGAAATGAAGTAACGTACCCATCAGATGGGAGTTTATCTGAGCCCTGGGTCCCTACAGGCCTGGCTAGATAGAAATGCTCTCCATTCGCAGGGCAAAAGCAGCATGGGCAAGACTCCTCTGAACTCCACTGCTCTGAGCAGGGGCCCCAGAAGGTGGTCTCCAAGGGGACGGGAAAACAGGATGACTAGGGCTGATTCACCACCCAGCACTACTGGACTTAACAAAGAGGCAAGGAGGGTCAAAGGCCTGGTCTCACCTTGAGGACCTACTGGGGCTAGTTTGTGTCCAGCATACAGCTGGAGCTTTTAGGGAGGAATATGGTGCAGCTCCTGTCTCCACACCCCTTATAGCTTGTCCAGGAAGCAAAACTTGTGGAAGTGTCATAGTTACGGACTCAAGAGCAGAATGGAACACTAAGGACCATCATTGCCCCTCAGCCAGAGACCACAGTGTGTCTGGAATTGGTGGGTTCTTGGTCTCACTGACTTCAAGAATGAAGCCACAGACCCTCGCAGTGTTACAGTTCTTAAAGGCGGCGTGTTCGGAGTTTCTTCCTTCTGGTGGGTTCACGGTCTCGCTGGCTCAGGAATGAAGCTGCAGACCTTCGCGGTGAGTGTTATAGCTCTTAAGGCGACGCGTCTGGAGTTGTTCGTTCCTCCCAGTGGGTTCGTGGTCTATGCTGGCCTCAGAAGTGAGCCTGCAGACCTTCGTGGTGAGTGTTACAACTACATAAAGCCAGCGTGGACCCAAAGAGCAAAACAACAAAGCTTCCACAGTGTGAAAGGTGACCCCAGCGGGTTACCACTGCTGGCTGGGGCAGCCTGCTTTTATTCTCTTATGTGGCCCCACTCACATCCTGCTGATTGGTCATTTTACAGAGAGCCGATTGGTCCGTTTTGACAGGGTGCTGATTGGTGCATTTACAATCCCTGAGCTAGACACAGAGTGCCGATTGGTGTATTCACAATCCCTTAGCTAGACATAAAGATTCTCCAAGTCCCCACCAGATTAGCTAGATACAGAGTGCCGACTGGTGCATCCACAAACCCTGAGCTAGACACAGGGTGCTGATTGGTGTGTTTACAAACCTGAGCTAGATACAGAGTGCTGATTGGTGTTATTTACAATCCCTTAGCTAGACATAAAGGTTCTCCAAGTCCACACTAGACTCACGAGCCCAGCTGGCTTCACCCAGTGGATCCCGCACCGGGGGCCGCAGGTGGAGCTGCCTGCCAGTCCCGCGCAGTGCTCCCACAGTCCTCAGCCCTTGGGCGGTCGATGGGACCGGGCGCCGTGGAGCAGGGGGCAGCGCTCATTGGGGAGGCTCGGCCCTGCAGGAGCCCATGGCGGGGCGGGGCGGGGCAGGGCGGGCCGGGGCCGGGGCCGGGGCGGGGCGGGGGGGGCGGGGGGGGCGGGGGGGCGCGGCCTGGCGAGGCACAGGCAAGGCGCACTGCAGGTCCTGATCCCTGCCTCTCAGGGAGGCAGCTAAGGCCCTGCGAGAAATCGAGTGCAGCGCCAGTAGGCTGGCATTGCTGGGGTACCCGGCGCACCCTCCACAGCTGCTGTCCCGGGTGCTAAGCCCCTCACTGCCCGGGACTGGCGGGGCCTCTCCAAGTGCGGGGCCTACCAAGCCCAAGCCCACCCGGAACTGTAGCCGGCCCTCAAGTGCTGCGTGCAGCCCCGGTTCCCGCCCGTGCCTTTCTCTCCATACCTCCCGGAAGGCTGAGGGAGCCGGCTCCGGCCTCGGCCATCCCAGGAAGGGACTCCCACAGTGCAGCAGCGGGCTGAAGGGCTCCTCAAGTGCGGCCAGAGTGGGCGCCGAGGCTGAGGAGGCACCAAGAGCAAGCGAGGGCTGCGAGGGCTGCCAACACGCTGTCACCTCTCAACAGGAGCCACCCTTAGTTAAACAAGTTAAAAAGGCTCCACCTTCTGGAGCAGGAGGTGAGTGGAGGGGTAATAAAATGAGGCTGGGACAGGGTGCAGGGGCTCACACCTGTAATCCCAACACTTTGGGAGGCCAAGGCAAAAGGATTGATTCTGGCCAAGAGTTCAAGACCATCCTGGGCAACATAGCAAGACCCTGCCTCTACAAAAAATTCAAAAAACATTAGCCTGGAGTGGTGGTGTGTACCTGCAGTCCCAGCTGAGATGGGAAGCTGAGGCGAGAGGAGTTGGTTATGAAAGGGACTTAGAGGTTACTCCATAGGAGTGGGTGTCCCCAAGTCAGCCCCTCTAATTCCTGGTGGTTCAGGAGATAATCATAGCTAGCACCAATAATACTGAATCACATAATCAGAAACAAGTTCCATTTTCAACGTGTCTGGGCCCTTCTGATTAAGAATAACATGGTGTTTATGACTCTGGAACCAGACAGCATGGATTTGGATCCTGACTGTGACTTACCAGCTGTTTGACCTCAAGAAAGTTACTTAACCTCTCTGAGCTCTGGTTTCCTCATCCATAAAATGGGGATAGCAATCGTACCTACCTTATTGGGTTGTTACATTAACTTAGCTCACTTAAACTGCATATTGGTGACTTATTACATCTAGGAGAAAGTCTCTGTGTACTGTTAATGTGTTTTTAACATGCCTTGCCCATTTTGAGCCCATGCTCACTTTTAATAAAGTATTAGAATGTATCTCTGTGGAGACACACTCTAATTTTCAGCAGACAATGCTATCTAATTAGAATGTAATAATAACCTTGTTCCACTTTCCTGGTATTTTGTCTTTTTTAATAGTTATTTTCAATTTACGGCAGATAATACTGGGTTTCTGTCTTGGGTAGTAACATAAAGTTTCCTTTAAAAATAAATTATTTCGCTTGTTGGCAGGGAGAGGGAGAACATCAGGAAGAATAGCTAATGGATGCTGGGCTTAATACCTGGGTGATGGGATGATCTGCGCAGCAAACCACCATGGCACACGTTTACCTATGTAACAAACCTGCACATCCTGCACATGTACCCCTGAACTTAAAATAAAAGTTGAAGATGAAATAGTAATTATTATTAAAAAAGAAAAATTTTTTTAAGATGTGAGTTAAAAAGTTATAATGTGTGGGCGGCAAGCCACCCAGGTGCCGAGGCAAGAGACCAAGGACATGAGCTGTTCCAGTATAATAAAATATAAAACAAGAATAGTTATACTAGATATAGATCTTAGATATGATTATATATGAATATCATTAATCATTAGTTTGTAGCAATTACTCTTTATTCCAATATTATAATAATCCTTGCTCTATAATCATAACCTAGGAAAAACCAGGCCATACAGAGATAGGAGCTGAGGGGACACAGTGAGGAGTGACCAGAAGACAAGAGTGCGAGCCTTCTGTTATGCCCAGACAGGACCACCAGAAGGGCTCCTTGGTCTAGCGGTAATACCAGCATCTGGGAAAACGCCCGTTGCCAGGCGGACCATGGTCTAGCGGTAGCGTAAGTGTCAAGGAAGAACACATGATGCTTAGCAGACCGGGAAAGGGAGTCTCCCTTTCCCTGGGGTAGTTTAGAGAAGCCTCTACTCCTCCACTTCTTGTGGAGGGCCTGACATTAGTCAGGCTCGCCCGCAGTTATCCGGAGGCCTAACCATCTCTCTGTGATGCTGTGCTTCAGTGGTCATGCTCCTAATCCGCCTTCATGTTCCATCCTGTACACCTGGCTCTGCCTTCTAGATAGCAGTAGCAAAATTAGTGAAAGTACTAAAAGTCTCTGATATGCAGAAATAATGGCGTAAGCTGTCTCTCTCTCTCCGTCTCTCTCTCTCTCTCTCTGCCTTGGCTGCCAGGCAGGGAAGGGCCCCCTGTCTGGTGGACACGTGACCCACGTGGCTTTACCTACCATTGGAGATGACTTACACTCTTTACCCTGCCCCTTTTGTCTTGTATCCAATAAATAACAGCGCAGCCCGGCATTTGGGGCCACTACCAGTCTCCGTGACTTGGTGGTAGTGGTTCCCTGGGCCCAGCTGTCTTTTCTTTTGTCTCTTTGTCTTGTGTCTTTACTTCTACACTCTCTCGTCTCCACACACGGGGTGAAACCCACCAACCCTGTGGGGCTGGTCCCTACAATAAAGTAATTTTAAAACCTTAAATATTCCTGGGTGCACTGGCTCACACCTGTAATCCCAGCACTTTGGGAGGCCGAGGCAGGTGGATTACCTGAGGTCAGGAGTTTGAGACCAGCCTGGCCAACATGTTGAAACTCTGTCTCTAGTAAAAATACAAAAATTAGCTGGGCATGGTGGTGCATGCTCCCCAGCTACTCAGGAGGCTGAGGCAGGAGAATCACTTGAACCTGGGAGGTGGAGGTTGCAGCGAGCCGAGATCACACCACTGCACTCCAGCCTGGGTGATAGAGTGAGACTCTGTCTCAAAACAAACAAACAAACAAAAACCTTAAATATTAAAATATGTAATAAATAATACAAGTGGTTATAGATGTGGCAAATGTTCTGGAAGTGGTATGTGAATGAATGAAGTTTGGGAGCTTCGTTGTTGAGAGAAATCCTGGAGAATCCCTGGAGAGGTTTAAGCAGGAACACTCAGACAAGAGCTGCACTATAGGAGGCCTGACTCGAGTGGGGCCAAGGCTACTCTAAAACAGAGACAGGAGGCAGACAGTCCTCTGTCCTGCCTGGGGCTGAGATGGGCCAGGGACAGGAAGGAGGGGGAAATTCAGGAAATTTTGTGAATACTCATCTTACAAACAAATTGCAAATAGACAGCTTTGACACAATCTGAACACTGAATATAGGGCATTGAGTTATTTAAGGAATTATTTTTATTTTTGTTACGTATGAAAATGGCATGGTGGTATGTAAAAAACAGGCTGGGCATGGTGGCTCATGCCTATAATCCCAGCACTTTGAGAGGCCAAGGTGGGCAGATCACCTTAGGTCAGGAGTTCAAGACCAGGCTGGCCAACATGGTGAAACCCCGTTTCTACTAAAAATACAAAAATTAGCCGGTGTGGTGGAGCACGCCTGTGGTTCCAGTTACTGGGGAGGCTGAGGCACAAGAATCACTTAAACCTGGCAGGCAGAGGTTGCAGTGAGCCGAGATTGTGCCACTGTACTCCAGCCTGGGTGATAGAGTGAGATTTCATCTCAAAACAAACAAAGTCATACATTGGCAATGGGGGCTGAAGTGATTACTTGTGTCTGGGATTTGTTTTGAAGCACTTGAGCAGCAGAAAAATGTGGAAGAGGGAGAGACGAAGCAAGATTGGCTAATGTTGGTAACAGTGGAAGCTGGGTGATTTGCTATATTATTGTCTAACTGGGTATATATCAAAATTTCCTTAATAAAAGTTTCCAAGGATGCAGTACCTCACTGGATCCATGTTCCATGGCATTAGAGAGGCAGTACTGTTTTCAGAAATGTCTGGACTGTGTATTCCATATCTTTGTTTAAACCCAGAATGAAAGCATTTAGTGACTGGACACCAGGACACTCCTTGCTATAAATGTTATGGAATCTCCGGTTGTGATTTCTTTTGGGCCTGGTGATTCCTTTCTAGAGTTGTCGGATCTACCAATATAGTTCACTTCTTTAGGAGGGTTCAACAGTCTCTGGCAATAAATAAGAGGGGGTTGTTGACCTTTATGACAAATACAGGAAGGGAGGGAAGAAGTAAAGGGAGGGAGGGAAGGAGAGAGAGAGGGAGAGAGGAAGGAGGAAGGGAGAGAGGGAAGGAGGGAGAGAGGTAAGAGGGGAGGAAGGAATAAAAGAGGAGGGGAGAGGGAAGAAGGAAGTGTTACCAAAATACCAGGGGTTTGGTCTAGGTCCTGCTGCTTGCTGCACAGAAATCAATTACTGAGACAAGTATTGCCAAGGAAGAAGCCTTTAATCAAGTGCTACAGCTGAGGAGATGGAAGCTCAGTCTCAAATCTATTTTCCTGACTGACTAAAACCAGCGGTTGGTATAGCAGGCAAGAAATGTAACAATGTGTAAGAAAACAGGAACTTGGGAGGGGCAAGGAGGCAATCATGGTGAATGAGGGGTCAGGCACCTAGTTCAGTCACCTGGTTTCAGTTCTTTGATACTTTTTGTGAGAGGCCTGAAGGTCCTTTCCTGAGGAAGGAACTCAGATAAAACAAATGTAAGTTTCAATCTTTAACAGCAGAATGGTCAATTTCTATGTTTATCCAAAAACAACTGTCTATGGGATTCTTGGGCCCCTTTCAGAAGGAAGAAAAGGAGCAGGAGGAAGGAGAGAAGATAAAGGAGAAGGCTCTTGAGATCATCTTGAGACCCAAGCCCTAAGTGTTTGGAATGGGCTCATCTCTGTTGGAAGGAGACAGTGCCTTCAGCCTTGGAATTCTCCCAAGAACTCTGGGCAGTAACTCTTCTGAGTGGTTTGAGCTGAGCTCAAGCCCAGGCAGATGTCACAGGACCATTTGTCCCACCCACCCAATGACAGGAGCCTGAGGATGTGCACATGCAAGCATGTGTGGCGGGACTCCTATCCACTTCTATACCTGGAGAAGGCAACTGCTCCTCAAGGCTTGGCTCATGAGTCCCCTCTCCCCCTTCCCTCTTCTGTGTCCCTGTATTAGTCAAGGTTCCAACAGAAACAGAACCAATAGACTTTATGTAGATGTACCGGAAGAGATTTATTGTGAGGGATTAGCTCCACAGTTATGAAGGCTGAGAAGTTCCATAATCCTCCATCTGCAAGCTGGGGGTCCAGGAAAGTCAGTAGTGTAAGTTCCAGTACCAGGAGCTCTGACATCAGAGGGCAAGGGAAGGTGGGTGTCCCAGCTCAAGCACAGGCAGCAAATTTGCCCTTCCTCCACCTTTTGGTTCTGTTAGACCCTCAGCACATTGAAAGATACTTACCTGCACTGGTGAGGGCAGATTTCTTTACTCAGTCTACTGCTTTAAATGCTGATCTCTTCTGGAAACAGACACACCAGAAATAATGTTTTACCAGCAATCTGGGCAGCTCTTAGCCTAGTCAAGTTGACACATCAAATTAGCCATCACCGTCTCCATGATTCTTCCCTCAGCCGTGGCACACATCGCACTGGGCGGTAATTGTTGGTCAGTTAATGTCTCCCCTACCGGGCATAACAGTAATAGAAATAACTAACAGCTACCATTCACAGCAGCTTGCCCTGTGCCAGCTTTTCTCCCAAGAGCTTTACCTCATGAGGTAGGTGCTATAATTTCTACTCTATAGAGATGAAAACTGAGGCTCAGAGAGATTGAGTCACTTGCCCAAAATCACACAGCAAGAGGGGACTGAAACGCAGCTCTGTCTTCCCACAAAGCAGTTGTTCTTAACCACATTTCTAACCAGCTTGCCTCTAGCTCCCCCTGTGCCTAGCGAATGGCTGGCTCCTTGGTAAATGCTTGAAGAAACACTCACCACTCTGACTCGACTTCCCTCCCAGTCTGGGGAGCCTGCCACCCTCCCCCAGCAACTTGCCTGCCTCATTCACTCCCAAAAGGTGCGATGGAATGAGAGTTCCACCTTGTTCACTTCAAGCTACAAACGTCTTTCTCCATCCCAAAGAGAAGTGGCTCAGTTTTATAAATAGCCCTAAGCTGGGAGCTGAGAGACCCCATTTTGAGCTCTGGCTCTGGCTGTGTGACCTTCACAAAATCACATAACCTCCATGAGTTTCGGTTTCTTTGTAGGGCAAATGGAGAAACCCCTTGTCCCTTGAGGGAAGGCATCTGACAGTGCTCAGCAAATGTTCTTTTCAGTTCTCCAGGAGGGGTTAAAGAATTCTTCCAGCATCCTGCTGAGGTGGGCTGGGGTGTCACACACACAGCACCAGGCCATGGACAGAAGCCTCTGCCGAGACCCAGGCAGAAGAAGTGGGGCCCAGAAGGAGCAGCCTGGTCCCCCCACAGGGCCAAGCAGATTGACTTCTGGAGCAAGGGGCTGCATCTGGGGGACTTCTCTGCAGGCAACACCTGAAGCCCTGACCATGGGCCAGTATAAATGAGGAGGATGGTTTGTTAGCCAAACCCACCTTCAGACACCTGCAGGATACCTATCAGCTGGAGGCTCTGGGAGTGAGCCAGCCCTGCCCCTCACTGTAGGGGTGGGAGATGATGGAAATGAATCTTTATTCCCAAATTCTACAAAACACTGTCACAGCCATAGCTTTCTTGTCTTCCTTGCTCCTCACCACTTCTCTCAGTTCAGTCCATTGCTCGAGCATCTACACTGTGCCAGGCACTGTACCAGGTGCTAGGTGGCAGGGAGGGTAAGTGCTATTGCATTTAACAACAAAGGGCGAAGTAGTGAGGCCAGAACTTGAATGCAGGGACTCTGCTCTTAAAACCCCACTTCTTCCTACTACTAACTCTCTTACAGCCAAAAGAGATTTCTCAGTCAGCTATGGAGACAGAAAAAACAGCAGGAAGGGAAATTGAAGGTGAGACAGAGGAGACATAGGAAAAGGGAGTGATATGGTTTGGGTCTGTGTCCCCACCCAAATCTCATCTTGAATTGTACTCCCATAATTCCCACATGTTATGGAGGGACCTGGTGGGAGATAATTGAATCATGAGGGCAGTTTCCCGCATACTGTTTTCCTGGTAGTGAATAAGTCTCACGAAATCTGATAGTAAGGGGAAAGCTGTTTCACTTGGCTCTCATTCTTTCTCTTGTCTGCCGCCATGTGAGACGTGCCTTTCACCTTCCACCATGATTATGAGGCCTCCCCAGCCACGTGGAACTGTAAGTCCAATAAAACTCTTTCTTTTGTAAATTGCCCAGCCTCAGGTATGTCTTTATCAGCAGTGTGAAAACAGACTAATACAGGGAGTGAGAGGAGAAATCCACGAAGGCCTCCAGGAGGCTGTGACAGTTGGTTTTGAAGGTTGGTTGGGGGTTATTTGTTTTTTTTTTTTTTTAAATAACTTCTCCCACCCCCTGACAGAAGCAGCATCAATTCCTTATAGCAACTTGAGTAAAATACTGGTAAACAAAGAAATCAAAACAAAAATCTCCTGGAATTCCCACCATCCAGAAATAACCACTGTTGATATACGTGTATATATCCTTCATCTTTTTTCTATCCATAAATACTTACTTTGTTACGAATGTGAGCTCAAGCTGTACAGGCTGCTTTATGAGGTTCTAATGCAGGTTTCCCCCAGAAAGATGGGAGGCTGATCCTTCTTGCAGTGTCTTCCTAAAAGAGAAGGAGGGAGCATCTGATGGAGGGGGTATGTAAAGGAACCACACATACTCAGACCATTCACTTGGGTGGGGATTGCTTTCTGCCCTCAGACATCTGGTAGACTAGACATGTTCTCTAATCCAGGAGTGCTGAATTAGTGAGACTAGTGGGGCAGGTGTCTAAAACCACTTTCTCTAATCATCCTCCTCTCCATCTGTCTGCCTGTCTCTGTTTCTCAATTCATTCCACATTGTGAAAGGGAAAGGGGCTGTTGTTTATTAACACCCTAAATAGAAATCACCAAATAGTATGAAGAATTTGACATTTTAGCCAATGTTTTTCTTAACAACTTTTTAAATGGCGGCTTTATGTAGCTGCATCATAGTTTACTTGACCATTCCCTAGTGTGGATATCCAGGCTTTCTCCTCTGTCTTTTGAAATAAAATTAATCCTGTTAATCTGTGTGAAAGATGGAGTTAGAAGGGCTGTGGGGAGCAGCTAGGCTCAAGGCTTGGCAAACCCTTTGTGTAAGTGGCCAGAGATAAAGGGTTTTGAGTTTTGTAGGCCAAGCAGTGTCTGTGGCAGCGTGGTGGTTGTGGTGGTGGTGGTGGGGAAGCATTCTGGACACATAACATTGTTCCAGAAATGTAATTCTCTGCAAGTCCCGTTGCAGAAACTGCCTGTTGTAACTTGATAACAGTTGTATCTATAACTACTGAACTAACTTGCCATAACTCTAGGACCAACTTTACCCACGACTGTTGCTCACCAACCAGAGCTTGCCAGCAGTTCCCCAGAACCTTACTGGTGCCAATGAACTTTCTCAAAGAGCAATGCGTTTCTCCTTTAAAAAAAAAAAACTCCAACCTCCTCTCTGTTCTTTGGACATACCAAAGACCACCCAGGCTGTGTGTATGCCCCAGATTGCAGTTCTGTCTTCACAAATAAAACAGTTAATTTCAGATATTTGTTTCTGCATTTTTATTTTGACTTTGACAACATTAATAGCGAATTCTAAATGAATGGGTGTGGCTGTATTCCAAAAACAGGTGGCAGGCTAAGTTTGAGCTGTGGGTCACAGTTTGCCAAACTCTGAACTACAGCAAAGGTGGGAAAATGCAGGATGTGTTGGGGAACAGAACATGAGAAAGTACACAAATATACTCTGCAGTATGGTATGTAGGACAGGAAGCAAAGAGAGACCCATGGATGCCCCCTAAAGAACTAGGCAGTATTAACTCCTTGTGGCAGAAACTATCTGTTTCCCCTTTTCCATAGTAATCGCGGGGCACATGGCTACATAGACTACATTTTCCAGTGCCTGAGTATACACTACATTTTCCAGTGCCTGAATATACACTACATTTTCCAGTGTGGCCAATGGGTTGTAAGTTAAAGTATCTAGTGGCAGCTTCTGAGAATGTTGCTTAAAACACATCTAGCATATGATCTTTGTCCCTTTTTCCTTTTCCTCAGTCCAACTAGCTGGAAGCCAGTATAGAAAGGTCACAGAATGCAAGGTTAATATATGAAAGTCAGTTGCATTCTTCCCTTTTTTTTTTTTTTTGAAATGGAGTCTTGCTGTGTTGCCCAGGCTGGTGTACAGTGGCGCGATCTCGGTTCACTGCAAGCTCCGTCTCCCGGGTTCACCCCATTCTCCTGCCTCAGCCTCCTGAGTACCTGGGACTACAGGCACCTGCCACCACGTCCAGCTAATTTTTTTGTATTTTTAGTAGAGACGGGGTTTCACCGTGTTGACCAGGATGGTCTCAATCTCCTGACCTCGTGATCTGCCCACCTCAGCCTCCCAAAGTGCTGGGATTACAGGCGTGAGCCACCGTGCCTATTTTTTTCTAATATTTTTAAAAATTAGAGGAGCTAATTTTGTTGCCCAGGGCGGATCACGAGGTCAGGAGATGGAGACCATCCTGGCTAACATGGTGAAACACCGTCTCTACTAAAAAATACAAAAAATTAGCTGGGCGCAGTGGCGGGTGCCTGTAGTCCCAGCTACTGGGGAGGCTGAGGCAGGAGAATAGCATGAACCTGGGAGGCTGAGCTTGCAGTGAGCTGAGATCGTGCCACTGCACTCCAGCCTGGGTGACAGAGTGAGACTCCGTCTCAAAAAAAAAAAAAAAGAAAAAGAAAAATAAAAATTGTACTTTATATGAAAACAACAACAACAAAAAACCTACACACAGACCTTACACCTTCCAAAAAATTAACTCAAAATGAATCATAGGGCCTGGCACAGTGGCTCATGCCCATAATCCCAGCATTTTGGGAAGGCTAAGGCAGGTGGATCGCTTGAATTCGGGAGTTCGAAACCAGCCTGGCCAATATGGCGAAACCCCACCTCTACTAAAAACACAAAAATGCATGCACTTCTGGTCCCAGCTACTCAGGAGGCTGAGGTGGGAGGCTTGCTGGAGTCCGGAAGGCGGAGTTTGCAGTGAGCTGAGATTGCACCACTGCACTCCAGCCTGGGCGACAGAGTGAGACTCTATCTCAAAAAAAAAAAAAAAACACATAGACCTAAATGCGAAACATAAAACTATAAAATATGTAGAGGAAAATATAAGAGAAAATCAACGTGAGCTTGGATTTGGCGATGAGTTTTTAGACACAACATTAAAAGCATGATTCATGAAAGAAAAAATAAGTTGGACTTTATTTCTTTTGTTTGTTTATTTATTTATTTATTTATTGAGACGGAGTCTCGCTCTGTTGACAGACTGGAGTGCAGTGGCACGAGCTCGACTCACTGCAACCTCTGCCTCCTGGGTTCAAGTGATTCTCCTGCCTCAGCCTCCCGAGTAGCTGGGACTACAGGCATGCGCCATCATGCCCAGCTAATTTTTGTATTTTTAGTAGAGACGAGGTTTCACCATGTTGGCCAGGATGGTCTCGACCTCTTGACCTCATGATCCGCCTGCCTTTGCCTCCTAAAGTGCTGGAATTACAGGCGTGAGCCACCAGGCCCTGCCCGAGTTGGACTTTATTAAAAGTAACACCTACTGCTATACCAAAGACACTACTAAAAGAATAAAAAGAGAAGCCACAGACTGAGAAGAAATAATTGCAAATTACATTTCTGATAAAGGACTTATATCAAAAAATATACAAATAACTCTTAAAATTCAACAGTAAGAAAACAAACAACCCGTTTAATAATGGACAAAGATCTGAACAGATATCTCACTAAAGAATATACACGGATAGCAAATAGGCACATAATAATTCTTAACCTCATTTTTTTTTTTTTTTTGAGATGGAGTCTCGCTCTGTCCCCCAGGCTGGAGTGCAGTGGCGCGATCTCGGCTCACTGGAACCTCTGCCTCCCGGGTTCAAGCAATTCTCCTGTCTCAGCCTCAGCTGGGACTGCAGGCACCCGCCACCACACCCATCTAATTTTTGTATTTTTAGTAGAGATGGGGTTTCACCATATTGGTCAGGCTGGTCATGAACGCCTGACCTCAGGTGATCCACCCACCTCAGCCTTCCAAAGTGCTGGGATTACAGGTGTGAGCCACCGTGCCCGGCCAACCTCATTTGTTTTTAGGGAATCACAAATTAAAACGACAATGAGCAATCACTACACACTTATTCTAATAGCTAAAATCCAAAAAACCGACACTACCAAATGCTAAGTAAGCAACTGATTCATTGTTAGTGGGAATGCAAAATGGTATAGTCACTTTGGAATACAGTTTGGCAGTTTCTTATAAGCTTACCATATATATAGCTTACCATACCTTCCAGCCAGCAATCACACTCATAGGTAATTATGCAACTGATCTGAAACTTACCTCCACACAAAATCCTGCACGTGAATGTTTATAGCAGCTTTATTCATAATAGCTAAACACTGGAAGCAACCAAGATGTCCTTTGATTGGTGAATGGGTAAACTACAGTACATCCATAAAATGGAATATTCTTCAGCAATAAAAGGAAATGCACTATTGTTGATGATAAACACAGCCAGACATCAACTGTGTTGATGATAAACACAGTTAGAGCAGTGAAAACAGATTTTATTCAGTAACTACTGACAGCAGGGGAAAGAGCTGAGCTCCATTCTGATCTGTGCAGAGGTGATTTGGATGTTTTAAAGGGAGAATGAGGGATCAAGGAGAGCGGGCCTCTGTAGAATCAGAGAAGTGAAAAATTACAAAGCGTTGGTCAGTGCAATTAGGCCAGCTGTGTTTGTTCTATCCTCCCTCAGAGAGTGGGAGACAGAGGCCCCAACATCATGAAATGTTCCTGATGATTACATTTCAAAGGAATGGCTCTCAGGTCCTTGAGAGAAACGCTTCTGAGTTATAAGAGATACATATTCGCAGTTGTAAGCTGTTTCTAGTAAATGCTTTAAGAAAGGGAGGTCAGAGGCTTATCATGAGATATTGGCTAAAATAGACAGTAAGTTCTCCAGGCAGCTTGAGCTTTCTCAGACAGGCATTTTAACAAGGTCTGAGGTCATTCTAAGGATATATTCTTATGGTCAAATCTCTTAATGCAGGGGTTTAGATGGGTTGTTATATGCCAAGAGTTCTGCAATCCCCTCCCCTCCCTTCCCCTCCCCTCCCCTCCCCTTTCCTTTTTTCTTTCCTTTTCAGATGGAGTGTTGCTCTGTTGCCCAGGCTGGAGTGCAATGGCATGATCTTGGCTCACTGCAACCTCCACCTCCAGGGTTCAAGCGATTCTTTTGCCTCAGCCTCCCGAGTAGCTGGGATTACAGGTGTCCGCCACCACGCTCAGCCAATTTTTGTAGTTTAGTAGAGACAGGGTTTCACCATGTCAGTCAGGCTGGTTCGAACTCCTGACCTCAGGTGATCTGCCCACCTCAGCCTCCCAAAGTGCTGGGATTATAAGCATGAGCCACTGTGCCTGGCTGAGTTCTGCAGTTCTCATGGAAAGACATAGATGAATCTTTTTTTTTTGACACGGAGTCTCGCTCTTTCACCCAGGCTGGAGTGCAGTGGCGCGATCTTGCTTCACTGCAAGCTCTGCCTCCTGGGTTCTGGCCATTCTCCTGCCTCAGCCTCTCTAGTAGCTGGGACTACAGGCGCCCGCCACTGCGCCCAGCTAATTTTTTTGTATTTTTAGTAGAGACCGGGTTTCTCTGTGTTAGCCAGGATGGTCTTGATCTCCTGACCTCATGATCCACCTGCCTCGGCCTCCCAAAGTGCTGGGATTACAGGCATCAGCCACCGCGCCCGGCCAACATAGATGAATCTTAAATGCATATTATTAAGTAAAAGATGTCAGTCTGAAAAGGCTATATCCTATATGCTTCCAACTATATGACATTCTATAAAAGCCAAAATTATAGAGACAGTAAAA
Source organism: Homo sapiens (assembly GCF_000001405.40). Taxonomy (NCBI): domain Eukaryota; kingdom Metazoa; phylum Chordata; class Mammalia; order Primates; family Hominidae; genus Homo; species Homo sapiens. Next base: position 12,782,036 of record NC_000003.12, read on the forward strand.
AGATCAGTTGTTGCCAGGGGCTCCAAAAGAAGGAGGGAGAGGTGACTAGGTAAAGCAGAGGGGATTTTTTTAGGATGACGAAGGTATATACAGCAACTATATATAATACTCTAACAGTGAATTCACAACTATGCATTTGTCAAAACCTATAGAACTTTACAGCACAGAGGAATCTTAACATGTGCGAAGTTTCTAAAGTCATTTAGGAGGTCAGGGGATTTCAGGGTGGAAAGCAGAATGTGATGAAACAATGCAACTGTATTATAAATGTATGCAACAACCTCACTGAATGCAGGGTGGGAGAAAAGTGCTGACCTAAGTAATGCAGGCAGACCCCAAAACTGGGGCTCAGCCTGGGAGGGTTCTTGGCTTCACTTAGGGAAGATTTCAAGAGGGAGCCAACAGTGAAGAAAGCAAGTTTATTAGAGCAACGTCGTACAGCAAAATGGCTGCTCCATAGACAGAACAGGGCTATCTTATAGGCAGAGTGGCCCAGAGTAGCACTCTTGGATTGCTGGCTAGCTCTATTTATACCCACACTCAATTATATGCTAAATAAGGGGTGGGTTATTCACAAACTTTCTGGGAAAGGGGCGGGGAGTTCCCAGAATCATATAAGGTAACTGCTGGGTCGTTGCCATGGCAGCATTTGTAAACTGTCATGGCACTGGTGGGAGTGACATGCCAATGCAAATAAGCAGTGAGGGTAACTAGAGGTTGCTTTCGTGGACATCTTGGTACTGATTGGTTTGGGCTGGCTTCTTTGTAAATCCTGTTTAGATAAGGAGGGTTGTGAAAAGTCTTGTTGATCTCCTACCTCATAAGTAAATTTGGAAATGAATGGAATCTGCAAAACTAAAGGCAAAAGAAGATACACACAAGCACTATCCTCTAGTCTGTGAAGTTGTTTCCCATGGGGTACAGGTTAACCATTGTGATATCACTATACATATATACTGGAATTGAAGAATTGGGTAAATGAGTGGCTAGGATTCTCATTGTTGGAGTAGGAGTTATAGTGAAACAAGGGGAGGAAGCTAGAATTATCCATTGGATAATGGATTCAAGTTGGACACATCAGTATAAATTTGTGTTTAGCTTAATAGAGATACAAATGGTTACACATAGAAATATATATAGATATGTGGGTATGCATGGATCAGTATACATACACCTATCTCCTTGTCTATCAGCTGAGAGGGTCTACAAGCAATGACACCCCAGTAGGAACAATTATATCTAGCAGCCAAAACTTGATTTCTAATACTATTCTCCAGTAAAAGGAACCAGGGATACTTGGAGAAATGGCTGATCTTCAGGAAATACGCAAGATGAGCCTGAAGCATCTTCTAATGCCAGTAAATAAGGAAGTGCTCAAACACACACACACACACACACACACACACACACACACACACACACACATGATCAGGGTATGTCAAAGGAACACAGGAACCAACTGAAAGAGTTCCCAATGGCCAAAGCTGGAACAATTTGAGAAAAAAAAAAAAGTAAAGTAGTATTGGATTAGAACTCAAAGTATAAAATATCCATAAGTCCATACTTATACAAATAGATGATTAAATAAATAAATAAATGCGGGAGAAAAATGAGTATCTAGTGCAGAACAATTTCAAATAATTTATGTAGATAATCCTCCCTTAAGGAAGTGGTACGTAACACCCCACTCCTTAAATGTGGGCTGCACGTTGTGACTTTCTTTTGAAAAGTAGAGCATGGAAAGGGAGGTGGGGGAAAGGAATAATTTTATAGTGAAGAAACCTGACAAACACTACCTCAAGCTACGTGGTGAAGATTAACATCAACAGTGATAATTCATGCTGATAGTATGTACCCCAGATATGTGATGAGAATGACGCTTTACCTCTGTGGTCTTCCTTGCAGAAGCTCATTACCCCAGTCTAACTATAATAAAAACATCAGACAAATCCGAGCTGAAGGTCATTCTATAAAATACCTGAACAGTGCTCAAAACTGTCAGCATCATCAAGAACAGGGAGAGTGTGAGAAACTGTGATACGGTTTGGTTTTGTGTCCCCACCCAAATCTCATCTTAAATTGTAATTCCCATAATCCTCATGTGTCAAGGGTAGGATCAGATGGAGGTAATTGGATCATGGGGGTGGTTTCCCTCATGCTATTCTCGTGATAGTGAGTGAGTTCTCACGAGATCTGATGGTTTTATAAGTGTCTGGCATTTCCACTGCTTGCACTCACTCCATCCTGCCACCCTGTGAAGAAGGTGCCTGCTTCTCTTTTGCCTTCTACCATGATTGTAAGTTTCCTGAGGCCTCCCCAGCAATGCAGAACTGTGAGTCAACTAAACCTGTTTCCTTTATAAATTACTCAGTCTCGGGTATTTCTTCTTAACAGTGTGAGAATAGTCTAATACAAACTGTCATAACCAAGACGAACCTAAGGAGACATGACAACTAAAGGTGGTATCCTGGAACCAAAAAAGGACATTAGGTAGCCGGGCGTGGTTGTTCATGCCTCTAATCCCAGCATTTTGGGAGGCTGAGGAGGGCGGATCACTTGAGGTCAGGAGTTAGAGACCAGCCTGGCCAACATGGCAAAACCCCATCTCTACTAAAAATAGAAAAATTAGCCAGGCATTGTGGCGCACGCCTGTAGTCCCAGCTACTCGGGAGGCTGAGGCAGGAGAATCACTTGAACCCAGGAGGCAGAGGTTGCAGTGAGCCAAGATCGTGCCACTGCACTCCAGCCTGGGTGACAGAGTGAGACTCTGTCTCAAAAAAAAAAAAACCCAAAACCAAAAAAACAAACAAACAAAAAAAGGACATTAGGTAAAAACCAAGGCAACCTGAAAGAAATATAGTCTTTTAGTTAATAATAATGTATCAACAGTAGTTCATTAATTGTGACAAATATACCATGTCAATGTAAAATTGTTAATAATATGGGGAACTGGATGTGAGGATATAGGAATCTTTCTACTGTGTTCACAATTTTTCCATAATTCTAAAACTGTTCTAAAATTAAAAGATTATTTTAAGAAATGTGAGGAACAAAGAACTAAAAACTGGATAGAAAAATGGGAGAAAGATATGAATAGATAATTCACAAAAAGATATAAAAAGGGCCTCCATACATTTGAAAAAAATCAAACTCATAATTAGAGAAATGCAAATTAAAACAACACCGAGATACAGTTTCTCACCCATAAGATTGGCAAAGACTAAAATGCATGACAACACATGCATTTGCATAACACATAGGCTGTGGGGCAACAGACATTTTCCTACGTTGCTGATGAGAATGCAAACTGGTGCAGCCCTTGTGGAGGAGAATTTGACAGTAGCTAAGAAAGCTACAAATGCATTTACCTTTTGACTCAGTAATCCCTCTCCTTGGAATCTACCTGAAGATAAATAAAAAATACGTGGCCGGGTGCAGTGGGTCACACCTGTAATCCCAGCACTTTGGGAGGCTGAGGCGGGAGAACTGCTTGGGAGGTCAAGTGTGCAGTGAGCAATGATCGTGCCACTTCACTCCAGCCTGGGTGACAAAATGAGACCCTGTCTCAGAATAAAAGAAAGAAAATGCATATTTATAAGGTTATTCGTTGCAGCATTATTTATAATTACAAAATATTGGAAAAAACTTAAATGTCCATAGATAGGAGAGTGGTTGAATAAACTGTGACATCTCCAGCAATGGAGTACCATATAGCTGTAAAAATGGATGAGATCTCTATGAGATGATATGGGGTGATTTCCATATATACAGTTAAGGGGGAAATAAATCAAAGTGCAAAAACGTATCCATGGCATGCTACTGGTCGCGTAAGAAAGAAGAGGTTATAGGAAGATACACATTTCTGCTCATATGTGCAAAAGAAATCTAGCAAAGGTAAACCAGAAATTAAAGAGATTGGCTACCTACAGGGGGTATGTAGGACTGGGGTGACAAGAAGGAAGGTATGGAAGTGACACTTTACTGAGTATACCTTTTTGCTTAGGTTTGACTCCAGGAACAAGAGTAATATTTCACATACTCCCCAAATAAAGAAACAATTAAAACCAACCAGACTGTTGGGGAAACCCAAGATGGAATACAAACACTAGCAAATAAACCTAACTGTATTCCAAATGAATAACAGACCATACCAAAGGGACAGAAAAGAAAAGACCTAACTTAAGTAACTGTGGAATATAGAATTTGAACTGTATTCTGTAAGGCTACAGACAAAAAGAACTCCATATAAATACTGTACTCTAGTTAGCAAATTTGTTTCTCACTGAGGTGTGGGTTAGCAATTCTGCAAGTAGTGTATATGTATACTAGGATTGAACAAATAAATAAATATAGATAATGAGAACAAGATTTATCACTGTCAAAGAAAATAGTTACAAATGGCTGGGCAAGGTGGCTCACGCCTGTAATCCCAGCACTTTGGGAGGCCGAGGTGGGTGGATCACCTGAGGTCAGGAGTTCAAGACCAGCCTGGCCAATACGGCGAAACCCTGCTTCTACTAAAAATACAAAAATTAGCTGGGTGTGGTGGCAGGTGCCTGTAATCCCACATACTGGGGGGCTGAGGCGGGAGGATCTCTTGAACTTGGGAGGCGGAGGTTGCAGCGAGCCAAGATCGTGCCACTGCACTCCAGCTTGGGCAACAGAGTGAGACTCCGTCTCAAAAGAAAAAAAAGAAAATAGTTACAAATAAGGAAAGATAGGAAAGATAGAAGGATAGAATGAACCTTTGGTGTTGGGTTGAAATCAGAGATATCAGTATGAACTTGTGGGGTTTTTTTTATAGATAGAGATGTATGTGTGTGAGAGTTAGTATACACATACATATTTCATAGCTTTGTCCTCTGAGAGGGCCTAGAAGAAATGACATCTCAGTAGCAATGAGCAAAGCCAGAACCCAGATCTTGGTTTCTAAGTGCCACTTTCCAATAAAAGGAACCAGTGCTCCTTAGAAAAGTGGATGGTGATTATAGGGTTGGAACAGGGAAAATATAAGATAAGCCTAGAACATCTTTTGTTATTAAGAAAAAAAGAAAAGAAAAGAAAGAAAGAAAATGCTCCAAAAAGAACGGGAGCTTGTCAAAGGAACATAGAAGCCAACTTGAAGGAGCTCTCAATGGGCAAACCAAGAGCAATTTGAGCAACAAAATAAATCGTATGTTATTGGATTGTAACCCAAAGTACAGAATGAATATACAGGAGACCATATGTTTATTTATTGATTTTTAATTTATTATTATTATTATTATTATTATTATTATTATTATTATTATTATTATACCTCTGAACTTTTTATTGGCCTCCTGCTCCCCAAAGGGTACCCTGCTTCTGCTGGCTTAATGTCTCAGAACTTTGGTGTCATCGGTCTCAGACACCACTTTGCCATCCACTATCCGGCGGGTGGTGGTTTTTGGATGGTTTGCATGGAGTTGCTGCTGTCCAGGGCATCACCAAGATTGAAGTCCTCGCCATCTTCCAGCAGGCGGCGGTAGGTGGCAATCTCAGCCTCCAGCTTGACATTGATGTTCAGCAGGGTCTCGTAATCCTGGGCCTGGCTGTCCCTCTGCCCAAGTCAGTGCCAGCTCCAGGTGCAGCAGGATCCCACTGAGCTGCTCTATCTGCAGGGTGTAGCGGGCCTCCACCTCCCTCAGGCTGTTCTCCAAGCTGGGCTTCAGATTTCTCACGGAGTCCAGCTTGATCTCCAAGGACTGGACTGTACATCTCAGCTCTGTGAGCATCATCTCAGCAGCTCCAACCTCCACGGACTGCGTGGTGACCACTGTGGTGCTCTCCTCAATCTGCTGAGACCAGTACTTGTCCAGCTCCTCTTGGTTCTTCTGAGCCAGCTTGTCATATTGGGCTTGGATATCTGCCATGATCTTGGTGAGGTCCTGAGATTTGGGGGCATCTACCTCCACGGTCAACCCAGAGCTGGCAATCTGGGCTTGTAGGCCTTTTACTTCCTCTTCGTGGTTCTTCTTCGTGAAGAGCAGCTCCTCCTTGAGAGCCTCAATCTCTGTCTCTCGCTGCAGCTGAGTGACATTGGTGTCATCAATGACCTTGCAGAGCCCATGGTGTCGTTCTCCACAGACTGGCGCATGGCCAGCTCTGTCTCATACTTGACTCTAAAGTCATCAGCAGCAAGATGGGCATTGTTGATCTGCAGAACGATGCGGGCGTTGTCCACAGTATTTGTGAAGATCTGAGCCCTCAGGTCCTCGATGGTCTTGAAGCAATGGCTCCAGTCTCTGACCTGGGGTCCCTTCTTCTCCAGGTGCTCCCAGATTTTGCTCTCCAGCCTCCAGTTCTCGGTCTCCAGGCTCCTCACTCTGTCCAGGTAGGAGGCCAGGTGGTTGTTCAGGCTTTGCACGGTCTCCTTCTTGTTCTGGATGCCTCCCATTCCTGCCAGACCCCCAGCCATCCCCGAGGCCAGGCCCCTGGACCCCATGCCACCCCGGAAGCTGGTGGAGCGGGACACGGAGATCCGGGAACCAGAGCCCCCAGCGACTGCAGAGACGCTGACCATGCTGCTGACCAGCTGGGCGCCATAGCTGGCACCTGGACAGAGCCCAGGGACCAGTAGTTGGTGGAGAAGGTGGAGCGACTGGTGAAGCTCACGCTGTCCGGGGAGGAGGGCGAGAAGACAGGACTCAGCTTTGCCGACAACCTATTATTATTTTTTAACAGAGATGGGGTTTTGTCATGTTGCCCAGGCTGGTCTTGAACTCTTAAGCTCAAGTGATCCTCCCGCCTCTACCTCTTCCCAAAGTGCTGGGACTACAGACATGAGCCACTGTGCCTGGCCTAGAGACCACAGATTTAAATAAATAATTGAAAAATAAATAAATGGGGGAGAAATGACCATATCTTCCTTCCAGAAGAATTTTAATAAATGTAGAAGGTGACTGGATGCAATGGTGCACTCCTATAATCCCAGCATTTTGGGAGGTTGAGATGGGAGGATCACTTGAGCTCAGGCATTTGAGACCAGCTTGGGCAACACAGTGAAACCCTATCTCTACAAAAAATACAAAAATTAGCCAGGCATGGTGGCACAAGCCTGTAGTCCCAGCTACTTAGGAGGCTGAGGTGGGAGGATCTCTTAAGCCCAGGAGGTCGAGGCTACAGTGAACTGAGATCGCATTACTGCACTCTAGCCTGGGTAACAGAGCAAGACCCTGTCTCAAAAAAAGAGAAACAGGGAAATAGAAAATCACCATTCGACAGTAATACTCATAAAAGAAAGATCCACCAATGGATGCTAAAATTAGTAGGTGGAATTTTGAGGAGAAATAGGATATTTTGGTCATCTCAAAAAATCTCCTCCAAGATATTTATCCGGTGCAATTTCTCAAGTTAATAAAATTTAAATGCAAATTTACAAAAAGTATAAAATTATTAATTATAAGAGAAACATAGTAACTTTATAGTAGAGAAACTCAACCAAGACACAGTTTAGCTAAGTGATCAACATTAACACCAGCAGTAAGAAGACTTAGTGACATCACAAAGCCCCTGCTCTGATGCACTGAAGAAAGCATAACACTGCTTATGCTGTACTCTAGCCAAAAAATGCATAACTTCAATCTAATCACGAGAAAAGCCTTAGACAAACCCAAATTGAGGGACATTCTGTAAAATAGCCAACCAGTTCTTTTAAAAAGTGTCAAGGACATTAAAAACAAGAGAAGATGGAGGAACAGTCACAGATTGGAAGAGACTGAAGAGACCTGGAAACTAAATGTAATGAGTAACCCTGAACTGGATCCTTCAACAGAAATAGGACACTGATGGAAAAATTGGTGAAATTTTTTTTTTTGGAGGCAGACTCTCGCTCTATCCCCCAGGCTGGAGTGCAATGGCGCGATCTTGGCTCACTGCAATCTCCGCCTCCCAGGTTCAAGTGATTCTCCTGCCTCAACCTCCTGAGTAGCTGGGATTACAGGCGCCTGCCACCATGCCCAGCTAATTTTTGTATTTTTAGTAGAGACGGGGTTTCGCTATGTTGGTCAGGCTGGTTTTGAACTACTGACCTCGGGTGATCCGCCTGCCTCGGCCTCCCAAAGTGCTGGGATTACAGGCATGAGCCACCGCACCTGGCCCACACCTGGCTGATTTTTAAAAAATATTTTTGTAGTGATGGGGTCTCACTATGTTGCCCAGGCTGGTCTTGAACTCTTGGGCTCAAGTCCTCCCATCTAGCCTCCCAAAGTGCTGGGATTACAAGCCTGCACCACTGTGCCTTGTTTGTTTTTGAACTTCACACAGATGGAACCACATAGAGTATGCACTCCTGCATCTGGCTTCTTTTGGCCAATATCTTTGAGATTCATTCATGTCATTGCACATGGCAGTAGTTCATTAATTTTCATTCCTATATAATATTCAATTTTATGAACTACTACAGTTTGTTTATTCATTCACCTGTTGATGAACACTTAGGTTATTTCCAATTTTTGGCTATTCAGAAGAAGAAGAAGGGTGGTCTGAACTTTTTTTTTTTTTTTTTTGAGATAGAGTCTCATTCTTGTCACCCAGGCTGGAGTGCGATGGCAGGATCTCGACTCACTGCAACCTCCGCCTCCCGGGTTCAAGCGATTCTCCTGCCTCAGCCTCCAGAGAAGCTGGGATTACAGGTGACTGCCACCACGCCCGGCTAATTTTTGTAGTTTTAGTAGAGATGAGGTTTCACCATGTTGGCTGAGCTGGTCTGAAACTCCTAACCTCAGGTGATCCACCCAAATTGGCCTCCCGAAGTGCTGGGATTACCAGTGTGACCCACCAAGCCTGGCCTGAACGTTCTTTTGATGAACACATATACGTTCATATATCTTGAATATACGCCCCAGAGTGAAAGTGCTTATCTGAATACATCAAGGTAGATACATACTTAGCTTTTTTAAATATGGACAAACAGTTTGTACCAATGTAGTTTTACCAATTTAAAGCTCACACTACCACCATATAAGAGTTCTGGGGCCAGGTGTGGTGGCTCACTCCTGTAATCCCAGCACTTTGGGAGGCTGAGGCAGGTGGATTGCTTGAGCTCAGGAGTTTGAGACCAGCCTGGGCAACATGGCAAAACCTGTTGTTACAAAAAATACAAAAATTAGCCAGGCATGGTCGCTCACACCTGTAGTTCCAGCCACTTGTGGGGCTTGAATAGGAGGATCAGTTGAACCTGGGAGGTCAACGATGCAGTGATCTGAGACTGCACCACTGCACACCAGCCTGGGTGAAGTGAGACCCTGTCTCAAAAAAAAAAAAAAAAAAAAAAAAAAAAGAAAAAAAAAGAGTTCTGTTTGTCCTGCATTCTTGATAACACTTCATGTTGTCCATCCTTGTACACTTTTATTGCTTTAAATACTTCCTCTGTGTGAAGACCTTCCCCCATCTGTATCTCCAACCAGGAATTCTCCCCTGTGCAACTGATGTATTCAGTTGTCAACATGGCATCTTTCCTTGGATGTCTAGTAGGTAATTCCAAGTTAACAGATCAATGCAGTTTTCAAGTCCTCCTTCCCATCAAAAGGTTTCTTGTCTTGACTTCCTCATCCCCATAAAAAGCACCACCATCTACTCAGCTGCTCCAGCTAAAAACTCATAATTCTTCCCTTTTCCTTACCCATAAAAATAATATATGACTTGTAAAAATATATGCACTGACTCATAAAATTATTACAAAATATTATGAAACTATGTACTTATTTCATTTCCTTTCCTTTTTATTTATTTATTTATTTACTTTTTTGCTCTGTTTTTTGTCTCGTTCTTTTGCCCAGACTGAAGTGCAGTGGCATGATCTTGGCTCACTGCAATCTCCACCTCCCAGCAATTTTCCTGCCTCGGCCTCCAAAGTAACTGGGATTACAGGTGCGCGCCACCACACCTGGCTAATTTTGTATTTTTAGTAGAGACGGGGTTTCACCATGTTATCCAGGCTGGTCTCGAACTCCTGACCTCAAGTGATCCACCCACCTCAGCCTCCCAAAGTGCTGGTATTACAGGCTAGAGCTACCGAGCCCAGCCCATTTCCCTCCTTTTTATTGAGGCAACAGTTACATATAGCAAAGTACAGCTTGATTAATTTTTACAAATATATACCTGTAATCATCACCCAATTCAAGAGTGTGGATTCAATTAGCCAGGTGTGGTGGTGTGTGCCTGTAGTCCCAGCTGCTCAGGTGGCTGAGACAGGAGGATGGCTTGAGCCCGGGAGGTGGAGGCTGCAGTGAGTGGTGATCATGCCACTGCACTCTAGCCTGGGCGACAGAGTGAGATGTTGTCTAAAAAAAAAAAAAAAGTATGTGAATCCAATCCTCAAATGAAACTGCTGTATTCTATTTCCATGACATAACCCGAATCTTCCCATCTTCGCCACCATTCCCCCAATGCAAACCACCCTCATTCTTTTTTCTTTTTTTTTTTCTTTGAGACAGAGTCTCGCTCTGTAGCCTAGGCTGGAGTGCAGTGGCCCATGATCTCCACTCACTGCAAGCTCTGCCTCCCGGGTTCACATCATTCTCCTGCCTCAGCCTCCTGAGTAGCTGGCACTACAGGTGCCCGCCACCACACCCGGCTAATTTTTTGTATTTTTAGTAGAGATGGGGTTTCTCTGTGTTAGCCAGGATAGTCTCGATCTCCTGACCTCATGATCTGCCTGCCTTGGCCTGCGAAAGTGCTGGGATTATAGGCATGAGCCACCATGCCCAGCCTCTTTTTCTTTTTTCTTCTTTTGAGATGGAGTCTGGCTCTGTTGCCCAGACTGGAGTGTATTGGTGTGATCTCGCTCACTGCAATCACCTCCGCCTCCAGGGTTCAAGCAATTCCCCTGCCTCAGTCTCCCGAGTAGCTGGGACTACAGGCGTGTGCCATCACACCCGGCTAATTTTTGTATTTTTAGTAGAGACAGGGTTTCACCATGTTGGCCAGGTTGGTCTTGAACTCCTGACCTCAGGTGATCTCCCAGAAGTGCTGGGATTACAGGCATAAGCCACCACGCCCGGCCCAAACCACCCTGATTCTTGATTGCGTGGACTGTTCAGCACTAAAGAGATCTTTCTAAAAAACCAGGCCAGGTGCAGTGGCTCACATCTGTAATCCCAACACTTTGGGAGGCCGAAGCAGGTAGATCACCTGAAGTCAGGAGTTCAAGACCAGCTTCTGGCCAACATGGTGAAACCCTGTCTCTACTAAAAATACAAAAATTAGCTGGGCATGGTGATGCGTGCCTGTAATCCCAGCTACTTGGGAGGCTGAGGCAGGAGAATTACTTGAGCCTGGGAGGTGGGGGTTGCAGTGAGCTGAGATTGCACCACTGCACTCCAGCTTGGGCAACAGAGCAAGATTCCATCTCAATAAATAACTGAATTAATTAAATAAATAAAATAAAATAAACTGATCTGGCTGGGCGCAGTGGCTCACACCTGTAATCCCAGCACTTCGGTAGGCTGAGGCGGGTGGATCACCTGAGGTCAGGAGTTCAAGACTATCCTGGCCAACATGGTGAAACCCCATCTCTACTAAAAATACAAAATTTTGCCGTGTGTGGCGGCGGGTGCCTGTAGTCCCAGCTACTCGGGAGGCTGGGGCAGGAGAACTGCTTGAACCTGGGAGGCAGAGGTTGCAGTGAGCCGAGATCACACAACTGCACTCCAGACTGGGCAACAGAGGGATACTCTGTCTCAAAAACAACAACAAAAACTGATCAAGTTACCTTCTTGCTTTACGCCATCCAGTGTTCCCTGGCGTTAGTGTTCCCACATAAAATTAGTGTTCCCATATAAAATACGAACTCCTTGCCTTGGCCTGAAAGGTTTCAAGTAATCTGGCCCCTGTCCACCTCTCTGTCCTCATTTCCTCAGTGGAAGACTGATCTCATTCCATTCCAGCCATAGCCCGCCCTCCCTCTCTCCCTCCCTCCCTTCCTCCCTTCCTCCCCTCCTTTTTTTTGAAACAGGGTCTACTTTGTCACCCAGGCTGGAGTGCAGTGGTGCGATCACAGCTTACTGCAACCTCTGCCTCCCAGGCTCACCTCTGCCTCCCAGGTTCAAGAGATTCTTCCACCTCAGCCCCCCAAGTAGCTGGGACTACAGGCGTGTGCCATCACACCCGGCTGATTTTTGCATTTTTTGTAGAGACAGGGTTTCACCATGTTGCCCAGGCTGGTCTTTAACTCCTGAGCTTATGTGATCCACCCACCTCAACCTCCCAAAATGCTGGGATTACAGGCATGAGCCACTGCGCCCAGCCAGCCACAGCCTTTTCTTTTCTTTCTTTCTTTCTTTCCTTTTTTTTGAGATGGAGTCTCGCTCTGTTTCCCAGGCTGGAGTGCAGTGGTGCCATCTTGGCTCACTGCAAGCTCCGCCTCCCGGGTTCACGCCATTCTCTTGCCTCAGCCTCCCGAGTAGCTGGGATTACAGGCGCCCACCATCACGCCCGGCTAATTTTTGTATTTTTAGTAGAGACGGGGTTTCACCTTGTTAGCCAGGATGGTCTCGATTTCCTGACCTTGTGATCCACCCGCCTCAGCCTCCCAAAGTGCTGGGATTACAGGCGTGAGCCACCGTGCCCGGCCCAGCCACAGCATTTTCTTAAACACATCAGGCTGGTTCCCACCTTGAGACCTTTTTTTTTTTTTTTTTTTTTGAGGCAGAATCTTGCTCTGTCGCCAGGCTGGAGTGCAGTGGCGCGATCTCGTCTCACTGCGAACTCTGCCTCCCGGGTTCACGCCATTCTCCTGCCTCAGCCTCCTGAGTAGCTGGGACTACAGGTGCCCGCCACCACGCCCGGCTAATTTTTTTGTATTTTTAGTAGAGACGGGGTTTCATCGTGTTAGCCAGGATGGTCTCGATTTCCTGACCTCGTGATCCTCCTGCCTCGGCCTCCCAAAGTGCTGGGATTACAGGTGTGAGCCACCGCACCCGGCCACCACCTCGGGACCTTTGCACCTGCTGCTCCCTCTGTCTGGGAAGCCCTTCCCTCAAAACTTTGCCCAGCTGCTTCATCTGTTGAGGTCTTAGCCCAAATGTCTCCTCCTCAAAAAGTGCCCTCCCTGACCTTTGCTGAAGTTGCCCCTCCACGCTCCAGGAACTCTCTATTTTATTTTCTGAAGAGCTCTTATTTTCCTTATCTAATCACTTTCTTCCTTCTTGCTGATTTCCTACACTAAAATGTAAAGTCCCCAGGGGGCAGGGGCCGTTTGTGTCTAACACCCTGCTGCGTTGCATCCTTGTTGTACAGATCTGCACTGTCCATTATGATAGCCACTACCCATAGTGGGCTATTTAAAGTTAAGTTAATGAAAAATAAATATAATTAAGAATTTGGTTCCCCAGTCACACTAATTCCATTTCAAGTGCTCAATAGCCACATGTGGCTAGTGGCTATCATATTAGATACTATACTGAAGATGTAGAACATTTTCAACATTGCAGTGTTCTATTAGCTTTGGTCTAGAACCTACGTACCTCATAATAACAGGTGTTCAAGGGGGGTGTCAATTTAATAAAGATTTTTTTTTTTTTTTTGAGACGGAGTCTCGCTCTGTCGCCCAGGCTGGAGTGCAGTGGCGCGATCTCCGCTCACTGCAAGCTCCGCCTCCCGGGTTCACGCCATTCTCCTGCCTCAGCCTCCCGAGTAGCTGGGACTACAGGCGCCTGCCACCACACCCGGCTAATTTTTTTGTATTTTTAGTAGAGACGGGGTTTCACTGTGTTAGCCAGGATGGTCGTGATCTCCTGACCTCGTGATCCGCCCGCCTCGGCCTCCCAAGTGAATAAAGATTTCTTTTATCCTTATCTTATGAGTGAGAAAAACATAGCCCAGAGAGGTTGTTTCATTATCCCAAGGTCACACAGCCAGGAAGGAGCCTAGCAGAGATTTGAAGCCAGGCTTGTCTGGCTCTGAAGCACACACTACTCCCTTTCCCATCCAGCAGCCTCCTGGCTGTTTATGGAAGGATTGCTGCGCAGGATATTAAGGGATCTGCAGTCAATCCTGACTCCATCCCAGATTCATTGGCTGTGTGACCCTCAGCAAATCCCTTTGCTTCTCGGCCTCAGTTGCATTGCTAAAAAAATGAAGAAACTGACCCTGCCGTCCTGAGGGTTGGGGATGCGAGGCAGGGGGCCTTGTGTGACTCAGTTCATTCCCCAGATCCTGTCTGGCTCAGGGGCGGGCAAGCATCGTGGGTGAGGGGTCTTTTGGTTGGCCTGACCAGCTTTGGTTGATAGCTCCTGTTTCTTGAATGCCTACAGATGAGAAAGCGGAGGTAAAGTAACTTGGCCAAGGCTACACAGCAGAAGAGGCAGAAGTGGGATTCGAACCTGAGACTCTATGATATTACGTCCATGCCGCAAGACAGAGCTGGCACCTACGGGAATAACAAGGAGGTGGTGGCAGGGTAGTGAGCTCCCCGTCTCTGGGGGTGTGTGCAATCCGGCGCTGCGCTGTCAGCAGGGCAAGGGCTGGGGCCGGGGCCAAGACCACCAAGCCAGGCCCAGGCCCGCCCGCCTCCCGCGGCCGCCACGGCCAAGGCGTGAGCACGGGGCGGGGCGGGAGCTGCTATTTCTGTCTGGTGAGCGCAGCCCGCGCAGCTGGCGAGGGAGGGGGCGCCCGCGCCGCCATATTCCCTCCCGCCGGCCGGCTCCGCGGCGCGCAGCCACCATGAGCACCGCCGCCTTCCACATCTCCAGCCTCCTGGAGAAGATGACGTCCAGCGACAAGGACTTCAGGTGCAGCCCGCCGCCGGCCCCCTTCTCTCCTTCCCGCTCTGAAGCCGGGGGCCTTCTTCCCCTCTCGAAGCGCCAGCCCATCCCCCATGACCATGCAGCCCCCTGCCTCTTCTCTCTTCTCCCTGCATTAAGCTGCCCCCCTCCCCACAGGCCCACTCCTGCCTCGTGGTCCCCACTGGAGCTCCGGCCGTTCTCCCCTAGGGGCCGTCCTGCCCCTCCGCGACTCCAGTCCCTGCTTCGTCTCCCACCGTGCAGGCTTCAGCCCTACCTCTCACCCCCGATCAGAGCCCCGGCTCCACCCCTCTGCACCCTGCCTCGGCCTCTCCTCCCTCGTGTGTGTCCGGCCCCCTTCTTCCCCCGCAGCTGATGCCCCAGCGCCCCCTCCCCCCCGCCCCCACCACCTTCAGCGAGCCCACAGTGAAGCCCTACGCCTCTCCCTGGGGACCCCAGCACCTGCCTCTCCTCCGCATTGAACCCGGACCCTTCCCGGGACCGCAACCCCCAGCTGACTTTCTCACTGGCACCCTCAGTGATGCCTCCTTCTCAACATCACCCGGACCCCTCCCTCCCCGTCTCCCTCCCCTCCTGCGATTGTTCAGACCCAGCCTAAAGGAGGGGGCTGGGCTGAGTCTGGCTTTCCAGTCACAGGTAGGTGATGGTTGGGGTGGGACCTTCTAGGTTTTGTGTGCCACTCTCCTTCCCCACTCCCTTTTTCCTTCTTTCCCCCTCTCACAGCATCACAGAACCACAGGAATAGAGCTGAAAAGAACGGTGGAAACATCTGGTCCAATGAGTTTCCACCTGCATTCCCTGGGGAAACTGAGGCCCAGGGAGGAAAAGGGATTGGCCCGTGGTCTCATGGCCAGTTCTGGCCCCTCCAGCTGAAAGAAGACCTTGGAGACTCAATGAACATTTTTTCACTTTGTCCCCATTTTACAGATAGGGAAACTGAGTCTCAGAGACATGAAGGGCGTAGGTTCAGTCACAGCGAGGAAGTGGGAGACTTAGTCCAAATCCAGGCCAGTCTAATACAGAGGCCAAGATCTTAGTGAGGTCCTCTGATTCCAGCCCCCTGACAGGTGAGGAGACAGACCTGCTCTGGTGGTCTGACTCCTACTCTTCTCCTGCAGCCCATTCCTCAGTACCCCTCAAGAGCCCCCCCACATTAATAGAGCCTGGGATCCAAGGTCTTGGCTTCAGATCCCAGCTGCCGTCACTCACTGGCCGTGTGACCATGGACAAGTAACTTAACCCCCATGAGTCTCCCTGTGCTTCTGTTTCTATAAAATGGGGATAACAGAACCCATCTCTGAGGGTTGGGGTAAGGATTAAATAAGATAGTACATGTGAAATGCTCAGGTTCATGGCAGGCACTAGGTCGGTGCTTCATAAACGGACACTGTTATGATTCTGTGCACATCCAAAATCTGCCACGCCCTGTCCCCTCTCTAGACCTTCACTAGGGGGATTCTTTGCTCTCCCTTGACCTCCTCCCTTCATCTGACAGCTCCTATAACTCTTGACCCCAGGCAGGATTAGGTACCTCCTTTCAGCTCCCATCATGCCTCCCCTCATGTTTCTGCTAGATCACTTTTCAGCCCTGGGAGACCCTGAGCTCCTGGGCCACTGGGACTATGCACTTCCTCTTAGTGCCCCAACACCTGTGCTGAGTACACGGTAGGTGCTTAGTGAATGTTCGCTGGGTCCCAGGCTCCCTACTGTGCACCCCACGTGTAATCTCAGTCCACCCATGGGTGGTAGTGATTGTTCTTCCTGTTTTCCGGAGGCTTGGAGGAGTGCAGTGACTTGCCCAAGGTCACAGAGCTGGCTAGTGGCCTAGGGGATTTGCGCTAGTGTCTCTCAGGCCTCTGGTCCAGTCTCTGGGAGAGGGAGTTGGCCCTGCCAGCTACAGCCCGAGAAGCCCTTTCAGCCTGTCTCTGCCAGTGGCCTGGAGAACACTTAAAACCACCCCAAGCATGTGAGAATGGTGTCTATTTTTAAAGTCCGAATACCAGGGTGCTGGGTCCTGCAGACCAGCTGTCCAGGCGTCCGTGTGGCCAAGGGTTTCAGCTGAGTTGCCTCTAGGGTTTCTCTGTAATGAAACTGAGACTGTCCTCTGGTTCCTGGAGCGGGGCAGCGACTGCAAATGGGGGTCCCAGGTGGGGTGGAGGGAGACCTTTGTTTCCTGTTCTTCCTGGGCCCTGGCTTTATGGGCAGGAGGTGCCCCATTACCACGGAGGCTCCAGCAGTCAAAACGAGTACCCTTGCAGGTCTTGCAGGAATTACCAAGTCATTTCTTGAAAACACAGTAGTATTATTGGTTGAAAAGCCAGGAGACCTGTGTGGTGGGCTGGTTTTCCGCCCAGTTTGCTGTTACCGTAGGCAGTTTGTGCAGCCTCCCTGAGCCTAGTTTTCTTACTACCTCATGCTAAGAGCTAGATTGTCCTATTGAAACCTCCCAAGGATACTATGAGGTAGGGCAAAGAAAAGTTCCCATTTTATATATAGAAAATCTGAGGCCCAGAGAAAAGGAGGTAGTTGCCCAATGTCACCTAGTTGATAAATGGCAAGACTAGTAAGTATACTCACTTAAAGCCAAACTTTGGTGCTCAAGCTCTTATCCACCAAATTATATACTTTTCCTTCTCTCTCCCATCCCTACACACATACACGTATAAAACATGGCTTGCTTTCTCCGAGAGCTAGTGTCTGCAGGAACCAGGGGTGTCTGAAATGCTGAGGCATACTTCAGAAGAGTTGGTTTCTGAATTCGGACTATTTGGCTGTAAGTTCTGTTAAGGGCTAGCTCTCTCACTACCTCTCCTCCTGCTCTCACCCTCCCTGACAAAGCCCTCTGCAGACCTGTTCTTTGTTGAGCCTGGAGTCCCAGAGATAAACCTGATGAGCCTCTGCCCTCAGTGAGTGTACAGTCCAATGGAGAAGATGCTCTGGTGGCCAGACTTGTATTGCAGTGTGAGAAGTGCTATAAAGGAGGGGTGCAGAGTGCTCTGAAAGGATCTTGTCCAGGGAACCATTGTGCTTAGGGGCTGTGGATGCAGGGGTAGGGCAGGGAGGTCAGTCATCCTTGAGCTGGGACATTTGAGCTGGGCTCTTGATGGGTGAATAGGAGGAGCTCAACAGATGAAGAAGAAGAGCGGGGATAGAAGGCCTATCTTGGGCAAAGAGGCACATCGCCTGGGTTGCCAGGCTGAGCTGGGCCCCCATGGACTGCAGCAGAAACACAACTTGGAGACCCTGGGTGCCATCTCAGAATGTCCCCTCAGCTGAGCAGACGTAGGGGTGCATGTGCTCACCTCAGGCCTTGGCCTGGCTCAAATCCAAACCTCCTCCTTCACTTTACCTTTGCCCAGAGGTGGGCACAGTCAGTCCTGCCATCCTGCCCATGCTGCCAGCCCAGCCTCCTTCTCTCTCCTAGCAACTTGTGGCTAATCTACCTGTTAAAAATAAATAGGTCATCGACCAGTCCACCCCTGGTAACAGGGCACTGTGGGCTGCAGTGACATCTAGGAGCAGGTCTGAGTCTGCACAGATGAGAGCCAGAATCCCAACTGTGATAGATTTTGCCACAGGAGGCGGGGGTCAGGGCTCTTGGTTGATTTGCTCAACCATGCTGGAAAGCAGGGCCAGCGTGGGGTGGTAGAGTGGCCCAGCAGGGTCAGTAAAAGCTGGAGGCTTTCTCCGAGGCAGCCTTACAGTATCTCCTCGCTGCTCTGTCCTGTTTTCTCCTGAGACTCCGCTCTCACATGCCTGCAGGAGCCAGTCAGTGGGTGAAGTGGGCCTAGTGGGGACCAGGTGAACTGGGGAGAGGGCAGCCACAACCTGATTCTAATCAGGTATTGTCACCAGGGATTGTAGGCCCCGTTGTACTCAAATATTCTGTTTTCAAGATAATCTGGAAGTCAGTGTTTTGTTTTTGTTTTTGTTTTTGTTTTTTTTTGAGTCTCACTCTGTCACCCAGGCTGGAGTGCTGTGGCACGATCTTGGCTCACTGCAACCTCTGCCTCCTGGGTTCAAGTGATTCTCCTGCCTCAGCCTCCCAAGTAGCTGGGACTACAGGTGTGCACCACCATACCTGGCTAATTTTCGTATTTTTAGTAGAGATGGGGTTTCCCCCTGTTGGCCAGGCTGGTCTCTAATTTCTGACCTTAAGTGATCTGGCGACCTTGGCCTCCCAAAGTGCTGGGATTGCAGGCGTGAGCTGCTGCGCCCAGCCTGGAAATCAGTATTTTTTTTTTTTTTTTTTTTTGAGATGGATACTCGCACTGTTACCCAGGCTGGAGTGCAGTGGCACGATCTCAGCTCACTGCAACCTTTGCCTCCCGGGTTCAAGTGATTCACCTGCCTCAGCCTTCCCAGTAGCTAGGATTACAGGTGTCTGCCACCGCGCTCGGCTAATTTTTGTATTTTTAATAGAGACAGGGTTTCACCATATTGGCCAGGCTGATCTAGAACTTTTGACCTCAGGTGATCCACCCGCCTCAGCCTCCTAAAGTGCTGGGATTACAGGCGTGAGCCGCCATGCCAGGCCAAAGTCAGTATTTTTGTGTCAACTTTCCCAATGTTCAAATGTTGACAAGTAATTTAAATTTTTGAAAACATGTTTGCAAGCTGGACACAGCTGAGGGCTACTAGTTTCAGACCTCTGCTCCTACCCTCTTAATTTTGGCGGGAATGGTGCCCAATTCCCGCACCATTCCTCGACTTGGAAAGTTGGCCCCAGCCTCAACTTTCCGTGGCTTCCAGCTTAGACTCCCACTGCAGTTTCAAATGCCTGGGACAGCATCAGGCTTTTGGTGTCAGGCCCCATGAATCCCTCACCTCCGGGTGGGTAGCCCTTGCCTCTGGTGCCCACCCTAGGTCAGTGAGCCAGTCAGCTATTGGCGCTGGTCTCCAAAATATGCCCATGCCCATCAGCATGGCGTGGGGCAGTGGTTTTCAAAGTGTGGTCCCTGACCCTCAGTGTCCTCCAGGAATTTGTTAGAAATGTGGATTCCTGGGCCCCAACTCAGACCTGCTGATTCAGAAACTCTGGGAATGGGGACTAGTATTATTTAACAAGCGCTGCTGGTGATTCTGATGCTGGCTATAGCTGGAGATCCACTGCTCTAAGGGCAGGGACTGAGCCGGTTCTCTGAGATGGGAGTGGACAGGGCTCGCCCTCCTCCATCTGTTTGGCAGACAGGCCTCTAGCTCTGACTTGGACACAAGGTGTCTGTTCAACCTTCTGGTATCCCTTGGCTGGGCGCGGTGGCTCACGCCTGTAATCCTAGCATTTTGGGAGGCCGAGGTGGGCGGATCACGAGGTCAGGAGATCAAGACCATCCTGGCTAACACAGTGAAACCCCACCTCTACTAAAAATACAAAAAATTAGCCGGGCGTGGTGGCCGGCACCTGTAGTCCCAGCTACTCGGGAGGCTGAGGCAGGAGAATGGTGTGAACCCAGGAGATGGAGCTTGCAGTGAGCTGAGATCGTGCCACTGCACTCCAGCCTGGGCAACAGAGCAAGACTCCATCTCAAAAAACAAAACAAAACAAAACAACCTTCTGGCATCACTTTCTCAGCTGTTGTGAGATGTGGATGATGTCCTGTGCCATTATAATAATGGCAGTGCCATTTACTGAGCACACACCATGTGCACTTAAAACACCATGAGGCAGGTACTAGTCTCATCCCTGTTTTCAGACAGGTAAACTAAGGCTTGGAGAGGTGAAATGACTTGCCCAAGTTCACACTCATAAATGGCTGAGGCGGGGGCCACCGATCCTGAAACATTATGCATTTAGCCAGCATGCTGAGCCGTTGCTAGTCTGCCACTATGTGGCAGTTGGTGTCACACATATGTGGGTCTCCTTGTAGCCCAACCATGCCCACTGCCCAAATAATCCACCATCATGTGGCACTTAACGACGGGGAAACATTCTGAGAAGTGCATCCTTAGGCGATTTTGTCCTTGTGTGAACCTCATAGAGTGTGCCTACACAACCTAGATGGTAGAGCCTACTACACTCCCAGGCTATATGGTGTGGCCTGTTGCTCCTAGGCTACAAACCTGTATTGAGTACTGTAGGCAGTTGTAACAGAGTGGTATTTGTGTGTCTAAACATAGAAAAGGTACAGTAAAAATAAGGTAGAAAAGATTAAAATGGCATGCCTGTATAGGGCAGCTCCATTAAAATCTTTTTTTTTTTTTTTTTTGGAGACGGAGTCTCTCTCTGTCGCCCAGGCTGGAGTACAGTGGCATGATCTTGGCTCACTGCAAGCTCCGCCTCCCGGGTTCACGCCATTCTCCTGCTTCAGCCTCCCAAGTAGCTGGGACTACAGGCGCCCGCCACCACACCTGGCTAATTTTTTGTATTTTGTTTAGTAGAGACTGGGTTTCACCATGTTAGCCAGGATGGTCTTGATCTCCTGACCTCGTGATCTGCCCACCTCGGCCTCCCAAAGTGCTGGGATTACAGGCGTGAGCCATTGCGCCCGGCCAGCTCCATTATAATCTTATGGGACAACCATTGTATATGTTGCCTGTCACTTACCAAAACATCATTATGTGACACAGGACTGCATTTGACCTCGAATCTTTGTATTAAGGTCTACTTCTAGGGGAACCCTGAGGTACTGCCCAAATCCACCAGGGCCCAGGAGCTGCTCAGCAATCTCCTCCACCCTCCCTGTGCAGGTTCATGGCCACCAGCGACCTGATGTCGGAGTTGCAGAAGGACTCCATCCAGCTGGACGAGGACAGCGAGCGCAAGGTGGTGAAGATGCTGCTCCGGCTCCTGGAGGACAAGAACGGTGAGGTGCAGAACCTGGCTGTCAAGTGGTGAGTGTCAGCCTCGGTGGAGCAGGAGAGGGGGCCCTACCTTGTGTGGGAGCATCCTGGGGACCGCTGTCCCTTTGGGGTACAGCCTCGCAGAGGAGACCTGCTGAGCAGCTCTCGTTGAATGGTACCTTAGTCTGAGTTTTCCCAGAAGATGCTGAGACAAGGATTCAAATCTAAGTTTATTTGGGAGGCGCTCCCAGGAAACATGGTAGAGGAGTAGGGAAGTGAGGCAGGAAAGGGAAGAGGACCAATCAAGGGTATGGTACGAAGCAAGTGACCACAGTGGGCCTGATGAGCTTAACCCCATGGGGACCTCTGGGACACAGTATAGGACATGTCCCTTGGACTTTTCCCACTCAAAGGGTAAGGGAGCTGGGGTATTAATCCACCAGCTCCCTGGTAGTCATTGGTTAAGGGCTGCTTCTGGGGTAGGATGGAGGGTTGTCCACTGCCTGCCACCTCCAGCCAGAGAAAGCCCTCAGACAGATGTAAATGCTGGGAAGGTCAAGCTGACACACATCAAGGTGGTAAAGGCTTAAAGGCTGGGTGCGGTGGCTCATGCCTGTAATCCCAGCACTTTGAGAGGCCAAGGCAGGTGGATCACCTGAGGTCAGGAGTTTGAGACCAGCCTGACCAACATGGTGAAACCCTGTCTCTACTAAATAATAATTAAAAAAAAAAAGTTGCCGGGCATGGTGGTGCGTGCCTGTAATCACAGCTACTTGGGAGGCTGAGGCAGGAGAATCGCTTGAACCCAGGAGGCAGAGATTGCAGTGAGCCAAGATTGCGCCATTGCACTCCAGCCTGGGCAACAAGAGCAAAAATTCCATCTCAAAAACAAACAAACAAAAAAGGCTTAGGGCACATGGGACTGGGAGAGGTCCTAAAAGCCCCAGCCTTAGATCACTGTGAGGCTGTGATCCTGAGACGTTGGCCAGTTATCTCGAGTAGAAAAAGACAAGACAAGGGTATGTGCAGAGCACGTGGGGATGCTTGTGTGGTAGGGTCATTCTCACACCCACACCTGAGAACCACTAGTGTAGGGCAGAGGTTGTCAAGCTTGACTGCAGGTTAGCATCACCTGGGTAATTTTAAATAGAATGCCAGGGATCAAGGGACAACAGGGTGAGAGAATTGGGCACTGTCTCTCAAACCACTGTCTGTGAGCTGGGTCCAGGCATTCTTCTGGGGCATGTTAATGAATTTGCAATGTGATCCCAAGAGCAGAGAGAATTCAGTAAAGGGTTTTATGTAGGAAGGTGACATGGACAAGTTTATGAGCTGGGAATGTCTTTCTGGTCATGGAGTAGACTTAGGATGGGTTTCACACCAGCAGAACCAATACCTTTTTATAACAAATAGTTTGTAATACCGTTTCCTATTAGGAAATGAAATTCATACATTATAAAACCTACCTCTACACATAATGCCCTAACCATAACCATAAAGGCAAACTAGAAGGAATGTAGTTTATAGTAATGTGTGTTTCCATGTATGCGTGCTTGGGCACTGTGATGGTAGAAGTGATGAAGTCACGAGAAGCCTGCATCTACACGTGAACTCATCATGAGTACAGATACAGACAGGGGGTGTTGGGGACTCAGGTTTCAGAATTGGAGGCCATTGCTCTTAGTGGCAAGATTTTCTTTTTTTTTTCTTCTTTTTTTTTTTTTTGAAACAGAGTCTCACTTTGTCACTCAGGCTGGAGTACAGTGGTGCAATCTCAGCTCACTGTGACCTCCCCCTCCCAGGTTCAAGCGATTCCCATGTCTCAGCCTCCTCAGTAGCTGACATTACAGGCATGCACCACCACACCCGGCTAATTTTTGTATTTTTAGTAGAGTCGGGGTTTTACCATGTTGGCCAGGCTGGTCTTGAACTCCTGACCTCAAGTGATCTGCCTGCCTAGGCCTCCCAAAGTGCTGGGATTACAGGCATGAGCCACCACACCCAGCCAGGATTTTCTAAAGTGAGTGACCATCTCCCAATAAAGTTTCCCAGAAAACAAAGTAGAATTTTCCTTCAATTTACCTGAAAATTGCATTCTTAGAAAATCTAAAATGTGGTATATTAAAACAATGTAAAAAAGTATTTTGTGTCTATGTATAAAATGAAATTTTAGACTCAGATAATTATAGAAAGGCCTTTTGCCTATACAAATGCCCATTGGGATGTTAGAACCTCTTGCGGGGCATGGACAGTGCTTTGTTTTACATTATTGTCTTTCTGCCGTTCCTGCTTCTCAACCCCTTAAAGGCCAGAAGTACTAACTCAATAGTTTTGATGACCAAGGACCCCCATAAATTGCCAAGGTGGTATTACTCCTAGTGGGAACCAGTGCTATAGGAGGTAGGATGGAGGACTCCATGATTACGTAGATAGAGGAGCTGTGGAGAAGGAAGTTGAGAGAACCAAGGTTTGAAAACCATGGTGCACATGCCTGTAGTCCTAGCTATTCTGGAGGCTGAGGCAAGAGGATCACTTGAGGCCAGCAGTTCAAGACCAGCCTGGGCAACATAGCGAGACACTGAAAAAAGAAATTAGCCAAGCATGGTGGCTTGAATATGTAATCTCATCTGTGTAGGAGGATCGCTTGAGCCCAGGAGTTTGAGGCTGCAGTGGGCTATGATCACGCCACTGTATTCCAGCCTGGGCAACAGAGCGAGACCTCATCTCAATAAAAATCAAGAAAAAAGAAAACCATTGTGCATTGCAGTCACCTGAAGCTCTTGTTGAAACCCTGTATTCCCTGCCCAGGGATTCAGATTCAGGGGATGGAGCAGGAAGGGAGCTGGGGCAGAGGATGAGACTATAGCACCCTGGAATCTGCATTCTGATGCACACCAATGTCTGAGAACCACTCAGGTAGGGCAGAGGTTGTCAGCCTCGACTGCATGTTAGAATCACCTGGGGAATTTTAAAAGCCCTCCCCCAACCCCCTCCAGGCCACATCTGAAACCAATTAACTGAGACTCTCTGAGGGCAGTGCCCAGGTAGGCATTTTTTAGAGGCCCAGGTGATGGCAACTAAGGCCAAGAACGAGGGCGTCTAGTGCCGCTGTTTTTACACTTTCCTGTGCATTGGAATCACCTGGGGACCTTGTGGCGCTACAGATCCTGGCTCAGTAGATCTAGGGTAGGGTAAGGCCTGAGATTCCACATCCTGAACAAGCTCCCGAGTGGCATTGCCAATGCTAACTCACCACCAAACTTTGAGAAGCAAGCCTCTAAGGCAGAGGTTCTCCAAGTGTGCTCCCTGGACCACCTACAGTATCAGCCTCAACTGGGAGCTTGCTAGAAATGCACACTATCAGGCCACACCTAGATATAGCCCTCCTGACTCTGAAACTCTGGAGGTGGGGCCCAGCCATCTGTTTAAACAAGCCCGCCAGGGGATTCAGATGCACCCTCAAGTTTGAGAACCCTTGTTCTGGAGCACTATTTGGCCATTTCCTGAGACGTAAAACACAAGAAGAAATGTAGGTTTGGGAGGTCCCAGGAACGATGTTGGCATAGCCAGAGAGTATCTCTTTCTGGCCAAACAGGGGCTCCCCTGATGATCTGAGGCCTTTTCCTCAGCACGTGTGGCCGCAGGAGCATGAGGGGACATAAAGGGGCAGCCTGACTCAGGCTGAACCTTGTGCCCTTGGATTCACCTTCCCACTCCCTGCTCAGCCTGGGTCCTCTGGTGGTCAAAGTGAAGGAGTACCAGGTGGAGACCATTGTGGACACCCTGTGCACCAACATGCGGTCAGACAAGGAGCAGCTGCGAGACATTGCCGGCATTGGCCTCAAGACCGTCCTCTCGGAGCTCCCTCCTGCAGCCACAGGTACCCAGGTCCCCAGGACTAGGTACTGTTAGTATTTGTCCTAGTTTATGGTAAAAAAACAAACGAAAAAACAAAAAAAAAACACTGAGGCTCAGAGAGTTGAAGAGACATACCTGAGGTCACTCAGCTAGTAAGCAGGGCAGAGAATTCAGGCCCAGCTCAGTTTAAGTTCATGGTTCTGTGTCAGGAATGCTTTTAGCTCAAGTGATGAAATCTAACTAACGGCAGTTTAAAGAAATCAGGGGTGGTTTTTCCTCACATGGCAATCCTGGAGGAATCAGCCACTCCATTTTTGTAGCAGTTCATTTAGTGGCTCAATGTTGACAGGGTTCCAGTCTTGCCCCATGTCCCCTCCCTTTATAGGGAAAGCACACGTTTTCCCAGAAACCCCCAGAGGACTTCCACTTATATCTCACTGGCAAGAGCTGGATCACCCAGCCACTCCCAGCAGCAAGGGAGGCAGGAAAGGAAGTGTTTAACTTTCCCTGCCTCCCTAGTGGAATGGGGAAAGGAAGAAGGGCTTGGGTGTGTGTAAGTCACCCAGAAGCTCGGCCATCAGCTCTGCAGCTCCCCTAGCTGTCTCCTTGACTTTGGCCAGACTCTGGGTCAAACCTGGGACCTCTGGAGCCCTGGTAAGATTCCCGGGGATGTGGGCTCAGGAACACAGCCAGAGCAGAGGCAGACTAGTGGTGGAGGCTGCCTTTCCCCCAGGCCAGGGCCTCACTGTGCCCACCTTGTGCCCTGTGCAGGCTCCGGGCTGGCCACCAACGTGTGCCGGAAGATCACAGGCCAGCTCACCAGTGCCATTGCCCAGCAGGAGGATGTGGCTGTGCAGCTGGAAGCCCTGGACATCCTCTCTGACATGCTGAGCAGGTGTGGGAGGCCATCCTGGGTATTGAGGAAGAGTGGGTAAAAGGGGACAGGGAGGGACTCAAATCACAGAGCTAGCACCTACTGCACACCAGGCCCTGTGCTTGGGGCTCCTTAATCATCCCAGCAGCCTCGTAAAGGAGAACTCAATTGTCACAATTTTACAGGCTCTGAGAGATGATGCGGTCAGTAAAACCTCCCATGACTTGAACACCTGCTCTGGCCAGAAAAATGTCAGGTGCTGGCCTAGTGTTGGGAACATGGGGTTAGATCAGTCTTGGTTGTTCTAGGGAGGAGTTCACAGACATGTATAAAACTGTGAATGGAGTAAGCACAACAGTAAGGATAAGAGCAGGGCTGATAGGAGCTCAGAGGAGCCCCCAGTCCAGCTGGGAGTGAGGAGCCTTCTAAAAGAGAGTGCTGCTAGAGCTGAGCCTTCGAGGAGGGGCAGGACTTAGCTGAGTTTGGGCAGGTATAAAGAGGATGCTGGAGGGGAGACTGTCCCCAGTCCAGAAGGCAGAGACAGGGGAAGACTTGGGGTCCCAGAGTCTGCCAGGGGTCGTGGGGCAGGCTGTAATGTGGAGAGGTGGGTATGCAGAGCTGAGGTGCAGGGCTGGCCAGGAGCCATGGGGCAGGGGTGAGTATTTGTGTGTTCTACCCTGATCTTTCTCTCTGCAGTGGAGAGTAGGTGGGAGGGGATTGAACAGGCAGGGGACTGGTTAAGAGGCTGCTATAGGGAAAGCAATTCGGGTTGTATTCAGGAGGGGGACTCCACAGGACTTGGAGTGGGCAGGGGAGGCAGGGACTGGAGGCTGACCCCTAGGGTTCTGCCTTTAGTAACTGGCGGGGGCAGACAGAGGTGCTGTGATGGGGTGCACTCCGGGAGCCAGCAGCAGGTGTGTGGGGAGGAAGGTGATGGATTCAAGCTGGGGCATGTTGAACTTGAGGCTCCTGGGAGGCACTCACTCAACCACACACTCCATGAGGGCAGCTCCCAGGATCAGTCTGTCTTGTTCACCCTGGCTTCCAGCACAGTCCCTGTCACTTAGCAGGTGAACAGGCAAACAAATGAAACCTAGGAGAGGGGGTTGGGTAGGACATAGAAATAAGGGAGGGTAAGGTCAGCGTGTTTCTGTAAAGTGAGAAAGAAAAGGTCTCAAGATGTTTACAGGACAGAAAATGCACGGGCCTCGTTTGAAGGTGTGGATAGAAGCTGCTGAGGCAGGCAGGAGCTGTGCTGTGTGCGCAGAAACCATTGTCTGGTGTTGCCTCTTGTCTTGAGCCCAGAGCTCAGCATCTCCAAAGGCACTAGGGAGCCATGGAAGGAGTTAAGCAGAGGAGTGACCAGGTGAGAAGTAGACTTTATACTGCTCTGGTCTCAGCGAGGAGGATGGACAGAAGGGGATGGTATTGAGGCAAGGCCTAGACTTCCAAGAAATAGGGACAGCCTTACTAGATCCTCTATGCTTTCCCCTATCAGGTCTTTCTCCCTAGGCTGGGAGCCAGGCTTTGCACTGCTGAGAAGTCCCTTTCTCTCTCCGCTTTCTCTCATGTAACAAAAGTAATTAAAATAATTCCTCCTCACAGTTGCAGGGCACCTCTTTTGCAAGGGCCATTGAGTTGCCATAATCCTGGGAAGGAGGCCGGGAGAGAATGGGGAGAGGGGCGGAGCCTGGCCCAGGTTGCCCGCGGAGTGCGATCGGCCTGATGCCCCCTCGTGCTCCCCAGGCTGGGTGTCCCGCTGGGCGCCTTCCACGCCAGCCTCCTGCACTGTCTGCTGCCACAGCTGAGCAGCCCGCGCCTGGCGGTGCGCAAGCGGGCGGTCGGAGCGCTTGGCCACCTGGCGGCCGCCTGCAGCACCGACCTCTTCGTCGAGCTCGCTGACCACCTACTGGACCGGCTGCCCGGCCCGCGGGTGCCCACCAGCCCGACTGCCATCCGCACCCTGATCCAATGTTTGGGCAGCGTCGGCCGCCAGGCCGGCCACCGCCTCGGTAAGGGGGCAGGGGGCGGGGCCTGGGCTGGCATGGTGGGCGGAGCTTAGGGTGAGCCAATGACTCGGTAAAGGGGCGGAGCTTGGGCCGCAGTGCAGCCAGGGCCTAAGGGTGGGCCGTCTGCCTTGGTAGGGAGGATGGGGCGGGGCCTGGGCTGATGTGGTGGGTGGGGCCTGGGGCGGGCGGCTGAAGCCCCTGAAACGCAGAGGTTGGGGCCGGATAGGGCTTGAGAGGCGCAGGGCGGGCCCTGAGCTCGACAAACCCCCAGGCCTGAGCCCCTGCTGAGTGCAGACGGTTCAGAGAAGGGGGTTGGTTCAATCACTTATGAGACGTGGAGGCTGGCTGGTAATTACAATTTTAAGTCATGCCACTAAACTGTTAGACTATGTTCTCTTCTCCCAGTTTGACAAAGATATCTTAGTAACAGCCCATGAGCCAAGTTTGAATTTTTAAGAAACAATTTAATGTGCATACAATAAACCGCACTATTTAAAGTGTGCAATTCAGTGTGTTTTGACCTTTGTGTATATCCGTGAAACCTTTCCATCACCCCCAAAAGCTTCCTTGTGTCCGTTTGCAGTCCAGCTCTCTGCCTTGTCCAGGAAGCCACTGATCTGCTTTCTGTCACTATAGATTAGTTTTTTAGAAATGGAAAGCTGCAATCAGGTTTGAATGTATCCTCAGACACCTTGGAGTTCTGACTATACCAAGACAGTTTGGATAGAACTGGCATATGGTCAGCCCCTCCCAACCCCTGGCTCTCTCACTGCAAGGGGCCTTGCAGGCACACGGCGGGGGGTGGGGGGGGGAACCCCAGCTGACATGGCCACACCCTGTCCCATTTCTCCCAAACAGCAGCCAGCCCTCAGCCATCCTTGGTTGCATGGACCTAGGAAAGAGGCCTGCGCAGGCTCGGACAAGGGGTCAGGATCCATTGGGCAGGAAACTCGGGTCCCCAGATACCCAGACAGAATGGAGTCTAGGAGTGTTGGGGGTCTCTAGGTCAGCATGTCTCTTCTTATGCTGTAGGGAAGGGTATGGCTGGAGAAGGGCTTGAGTGGAGTGCTCTAAAGCCTGGAGACCAGGCAGGAACCCCTCTTGCCTGGTCTATTAGGGCAGTACCTGCCTCCCTTTCTCCTATCCAAGGACTTAAACCTAGTGAAGGAAATTAGGCCAGGACATGAATAATGGTTTTGATAACAGATGCTATTTATCGAGTGCCTGCTCGTGTAGAACCTGGACTAAGCTTTTTTATTTATTTTTTTGAGACGGAGTCTCGCTCTGTTGCCCAGGCTGGAGTGCAATGGTGCAGTCTCGGCTCACCGCAACCTCCGCCTCCCGGATTCAAGTGATTCTCCTGTCTCAGCCTCCTGAGTAGCTGGCACTACAGGCGCACGCTACCATACCCAGCTAATTTTTGTATTTTTAGTAGAGACGGGGTTTAACTATGTTGGTTGGCCAGGTTGGTCTTGAACCCCTGACCTTGTGATCCCATGATCTGCCCGCCTCGGCCTCCCAAAGTGCTGGGATTACAGGGGTGAGCCACTGCACCCAACCTTGGACTAAGCTTTTTTAACTTCTTTTTTTTTTTTCTTTTTGAGACTGAGTCTCGTGTCTTGCTCTGTTTCCCAGGCTGGAGTGTAGTGGCACGATCTCTGCTCACTGTAACCTCCACCTCCCAGGTTCAAGCAATTCTGCCTCAGCCTCCCAAGTAGCTGGGATTACAGGGGCGCACTGCCACGTGCAGCTAATTTTTGTATTTTTAGTAGAGATGGAGTTTCACCATGTTGGCCAAGCTGGTCTCGAACTCCTGACCTCAGATGATCCATCTGCCTTGGCCTCCCAAAGTGCTGGGATTACAGGTGTGAGCCACCATGCCCGGCCTAAGCTGTTTATCTTTTTTTTTTTTTTTTTTTGGAGATAGAATCTCGCTCTGTCCCCCAGGCTGGAGTACGGTGACGCTATCTTGTCTCACTGCAACCTCCACCTCCCAGGTTCAAGCAATTCTCCTGCCTCAGCCTCCTGAATAGCTGGGACTACAGGTGTGTGCCACCGTGCCCGGCTAATTTTTTTTTTTTTTTTTTTTTTTTTGAGACGGAGTCTCGCTCTGTCGCCCAGGCCAGACTGCGGACTGCAGTGGCGCAATCTCGGCTCACTGCAAGCTCCGCTTCCCGGGTTCACGCCATTCTCCTGCCTCAGCCTCCTGAGTAGCTGGGACTACAGGCGCCCGCCACCGCGCCCGGCTAATTTTTTGTATTTTTAGTAGAGACGGGGTTTCACCTTGTTAGCCAGGATAGTCTCGATCTCCTGACCTCATGATCCACCCGCCTCGGCCTCCCATAGTGCTGGGATTACAGGCGCGCCTGGCCTAAGCTATTTATCATTATATAATTTATCTTCACAAAATCTCTGCCCAGGAGGCACTGTTATCCTTGTTGTGAAGATTAGCTGACTAAGGTCAAAGAAATGTTGTGACCTGCCCAAGGTCCCATAGCAGTTGGGTGGCAGAGTCAGGGCTAGAACCCACATTTGCTTGACTATGAAACCTCTGAGTTGAATCTACAGTGGTCAGGGCTGCAGGTGCATAGACAGTCTGAGTGCTGTGGGCTGGGGGAACTCCGGGAGAGTGTCTGGCTTGGGTTCAGTGATCCACCTGGCCCTGCAGGGGCTCACCTGGACCGCCTGGTGCCCCTGGTGGAGGATTTCTGCAACCTGGATGATGATGAGCTCCGGGAGTCCTGCCTCCAGGCTTTTGAGGCCTTCTTGAGGAAGTATGTATGGTGGGGTTGCCTGGGGATCCCTTTGGGAAGTTGGTGGGGATGCTGGCCCAAAGCAGTAAAATTTCAGGACTCCCATTGGGCCCTGTCCCCCACTCCTGTCCTGGCTGGATCCAGCAAAGCATTCCTCATCCTGCCCCACAGGTGCCCCAAGGAAATGGGTCCTCACGTGCCCAACGTGACCAGCCTCTGCCTCCAATACATAAAACACGACCCCAACTACAACTACGACAGTGATGAGGATGAGGAGCAGATGGAGACAGAGGATAGTGAATTCAGTGAGCAAGGTTGGTGGACAGCCCATCATTGGGGTTGGAGGGTGGAGGTGAACACAGCCTTCCTGGGATCCCCCAACCAAAGACAGCGGTCACATTTGGTGCCCCTGTCCTGATGCCAGCTCTTTCTCAAGCTCCAGTCCCACCCGCTGTGACTGCACAGACCACAGTAATGATAGTAGTCATTGCTGTCATTTATTGAGCATCTACTAGTTGTGTTCCTCACAATAACCCTAAAAAAACAGAAATTATTACCCACGTGTTTCAGACAAGGACACATACTGAGAAGAGAGTGGCCTGAGATAACACAACTAGGAATTGGCATAGCTGGGCCTTAGAGCCAGGTCTGTCAGGCTCCCCCACCTCTGCACTGCCACCGTGTACCCTTTTATGAATGGCTTTCAGGAGATAATGTCTTTAACCCAGCAGAGGAAAGCTCTGATGGTGGAATGGCAGGCACTGGCAGGGGAGCAAGATGTCTCAATGGGGGTGGACTTGATAGCTTCTTTCCTCCTATGCCTGTGGTCCTGTCTGTCATTCAGACAGATTTCCAGGGCAGAGATGCCCCTAGGCCTGAAGGCAGGGCATCGATGGAGACGATGGATTTAGAGCCTGATGGGGTACTTGGAACAAGATGGGATGGTAAATGAGATTGGACAGGCATGCGGGGGCCTTGAATGCCAAGCCAGGGAGGTGGGACACTTGTCAGTAATAGAGAGCTAAGGATGTGTGTTCGTGGGTGGCCTACTGTGGGGGTGACAGTGATCCATTAGAGGGGATGGCTGCTGAGCTGCCCGGTGGCCGTGGCCCACTGTGGCTGTCCAGACACCACCCTGTGGGTCCAAGTGGTCCACAGAGTGGTATGGGCAAGGCCATGCTGGGCTCTGAGCCTGTGCCTTGGGGTGCTCCCAGGCAAGACTGTCCCCCTCTGAGCCTCCTGTGTGCCTCCACAGGTGATAGGGCTGGGCCTCGTGGACCTGAATCTCAGCTCTGCTGTTCCTCGCTGTGTGCCCTGAGAGTCTCACCCGCTCTGAGTCTTAGTCTTATCGTCTGTAAAATGGAGCTTGGCAGTACCTTCACTTTTGAGGTGATGGTAAAGACTGCACGAGCCCTTGACTTTCAGGGAGATTGTCAGGTAGAAAGCCACACAAACCCAGCATTTCCTCTTTATTAATCCTGCCTGGAAGCCTTTGGAATCAGGACCCTTGAGAGGCAGAGATCGGGGGAGAGAAGAGGCCAAAGGGAGGCTCTGTCCCTTCTCCCTTCTGGAGTCCCAGTAAACGAAACATCACATAGCCAAACCTGATGCCAAAAGATGAGTTTTGTGCCCCAAATTGATTCTCCAAGTCTACATGAAGACTTGGAAGTCTGTTTTTTCCCTGGTACAGTCCAGACAATTAAGGGTCTGGAGGCAGAGGGGAGGACCCTAGTTTAACTCCAAGTATTTCCTTAACTTGGGGCAAGCCACTTCCTCTATCTAAACCCCAGTTTTCTCATCTCTATAATGGGGAAATAATCCCTGTCTCAAAAGGTCGTCATGAAGCTAAAATAAGATTATGGGTTTGACATGCTTAGCCCCATCCGTAGCACTCAGTAGATGCCCATTAAAAGGTAGGGAATGTTCCCCATAGGGTATCTATAAATGCTGATCATCAAAAAGTGAAGCACAGTGCCCAGCTCTCTCTCCTCCCTGTCCCTTCTCCCCCGAGCCACAGACCTGTCCTGGGAGATGAGGGTTCCACGTGTGTCTTGTTCCTGCCCCAGAGAGTGAAGACGAGTACAGCGATGACGATGACATGAGCTGGAAGGTGCGCCGGGCAGCTGCCAAGTGCATCGCAGCCTTGATCAGCTCGCGGCCTGACCTGCTGCCCGATTTCCACTGCACCCTGGCACCTGTGCTCATCCGCCGCTTCAAAGAACGCGAGGAGAACGTCAAGGCTGACGTCTTCACTGCTTACATCGTGCTGCTGCGGCAAACACAGCCCCCGAAGGGATGGCTGGAGGCCATGGAGGAACCCACCCAGACCGGCAGCAACCTCCATATGCTACGTGGACAGGTGGGCGTGCCTTCACCTCCACCCCTACCCCCGATTTGCCTACCCAGCCACTCACTGTTAGTGTCCCTGGACTTGGAAACTCAGCTGGGAGAACATCCAGCCATGGAAGGGAAGGGAAGGGGTCCCTGGGGTGGGGGGCGGGAGCCAGCCAGGCTTCTGGAGTGTAGTAGTGACAGCCAGCCTGCCTGAGTGAGCTTGAGCAAGTTGCTTGGTCTCTCTGTACCTGTAAAATGGACGCAGAAAATTTGCCTACTCTCCAAGGGTCTGTGTGCGGTCACCAAAAGCCTGGCACAGAGTGAGGGACGAGTGCTTGGGAGATATCTTGATGCCGACATCCTCCCTGGGGATGTGTCTGGCAAAGCCTCCTGGTAGTGGGCAGGTGGGTAGGTTTCTTGGGTGTTCCCTGACCTTGACTTCCCCCTCCTGCCCACAGGTGCCCCTTGTGGTCAAGGCCCTGCAGCGGCAGCTTAAAGATCGGAGCGTCAGAGCCCGCCAGGGATGCTTCAGCCTCCTCACCGAGCTGGCGGGTGTCCTCCCAGGCAGCCTGGCCGAGCATATGCCTGTGCTGGTATCAGGTAGGCTGGACTGCAACCAGGTATCTGCTGTTCTGGGCCACTTCCAGAACCCAGACCCCACCCCTGAGTTGAGCCCCCAGTTCCTGAGACAGTCTGAGACCCAATCCCAGGCTCAGTCCCTGGTCAAGAGTCTCCAGTGGCCTCCCACTACCAGCAGTGAGAACAAGGCTGGCTCCAGTGAGTTCCCTGGACATGTTTCCCTCAGCCCTGGCCACTGGTCAGGGCTGACTTCTTGGAAACTTCTGCAGAAGAGTTTAGGTGCTTCAGTCCAGCTCAGGCACTTGTAGGTACCCCAGCCTTGCTTCCAGGGAGGGCCGTGTTGCATCAGAGGCGGTGGCCTCATAACCTTTGCATTCACCCTGCAGGCATCATCTTCTCGCTGGCCGACCGCTCCAGCTCCTCCACCATCCGGATGGATGCCCTGGCCTTCTTGCAGGGGCTGCTGGGCACCGAACCAGCTGAGGCCTTCCACCCACACTTGCCTATCCTCCTGCCACCTGTGATGGCCTGTGTGGCTGACTCTTTCTACAAGATTGCAGCCGAGGCCCTGGTGGTGCTGCAGGAGCTGGTGCGGGCCCTGTGGCCGCTGCACAGGCCTCGGATGCTGGATCCTGAGCCATATGTTGGAGAGATGTCTGCTGTCACCCTGGCGCGACTTCGTGCCACTGACCTGGACCAGGAGGTGAAGGAGCGGGCCATTTCCTGCATGGGCCACCTTGTAGGCCACCTGGGTGACCGGCTTGGGGATGACCTGGAGCCCACGTTACTGCTCCTCCTGGACCGCCTGCGGAATGAGATCACCCGGCTGCCCGCCATCAAGGCGCTTACGCTGGTGGCCGTATCCCCACTACAGCTTGACCTACAGCCCATCCTGGCCGAGGCACTGCACATTCTGGCCTCATTCCTGCGGAAGAACCAGCGGGCTTTGCGACTGGCCACACTGGCAGCCCTGGACGCCCTGGCCCAGAGCCAGGGCCTCAGCCTCCCACCGTCTGCCGTGCAGGCCGTGCTGGCTGAGCTGCCTGCCCTGGTCAACGAGAGCGACATGCATGTGGCCCAGCTGGCTGTGGACTTCCTTGCCACAGTGACCCAGGCCCAGCCAGCCTCTTTGGTGGAGGTCAGTGGCCCTGTGCTCTCAGAGCTGCTGCGGCTGCTGCGTTCGCCCCTGTTGCCAGCCGGGGTTCTGGCAGCTGCTGAAGGCTTCCTGCAGGCCCTGGTAGGGACCCGTCCCCCGTGTGTGGACTATGCCAAACTCATCAGCCTGCTCACTGCGCCTGTTTATGAGCAGGCTGTGGATGGTGGGCCTGGCCTGCACAAGCAGGTGTTCCACTCATTGGCCCGGTGTGTGGCAGCCCTCTCAGCTGCCTGTCCCCAAGAGGCGGCAAGCACAGCCAGTCGCCTGGTCTGCGATGCCAGGTCGCCCCACTCCAGCACGGGGGTCAAGGTCCTGGCATTCTTGTCGCTGGCTGAGGTGGGTCAGGTGGCTGGGCCAGGCCACCAGCGGGAGCTGAAGGCGGTGCTCCTGGAAGCTTTGGGGTCACCCAGTGAGGATGTGAGGGCTGCAGCCTCGTATGCACTGGGCCGTGTGGGTGCTGGCAGCCTGCCCGACTTCCTGCCCTTCCTGCTGGAGCAGATCGAGGCTGAGCCCCGACGACAGTACCTGCTGCTGCACTCACTCAGGGAGGCCCTGGGGGCCGCCCAGCCTGACAGCCTGAAGCCCTACGCCGAGGACATCTGGGCCTTGCTGTTCCAGCGCTGCGAGGGTGCTGAGGAGGGCACCCGGGGGGTGGTGGCCGAGTGCATTGGGAAGCTGGTCCTTGTGAACCCTTCGTTCCTTCTGCCCCGCTTGCGGAAGCAGCTTGCTGCAGGTAGGCACACAGGTGTGGGCAAGGCAGCCCACCTCGGAGGTGGGCAGTTTGCCACTGAGCATCCAGGCAGCTGGGGCAGAGTGAGCTATTTCAAGTCACTGGATACAAGAATCACGGTATCTATACGACAGAGGCAAGGAAGCTACAGAGGAACACACAGTGATACCTGAGACTTAAAGCCTTCCTCCTATGGGACTGTGGGATAGAAGGGACAGAGTCCTTGATTGGTCCCTACAACAAATACATTTAAAAATCTCATGATGTTGGCTAGGCATGGTGGCACATGTCTGTAATCCCAGCACTTTGGGGAGGCTGAGGTGGGTGGATCACTTGAGCCTAGGAGTTTGAGACCAGCCTGGGCAACATGGTGAGACCCTGCCTCTACCAAAAAAAAAAACAAAACAAAAAACCTCATGATGCCAACTTCATAATCCTTGATGTGGACAGTAGCTTAGTGCTCCACACAGAGGTCAACAAAAACAGTTTTCCCAGTAGCCGTAGACTGCAGCCTGCAGAGGGTCAGCTCTTTCGGCTAGCCTGAGCCAAGAGCAGACGTCAGTATAGACGGGGACAGGCTGACATGCCCCCGAGGCTTGGAGAGGGCTGGGCAAGAACCAGGAGGGGCAGGCGTTTTGGCTTGTCGTGTTTTGGCACACCAGGTGTCTTAGCTTCAGGAGGTGGAAAGCAGACAGGTAGGGTCATCAGGCTCCTAGGAAAATGAGAGTTCCCAGAATGAAAGGCCAGTGGGCTTCGAGCTGGCCAGCTGGCCCCTTACAGAACCAGTGGATGCTCTGCTTGACAGAATGCAGGTACAGTGTTTGGTAACCTATGTGGTACCTACAGTAATTAATACTGAGTAAATCAAGAGCTGCTGTTGTTACTAGGTAGGTTAGTGATTTCAGTTAAGGCCTTCTTGGGTTGCTGGGTTCGTAAGAAGCAGTTGTCTGGCCTCAGGACTGGATGGAAGAACATTGTTGAGGACACTGTCTATTACATCACACAACCTTGAGAGACGAGAGTGTTAAGATGCAGAGGAGCCCTGCTTTGCCTAAACACCTATTTGTTTCTATCTCACGTGCACTGTTGAACCAGCCACCCGGTCACATTTCCTTTTTAGCACCAACTGCTGGGAAGCTTAGAGCCAGATGAGTGGTCTGCTTCTAGTAGGTTCCTGGGACTTCCTTATTGATGCTCTCTGTACATCTTCCTGCTAGTCTCCTTCTCACCTCCCTGCCTTCAGTCGTCCTTGGCCTTGTTCTTGTTTTCAGTTCACTTAATCTTACTCTCTTGTGCCTGTCTTCATCAGCCACCCTAAATCTTCCTGGGAGCCAGTCAGGCTGGCAAGGGAAAGAGGTAAAAGCTGAAAGTCTGAATTCAGTAACTCTTCCATTCATTCATGCCTTAGCACCAAATGGTAAACTTTTCCTCGAGGCTGAACATAAAGCCTGTGGGGTGGAAACACCTTAGCCCATTCACTGCATTGTGCTGGGGTTGGGCAGGGAGCAAAGGGGGCGAGCCACTGAGGAGAGATTCAGACGCAGGTGGAGCGTCCACCCATTCGTTTCCTTCATTAAGGGAATGTACTTCCCCTCTTTACTGGGCTTCTCTACTCAGAAAGCAAGCGGCAAAGCACAAGTAAGCAAGCTCTCTGTGACCGAGCCTGGAGGTGATCCGAGTTCTGTTAGGCCTCCCTGACCACCAGCCAGAACGCAGCCCCAGGAAGAGGGGCCCAGCCAGGAATTCTGGATCTGCTGTGTGGCCCTAGACATGAACTTAAACCCTCTGAGTCTCTCTTTCCTCATATGTCAAAGAGATGATTTTTATTGGTGATTTTATTGGTTCTTTTAATACTACTTTATTATTAATAGGATCATTGTTAGGACTCATTGAGATAACATGTCTGAAAAATCCCAAGGCCTGAGGGAAGGTCTTTGTTGGAGCAGTTCCTGTCTTGGTTATTGGTTCCCTGTTTGCAGCCTGTGGTGTTACCTGAGCACTGGCAGTCCTACTGTTTCAGCTGCAGCAGGAAGAATTGAGGGGAGATTCAAGGCTGCCAAGGGAAATGGTAGAATCCACTTTCCCAGAGATGGGGAGGGGGTACAGTTCTGTTTTCCAGGGAAGCAGGGGGAGGAGCCTAAGCACCTTCTGATCTGTGAGCCTCCAGGATTGGCCCCTGCCCCTCACTAACTCACCTCTTCTTGTCCTGCAGGTCGGCCACACACCCGGAGCACCGTCATCACAGCGGTCAAGTTCCTTATCTCGGACCAGCCCCATCCCATTGACCCCCTCCTGAAGAGCTTCATCGGTGAGCACCTACCTCTTGCCCCTCCACCTTGTTCAGTGCCCCCACCCAGTCCTTGAGCTTGGGCTGATGTTTACTACCCAATAGCCAAGGGCAATGGGAGACCCGGGAGGTGTGCCCATGATGGGCAGCAGGGCCTGGCCCTCCAGTTAAAAGGCCTGGGTTCACATCCCTGCCTTCCTACTGCCACTCAATCATGGGTGGGTGTGGCATGCCCATCACACCTCTAAGCCTCGCTTTCCTCATCTGTCAAATGGGCGTGAGAAACTCTTATTATCTGCATTTTCTAGAGTTGTCCTGGAAGCCCATGGGCAACTGAGGGAGAAGATGCTTCATCAACATATAGACTCTTGGGAATGGAAAACCACCAGCCTCTCACATGCCTTAGCTTTTGCGGGCCCCAAAGTGGGGCAGGGAAGAGTGCTCCCCCCGGCCCCGCCTGTCCACTAGATCGCCCTCTGTCTGAGGGGCCTTCTGGCCTGAGGAGCCCAAGCAGCCTTCACTGGGAGGAGAGGAACTGAGACCTCCCTCTGGGGCTCGGCAGGACCACTGGGTTTTTCCTAGGAAGGCAGAGCCCTCGCCCCTTCAGAGCTTGGAGCCTGCAGCCCCTCACTGGGCCACACTGGAGTCTCAGCCCACATCTAGGCAGGGCAGCCCAGTAGAGAGAGGTTTTGGAGCTCACCTGCCTCAGGTTCAAATCCTGGCCCTGCTATTCCCTGGGTGTGTGAGTGTGGACAAGTCTTCTCATCCTCAGCTATAAAATGGGGGTGCTGGGCCAGGTGCGGTGGCTCTCGCCTGTAATCCCAGCACTTTGGGAGGCCAAGGCAGGTGGATCACCTGAGGTCAGGAGTTCAAGACCAGCCTGGCCAACACGGTGAAACCCTGTCTCTACTAAAAATACAAAAATGAGCCGGGTATGATGGCAGGCACCTGTAATCCCAGCTACTCTGGAGGCTGAGGCAGGAGAATCACTTGATCCCGGGAGGTGAAGGTTGCAGTGAGCGGAGATTGCACCACTGCACTCTAGCCTGGGCGACAGAGCAAGACTCCGTCTCAAAAAAAAAAAAAAAAATTAGTTGGGCATGGTGGTGGGCACCTGTAATCTCAGCTGTTTGAGAGACTGAGGCAAAAGAATTGCTTGAACCCGGGAGGCAGAGGTTGCAGTGAGCCAAGATCGTACCATTGCACTCTAATCTGGGCAACAAGAGCAAAACTCTGTCTCATAAATAAAAAAAAAGGAACGGTTGTGCTGATACTCATCTGCCAGGGGCCTGTTATGTGGGACCAAGGGGCCAGCAGACGTGACCGTGTTCTGCACTGGAGAACACGTGCAGAAGCTCTAGCAAGGTCATCGGCAGCAACTTTGTCCCTTGCCCTAATGCAGTGGGCACATGCCCCCCCTCCGGCCTGATTTCCTCCATTGTAACGGAGCTGCCCTTGGCTAGCACCACCAGCGACCTTCACATGGGGGTTCTGGCTTGCTTTAAAACATTTGAACTGGTTTTTGAGCTCTCACTGTGTATCAGGCACCACACTAGGCCCTTTAATATACCTCATCATAGTGGATGCTCACAAGCAAGGAGCTGTGAGCATCCTTGCTCTGCTGGGAGCCTTCCTGCCCTTCCCAGTGCATCACATCAGGGGCACATGGAGGTGGCTTGTCCCCTGGCTGGCGATGGTAACTTTGATCACCCAGTTCAGGTGGATACCGCCATGGTTTCTCTCCACTCTAAAATTACTCTTTTTTTCCTTTGGAATGAATATGAATTTTTGAGTACATAAAATAAGTATTTTATGTAAACATCCTTGTTCTCATCAATTTTTTTGCCCACTAGGTTTAGCATCCACGGTTGTTTCTTGCCTGGGTCAATGATTACTGTGATATTTGCCAAATGGTGACTTTCTAGTTCCATTATTCTTTCCATAGTTACAAGTTTGCATTCTACTGTCTGGAAGAACTTTTTCTTCTCTCCCACTTATTTATTCATCAATTTATTTGTCATTAGAGACTCATGGCTTCTTCCCACTTCATTCCGTGGGCTATACTGTTACTGTCTTTAATTTTGATGCATTGGAAGCCCTTCAAGCTGGTTCCTATTTTTTATTGACATGTTTCAATCTTTTTTTTTTTTTTTTGAGAGAGTCTCACTCTGTCACCCAGGCTGGAAGGCAATGGCACAGTCATACCTTACTGCAACCTGCCTCTCAGGCTCAAGCAATCCTCCCACTTGAGCCTCCCAAGTAGCTGGGATTACAGATGTGCGCCAGCCACCACACCTGGCTACTTTTTAAATTTTTTTTATAAAAACAGGGTTTTGCTATGTTACCCAGGCTGGTCTCGAACTCCTAGGCTTAAGTGATCCACTCACCTTAGCCTCCCAAAGTGCTGGGATTCCAGACGTGAGCCCCCGTGCCCAGCCTCCATCATTCTCTTAAGTGTATCCTTGCTTTTGGCACGATGAGATGCTCCAGATTCATTGCGAACCTCTCCTGCCCCAGTCCTGGAATCAGCCATTTCTCCAAGGAGTCCTGATTCCTTTTAGTGGAGAATGGTATTTTGAATCCAAAATCTGGACACTAGATGTGCCTGTTGCTGTTGGGGCCTCATTGCTTCTAGGCCCTCTCAGCAGACAGAACTAGGAAATGCATGTCTATACGCAGAGACACAAACACATACGTGTATACATGTGCTTCCAGATGCACACCCATGCACATCTTTCTTTGTCCCTCCTTCTTTCCCTCCCTGCCTCTCTTTCTCTCCCTCTCTCTTCTTTCTCTTCTACCTACCTACCCACCTATTTTGAAAACCTTGAGTTCATAGCTGCTTCGTATTGCAGTCTAGCCCCCTTTCCATATGTGTAACTCCTTTCTCTTACAGTAAGAAACCCAGCTCCCATTATCTACAAGATATTTATTTTCTTAATCCTGAAATACACAGAAAGTAGTCTGAGAATTGCTGACTCTTATCTCTGTGAAAACTAATACTCGTGTGTAGTTTTTTTGTGTTTCGCTAGAGGGCAGCTAGTCAAAATACTCGAAGTGGCTTGGTTTGTTCTCTCCTTCATAAGCTGGGTGGTTATGTGGATCATTTTAAATACAGTTTTTGTTGGTTTGTTTTTGCAGGGGGTGGGTATGGGTACGGTGGTTCACTCCTGTAATCCCAGCACTTTGGGAGGCTGAGGCGGGAGAATAACCTGAGGTCAGGAGTTCCAGACCAGCCTGGCAAAACCCCATCTCTACCAAAAAATATAAAAATTAGCCAGGTGTAGGCTGGGCGCGGTGGCTCACGCCTGTAATCCCAGCACTTTGGGAGGCCGAGGCGGGCGGATCACAAGGTCAGGAGATCGAGACCATCCTGGCTAACACAGTGAAACCCCGTCTCTACTAAAAATATAAAAAAATTAGCCGGGCATGCTGGCGGGCGCCTGTAGTCCCAGCTACTCAGGAGGCTTGAGGCAGGAGAATGGCGTGAACCCGGGAGGCAGAGCTTGCAGTGAGCCGAGATTGCGCCACTGCACTCCAGTCTGGGCGACAGAGCGAGACTCCATCTCAAAAAAAAAAACAACAAAAAAACGGGGTGTGGTGGCACACGCCTATAATCCCAGCTACCTGGGAGGCTGAGGCCTGAGAATCGCTTGAACCCGGGAGATGAAGGTTGCAGTGAGCTGAGATTGTGCCACTGTACTCCGTCCTGGGCGACAGAGCGAGACTGTCTTTTGACTCAAACAAAAAAATGATAAATACAGTTTTTTTGCATTTTGGTTTTATTTTTAGGGATTCCCCCATCCTTATTTCTTTATTAAGTATATAAAACATTAACAATTCTAAAATGTTTAAACTATAATGGCTGGGCGTAATGGCTCATGCCTGTAATCCCAACACTTTGGGAGGCTGAGGCAGAAGGATCACTTGAGTCCAGGAGTTTGAGACCAGCCTGGGTAACATAGTGAGACCCCCATCTCTAAAAAAATTTTTTTTTCCAAACCAACATGGCACATGTATACCTATGTAACAAACCTGCACGTTGTGCACATGTACCCTAGAACTTAAAGTATAATAAAAAAATTTTTTTTAAGTTTAAACTCTATATCATAGTCCTTTTCTGCTACTATAACAGAATACTACAGATTGGGTAATTTATAAAGAAGAGAAATTCATTCCTCACAGTTGTGGAGACTGGGAGGTCCAAGAACATGGCACCAGCATCTGGTGAGGGCCATCCCATGGTGGAAGGAAGGGCAGAAGTGAGCATGGGAGACAGAGAGACGAGAGGCGGGGCTTAACAGGAGCTCCCTCCCATGATCACTGACCCACTCCTGTAGTGACGGCATTAATCCATGCGTCAGGGCTTCACCCTCGTGACCTAATCACCTCTCAATACTATTACCATGGCAATTAAGTTTCAACATGAGTTTTGGTGGGGACATTCAAATCATAGCACTGTACAAGTCTGGGCACAGTGGCTCATGCCTGTAATCTCGGCACTGTGGGTGGCCGAGGTGGTGGATTACTTGAGGTCAGGAGTTCGAGACCAGCCTGGCCAACATGGTGAAACCCCGTCTCTACTAAAAATACAAAAATTAGCCAGGCATGGTGGTTCGTGCCTGTAATCCCAGGTACTTGGGAGGCTGAGGCAGGAGAATCGCTTGAACCTGAGAGGTGGAGGTTGCAGTGTGCCGAGATCACACCACTGCACTCCAGCCTGGGCAACAGAGTGAGACTCTGTCTCAACAACAAAACAAAACAAAAACAAATCATGGCACTGTACAAAAAGGAGTATCCTGAGAAGTGCTGGTGACTCTGTGTAAGTTTCTTGACCTCTCTGATCTTTAAGAGCCTCACCTGTAATAACAAGTTCACATTCACAGAGTCCGTGCTGTGTGCCAGGCACTCTGCTCTGTGCTTTTAATGCATTACCACATTCAAAAAATTTTTTTCTTTTTTTTTTTTTCAAGATAATGCTGAGGCACCACATTTTAAATTCTAAAGACAGTCCCATAGCATAGGTTCTGTTACGACTCCCATTTTACAGATGAGGACATTGAGGCTCTCCAAGGTCCCACAGTAAATTGGTAGAGCTGGAATGGAAGCCACATCAGCTCAAGCCCACATTCTTATCTGGCCTTTGAAGGGTTGTTTGTGCCTGGCACAAAGTAGATGCTCACCACACCCAGCTTACCCCCATTCAGCCAGTTCTGCACGTGCACAGTAACCAGATGGCCGGGGTGGTGAGGGAGGTGACTTTGTGCTTTGGCTGTGCATCCCCCACGCCCCTCATGTTCTTCTGCCAGGAGAGTTCATGGAGAGCCTGCAGGACCCAGACCTGAACGTGCGCCGTGCGACTCTGGCTTTCTTCAACTCAGCTGTGCACAACAAGCCCTCGCTAGTCCGGGACCTGCTGGATGACATCCTGCCCCTCCTCTACCAGGAGACAAAGATCCGGCGGGACCTCATCCGAGAGGTGTGGAGCAGAGCTGGGGACCCAGGGGAAGCTGGGGGTGATGCCACCTCTCATGCCTCACTGTTAGGGCATTATTATCTCATCAGAGCAGGTGCCGGGGCCACATGGCCTGGGTCAAGTCCTGCCCTGACTCCGAGCTGTGGGACCCCAGCCAGGGCAACCTGATCCTCTCTGAGCCTCAGTTTCTCCTCGTGAGCACATGAGGGTGCTAATTGTGTCTGCGTCATAGGGTTGCTGCAACAATTTGGTGAGTGAGGTCCTGTAAGTGTTCAGAACCACCGCAGGCACACAGCCAGCGCTCAGTAAATGTTGATGTTTGACAGGTGTTCACTGAACATCTGCACTGCGCCCAAGTGCCAGGACTCAGAGTTGGGCCTGACTGGGTTTCTGCCACCAAGGAGTTCATCGTGGCCCCCTAAAGGACAGAGATGCCAACTCTGCTGATTACAGACAGCCCCCGCCTTACAATGGTTCAACTTTACAATGGTGCAAAAGCAGTAGCGTTCAGCAGGCTCCTCACCTTATGATGGGATTGCTTCTGGAAGCCAACTTACAATGGACCTATTGTGATGTAATCCCATCATACACCAAGGAGCAGCTGCGTTTCACTTAGAGCCCACCTGGTAAAGGAAGGATTCGGGGGCAGAGGTTAAAGGTGATTTAGTAAGTTTGAGCTGTGGAATACTAGCAGCATTGAGGCCCTTTAAGCTGGGCTTTGAAGGGTGAAAAGGTGTTTACCATTAAAACAGGGCTTCATGGTTGAAAGCTTCAGAAAGACCTGGGTGTCTTTTTTGTTGTTTTTTTTTGAGACAGGATCTTGCTGTGTCACCTAGGCTGGAGTGCAGTGGCACAATCACAGCTCACTGCAGCCTCGACCTCCTGGGCTCAAGCGATCCTCCCACCTCAGCCTCCTGAGTAGCTGGGACTACAGGCGTGTACCACCACACCTAGCTAATATTTTGTATTTTTTTGTAGAGATGCGGTTTTGCCATGTTGCCCAGACGTCTCAAATTCCTCCTGCCTCGGCCTCTCAAAGTGCTGGGAGGACAGCCATCATGCCCAACCTACCTGGGTTTTAAATTCCAGTTCAGCCACTTACAAGCAGTGTATCCTTAACCTGTCCAGCTCAGTTAATTAACCTGCCCAACTCAGTTTCCTCATCTGTCATTAAATGGGATCAGTAACATTTACTTTTTTTTTTTTTTTTTTGAGATGGAGTCTCGCTCTGTCACCCAGG
This sequence comes from Homo sapiens, assembly GCF_000001405.40. Classification (NCBI taxonomy): domain Eukaryota; kingdom Metazoa; phylum Chordata; class Mammalia; order Primates; family Hominidae; genus Homo; species Homo sapiens. The sequence goes on from NC_000003.12 coordinate 12,826,877, forward strand.
CTGGAGTGCAGTGGCGCGATCTCAGCTCACTGCAACCTCCACCTCCCTGGTTCAAGCAATTCTCCTGCCTCAGCCACCCAAGTAGCTGGGACTACAGGCACGTGCCACCATGCCCGGCTAATTTTTTTGTATTTTTAGTAGAGGTGAAGTTTCGCCATGTTAGCCAGGATGGCCTCAATCTCCTGACTTCATGATCCGCCCGCCTTGGCCTCCCAAAGTGCTGGGATTATAGGCGTGAACCACTGTGCCTGGCCAGTAACATTTACTTCTGATGGCATTTGTGATGCTTGAATGAAACGTCATCAGTCAAGCAGTCAGCACAGTGCCTGCCACTCAGACAGTGCCTGCTCAGTAGATTATAAGAATAATTGTTCTTATTGCCACTGTTATCACTTGGGGGAAATGACACTGCAGGCTGAGCAAAGGCATGGAGACTTGAGAGTATAAGGCACGATTTGGGGCTGGCATGGATTGTGGAATAGAGATGTGGGGTTTGTAGCAGAAGCTAGAAGAGGTGTCCTTACACCCTGGGGCCATATCACCAACCTTCATCCCTCCTGCAGGTGGAGATGGGGCCCTTTAAACATACAGTGGACGATGGGCTGGACGTGCGGAAGGCGGCCTTTGAATGCATGTATTCACTGCTTGAGAGCTGCCTGGGCCAGCTGGATATCTGTGAGTTCCTGAACCATGTGGAGGACGGGCTGAAGGACCACTACGACATCCGGGTAAGACCAAGCCCCCTGCCAGATCTATGTGCCCCTGTACCAAGGGATAGTCGGGCACCATTGGGGCCATGCTTGTTTGTCCTTGCTCCCTACTCCAGGCACCCAATGAAAATAGCTGCATTGTTGTTTTCTGATAAGAAAAGGAACCTGTGTCTCAAACACCTTTGGTGGGAGTCTACACTGGGCAGGCTCTTTGGAGGATGGTTTCACAGCAACCAGAAAAAAAAAATTGTCCAGGTGTGGTGGCTTATGCCTGTAATCCCAGCACTTTGGGAGGCTGAGGCAGGAGGATGGCTTGAGCCCAGGAGGTTGAGGCTGCAGTGAAACATGATCACACCACTGCACTCCAACCTGGACGACAAAGCGAGACCCTGTCTCAAAAAAAAAAAAAAAATTCCCAGACGAAATTTTTGACCCTGCAGGGCACTTTCAGCTGTGGAATACTAGCAGCATTGAGGAGCGAGCTGCATCTCTTCGTGTTGTGACCTGAAAGAGCTCCAAGCCCCAATGTTGAGTGGCAAGAGCTAGTTCCAGAAGTTAGGACCATTTTCTTAACAGACAGAGTGAGTCTGGGGCTGGTGGAGACGTCGGTTTCTTCAATTTATATCTTTCTATATCATTTTTTTAAATGTTAAAGTTTATTCACATATATGATAGAAATCATTTAATTGTGGCGAAATATTAATAATACAAGTTACTATCTTCAGTAACTTACTATCTGCAGGTGAAGTGTTTTTTTTTTTTTTTTTTTGAGACAGGGTCTTGCACTGTCACTCAGGCTGGAGTGCAGTGGCTTGATCTCAGCTGACTGCAACCTCTGCCTCCCAGGTTCAAGCGATTCTCCTGCCTCAGCCTCCCAAGTAGCTGGGACTACAGGTGCCCACCACCACACTCAGCTAAATTTTTTTTGTATTTTTAGTAGAGACGGGGTTTCACCATATTGGCCAGGCTGGTCTCGAACTCCTGACCTCAAGTAATCTGCCTGCCCTGGCCTCCCAAAGTGCTGGGATTACAGGTGTGAGCCACTGCGCCAGGCTCCATCTTCACTATTTTAAAGTGCACAGCACAGTGGCAGTAAGCACATTCACATTGCGGTGCAGCCGTCACCACTGTCCATCTCAGAACTCTTTTCTCCTTCCCAAACTGAAAACTGCACCCATTCAACACTCTATGAATTTGACTACTCTAGGTTTCTGCCCTTGTAAGTGGAATCATACAGTATTTGTCCTTTTGTGACCAACTTGTTTCACTTAGTCTGATGTCCTCAAGGTTCATCCATGTTGCAGCATGTCAGAATTTCCCAGTGTTGTATGTACAGACCACCAGTTTGTTTACCCATTCATCCATCGCTGGACAAATATTTGGGTGTTCCCAGCTTCTGGCTATTATGAGTAATGCGACTGTGAACCTAGGTGTTCCGATATCCTTTGGAATCCTGCCTTCAGTTCTCTTCACTTTACCCAGAAGTGAAATTGCTGGATCATACGGCAATTCTGTGTTTAATGTCTTAAGGAACTGCTATACTACAACTTTATTTTTAAGTTTTTATTTATTTGTTTGAGATGGAGTCTCACTTTATGGCCCAGGCTGGAGTGCATTGGTGCAATCTTGGCTCACTGCAACCTCCGCCTCCCGGGTTCAAGTGATTCTCCTGCCTCGGCCTCTTGAGTAGCTGGGATTACAGATGTGCACCACCACGCTCGGCTAATTTTTATATGTTTTAGTAGAGACAGGGTTTCGCCATGTTGGCTAGGCTGGTCTTGAACTCCTGACCTCAGGTGACCCACCCACCTCGGCCTCCCAAAGTGTTGGGATTACAGGCATGAGCCACCACGCCCGGCCCCATATTACAACTTTAAAAAATATGTACTGTAAGCGTGAGTCACTTTTTATAAGGAAAAATTAATACAAAGTAATCAAAAGTAACCCATACTTGTTTTAAAAGATTTACACAAGATGAAAGCAAATAAAGAAGCAAGTAATAATCACCCAAAAGCTTCTCCACACCCAGAGAGGCCTGCTGTCTCAGTGTGTTTCTTGGGATGATGCACATAGACCCTCATTCATTAGTCAGCCAGTATTAAGTGAGTGCCAACACGCCAAGGTCAATGTGAGAGGTGGGGTCCCTGTTCTCAAAGCTGTGGAGATGAGTTTATGAGACCTGTTTTCTAGAAATGGGATCACACACATGCTGTTTTTTTCCCCAGCCTTTTAACTTACATTTACTGTATGTTGTTTGCTTTGCTTTTCAATATATATCAGTCCTGTCAACAGCTGCAGGAGTTCCCATTTCTGTTGCACTCACTGCTACACATGTATGTTATTTGCACATTTTCACAATTACAGACAATGCTGCTGTGAACACCCTGGTGCATTACTGTGACCCACGGTGTGATCGGTGGGCTTCTAGGGTGGAGTGCATGTTCCTGCTAAAGCATCCGATGCGCGTGGTGAGGCTGCACCTCCTGCAGCGGGCGTGCCTCTGACCACTCCAGACTTGGAGTTCCTGGGACGCTCCTTCCTGCACTTCCTGTCTGCCTGTCTCCCCCTCGGCTTTATTATTGCTTTAAACTCTTGCTTCCTGCCAACCCCCAAGAAAGAGAAAAGAAGAAACAACATAAGTTCTCTGGGATTCCAGCCCCAAGATCTTGGTTGAGAAAGGGGGTTGGGTTTTCCAGTGTATGCCATGCAAACTAGTGGAAAATGATGGGGCGCACAAAGCTGAACAGGACTTTCCACCACAGGGTTCCGGGAGGCTCCAGACGGGAGGGGTGTACTCAGCTTCCATCATCTGGGTGTGCCTGGTATTAGGCATCTTGTGGGGCTACTGACCCCAGGACACAGAGTGAGGAGTTCTGGGCCAGCCCAAAGCTCCACCTTGTGGGGATTTTTCTCCAGGATCGAGCAAGTCTGTTTCTTCCATCCAGTCTGGCCATATCCTCTCATGCCTGCCCTCCAGGAGCGCAGGACAGGGCCTAGGCACCAGTGCAGCCTTGGAGTCCACTCTGCTGCCACCCCCTGGGGTGAGGAGGGTGGGTGTTACAGCTATAGAGCCCACAGCTTTGCGTCATCAAGTCTTCAAGTGAGCCTTTAGAGAGGGAGTGAACACCGCCCAGTTCACAGGGGAGACGGAATCTTGTCTAGTTCTAGGGCACAGGGTCATGGAGTAGCCAAGAGTCATAGCTCCTGAAGTCCAGCACCGCTGCTCCTTGCTGCCGTGGGCTGGGCCTCCTCCTTTGCTGTGGGGCTTAGGGGTCAGGGTGTGGAGATGGGTAGGGCGTGGGGATTTCAGACAACCAGTCTTTATGGTGTGCAAGGCTTCTTTGTGAGGACTTGACTATTTTCAAAAGACAGGACAATTATTCCCCTACAGGCTGAATCTAGGCCTGCAGCCATGTTTAGTTGTTGTTAAAAGTTTTTGTTTGGTTTTGAAATCAGGTGTCAACATTTAAAAATCGAGACTTTTTTTTTACATGAAAATTGGGATTTCTTTTGAAAACAATCCAGTGGCCCCAAGCTACATGTTTGCACTCCCACCTGGCCACACTCAGCCAGAGCTGCCCCAGCAGCCCCCTTCACTCATCCCCAGCATCTGCCTGACTGGTGGGCATCTGAGCTTGAGAACGACTCCCTCCCTGGTGCTTTTCTGATCCTCCTTGGGTCATCCAAGTGTAGTTGGCAAAGAAAGTGTCACCATTTGAGGAAACAGACCCAGAGAGGGAGAGACTCTGGCAGGACTTCACGGTGGTCTGAACTTGGGCTTCAGGTTTCAGTTGTGGGGCCTCTGCTCTTTCCCAGGGCTGGCTGCTGCTCTTGCTCCTGCACCATTTCACTAAGAACCATCTCCTTCCTCTGGGCAGATGCTGACCTTCATCATGGTTGCCCGGCTGGCCACCCTGTGTCCTGCACCTGTCCTGCAGAGGGTGGACCGACTCATTGAGCCACTAAGGGCCACCTGCACTGCCAAGGTAAGTCCCTGGCCCAGCCCTAGCCCAGGCCCTGGAGCACCTATGGAGTCCTCGGCCAGTCGTTCAGTTACCCTTACTGAGCACTTCCTGCAGTGCAGGTGATGTTGTGAAAGTGCTTCATTTAATCATTGTCATTGCCCTATAAAGTACCTCTTATTATCATTGTATACACAGGGGAACAGAGGCTTTGAGAAGTTGTTATTGGCCAAGGCTACACAGCTAGTAAATTGCAGAGCTGGATTCAGACCCACCTCTGTCTCTCCTTCCATTCATTAAACACTTCCTGGGTGCTGAGCCTCGTGGGAGATACTAAAGATGTAACATTGAGCCTGATAGGTTCCCTACTGTCAATCTCTCACCTCCTTGTTGGGAAGCTGGGTCAGATGACTGGTCTAGGACAAAGCTGCTGCTAGACTGGAGTGCCTGAAGGGTCTGGAGGAGGGATGTGGGGTGCAAGCCCTCATGGAAAGCTGGCGTTGGGAGCAGAGCCTGGCGCACCTACGTGGTACCTAGTAAATACCTGTTGAATGAAAGAATACATTTGGGTTTTTTAAGGATGGGAATCATTACCAAAAGGAGAGCAGTGTTTTAGGTTGGCACTTAAAGAGGAGAGATACCCATAAAGTGGTGATTTTCAAAAATGAAATCTTCTGTGGATAAAACACTAAAATTGGTAGTTTATTCATAGAAACCTGCCTTGTAAGTTTACATTTTTAACATATGCTTATTATTGAGTCCATCCAAAAAAACACTTCTACAGGGCCAGGCCAGTTTTGACAGTCTCTCATTTCTGGTTTTCTCTGAGCTCTATGGCACCAAGAAAAGTCCCAGTTCTTAAGAGGGAGGTATATATGGCACTGCAGTGCCAGAACATTCTTGCAGTAAAGCCGAGGTGGCAAGAGAAGCTCTGCCCTGAGTTTCCACAAGAGCCACTCATCTGGCCACGCGGAGGATGCTGTCTGTTGGGCATTGGGATGAGCATGGGTAAATCCACACCCACAGTCCTTACCCATGACCCTGAAATCTACCAAGCTCTGACAACCAAAAGCTTTTTAGGAACCTGTTTGTCACACAACTTGACTTGAAGTGGCATGAGGCTATGATCTTTAATTCTTACCAATGTACCACTTTTATATAAGGGACTTGATCATCTGAGGATTTTGGCATCCCCTGGGATCCTGGAACCAAACTCCCATGGATACTGAGGGACACCTGTACTACTCACATTACTCATACATGTAGTAGAGTATTCATGTATTTGATTACAGGGTATTGTACAAAACCCCTCGGGAATGTTATCTGCACAGTATTACCTTTCTAAAACCCAAAATGTCTTGGATTCCAAAGCACATCTGGCTCCAGGGGTTTCAGAGAAGGGAGTGTGGACTTGTGTCGTTTAATCCTCTTGGCAACTCTTACGACGAGGCAGCTCTTACTTATAGATGGGGAAATGAGGCTCAAAGATGTAGTTACCTGAAGTCACAGCTCTTGGGGGCAGAGCCATTTGAACACAGGACTCTGCAACTCCAATGCCAAGCTGTTACCCACTGCATTGAATTCTTTAGGAAGAGCCCAGCATAATAAGGAACTTGAACTTTAGTCCATAAGCAGTGGAGGAATTACTGAGCTCCTCTGCCTAGGTAGGAGATGGTGGGGGAAGAGGAAACAGAAACTGCAGGAGGTAGTTTGGGGTGCTTACACTCCGGCTGCATCTGCAAAACTGATTGCGGGGCAGGGACTTGAGTATGGGGAGGAGGCTGCTAGAAGACCATCGCAGTGATCCATTCATTCAGTCTAGTCATATGGTGCTAAGAGCTGGTTTTAAGCACAGCAAATATAGGCTGGATCCCTGCAGTCTGTAGGAGGTAAGTATGGGAACACAGTACTTGCCACTGTCAATTAACAAAAAGCGAGCACTTCAGATTGGCTGCTCAGAGGCCCCTCAGGCTGTACTCAAGCTGATTTGAATGGCAAAGAACCTCTGTGGGGAAACTAGCCAGTGCAAAAGCCCAGAGGTGGAGTTAGGAAATAGCTGGTGAGACAGAAGCCTCAGGAGACCTCGCAGCAGGGATTTATGTTGGGGAAGATGATGGGGCAGAGAGGAAGCCAAAGACCAGTGAGGAGGCAGTGGTGTGGGCCAGGCTCAATAAAGGATGGCTGCTTCTGCTGTTTCCTACTTTAGGTCAAAGCTGGTTCTGTGAAGCAGGAGTTTGAAAAGCAAGATGAACTGAAGCGCTCTGCAATGAGGGCAGTGGCTGCCCTGCTGACCATCCCCGAGGTGGGGAAAAGCCCCATCATGGCCGACTTCTCTTCCCAAATCAGATCCAACCCTGAACTTGCTGCCCTCTTTGAAAGCATCCAGAAGGATTCCGCTTCAGCCCCCAGCACAGACTCAATGGAGCTCAGCTAGTCCCCTCAGCACCAAGGTGGGCCCTCGCTTAAGAGAAAGGAGCCCACCCAAGTCCGAGGCCTCCCCATCCCACCATCGCAGGTCTCTACTTTTGCCCTTCCACCATCTCACTGGGGGCCCTGTCGCTCCTGGTCAGGGCTTACAGTGCCTTCTCCAGGGACCCAACTCAAAGGCCCCCAGCCCAAGCTGTGAGGCTGCCAACAGTTGGGCCCCTTCCTTAACTCAGGACAGTCATCCAAAGAAATAGGGTGAGGAAGTTTTCCAGTGACTTCACACTGTACCCCTCCATAGTCTGTCTGGTTCCTTCAGAGGGTGTCTCTGCCTCACAAACTAGTAGTATTTAGAAATAGGCTGTGCTGTCAGCTGTAAAAGATCAGGAGGCAGCAGACACCACTCTGGTTTCTTCACTGCATTCAGCAATGCCTGAAGTTAGTGCTCAGGCCGGGCATCTCAAAAGAAAAGATACTTGAGTTATTCACATTTTAAAATTCAAAACGGTTCATTTTTAAGTGGCAGTGATGAATCAGAAATTTGGAAGATGATACGGGTTTCTTTTTTCCAGGGAGGAGGAATGGGTTGGGTAGGGAACTGGACAGGCTTGGACCTCATGTTTCATTTCTAATTTCAAAATACTTATTAGCAAATTGGGCAACAATGGGCATCTTCCATGCCACCACCCAGGCATAACCAGTTGGTTTGTTTCCTTCTGAGGAAGGTTTCAAATGTGTCTAGTGTTCAGTATTGAGGACAAAGAAATACAAGTGGCAGGCCCAAGTATTTTCTGTGATATCCCAGGTTAATAAAGATTAGATTCTAAGTTACTTCTTTCCTCTGCACGACTCGTCTCCAATTGTTAATCGAATCGCCTGAACCCAGGAGGCAGAAGTTGCAGGGAGCCAAGATCAAGCCACTGCACTCCAGCCGGGGTGACAGAATGAGTCTCAAAAACAAAATCCCAAAAATGACCAGTTTGCATTATAAATATTTATGACTAGGTTTTGAACAGGAGACAATCTGTAAGATTCCTGTCTAGACTAGAAGTAGAAAAGCTTTATTATACCCAGCGCAGCATTTCTGCTAAGTTGACCAGGATGGTTACAGAAAAACATCCTGTAAGCATTTCTGTCTCATAAGTACCACATCCCATATCCCTCATGACCTATATACTACAGAAGATGCCTGTAATCCCAGTACTTTGGGAGGCTGAAGCAGGATTGCTTGAGCTCAGGAGTTCGGGAGCCTAGGCAACATGGCTAGACCACCTCTACAAAAAAACTTCAAAAACTACCCAGGTTTGGAGGTGTGCATCTGTAGTCCCAGCTACTTGGAAGGCTGAGGTGGGAAGATCACCTGAGCCTGGGGAGGTCAAGGCTGTAGTCAGTGTGCCACTGCACTCCCAGCCTGGGTGAGAGCAAGACCCCGTCTCCAAAAAAAATCAGGACCACGTGTCACTAAATTCTGAGTACCAGTCAAGAGGCTCAATTGTCACCAGTTAGGTCCCCGCCTTGGCAAACTGCTGTAACATTATACCTGAAGCAGCAGCTGGTGGGAGGGTTATAGGAGACTGAAAGTGCTTTTCCAGTTAACCGTGGTGGATTACCTGGAAGAGCAATTTGTACATCATCCTGTTCTTTTTGGACAGAAGTTACAGGATGCAATTTAGGCATCCCGTAAGAATCTGTGTAAGAAATTCATCTGGATATTTCCATGCATATTTTCTCAATTCTCACAAGCATCACATGGAATAACTTGTCACCTAACTTTACAAAAGCAAGGCTAAGAATGACTACTTGTGGCTTGGGAGCCACAAGCTTCTTCAAGTGTCTCAGAACCTACCTGGTGTGAGGGCCAAGTCTGTACCCCTCATACCCAGCCTCAACTGGAGATGACTAAGGCTAGTCTGTGCACTTGAGGCCACATTCCCCTGTTCAAGGACTGAGTGTCCTTTACAAATCCCCTCCAAATGGGAGATTCCAAAGGGGCTTAAGCAAAAGAACAATCTCTGTGGCAAACTAAGTTGGCCAAGAAGCTGAAGACTTAAAATCAAGGAAGGAAGATGCCAGATGGCAGTTTTTACATTTATTTAAACAGAAAACGTGCACATGAGCTGCCTACTCATTTTCTTCACTGCGCAGCCTGGCATTGGGGTTGGTGACTCTGATGGCCAGTTGGGCAGCTCTTTCCACGATGGCTTTGCGGTTCTTGGAGGAAACATTGTGAGCGATCTCGGCACAGTAAGATCTGCAAGAGAATCAAGTAGGTAAGGAGCAAGACAGCCCTCAACACACTTGGAAAATTCCATTGGAGAGGCAATGAGTCCCAGCACCAAGCTAAGAGAGGGCTGCTTGGTAAGTGGCTGTGGAATGACACCTACATGCCCCCAAATCCTGACTATGGTTCCCTGGTGGTGACAAGAATGCTTTCATTAAAAAGTACCCTCATTGTCCCCTCTCATCCTTATAGCAGCCTTGTAATCCAGGCATTACCTCCATTTTACAGATAAAGAAACCAAGGCCCACAGCAAGCAATGGACAGGGATCCGGGGCGAACCCAGGCCCACACTCCAGGTTCAAAGGTTCTCCCCCAGTCACAGGGTGCTTGACCTTGCCCATGAAGGTTCAGAACTCTTTGCAAAATGGTCAAGAGCAGAACCCAAGAGTCTGAATGGAGCCAAGAGCACCTGGTTTGACTGCTGAGGATACAAAGCAAGTTGAGAAGCAACAATGCTTAAAGTCACCCAGTCATAGCCATGCCTATTACCTGAGGACTTCAGATCCAGTTCTAACTCATTCCTCACAACTTTTTAAGAGGCAGCTACACTGTGCCCCATTTGATAACCAATAGGCCTAACAAGCACACTTCAGTAAGGAGGTGATTTATGAAGCCACCCACAGTGGTTAAGAACAGACATTCCACCCCTAAAGCATTTTCAGCAAAGAGAGAAGCAGCAGGACTGTGAGGAGTGATTGAGGCAGTGGACACACAGCTCTTTTCAAGAACCCTGCCTTAACAGCAAGACAGCAAATCCAGACAATTCTTGTTTTATATGAGTCCACTCAAATTCAAAGCAATTGTATTTTTAAATGTTTCTACGTTTTAAAGACTTAGGTTATATTACACTTCTCATCTGTCTTTACTTTTCAAAAAACCCTCCTGTCCTTGTCCATCTATATATTTGATAATCACAATCAGAGTGTACCCACCATTTTAAATGTGTCCCCCCTGGCTTGGGCATTTTCCACACTACAACACTCGAATCATTTTGAGTGGACCCACAACATTTTATCCAGCACTCTACAATTCTCTCATTATATTTTCAGTTGTTTCCAGTGGGTTATTGCTGCAATGACTAGCTTTAGTTTGCCTGCTTTTCCATTCCTTAAGGACAAATGCCCAGAAATGGAACTTAGAGATCAAACGTCAAAGAGTATTTCTATGGATCTTAAAGACTGCCAAGCTGCGCTTACAGAGCATATGCCAACCAGCCAACATGTGCACTGCAACTGAGTAATCATGTTGGCCATACAACAGGTATTGCCTGTTACAGTTCAACTCATACAGCCAACTGTGGTTTCAGTATCCACCATTAATTCCTTCGCCCATCTTTTCTAACAGAAATTTTCAGCATTTCAACGCCTGGTTAAATTTCCAATCTTGGAAGGTAACCACGTTAGAATACTGGTCTTGTTCATTTTTATTACTTGTATCTACAACCACTGTAGGTGAAAGTTATCTTTGTAAACGTAAACACAAACATCCTAGTTAGTCACACACACTCCATGTTCTTTCTAGTTTACTTAGGAAAATTCAGCTTTTTGGCTTTCATTTACCAGTAAGTGAAGAAAATAAACTGTCACTTCCCATGAGAATTTTTCATTCCACTGCCCTAGTTTTAATCTAAGCAGGTCACTGAGTCTTTTATACACAAAGCTCACCAAGTGTCTAACTTACTCAAAACACCTAGAACTAGCTGGGTGTGGTGGAGTGTGCCTGTGGTCCTAGCTACCAGGAAGGCTGAGATAGGAAGACAGCTTGAGCCCACCTTGAGTTTGGGGCTGCGGTGTGCCATGATCACAGCTGTGAACAGCCACTGCACTGTAGCCAGGGCAACACAGAGCCTGTCTATCTCTAAAATCAAACCAGGCCAGGCATAGTAGCTCATGCCTGTAATCCCAGCATTTTGGGAGGCTAAGGCAGGCAGACCGCTTAAGGTCATGAGTTCAAAACCAGCCTGGCCAACATGGTGAAACCTCATCTGTACTAAAAATACAAAAATTAGCCAGGAATGGTGGTGCACGCCTGTAATCCCAGCTCTTGGGAGGGTGAGGCAGAAGAAACGCCTGAAACTGGGCGGTGGAGGTTGCAGTGAGCCGAAGTCATGCCACTGCACTCCAGCCCCGGCAAGAGAGCAAGACTTCATCTTAAAAAACAAAAACCAATAAAACCCACCTGGAACCAATGCCCTGCAAACCCTCCATGTGCTTTCACCTCTACACCTTTGTGTAAGCACTCTCTGCCTGCCAAGTTTCCTCCTGTTCTCCATCTAATGCAAACTTTCCAGAGCCCTCCTGCCCCTGAAGATACCCCTTACCACAGCACAGACTTAAGAGCCCCTTAAGGTCTGAGGTCCATGTTTGACCTTCTCCCGCTTGTAAGCCAAAAATAAAATTCAAAGGCCCCCAGCAACCATCTGAATGCACTCCCTCCTTGAATAGGGCACTCTTGGTTTCCACAACCTCTTACTGTAGCCAAGACATTCCTTTCTAGTGATAACCAATTCTCGACGAGAAACAGAAAATCTATCCAAAACCTCGAAGTGCCGCCTTTCTGGACCAAACCAATGTATGCCTTATGTGTATTTGATTGATGTCTCATGTCTCCCTAAAATATGTAAAACCAAGCTGCTCCCCGCCCACCTTGGACACATATTCTTAGGGTCTCCCAAGGGCTGTGTCACGGGCCATGGTCAACTCATATTTGGCTCAGAATAAATCTCTTCGAATATTTCAGAGTTCAACTCTTTTGCTTGACACCTTCATAAAGAAAGCAACATTTTGGAAACAACAGCCAAAGGATATTGTAGTAGTGGAAAGTGGCTATTATTGCAGTGTTCACAAAGCAGTCTTTTCCTGGTCTTGGGTCTCTACACTTAGAAGACCAAGTCACCTCCTTCAGCAAAGGAAACACCTTGAATTCCCCAACAAGCATTCTCTAAAATCCTGCAAGGAACAACTTCTGATTCCCTCAGAGAATGTACAACACCCCCCGCCAAAATGCATCCCAAGAGTTTGTAGAGTTCCTGCCAGAAGTGCTCACACAGATGCAAACTTCTGATCACTGAAAACTAGAGGTGGGACCCAACTCACTTGTTGCACATCAGCAGCACTTCCAGCTCCTTGACGTTGTGGACCAGGAACTTCCGGAAGCCACTGGGCAGCATGTGCTTTGTTTTTTTGTTGCTTCCATAACCAATGTTGGGCATCAAGATCTGGCCCTTGAATCTTCTACGAACCCTGTTGTCAATGCCTCTGGGTTTCCGCCAGTTACGCTGAAGGAAATAATACACAGGTGGGTTAGCGTCTGTGCAGAGTGCGAACTCTTCCTTTTGGGGAGGGAAAAAAAGGACCAAATGAAAAGGAAGTATGCCACACAGTAGTTGCCTTTGGTAACAGGACTTCACTATTTCCTTACTTTTTTGGTGGGAAAAACCAGGAGCTCGTGGCTTTAGCCACTAGGGATGAAGGCACCCCCACCATTGCCACTCCCAAGCAATGGAGGAGGCACCAATGGGATGCGAGGGGACTGTGTAGATACTGAGATGGCAAGCACAGCTGCAGACACTGCTCTCAGCACCTGAGTTTTCTTGTCTATAAAATAGGGATCCTGCTGTCACAAGGCAACCCAAAATACAGGACACAAATGCAAAGCCCTCTGAACACATCAAAACGGCCAAATGTCCCTTTTCATTAAAGTTTCGCTTCACACATCAAGAGACATAAGTACCAGCACTAGGGCACACTGGGGGAGACCTGTATTTCTACAGAAAGCTCTTCCACAAGCCAGTTCATCGGTCAAAGATAATCCTGACTAGGTGATGTCAGAAACTGTTGGAAACTCTTTTCTTCACCCCACACCCATTTCCATCCCAGGACCACATACCTTAATTTTGACATATCGGTCTGACTGGTGCCGGATGAACTTCTTGGTTCTCTTTTTGACGATCTTGGGCTTCACAAGGGGTCTGAGGGCGGCCATGATGCCTTTTGGGGAAGAAGCGGCCCCAGGTGAGGAAGAATCCTGGAAGGAGGCTTTCCTGCCCAGGGACTGAACACTGTCGCAGAGTGTCTTCCAATCGCCAGCTACGGAGCAAGCTGGGAATGGAATGGGTGCCTCTGCCAGGCTTGCTTTCCCTCCCTTTCCGAAGCTGGCAGAATACTAGGCACTCTCCAGATGCGATCCCAGGAGGTCAAGGGTCACCTCACCCACTCAGAGCCCAAAGAATGCCAACAGCTGAGCAAATCAAAACTGACCCCAAGACACTCTCAATTTGCAAGGGGCAGCAAATCCCACCCCACCAGTGTCCGAACCCCCAGATGGTCCTTCCGGTAGTACTGGCCTTGACCATCTACTTGAACCTGAGTCTTTTCCTCACCTGTAAAATGAAGATGACACTGCGCGCTGAATGCCTGCAGTGCCTGTCACAGGGTAAATGTTCAATAAAACCTTCTAATTCCCTAGGGAGCTGCTGCGCTACCACACCCTCAACACACACAAAACCACCATATACCTCTGAAGATGCCTCAAACCTGGAGATCTTCCAGTATCAACTCACACCTTCCTCAGTGTGGTCTTCCGAGCCATTGATTTCCTACAGCAGCACCCCTTCTGCTCTCTTCGCAGCCATCAACTGGCCCAGAGTGGGTACTCAATGAACCACGTATTCAAAACGACTCTGCCTTCTGGCCCATGATATCCTCGAAGGCAAGGTGGGGGCAGTTGCATCTTCATATTCCCAGAGATACTACCAGAATTTCTGCCTGCAGCTGGACCAGCCGACCTACAGCTCGTCTTTCCTTGGCGGTCCCGCAGCAGCAGCCCTCGGGCCAGAGACTGCAGCGGAAGAAGCCGGCCATGGCATGAACGAATACACGTGGGCCGACATTGGTGAGCGCTGGGATCCACAGATCCCAGCTGAAAGCTGTCAAGCTGGGCCACCCCTGGTCGTCCCACGGCCCCCAGGAGACCCCGAAGTCTGGCCTCAACTAGCACCCTCCACCGCCAAGGAACAAACAAGCAGCCCGCAGCTCTGAATACAGGCGGAGGGCAGGAGGCTCTGGGACGCAAAGCCCTATCAACTCGGCGGCTTCGTTCTGTTCCTGTACACGCTCCAGTAAGCTGACAATAACAATACCCACAGACACTACCGCGCTGAAGGGGAGGCCTCCGCACCACTGGGCGACGGGGCCAGATGAATCCCGCAGGAATGCGGATTGCCACGGATTAACACTTACCGAGAAGGAGATGGCTGCCACCTCCGTAGGCAGCGCCGAGGAAGAGAGAAGGGACGGTGGCGCGCAAGGGCTGATGGGTCGTAACCCCTGGGTCCTAGCAGGGAAAAAGGCAAGCACTTCCGGCTCCGGCTCTTTTAAATAAAATAAAGACACGTCAAAAAATAATGCCGCAAAAATTCTGAGTATACATGTTTTAATAGACAATAATAACTAGGAATAGGACTGAGAAATGTATTCTACCTATCCTTGGGACTACGTAGAAATTTGGAATTCTTTCTGAGCTAATAAGACCTGGTGGAGGGAGGAATTTACTTCCGCCAGAAGTCGAAGCCAATCCGCTTTTGGGCTATTTCCGCCCGCGTTTCTTCTACTCCGAAGTGCGCCTCTTAGTGGTCAGAAGAGAACAAGACAGAGACTTCCTAATAATTTCATCACCGAATTTAGACAGTAAATAGTAACGAAAACAGCTAACATGCGATGGAGTTCACTATGCCTACCACAATTCTATAACGTACCCCTATTATTGTCTCCATTTTGCATATGTGGAAGATGAAATTTGGAGACTTGACTCCAAACTCCACGCTTCTAACCACTGGGCGAAACTGCCTAGTTTTTCTTTGTTCATTTTTTAGAAATGGGGTCTCACTCTGTTGCCCAGGCTGGTCTTGAACTCCTGGGCTCAAACGATTCTCTCGCCTCAGCCTCCTGAGTAGCTGGGATTACGGGCACGAGCTACTGCCTAGATGTTTTTTGTTTTGTTTTGTTTTTTGGTTTTTGGTTTTTTTTAGACAGGGCCTCCCTCTGTCACCTAGGCTGGAATGCAAAGGTGCCATCTCACGGCTCACGGCAGCCCCTGCCTCCCAGACTGCCTAGTTTTTAAAGATGCTCTTGATTTGTTTTGCTTAGCTTTTGTATTTAAGATTATTGTGCAAATTGGCTGAGCACTATGGTTCACACCTATAATTCCAATACTTTGGGAGTCTGAGGTGGGAGATTTGCTTGAGCCCAGGAGTTCAAGACCGGCCTAGGCAACATAGTAAGACCCTGTCTCTACAAAAAATAAAATAATTAGCTGGGGCTGGTGGCGCATGCCTGTAGTCCCAGTTACTCGAGAGGCTGAGCTGGGATGATCACGTGAGCCCAGCAGTTCTAGACTGCAGTTAGCTGTGATAATGCCACTGCACTCCAGCCTGAGTGACAGAGCAAGACTCTGTCTCAACAACAACAAACCTATAAAGACAAATAACCCAATTGAAAAATGGGTAAAGAATCCAAATAGACATTTCTCTGTGGCCAATGAACACATGAAATGATCCACATCATTAGCCATCAGGGAAATACAAACTGGAACTGCAGTGAGATACCATTTCACACTCACTAGGACAGAGAAATGGGAATGTCCGTACAGTGCTAGTGCAAATATGAAATGGTGCAGTCACTTTGGAAAAGAATAGCATTTCCTCAAAATGTTAAACATAAAGTTACTGTAAGACCCAGCGACTGGGCGCGGTGGCTCATGCCTGTAATCCCAGCACTTTGGGAAGCTGAGGTGGGCAGATCACCTGTGGTCAGGAGTTCGAGTCCATCCTGGCCAACATGGTGAAACCCCATCTCTACTAAAGTTACAAAAAATTAGCTGGGTGTGGTGGCACATGCCTGTAGTTCCAGCTACTAGGGAGGCTGAGGCACGAGAATCACTTGAACTCAGGAGGTGGAGGTTGCAGTAAGTGGAGATCGCGCCATTGCACTCCAGCCTGGGCAACAAGAGCGAAACTTTGTCTCAAAATAATAATAATACATGAATTGGTGTCCCACAAAATGAAGATACTTTTTTTCTGATAAGAATATACACATAAGATTTATGTCAACTCAGTAATCATTCAGGAGGTTTTACTTCCTGAGATTTTTTTTAATGAAAACATTTTCTCAAGTTAGATTCCTAGGGTGTCTAAGTCAATGCCAAGAAAAGTTTGGAAAGACTTTGAGAGAAGGCCAGCCCAGCATCTTTCTTGTAAGCGGAGGTAGATTTGGTTTCACAGAGGCCTACTGGAAGTGATAAAAGGGAAGAATTCTTTAGGAATCACTTTAGTGTTTACTGTACATGCTAGGGACATAAATTTTTTTTAAAAAAAGGAATCACTGTGGTGTAAAATACTATTAAAATTTCTCTAAAAGTCTAGAGCTGGGCTGGATATGGTGGCTCACACCTGTAATCCCAGCACTCTGGGAGGCCAAGGCAGGAGGATTGCTTGAGGCCAGGCATTCAAGAGCAGCCTGGAAAACAAACCAAGACCTCATTTATATATTAAAAAAAAAATAGCTGGATTTGGTGGCACTCACTTTGCAGTCCCAGTTACTTGGGAGGCAAGGGCAGGAGGATTGCTTGAGGCCAGGCATTCAAGAGCAGCCTGGAAAACAAACCAAGACCTCATTTATATATTAAAAAAAAAAAATAGCTGGATTTGGTGGCACTCACTTTGCAGTCCCAGTTACTTGGGAGGCAAGGGCAGGAGGATTGCTTGAGCCAGGAATTGGAGGCTTCAGTGAGCTATGATGGCACCACTGCACTCTAGCTTGAGTAAATTTCACCTGCTGCAGACCTGCCTGTGTCTATGCGCTCCTAAAGAGCGGGAAGGAAACCATCAGTTTTGTCATCTGAAAGGGGAAAAGAGACGGGCAAACCTGGCCTTCTGCTCACTTCACAGGAATGCCGGAAGAGCCAGCAGAACGGGAAGTGCTTGGATCTTTGGGGGCATGGGCGTTTACGTATCATTCAGCCTTGTGGCCTGAGGAAGCATGTCACCAGAGAAGACAGCTCGAAGACTCCATGCCCAGGGCCTGGCTGGCTTTCTGCTGGGCTTGCACCATTCTTTGCCTCTTTAGGGCTTTGTAGGTGGTCAGGGCTGGTTTTCTGGAATGAAGTTCCCCCCAAAGCTGGAGCCCCTCCTGACTGGTTATCTTGGCCACTGCAGGGTTTCCCAATGTTACAGGCAGATTCGGTCCCCTTACTAGGCTCCTCCTTGTTCTCGGCAGCAAAATCGATAGTGCGAGGGACCTGGAGTAGGGAGCTGCCTCAGTCATTAGAAAGGGTTACCTGGTGATATGGTTTGGCTGTGTCCCCACCTAAATCTCATTATGAATTGTAATAAACCCCAAGTGTCAAGGGCAGGGCCAGGTGGAGATAATCCAATCATGGGGGCAGTTTTCCCCATACTGTTCTCTTGGTAGTAAATAAGTCTCACAACATCTGATGGTTTTATAAAGGGGAGTTCCTCTGCGCACACTCTTCTTGCCTGCTGCTGTGTAAGACCTGACTTTGCTCCTCCTTTGCCTTCCGCCATGATTATGAATTGTAAACAGCCATATGGAACTGTGAGTCAATAGCCTCTTTCCTTTATAAATTATCCCGTCTCGGGTATGTCTTTATTAGCATTATGAGAACAGACTAATACAGTGAATTGGTACCTGGAGTGAGGGGCTGCTGTAAAGATACCTGAAAATGTAGAAGCGACTTTGGAACTGAGTAACAGGCAGAGGTTACTGGTGGAAGGTGTCCAGGTTCTTGGCGTCTTGAACAAAGAATTGGACAAGATGCACAAACAAAGCAAGGAAAGCAAAAGCAGAGATTTATTAAAAACAAAGGTACACTCCACAGTGTTGGAAGCAGGCCTGAGCATCAGGGCTCAAGAGTCCCCATTACAGAGTTTTCTGGGGTTTCAATACTCTAGAGGTTTCTCTTTGGTTACTTGGTGTACCTCTGTGTAAATGAGAATGGAGTGAAGTTGCAGTCATTTACTCAGAATGCATCCTATATAAATGAAGATGATGTTACTTGGCGTGTGTGATCTGTGTGAATACTGAGGATGAATGTGAAGTTACAAAGTGTAAATGGAGAGGATGTTACTTGGAGTGTGTGGGCTACGGAAATGGAGAAGATGAATGTTAAGTTACAAAGTGTAAATGGTGTAAATGGAGAGGATGAAGTGAAGTTACAAAGCCATTCACATTTCTGTCATTGCTGAAGTGCTTCCATTTGATTTAGTTCTAAGAAGTCAGCATGGATCAGCCTTATGTTCCCTGCCTCCAGGCCCTATTCTCCTGCCCCATTGGACAGTTTGAAGGGCTCAGAAGAAGATAGAAAAAAGTGGGAAAGTTTGGAACTTCCTAGAGACTTGGAGGGCTCAGAAGACAGGAAGATGTGGGCAAGTTTGGAACTTCCTAGAGACTTGCTGAATGGCTTTAACGAAAATGTTGATAGTGATATGGACAATAAAGTCCAGGCTGAGGTGGTCTAGATGGAGATGAGGAACTTATTGGGAACCAGGGTAAACGTCACTCTTGCTATGCAAAGAGAATATTGGCATTTTGCCCCTGCCCTAGAGATCTGTGGAACTTTGAATTTGAGATGATTTAGGTTATCTAGGGGAAGAAATTTTTAAGCAGCAAAGTGTTCAAGGGGAACAACAGCATAAAAATTTGGAAAATTTGCAGCCTGATGATGCAATAGAAAAAATACCCATTTTCTGGGGAGAAATTCAAGCTGGCTGCAGAAATTTGCATAAGTAAGGAGGAGGCAAATGTTAATCACCAAGACAATGGAGAAAATGTCTCCAGGACATGTCAGAGACCTTCAAGGCAACCCCTCCCATTACAGTCCTAGAGGCCTAGCAGGAAAAAATGGTTTTGTGGGCTAGGCCCAGGGCCTCCCTGCAGTGTGCAGCCTAGGGACTTGGTGCACTGCATCCCAGCTGCTCCAGTGGCTAAAAGGGGCCAAGGTACAGCTTGGGCTATGGCTTCAGAGGGTGCAAGCACCAAACCTTGGCAGCTTCCACGTGGTGTTGAGCCTGTGGTTACACAGTAGTCAAGAATTGAGGTTGGAAACCTCCACCTAGATTTCAGAGGATGTATGGAAATGCCTGGATGTCCAGGCAGAGTTGTGCTGTAGGGGCAGAGCCCTCATGGAGAACCTCTGCTAGGTCAGTGCAGAAGGGAAATGTGGGGTTAGAGCCCCACACAGAGTTCCCACTGTGGAACTGCCTAGTAGAGCTCTGAGAAAAGGGCCACTGTCCTCCAGACCCTAGAATGGTAGATCCACTGATAGCTTGCACTGTGCACCTGGAAAAGCCACAGATATTCAATGCCAGCCTGTGAAAGCAGGCAGGATGGGGTGGGGGTGGGGGAGCTGTACTGGAGCAAAGCTGCCCAAGGCTGTGGGAGCATAGCCACAGGAGCATAGCTGTGGCTACACAGCTGTGAGCATAGCTGCCCAAGGCTGTAGGAATCCAGCTCTTGCATCAGCATGACCTTAGATATGAGACATGGAGTCAAAGGAGATCATTTTGGAGCTTTAAGATTTGGCTGTCCCACGGATTTCAGACTTGCATGGGACCTGTTGTCCTTTTATTTTGGACAATTTCTGACACTTGGAACAGGTGTATTTATCCAATGCCTGTACCCCACTTTATCTAGGAAGTAACTAACTTGCTTTTGATTTTGCAGGCCCATAGGCGGAAGGGACTTACCTTGTCTCAGATGAGACTTTGGACTGTGGACTTTTGAGTTAATGCTGAAACGAGTTAAGACTTTAGGGGACTGTTGCGAAGGCATGATTGGTTTTGAAATGTGAGGAAAGGAGATTTCGGAGGGGCCAGGGGTGGAATGATATGGTTTGGCTGTGTCTCCACTCAAATATCACCTTGAATTATAATAATCCCTATGTGTCAAGGGTGGGGCCAGGTGGAGGTAATTGAATCATGGGGGTGATTTTCCCCATACTGTTCTCGTGGTGGTGAATAAGTCTCACGAGTTCTGATGCTTTTATAAATGGGAGTTCCCCTGCAAAAACTCTCTTGCCTGCCACCATGTAAGATGTGACTTTACTCCTCATTTGCCTTCCACCATGATTGTGAGGCCTCCCCAGCCATGTGGCACTCTCAGTCAATTAAACCTTTATTCATTCTAAGTTACCCAGTCTCAGGTATGTTTTTATTAGCAGTGTGAGAACAGACTAATACACTTGGCCACCACTAGCCCAGAGGTGACACCCTGTCAATCTCAACTCACTCAGTCCCTGAGGAAGTAGAATGGTTCAGGGGAGAGGGCACGGCCTTCAGGCTGACCTGGGCTTGGGTCCTGCCCGCATCCCTTACTGTGTGATCTTAAGCAAGTTAGTGAGCCTCTCTGAACCTTGATTTCTTTTCTCTAAAATGAAATTAGTAATTGCCCCTCACAGAATTGCTACAGGAATAAACAAGATACAATAGTGTCTAGCTCAGTGCTGGGCACAAAACAGGGCCCAAAATGTTACTTCTTCTCTCCCCAGCCTCAACTTCCACCTATGGTGGGGGTGGGTAGGCGGCCCCAAATGTGAATCTGTCTGAGCCTAGAACCATACAAGTGTGGAAGGGTGTGTGCTCCTCCCTGTCCCCACTGCTGGCTCTGTAGCGGGCTAGGGGAGGTGATTTTCAGCCCTGCCAGGAGACATCAGCATTCCCAGCTGTGACATTGCCTGCTGGCTTTTCCTCTTCCCACGGCCCTCCCCCTACACATAAAACAGCTATATTGCTTTTTTTCTCATTATAAAAGCAATCCATGCTCATTATAAAAGAGTCAGACATTATAAAATATCCTAGGTAGAAAGCTGTGAGCATCTGCTGGTCCCCAGGGCTCCAGGGCTGAGCAGAAAACTGAGGTACCCGGGGTGCCTCCCAGGAAAACTCTATTTTCACAATGTGTGAACTGTAAATGCAAATACAAGATATTCTTTTCAAATCTTACAAATAACTCACTTTTTTTTTTTCTTATAAAACACAATAGATGGGCTGGGTGCGGTGGCTCATGCCTGTAATCCCAGCACTTTGGGAGGCCGAGACGGGTGGATCAACTGAAGTCAGGAGTTTGAGACCAGCCTGACCAACGTGGAGAAACCCCGTCTCTACTGAAAACACAAAATTAGCCAGGCGTGGTGGTGCATGCCTGTGATCCCAGTTACTCAGGAGGCTGAGGCAAGAGAATCACTTGAACCCTGGAGGCAGAGGTTTCAGTGAGCCGAGATCGCGCCACTGCACTCTAACCTGGGCTACAATAGTGAAACTCCATCTCAAAAAAAAAAAAAAAAAAGCCCCACAATAGATGTTCATGACAAAACAAATCCAGGCAAACAAAAAAGATTTTCTAATTATGCAATTCCACCTACCCAGAAACGCTGTTAATCGTTTGGAGCTTATTCTTGTAAACGTTCTTCTGTGTAGAGAGATGTATATTTCTTCTGTAATAGAAGTGGAATCCCACTTTGCTGACTCTCCACTTTCTATATAGGGATTCATATTTCAGGAGAACATTTTTCAAAAGTAATACTTGCTTACTGAAAAATTCCAACAATACGCAGGTGCATGGAGAGGCTTGCCTCTGTTCATTTCTCTTGCCTCTGTTCATTTCTTTGTGGTCCCCTTTCCTCCTTTTTCCTCCATCCCACTGTAAGCAATTTAGTGGGATTCAGTCTTTTTTATTTATTTATTTATTTATTTATTTATTTTTATTTTTATTTTTTTTTAGTTTATTTTTATTGATCATTCTTGGGTGTTTCTCGCAGAGGGGGATTTGGCAGGGTCATAGGACAATAGTGGAGGGAAGGTCAGCAGATAAACAAGTGAACAAAGGTCTCTGGTTTTCCTAGGCAGAGGACCCTGCAGCCTTCCGCAGTGTTTGTGTCCCTGGGTACTTGAGATTAGGGAGTGGTGATGATTCTTAACAAGCATGCTGCCTTCAAGCATCTGTTTAACAAAGCACATCTTGCACCGCCCTTAATCCATTTAACCCTGAGTGGACACAGCACATGTTTCAGAGAGCACAGGGTTGGGGGTAAGGTCTCAGATCAACAGGATGAGAATTTTTCTTAGTACAGAACAAAATGAAAAGTCTCCCATGTCTACTTCTTTCTACACAGACACGGCAACCATCCGATTTCTCAATCTTTTCCCCACCTTTCCCTGCTTTCTATTCCACAAAACCGCCATTGTCATCATGGCCCGTTCTCAATGAGCTGTTGGGTACACCTCCCAGACGGGGTGGTGGCCGGGCAGAGGGGCTCCTCACTTCCCAGTAGGGGCGGCTGGGCAGAGGCGCCCCTCACCTCCCGGGCGGGGCGGCTGGCCGGGCGGGGGGCTGACCCCCCCACCTCCCTCCCAGACGGGGTGGCTGCCGGGCGGAGACGCTCTTCACTTCCCAGATGGGGTGGCTGCCGGGCGGAGGGGCTCCTCACTTCTCAGACAGGGCGGCTGCCGGGCGGAGGGGCTCCTCACTTCTCAGACGGGGCGGTTGCCAGGCGGAGGGTCTCCTCACCTCCCAGACGGGGTCGCGGCCGGGTAGAGGCGCTCCTCACATCCCAGATGGGGCGGCGGGGCAGAGGCGCTCCCCACATCTCAGACGATGGGCGGCCGGGCAGAGACGCTCCTCACTTCCTAGATGGGATGGCAGCCGGGAAGAGGCGCTCCTCACTTCCTAGATGGGATGGCGGCCGGGCAGAGACGCTCCTCACTTTCCAGACTGGGCAGCCAGGCAGAGGGGCTCCTCACGTCCCAGACGATGGGCGGCCAGGCAGAGACGCTCCTCACTTCCCAGACGGGGTGGCGGCCGGGCAGAGGCTGCAATCTCGGCACTTTGGGAGGCCAAGGCAGGTGGCTGGGAGGTGGAGGTTGTAGCGAGCCGAGATCACGCCACTGCACTCCAGCCTGGGCACCACTGAGCACTGAGTGAACGAGACTCCGTCTGCAATCCCGGCACCTCGGGAGGCCGAGGCTGGCGGATCACTCGCGGTGAGGAGCTGGAGACCAGCCCGGCCAACACAGCGAAACCCCGTCTCCACCAAAAAAATACGAAAACCAGTCAGGCGTGGCAGCGCGCGCCTGCAATCGCAGGCACTGGGCAGGCTGAGGCAGGAGAATCAGGCAGGGAGGTTGCAGTGAGCCGAGATGGCAGCAGTACAGTCCAGCTGTGGCTCGGCATCAGAGGGAGACTGTGGAAAGAGAGGGAGAGGGAGACCGTGGGGAGAGGGAGAGGGAGAGGGAGAGGGGATTCAGTCTTTAAGAGGGTATTGGGCTGAAATGTGCAAGCACTGCCCAAGCCCAGAGTGGTTCTCACAGGATCCCCACCATCCCTGTCCCCCAGGAACCAAACGCCAACAGTGTGGCCTGGAACACCCAGTGTGAGGACATGCATGCTCTGCTTCTCGGGAGGAGGCTACCTCAACATCAAAGCCAGCACCTTCCCTATGCACCGGCAGAAGCTGCAGGGCTTTGTGGTCGGCTACAATGGCTCCAAGATCTTCTGCCTCCATGTCTTCTCCATTTCTGCCGTGGAGGTGCCGCAGGTAACTGGGAGTGCCTGTCCACTCTTAGCACTGGCAAGGCTGACAAGACCAGGGAAGCTGGGCCCTTTGCTGGTGCTTTGGGGAGAGAGTAGCAAGGAGAGAAGAATGGCAGCTGTGATGTCGTGGGAGGCAGCCTGGGCCTGGAACCTGCAGCCCTGTCTCCACTCCTTGCAACCTGTGTGACTAGGGGCAAACAGCTCAACCTCCCTGAGCCTCAGTTTCTTCCTTGTCCCCTTTCTGTAGGGATGGGAAGGGTATGCAGTGTCGTCAGCAGAGTGTGTTTTGTGGAGAGCCAAGCATGAGGCCAAGTGGAGAGAGAAGCAAAGCCGGGAGTCCAGCAGGGTGTGTGCATGAGCACGTGTGTGATGGTGGTGATGTGTGTGTGAGAGACAGGGGAGAGAGAGAATGAGTGGGTGGGGGGTGTGGGCTGAGGTCTGTGAGCCAATAAGGGAGCATGGGACTCTGCATGAGTCCCCTGAACTAGGAGGAGCCCACAACAGAAATGGGGCCCTGAAGTGTGGAGCCACAGAATGGGGGAGGGCAGAACCACAGACAGGTGGCTGAGATTGACCTCCCGAATGTGGGGTGGTCTCCCCTCTGCCTTCTGCACCCCACACAGATGGTGCTTACTGTAAGATTGCCATAAAACAGAGATGCGCGCTAGCGAGAAACTTTAGCCCTCAGCATCCCATCCTCAAGACAGAATCACTCCTAAACATATTGGAATACATTTGCTTAGAGCTTTTCTTTGTGTATATATAATATATGCATAATATACAACATAATATACACAGTCATCTAGTCATGACTGTCAGGGGAGATTACACATGTTGACATAGAAGGAAAGATCACCCTAGAGCTTTGCACACTGTTACCATTGGGGGAAACTGGGCAAAGGGCATAAGGGTGTTGCACTACCCTTTTACAGCCAGCACACCTCCCTCCTGCCCGGGCCCTCCTGCATTGTATTTACCATTGGATTTTATCCTGTCTTGTGGATGGTCCACAGCTTCTTTGACCAGTTCTACTGGACATGTTTGCTGCTTATGGCTTTTTTTTTTTTTTTTTTTTTTTTTTTGAGACAGAGTTTTGCTCTTGTTGCCCAAGCTAGAGCACAATGGTGTGATCTCGGCTCACTGCAACCTCCGCCTCCCAGGGTCAAGTGATTCTCTTGCCTCAGCCTCCCAAGTAGCTGGGATTACAGGCACGTGCCACTATGCCTGGCTAATTTTTTGTATTTTTAGTAGAAATGGGGTTTCATCATGTTATCCAGGCTGGTCTCAAACTCCTGACCACAGATGATCTGCCTGCCTCAGCCTCCCAAAGTGCTGGGATTACAGGCATGGGCCACCGTGCCCAGCCAGCTTTTTTGTATTGTAAATAGCAGGCATCTTTCTAGCTAAGTCCTTGCATCTGTCCCAACTTGGCGCCTTGGCATAAATTCCTAGAAATGAAATTGCTGGGTCAAAGCATGTGTACCTTTGAAAGATTTTTAGGGAAATTTCCAGGTTTCCCTTCTGCTAGGCTCTGTCAGTCTGTGTTTTCCCCCACACAACTCAGCTTCAGGCTAGAGCCCACTTCTTCTAAGCTGATGATACCCTCGAAACTCCTGACTGCAAGACTTACTGGGGAAATGCCCATCATCCATGCCTGACACAGAGCAGCTATTCAAGAAATGTTAGTGGAATTCAGAAATTTAGTGGAATTCAGATCTGAGGAAAAAGACCAGAAAGCAAGAGGAAGAAGGGAATGAGGTGGGTGGAAGTGGCAGCAGGACGAGGGGCACAAACAGCTTCTCCTGGACTGTGTCCTCGTCATCCTTGTCTGCCCCATTACAAACCCACGCACTACATCCACCAGGAACTCATCTCCCTCAATTGCCCCAAACTAGCTCTGCTTATTAAAAGGTTTTCTTCCAAGATTGCCATCCTGACCTCAAAAATAAATGCAGTTTGCTGCTCCCTGACTGTGGCCAGCCAAGAGGAGCCAAAGGGGTGGCCTGGGGCTTCCTCTGCCAGGACCTTAAGATTCAGCAGCAAGGCCAGGTGCAGTGGCTCACACCTGTAATCCCAGCCCTTTGGGAGGCCAAGGACGGGTGGATCACCTGAGGTCGGGAGTTCGAGAACAGCCTGACCAACATGGAGAAACCTCATCTCTACTAAAAATACAAAATTAGCCGGGCATGGTGGCGCACGCCTGTAATCCCAGCTACTCGGGAGGCTGAGGCAGGAGAATCGCTTGAAGCCGGGAGGCTGAGGTTAGTGAGCCGAGATTGCACCATTGCACTCCAGCCTGGGCAACAAGAGCGAGACTCCATTTCAAAAAAAAAAAAAAAAAAAAAAAGATTCAGCAGCAAAGTCTTGCTGGCTGCACCAAGGCCATCCTGCTGACACAGCAGGTCAGGACTGTCAAAAGTTAGGAAAGGCAGTCTCAAGACAAAGGCAACATCTGTCGCCTCTGCCTCTGGCCATCCTGCCCAGAGAGGAGGGATAAAGCATGAGATACAGTCTTGGAATTTTTGGTTTCCTTTCAAAATTTATATAATCTTGTGCAAGAACTGGTTTGTCAGGGCTGCCAAGTAGGACAGCGAGCCCTAGGAGGGCTTCTCCAGGTGGTGGTGACTTCATGTTTGGAAAGCAACAGCAAGATAAAGTATAGCTCAGAGGGTGAGTGAGGGTGAGTGAGTCTCAGAGGGTGAATGAGTCTATTTCTAAAACTCCACTCAAATTGTGCCTCCCAGCAAGTCCAAGTGTTAGCCATCCATCATATGCTCAGCTGTGATATGCCTGAGTGCCCGCCCCACTCTCGGGGCAGTCAGCGTGGCAAGGAGTTGTGCGGTTTGGGGAAGGAGCACCGGCTTTCAGTCCTGACTCTGCCATTCAAACATTTGCTGAGCAAAGGACCCATCGAAGGCACTGTGCTAGGTAGTGTGGGTGATGCTAAGATGAGGTACGTGTTTAGTTCCTGGGTGTAAGGAGGTGACAATCTAGAGGGAAGACTTTAAATTTCATTCTGTGCCCAAAGCAAGCAACACCTATTCTAGGGATTTGTCGTCTTCCTCCCTGCTGGCATTTCTGGCTGAGGCAGGAGAGGGAAGCTCCCTCCATGGAGATGCCTCTTCCCTCCTCTGACTCTTACAGCCTCCTCCATCTCCACTTACCTACACTGAGGACATCTAAAAATATAATCTAGATCATTGTTACACAACGATCACTTCCCTTGTTTAGTAATGGCTAGTATCTGCACAACCATCCCTGATTTGAATTCCCCTTTACAACATCTCAGTTAAGCCTCATGACTGCAGCAGGCATTCTCACCACCCCCATTTCAGAACTGGGAGGACTGGGGCTCCAAGGAAAGTGGCTGGCCTGAGGTCCCAGAGCCCCTTACGTGGCACAGCTGGTTCTCAGCCAGGCTTCTTAGTCCTGGTCTGGTCCAGTCTCCTCTCTCTTCATGCCTACAAGTCTTGACCTAACCCAAGGCTGGCATCACATCCCTCCTTGCCACTCCTTCAATATCAGCCCAGGAGTATGGACAAAATGAGCAGCTCGTTAATTGACTGTGAGGAGATAAAGAGGGAAGGAGTAGGGGAGAGGGGGTTGGAAGCCATTCTTTCCTCCATCTCAGGTTCTAGATGGAAACACAGCTCAGGAACATACCTAGGCATTTCCTTACGTGCGGAAAGGAGTCAGATGTTTTCAGCCATCTCTCTAGCTTTCATAGACTAGGCCAGGAAAGGACACAATGAATCAAGTCCATGAATCCCGCCATGAAGGTACGTGGGAAGTGCCCACATTGCTGTCAGAATCAGAGACCTTGACCATCTTTTCCACTCTAGTTGGCAGATGCTAAGAAAAGCAGCATTGTGTGCAGAATCATGGCCAGTGATTACACCGATAATAAAAGCCGCTATTTATGGAGTGCCTATGATGTGCCAGGCTACTAGTCAAGTGCTTCCCATAGAGAACAGCTAATAAGAGTGATAGCCAGAATCTGAGATGCTGCTCCTGGGTCAGACTTTACAGGCATCTTCCCACTCAATCCTCACAGCTTTGTCCAGCTGTGCAACACCTGAATCACAGATGCCTGCAGAGCAGCCTCTGACCAGAAGCCTGGCCCTGCAGGATGAAAAGATGAAGTCACATTGTGGTCATCTTCAAAGCAGCCAGGGGCCAGGGTCTCGCTCATCTCCCCAGGTCTTTTTAGGAGGGAGGATACCATACAGCCAAGCAGAGGCTGCCAGTGGCAAGCAGGGTTGCGCTGCACTTTCAATTCAAAGGGCTCCAGAGCTGCCGCTTCCTCTAGGTGCAGGTCAGTCCATTTTGACTGGGACAGTCCATGTGGGCGCTGTTCTAGATCCTCACGCCAACTGAATGAGGCAGGTACTGTTGCTATCCCTATTCCATGCAGGAGGAAACTAAGGCTCAGCGAGGCTATGCCACATTCCCATGGGTCCACAGACAAAAGCTCAGTGAAATTCAAGCCCAGTCTGTTTCATAAGCTCATGCTCTCTCGGCCACGTACCCTCCCCACCTGCGCATCGTAAGGGGCACCTGTATGTTCTGGGGTTTACCTACCCGCATGGTAAAGGGCTCGTTCAGAGCCATTGCCCAAAATGCCCAGTGCTGCTGACTCTCACTTGTAAATCCACTGGCCTGGATCTAGGGGTCTTCACCTGAAGCCAATGAGCATAATTTTCCTCTCTACAAAAGTAACTGGTTGCTGTGGGGTCCAGCTATTGTCATTTGTCACGTCTTACTGAGGTCAAAATGTCTGACTCTCCTTATGTGCTATGAGGTGGGAAGTGGGTTAACGTAAACTCCTAAGAGTGTTTCTTGAAAAAAAGTTAAGTGCCTTCGAGTGCACTCCATGTTGACTGTCCTATGGCCTTAGGTGCACACATCTGGGTGCCCAGCATAATTCCAGAGAACCGCGGCTCCTCAGCAGATGCCTTTTGGAGAGGGAAGATGTTCCTATCCTGCTGACGGGGGGAAAGAATCTGTCCACATTGACCTGCACCTGCTGAGTGCCAGGCCATAGATCGTTTTTACTGGTCATAGTGATATTCTGGGGTCTAGAATGGATATGGTCTGAATTTCATGTCTGGTAAATTCTTATTGTAAATATATATTTTGTAGCGATAGGGTCTTGTCATATTGACCAGGCTGGTCTGGAACTCCTGGGCTCAAGCGATCCTCCTGCCTTGGCTTCCCAAAGTGCAGGATTTGCAAGTGTGAGCTCCTATGCCCAGCCAAAAAGGTTTGTTTTTTTTTTTTTTTTTTTTTTTTTTTTTTAACTCACTGCCAGATTTTAATTCATTTCCAAGTACTAGGAGTTAGTCTGTCTGGTGAGCCTGAGCTATGTGCAGGATTTTTAAAAAATGATTTCTGTCCATTGGGAAGCATGTTAAAATGCCCTCCCTGAGTACCCCATCTGCAGTATGGTTACCCCCATCTTCCATCATCACTTTTCTTGGTATTTCCTTCCTAGTTCCTATCCCTATTGGGAGTTTTTTGCACTGATAGACTAGTCTCTCTTGCCCAGTTAGTGTCCTCTCCTCACCCTAAGGGTCAGCCCCGGGCAGGCCAGGCCACTCTGCCTTGGGGTGCCTGTAGCATGTGCCCTTGATGGGTGGCCCCCAGGGGACCCAGCCACACTCAGTCAGCTGTGGTCTTGGGGCAGCCACGTCTGTGTAGGCAGTACTTAGGAAGGACAAACTCCAAAACCCAGGGCTCCAAAGGACCCATGGGAAGGTTGGGAGGCTCAGGGGAGTGAACCTGTACTGGGCCCAGTGCTTCGAGGCCACTGGGGACACAGCAGAGAGGACCTCCTGATAGGTATCTGGAGGTGCTGAGTGCCTACGGGAGCTGCAGAACCTGCTGACGGTGCCCAACAGTGTGGGGACAGCATTGCCTGGAGAAATGTGGCCACAGCAGCCCATAGGGGTCAGGCTGTGCCTAGGGAGACCAAGCTGGGCAGGGCCTTTGCCCATGGGAGTTCTGTTTCAGACCCGCCCCCAGCACCTGGCCCTGCCCCAGTCTCTGCCTTGTCTGTGCCTGCAGCCATGGTGCCCAGGCTTGTCCCACCAGGAGACACCACGAGTCTGTCCATGTGTCCACATTTCTGCTTCTTCCCTGTGAAGTGGGCAATAGGTCAGGGATCCAGTCTGTTGGCAGCTGAGGTATTGTCAGCAACAGTTAGTGACCTTAGCCTAGTTAGCAACAGTGGTGCTGTGCATCTTAGCCTAGTTTGCAGAGTTAGGACTTGTAAACAGCGTAGTTAGGAGGTACCATGGAGCAGGAATCAGCCTCCACCTCACTTGATAAAGAAATACAAAACCATAAGATCATAGGCACCATCCCGCCAGAGATCTGGCCCAGCATAGGCTGAGACCCAGGTCGTCCTCCAAATCATCTCTTAAAAGGCTGACCTTGCTCTCCAGACAGAGATGAGCTCATAAAAATTCTCCATCACCCAAATATCATTCAACTCTACCAGGTGATTGACAAGGCAGAAACCATTTAGGTGGTAATGGAGTATGCCAGAGGAGGAGAGCTGCATCACCTGATACACCACCACCACGACATCAAGGATGGGGAGGAGGCCTGGATCATGTTAAGGCAGATTCTGTCAGCCCTGCAGTACTGCCACTTAAAGAATATCACACATCCAGACCTAAAGCTACAAAACATCCTACTCAATGAGGAAGGCAAAATAAAAATCATAGACTTTGGCTTTAGCACAATATTCAGGGAGCAGCGGATTGCTGAAAACCTTTTGTGGGGTATACCCCTACATGGTCACAGAAATCTTCCTGGGACTGGGGTACCGTTGACTTGCCATAGACATATACTGCCTCAGCAGTATTCTCTATTCCACGATGTCCGGGTCCCTGCCTTTCAACTCAAGAAAGAATTATCAGACCTCAAGAAAAAATTATTAGTGCAGAATATCATTCACCACAATTTTGTTCCCTACGAATGGAAAGACTTACTGAAAAGTGACTAACACTGGACCCCAGGGAGTGTCCTTCACTGAAAAAAGTGATGAAAGATCCCTAAGTGAAAAGTGTCCAGAAGATGTCACTACCAATGTATGAAAAGCCACTTCTGGACCATCTGAACCCCAAACAATCCAGCTTATGGTGCCATGGGATTCCAGACCGAGAACATCTCAGTGTCAACAGTGGAAAAGAAATTAACTATCCCATGGCAAATACCTCATTTGAGAACACAAAAAATAAGAGAAGAGGAGGTGCTCCACCATCAAGCACCGCCCCTTCCTCCTGGGGTTTCCACCTATCCATCCCCATCTGCAGAAATATCCCCCTTCCCAGCAAAACCAATGGGGGCTCAAAGCAAGCCAGAATTTCCTACTTGTCATTTTCAGCTACCCAAGCAGGGCCAAAAGTCAGGTAAGACTCTCCTTCCCCACAAAAGAGCATGACCAGTCAGGAAGAAGAGGTCTGGAGAGAGAGCAAAAGAATTGTGGGCCCCATTGTTTACCCAGTGTGCAGCTGTCCTTAAAATCAACTTTGGGGGTGAGGGTCCACCAGGTGTCAATACTGAATCTCTCTTCACCCAATGCCAGTTTGCAACTCCAAAGAAGGGGTCCCTGTGGGCCCCACTTGAGATCCTGAAGACCCTTCAGGGTCTGTCTTCCCCACCTTGCTGCCATCCACCCCCTCTAGAAGTGCCAGCCCTCTGAGAGGAGGTGCCTTCCTCAGGCCTGGCATCCACTGGCACCAAAAAAGGCTAGAACTGATTCTGGGCGATGACCTGCGGTAGAGCTTGACATCTCTTTTCTAAAAGCCAGGACTCCAGGATCAGCCAGCTGGGGTGGGTAAAAAGACCATAAGGAAGGGGCAAGAGGCATCAAACAAAACCCACGAAGACAGAAAGCCCCCTACAGTGTCAACACAGGCCTGGTCCCAGAAACTGTGCGGCCCTAAATGCAAACCGGGCAACCTTGGCTTGTTCATCTCCCTTTGCAGCAGCATAGTGAGGAGGTACCATAAAGCAGGGATTGGTCTCCACCTCAACTCACAAAGAAATACAAAATTATTGGATCATAGACACAATTTGCCAAGGAACTGGCCAGTCATAGGTCAACTGGGACCCAGGTTGTCCTCCAAATCATCTCTAAGACGACTGGCCTTGCTCTGCAGAAAGATGAGTATCATGAAGACACCCAACCGCCCAAATATAATTCAGCTCTACCAGGTAATTGACCAGCCAGAAACAACTTATATGATGATACACGACAACAACAACAGCTGAACCACCAGATATGCCACCACGGCCACATCAGGCAGCAGGGGAGGCCCCGATCAACTTCAGGCAGATTCTGTCAGGCCTGCAGTACTGCCGCTTAAAGAACATCACACATCCAGAGCTAAAGCCACAAACCCATCTAGTCATAGAGGAAGGCAATATAAAAATAACGGATTTTTGCCTTTAGGACAATATTCAGGGAGAAGTAGATGCTGAAAACGTTTCATGGCCTGTACCCCTACATGGTCACGGAAGTCTTCCTGGGCCCAGGGTACCACTGACTTGCCATGGACGTGTCCTGCCTCAGCACTATTCTCTATTCCACGATGGTCGGGTCACTGCCCTTCTACTCAGGGAACCCTACAGACCTCAAGAAAAAATTATCAGTGCACAATACCATTCACCACAATTTATTTTTCCCTATGAATGAAAAGACTTACTAAAAAGTGACTAACTCAGAACCCCAGGGAGTGTCCTTCACTGGAACAAGTGATGGAAAGTTTCTAAGTGAAAAGTGTCCAGAAGATCCCACTACCAATGTACGAAGAGCCACTCCTGGATCACCTGAACCCCAAACAACCCAGCTCATGGTGCCACGGGATTCCAAGCTGAGAACATCTCAGTGTCAACACTGGAAAAGTATTCAACTATTTCATGTCACATACCTCCTTTGAGAAGGGAAGAAATAACAGAATAGGAAGCGCTCCACCATCAGAGCAGCGTCCCTTCCTCCTGAGGTCCCCACCTATCCCTCCCCATCTGCCAAAGTTTCTACCTTCCCGCAAAACCAAAGAAGGCTCAGAGCAAGCCAGTATTGTTTACTTGTCGTTTTCAGCTGCCCAGGCAGGGCCAAAAGTCAGAGAATAGAGGAAGTCGGATAAAATTCCCCTTTCCCCCAGGACAGAAGAACCAGGAAGCAGGAAGCAGGCTGAGACAGAACAAAAGTGTTGTGGGCCCCTTTGTCTACGCAGTGTGCTGCTGTCCTTAAAATCCACTTTGGGGGTGAGGGTCCACCAGGTGTCAATACTGAATCTCCTTCCGCCCAATGGCAGTTTAAACTTCAGAGAGAGGATCCCTGCGGACCCCACTTGAGCTCTCAAAGGGCCCCTCAGAGTCTGTCTTCCCCACCTTGCAGCCATCCACCACCTCTAGAAGTGCCAGCCCTCTGAGAAGAGGTGCCTTCCTCAGACCTGGCATCCACTGGCACTGGACAGGGCCAGAATTGTTTCTGGCCCGTGACCAGTGGTAGAGCTCGCCATCTCTTCTGTAGAATTTGGGGCTCCAGGCTCAGCCAGTGGGGCTGGGTTAAGAGACCATGGGGGAAAGGGCCTCAGGCACCAGAACAAAACCCAGGAGCAGAGAGAGCCCCCACCAGCATCAACCCAGGCTGGACATCA
The DNA here is from genome assembly GCF_000001405.40 of Homo sapiens. NCBI lineage: Eukaryota > Metazoa > Chordata > Mammalia > Primates > Hominidae > Homo > Homo sapiens. The sequence continues at coordinate 12,860,531 of NC_000003.12, forward strand.
GGAGCTGTGCAGCCCTAGGTGGAGGCTGGGCAACCGTGGCTTGTTGATTTCACTTTGCGGCGGCGTAGTGAGGAGGTACCAGAAAGCAGGGATCGGTCTCCCCCTCACTTCACAAGGAAATACTAAATTAACAGATCATAGACACCATTCCCCAGGGAACTGGCACAGCATAGGTTAACTGGGACCCAGGTTGTCCTCCAAATCATCTCTATGAAGACTGGCCTTGCTCTCCAGAGAGAGAGATGAGTATCATGAAGACTGTCAACCACCCAAATATTATAAACGCGTACCAGGTAATTGACAAAGTTACAACACAAAATCCACAACTTAGAGAAGCAAGAAACAGAACAGCACCACCAGATATGCCACCATGGCCACATCAGGCAGCCACATCAGGAGGCCCTGATAAACTTCAGGCAGATTCTGTCAGGCCTGCGGTACTACCACTTAAAAACATCACACATCCAGAGCTAAAGCCACAAATCCATCTAGTCATAGAGGAAAGCAATATAAAAATCATGGGCTTTTCATTTAGGGCAATATTCTGGGGAGAGTAGATGCCAAAAACCTTTTGTAGCCCGTACCCCTACATGGTCACAGAAGTCTTCCTGGGCCCGGGGTACCACTGACTTGTCATGGACGTGTCCTGCCTCAGCACTATTCTCTATTCCACGATGGTCAGGTCCCTGCCCTTCTACTCAGGGAACCCTACAGACCTAAGACAAAGTTATCAGTGCAGAATACCACTTACCACAATTTTTTTAATCTATGAACGAAAAGACTTATTAAAATGTTACTAATACTGGTCTCCAGGGAGCGTCCTTCACTGGAACAAGTGATGGAAAGTTTCTAAGTGAAAAGTGTCCAGAAGATCCCACTACCAGTGTATGAAGAGCCACTCCTGGATCACCCGAACCCCAAACAACCCAGCTCATGGTGCCATGGGATTCCAAGCTGAGAACCTCTCAGTGTCAACACTGGAAAAGTATTCAACTATTTCATGTCACATACCTCCTTTGAGAAGGGAAGAAATAACAGAATAGGAAGCGCTCCACCATCAGAACAGCATCCCTTCCTCCTGGGGTCCCCACCTGTCCCTCCCCATCTGCCAAAGTTTCCACCATCCCCGCAAAACCAAAGAAGGCTCAAAGCAAGCCAGTATTTTTTACTTGTCATTTTCAGCTGCCCAAGCAGGGCCAAAAGTCAGAGAAAGTCAGATAAGATTCCCCTTTCCCCCGAGACAGAAGAACCAGGAAGCAGGAAGCAGGCTGGGGAGAGGGTAAAAGTGTTGTGGACCTTCTTGTCTATGCAGGGTGCTGGTGTCCTTAAAATCCACTCCGTGCGTGAGGGTCCACTCGGTGTCAGTACTGAATCTCCCTCCACCCAATGGCAGTTTAAACCACAGGGAGAGGGTCCCTGTCAGCCCCACTGAGCTCTCAAAGGGCCCCTCTGGAAGTGCCAGCCCTTTGAGAGGAGGTGCCTCCCTCAGAGCTGGCATCCACTGGCACCAGACAAGGCCAGAATTGTTTCTGACCCATGACCTGTGGTAGAGCTTGGCATCTCTTCTCTTGAATCCGGGGCTCCAGCCTCAGCCTGCTGGGCTGGGTTAAGAGACCATAGGGAAAGGGCCTCAGGCACCAGAACAAAACCTAGGAACAGAGAGAGCCCCCACCAGCGTCAACCCAGGCCAGGCCTCAGGAGCTGTGCAGCCCTAGGTGCAGGCCGGGCAACCTTGGCTTGTTCATCTCCCTTTGGAGCAGTGTAGTGAGGAGGTACCATAAAGCAGGGATCGGTCTCCACCTCACTTCACAAGGAAATACTAAATTAGCAGATCATAGACACCATTCCCCAGGGAACTGGCCCAGCTTAGGTTAACTGAGACCCAGGTTGTCCTCCAAATCATCTCTATGAAGACTGGCCTTGCTCTCCAGAGACAGAGATGAGTATCAGGAAGACTCTTAACCACCCAAATATAAATCAGGTTTATCAGGTGTTTGACAAGGCAGAAACCATCTGCCTGGTGATGTTGTAAGCCAGAGGAGAGCTGCCGCACCAGATATGCCACCAAGGGCACATCAAGGAAGAGGAGGAGGCCCAGACCATGTTTGGGCAAATTCTGTTAGCAATGTAGTACTGCCTCTATAAAAACGTCGCACATGCAGACGTAAGCTTACAAATCATCCTACTCCCTGAAGAGCGCAATATAAAAATCGTGGACTTTGGCTTTAGCATGACATTCGGGGAAAGGAGATTCGGAAACCCTTTTTGTGGCATGTACCCCTATGTGGCCACAGAACTCTTCCTGGTTCCAGGGTGCCAGTGACCCACCATGGGATAAACAACACCTCAGCATGATTCTCTATTCCACAATGGCCAGGTCCCTGCGCTTTAACTCTATGGACCTCAAGAACAAGATAGAACAGAAAAGAGCTACTTGCTACCATTTTTTTCATTTCAAATTAAAAAAATGAAATCTTGGCCGGGAGCAGTGGCTCATGCCTGTAATCCCAGCACTTTGGGAGGCCGAGACGGGTGGATCACGAGGTCAAGAGATCGAGACCATCCTGGCTAACACGGTGAAACCCCGTCTCTACTAAAAATACAAAATATTAGCCAGGCATGGTGGCGGGCACCTGTAGTCCCAGCTACTCAGGAGGCTGAGGCAGGAGAATGGCGTGAACCTGGGAGGCAGAGCTTGCAGTGAGCCGATATCGCGCTACTGCACTCCAGCCTGGGCAACAGAGCAAGACTCCATCTCAAAAAAAAAAAAAAAGAATAAAAACTTATAATACTGGACCCCATGGAGCAATTCCCACTGGACAAGCTCATTTGGGACCCGTGGGTGAACAGTGGCAGGAAGATGTCACTCACACCACACCAAGAGCCACTCCTGGACCACCCGAACCCTAAACAACCCAGCTCATTGTGGCCATGGGATTCCAGGCTGAGAACATCTCAGTGTGAACAATGGAAAAGAAATCACCTATCCCATGGGACATATGTCATTTGAGAACACAAGAAATAACAGAATAGGGAGCGCTCCACCATCAGAGCACCGTCCCTTCCTCCTGGCGTTCCCACCTATCCCTCCCCTCTGCCAAAGTTTTCACCTTCCCAGCAAAACCAAAGAGGCCTCCAAGCAAGCCAGTATTTCCTTCTTGTCATTTTCAGCTGCCCAAGCAGGGCCAGAAGTCAGAGAAAAGCAGTTAAGATTCTCCTTCCCCCCAAGATAGCAGGACCAGGAAGTAAGAAGTGGGCTGGGGACAGGATGGGAGTGTTGTGGACCCCTTTTCTCTTCAGTTTGCTGCCGTTTTTAAATCCACTTTGGGGATGAGATTCCCCCAGGTGTCAATACTGAATCTCCCTCCACTTAATGCCAGTTTGCAACCCCAGAGAGAGGGTCCCTGTGGGCCCTGCTTGTGCTCCTTCAGAGTCTGTCTTCCCCTCCTTGCTGCCATCCACTCTCTGGAAGTGCCAGCCCTGTGAGTGAAGACGCCTTCCCCACTCCTGGCTTCCACTGGCCTTGGAGAAGGCCAGAATTGTTTCTGGCTCATGTCCTGCAGTAGAGCTTGACGTCTCTAATCTAGAAGCCAGGGATCCAAGTCTCAGTGAGATGGGCTGAGTCAAGGGACCATAGAGAAGGGGTTCCAGGTACCAGGGAAAACTCACAAACAAAGAAAGCTCCCTCCTGTGTCCACACAGGCCGGGCCTCAGGAGCCACGCAGCCCTAGGTGCAGGCCGGGCAACCTTGACTTGTTCATCTCCCTTTGCAGCCAGTGGCTTCCTTTTGGGAGAATATTCTTCTTGGCATGGAATGACAGCCATGGAGGGTGGGTAGCAGGCCTGAGCAGGGTAGGCTCTTTAGTGGCAGCCCAGAGAGGAGGAACAGGCAGTGGGGGGCTTTCCAGCTCCACCGTCCAGGTTAGGCCACTGAGGCTGCAAAGAGATTGAGTAGCATCCCCAATGATATCTAGACAGGAAGGGATGGCAAAGATTTGCTGTTTACCCCGTCCCAGGCTGCCCCACACACACCCAGCCACTTCCCAGTTTTCTGCTTTGTCCCCCTTCTTAGGTTCTGAAGTTATCTTGTTTTACACCTGTCACTACCACTGGAGCAGGGACCTTGCCTCCCCCCACAGCCACACAGCCCTCGCACCCAGTAGGCCCTCAATCAATAGTTGTGTGTAAGATACAATAAATCTTTCTGAGTTTCTCTTCAAAGGGTTTAGCCTGTTAACTTCCTTATCCTGGCCAGGCGCCATGGCTCACGCCTGTAATCCCAGCACTTTGGGAGGCTGAGGCGGGCGGATCACGAGGTCAGGAGATCAAGACCATCCTGGCTAACACGGTGAAACCTCGTCTCTACTAAAAATACAAAAAATTAGCCGGGTGTGGTGGCAGGCGCCTGTAGTCCCAGCTACTCGGGAGGCTGAGGCAGGAGAATGGCCTGAACCCGGGAGGCGGAGCTTGCAGTGAGCCGAGATCGTGCCACTGCACTCCAGCCTGGGCGACAGAGTGAGATTCCGTCTCAAAAAACAAACAAACAAACAAACAAAAAACTTCCTTATCCTTTGTTCTGAAACTCAACTTTCTTGTTCTCCCTTGCCCCTAGTTACCGTAAACAGCCTACCACTTCCCGTGGGCTCTAATCAATAACACATCTGTTCCCTTGGTTACCTGCACCCATTGTTCCCCTGAAACTGAACATCTCACACGATTCACCTCTGTACCTCACGTCTCCCTCCCCTGCTGTATTTAGGAAAATATGTACAAGTAGCCAATCGGGTCAGCTTAGATTGTGCAGTCTGACCTCAGCCCATGGGGGAGTGGTACAGAGATAGGGATAGGGACTGCTTTAAGGATAAAACCCCCTGGTCTCCTTTGTTCTGTGTGCACTTGCGATCTTGATTGACAGGAGTGACACCCTTCTGCAGAAGTAAATTGCCTTGCTGAGAGAATTAAACTTTTGCTTGAGTGCTGTTTTTACTCGTGGCACTGAGCATTTATTCCTGGAGTATTTTATATCCAACATGTGGAATTGGTGAGATGGGATTCAAGCCCGAGGTGTGTCTGCAGAGCATTGGAAGTGCAGCTCTGGGTCCCTGAGGCTGCCCAGCAGAGCAGGCTTGGGGACCCACAGGGGGAGTGGACGCCTACTGTGACTCTCAGCAAGGCTGGTGGGACTGTCACTCACTAAGCTTATTTGCCCATCCAATCTTGGGGATCCTGAGCTCTCTACGGGACAAGGCTGGTGGGTTCACAGCTGCCCCTGAGGGTTTCCTCGGCAACCTCAAAGAAGACTCTGCTCCTTACTTGCCAGCACGTGTTACTAAAGAACGGGGGGCAGAGAGAATGGGGTAGTTATGGTGACAGGGGTAAGGAGAAGGCAAAGAGTTTTCCAGTTTTCAGTGATGGTAGCGGTGGCGGACACATGGCCCAGAGCACCATCTCTTCCTCCTGTCTGTCCCTTGCTTCCTCTGCCCTGCCACCTCTCCCTTCCTCCCCACCCAGCTCGCTGCAGTCCTCTCCTCCACCTTTCCAAGGTACATGCAGCTTGCTGCTCTCCTGATACCCCGACTAAGGCTGTGGCTTCTGGTCCCTGCTGACTTCTTGGACTTTATTTCCCTGGCCCCCTCCCCCACCTCCTTTCTGTTTGTCCCAGCCCCACCCCCAACTCCCTCTCCCCCAGTTCTTCCTTTGCCATTCATAATCCCCCCATCCTGATTCCTCTTCTAGGTTTTCTCAAAGTTATCTTTTTATACACTTGCTAGTATCTGTTCTGTTTTCCCCCAGACCTCCTCCTGTGCAACACGGAATGATGAACATCTAGACACAGGAATCTCACTCCCAGCCTAGCCAGGACCCAGGTTTTGTGAAGGGGTGTTGGGCAGTAGAAAAAGCAAACCCCCGGCCGGGCGCGGTGGCTCACGCCTGTAATCCCAGGACTTTGGGAGGCTGAGGCGGGTGGATCACGAGGTCAGGAGATCGAGACCATCTTGGCTAACACGGTGAAACCCCGTTTCTACTAAAAATACAAAAAATTAGCCGGCGTGTTGGTGGGCGCCTGTAGTCCCAGCTACTCGGGAGGCTGAGGCAGGAGAATGGCCTGAACCCGGGAGGCGGAGCTTGCAGTGAGCTGAGATCGCGCCACTGCACTCCAACCTGGTGGACACAGCGAGACTCCGTCTCAAAAAAAAAAAGAAAAAGAAAAAGCAAACCCCACCAAACCAACACCCAGTCTAGAGCCTGATCTAAGTGCCACTCAAAACATGTTTCCTCCTTTTACTTTCCTATATCCCAAGAATTCTTCCTGAAAAAGGTGGCCCCTGAGAGCCATCTAGAAGCATCACGGGGTGGAGGGGCAAGGGTCCTGAGAGCGGGTCTTGATGTCCCTTATCCCCAGTTTTCTTGAAGAAGCAGAGCTCCAGAGAAGAGGTAGGGCCCGTGGGGCGTTTGAGTTACACTCCAAGCCTAATTCTCAGTCCAGCAGTCCTGCCCCCAGAGGCTCCCTTCATCTGTCCACTTGGCCAAGGAAGGGGCAGGTCGCCCCACACCCCCCATCTGGCTGCAGAAGACAACCACCAGAAGGGTGTCCATGTAGCCGGGGCCCCAGAACCATGTCTGCATAGAAAGGGCCCAAGGAGCTAGAGCCCTTTAGCCTCAAGAAAAGTGTGAGGGACCCAGCATCCTTCTGAAACCTAAACTGAACTCTGGCCTGAGCCATTTTCACCGTCTGTGCCCTAGAAGGTTGTGAAGGCCTGGAAGTGGGTCTTCCTGCTTTCTCATCTTCTGAGGCTCAAGCCTTTCTCGGACTCCGTGGGTCCCACCCCGCTGGGCACTGCTGTTCCCTCCCTTAGAAGACTTTCACAGGCCCTGACCATCCCTTTTGCCAATCAAGTGAATGTCACCTCCTCAGGGAAGCCCTCCCTGAGCACCCCATCTGCAGTAGGGTCACCTCCATCTCCCACCCTCACTTTTCCTGGTGTTTCCTTCCTAGCCCCTATCTCTATGGAATGTTTTCTGCACTGATAGACTAGTCTCTCTCACCCACCCGGGGGCCAGCGTGTCTGTCTTCTCTGTCCCTGCACATGGGAGATGGTCAATGTTCACTTGTTGGCATCAATGTTCACTTGTTGGCATCAATGAAACAGGAAGGCCCCTGAGGTGCTGGGATTGGGAGCCCTTCACCCCAGTTGAGGAAGGAGGCTTGAGGAAGGGGAAAGGACCCGAGTTAGTGCCCTCTCCCTACCCCGAGGGTCAGCCCCGGGCAGGGCTGGTCACTACACCTTGGGACATTGTGGGCAGCAAACCACCCAGGTGCCAAGGCAAGAGACCAAGGGCACAAGCTGTTCCAGTATAATAAAATATATAGAATAAGAATAGTTATACTAGAAATAGATTATAGATATGATTATATATGAATATCATTAATCATTAGTTTGTAACATTACTCTTTATCCCAATATTATAATCTTTGTTCTACAATTACAACCTAGGAAAACCCAGGCCACACAGAGCTAGGAGCTGAAGGGACACAGTGAGAAGTGACCAGAAGACAAATGTGAGCCCTCTGTTACGCCCGGCCAGGACCACTAGAGGGCTCCCTGGCCTAGCGGTAACGCCAACGCTTGTGGAAGCGCTGACTTCCACAATTCTGCAGGAGGACTTCCACTCCTTGTGGAAGGCCTGACATCAGTCAGTCCCGCCCGCAGCCATCCGGAGGCCTAACCATCTCCCTGTGATGCTGTGCTTCAGCGGTCACGCTCCTGGTCCGCTTTCATGTTCCACTCTGTACACCTGGCTCCGCCTTTTAGATAGCAGTAGCAGAATTAGTGAAAGTACTAAAAGTCTTTGAAATGCATAGAAGAAATAATGGCATAAGCTGTCCCCCCTCTCTCTCTCCGCCTCCGCTGCCAAACAGGGAAGGGCCCCCTGTCCAGTGGACACGTGGCTTACATGACCTTATCAATCATTGGAGATGACTCACACTCCTTACCCTGCCCCTTTTGCCTTGTATCCAATAAGTAACAGTGCAGCCAGGCATTCGGGGCCACTACCGGTCTCCGCATCTAGGTGGTAGTGGTCCCCCGGGCCCAGCTGTTTTTTTCTGTCTCTTTTTCCTGTGTCTTTATTTCTACAATCTCTCGTCTCCGCAAACGAGGAGAAAAACCCACAGACCCAGTAGGGCTGGACCCTACACGACGCCTCTCCCCCTGTGCCCTTGATGGGTGGCCCGCAGGGGACGCGGCCGCACTCGGTCCGCTGTGGTCCTGGAGCAGCCGCGTCCTGGCTGGCGGCATTTAGGAAGGACAAACTCCAGAACCCAGGGCTCCAAAGGACCAATGCATGGGAAGGTCGGGAGGCTCAGGGGAGTGACCCCGCGTCTGGGCCAGCGCTTTGAGGCCCCTGTGGACCCAGTGGAGAGGGCCCGGGTGAGGCCTCTGGAGGCGCTGAACGGGGCCAGGAGCCGTGGGACGCACAGAGGGCGCCGGTCCCTGTGGGCACAGCAGCCCCTGGAGGGAGGTGGTCTCGGCCGCCCTCAGAAATCAGGCTCAGCCCGGGGGTCCCTGGCTCCGCCTCCCAGGCCGGGCTCTCTTTGCCCAGGCTGGGCGGGGCTGATGGCCGTTGGAAGCCCCGCCCCCCGCCGCTCACCGCCTCCTGGCCCCGCCCCCGTCTCCATGGAGACCCTACGCCGCCGGACACCTGTTAGCTGCTGCTCTGGAGCCTGGGGGCTTGACCAGGCTGTCCCCCGACTCGAGACACCGGGTTGCCTGTCCACGCCTCCACTCCCGGGCCACTTCCCCGCGGAGCAGGCAGTAGGGCAGTGAGGGATGGGAATCTTGTAACCAGAGAAGGGAACTGCCCCCAGGCCGAGAGAGTTTGGAGCCTGGGGTACTGTCACCAACAGACCAGGACTCCCGCAGCTGGGCCCTCCCCTAGAGTGTTCCTGCAGCAGGGCTCTCCTCCCAAGGGGCTGTGAATGTTTCCCCAGGGTGGGGCTGAAGCCAGAACCCAGAGGTTTGCCCCTGGGGCACGGATTCCCCAGGTCATTCGCCTCCCACGGGCTGCAGTGAAGGAGGCTCTGAGGGGAGGATGGCCAGCTTTTCCCCTGCAAGGATATGAGCCCCAGGGAAGGCATTTCTGCTCTGGGGACTGCCTCCCTCCCCTACATCAGAGCCAGCCCTCAAAAGCTTGGCCAACCTGACCACTCTGTCTGTGATCTCTGCCAGAGAGGCTGAAAGAACATCCAGCCCCACCTGTGGCCCCTTCCCACCTCAGGCTATATGACAGTATGACACCCCACCTATTTTTTTTCATTTCCACTGGAAACACTAGTAAAACAATTTTTCACCCTCTACCCCAGGGAGCGACCCCCACTAAACCAGCTGACTTGTGACCCCTGGGTCAATTTTGGCCAGAAGATGCTGCTGACACCATACAGAGAGCCTGGGCACCTGGGCCCCCTACAAGCCTGGTCATGGTGCCCATGGGATTTCAGGCCCCATGCATTTCCGAATCAGTATTTCCCCCACAAAAAAATACGCATGTAATTATCCCATGGCCACGTACCTAATCCTGGGGTACAGGAAAAGTGCAGAGGAAGAAGGGCTCCATCACTGGAGCACAGTCCCTTCCTCCTGGGGGTCCCACCTGTTCTTCCCCATCTGACAAAGTCCACCTTCCCCATGGAACCAAAGAGGGCTCAAAGGGAGCCAGCTGTTCACACTTTTTAATTTTCAGCTGCCTGACGAGGGCCAGAAGTCAGGGCAGAAGACCACCATTCCTGCCCCAGAACTCTTCCTGGGCCTGGGAGTGCCAGTGCCCCACCATGGACATATGGAGCTTCCATGTCATTCTCTATTCCATGGTGGCTGGACCCTGCCCTTCTACTCAGGGAGCCCTACAGACCTCAATAATAAAACTATCACAAGAAAATACCATGTCCCACCATTTTTTCCCTTCAACTTGAAAGACTGATTAAAAAGTTATTAACACTAGACCCCAGGGAGCAGCCCCCCACTGGAACAACTGATGAGGGACCCATGGGAGAACAGTGGTCGGGAGATGCCAGTGATACCATATGAAGTGCCACTCCTGGACCACCCAAGCCACAAACAACTCAGCTCATGATGGTCATGGGATTCCGGGCTGAGAACATCTCCGTGTCAATAGTAGAAAGAAAATTCAACTATCCCATGGCCCCATACCTCATTTTAGAGCATCCAAAACAAAAGAGGAAGCACTCTACCCTCAGAGAACTGTCCCTTCCTCCTGGGGTTCCCACCTGTCTTTCCCTATCCACCGAAGTTTCCACCTTCCTGCTCCCACTGAAATGGACTCACAGCAAGCCAGCTTGTCACACTTTTAAAATTCAGCTGCCCAAGGACAGCCAGAAGTCAGGGCAGAAGACCACCATTCCTGCCAGTGCACCTGCTGGCCTGCAGAGGAAGCCAGACAGTTTTAGTGACGCCCCCAGCATGACCCTGTGGCCTCCCCCTCCACTCAGAGCACCAGAAGCAGTGACAGAGACCCAGAAACGTCCCTGGCCCAGCGAGAACCATCGCAGAAAGCCAGCTTCCTCCAAGCTGGGCAGCCAGAGGCTGTGACGTCAGCCTCACCAAGAAACCAGGGCTGCCGCAGGGCTGCCAGAAGATGACTTTCATTTCTGCTAAGATTCGGTCACTTGAGCCCAGCGCAGAACATTCCAACCAATAAAATCACCCCAAAGAAGTAGTTGGACGGCAGTAGTGAAGACAAAAACCAAGTAGGTGGGGTAGTGAAACCACACTTCCTGCATTTTATGGTATTTATTATGTCTTTATTAGTATTATTTTAATTGGCAAATCATGCTTGTACACTTATGGGGTACAATGTGAGGATTCGATAGATGTGTGCACCGTGGAATGAGGAAATCCCGCTACTCAGCATCTCCACCATCTCAGAGAGACCAATTCCACATGATGTCCTGGAAGTGTTGATCTGAAAAAGTTGACCCCATAGAAGTAGCAAGTAGATCGATGTTGAACTGGGGCTGGAGAGTGACAGAGGGAGGGAATGGGGGGTTGTCGGTTAAAGGACCAAAGTCTGGACTGGAGGAAGAGCTTTTGACATCTAGTGCACAGCAGGGTGACCAGATCAATGAGAATGTGTTGCGTTTTGCAAAACACCTGAGAGAGTCCATATCAAATGTCTCCCTGCATTTAGATTGGAGAGGACGAAGGCCCTGAGGTCCAAGAACATTGAAACCTGACAGTGGATGCCAACAGCTGTGGGGAGGAGCCTGGTGAGACGCCCATGCTGCCACGTGCCCAGCAACGTTGGAGCCTGCAGCGCTTTTCCCCTGCCCTGCTCTATTTTATCTTTTTTAATAAAGATGGCTCCTGATAAATGACCGTTTCCTGCAAATCTTGTAGTAGCATTGGAAAAGTGGCAGGTGGGTCACAGACACTCTGCTGCTTTGCGCCCTCCCTGCACAGAAAGGGGGCTGTGCAAACCCTAGTTTAGGTGGCATGCAGTCATATGATCCTCTCAGTTACTCAGAAAAATTGAAAGGAAAAGAGACCTCAGGGAAGTATCAGGATGACCCCACCCACAGCAAATCATTATTAGTGGCTCTGAAGGGCTGAGGCTCTGAGTGGGTGCAGGGCAGAGTCCCACACATTGCGCATGGCCTCTCCACACTCACACTGCCTGGTGAACATTTTCAGAAGGACCAGCGGCCCCTTCAGGTCCCGTCTGCCTGTGTTAATCATGCTGAGAGGTTCCCAGGAGGATCCCGAAGGCCTGGGAACCAGTTGTGCTGGGGTCAGAGTGACGGGGGTGTGGTCCCCAAAGTGCCTTAGGGGGCCACTTGTTCTGCTGGGCTCCTGGCTGTCTAGTGTGGCATTGGCCTTTCTGCTGCGATGGTTTCCCCTTTTGCTAAAAGTGGCACGGAGCCATCCCCCCTCAGAGGCCTGACGGAGGAGTGAGCCTTCATCGAGGCCCAGGTTGAAGGGGTGCTTCTGGGTGAGGCAGGTGTCCTGGGGGTCTGGGGAGGGTTGATGGCAAGACACAGCAGCAGCCCCGAGGGATGGAGGGGGTGATGGGAATGGGGGCTTTCATAAGGCAGGTTCCAGTTTCCCAGGAACCCAGTGTTTCCATTTCAGGCAGTGAATCTATGGGTGCAGATGCCCATCAGCACCTATCAGGGAGCTTCTTCATGGGTTCCTAAGGGGCCTGATGAAGGTCCAGAAGGCCCCGCCCATGTGCATGGCCAGTGGCTCGGTGTGCACAGCCTTGAACATATGGTGACCCTGCCCACTACTGATGGTGGTCAGGGACTATCCTGGAGTTCAACCAGTCATATAAGATTCTCCTTCCCCAACAAAGAGCAGGAACGGGAAGCAAGAAGCAGGCTGGGGCAAGCATGGGAGTGTTGTGGAGCCTCTTGTCTCCCCAGTGTGCCACTGTCCTTTAAATCCACTTTGGGGTTGAGGGTCCCCCAGGTGTCAATACTGAATCTCCCTCCACCCAGTGCCAGTTTGCAACCCCAGAGAGAGGGTCCCTGTGGGTCCTGTTTGAGCTCCCCACCAAGGGCCCCTCAGAGTCTGTGCCTCCAACTTGCTGCCGTGCCGTGTCCCCTCTGGGAGTGCCAGCCCTGTGAGAAGAGGAGCCTTCCCCAGGCCTGGCTTTCACTGGCATCGGACAAGTTGTTTCTGGCCTGTGCCCTGTGGTAGACCTTGACATCTCTTCTCTAGAAGCCTGGGCTCCAGGCTCAGCGAGCTGGGCTGAGTCAAGACACCATAGGGAAGGGGCTCCAGGCAACAGGGCAAAACCCACAGACAAAGCTCCTTCCAGTGTCCACCCAGGCCGGGCCTAAGGAGCCATGTGGCCCCAAGTGCAGGCCAGGCTACCTTGGCTTGTTCATCTCCCTTTGTGGCCAGCGGCCTCCTTTTAGAGGAACATTCTTCTTGGGAGGAATTGAGAGCCATAGAGGGTGGGGAGCAGGCCTGAGAAGGGCAGACTCCCTAGAGACAGCCCAGAGAGCAGGGTCAGGCAGTGGGGAAGCTCAAACTCTACCAACCAGCTGAGGACACTGAGGTGCAAGAGAGATCGGGTAGCATTTTCCATGATATCCGGACAGGAACAGATGGCAAAGATTTGCTGTTTACCCCATCCCAGGCTGCACCGCACCCGCCCAGCCACTTCCCAGTTCTCTGCTTTGTCCCCCTTCTCAGGTTCTGAAATCATCCTGCTTTACACCTGTCACTCCCACTGAAGCAGGGACCTTGCCTCCCCCACAGCCACACAGGTCTCGCATCCAGTAGGCCCTCAGTCAATATTTGTGGAATCAGTGAGATGGGATTCAAGCCCGAGATGTGTCTGCAGAGCATTGGAAGTGCAGCCCTGGGTCCGAGAGGCCACCCAGTAGAGCAGGCCTGGGGACCCGCAGGGGCAGTGGACGCCTACTGTGACTCTGGGGAAGGCTGGTGGAACTGTCACTCACTAAGCTTATTTCCTCATCCAATCTTGGGGATCCTGAGCTCCCTACTTGGCAAGCCTCATGGGTTCACAGCTACCTCCAAGGGTTTCCTTCGCAAACTCAAATCAGACTGCTCCTTACTTGCCAGCACCTATTACTAAAGAAGGGGGAGCAGAAAGAATTGGGGTGTCATAGTGACAGTGGTAAGGAGAAGGCAAAGAGTTTTCCACTTCTGGCGATGGTAGCGGTGGCAGCCACCTGGCCCAGGGCACCATCTCTTTTCTCCTGTCTGTACCCTGCTTCCTCTGCCCTGCCACTTCCCCCTTCCTCCCCACTCCGCTCACTGCAGTCTTCTCTCCATCTTTCCAAGGTAGATGCAGCTTGCTGCTCTCCTGATGCCCCAACTAAGGCTATGGCTTCTGGTGCCTGCTGACCTCTTGGACTTTATTTCCCTGGCCCCTCCCCCACCTCCTTTCTGTTTGTCCCAGCCCCACGCCCAACTCCCTCTCCCCCAGCTCGTCCTTTGCCATTCATAATCCCCCCATCTTCATTCCTCTTCTAGGTTTTCTCTGGCTAAATTTTCTTTTATACACTTGCTAATATCTGTCTCCTTTTCCCTAGACTTCCTGTGCAACACGGAATGATGAAAATCTAGACACAGGAATCTCACTCCCAGCCTAGCCAGGACCCAGGTTTTGTGAAGGGGTGTGGGGCGGGAGAAAAAGCAAACCCCACCAAACCAACACCCAGTCTAGAGCCTGATCTAAGTGCCACTCAAAACACGTTTCCTCCCTTTACTTTCCTATATCCTGATAATTCTTCCTGAAAAAGGTGGCCCCTGGGAACTGTCTAAAAGCATCATGGGATGGAAGGGCAAGGGTCCTGAGAGTTGGTCTTGCCATCCCTTTGTTTCCAGTTTTCTTGAAGAAGTCGAGCTCCAGAGAAGAGGTGGGGCCTGTGGGGCATTTTGATTACACTCCAAGTCTAATTCCCAGTCCAGCAATCCTGCCCCCAGAGGCTCCCTTCATCTGTCCACTTGGCCAAGGAAGGGGCGGGTTGGCCCACGACCCCTGCCTGGCTGCAGACAACATCAGAAGGGTGTCCATGTAGTGGGGGCCCCAGAACAATGTCTGCATGGAAAGGGTCCAAGGAGCTGGAGCCCTTTAGCCTCAAGAAGAGCATGAGGCACCCAGCACCCTTCTGAAACCTAAACCAAATTCTGGCCTGAGCCATTTTCACCGTCTGTGCCCTAGAAGGTTGTGAGGCCTCGAAGTGGGTCTTCCTGTTTCCCTGTCTTCTGAGGCCCAGGCCTTTCTCAGAGCCTCCATGGGTCCCACCCCTGTACCCATCACATGGTGTCTGGGCCCTGCCTGCCTGGCTCACACCCCTCACCCTGCTGCCCTATTTCCATCCCTGAAACAGTCCACTGGACACTGCCATTCCCTCTCTTAAAATACTTTCACAGGCCCTGACCGTCCCTTGGTCAATCTAGTGAATGTCACCCCCTCAAAGAAACCCTCCCTGAGCACCCCATCCGCAGTAGGGTCACCCCCATCTTCCACCTTCACTTTTCCTGGTGTCTCCTTCCTAGCCCCTATCTCTATGGGAGTTTTCTTCAGATAGACTAGACTCCCTCGCCCACCCGGGGGGGCCAGCGGGTCTGTCTTCTCTGTCCCTGCACACCAGAGATGATCAATGATCAGTTGCTGACATCAATGAAACAGGAAGGCCCCAGAGGTGCTGGGAGCCGTTCACTGCAGGTGAGAAGGAACCTTGAGGAAGTGGAGAGGACCCGAGTTAGTGTCCTCTCCCCACCCGAAGGGTCAGCTCCTGGCAGCTCTGCGACTCTGTGGCTTGGGGCGCCTCTCCCCTGTGCCCTTGACGGGTGGCCTGCAGGGGACGCGGCCGCACTCGGTCGGCTGTGGTCCTGCAGCAGCCGCGTCCGGGCGAGCGGCACTTAGGAAAGACAAACTCCAAAACCCAGGGCTCCAAAGGACCCATGGGAAGGTCGGGAGGCTCAGGAGAGTGACCCCGCGTCTGGGCCAGCGCTTTGAGGACCCTGTGGACCCAGCGGAGAGGGCCCGGGTGAGGGCTCTGGAGGCGCTGAGCAGGGCCGGGAGCCACGGGACCCGCAGAGGGCGCCCGTCCGCGTGGGGGCAGCAGCGTCTGGAGGGAGGTGGCCCCGGCCGCCCTCAGAAATCAGGCTCAGCCCGGGGGTCCCTGGCTCCGCCTCCCAGGCCGGGCTCTCTTTGCCCAGGCTGGGCGGGGCTGATGGCCGTTGGAAGCCCCGCCCCCCGCCGCTCACCACCTTGTGGCCCCGCTTCCGTCTCCATGGAGACCCGATGCAGCTGGACAGCCTGTCAGCGGCTGCTCTGGAGCCTGGGGCCTGCTCCGTGCGCCCTGTCTGCCCTCCGCGGGCCGTGCTGTCCAGGCTGGCCCGACAGCCTGACTCGAGACACCGGGATGCCTGTCCACGCCTCCACTCCCGGGCCACTTCCCCGTGGGGCGGGCAGTGGGGCAGGGCGGGGTGGGAATCTGCTGCAACCAGGGAAGGGAATTGCCCCCCGGGCACAGAGAGTTTGGAGCCTGGGGTACTGTCACCAACAGCCCAGGACCCCGCAGCTGGGCCCTCCCCTAGAGTCTTCCTGCAGCAGGGCTCTCCTCCCGAAGGGCTGTGAATGTTCCTCGGAGGTGGGGCTAAGCTAGAGCCCAGAGGTTTGCCCTGGGCACGGATCCCCCAGGTCACTCGCCTCCCATGGGCTGCAGTGAAGGAGGCTTTGAAGGGAGGATGGCCGCCTCCTCCCCTGCAAGGATATGAGCCCCAGGGAAGGCATTCCTGCTCTGGGGATTGCCTCCCTCCCAGACATCACAGCCAGCCCTTGCAGAAGCTTGGCCAAGCTGACCACTCTGTCAGTGATCTCTGCAAGGGAAGCTGAAAGAACATCCAGCCCCAATTGTGTTCCCTTTCTGCCTCAGGCTAGGCCATATCTAGGCCTATCAGGGAAGTTGGTCTCTTCATGAGCCCCCCTGCACAGACGTCTAAATGTCCAGAGTCCCAACAGAATAACAAAGGGTTAAAAACCATCTCCATATTGAAGCAGGCCGAGCTGAAGGCTGACTTCTAGGGTGCCCTAGAATGGTGGAAGCTGCACACACCTGACACCACCTAGCAGAGTTGGCTTCCAGAGGAACCTTTCGGTGGGTACCCACTGACCACAGGATGCAGGCCTTCAAGATGTGCCTTCAAGACCTCTGTTCCTGATGTGCCGTCAGGACCTGCGCCATGGGCACCTGCTGGCCTCCCCATTGCTGGAATCCATTTGTGCAGCCCCTGTGGTGATGTGCACACTGGGACTGGTGTTCCCAACTTGCCTGATCATAAAACCACTGGGGACCCGTTCCGTGGAACCAATACTCTCCACACCTCAGGGGCCTTTCTTGTCCGTGCATCTGTACCTCTGTTACCTCTGTCTGGGATGCTTTTCCACTCAAATTTTGTCCCAAGAAAACCCCTTCTGCAACAAGAAAAGCAAATCAAAAGCCAACGGCATTTATTATATCTTTCCCAGGGGCCATAGGCTTGCAGGCCTACCTGGCCAGGCAGATGATCCAAATCTGCCTGAGAGGCATGAGGTGAGGAGCTGGTGCTGGAGGGTATGGTGGCCCTGCCAGGGAGCATCTGTGGTTCCAGCGGCTGCAGCAAGCAGAATGGAGGCCTGGGGCTGCAAGACGTTTTGAAGAGACACAGGAATCAGCATTTTTGTACATGATCTTGGGTGTGTGTGTGTGTGTGTGTGTGTGTGTGTGTGTGTGTTAAACACTGGAGTCATAAAACTTCAGATTAAAAGAAAAACTGCAGAACATAAAACAAAACCCACCTGCAGCTCAGGGCTGGCCTGCAGGCCGCCTGTGACTGGTGCAATTTCCCACCTGTGCTGCCCGTGACCATGGTAAGTCTCCACTGCACACCCCACGGACACAGTCTCAGTCTGTGGCTGCAGCCCCGAGTGTCACAGAGGTCCCTCCCCATTGCCAGGGCTGTCTGACCCTGAGTCTGTGAGCTCCTGTGGGACAGGCGTCAGCTTCTTGACCTGGTTTTCCTTCATAACTGCTCTCTGAGGGTAGTGGCTGGCCAGAGATCCTTTGCCGAATGGATCCTGGAATCCAGCCCTGGTCCCTAGGCCTCTCCCCACTAGAGCTACTTGTCATTGGCAGGCTGGCCACCAGGCCATGCTCTTCTTCCCTTGACTTTCTGTCCCAGGCCTGGAAGGAAGCATCCAGAAGACTCCTCCTAGCACCACAGGACCCAGAGAGCAAGACAACAGAGCAGCAGGGTCACACCCTGGCTTGCAGGGCCAGCTTCTGGCAACTGCCACAGGCCTGCCACACTCAGCCGTAGGTTCCCAAACGCAGCCCAGAACAGCTGCAACTCCTTCTTGGGCCTCCTCTGACTGGTCTATGTGCTAACTAGCAACCTGCCTCTGTCCACAACCCAGGACCCCATGTAGACACAGCAGCTCAGAGGTCTCACTGTTCCTGGGAGCCCCTGCCTCCTCCAGACCTCAGCCCTGCCTGCCTCCAGAGGGGACAGTAGAATTACAACTTCCTCCAGGAAACATATTCACAAACATACTAGAAGGGCCAGGTGGAAGAGCAGTTCTGCTGGCTTTGGGCCTTGAGGTGTTGCGGGATTTTTAAGGAATCAGAGAGACCAATGGGGCTCAGGAGGATATTTATTAATTACTTAGGTGCACCGGCCCAGTCGGATTAACATCCAAAGGACTGAGCCCCAAACGAAGAGTTAACTTTTAAGCATTTTGTGGGTTGGGGGAGATTTGTGCAGGGGAAATACTACAGAAGTGAGAAACAAAGACAGTTATTCAATTGAAACATGCATTACATGATTTCTTACTTTTCTAGGAAAACGTGTTTTGCAACTTGAGTTTATCTGTCTAGTGACCTTGCAGCTGCACAGCTAGGGAAACAGGGTCTTCACAATGCCTGGGAAAGGAGGAGAGATAAGGCTCAACAGCCACAGAAAAACAGGCAGTTAATTTTAAAGGACTCCAGCTCTTTCTCTTTCTCAGAGGGAATTAGGTTTTCTTACATACAACTGAGTTTCTGCTTACACATTCTTTAATTTCTTTTAATTCCTGTTCCAGATGAAGAAAGAAGGGATTTCTTTTCCCACACAGAAACACCCCAAGCAGGAACAGAAACAGATCTTTTGTGCCCACCAATATGTGTCTGTCTTGCCCAGCCTGTCATTGTCCAGGGCTGTGGGTAGTGGAGGAGCCACTGGTTCTTGACTAGTTCTGCAGAAGCCCTGGGTCAAAGGCCTCCGCTGACAGCATCCAGAAGTGTGTGCTTCTCCATCCTGGCCACACTCTCAAATCACTGGGTAAGCCTTCAACACACCAGTGGTTCTCTCAGTCCAAGGAAATCCATGGTGCTGAAGATGGGGCCTAGGCATGAAGTTTTCTTAAAGCTCCAGCTCTCTAGTGAGTTTCCTGCCTTGGCACTCCCGGAGGCATTGCCTGGGCAACTCAGGGGCCTGCAGCCCTACCCAAGGCAGAGCTCCAGGGACTTGCGGGGTCAAAGGTGCCTGGGCAAGCTTCCCAGCATCCCAGTTTCCACACTGGCCACAGGGGTGAGAGCGACTGAGGTTGTGAAGAAAGGAAGGCCACTGACTTTCCAGGCCCTGCTCCACTGGGGAGGGGGGTGCCTGGGGGGCTTCTCTGCACTCTTTGTCTACAGCTTCCTTCAGCAGCAAAGCTGGCTGGAGTTGCCAGGGGATGCTTGCACAGCCTTACGGACCAAGAAATGAGTCCTAACTCACGTGTCCTCCCATACTGAGTAAAAATCTCTGGCCCCCACCATGATTCAGAGCCTGAAGTTCCAGAAACTCAGGAGGCTCAGCACCAGAACTCAGGAGCTCTCAGCCTGGGTGGACCCCTGGGTTTCTTTTCTTTTTTTTTTTTTTCTTTTGAGACAGAGTCTTGCTTTGTCACCCACCCAAGCTGGGCTGCAGTGGCGTGATCTCAGCTCACTGCAACCTCCGTCTCCCGGGTTCAAGTGATTCTCCTGCCTCAGCCTCCTAAGTAGGTGGGATTGCAGGTGTGTGCCACCACACCTGGGTAATATTTGTATTTTTAGTAGAGACAGGGTTTTGTCATGCTGGCCAGGCTGGTCTCGAACTCCTGACCTCAGGTGATCCACCCGCCTCAGCCTCCCAAAGTGCTGAGATTACAGGCGTGAGCCACCGCACCCGGCATGGAGCCCTGGGTTTCTATCCTTTTGCCCCCTATGCTGGGTGAGCCCCCAAGGCCAGTGCAGCCACTGGGAGGGCTGACAGCAAAAGGGCCACCAGTTTGGGGCTCAGAGACACATGGGAAGGGTGCAGATGCAGAGGCAGCTGGGGTTTTTGTGAGGCAAAGCCTCATTTTCAAGTTCATGGGCTTTAGGCACTCATTGATTTTTTACTTTTTTTCCCTCAGCAGTTTCCTATTTTTTATTAATTAAAAAAGTATCAAACATACATAAAATTTACCATTTTATGTGTCCATCTCAGCATCATTAAATATATTCATAATGTTGTGCAAACATCACCACTGTTTATTTCCAGAGCTTTTCCATCATCCCAAAGAGAAATCGTGTGCCCCTTAAAGAGTAATTCTCCATTCCCCCTGACACCACTCTGTTCTATTTTTGTCTCTATGAATTTTCCTATTCTAGGTACTTCCTAAGAGTGGAGTGATACAATATTTGTCCTGTGTTAGGCTTATTTCCCAAAGAATAACGTTTTCTTTTTTCTTTTGAGACAGATTCTCTCTTTGTTGCCCAGGCTGGAGTGTAGTGGCGTGATCACAGCTCACTGCAGCCTCTAACTCCTGGACTCACAGGATCCTCCCAAGTAGCTGGGACTATAGGCTCATGCCACCAAGCTCAGCTAATTTTTAACTTTGCATAGAGACAGGGCCTTGCTATGTTGCCCAAGCTGGTCTCGAACTCCTGGCTTCAAGTGATCCTCCTACTTCAGCCTCCTAAAGTGCTGCAGTTTTAGGCATCAGCCACTGCACCCAGCCTGGACATTTCATTGAAATGGAATCATAAAACATGCAGTCTTTTGCAACTGGCCTCCTTCACCTAGCACCTATGTTGCAGCATGTGTCACTAATTTATTCCTTCTTATAGCTGAATAATATCCTAATACATGGATAAATTACATTTTGTTTATTCACTTATCAGTGGATGGACATTTGAGTTGTTCCTGCTGTTTAGCTGATATAAATAGCAATGTTTTACATTCCCACCAGTACCTAGGAATATGTTTAATATGAAAGGCAAAGAATTCTATATAAATCAATTATAGCCTAGGTGTGCCTGTAGTCCCAGTTACTTAAGAGGCTATCGTGGTAAAATCGCTTGAGCCCAGAAGTTCGAGGCTGCAGTGAGTGATGACTGCACCACTGCGTATCAGCCTCAATGACAGAGCAAGACCCTGTCTCTAAAAAATAAACCAATCAATCTTACTGAAGGAACTGTAACAAGACCTAAAATAGTATCATGGGCGGAATGTTTATGTTCCTCCAAAATTCCTGTGCTGAAGCCCTAACCTTCGGGTGGCTGTGTTTGGAATAAGGAAGGCAGGAAGGTTAAATGATGTTACAAGGTGGGGCCCTGATCTGAGATAATTTGTGTCCTTCTAAGAAGAGGGCCTTATACGAAGAGGTGACACCAGGGCGGGTGCGGTGGTTCACGCCTGTAATCCCAACACTTTGGGAGGCCAAGGCGGGTGGATCACCTGAGGTCAAGAATTCGAGACCAGCCTGGCCAACATGGCGAAACCCCGTCTCTCCTACAAATACAAAAATAGCCGGGCGTGGTGGTGGGTGCCTGTAATCCCAGCTACTCGGGAGGCTGAGGTAGGAGAATTGTTAGAACCCTGGGGGCGGGGGTTGCAGTGAGCCAAGATGGCGCCACTGCACTCCCGCCTGGGCGACAGAGTGAGACTCCATCTCAAAAAAAAAAGAAGAAGTGACACCAGAGACACCTTGCTCATGTGTCCTCTCTCTGTGCACACAGCGGAAAGGGCATGGGAGAACACAGTGAGAAGACAGCAGTCTGAGAGCCCGGAAGAGCGCCCTCACCAGAAACCAAATGTGTCAGCACCTTGCTCAGGGACTTCCAGCCTCCGGAACTGTGAGGAAACAAAATGTCTGTTTTGGAGCCGCCCAGGCTGTGGGGTTTTGGTAAGGCAGCCTGAGCAGACTAATGCAACAGCCTCAACAAAACTGCAATCGATGAGAAAAAAACAGTGGGCTTGAAGAAAAAAATGAATTCCAGTCAAAATCTCAACAGTTTCATTTGGGAGGTGAGATGAGAGAGGAAACAGGTGGGAAAAGAGAGGTAAAAGGCTCGGTTAGTCTCGGGGCTGGAGAAGGTCAAGGTAGTGGACAGAGGCCCCCGGCTGCCGCCGCGGGTTCCGCGACGCTGACCGTGTATGTGACCCAAGAGACTTCTTTACCAAGGCCAGCACGGCCGGGGACCCGGATTTCACCTGGGAGAGACATTAGAGCTGGGGGTGCACATTCTGCAGAGTAGAGGGACCACTGAGTGGCCCATCTCTGGAAGCACCCCCGCTTCAGCCTTACATGCTGGGCTTTCCTCCTGGGGCCTAAGGAGTACGGGTGGGGACCCCTGCCCAGGTCACACTGAGAGGGTGACAGCATACTGGCAGCCCTTGCAGCCCTCGCTCACTCTCGGCGCCTCCTCGGCCTTGGCGCCCACTCTGGCCGCGCTTGAGGAGCCCTTCAGCCCACCGCTGCACTGTGGGAGCGCCTTTCTGGGCTGGCCAAGGCCGGAGCCGGCTCCCTCGGCTTGCGGGGAGGTGTGGAGGGAGAGGCACGGGGCGGGAACCCGGGCTGCCCGTGCGCTTGGGGGCCAGCTAGAGTTCCGGGTGGGCGTGGGCTTGGCGGGCCCCGCACTCGGAGCTGCTGGCCGGCCGCAAGCCCCGGACAGTGAGGGGCTTAGCACCTGGGCCAGCAGGTGCTGTGCTCGATTTCTCGCGGAGCCTTAGCTGCCTCCCAGCGGGGCAGGGCTTGGGACCTGCAGCCCTCCATGCCTGAGCCTCCCCGCCCCCCGCTGTGGGCTGCTGCGCGGCCCGAGCCTCCCGGACGAGCGCCGCTCCCTGCTCCACCGCGCCCAGTCCCATCGACCACCCAAGGGCTGAGGAGTGCGGGCACACAGGCGCCGGACTGGCAGGCACCTCCACCTGTGGCCCCGGTGCGGGATCCACTGGGTGAAGCCAGCTGGGCTCCTGAGTCTGGTGGGGACTTGGAGAATCTTTATGTCTAGCTAAGGGATTGTAAATACACCAATCTGCACCCTGTGTCTAGCTCAGGGTTTGTGAATGCACCAATAGGCACTCTGTATCTAGTTAATCTGTTGGGGACTTGGAGAATCTTTATGTCTAGCTAAGGGATTGTGAATGCACCAATCGGCACTCTGTATCTAGCTCAAGGTTTGTAAATGCACCAATCAGCACCCTATCAAAATGGACCAATCAGCTCTCTGTAAAACAGACCAATCGGCTCTCTGTAAAATGGACCAATCAGCAGGATGTGGGTGGGGCCAGATAAGAGAATAAAAGCAGGCTTCCGGAGCCAGCAGTGGGAACTCGCTTAAGGTCCCTTTGCTGGTTGTGGAATGTTTGTTCTTTTACTTTTTGCACTTAAATTATGCTGCTGCTTAATGTTGGGGTCCACACTGCTTTTGCTGAGCTGTGAGACTTACCATGAAGGCCTGCAGCTTCACTCCTCAGCCAGTGAGACCAGGAACCTACCAGAAGAAAGAAACTCCAAACGCATCTGAAGGTCGGAAGGAGCAAACTCTGGACACGCTGCTTTTAAGAACTGTAACACCATGAGGGTCTGCGGCTTCATTCTTGAAACCAGTGAGATCAAGAACCCACCAATTACAAACACAACACCTCAACAACACCTCATGAGCAGGTAAGGACACCTGGGCACTGCTCAGGGACGGCATGTAGTCTGCAGAGTTGGGAAGCTCTGTCTATACTAAGGGTGTTTTTTGAGGGAAGGGCAAATTGATATGAATGTCGGAATCAAATTCAAGCTCCTTCAATTCTAATCGAGTGCTGCTTTAAAAAAAGCTGGACCAACATGAAGTATCACCAAGCACTACCTCTGTAAGGCAGCAGCCCGAGCTCTGCTCATGGCTGGTCTCCAGCAGCTGCCAGCGGGCTGGCCCTCCTCCCTCATCAGCCATGCTGAGCATTCCCTGCCTTTTCGGGAGAACACGCGGTCACGCGGGCTGCAGTAAGGCAGGAGGAAGGAGCAGGCGGAAATGCTGAGGAACTCCTTGGTTCTCTCACCCCAGAACTCTTCCCAGCCTGCCAGGCTCTGGGCCTGAGGGATCATTCACCCACCAATCCCACCCCGTGACTTAGTCATGGAGGAAGTGAGGCCTGGAGAGAGGGGACTTGTCCCAGCAGGGATTAGGGCTTTCTTCCCTGCTGTGTGGCAGACGCTCCTGCACCGAATTCTGCCATGCCACGCACCACATGCTCACTGGCGCCTTTTTTGGGTTCTCAGTGCTGCCCCCACAAGCTTAACTTGTAGCTGGGGAAGACCAGCAGAGGTCGGAACAATTAATACAATCACGCAGCCTGAGAGAGAGCAGTAGTGCTACGGAAAAAGAGTACTTCAATTTAAAAATTCTAATTGTAAAAATAAATTTTAAAGAGAACTGGCCCAGGACATCCATGCCACATTCCCTCTTCCTCCAGGCCCTTCCTGACGCCCTTGACTCCGGCCTGTCCTGAGGCATGCAGATGCCACTCACCTCCAAGTTCTCCAGAACCTCTGGGACACCAAAGACCCTGACCTCGGAGGTGGTGTAGTGGTTGCTCAGAAGGATTTCAGACTGCTTGGCATAGAGATCTGGGCTGAAGGGTACTGGCCAGCTGGCAAATGACACGGAGTTCAGCCTTGTCCTCACACAGCGAGGGAAGGACGGGGAGGTTTGGAGCTGACAGTCAACAAATGGGTAATGGGCGGCCATTAGTGAAGTGGCAGGAAGTGGGGCAGCACACACAGCGCGAGTTGTTTTGTGTATGAACGGCCAGGCGACGGTGTCTGAACATCTTTCCTTAATTTTGCGAACGGAAACAGGGCACGATGAACCTGGGAACTCACAAAAATGATGAGCATAGAGCTCTGCGGGGTGCGGTAAGAAGGGGGGAGGGGATGAAAATATCTTTGCATGGGGTTTTGACTTGTGAGCCATGCAAGTATTTTACATGTTCAAAACCTACAATTAAGCCCCCAAGGAGGAACAAAAACTCAAACTGTAACTTGTCTTCCTATCCATCCACCGTCACCAGACAGCAGCAGCTTAATGTAGAGGTGGAATGGGTCACTGCAGCCACAGCACACAGCCACCTGGGGACATGGCCTTAGAAGGCCAGGGCTCTGCCTTACAGGGAGCGGTGCATGCTGTGAGCCAGAGACCACCACGTGGTGCTGTCTCCTCCCCAGCAGGGGTCTGCAGCTGGGGGTGCAGGTGGCAGGGGCTCCTCTCATGCTCTTACCTAGTAACCCTTGCACGGAATGTTTGCTTCCTGCCCCAGAAACTTTGAGTTCTGCTTGTTTGGAGGTCTTAGTTTCTACGAGGGAATGCTTCCCCAGAGGAAATCTGGCATGGTTCCAGTGCATTGGAAGATGAGACTTTCCCCTGGCCATGTGGGGCTCCCCAGGCCACTGAAGCAATGGGAGGCAAAAGGGTTTCTCTACTAGCTGGAGAGAGTGATCCCAGTCACCAAGGCTTTGCTACGCAATGGGGACAAGAACCCAGGGGCTTCTCTGGTATATCCATACCCAATGGTAATGGCTCGTGGGAAATTCTAGCAGCCAAAAAAGGACAGTTGAAGAATCAGAGTCCTTAGGAATGATGGTTTCAGTCACACCCCACATAGGAGAAACTTGAGGCCAGGTGCAGTGGATTCATGCCCGTAATCCCGGCACTTCAGGAGGCCAAGGTGGGCAGATCACTTGAGCCCAGGAGTTCAAGGTTACAGTGAGCCATGATTTTGCCACTGCACTTCAGCCTGGGTGACGGTTTCTCTATAAAACCAATTTTAAAGAAACTTGACCGGCTTAGGTCTGTATGAGGGCAGGGGACAATGGAATGGGTTTGGGAAGAAGGAAGCCACAGACATTACCCACAGCTGTGCCTTCCATTAGCAAAGGGAGGGCTGCAGTAGCTTTACTCACTTTCACTTTCCCGGTTACACACGTGTTAGTTGGTTTGTGCTATTTCCTTCTTTCCATTTTTCACTTTCTATACAGGTGTCGATAGGTAACGTTACAATTTAGTCTTCAGGGAACAGAATATTCAGCAGCGCTGTGATGGAATCTGAGGAGTCACTCAGAGCCCCGCCCCCCCACCACCCCATACACAGTGACTGAGGGACTGTGCCTCATTGTGGGCAAGGGGTGAGAAAACCCCTTCGTGATCTGAAGTGTGGCTGTATCTTGGGAGGTGGAAACACAAGGCTGCTTGCTTGTTCTGAATTTCACATGTGCGTGGAAGGTGCATGTGGAAGCTGAGTGTCATATGGTAGCTGGGTTAGAGCCTTTTTGTCTCTCAGCTCCAAAGCCACTGTTCACCGCCTTGCTCTGTGATCATGGCATTGGACTTTGTCAATGTTCTCCTCTGCCAGTTAGCAGAGGTGACACTGGGGGTGCTACGGGAAGAAGGGGCATCCCTCCTGGTTGCACTGGGCAGCGCTCTCTTCCCATCTGCAGCTGCCGTGGGCAAGCAGGGTTCCATGGGGGTGACTTCCCACATGCAATGCCCTGTCTGCCAGCACCCGAGGGACGTCCTGCTTGCCAGTCCTGTCTCACATTCCCATGCCTGCCAGCCCCAGCCTGCTGGCTGCAGCAACTGCCATCTGGGGCATCTGACACGGTCTCCGCCATTCCAAGGGCTGCTTCCACTCCTCCAGTGAGAGCGAGCCTCGGGACCAGAGGAGCGGCCCAAACAACCCTGAGTGTGATGAGAAACCATTGTTACCGTGGCTCTAAGCTAGGAAGTTTTGCGGTGTTTGGCTTTGTAGCAAAAGGTAACTGACACCCCTTTTATTTAGGGGTCTGCCGTTTCTCCAGTGATTTGTCACGCCATCTTCACTGTATCCTAAGTTTCCATTTTATGGAGTCTGTTTCTGGACTTTCCATTCTGTTCAGCTCGTCTGAATCCGCACATACCAATACTGCAGGTTTAATGACAGAAGCTTTCTAGTGTGCTGCAGTGATGTCTGGATGTACCACTAACTCTAAAAACAAACAAAAAAGACTGATTTTCCTGGAGAGTCTTGCCTTGTCAAAACTGGAATTGAAAATAATCTTGACTAGCTCCATTTTTTTAAAAAAACTGAGAAGTATTGACATCTGTATGTTAAATTGTGTTATCTTAAAACTCGGTATATTTCTCAGTGTTTTAATCTTTTCCTCACTTGTCATTATTTTTTGAAGTTATTCCTAGTTATCTTTTTCCTTTTTTTGAGACATGGTCTCTCTGTCACCCAGGCTGGAGTGCAGTGGTGCAATCATGGTTCACTGCAGTCTTAACCTCCTGGCCTCGAGCTATTCTCTTGCCTCAGCCCCCCAGGTAGTTGGGACTACAGCCGTGAGCCACCATGTCCAGCTAATGTTTTTTATTTTTAGGAGAGATGAGGTCTCCCTATGTTGCCCAGGCTGGCCCCAAATTCCTAGACTCAAGTGATGCTCCTGCCTCAGCCTCCCAAAGTGCTAGGATTATGGTGTGTCGCCATGCCCAGCTCCTATATATCTTTTGTAAAAATTTTATCTTGTACATGCATTCTTTTTTCCTTTTATTATTCTTTTAAACTTATTAATGTCTATTGATTCATATACATTAATTTGCTTTTCAGTCATCTTGCTGAGTTTCCTCATTGTGCCTTAACTTTTTCATTGATTTCTTGGGATTTCCAGAAATGCTGTTGTATCATCTGCAAATAGAAATAATTTGCCTCTTTGGTGGGGCACAGTAGCTTATTCCTGTAATCCTAGCACTTTGGGAGGCTGAGGTGGGAGGATCGCTTGAGCTTAGGAGTTTGAGACCAGCCTGGGCAACATAGCGAGACCTCATCTCTACTAAAAATAAAAATTAGCCGGGGGTGGTGGTGCACACCTGTAGTCCCAGCTACTGGGCTGAATGAGGCGGGAGAAACACTTGAGCCCAGGAGGTTGAAGCTGCCGTGAGCTGTGACTGCACCACTGAACTCCAGCCTGGGTGAGAGGGCAAGACTCTTGTCTCAAAAAAAAAAAAAAAGAAAAAAAAATTCACCTCTTCCTTTCTGATTCAGATGCCTCTAACTGCATCTGATTGCATTGGCTGAACCCTTCAACACAGTGTCACAGAGAAGTGAAGATGCTTACCATGTCTTTTCCCTGATTTGCACAGAATGCATTCACTGTTTCTCCATTCAATTAAATTCTGGCTTTTGAACTCAGGTATACTCTATCATTCCCAAAAAAGTATCCACTTATTTAAGTGTTTTATATACCAGGAATTCGTTCTGGATTTTGTTGAAGCCCTTTTGTCAGCCAGGGAAATGATCACTTGGTTTTTCTTATCTTAGTTAAGATGATGGATTTCCTAATATTGAACAGTTCTTGCATTACTGATGTAAAATGCTATTTGGTCATGAGGTATATTAGTTTATATGGAATATGCTACTAGATGTTTGATATGTGTGATATGTGATTCACAATTTTCTATTGGTGACATGCAGCTTTGTATTTATGTAACTTTTATCAGGTCTAGAAAACAGTGCCAAAATCACTGCATAAAAAGCATTGGGAGGCAGGTGCAGTGGCTCACCTTTGTAATCCCAGCACTTTGGGAGGCCGAGGTGGGCAGATCACCTGAGGTCGCCAGTTTGAGATCAGCCCTACCAACATGGAGAAAACCTGTGTCTACTAAAAATACAAAATTAGCTGGGTATGGTGGTGCATGCCTGTAATCCCAGCTACTGGGGAGGCTGAGGCAGGAGGATCACTTGAACTGGGGAGGTGGAGGTTGCGGTGAGCTGAGATGGCACCATTGCACTCCAGCCTGGGTGACGAGTGAATCTCCGTCTCAAAAAAGAAAAGACAAGAAAAAGCATTGGGAAGTTTTCCTTCCTTTGCTGTGATCAGAAACAGTTGTAACAGTGAGATTATCTGGTTGTGAAGGTCAGAAGAATTCCCTGTGAAACAAAATGGGCTAGTTAAGCCGTTAATTACATTTTCTATTTCTCTCATGGGAATTTGTTTAAGATTTCTTTTTCTCCTGAGTCACTTTTGGCTAATTATTCATTTCAAATTTATTTGCATAAAGTCGTTCAAAGTATCATCACTCTAAACATTTTTTCCACTTCAATATTCAGTCCTGTGTTGGTTTCTCATTTTTGGTGTTTCGTTTTCTTGTCACCTTGATTTGGTTAGCTAGAGGTTTGTCTACTTTCTTTTTTCTTTTCCAAGACCAGCTTTTTGTTCATAAGCTTTACTATTTCTTTGTTCTGATTTTTTTTTTTTTTTTTTTTTTTTTTGAGGAGGAGTCTCACTCTGTCTCCCAGGCTGAAGTGCAGTGGTGCTATCTCAGCTCACTGCAACCTCCACCTCCCAGGTTCAATCGATTCTCCTGCCTCAGCTTCCCAAGTAGCTGGGATCACAGGTGTGAGCCACCATGCCCGGCTAATTTTTGTAGTTTTAGCAGAGATGGGGTTTCACCATGTTGGCCAAGCTGGTCTCGAACTCCTGGTCTCAAAGCAGTGTGCCTGCCTCAGCCTCTCAAAGTGCTGAGATTACAGGCATTAGCTGCCACACCCAGCCTTGCTTGTTATTTTGCAACTGTTTCTCCTTTGTTTACTTTAATCTTTTCCTAATTTTGCATTTGATGTTTCTTTTTCATTTTGGATGTAATTTTCTTTGCCTCATTGCTTTAATTGCATCATGGATTCTGATACAAGGTGTTACCATTTTGAACAAATTCTATGGTTGTGGTTTGTATTTGTCCTCTGACCCAAGAGTAATTTAATAGAGTTAGTAACATTTCCAGTAGGGAATTTTTGAGTCTTTAATTTCTAGTTTTACTGTACTGTGATTAGAGAATATGTTTAGATTCTCTCTGCTTTGTGGAATTACTGAAGTTTCCTTTGTGTCTTAATATGTGGCAAGTTTCCATAAACGTTTCAAGGGAGGTTGGAAAGGTGTTTTCTCTGTTATTGAAGCGCAATGCTTGGTATCATATCCATGAGAAACTGAAGGCTTCTAGATAATTTCATTTTGGCCTCTTAACCTGTCTTGGATTCAGAGTGGCAATGTTAACCTTTATGAATGTGTTTTTTTATTCCTACCTATCCTGCAGTTTCCGTTTTTTGAAGACTGCTGTTTTATGTGGTGCATAGATACTCCTGTCATGTCTACATTGGGAATTGCAGCTTCTAGCATTATCAAGTCACTTTCTCATGCATTGTTTTTAAGGCTGATTTCTACCCTGTCACACATCAAGACTGTAACTTGCTTCCTCGTCTAATTTGGCTTCATAGCTTGTACCCCTCCATGCACGTCTTTATGGGTAGCCTTTAGCCTTTCTGAATTTTTGTCTTAGGTGTCCCTCTAGAGTATTGGCAGAGAGTTGGTGGGTTTTGCTTTGTGGTCTGGGGTAGATGGAATGTATTTGTAGTCTATACCCTAGCTATGACTCACTTTATGGCAGGGAACACTTCTCCACCCTCTGACGCTGGGCTGGGCATGGAGCAAAGTGGTCAATGGGATTGTGGTGCACCTGGCGTGAGCAAAGGTGTGCTATGTGCTTGGGGCCAGGCTCATGCTCCTGCACTCCAGCCTATTGCCATGACCAGGACAGGCCTCGACCGGTGGGGTCAGGAGAATGAGGGATATGTGGAGCAGTCCTAGACCCCCTATGGCTCAGACTGACCCAGTTCTAGACCAGGGGAACCCCGTGCATCTGCAGATGGGGGCTGAGAAATCAGTGCTTGTTTCCTGCACACTTTGGGGTTGCCAGAGAACTAGGGTGGCGGTAGCTTATGGATACAAGGTCTTCAAAGACCTTTCTCTTAGCAGGGGAGCTAGGTATACTTGCATTTTGATGTAGCTGGTGTCTTTGGTTTGTTCTGGAAGGTTGTTTGCCGTTGTGAATTCACTATGTGGAGTATGGCGTCCTCGTGTGGCTTTCATTCTGAAGACTGGTCTGTTCCACTCTCCCTTTTTGGCTTGGTTATTTTTTTTTTTCTGTATTTAGGAAGGCTTTATTTTTGTTCTGGAGCTGTATTAGTCAGTGTTCTCCAGAGAAAACTGAACAAATAGGACAAACACACACACTCACACACTCATGAGGGGATTTATTGTGGGAATTGATTGGTTCATGCCCTTCAGGAGGCCAGGAAGCCCCAGGATATGCCAGTGGCAAGCTGGAAAACCGGAAAGCCCATGGTGCAATTCAGTTCGAGTCCAAAGGCCTAAGAACCAGAACAGCTGGTGGTGTCCCTCTCAGTCCCAGGCCACAGGCCTGAGAACCTGGGGGCTTCTGGTTTAAGACATGGGGTCCAGAGGCCCAAGAACCTGGAGTTCTCATACGCAAGGGCAGGAGAAGGTGGATGTCCCAGGTCAAGCATAGAACAAATTTCCCCTCCTTCCTCCTGTTGGTTGTATCTGGGCCTCAGCAGATTGAAGCAGGCTTGCTCACACTGGCGCGGGTGGCCCTCAGTCAGTCCACTGGGTCAAGTGCTCATCTCTTCCAGAACCCCCCCACAGAAACACGAGAAATCACGTTCTCCCTGCTCCCTGGACATCCCTTAGCCTAGTCAAGCTGACTGCTAAAATGAGCCATCACAAGGGCTGCCTTGGTAATAGTGACTTCTGCTAATGCCCACGGTGCCCGCTTTTCCTAACTGGCCTTGTGCTATCATTGAGCACTGTCAGCTGCAATAAAATCACCCGACTCTCACCTGCTAACAGTGCAGCAGCGGATCGGCTGACTGCCTTTCCCTTTCTCTTCCTTCTCTTCCAGTTTTTTGAATGCGTGGGTGCTTTTCTGGGTTTGGTAGTGCAATCATGCCCTCTTGCGCTGCTAAGGTGAATTGCAGTTCCCGTAATAAAAGATACTTTTAGGTGGGCTTGGTGAATCTTTGACAGCATCTCTGTGATGAGGCCCCCCTCTTAGCTGCTTCTTTCTTGCCCTTCATCACCAAAGCTCCCGGACACCCTTGCGAGGTGCTTCTGGCCCGATGGCCTGTCCAAGTGCTTCCTGTAGCTCTTGCTTAGCAGGCTGCCTTTCTCCTCTCAGGGCGGCTCCCTCCTCCTGCTCTGTGCATCGCGCCTCCACAGGGACCACCCATTTCCTCCGGCTGTGCATCCCCCACTGGCTGCCCCTGGCACCCACCCAGGACCTCCACGGGGACCCCCTCATTCCTTTCCGCTGTGTACCCCCCACCCCTGCACCCCCCCCAGGACCTCCACAGGGACCTTCTATCCCCTCCAGCTGTGCACCCCCCCCACCCCACCCAGGACCTCCAAGGGGACCCTCACCTCCTCCAGCTACACATGCCCCCCTGCCCCTGCATCCCACCCAGGACCTCCATGGGGACTCCCCACCCCGTCCATCTGTGCAGCCCCCTGCCCTTGCACCCTACCCAGAACCTCCATGAGGACCCCCTCAATCCCCTCCCACTGTGCATCCTCCCCTGCCCCTGCACCCCCCCACAACCTCCACAGGGACTCCCCACCCTCTCCTGCTGTGCAACCCCCACCCCTGTACCCCCCTGACAACCTCCACAGGGACCCTCCACCCTCTCCCATTGTGCACCCCCCCACCCCTTCACCCCACCCACAACCTCCACAGGGACCCCCACCCTCTCCCACTGTGTACCCCCCTGTACCCCACCCACAACCTCCACAGAGACTCTCCACCCTCTCCCACTGTGCACCCCCCCAACCCCTGCACCCCACGCACAACCTCCACAGGGACTCCCCACCCTCTCCCGCTGTGTACCCCCCTGCCCCTGCATCTCACCGGCAAGTGATTCTACATCAACTCTGCTGCTCTAAGATGTTGATTTTCCCACTGACCTTTAAGTGAATTTTGTGGTTCTTGCTCTTTCCCAAACACAGTGTAGGTCTGACAGCTATAGGTGACTGTTTCTTTGCTTTGGAGACTTGGTCTTGCGCTGTGGCCCAGGCTGGAGTGCAGTGGGGTGATCATGGCTCATGTAGCCTTGACCTCACTGGTTAAAGCAATCCTCCTACCTCAGCCTCCAGAGTAGCTGGGAACACAGGCAGGCACCACCATGCCTGGTTAATGTTTTGATATTGTAGAGATGGAGGTCTCACTATGTTGCTCAGGCTGGGATTACAGGGGTGAGTCACAGCATGTGGCCCCTCCTTGTTCTTTGAAAAGTTCTCAGAGGGTGTGAGAAGAGATTCCAATTCAGGTATTATCCTCTGGTATTTTCATTTTAGAATGTGTTCTTCCCTATTAACTACATAGAAAATGACAAAGTGCTTCAGGTCCTACGTATCAGATTTAATTGGAACACTTTACTGTGGAGGTGGGGGTGGGGTGTGGTTAGGAATAATAGACAAGAAAAGCTTTCCCTGAGGGCCTTGAAAGTCCTGAAGCTCCACGTTAGAAATGAGGGTGGGTGATCTTCACCCCATGCCTACAAGCAGCAGCCGCCAGGTCTTTATCACAGGCCTGCTCTGGGCTGAGCGGTGAGATGGGGTCTCTTGAAAAGTGGGCACTGAACTGAATGCACTGAGCTAAGAGGCATCTCAGGGGATACCTGGCCTCCAGCAGCACCAAAACGGGGTCCATGGTCATCCCAGGGACTCAGCATTGTGGTCGAACCATGGTGTCCCCCTCTCCAGGCTCCAGTCCTCGCCAGAATCACCAACTCTGCCAGAAACTCGATTATTTCTTTCCGTTTGTTCCTTGTTTGCCAACACAACACTGTCTGCATGGCAACACGTTATGGGACATCCGTAAGGTGGAATGTTATGCAGACGTTATAAATTGTCGAGTCTTCCACTGCCTCATCACAGTGGATTAAGGGAAAAAGAATAGCATTTACACACACACACACTGTTACTAAACTGTATTCTGTAGAGTGCACAGGCTGTTGTTCAGAGATTTATTCATATATGCACACCATCTTTTCCAAAGGCTCTAAAAGGTCCAGCAGAAAGAAACGCATTGAACTGCGTGCAATGCATCGTTCCCTAGAGGTGTGTGACCGATGACACTTTCCACGTGGGGCACCAAGCAACACTGACAGTACCGTTTGGGAAGCACTTCAGAGATGTAAACTAGGTGACTGAGAAATATGTATGGAGGGACGGTGGAAGAACAGTTGGCCACATACTCAATTATACGTGATTTGAGGTAGTGAGCTTATGGGGACTTTTTTTTCCTGTTTTTCATCAATCTATTCTCACTACATTTACTACATGTTAAAAGACACTCGACATAAGTTAAAACACAATGTCTAAAAGCCTCTGACCACTGCCCCAATTTTTACTTAACAAGGCATGCCAGCGGGCCCCAGAGCCTTGCCAGCACGGTCCCCACCTCATGTTCTGGGCCCTGATCTCATGTTGCCGCCACATGGTGTCATGCGTTGTAGCACATTTCCTGCTGTGCTCCCAAAGCATTCACTTAGGAAATCCACTTTGTGCTCCATGTTGAGATTACAGTATGTACAAAGACAGACACTGTCTTGACTTTTTGACCTTTACTGTCAAAGGACATGCATGAACAGTAACAAAACAATCAAGGCTGGTACGGCTGGAATGTGAGGGGAATGTGACTGTTGAGGGGCAGGCAGGGGCCATGTGAAGGATGGGATTTCTTTCCTCCTAAGGGCAACAGGAAATCACCGATAGGGCTTTAAGCAGGAGCACCTTAAAAAAATGACTCCATGTCTAGGCAGCTGGGTGTAGTGGCTCACGGCTGTAAAGTCAGCACTCTGGGAGGCCAAGGTGGGAGGATCGCTTGAGCCCAGGAGTTCGAGATCAGCCTGGGCAACATAGACCCCGTCTCTACAACAAAAAACACTATAGTCAGGTATGGTGGTACGCCTCTGTAGTCACAGCTACTCAGGAGGCTGAGGGGGGAGGATCACAGGTGGTCAGGGCTGCAGTGAGCCGTGATTGCCCCACCACACTCCAGCTTTGCCAACAGAGCAAGACCCGTGTGGGGAATAGACAGGGGTCCCCCCAGGAAGGCCAGTGCCAAGGCAGGGAGCTCTAGTCGAGGAGAGAGACATGAGGGCCTGCAGTGGGGTGAGACGTGAAGAGACTCAGATGGATTCCAGAAGAAGCAGGAGGCACAAATCAAGAGTTCGGGGAAAGACGGACAGGACACCAGGGAGAAAGTCACGAGCAACCCCAGGTCCTGGTTTAAATAGGTCAATGGTGATGTCATTCACCAGGACAGGGAACAGAGGAGAGGACCGGGTTTCCGCTGCATGGGGCTATACGGTGAAGAACATGGTCATGGAGGGCTTGCAGGGCTGGGCTGTCAGAAACACCAAGGGGACATGGGTGCCCAGAGTAGAGGTCTGGGCTGGAGATGACATGTGGAAGCCAGGGGCATGGAGAAGGTGGACTGAAACCGTGGGCTTGTGTGAGGGTGCCTCAGGAGAGGGGAAAGGGAGGAAGAGGGCTTGGACTTGACCTAAGCCACACACGAGCTCCGTGGAGGAGGACTGGCCTGCACAGGAGACTGAAGGAGTCTCCAGAGAGCAGAAAGGGCACATGGCCCAGAGGTGCCCGGGAACCAGCATTTCAAGGAGGCAGGCACGAACAGTCACAGCTGCCGAGGGGTCAGGGAAGCTAAACATGTTCCTGGGATTCGGTGGCACAGAAGTCACATGCAGCCAGGGAGGAGGAAGAACCATGATCTCAAGGTCTGAGTCAGGTGTCTCCCAGCCAGACTTAAGTGTTAAGGGAAGTGGGGGGGATGAGCAAACCGGTTTCCATACGTTTTTTAATTATGTCAGTGATCGGTATTCTCAAACACCAGCTGCTGCTGGTGGTGTGACCTGAACCCCTGCCTCTTCCAGCCATCCATTAATTTTCAGATAGATGCATGCCGACAAGCCCAGTCCTGGGGCTGTCACTGGACACACACAGGCGGATCATGCAGCTCACAATCTCAGGGCAGGGGGAGACAAACACAATCCCCAGAAGATCACCGCCTCGGAGCCCTGGCCTAGCTCACCTACCTCCAGCAGCTCCTGGGCTGTAGATCTGCGTAGTAAAAATCAAACCCTGAGGCAGAACCGGGTATTTCAGGGAATTTTTGTACCCAGCTTCTCTTGAAGGGCCCCTGAATAGTCTGTAAAAGGGATGGACGCCCAGTTGCAGAAACAGGCATTGTGCAAGGCACTTGTGTGTGTGCACTGAAATGGCTGGTTTCCTGGTTTCAGTCTAGATGAGCCAGTAGTGGCTATGAATGAGACTGGAAGAGGGGGCCCCTGTGAGAACATCTTTCAATCAGAATGTGCTGTACGGAGGGAGGGCCAGAGTTCATTTTGGTCACCAAAATTAACTTTTTTTTGTTTGGTTTTCCACTAGTTAGATCTGCCAGTTCCTTTTATCCCATGCACTGAAAGTTTAAAGTGGTGTTCTCAGGAATTATGTTTGGCCAGGAAAGGAGAAATCGCAGAAGCCAATTACATCCTCACAGGCCCCTTCCTTCCAGGAGAATGACTTTACCATCTTGGCTTTTGTACATGATATGAGCCAACATGGAAACGCAGGCTGCTCTGAACTCCTGTCATCATCCATCTTTACTGGGGACTGGGCCACTGGGTATTTTTTTCCCTAAGTCATAATCAGTGTACCTCAACGCTTAATAGAATTCATCCCCTCTAACTCCATGAAAGGACCATCACTTGTTGAAAGTTGCTAGAAATTATAAATACCTTTGAAACCTTCTATTGGTTGTGATGTGTCCCTTTATTTTAAATTTTGTATCAGTGTCCTCAGTCAGTCCAATGTCTTCAAGGAAAGTGAGTGCCCAGAGTCACAACAAGTAATGGGGAAACTCATCAGCTGGAGATCTGGGTCTGGCCAACAGGGCAACTTCTGGACTTTTCAGAAAAAGTGAGAATCCGAGAGTTTCAAAGGATTTATTTGATTTCCCCACATGATCACAACCATGGTTTTACATTGATAGAGTCTGTTGCCACTGACAAACAGAATGCAGATGAAAACAAACGCACTCCTTTCCTCTCAAAGGTACACAGTGGGGGTGCCAGGCTTCTTGTGAGGGAGGTGTCCCTTGAAGTCTCTGAACAGTCTGGGGATTCAGGACCTGATTCTAATTGCTTAAAACAACTCGGAGGCAAAAGATATTTTCCAAGAGGAGATGCATGCTGTGTGCAGTCTCGATGTGACTGCACACAGAAGGGCGATGCAGATGCATCTGAATGGAGGGCAGGCCTCCTCCCTCTTGTCCTGTGCTCAGCACCCCCACCTCACCCTGCTCAGTGTTGCAATGCTGCCTTGACTATTGTTGTTACATAAAATACAAATGTACTCGTTTCTCAGGCAGGAAGGGTGATGATATTTTACAAGGAGAACTGTAAGACTGTGCGTGCTTACCTGCGGGCACAGAGCTTCCCGTGGCGCTGAGTCAACACCCAGCATCAGCTGTGAACATCTGCTGTCTTTTCAGCTCATTAAGAAAAACAAGAGGCTCCTGCTGCATGCAGTGTGTGAGGGAAAGATCACTGCACTGGGTGCTGAAGACATTTTTAAGCAAGATGTGCACAGCATATTAGGATGAACTTTATTTTTACATTGTTGTACAATTCATTGGTAAACTTAAAAAAATACAAATACATGATTTGATTGTTGTCCCAGAAAAGACTTTTGTCACATTGCCAGCTGTTTCCCTCAGCGTCTCCTGCTCCTGTCAGCAATTCTGTATGTAACTGCAGTAATTTGTGTGACTTGAGAAAGGTGTGCCAAGGGCGTCCTCACAGTGAGAAGGGACCAGGCAGACATCCTGGGGCCCTCGGCCTCCTCCTGCCTCCCCTCCCAGGGGATGTGATGACAGGACCCCGAAGCTGTGGCTCTGACAGGTGGGATCTCTAAAGGGGACAGTCCCATGAAAGACACACGGGGACACCAGCTCACTGGGAGCTTTTGCTTTCCCAAACAAGATGTGGGCAGCATGACTCCAGCCTCTGGAACCCAACAATGTATCTTCCACAAACTTTTGATAAGCTTGCAAATAAAACAGAATGAAACCTCACTAGCCTGAAGGAACACACTGAGTGCGGCGGGAAACCCCGGGAAGGGCTCAGTGGGTTCCAGCAGTTCCTTACGCGAGGCCCTGCTGCCCAGCACAGCTCCAGGACACACCGAGGACAGTGCCACAGGCTGGCAGCCCGAGGCTGTGGAGCTTGCAGGATGGCGATGGAGAGGGAGAGTTTCCTGAAAGCCCCTCCTGGGGTTTTCTGTCTGTTCCTATTCATTACTGCTACCCTTCAGAAAGAGCAATTCTGTGCCAAACGGCCTGAATCTTTTCTGGAACAACCTAAAGGTTACAGTTAGACTCTCCTCCCAGCACAGAAGAGGGTGAGAAAAGCTGACATACTCAATATGTAATCGCTTTACTTCAACGATGTGTTTACAGTCACGCCAATACATTTTGCAAACGCACAACACGCAGAGCGCAGCCTCACAGCTGACGCCAGATGACATGCAGCAGTTTAACGCTTCCAGGTCGGAACAGCCTCCTCAAAATTGCGAGACAGAGTGCTTTGGGGAGCCTGGCTTTTAAAAAAGACCCGAGAATTGATGAGTCGGAGACACCAGGGCGCTTCCCTGACAGCCCAGCCTGGACCCAATCACACGGTCCCATGCTGTTTCTTTCTGAGCAGACACCAAAGAAATGCCACGCCAATGGGAGGACACAGGTGGGCGGGTTAAAGTCACATTTTTAAAAAGGCTAAACTCTAGATTGCTGTATTTGCTCTCTCTGGAGATTAACAAAGTGCTTGGTTTGCAGATTTGCTGGTACGGTGATCTCAATGATATGACCGAGGGTGGGAGGGATGTGAGGAGGGAAATCGGCAAAACCCTGGCCAGCCAGCCAGCCAAGGTGACACACAGCCAGAGGGGGCTCCCCTCTCCTCCTGCCGTCCGGCCACGGCTCACCACGCTGTCCACTGGGAACGCGGCCCCGCGGCCCGCAGAGTCAGGCGTGAGCTTCGCCCTTTCTGAAAGGGCCTCCGCCTGGGCAGGCGCCGGGGGGCAGTCCTCGGGTCCCATGGCTTAGGAGCACAGCACTGACGGCTGCAGTGGCTCGAAAGGCTGAAACTACAAAGTATGGCCCGTGGGTGACTCGGGCACAGACCTGCCGCGTGCAGGTCTGGCCCTGGGGAGCGCATGGTGTCACCACAACACAGAAGCGACAAGAGCACAGCTGAGAGTCATGTGATGCCCTGGCAGCTCACTGGACCATGGGAAGGCAGCGGGGGCTCCGCCGGGCACTCGTCGGCTGGGGTCACACGGGCCACGGTGAGGACACAGGGGTTCTGCTAGCACATGGCTACATGGAATTACGGTGATCACTGCTACCACTCAGAAAACAAAACGGGAAACACACACACCGCCCTGGGTTGCTAAACGCTAAAGTCAACCTTCAGGTTCGAGAGTGGTTCCTGATGAAAACACTCTCTGAGGGCTTCGGCCTGGTGTGGGTTGGAGGCGGGATGAGGACGTTATGGTGTTGGGGAGACGAGGATGAGAGCTGGTCACTTTCATGTTGGAGATGAACACTTCTGCCGTGTATGGGTGCCCCTCTCGGAGGACTCTGAATGAGTGTGCGTCAAATCATATGCGCATAAAAGAAACATGGATCATGGAGAGTCACAGTTATCGCAGCCATTAAAGTGTCTAAGAATCCGTGTAACCAATGTCCTAAGACAACCAGCTTGTAACCAGCTGTCCTGAGTTGCTACTGTAGAGTGTACTGCAGTTTAGCTATTTGCTTACCTGAAATAACAGCATTATAATACTATTTATGATAGTATTCTGTTAATAAAATAAGGATTTATACAAAGCAATACTGGACTTTTTAAACAGTTAGATGCTATGTTACTTGGCACAGTTAGTAATGATTGTGTAAAGATTTTAGCCAGTCCTAGAGGGACTTCTTTGTATGAAAATATGAAGTATCTGAATTTGTTCCTAGCATTTAGGGTTTGGTCTATTGTCTCACACACCCAGCTAAGGTACTGTCTTCCTATTAGGTAAGTGGAGCTCCTTGTAAGGTGGGTATTGCTAATGTGGACTGAAACGCCTGCCTTTCACACACAAGTACTACCTATACAGTATATATATATATATATTTATATATTTATATATTTATATAAAGTTTACTTACGTATTTTCATCAACCATATCAGGTCTACTTATTTTTTTGCCCATTGTCAATAAAAGAGCAATAATGCAGCAAGTTTTGGGGTTTGTTTTGTCTGTTTTTGTATCTCATTTCTTCGTTTTCTAGGTTGGGTTTTCATATGCATGTACATTAGGGCACAGGGAGCTGAGAGCTGGAGTGGGGGAGGCAGTTCAACACTACTTGGCTGGCTCACCGTTTCAAGGCTGATGGTGTCTGAGGCCCACCCATCCCTCAGACTGAGGTGAGCAGAGCCCAGGGTGCCAACAAGAAATGAAATCTGGGCCTTTGTTCCACACAACACCAGCCCTGTGGGCTCCTGGGGCTCCGGTTGGGCCGTGAGGGGCAGAGGGGAGAGATGGCAACAGAAGTGCCCCGGGTTTGGTGTGCGGCTGGCGACCCCCGGGCGTGCCCTGTGTGGTGTGCAGGTGTTTCAGGGAGCCTGGGACCCCTACCCAGGCTGTCTACACAATTGTGCTGATGCCGCTGGGTTTGGCCTTGCTGCTGGTGGGGGGCGGCGGGGCAGGGGGCTGCCCATGGTGGTGCACTGTGTGCCCCACGTGGGCCGAGGGCAGCGGCGGGTGGCCGTGGGCATGGGCCCCGTAGGCTGGGTGGCCCCCATGGGGGCCGTGGTGGTACTGGTGTGCGTGCTGGATGTGCTGGGGTGGGTGGTGGTGGTGGTGATGGTGGTACGGGGGAGGGTTCTGCATGTGGCAGTACTGGGTGTGATGCCCGTGCATGGCGGCCTGCGGCAGCCCCTCTGGGGGCCCCAGGTGGTGGCCAGCCACAGAGTGCTGCAAGTGAGGCAGGACCACCGGTGGGTGGGGGGGTGGCAGGGCTGGGGCTGAGGGCAGGTGGGCCTGGGGAGGGGGCTTCCCTCTCTTGCTCCCGAATAAGGAGCCCAGGAGGGAAGATGAGTTGGGCATAGTCTGGTGTGGGCGAGATGGACACTCTCGTGTTGATGTAGCTCTCCGGCGCATGTGAGGACTGCTAATGATGGACCCCTAAAAAGGAAATTCATAGAAATCAAAATTAAAAGATCTTCAAGCACTTAGGTCAGAATGATTTTTTTTTTTCAAATGTAAAAATTCACCCACTGACTGCTAAGCTTTAGTTCAACTCACTGGCCAGAGGGTGGGGCTCAGTGAGGCTGGACTGGGCCCCGCCTCCTCTCACTACAGTGCAGGGCAGCTGGGGGTTACTGGCCTTGACCAAAGTGGGGAGTGAGGGCAGGGGAGGGGCCCATCTCTCTGACCACCACGGCAGAAGTAGGACTTCTGGTCTCATTCTGACAAGCACTTTGGCCCTGGCAGCAGCCTGAGATTTCAAATTGGAACCCCTAGGTTGGGGTGTCTGTGCGCTGTGTGTGGCGAGTGCAGAGGGGCTGATGTGCCTGGAGGAGGAGCCCTGCTCCTGCTGAAAACAGGGCCCTCAGCTCTCCTGGGACTGCTCAACTGGGCTGAGGGCATGTGCTCCGCCCATGTGGGTCCTGAGGTCTCGGGGGAGGTGGTGACAGGGACAGGTGGGGCTCAGAAACCTTGTCCTCTGGGAGAATGGGCTGCCTAGGCATTTC
Organism: Homo sapiens; assembly: GCF_000001405.40. Taxonomy (NCBI): domain Eukaryota; kingdom Metazoa; phylum Chordata; class Mammalia; order Primates; family Hominidae; genus Homo; species Homo sapiens. The sequence goes on from NC_000003.12 coordinate 12,902,092, forward strand.
ACTACAGCTGCCTACTACAAACCAAACAAGGAAAAAGAAGGTAACAGAAAAAGATCTGCAAGCTGAGGTAGAGATGTGAACAGTAATACAGAGATGGCCGGAGGATGAGTGAAATATCATGAAATCCACACTGAATCTCTTTCTCTCAAGACACTCCTCCTCCCACAAGCTAAGCAATTCCATGGTGTCCTGCCGCAGACACACAGCAATCAAACTCCAAGAAGAAAGCGATGAGGATGGGCGGGCGTGGAAGTCAAGGGTTCAGCAAAAACATCCAACAGCAAGTGTGGAGGGTGAGTGGGAGCCGGGTGGCCCGGGCGGGGGTGCCGGAAGCTGGGGATGGTCAACCATGCTCAGGGACCACAGGTGATGGGGTTAAGCAGAAACCAAAACACAAAATCCAGAACCACCCCCACTGTTGAGTCCAAAACAAGCGGTGAGAGGCATGGATATTTCTAGGCACAGAGGAGAAGCTGACATGCACAGGGTTCCAGGCAGGCAGGGGCAGGGAGTGGGTGTCTGCATCTCTGTGCAGTAGGGGAAGGAAAAGCCAAAAAAAAAAACAACAAAAAAAAAACCAAAAAAAAAAAAAAAAAAAAAAAACCAGGACAACAGATATGAACTGAGGACTGGGGAAGGCGACACAGGACAGCCAGCTGGACAGAGGCGCTTCCTACTTACTTCCACATTGCTCTCTAGCGATCCCGCACTGCTGCGACGCCCTCGCTTCCCTGCCCAGAACATGCAATACCAGAAGTTAGACGCGGACATGAGGCTGGGGGTGCTGCCTGCCTGGTGCCACGCTGCTGCCACGGAGCCTGCACCCCTGCTGGGAGCAGGCACAGGTGCCGGGCCCACCTGCCCGCAGGAGCCAGGTGTGAGGGGTCGGAGGAGGGGCTCAGTGGGGAAGCCAGCAGCAGTGCAAGAATGAATTTTAAAAATAAAGTTTTCGAAAAGCAAAAAAAAAATTCTTTTTTAAACCAGCCCCAATTTTGTACTCCTCCTGGACCAGGAGTCTGTTGAGAGGGACCCTGGGGCTGAGGCATGTGTACAGGTGGGCCTGACGCCCCCAACTTGTGTGTTCACCCCTGACTCGGGTGAATGGGGAGGGGTGAGGGCAGCTTCCACATAGCTGCAAACAGCATGGCAGGTACTGCATGCCTACCTTCAGTGATTGCCATATATATGTGTATATCCGCACACACACATATATGCCCCCACCTCCTTGGCAGGACGAGCACTGAGGGTGAAGAGGAAACAACTTCACATCCCCGCTTCCTCCCAGCTGCCCGCAGGAGCTCAGTTTTGGTTTGTGCAGTGCCCTGGCCAGGGGCAGGAGACAGGGTTGGGGACTGCCGGAAACCGCCTTCCAGCTTGGGATTCCTCTGCTTGGTACCACCCCCCAAAGGGGCCACAAAGCCTTCCCTAAGCCAGGAGGTCTCTGCCAGCATCTTCGTCACGCCCCAGCGCAGAGCACACAGTAGGCACTCGGCATGCGGGGTCCGTCAGAGCAAGGCCAGGTCTTCCTCTTGGCTCTGGGTGCGTAGGGCCCAGGCCCGGCCTGGCCCCGCCCAGCCTCCACAGTCCCTCCTGAGGACTTCTCCGTGGATTTTTTGAGGAACACCAAGCCTGGAGCATGACGGGCCCAGCTCTCTGGGAGTGGGGATGGGAAGAGGGAGAGAGAAACAGTCCTCCCCACTTGACACTCTAGAAGCTTCCATCTGGGCAGCATCACCATGTATTGAGCGCTGCGCTGGACATGTCAACCCTATAGGCGCCACTGTGTCCATATCAGAGAGAGGAACACTGAGGCCCAATTCTCACAGGCAGCAGGGTTCACACCCAGACCTGCTCACCCGACCGCCTCTAAGGCTGGATAACTTGGCCATGCTGCCTTCAGAGCTGGACCCTAGGCCGGGTTGGGCCCAGGAGCCTGGAAGAAGGAAGCAACTGCTGGGCCTCCCCACTGTGCCCCGTCCCCAGCCTCTGGGAAAGCTACTGCACCTCCCAGCTAGCCCAAGGCCACCAGCCAGTGACAGGTGGAGGAAGTGCTGTGGGCTTCGAGCCTCCCCGTGCCATCTGAATGTGCTGGGCTGTGCCTTGGCATGGCTTCGGCCTGGGCATCACAGCACAGACTCAGGGGAGTCCAGTTCCTCTGCCTTGTCTGCTGACCCCAAACCAGAGGTCCAGGTGGGAGTTGGGGTCAGCAAAGGGCTTTGGGTGGCTCTGGCTTGTGTGACGTGGCCCTCAGAGACCACTACTGGGAAAGGGCCACACGGCACATCAGGGCAAGAGGGCTCAACACCAGTTGCTGAAGACTAGGACAGCCAAGTAGAACCTTGGCCCTAATTCTCAGCCGGAAGTAAGAGGAGGCTCACATTTCCTTATTTTTCAGCCAGTGTGGGAAGAAGGGCTGACCTTTCTTCCCTTCCTGCCCAACACAGTGGTCCAGGGACATGGAGCAAAGTAGAGTCCAGCCTCCCAGGACATGGCCTCCCTCCTCCACCCCCCTCTTGGGTGGCCACGGCCATCAGACACTCAGGACATTGTGGCGCCATGTGGAAATGTGGAGGGACAGAGCGCCAATGTCTCTAGGTTTTCAAATCAGCTCTCTAGCCTACCCCTAACGCCTGGGACTCCTCTGGCTGACTAAAAACCAGGGCCAGAGGGGAGATGGCCTCCCCGTCTGTAACCGGCAACTCCTTCTGGCTGGCCTATAGCTTCTGACAGGACCTGGGCCAGCCCTGAAGGCTGGGGTTGGGGGTCCACATAGTGTCCCCACCTGGAGTTGAACATGGCCCTCCTTACCCTGCCCAACTTGGGTGAACACTTAGGAGTTCCTTACTTGGCTGTTTTGGAGTGACGCTGAGTGTCTTACAATCTACTTTCTCAATGTCTCAGGTCAGCAAGAGATGCAGGGTGACCCCAGGGCTCCCTCTGTGCTGAGTCCTAGAGCCCTGTGCTCACAGGTACACCCACAACCATAACTGCCCACAGCCAGCCGTGCAGATATCCCATGCGTACGCAGCCTCCCACACCTGCCCTGGTTCACCGGCTGATGAAGTCAGGCAGGCCAGAATAGTGGCTCACACCACACACGTGCTGATCAGGCCAAGCCAGCCCTGGGCAGAGCCTGGAGGGACTTGGAACCATTTTTCTTGAAGGGCTCCCAGGATGATTCTTCACAACCTTTTCAGCTTCCTCAGAGTCAGGGCAGGGCGTAACGTGGCAGTGCTCTCCTGCCCACCCAGGATCCTCGTCCTGTGACCCTCAACAATGCTGTGGTTGGGCTGGTGGCCTTGCTCAGTGTCAGTGACCATAACAGAAATGATAGCTATGCACACTCGGCCGGCGCTGCCTGAGCCAGGCATGCCTGAAAGGCTTTCCATGCATCGACTCCTTCGCTGCAGCTGGGGAAACGGGCCCACAGGGTCTGACCGCTAGAGAGGGCAGGCGGAGGTGGGGGATGAGCTCAGGCTGTCTGATTCTGGCATCTGCGTGCTGCACCATGTTCTCTGCTGGGCCTGACATGGTGGGGAGGGATGTGGCCAGGGCAAGAGGAAGCACCACCCTCTCTGGGCCCTGGCCTGCTTCACACGTGGCAGGGGCGCTTCTCTGTCCACCCACCACTGGTGCCTGTCACTGCTCCCCTGTAACGGGACATGGAGACTGCTGCAGGCAGGTCCTCTCCGTAAGGACTCAGAGCTGGGCAGCTTGGCCAGGGAGGGGCAGGAGGGCCGCTGGGGGCCACTGGTCAGTGTCCATCACCACTTGGCTGAACCCTGTTTCCACAGTCCTTGCTGGGTCCTTGGTCTTGGGTCAGCAGGACTCTTGTGCCGCTGGAATGAGCACCGGGTGGGGAGTCTTAGCCCAAGGGAGACCAGGGCTGAGACGCCAGGCAATGCACTGCAGTGGGGCCGGCGCCAGCCCCCTTCCCTCTAACTCTTGGCACAACAGAGGCTTCTGCAGTCTCCTGAGGATGGGTTCCTTCAGGCACCATCTACGGCCACTTCATCAGTCCCCTGGCTTCATGTCTGTGGTATGTCCTCCTTTGGATGGATGTCGAGTGCAGACCTGGGACAGCTGCTCTCAGGGTCTCCTGCCCCAGGAGCAGTGACGTGTCAAACATGGAGGGGACACTGTCCGCAGGCTCACCTCTTCCACAAGCTCATCGTGGTGTTTCAGGCTCAGTGCTGTGAGGGCCGTGGTGAGTGAGGTGGGGCCATGCTGCCGCTGGGGAGCTTGCAGCCCCCATCTGGTCCAGAGCACATCTGACCTTTCCTGCTGCCAGCCCTGCCCCTCCCCAGGAAGGCTGCCAGCACCTGCCTGTCCCGATGGGAGATCACAGGTGGCCTCTCCCCAGCCTGGGGCCTCGGCAGCTGCCTGGACTCAAACCCCACCTCGCTTCACCCCCAAACCTTTCGGGGTACAGGGGGGTCCCTGAGATCTGTTCCTCCTTTTGTTTCAATGGCAGGCCCAGGGTGGGGTCTCAGTCCCTATTGTCCGTCTGAGCTCAGAATTCCCAAATGACAACAGCAATCGTCACACTACATGAAAGCAGCTGGCCGTGGGCCCACCCCTCACACGAACCTGGGGCCGGCACGTGGCTGTCCAACCCCCAAGCTCTGGCAGAGGGTGGACAGCTGAGGTCCTGACTGCTGGGCCCTGGGGCGGATGGCGCTCAAGGGCCTCGGTTCTGGCAGAACTGCTGCTGCCTGAGAGGGGCTAAGGGAAGGGAGAGGGCAGGGCCTGTCACACTGCACAAACTCAAACGGAGGCTCTAGCCCACAGCCTGCAGAGGCCCAAAGCAGTCCAGTGACATTTAGCTGTGTTTCACAAGGCCACTGGGGAAACCAGTGGTTCTCAACCAGGGATGATTCTGTCCCCCAGGGGATACCTGGCAATTTCTGGAGACATCAGTGACTGTCATGACAGGGAAGATATTACTGGCAACCAGTAGTAGAGGCCAGGAATGCGAGTAAACATCTTGCCAAGCCCGGGACGGTCCCCCAGCAAGGAGTCACTTGGCCCAAAATGTCAATCAAGCCGAGGTTGAGAAGCCCTGGGTTCAACCCTCATGCTGGCAACTGGCAATGAATTTCTGATTTTTTTACCATGGCAAATAATAATAATAATGACAAAACGAAAACAAAGGAAAAAATCCAACTTAAAGGGCAGACTCCAAAGGGCCTGAGAGGGACTAAGCTGAGGGGAGGCAAGGCTGCTGACGGGCAGGTGCGGGAGGGAGTCCTAAGGTGGGGCAGGTGGGGCAGGCAACCCCAGGAATGGGGGGGTCTTCCCAAAACAGGCACACCAGGCTCCTGGGGCAGACCTGCGTGGGACAAGCTGGGCCACTGCAGCCCCAGGCAGTCCCCGGGGCCCCTCCTGGGAGAAGCTCGCTGACTGGTGGACAGACTGTTCGGCGGAGGGCGGCTACGATACCCTCCCGTACACTCCTTGAGCAGCAACACAGCCTGCAGCGGCACGAGCCGGCACCCACCGGTCGGCCAGTGCCTCTTTTCTCTCCTGCCCCACAAGGGAGAGCCTGGGCCACAGCTGCTGGCAAAAGCCCCTGAGCCTTGCTGCTCCCGGTGCCCCACTCCCAGGAATGTAGGCAGTTTCAGGGGTGCTGCTTGCTTGGGGGTTAAACAGCTGGCAGCAAATTAAACACACACAGAAACAAAGAAACAACCACAACATCACAGTTCCCACCAGGGCTTTCCCGGACCCCGGAGCCAGCCCTGGCTGCTGCTCAATGGCCTCTGGGCTGGACGAGGCCCGGGTTTCCCAGGAGAGGAGGCCCCGCAGGGAAAGCAAGACCGGGGACAGTGGGCAAGGGGGCGCCAGACAGATTAGAGGGTTCCGCGCAAGTTCATTCATCAGCATGAAGCACAGGGACGCGGCCGCACAGAGAGCACGGGACACAGCCGCCGGCTCACTCGGGCTAGAGCGACTTCCCAGATCAATAAACAAGTAAATAAAACCCCTGGAAGAAGAAAGGGAAAATGGGGGTGACTTCCCCAGCTAATTCGTGTGCAATGCCTTTCTTTTTGACGTTTGGGTCCTGTTTCCCTGTGTCTTTTTGGGGCGCCCTTTCTGTATGTCACACGCTGCTCTGCTTTGCGGAAGGTCAGGGGAAATGCCGCACTGGCTTCGCCGCAGGCCCTGCCCCGCGTGATGCATGCCCTGAATGCAGACGCCCTGCCTCGGTCTTGCATGCGCTGGGCTAGCAAGGTGGTTCTAGGCCAAGCTCTTACCGGCTTCCGAGAGGTCCCGCAGGGAGCTGCTGAGGGCGCTGCGCTTGAGGCCCTCACCGCTGGCATAGCTGTCGTCCAGGCAGGCCCGGCTCAGTGTTCCGTTGCCCGACTCCTTTTTGAGGCTAGAGCACTGGGACATGCTGGGCCGCACGACGCCTTTCTGCTTCTCGAGCTCCGCTGGAACAGAGAGGGTGAGGGTCCTGGTGAGAGGAGCACAGCCTAGAGTGGGCAGGAGACGGGGCCTTCTGCTTGGAGCTAGCACTGTCCTGAGCCACCATCTGCTTGGAATGGGGAAGGGTTGTTTCTGGGAAAGAGGGTGTGATGGCCACCCTGGACAAAAGAGCAGAAAGGAGATCCCAGGAGGGAGGCTAGAGAGACCAGAGGGCCTTGTGACCTGCAGGAAGGATAGTCACCTTCCAGGCTCGGGAGTGGACAGGGAGGCACAGACTTGCCTGGGTCTGAGAGATGAGCAAAGATTAGCCAGGGTCTTCCACAGAGAGGGCAGTGGTAGGGAGTCCCATGTGCCTCCAAGGAGTAGACCTGGAGCCAGGGAGTAGACCTGGAGCCAGGGATGGCCTTGGCTGTGTGACCCATCAGTCGGTTGAGCCTGATGCAGAAGATGACGAGGTGCAGAGAGGCCAGCTGGGAACTCTGCGGGCTCTTGCGCACGGGATGACCAGAGAGCCAGGGTCTTTTGATGGACATACAACAGGCAACAGGTAGGGCGGGTCCTGGATTGGACTCCCTCTGTGCCTCCTGCAGCCTGGGAACACAGACTGCCCCATCATGTGGCCATAGGGAAGGCCAGAAAAGACTGGGGGACATCTTGTCTCTGTGAGCTCAGAAGTCACTGCCCTGACATGGGGAGGCAAGTGCCAGAGTCTGGCAAGTCTCGGCCTTCTGTCCATGAGGCCTGGTACTCACACTCTATCCTGTGCTTCTCCATCTCTTGGACTTCCGCAATGGACTCCCGCAGGTCATCGGTGAATTTCTTCCGGTCTTGAGGGTTGGGGGCGTTGAAGTTTATTAACACTTTGATATCTGCTCCGGGGACAGACGAGGTGAGCCGGATGCCATTGGGGTAGTCTGCAAAAGGGAAGGAGAGGGGAGGAGGCCCACGGGTCTCAGTGTGTTCTCTGCAATCTCCTCTCTGGTCAGGAAACAATGGTAGGGCTGAGTTGTGCGTGAGCCTGGGATAAGTGCCGGGAGTCCAGCCTCCGCAGTGGCAGGCTGCAGGGGTGCAGAGCAACCTCATCTCCCGACTTGGGAAAGATGGTCTGTGTCGCTCCACATGTGACTCAGGGACAAAAGTGGTCGAGCTCAGGGGAGGCTGCTGGGGCCGCGTCCTGGAGGAGGACAGAGGTTGCGTCCTGAGAAAGGTGGGAGTCTTCTCTAGTCATCTCAGTTCTGGACAGCAGTGAGCGCCATATTCTCCCGAATGGCCTGTGGCCCACAGCTCCCATGGGGTGCACTATGGGCACTCCACAGCCAAGGAACCCTGTGCCCAGACCTGCCTGGTGCCACCTCCGGGCTCTCAGGGTCCCTGGGGCTTTGGTCTCCTGGCGGTGCTGCTCCGGCAGTGGGAGTCACTGGCAGAGCATCAGCCACTGGATGTTTGAAGGTTCTTGGACCAAGTACCAATCCCACCTTGGCTCAGACCAGGTGGGCCTGTGGGCAGCTGCAGAGTGCTCCTGTGTGCATATGTGTGCACATGTATGTATATGCAGCCCATTACTGCCACGTGGGAACATGTGCCTAGTGACACCAAACCTTCTGATTTTCAGAGAGGCCCAAAATATCTACATTTTGATGTAGAGACTGGCTCAGCAAACTTTTTAAAAATATGCAAACCATATAAAAGATAACTGAGCTGGGCCTGCCTCCCAGGCTGTCAGTTTGAGACCCCTGGAATGACGGCATGTCCTATAGAAGCTGCAGGCTTGGCTCTTGCCAGCACCCGGCACCCACGATCTAAGGCCAAGCCCTGGGACCATAGACATGATCCAGGTGCAGCCTCTGCCCTGATGGTCCACAGTGGTCCTGGCCCCCTGCTGGGAGCTTTGCTGCCAGGATCTCACTAAGTTCCCACCCTAGCCCTGGGCAGCAGGGGTCAATGCCACCATCTCAGAGAGCAGGCTACTGCTGGTCAGGACAATGTGGGGATGGCACTGGCCTCCCCTGGGACCAAGGCAAGGCATGACTTGCAGCCTGCGATGGGACAGGAATGGCAGGAGGTGGGGAGGCGGCCAGGGCAGGCATGCCATGCCCCTTGTTGGGCACGTGGGGAGCAGGGCATACAGGGAGTGCAGGGTCTCCTACCGGGCTGTCCCTGGTCCCACTGAAGACTGAAGGGGACAGAGAGCCCCAGATCCAGGCGCAAGGCCTGTGGTTTTGGATGGTCCAGCTGCAGGTCCCTGACACTGTTCTAATCCGCAGATGGAAGGCTGATTAGACAGACAGTGACACCTAGTTCTGAGAGGATAAGGGACCCCTACTGCTCAAGCACGGACACTCAGCTTCTTTCCCTAGGACACTCCAGGTGGCCCCCTGCTCCCCAGCCCAGGAGGACTGGCTCAGCCTCCAACAGGGAAGGGACAAAGGAGGGGGAAGAGAAGCCGTGGAGAGTGAAAGGAGCAAGGTAAAATGGAAGCCAGTGGGGTGCTGCAGGTGTGAGCCTCCCAAACTCCCAGGTCCCCAGGCCTCACCCAGGGCCTTCCAGCAGGGCATCAAAATTAACCCTTGCAAAGCACTGTGTTCCGGCAGCTATGATGGGGGCCCTGTGGCAGGCACTACCTTACAACCCAGGCAACAGAGGCCAGAGGGGTTGCAGAGCCAGGCCACACAGCAGTTGAGCCAGAGCTGGGATCTGACCCAGGCTGAGGGGCTCAGTTCTTCACTTCCGCGGACACTCATGGGTTGCTGTCACCTGTGTTCTGGGCCATGTTTGCATATCACCTATGACTTAATGTTTTTCTATCAACATTTACATAAATGTATTTCTGCCATAAATTTAAAAATCTTATCACCTGCAAGAAACGAAGTACCAGTAAAAGCAAACTGAGTGTCTGTCCAGTGTTATTACATGAGGCTCAGCTGACTGATGGGCCTCTTGAGGGTCTGTGCCTACAGCTCACCGGAGCTCCTAGCTGCAATCTGCTCTCTGGGGATAAAACAGGGGTGAGCGTCGAAGCCCCCCGCGGTTCTGTCCTCGAAGCAGCCAGGAGAAAGAGCGTAAGCTGGGACATGCGCTCTTCCAGGCAGGCCCTGGGGGCAGACTTACACTGGTTCTCGAAGAGCAGGACCTGCATGCCGTACAAGGAGAAGGACTGTCGGAAGCTGTACGTCACCGAGTTCTTCTTCTTCTGGAAGATCTTGGTGACCTAGAGGCAGCCAGAGACAGAGCTGAGCTACAGTGTCTCGGGGGGCACTGACTATGTGGGACCTCTGGTCAGAGGATCCTCCTGGAGTTCAAAGTCAGGAGGACAGGGACAAGCCCACGTGAGTGGAGGGCATGGGCTTCCACTCCAAGACTCGGACAACGGTTCCTGTCCCCGCAACCCCGATGCCATCTTGGCTGGCAACAAAGCCCCACAACCTGACATAGAGGCGGTAGGCACTTCACAGCACGGAGCCCCCTCAAGTGCCTTCTCACAGCCAGGTGAGGTGTACACACCCGGGGCTTGGCACCTTGAGGGGCAGGAATGGACAGGTGGTGCTCACTAGCGCTGACCTTGGTAAGAAGCCATGGCTTCCTTTCTCGGGAACAACCAGAGTGTGAAGCTATGCCTGGTGATGGCCTGCAGGGAGACTGGCCCCTGGGCTAGCGACGTGATCCCTGAATCCCAGCTGGCCCGCCACGGTCCTTGGCTGCTATTCTGGTCTACAGTAGGAAAGGAACTTTCCAGTGTGGCAGCCAAAGGCTGGGCTGGGAGGGGAGAGGGGAGCTCACATCTCCCCGGTCTCCAGGGCATGCCAGGCACCATGTAAGGTCTTACGTCCAGGACCTCACTGGACCCCTGCCACCTTCTGAGAGATTCATCTTACAGAGGAGGAAACTGAGGCTCAGAGATGTGAAGGGATTCGCTCAAGGTCAGGAGTTCTTCATAAAGGATTTGAACTTACACGTCTGATTTCAACATCAGTGGTCAGAGAGGGTTAGCCAGTCCTCATACCCAATCAAGAACATGGGCCTGTAGTCCCAGCTACTCGGGAGGCTGAGGCAGGAGAATGGCGTGAACCCGGGAAGCGGAGCTTGCAGTGAGCCGAGATTGCGCCACTGCAGTCCGCAGTCCCGCCTGGGCGACAGAGCGAGACTCCGTCTCAAAAAAAAAAAAAAAAAAAAAAAAAAGAACATGGGCATCTTTGGCAAGAAAGCCCGTGGCATGCAGGGGTACAGAAATCCAAAGGACAAGCTCTCCCTTCTCTCTGCAGTGGGCACTTCTGCCCCCGTCTGGCTAGCATCCATGCCACCTTTTTTTCTGGCAAGAGCTCCCCAGTTTCCTTTTGGGGAAACCTCCAGCCCTTGTTTCCTTCAGTCCATAGGTCTTGCAGGGACCAGCTCAGGGCTCCAGGAGGTGGGGCTTGGGACCTAGGCCTAGCCAATCAGAAAGCACTGCACCTGCCTGGCCTGGAGAGGCTTAGGGAGGGATGTGCAGCGACAAGCGCTAACTCTGCAACCTCTGCTCAGTCTAGGAAGAGGATTCTACAGTTGCTCAGCAGACAGGATCAGGTCTGGAGCTGCTGGGGCCACCTTCCCCTTCCTGGACAGAGCCTGTCTGAGGAAGGGGCCTGCCCGAGGAAGCGTCACACAAGGTACAGGTGCAGACAGCACACAGGAGTGCTGCTGACGTTGGCAGAGGCTCTGGAAACAGCTGGTACTAAAGCCAAAGATCTCCCTCTGGACCTGTGCATGAGCCAATGAAGTCTGTCTTCATGTGCATCAGTGTGAAAGACACCAGGCAAACCCTCCCTTTTGCACCCCCACATGCATGCACATCTTCCCCACGCAGACAGCCAGACATGGACCCTGGGCTCAGGCTTGAGGTCCCTGCTACAATGCCTTGTGGGTGAGCCACATACCACCAGGAGGTCGTTGAACAGGAAGATTTCTCGCTGGTGTAGTCCGAGTTTCTGGGGCTTGTTTGGGTCTGGAACCTCAAAGAGCCGGCAGTAGCAGACCAACCGACGGTGGGGCAGAGAGAGCACCTGTGTGGGAAGAGGCTGTCCTGCCACGGCCGCCCAGCTCTCCTCTAGGAGCCCTGGGGGCCGCAGTGGAGAAGTCTAGCCCTTCAAGCTAGAAACCCGGCACGTGGGCCTTGAGTTAAAAAATGCCTTCCCTCACAGACATTGAAGAGCAGATACGTCTTTTGGCTCATGGCAGTTTCCCGTACTCTGTTCTCAGGAGCCACTATTTAAAATCCCGTATCTCTGCTCTCCTGAAGGACTAGGGACGTGCCCCAGCTTCTGCTGAGACCTCCTTTCCATTCTTTTGGGCAGGTACCAGGCTTCTTAAACTATCACGTTCACCTGGGAGCCTCTGGCCAGACAGCGAGTCACATTTTGAGTCCCCACAAGTGCCGGTCATAAACATGAGGCCACTCAGCCCTGCAAAAGTCTTTACAGAGAGAATCTGCTCTAGATGAGGAAAAACTGAGGCACAGAAGTAACGACAAAACTAGGAAGTGGCAGAGCCAGGATCCAATTCCAGGCCCCAGGACTTTTCCCACCCAACCAAGCCTCCCCATAAAAGATTCCTATGGTCCTGATGCCTGAAAGACTCTCCAAAATCCTGAGCCAGCAGCCAACACTCTGTGGCACTTGCCCTGGACCCGTCCTCTGCTCCCCACAGCTACCCTGAACATGCCCCTGACAGCTCACGAAAGCTCCCAACACGGTCATAGCTCCAGCTGCCCTTGAGGCCCAATGCCTCAGGGCGAGGGATGAGCCATCAGGGCCTGGCTCTGGGAGTGCCCAGGTTCATGCAGGATGGGGGAGGCGGTCAAAGGGGTGGGATCCCCGGGATCACCGTCCTGAGGCCAGAGGCTTGACTCTACCAGGGGTGCTCTAGGCCAGGGCTGCCTGAGTTTGGCACATCTGGGGGTTAAGATGAGGGGGAAAATGTGGCCCAGCCTGGGGTGCTTAGGTTGCAAAGGTATGAAGGAGAGAGGATGGGAGGGTTCGGGGAGCACTGGCTGGAGGTGGGAGGGGACTGGTCTCTTGCAGGGGAAGCTGGGGAGGGTGAGGGCAGGCAGAGCGGCTTTCAGGACTGAGGGACAAAGCCAGTCCACAAGGAGGGTCATGGTGAGCAGCCCAGTCACCCTGTGTGCATGTGTCCTGGGGCGTGTGGGCACACCACAAAGCTATGGCAGAGGACGGGTCCTGGGGGTGAGGAGGCAGGCACTGGGAGAGCCTGGGGCATGGGATGTGGGGGACAGAGCACAGAGCAGGGCCAGGTAGCGGACAGGGCAGGGCCTCAGAGGACACACCGGGGTCTGTTTCAGGCGCAGGGTCTGGGGGCTGGGCTCAACAGGGCGTCAACAAGAGGGAGCAGGAGTCTCCCCTGACAGCACAGCCTCAGGGCCTGCAGAGATCTGAGGCTGGGGTAATTACGAACATCTGATTCTCAGCACCCCAGCAATGAACTCAAGCAGCCAGCACTTGGGCTCTGGGAGCCTGGGGAGCCGGCGGACTGGCTGATGCTGGGCCTCCCCAGGGCGGCGGGCTACCCACAAAGGTAAAACCAGAGAAATACTCACACAGCCGAGCCCGGGATGCAGGGATCCGATCTGCGGGAGAATGTGAAACCAACAAAAGGGTGTTCATGTTTCAAAGCCACGCCCAGGCCAATGCTGCAAGTGCCCCTCCCTACACCTACCCTTGGGATCCACCCAGCCAGTATGTGGGGTACCCACTCTCTCTGGCAGAGCTCTCTGAGGGGTCCCAGGGGACTCCTGGACCACCCAGGAAAGCCTGCCAGTGTCGGGTGCCCAGAACTCAGCCACTGCACAACCCTGGCCTGCTAGATCATTAAGAGCCTCAGCTCTCTTCAGATTGTAACGCAGAGCCAATAGCTGTTATTCCCAAATATGACAGGAGACACTCGAAAAAACCCCAAGCCCTGGCAGAATTCACCAGCCCTGCTGGAAGAGACCACACGGAGTGGGGTGGGTGGGAGTGAGAAGGCCTGGCAGGCAGCCCCGCCCGGGTGGTGCTGGGGCCCACCACGTACCAGGGCCCATCACATACCGGCTTTTTCCCCACAATGAGCTTCTCCACCTTCTGCACCTGGGACACATGGTCCTCATTGGTCTTTAGCTCTCGCTTACGGATCCGTTCATAGATCCCCATCAGCATCTCACGGGGAATGTCCTCACCATCGTCCACACCTGGGTAGGGGATGCAGCTGGATATCAGGGTGGGCCCCAGGCTCACTCGATTTACCAGTTTCTAAAGCAAATCAGAGGAGCGAACCTTCCACTAGACCCAACAGAACCAAAGAACTCCCAGGCAGGCCCACAGCAACAGGACATTTTCAGTCAACACAAATTTCCTCAGTCCTCCTACCAGAACGGGCCCAATACATCCGACCCGGTCTAGTAGGCGATGGGTGTCAGGGGCTGAGCCACCTCTAAGCCATTTTCAGAGGGCTTTATAAATGCTACCCTGCTCCATGCTAACCACAGCCCTTCGAAGTGGGTATAATCATCTCCATTCCACAGATGGGAAGACTGAGGCTGACGTGTGGGGAGGCTGGAGTATAGGGAGGCTGGGGTTTGTTTGGGCTCCGATGGACCTGGGGCCACGTCCTACTTTCACCCTTACTAGCTGTGTGACTATGGGCGAGTGACTGCCTCAACCATGCTTGGTGTCCTCCTCTAAAACACCTTGCCCACAGCACAGGCTTGTTGTGAGGAAACGAGGGGCGCCTGGGGCGTGCCCAGCTCTGCATCTGAGCGGTGGGAGTGCTGCAGTGGTTGCTGTTGCTGGCCCACATCACATGGGCAGAGGCTGGAGGCTGGGCTCTGACCCGGGGCTGCCCTAACCACAAGCACACACTGCTTCTTTCTTCCTCCCCACTCTGAAAACCGCTGTGAGCAGAGAAACAGCCTTATACATATGGGAAATGCAAACTCGTTTTGCAGTGAGCTCTACCCTCACCCATCCGCCAGACTGCAGTCCAAAAGGCTGCAGTGCTTGGGGAACATGGACCTCCCACAGATGGCTGGCAGGACAGGAGATGCTCCAACCCGGGGTAGGCAACCTGGCAATGCCTGTCCAAATGACAAGTTCTAGCACCCTCTGGTCCACTGACTGCATTTGGGGAACTTATCCCATGGGAAATGAGACACATACAACGTTATCGCAGCACTGTTTCCAAATGGCAAAAGGCTGGAAGTAACCTGTGTACCCATTAACAGGGGAGTGCTCAATCATCCCACATCAGCACGACAGACTACTTACTACGCACCTGCCAAGAACAGTGAAGAAGGCCACAGTAAAGCACATGGGCCGTTTCTCTTAGATTTAGTAAGTGGGAAAAGCAAGGTGCAAAGTAGCAGGGGATAAAACCATTCCTGCATATGTGCACTTGCATGAGCGGAGCACAACTAGGGGGCACAGCCAGGAGAAGCCAAAATCGAGGAACTTCAGGGGCAGAGGCTATGCCCTGAGCAGGTGGGGCAGGGTGGGAAGGAAACTGCTAGGCACCTTCCAGTATTTTTTATTTTTATTTTCCTAAATAGACATTATTTTTAGAGCAGGTGTAGGTTCTCAGCAAAATTGAGCAGAAGGCAGACTTCCCATGTATGCCCTGCCCCCCGACACTCATAGCCTTCCACGCTGTCGCCATCCTCACCAGAGTGCTCCATTGGCACAATGATGAGCCTACACGGACACATCAGCGTCACCCGAGGTCCATGTTTTAGATTGGGGTCCACTCCAGATGCTGTGATTCTGTGGGTTTGGGCAAACGTAGAACGACCCTCATCCACCATTATAGCACCACGCAGAACAGTGTCACCGCCCTAAAAATCCTCTGAGCTCCGCATACCCATCCTCCCCTTCCCCAGCTCCTGGCAGCCACTCATCCTTTTCCTGTCTCCATAGTTTTGCCTTTTCCAGAATGTCATAGAGTTGGAATCACATAGCACGCAGCCTGTTCAGACTGGCCTCTTTCACTCAGTGCTACACACTTAAGTTTCCTCCACATCTCTTCATGGTCGATAGCTCACTTCTCTTTCGTGCTGAGCACTATTCCACTGTCTGGAGGCACGCAGTTTATTTATCCCTTCATCTGCTCAAGGACGTCTGGTGGTTGCCACATTTTGACAGTTTTGAATGGAGATGCTATAAGTATCCGTGTGCAGGTTTTTCTGTGGGCCTAAGTTTTCAGTTCTTTTGGGTAAATATCAAGGAGCACAACTGCTGGATCATATTACTTTCTGGCTTTCAAACTATGTGAATATCCATTCAAAAAATAAATTAAAAAATTTAAGAACAAACTTTAATAACAAGGAAAGACTCCTGGACTGGCTTCCGTGGTGAGCTACTCCGCCTTCACAGTCCTCCAGCCCCCAGGGCTCTCCCGCTGCGGGACCCACTGGACAAACTGCGCTGACCCACTCCAGAGAGGATGTGTGTTGGGGAGGGGGTGAGGATTTCCCTACAAAAAGGACAAGCTGTCCATGCACTCGGCACAGAGCACCAGGCTGGCTCCAGGAGTCCAGGGACCTGCCTGGCCTCAGCCATTTCTTGGTTGATGTGACCCTGGGCAGGTCCCTTCCTTCTCTGAGCCCTGATCACCCATTCTGAAGCATGAGGAAGATGAGAAAGAATGTCCCTGAGCTCTGGGCTGAAAAGGGGTGACTTGGTGGGGACAGCCCAGGCTTGGGAGACAGAACCTGCAGCTCCCTTCTTGGGAATGGGGTGCACAGCCCCTTCCATGGGAAGTGGGGAGGCTCCTGCCACCCTGTCATCCAGAGAACTGGCAGTACTGGGTGCAACCATGGACAGGACCCACAGAGCCACTGCCACTGAGGTACAGACTGGCCGCCACCTGACTCAGCAGCCCTGCCCTGCCAAGCCTTCTCTACTCTAGGCCAGTCATTTCTGGTTCCTCCTGCTATGTCTCATCCAGCATATCCCAGATGACGTGCAGGAGGTTCTAAAGTAAGAAAAAAAAAACCTGGCCAGGCACGGTGGCTCAAGCCTTTAATCCCAGCACTTTGGGAGGCCAGGGTGGGAGGATCACTTGAGGCCAAGGAGTTCAAGACCAGCCTGGGCAACATAGTGAGACCCTACCTCTAGAAAAAATAAAAATTAAAAATTAGCCGGGCATGGCAGTTCGCGCCTGTGGTCTCAGCTACCTGGCAGGCTGAGGCAGGAGGATCTCTTGAGCCTGGGAGGTCAAGGCTGAAGTGAGATATGATTGCACCACTGCACTCCAGCCTGTGCGACAGAGGAAGACCATGTCTAAATAAATAAATAAATAAATGTAAACAAATTATAGAGACCCTCAAACTGTCCCTGGGCTGCCAGAGGGACCTCTAAATATAAATAAATACATGAAGTAATTAAAACAAATCAGAGACCCTCAAACTCCCCCTGGGCTGCCAATAGCATGCAGCACACAGCTGGCTTTCCTGGAGGCGATGGCCAGCCTGCATCAGGGGTCATGCGGAGGTCTGTGAATCCTAGAAACAGGCTTGGCCCCATGAGAAGGGAGGCTCAGGATGAGAGGCCCCGGGTGGATGTAGAGGAGGCCCGGCCTCCTGGCTGCTGCTTGGACACCTGGGCCTGGGAGTACATGTTGTACCATCAAAGTGTCCACTGGTGGCCCTCGGGAGCTCTCAAGCTGCCTTGGTTCCCAGGAACTACAGACTTGATGGACTTGGGGCCTGCGATGCCCCTCAGACCTTGCAGGAGGCCACGTACAGTAACTGCTGGGTGCAGGGAATGGCTGTCCATGAGCTCTAAGCCACGCCCCAGCCTGCTCAGCGCCCCTTCCTGCCTCCCAAGGGAGGTGGCAGAACCACTCAGGTCTTGGAGCCTAGCTCAGGTGCCATCTCCCTGAGGCCTCTGCTACCTGGGTTTCCTGCCACAGCGGCACCCGCCACCAGGGGAAGGGGAGGGCACCTGGAGACCCCGGAGTAGAGCTGGAGCTGCTCCCTGGAGAGTGACACTGTTCAAGGAGAAGGGACGGCAGAACCGCTGTTGAATAAACTAAGAATGAACAGCTTTGTCAGCTCCACACGCTCTTAGAGCCAGGCTGTATTCACACTGGCTCTTCTTTGCTGTTACAAATAGTGACAACCTTTCCAAGGAACCCTCAGCCCCTGTTTTCAACCCACCCTCAGCTCTTGCAGCCAGGGTTCCCACAGGGACTGAGGGATGCGGTGCCTTCCTCCTTCCTTCCGGGGACCCTGGGGCACACAGGGGACACACTGGGCTGGCACAGAGCCACTTGGGAGAAGGTCACGGCCTTTTAGTTCCTTTCCTGTTTCTGATCACACAAGGATGCCTCGCTGCCTGTAGACTCCGCACCAACACCTCCCAGCACATGCCCACCTCCCTGAGGGCAGGGAGCCGGGTCTGCACTCCAGTGCCAGCAGCCGGAAGCCGCACTGGGCTAGAACTCAGCAGCACTGCTTTCTTTTCTTGCAAAGAAAAGAAAGAATGTATAATTACTTTCTACATGTGGCAAATGCTACTCATTCTCCATTTACAGTAGCGATATCAAGTCCCCTTTTAAAATATATACTTTTAGGTAAAGACACAAAGAAAAAGGCCAGTTTCATCCTTCAAGGACAAGCTAACAGTGTCACCTTCTCTGTGAGGAAGGTTTCCCAACACCTCGAGACCCCGGCCTGTGTCATGCAGCCTGTGTCCCACGGGGGCTCCTCTAAGGCAATGCTCTTTCCAGTCATCTGTGCTCCCCAAAGGCCCCTCCATGCCAGACCCTGGAGTGCCGGAGCACAGCTCCCCAACTGGAGGTTGCCTCACGCCCCTTACATCTGGGGAGGGCCTGGCTGGGGCAGGTGCTGGAGCAAATCTGTGGCTGGCCGACCGCCTGAGACAGCTCACCTCGGAGGTTCTTGATGAAGTCCTCTAGCTTCATTTTCCGCTCGGGCTTGACATTGGGGCTGTACATGTCGGTGTTCAGCAGGATGATGGCGAAGGCCAGGATGAAAATGGTGTCTGGGTTCCGGAATTGCCGCACCACCCCAGGGTTGCAGATGCAGTAGCGCTGGCTGCGGGCCGGGAGGGAGGGGGTCAGGGCCATGGCGCAGCAAGTGACACGGCCCCTCTCTCACCCGCTGAGGCTGTCATGTGCCGCTAAGCCTCAGCTCCTGCTTCTGGTGAGCGAGGATCACACCTGCCTGTCGGAGTTGGCCCTGACTACTCACTTGCCCTCCTCACTCTACTGTAGTCCCTCCTACCTGGATTTTAGCCGGGCACATGGCCGTCCTGGGGAGGACTACATTTCCCAGCTCCCGGGAGCTCAGAGTAGCCACACCACCACATTCAGCCCATGGGATGTGAACACATGTGATGTGAGTGCCTGTAAGGCTGGGCCCCTCTCCCCGCTGCCTGCAATGGGGACATCACAGTGGGTGTCAGGCCTGCCCTCCGGGACCTTGAGGTGAAAGCAGCCAGGGGCACCTCCACACCAGCTCAGAGGGAGAAGCACTCTGCCTTGTCTCAGCCATGGCTACTGAGGGGCCTCAGGTTCAACAGCTGTGGACCGACTGCTGCAAGAACACCCCCCTGCCTTGGAGTCAGCCCGCTTGCCACTCCCGCTGCCACCCCAGGGGCCCCTCCACTGGTGACCTCGTGGAGGGGCAGGTGACAAGAGGCAGGGACAGAGTAGAGGAGCCAGGCAAAGTACCGGGACTGAGGCTCAGGAGCCCAGCTTAGTGCCCTCCCCTCCAGGAAGCCGTCCTGGAAGGAGGTGGGTGCACCTTGCCTCCCGCCAGGGCCCTGGGGTTGTCCTCCCTCTGTGTCCTCGATCCTCCTGGCCCCATCACCAGTGTGGAGCCCAGAGGGCTGGGTCAGCAGCTGACCTGTGCCGCCCACACCCAGCACCAAACATGCAGGCTTCTACACTGCCAGTCTGCACGTGATCCCAGAATGGATGACTGCGTAGTGACCGCGAGCTCACTGTTGTGTCAGGAACTGGGCTAAGTGTGCCCACATGTCCTGTGTCATTTCATCCTTGCACCTCTTTCTAGGGTATGTGCTACTGTTATTCAATTTCACAGGTGAAGAAATGAGGCACAGAGAAGTTAAGTAACCAGCACAGGGCCACAGAGCCGGTAAGTGGTAGAGTCGGTGACTGAACCAGGCATCTGGCTGTCTGGCTTGTGCTCCGAGTCACTGTGAATGAGCAAATGAATGACTAGATAGATGGACTTGTGGATGAATGCAGAGCTTGGGGGGAATTAGAGGAAGAGCATTCAGAATCCTGATGTGAACAGCCAGAATCCTAGCAGTCGCAATCATAACCTCTTTCAACTTCAGTTTCCTCATCTTCACAATTAAAATAATCGGTACAGTCTTCTCCACCCCCACCACCTCACAATGGCTGAAAGGAGCCCGTCACAGTGCCTGGAACGTAGGAGGAGCCAGTACGATCACCCCCAAAGCAACATTCAGGGACACCTGGCCCTGTCTAGGGATGGTGGGGATGCAGTCTTTGGTCCATCCTCGGGCCCTGAAGCTGGGGGACACCATTCTTCCCTGATGCAGCAGCCCCAGCCAGCCCGGGCCCCACCTGAACGCCTCTATGAGCCGCTCCACTTTCTGAGCCTCCCCTTGGACACGGATGTGCGCCTGGAATTTCCTGAGGGCCTCATCCAGCTCCATGGTAGAGAAGTCCATCTCGTCCACGACGCAGCTGGAATAGAGACAGACAGCCCCGCATAAGCACCCCTTGCAGGTGCGACACGCCCAGCCCACCCCCAGGTGGTGGTGCCTGAAGCCCTGGGAATGGACCGCCTCCTGGCAGGGAGAGCCCCTGCCTGACTCCGACCAATCAGCCAAGAGCCCTCAGAATGCAGCAAAAAGACCTCCAGTCTTCTGGGGAGCCCACAAAGCCCCTGGAACTGTAGGGAAGCGCGTGTGCCTATATTTATGCTGGCAGTTTTCCCAGTGGGGCAGAGCATATGGTTATCTGGATCAAAGCCCTTCCCAAGAGACAAGCATTTTTAAGCACAGCCCTCACCAGGCACACAGTGGACGCCACTGTGAGTCTCCTCTCCTTCTGCACGGGGTTGGGGAGTTTGCTGCCATTTTCACAGTGAGGAAAGGGGCGCCCAGGGTGTTGACTTTCAGAATAAGCCTGTTCTCTTGTGGGGAGAGTATCGGGGTGGTGGGCTGGGTTTTGCAGATGCTTTTCCAGGGACTTGAAAGGGCCATGCACCCTCATCTGTGGGGCAGGGCCTGGAGGGGCGGCTGATGAATGGTCTCCACATTCTTCCCATGGCCCTGCCCCGGCACACCCTTCCAGTCCCTCCTATGGTGACCCCTGAACAGAGAAGATGGAGTCTGCACCAGGAGCCCTGAGGCAGGCTCCAGCTTCTGGCCAAGCTCCCTAATGATGCTGCGGTCACTCCCATGGGGCAGAGAGAGGCCTGGCCACACAGGGCCTGACCCCTCTCCCAGGGCCATCTCCACATGGGGGCGATGCAGCTGCTCCCACCCTCCTCTGAGCGCTCAAGGCCTCCTGGGGCAACAGCCTTGGAGGTGACTTCGGAGCAGTGGGGAGAGGGCAAGCAGGGAGCAGGCAGAGGATTTGCTGAGCAGCAGGAGCAGCGGCCCTGCAGATGCCTGGTGTGGTGGCCCGGGGGAGCCAGCCACTTCCTGAGGCCACTGCTATTTTCTGACCTGAGGAAAACAATGTGCGGATTTCCTAAGGACCAGGGACCGGCTTGGAGTGGGGAGTCGGGGCAGCATAGGAATGGCTGCAGGGGATGGGGGTGGGAGCTGGGCATTTACCAAGGAGCTCATGGGCTTTCCCCTGGACCTTTCCTCACGCCTGCTTCAAAGAGGGGAGGGGGCAGTAGCCACCCTAACGATACAGCAGGCTTCTCCAGGTGCTGAGCAGGGAGAAAGATGCCCAGCCTGTGCATGCTTGGCAGACCAAGGGCACAGATATTCTGCTGGTGCCTGCCATGTGCTGGCCACACTTAGCCTCCTGGGTGTGGGACGGGGACTACATGAGTGCCGTGTATGTGAGTCTGCGTGTGTGGGGATGTGTGCCCAGGCCAGCCCCTCCCACTCTGAGCCTTGGTTTCCCCACCCATGAGACAAAAAGGGCGACGGCACCCTCTGCCTCCTAGGGAGAAGCAGCAGAGATGGCAGGCGTACTGGCCAGCCCCAGGGAACGTGAGGCCTCGTGCTCCAGGGGCTGCTGCTCCCGGGCACCTTCTCCCCAGCCCTCGTTGGTCCCCTCGGCTGCACATGGGCAGGGCTGGGCGGCTAGAAGGGACTGCCCCTGGATGGCCAGCACTTCACCCTGCTCTGAGTGCTCTTCCTGGCCCACCCTTCTGGCTCAGGGAGTTGGGAACCCATTTTTCTGCAGGCTTTCAAGTAGCCGGGAGTGCTATGCTCACCAGCTCTCTGAACTGAGAAGAGCTGTGGAATCAGGAGGTGGGGGCAGGACGCACAGCCCCAATATCCCAGCCGGGAGAATGAGGCAGGGGCAGAGCGTGGCACGGGCCGCCCACGGGGAGGCAGGTCACTTGATCTGACTCCCCACCACTCTCCCCAGGGGTGAGTCAGGAGCAAACAGGGCATGCAGTCCATGCAGGAGGACAACAGCCAGGCCAGGGGAAGAGGCCCTGACGTCCAGCTGCCTGCTCCTGCCAGCCCTGCCATGAGAAGCTGCAGGAACATGGGTCACTGAGGGCTGTGATGCTTGGTGCTGGGTTGGATCAACCGTGCTTAGGGATGGAGGGAAGGGAGGGGCCAAGGGTGCATGCCAGAGGGTGGGCGGACAGGCAGTGGGGTTCGCATGTGGGATGGTGCATTGGAGGGCAGGTGCCCACCTGCGTGCTGGGCAGATGTGGGGCATCTGCATGTGTGTGTCTAGGACTTAGGAAGAGAGAAAGGGGGGCCCACCACATGTCCCAGCAAGTAGGGTGGGCCTGGCCCTGTGTGTGCCCACGGGTAACACAGGGTGCGTGAGGGCGTGTGTGGAATCAGGTCCCCCACCACCCCCATGCAGAACTTACTCGAGCACGTCACGGTTGAACTGCTTCTGCCGGTTGCCCAGGAACTCGCCGATCATCTGCCGGCTGAGGCCCTTGCGCTGCAGCAGGAAGTGGGCCACCCCGACGGGCGTGTCGGGCACAAAGCCACGCTCGATGAGGTACTGGACTCCCTTCTCAGGCTTCCTGGGGTAGGACGAGAGGCACACTCAGTCCCAGCTGCCCGGCCACCAGCCAGGCACCTGGAGGGGATCTCCGCTCAGTGGACGGTCGACATTCTCCCTCCCTGCCCACCTGCACCGGCCTTCATCCCTGTAGGCATTCAGGGGTCTCTAGTTCCATCTCCAGCCTGGGTGGGAACTCAAGAACCCAGGCTGGCACTGGAAGACCCTGGGCTCCAGGCATCCTGCCCTGTCCCAAAACCCAAATATGGGGGACCTGGTACAAACACCTTCACCTAGACTCACCCAGACCTTGTACAAAGAATGGGCTGGGCTGGCTGCAGGGGTGCTTCTGTGGGAGCTGGAGCTGGACCGTCACTCCCCTGCCCTGCCTGCAGCCCCTTCTCGGCTGCCGGGCACTGGCCCCAAACTCCCGCACACACATTCAGAACTGGGTTCCCTGTCCGGCCCAACTCCCTGCTCCCCTCAGTGTGAAAGCCGCCATGCCAGGCTGCACTTCTGAGCAGACTGGAACCCTCCCCGCCTGCCAACGGGTAATAACAGCAACCACAGCACCGGCGGGGAGAAATCGCTCTGTGCCGCCGCTGTTGAGGCGCCCTGTGCACACTAATTCACTCAATTCCCACTCCAGGAGGTCAGCACTCTGGTTACCTGCGGTGCTCAGGAGCCCAGACTCGGGAGCCCAACAGCCATATAACCTTCCAGGGGTCCTGGCTTCCCCTGCTGTAAACACTGAGGAAGTAGTCAGATGCCTGCAACGACGCACTCAGTAAGCACCGTAAGAGGTTTCTATGCCGAGTCCTAATTCATGGGAGGGTGATGAAGGTGCAGGAAGGCAGCATTTCTAGCTGGAGGTCACAGCACCAGTGGCAGGGCTGGCCATGCAGGGCTGAGTGTGTCCACTGGAGACCAGACCCCCAGAGCATGGGTCATTCCACTGGCTCCAGCTTCTTGGTGCCCAAGGTGTGTGCAGAACCAGGCCTGGGCAGGGATGTGCATAGGGCACGGCATGTGTGTCGTGGGCTGATGGGGCCTAGCGCCAGGCCAGAGCACACCAGGTCTGCACCTGGCCAGGTGTCTGTAGGGCCAGGCAGGCTGCAGGGACATGGCACTGACCTTGCTGCTCACACCAGCCCTGGGAGCAGGCCCTGCCCCGCTGTGGCACTCCGGCCGTGTGAGCCCTGGCAGGCCCCTTCTCCCTTGGGGCCTCAGACGTCCTGCCCATCTTGTGGTAGGTCTCTTGCTTGGCTGACCTGGCAGGGTGGTCCTGGTGGTCAAAGGGAGAGATTGGGCCAGGAGTGGTGGCCCACACCTGTAATTCCAGTACTTCAGGAAGCTGAGGCAGGTGGATCACGTGAGGTCAGGAGTTCCAGACCAGCCTGGACAACATGGTGAAACCCCATCTCTACTAAAAATCCAAAATTGGCTGGGCGTGGTATCTCACACCTATAATCCCAGCTACTCAGGAGGCTGAGGCAGGAGAATCATTTGAACTCGGGAGGCGCAGGTTACGGTGAGCCGAGATTGTACCACTACACTCCAGCCTGGGCGACAGAGCAAGACTCCATGTCAAAAAAAAAAAAAACAAAAAAGGAGACAGGCTGGTGTGAGAGGGCTTTGAAGATGGCCACATGTGACCCTGAAGGATGGGTGTCCTCTCTGGAGTTTGCCAGGCCACTCAGGGAGCTGTATGGAGCCATCAGGCCAGACTGGCTCCATGTCCCCTTGGACGGAGTCCTCAGAGTCACCGAGGGCTGTCAAGTGGTTGGGGACACCCTCCAGGGACACGTGCTTCCTCAAGAGTCCATGAGGAGCCCAGTGTGGCTTGGGCCCCCTTGCCTCATGGCACACCTAGAACCTGTGCTAGGGTGTAATCGGCCAGGTCATCCACTAATTAGGGGGCCGGGCCTGACCCCTTGCCCCAGCAGGTAGAAGTCAGCATTCTTCTGTCCCCGGGGTGGGGGGGATGGAGATGAAACCGGTGTCCACCTGCCCCATAACCTGCACAGTTCCTGGCTGACAGCAGTGCCCTGCAGACACCGCATTTCCATGTGCAAGTGAAAGGAAGCCTCCTGGCTGCAAGGTGACCCTGCTATTTTTATCCCAGGATGGCCACACCCGTAAGCTTGTCCCCAGGAGTGTGGCAGGGAGCAGACACCAGCCAGCTTGGTCCTGGCACAGAAGTGGTAATGGAGTGGCCCCGGTCCCTACCTGTCCCAGGGACCCAGGATGGAAGGACCAGGGTTTCACTATTCACAAGATCACATGCCTCGCTATGATTCGGGGGTCTCCAAACAAGAACTGCTCCAATGCCCCAGGCCTCTACAGCCAAGGCCAGAGCAGATTCTGGGTCCTCACCATCCTGCTCCATGCCAGCACCAGCCCACACCCTTCTCTCCCTCCCTCAGCTTCCAGGTGAGGGGTCGCCATGGCTCACCTACAGTTGGGTTTTCTTTGGCCCACACACTGTTAACAAAAAGAATTCTAGTTCGTTGCCAGTATTTAAAAACTGGAAGAGTGCACAAAAAATCTGGATTTCTGGCTTCTGAAAAATCAGACCTTCTGGCGTCCCTGGGCCTATGCTCCCTGGCCTCCACGGCAGTGAGTGGGGGAGCCGGGCTAGGCTCCCCGACCCCTGCTGCCTGGTCCCTTCCCCACACAGGTGCATGCTCTAACTCCACCCAGGCTGTCTGGTCCCTTCCCCACATAGGTGCATGCTCTAACTCCACCCAGGCTGTCTGGTCCCTCCAGGCCACCGCTGCAGTGACCAGGTCCAGGCCCAGCCGGGTCCCGCCTTCTGCCGCTGCTCTTTTTTTGCCCCCATCCACCCTCTGATGTGGATGTGCCACATCCAGGGACTTCCAGGACAAGGCTCCTCGGCCCTGGAGGTGCTCAGAGCACAGAGGGAAGAGGGGAAGGTGCTGTGGGAAGCGGGCACGTGGGCTCTTCAGGATTAGGTGAGCACCATGTGTCTGCTGGGCCAGGCACCTCTTGGTGAACACTGGCTGGGAGTAGGCCGTGGGCCCCTGCGGGTGCAGCTGAGAGGCCTAGTCTGTGCAGGGGGCAAGGGACAGAGACTGAGGTATCAGGCAATTTTCTGGGAAGAGGTGACAGTGAGGACAAAGGTGCTGAGGTGGGTGGGGAGACCTGAGAGGCTATTCCAGGGTTGAGCACAGGGACCCTGGGGGAAGGCGAAGGGGGTAGTGGGGCGGTGGGCAGACTGCACTGTACAGCAGGCCATGGAGAGGGGTCTGGCTTTCTCCCGAGTGGGCTGAGAAGCCCCAGTGTGAGGTCAAGAGGGTGGTGATGGGGTCCTAAGTCCACAAGAGCGATGCCATGCTGGGGAGATCGTGGGCCAGGGCCCAGCTGGCAGCTGAGTGAGGGGCTCCTGTGGGCACCTGGCCATGCTGCAGCAGAGGTGGGAGGGGGCCGGGTTGAGGACACAGTCTGAGGGCAGAGGTGTCAATATTTGCTGATGGATCTGGGTGGGGGTGGCCGAGGTGGGGGCGGTGGAGGTAGGAGCAAGAAGGACAAGGAGCAGTGAGTCCAGGATGGCGTCAGCTTTTAGCCTGAACCTAGTGCGGGCGATGGATTCCACCCGGCAGGCCTCAAGGGCCATACCGCAGAAGTGAGGATGCTCAGTGAGGGGGCCTAGGCCGGTGATGAAGAGCTCGCTGCTGACCTGAGGGGAACTAGGGAGAAGCTGCAGCTGGACAGCCAGGGCCGGCTCCAGGGTGGGGCTGGGAGTCTCCGCAAAGCTCCCTGCAGGAGTGACAGGCCCTCAACAGCCTCCCTGACAGCAGACGGCCAGGGCACTGGGCATTTACTGGTGGGAATCCCCTGCCATTGGGACCTTGCTACCCTCCCCTACTCCTAGCCCGTGTAATGAAGCCCTTCCTTCCCCAATCAGTCCTTGGTGGCCCTGCTGGGTGGTGAATTCTCCATCCACCTGTGCCCTGCCTCACAGAGTTCCACAAGGTCTGCCAAGCATCACACAGGTCGAAGGTGGGCCTTTGGTGTGGCCTTGGACCCCCACCACCTCCTCTCCTGGCAGGACTTTACTTTCCCGCCTGCCCTGGGGAGAGGGCTGCAGGACATGCTTCAGCCACTGAACTGTGAGCTGAGGGGTCTGTGTCACTTCAAGGGGGAAGCTGTGCGGTCCCCTATGGACACCCACCTCCTTCATTCATTCCACAAACATTTATTGGGCACCTACCCTGGCTAGGTGCTATGCTAGCACAGTTATGGTCCCCATCGTCAAAAAACATGCTTTCTAGTTAGAGAGGGATACAGACGGAGATAAAGTCCAAGAATACAGAAATATGCTACAGTACAAGCATCAGGGGCATGGCTGGGAGAGTCAGAAGCCCACACTTCCGTCTCAGCTCCACTTCTGGCTGGGCGACCCAGGGTGAGTGAACTTAGCCTTTCTGTGTGTCTGTATAATGGGGATGACAGCAGTTCACACAATGGTTACTGTGAAGAATCCATGAGTTCGTACTCATAACGTACCATGCCTCAGGCCTCAGAAACCATTTCAGGCTTCACAGCTGGAAGGAGAGGCCTGGGCTAGAAGAACTCACCCGGGGTGATGCCACAGAAAGCTGGGACGGCATCGACTTCAGCTGGAAGGGGCAGAAGGACGGGCAGGAAAGCCCACCCTGACGAGATGGCATTGAGCCTGGGCAGAGAGCCAGGAAGAAGGTCCCTGGTGGAGGGAACAGCCAATGCAAAAGCCTTGACAGGTAACAAAATGGGGGCACAGAAGGGTCAAAAAACTGGCTCCAGGTTGCCCAGCAAGATGATGGGTACCAGGACTTATAATCCACGCTTCTGCCCCAGAAGTCCCTAAAAATTCCCTCTACCCTCCGGATGCCCTTCCTGCTGCTGAAAATCCACTCCGTCCAACTCTGCAGTCACCCCATTCCCACAGTCCCTTTGTGTATACCCGTTACTCTTTCTTTAGCTCTTCTTGATTCCACCCTGTAAGGACCCAGCATTAACAGGTGCTGCCTGCAACATTCTCATCATCTATACCTGACCCACCTCTGTACCCCCGGCCCTGCTGCCCCCTAAAATGCCCCAGCAGGCAGTGTAGTCGGAGCCTCCTGGCTCCATCCCTGCTGTGTGCTCCCAGGTCTGGCCTTAGCTGCCTCCTCTAAAGCTGGCTGAGCCAGCTTTTCCTCACATCAGATGACGATTCAGATTCAAGTGTGACAGGTAAGCACAGACTGCACCAGTCACTTCCTGCACACGCATCTCTCATCGTCTTTCAGCGGCAAGCTGAGCTGCTGGTGGGAAGAGTGAGCTGTGTGAGGCTCTGAGGAAGAGCTGCTGCAAGGCTGTGGATTGCACGTGGGGAACACCTACCTGCTGGAGCAAAGCACTGAGTGCTTACCCTGGTATTTTCCCAGCAGGGGTGTGCAGGATCCAGGAAAGGGTTCTCTCTCTCTCTTTTAAGACCCAGGTCTCACTATGTTGTCTAGACTGGCCTCAAACTCCTAGTTTCAAGTGATCCTCCCGCCTCAGCCTCCCAAGCAGCTGGGACCACAGGCATGTGCCATTGTGCTTGGCTCCAGTCCTTTTTAACTGTTCAGGATGCCTAAGAGATGTGGAAGTGGATGGATGCCCAAGCACCTAGCTTCAGCCCCCAGGTTTCCCAGCCTACCCTCCAGCTCAGGCCCTAAGACCTAGTGGGCAGATTCTACTCTCTGCTCCAGGCCAGTCAGAGCCCTGCATCCTGCTTGCCCAAGTGGTTCAGGGAGAGGCACAAGAGCCAGAAGGAGCCGATGAGGGGAGGAGAATCTCTCTTCCTCCTACTGGGGTTGCCTTGAGGTCAGACTACAGGCCTGGGGTTCTCTGATGGCCCTCCTGCCCTGGGTCAGGGAGGATCTGGCAAGGGGCAGGGCCAACCCTAAGCCAGATGGAGCCAAGAAATACCCGGGACTTTTCAGGTCCGTGAACCAGTAAAGCCTCTTTGCTTAACCCAGTTTGATAGAGTTCCTGTCACATGCAACAGAGAAGGCCATGATTAACGCAGAGACCAACACAGGGTTTGGAGTGCCCGAGGATCTCCGTGGTCAGAGGTCTGAGCCCTGGTAACTGTTAACTGCTTGTGGGGGTGAGGATAGACTCACCAACTTCAGCATTCGGAGAGTCCCTGCACACCTGAAAATGCCCTTCCAATGCAGCAACCTAGGGTCCTGCAGAGAGGTGCCACTTCCAGCCTTTCCCACACTGCCAGGGCCAGCAAGCTCGCCACCTCCGGAGGCTGCCTGCTCCACCAGCTCTGACTTTTACACGCACTTTCTGGTAGCGTGAACCCAAGTGGCTTCCCTGGTATTGATCCCAGAGAGAAGGCAGGAGAATCACCCTCTGAAGTGTGGCAAGCACCCCCTGCAGGGCTTCCCTTGGCACTGTCTTCTTCTCCAAGACTCAGCACCAGCCACCTCAGACCCAGGCCAGGGCTCGGGATCCTGGGCTGCGGGTAGCATCAAGGGCCACAGGCCACAGTGGCCTGTGTCTAGGGGAGAGGGGTCCCAACCTCCAAAGACCCAGCTCAAAGTGCTCCTAAGAGAGCCCATCCTTTCCATCATCAGCACCACAGGCTACGGGAGCAGCACTGCACATCCTCTGGGCCCAGCACTTCTGGTGTGTGGCCTTGAGCTTGGGCCTGGGCTCTCAGCCTCGCTGCCTGCACCTACGCTTCCCAGGATGGCTGTGGCGAATCAGTGAGACAATAGGCGGAAGGTGTTCGGCATGGGGCCTGGCGCTTGGTCCAGGCTCTGCACAGGCCGGCTCTGCTCACTGCTATTTTTATCAATGACAGCAGACACGTTAAACACAAGGAGCACAGAGCTGGAGCATGCAGATCAGGGGTACTCTCTGAGCCCTGTTCCCACAGGTGGAGGGGAATGGCCCCCTGGGGGCGCTGGAAGGGTGAAACAGCCACGCTCCCTGCAGGATCCCAGTGACAGCATCCCCTGCCTCCCTTCTGCAGTAGCTCCAGCAGGTGGATGGGACCCGAGGCTGCTGGGCCCCAGGGGCTGGGCGCCGAGTGTAGGGGAGGCCAGGTCCACAGAAGGGGGCTGCCTCCAGGTACAGGGCCCTGTGCTGGAAGGGCCTCAGAGGCCCCTGTGGAAAGCTCTTAGCCAAGTAGTCCAACCACACTGTCACACCAGGTGGCCACCCAAGCCCTGCGTACATGTTTCTCAGAGACAAGCTTCTCACTCCTTTTTGAGGGTGCCCGTGTCATCATGAAGCAGCTCTGGGGCCAAGGATGCTCTTGCAGAGGTGGGAGAGGTCTGGTGTGGCTCACCTG
Organism: Homo sapiens; assembly: GCF_000001405.40. Classification (NCBI taxonomy): domain Eukaryota; kingdom Metazoa; phylum Chordata; class Mammalia; order Primates; family Hominidae; genus Homo; species Homo sapiens. The sequence continues at coordinate 12,932,060 of NC_000003.12, forward strand.
TGACATGGTCACCTGGGCTCATTCCAGGGAGGAATGTGACAGACAGAAAGTGGACATAGCCAGGCATGTACCCCTGACGGTGTGTACCAGGTACAGGAGCAGGAGACGCTGGGGTGGGGTTCCAATGCGGAGGTGACAGACTCAGTGAGGTCCCTGCTGGGCACCTGCCCCAGCTCCATGTGCTGCAGGGCTGCATGGCGTCCCACAGATGGTGTGGCTCTGCCTCCTGGACTCAGTTTACAGATCTGTCACCCAGTGAGGAGGTAGGGAGCCCAGGGATACCTGTGGTAGCAGTTCCTACATCATGGATTTTAAGAGGATGTGTTCAGGAGCCAAGTGGCCAGGGTGTGACGTCCCTAGTCGTCTACCAACTATGTGAGACTCAGCTCACCCACTGCACAGGGTAACGTGCGTTAGCGCGTGACAGGCCCTGGGAACCATGCCTGGCGCACCGTCAGCACATGGAAGGATTAGCTATTCTCGTTATTTCTGACTGCTTGGCCCATCACAATGCCTGTTTGGGTCTTCCTAAAGCCCAGCCCTGGAAGCTCCCTTCCCTTGGCACTCTGGACACAGAAGCCCTTGCTGACCACAACAGCTGCCATCCACTGCACAAACATGTTCCGGGTGCAGGCAGTGAGGCTCAGAGAGTTCAGGGAGTTGCCCCAGGTCCCACAGCTGATAGGTGGCAGATCCAGGACTGAAACCCTCCTGCCTCTGGCTCCTGCACCCCTGCCCTCCCGCAGCACCGCCAGCCAGATCAGCTGTGTGGCTGTCAGCTGGGCCAGCTGGGAGTAAGCGGCAGATGCCCAGAGGAACATCTGGAGGCCTGGTAGACCTCGGCAGCCCCCGGGATGCCCTCCCCACCAACCTACACCACTTTCTCAGGCTTCGTTTCTGTTCTTCCTCCCCGCTTGCTGCTGGCTCTCCCACTTTGGTACATGATTCCCTTAAAGGGGGCGTCCCCCCAGACAGAGGCCTGTGCCAGGAACGCTCACTGCTTCGTTGCTAGGAAGGGGTGGGAACTGAGAGCTGTGCTGGAGGCCGGGCAAAGGCCGGGACATACCACCCCGCAGGGAGAGAAGTGGAGGTGGTACACAGGCGCAGGGCCAAAGAAAGGGAAGGGAAAGGGCAGTTCCTCCTTCAACTAAAAACGTGCCTAGCTAAGACCCAGCAATTCCACTTCCAGCCATATGATCTAGAGGCCTGCCAGGTGTGTGTGTAAGGATCACAACCACTGTCACACTAGTGCTAGTTATGAAAAGCTAGAAGCAACTGGCCAAATAACCTATAGCCACGGCGGGGACTACCACTCAGCAGCACACAGGAGCAAGACAGCCTGTGTGTAGAGCCCAGCGATACCCTCATAAGACAATGTCACAGTCCCGCGCCCTGAGTGATGTCAGCAAGGATCCAACAGTAGCAGCTAATACATAGTAAGGCCCTATCCTGTGCCACGTCCTGCTTTCAGCACTTCACACAGACCAACGCTTTACCCTCACCGCCCTGGGAGGAGGGTGCCCCTGGCATCAGCCATTTCACAGATGCGGCCACTGTGGGACGGGGGGTTATGCTGCCCAAGGACATAGAGATACGATGGGGCACAGCCAGGATTTAAAGCCAGGCAAGCAAGCCCCAAGCTGTGTTCTTAACCATGGCTGTCTAGAGTTCCTAGAAGTGCACACAAATGCACAGGAAAAAAATCTGGAAGGAGAGACTGCAACATGCTGAGTCCAAGAGGATGTTATCCTGAGCTGCAAGGCATGCATTTTCTGTGAAGAATGTATTCACGTGCTACACAGATAATTAAAAGTTAACTGAATAAGAAAGAATCTACACAGACCAAAGCTGGCTGGTTGAGGGAGGTGGTTTTTCCTGGTTTCCTGTCTCCCCACTGCTGGCCTCCACCTGTCCACTCTGCAGGGACCCCTGGTTATCCCAGCCTCCCCTCTAGGGCACATGGGCCTGGGTCGAGAGATGATCCTGGAGCTCGGCTGTGCCCAGGAGCAGTGGGGACAGACTTCAGGGACCGTGTCAGGTGGGCCAGCAGGATGCAACCCTCCCCTGTCCAGCGCATTGCTCCGGCCGTGGCCTGTGCAGCAGTGAGAGCAGCCGTACTCTGCAGCAAGCCACAGGCAGATCACAGGCTCAGGAGAGAGCATCCTGGTAGATGTGAGATGTCCAAGACTCTTTGTTCTTAGCTGAGCAAACCAGTAAGCCATTGCCCCTTACTGGCCCCAAGTGAATGCACCATTCCCCAGAGGCTCTTCCTGAGACAGGCCTCTCTGACATCCCAAGATAGTGCTTCCATGTGTCCCAGGAATGGCTCAAAAGCACCATCTCCCCCAGTCTAGAAGAAGAGAGAACAGGGGGCAGACGGAGCAGGGAGCCAGCTCAGGCACTGGCTTTGAGGTGGCCAGGTCCCACTGCGCCATTCATCACCCTAGTTTGACCTCCTGGGAAAACTGTCGTCTGCCCCTGGCTCCCCGGATGTGTGTCAGGAACCACCAGCCCAGGGGAGTTGGTGCCAGGCCAGCATCTGATGAGGCCAAATCCCAGTAGCCCAGGGAGTGGAAATAACGAGAAATCTCAGGTTGGACAGGAGCCTGCACGTTCCCCAGGCCAAGTGCTCAGCCCTCCTCCCCTTCCTCTTGCTATTTTTGGCTGTGCTAAGAATAGTCTGCTTTAAATACCCATCGCTCCTTGGATCTGCTCTCAGGATGGTCAACGGCACCTTTCCAGGACCCCCTTGGGGAGCAGCTACTCCATGAACCCAACTCATGCATCTCCCCAAGACCCCCAGACACAGCCCTGGGTCTGGCCTGCATCTGTCTGAGTTCCTTCCATCCAGGACACGGTTCTGGGTCTGGCCAGCAACTGCCCCTGAGCACTCCTACCCCCAGACATGGCCTCAGGTCTGGCCTGCATCCCCCACAAGACACAGCCCTGGGTCTCGCCTGTCTGCCCCTGCCCCCCACTGACACAACCGGTCATACCCCTGCTCAAAGGCCTTTGTGTCCCACATCACCCCTAGGCCTGACATCCAAAGTTGCGCAGGGCATGGCCCAACATACCCCACTTGCTATGGCGGACTTGGGGGGGATGGGACGGAAGGGCCCGGGACTCAAGTTGCTTCGGCACAGAAAGCTCCCATTCTGCCCCTGCTCAGCCTGTGTGTGTTGCCATCCCCACCAGCAGTCCCAGGAGGGGCTAGGCCTCAGCGCACAGGCTGGCACCGTCCTAGCCACCGACCTTGTGTGGCAGCTTCCTATGCTCATAGGCCACGGTGGACCTCAAGCTCCGTGCTTGGAAGGATGCAGCCACGCCCACCCGCCAAGGCCCAGCAAGCCACAGCTGCCCACCCTGAGGGGTCACCCATGGTACTCACTTGTTGAAGAGGTTCAGGCCGATGCGGTAGTGCCTCTTGCGGATGACATCGTTGCTAAAGGCAGGCGAGTCCCAGCTGTTGCGGGCCTCCTTGTGGTAGGTCTGCTTGCTGAGCGTCTGCTCCCGCAGGCTGTCACGGGACGATGACTCGGAGCTGCAGTTGATGGTATCGTTGGAGTTGGACGTGCTGTTGATGCTGTCATTGTCACCGTCTGAGTAGTCCGACTCAGACTTGCTCTGCCGGTTGGCTGAGCCATTGATGGCCAAGTGGCTGTCCAGGGGCCTGGGGGGCCGGGGCCGCAACTCAGGCTCCTCCCGGGGGAGGCTCTTGGGGGCGCCGCTGTGGGGACCATGCTTGGGACTGCCCTGCTGCCCGCCAAGGCTGCGCTCGTAAGCACTCTGCCTCTTGAGTGACCCCCGCTCCGAGCGGTCACTAAGGTCCACAGAGCTGTCGCTGGGTGGCTCGATGGTGAGCAGCGGCAGATGCTCCACCCGCAGCCGCTGCTCCTGCCGCTCCAGCGACGGCGTGCTCCGGCAGCTCGTGTCCGTGTCAGCCTTGTCCTCTTTGTGGGCCAGGGCCCAGTAGTCTGGGGCTGCGCCCCCAGCCCGTAGCCGCAGGTCCGACTCGGTGCTGGACGGCCGGTCCCCTGCCTGCGAGAGGGGCAGAGGGGGCGACAGCTCCTCCTCATCGATGTACAGGGTGACATCACTGTACGAGGCCGTCATCTCGTCCAGTTTGCGGTGGTCCATGCCGTGCAGGGCTGTCTGGGGTTCGGTGTCCCGGGCCCGCGCCGCATCCAGGGCCGGTGCCTCCTCAGTGTGCAGGCTGCGGCAGTTGAGGGCATCGTCGATGGACTCGGCCAGTGATTTCACTTGCCTAGAGAAGGCGTCCTCCAGCTCGGTGATGGCGTCCGCAAAGTCACTGGAGGGGGCCGGAGACTTGAGGGTGGTGGGCTCGCTGAGGTCACCACACTCAGGGGACACCAGGGCTCCCAGCTGGGAGCCGTCGTTAGTCACTGAGACCTGCTTCCCCTCGAAGTAGGAGCTGTGCACTTTCTCAGGCCCCTCAAAGGAGAACTGCATCCTCATGTTGGACAGCACAATCCGGCGTGACATGCGGTTCTCTGACATGGAGCTGCGCAAGCGCTCGAAGTTCTTGTTCATCTGGTACTGGCGAAACGCCGTCTGGATGGTGCGGGCCGCATGGCGGGTTACCAGGCGCCCCCCATACTTTCGTTCTAGCATCTCCACCTGCGGGTGGGAGAGGAGAATGAGAACAGCACTGCATGTAGGCACAGTGCGACATTTACCAAACTCCTTCCCACTTCCTAGCCACGTGGCTGTGCGACCTGGGAAGGTCCCAAAGTTGGTCAAAGCAACTGCTGAGGGATGCTGGTGGGCTTATGCAAAATATGAGTCCCAAGGTCAAACTGGACAGAGAAGCACCAAGTTAAAATGAGTGCAACCATGTTTTTCCTCTCTCAGACCTCTTTTTTTTTTTTTTGAGACAGAATCTCGCTCTGTCACCTAGGCTGGAGTGCAATGGCACAATCTCGGTTCACTGCAACCTCCGCCTCCTGGGTTCAGACGATCCTCCTGCCTCAACCTCCCGAGTAGCTGGGATTACAGACACCCACCACCACGCCCAGCTAATTTTTGTATTTTTAGTAGAGATGGGGTTTCACCATGTTGGCCAGGCTGGTCTTGAACTCCTGACCTCAGGTGATCCACCCGCCTCGCCCTCCCAAAGTGCTGGGATTACAGGCGTGAGCCACCATGCAGGGCCTCAGAAACTTTAAAAGGCAGTGAGATACACTATGTTGAGTGTCCCCAGTGTCTTGGGTCACAGAAGCCCCTGGCCCTGGTGCATCTTGAGGTATGCCATCTAACGAAACCCATTTGGAGACCCTGGAAGAAGTATGCACAGTTCAAGAGATAGGCTAAAGATCCCAGCAAGGCCCACAGGCTTCTGGACTCATTTCCTTTCCACAGCATCAACCAGGCAGCTCTTGTGGCCAGATGGGTCACTGAGCTTCAGGGAGACCTGTGGGGTTTGCTGCACTGAGAAGCAGGCTTTGAGGCCAGGTGCCTGAGTTCTAATCCAGGCTATGCCCCTTGGTAGCTGGGTGACCCAGAGTAAGCACTGAGCCCATGCAGTTCCTCGGTTTCCTCATCTATTAAATGGGGTAGTGCTGGGACCTGCCTCCTATGACTGTGGTGAGCCTGGGAGACAGAGGCCAAGGGCTGGCACATGCCAAGCACGGGGGCAGCTGGGCTGGAAAGACCCTCAGCTGCATTCTGGGAAGGGATTTACAGTTCGTAAAGCCCCCAAGCTCCCTTGCTCTACAGATGGGCAAATTGTGGCCCAGAGAAGAGACTCAACACATACTCAAGAGGCCTTCAGGCTCTGGAGCTGGCTTTCCCTCATGAGCACCGCCATTCCTAGATGGCTCGTCTGGCCTACACAGCTCGTTCCTGTGAGGGGTGAGCTACATGCAGGGAGAGGGCGGGGTGAACCCTGGGTGCTTCAGCGGGACACACAGACCTCCCGAATTCCTGAGGCACCCGTGACCAAGGACGGTCCTGAGGGCCACTCCCTGCACCTTGCTCCTGAGTGGACAATGAACACACTCCTGCGGCCAAGATAAGGAATTGGCTTCTCCGCCAAGCCAGGCCTCTTGGGGTGCTGGGGTGGCGTGGGCATGTGATGTGGGGCTAGGAGCCAGGCAAAGCGTTGCACCTGCCTGTATGGTCCCAGATGCCACTACATGCTGGGCATCACATCACACCTGGAGGTGGAATGGGAGGCATGGAGGTCCTTGCCCTCGAGGAGCGAGGGGTCTGTCAAGGAGAGCAGGCAGCTGCAGGCGCAGAACTGAAATAATGCCAAACAGACGTCCAGCAAATCGAAGGCTGTGGCCTGCACCAGGGAGACTGGCTCAGGGCCACGCAGGGCCTTGCATGCCCATGCGTGCTGCCTGGCTCTGGGTGGTCCCAGCAGGCTGGGTGGAGGAGAAGAGCTGGGGGGGCTTGAGGGGAGCAGATCAAAATGACTTTTCCAATCCCAGGCCACAGTCTGTTTTCTCTCTCGCCCTGTTACTGAACGCCATCCAAGAAATGACCTCACTTCCACAACTGTAAGCAGAAAGTTTCTATTTTTTGGGTTGTGAGTGGAGCTTAGAAAGCCCCTGGGGCCCATAAGAGGCCCAAGGCTGGGATCTAGGAAGCCTTTCTTCCCTCACTGTACTTTGTGGGCGGCACAAGTACGAGGACCTCCAGCTCAGGCCTAGAGCTCCCCGCAGGGCCTTCTCACCTGCTGGCTCCGGACCTCGCAGACCACGCAGCCACCCTGTTTTCCTGAGACCTCCTGCCCAAACCTGTGTGTGTTGGGGGCGAAGGGACTTCAGGAAGGCAGCAATGGGCTCTGCATTTGTTCACCAGAGCCCCTGGCAGTTCCTCCCCCAGGGGGACACACATGGACCTGGGGCTACTCTTCCTCGTCCCCAAACTTACCGTGGGTCATTCTTCTTTCTGGGATGGAACTATTGCCAGGCCCGGTCGAAAAGTTTCCCGGGACCCAGTGGATGAGATTCTACTAACATGTGCTCATCTACTATGTGTGCTGGGGACCCCCATACCCTCATGCCACCTCACAGCAGCTTCTGCTCTCCCGAGGGGTTTCACTACCCCACTTCTCAGCAAGGACAAGACACTCAGCGGAGGGAAGACGCTCAGCGGAGGGAAGCCGCTGCCCCAGGGCACATGGTTCCTGGATAGAGGAGTCGACCCCGTGGCCAGGGCTCCCCCATCCGGCCCTCACTTGTCCCTTCAAGGGAAACTTCTGAGCAGTACAGAAGAGGAACCCGGAAGAATGCCCTTCAGCAAAGCAGAACTGTCACTTCTTGATGACACAGGGACAGTACCTGAAACCCACTCAAGTTTCCTGCTTCAGGGACAGAAAGCCACTGGAGGGCACAGTGGGTCAGGGGCCAGAAGAGCACAGGAGACTAGCCCTTGGGCTCCTTTCACTAAAATGGACTCTGTGTTATCCAGACTTAAAACTCCTCGTGGAATCGGGCACCCTACTTTTTCATCTGGTGATTCCCATGCAATCTGTCCCATTCCCACTTTTGCTGAGCTTTCCAGGAAGCTCAGTGGACCATCAAATGCTCAGTGGCCCTTGATGTCGCCTCCTCCCTCTTACCTCTTTGGAACCTCTTCCAGGCCTTCCTTTCCATTTCACACACTCGGCAGCCTTTACATCAGCTGTTGCCTCTTCCTGGGACAGCCAGCTCTAATGCCTCCTTAGAGAGGTCTTCCCAACCAGCCTTACCCAATGCTATTGCCTCCCGTAGCTGCCCTATTTCTTTCCCCAATGTTTAGAATCCCTAGAGTTTGCATTACTTTCTGGAAGTCAACTGCCTCTGCATTGCTAACTTGCTCCTGTCCAGCTCCTGTGCCACAGTGGAGCTCAAGAGCAGGGGCCTCGCCTTGGTCATGGGCACCCAACACAGTGTCTGGTGCATAGTGGGCGTTCAGATAATATGCATGGAATGAAAATGAATAGCTGCAGTCCTATTAGGCCCACAGTAAGCATATAATTCTCTTCAAAGGCCTCTATTAAGTCCCAACCTTTCTCCTTTCTGTTTAAATGGCTCTGTTGCAGACATCTCTTACTATAAACCGTGGTCCACTTTGGATCTGGGCATCACGGATAAAGGAACAGAGGTTGCTCTGCCCTGTGTCGGTCCGGCCTAAGTTGCAAGGCAGCACCGACAGCCAGGTGAGGAAGGGGCTGATGGGGGCTTCCCTGTCAAGAGAGTGGACGACCCCCAACCCCAGGCAGTATCTGCACCACTCCCTTAGGAAGTTGGGGCACACCAGGCCCAGAACTCTACTCCTTAAAGGACAAAAAGGGGAGCAACTTGAATCTATACTCCCAGCAAACACAAACAAACAAAAACAACCCAAAAATTGTTTTTAAAGAAAAAGGATAACCAGGAAGATCTGGGAGCAAGCAGAGGGCGGGCGGGGCCACAGGATGGGTGTGGGTGGGAGTGAAGGCCAGGGGCTTCTGCAGCATGGAGTCTGGGAAGACGGGAAAGGGCCCTGGGGCCAGCAGGGGCAGAGGCAGCTGCCTGGGCATCTGGAGGAGCTGTCTAGAGCTCAGTGCCCAGGAGCTGGGGAGAGTCTGACAGCCCTCCCCAGCCTGCCCCTGCAAGCTTGCAGAACTGCTGCCTGGGAGCCCGGGTTCTCTTGAAGCCTCAAACTGCTAAGCGGCTTGTCCATGCACTGGCCCACTCACCCCCTCACTCATCCATCTGTGCAGTCACTCAGATCCTCATTCAAACACCTACTGTGCACCTGCACTTGGAGGGACTTGGAAGCGAGAGCTCTTGGCCTCCCCAGGGACCGCTCAGGGCCTCGCTCTTTCCTCTGCACCCCAGGATTCTCCTCTCCTGGCTCAACCCTGAGAGGCTACCTCTTGTCCTCCCTCAAGCCCAGCCCTAGGCACACTGTGGGTCTGGGCCACCTCTAAGGGCCAAGGCCCCTGGGGGAGGGGTGCAGTCTTCAATGAGGGGATTTCCCACAGGAGCAGGGAGGTGTGAGCCAGGAGGAATAGAGCAAGCAGCCTCCCCTGGCTGGCTGCCGATGGGGTTCTTTCCAGAGCTTGTGATATTTATGCTGTCAATGGACCTCCCTCCCTCAGCCCTCTCCTGGGTCTTTAGAACCTCAGTGGCCGGCCACGTACCCAGTGTGTCCCGATGACACTGGGCCTCATGCTCAGACACCTATCATGGCCCCCCAGATCTGGGCCATGCGGGTCATGGAACCCGGGCCATGGCAAAGGCCTCATGTGAAGACAACTCTCTAGAAGTCCCCAGAAGGAACGCCAGACAACCCAGGTCCTTCATACACGCCAGCCAGAGCCAGCTGGGGCAAGAGGCTCCTGAGAGCAGCTACAGGTGGAGCTGGAACTGGGGCAGAGCCCTCAGCCTTAGCCCACATGCACCCCAACTCAAGTCTATGGGAGAGATCTGCCACCATGCCTGGTGGGGGCACACATGGTGGGCAGAGCTGCCCTGCGCTTGCATGTGTGGCCTGAGGGGCTGTGCTCTCCTACCTGCTTGTCCTGCAGGTCCGAGGAGAGCTCATAGCTCTCGGAGAGTGAGCGTGAGCGCTTGATGGCCTCCTCCTCAGCCTGCTTGCGCAGGATGGAGGTCGAGTGCTGCAGCTTGGGCCTCCGCGTGCGCTGCTGTTGCCCCGGCGGCCCCGAGTACAGCCCATAGGCTCCCACTGACGTGTGCTCGTAGTGATCCGGGCTCAGGCTGGAACCGGGCACCAAGGGGCCCTGGGGGTAGGCTGAGGGGCTGTCCAGGGATGTGCCAGTCTCACTGCTGGGGGCCTCGCCCTCGACGCTGCAGAGGAGAGAGAGGTGAGAAGCTTCTGGTAAGCGGGAAATCTGAACACGACACCGGGCCGTGGGGCGTGACCCCACCATGCTCCTGGAGGAGCCCCCATGCCCGTTCTTCTCACACCCCATGGCTGAGTCCACATGTGCAGCTGGCAGGACCCTGCAAAACCCCTCCACTCAGCACCCCACCCACTCGGGTTCAGTTTCTCTGTGAAGTGCACCATCCTCTGACATCCCATATACCTTCCTCATTGATTTTGCTCACTGTCCATCATCCACATGCAAATGCCAGCTCCCTGAGGACAGCAGTTTTGGCCACTGGGTCGCTGATCACCCCCAGAGCCCAGAGCAGTGCCTGGCACACAGCAGGTGCTCAGCAATTACTGACTCAGCGAATTCTGTCGCCTTTTCTCCTACCACCTGCATTAAATACACCACTGATTTTAAACTTAAAAAAAAGGCCGGGCGCGGTGGCTCACACCTGTAATCCCAGCACTTTGGGAGGCCGAGGAGGGCGGATCACGAGGTCAGGAAATTGAGACCATCCTGGCTAACACGGCGAAACCCTGTCTCTACTAAAAAATACAAAAAATTAGCCGGGCGTGGTGGTGGTCGCCTGTAGTCCCAGCTACTCAGGAGGCTGAGGCAGGAGAATAGCATGAACCCGGGAAGCAGAGCTTGCAGTGAGCCAAGATTGCGCCACTGCACTCCAGCCTGGGCTACAGAGCAAGACTCCGTCTCTAAAAAAAAAAAGAAAAGCCCCAATAATTAACAAAAGCGATTCTGTACTGTATGCCTACATGGGGCCAGCCCTTGTGCTGGTGTTTGCTGTGAATGAACTGTACCCTCCACATTTGTGTGTTGAAGCCCTGGCCCCCACCTCAGCACGGGACTGTGTTTTGGAAACAGGGTCTTTGTGGACACTGGGGTGTCCTGATCCAGCCTGACTGGTGTCTTTGTAGGCAGAGATGAGGCCACGGACGCGCACAGAGGGAGCAGCATGCGAGGACCCGAGGAGGAGAAGACCACCTGCAGGCCAAGGAGAGGGGCCATGGGGGAACCCACCCTGCCTACGCCCTGATCCCCGACTTCCAGCCTCCAGAATTGTGTGACAATAAATGTCTGTTGTCGAAGGCCCCTGTGTGTGGTGTGTGTCACGGCGAATTTGGAAACTCATACATTGCTGTATATACATTTTCTCTAAATCTTAAAAGCAGTCTACAAAGAGGAATCATCGACTCCCCTTTTTCAGGTGAGGAGACTGAGGCCTACAGGGGGTGCCAGGATGACCCAGGTAGGAAGTAGGTGAGTCAGAGTTCAAGCCCAAGTGGTGGGACCCTGAGACCCAGTGGTCCCCTCCGCCTCACCACCTCCTGTCCCTGCAATGTGCACACATTTCTCTGACATCTCCAAGCACCATGGGGGAGCAGTGCCCCTGGTGGGGCCATGCGGGGCGGGCTGACGAGCTCATCCCGACTCGGAACTCGCAAGCCTTTTCACTGTGTGCAGACGCTGGTTTCCGCTGCAGGTGGCTTCTCAGTGTAGGACGAGCAGGGAAGGGAGCGAGTTATGTCACAGTTTCCAACACAACATCCAGTCACCCTGCCAGGTGCCCTGTCCCTGTCAGATCACTCAACCCTGGGCTAGAAGGACCCTGAAAGACCCTCTGCTCCCACGGGCCGGGGTGGAGGTCCCACTAGATGGGCACAGCAGAGAGATGGGCACACAGACCCCACTCAGCTGCGGTGCCCCCTCCTGGTGCCTCCTTCAGACCTCCTTCAGACCCAGGGCAGTGGGTCCAGCCCTGTTCTGCTCTGCTTCTGTCTCTGCTGCTCCTCACGAGGCCTGCAGGACCCCAGTGCCCAGTGCAGAATGTGACGTCTCCGGCTCCCGTGAAGCCTGGAGTGGGGGCCCCAGCAGGCGGCCTGGAGCAGAGGGCACAACCAGTGGCCCAGGTGGTAGGGAGTGACGGCCCTTTGCTGCCAATTCTGCCCTGAGCCAGGGCTGGGCTGCAGATCTTGGCACCTGCTTTCCAGCCTGCAGATTAGGACATGACTTCTGGCTCTGGCCTCCGGGGTCAGGCAGGGGATGCCCACCCCACTCCCCAGGAGCTGGGCCATGACAGAGGCGTCTTCCTGAGGAAGAGCCTGAATGAAGAGGGGGTCCCAGGGCCCTCTGTGGCTCTGCCCTCATCAGATTGAGAATCAGGGCAGGCTGCCCCTCCCTTCAAGGTCCCAGTTTCCCTATCAGTAACACGGTGGGCTGGACTCAATGCCTGCAAGCCCTCTGAGGAACACCACCCTTCGAGATTCTCCACATCATGAGAGTCTCCCAAGCCCCTCCCCTACAGCCCCCACCCACAGCAGCCTCCTTTGGACCTGGTGTGTGTGCCTTGGTAGGGGGCGAGGGGGAGAACAGGCAGATCTGAAAATCCTCCCATTCTATTGCTAAAGCTTTGAGCAGGGACTCGCAATAAACACTCACCAACCTAATCAACTGTACAAAGGAGCAAATGAGTCCCCATCTCAGACTTCAGGCCCCAGAGCCTCAGGTTGCAGGGGAGCGTTGGCCTCGCCGGGAAGCCCATCCCACACTGTCTGACCCCAGAGCTCACGCCTCTGCTCCAGGCCTGTGCACCTCCCTCCTGTCTGACCCCAGAGCCCACGCCTCTGCTCCAGGCCTGTGCACCTCCCTCCGGCTCGCCTCGTCTTTGCAGCCCGAGGGCACATCACACACGCCCGGGACTGGAAGCACTTCAGTCAGGCGCCAAATCTGTGCTTCCAGGCACAGATCACAGGGAACAACGGCTGGTCCTTAAAGAGATGCAGCCGGGCCTCCGCTCCTAAGAGGAGGATTCAAAACAATCTCATCACCCTAAGTTCACAGAAGCACAGAGACAGACAAGCAGTTTCCCTGCAGGTCCCTGGAGCTGAAGCAGGAAGCCCCTTGGTGGCCCACAGGCTGCTGCTGAGCTGCTGGGAGGCACCGTCAGGGAGGGGAGTGTGGGACCCTCACTGTGCTGCCCCCGACCCAGGATGGAGGAGCAATGTTCACCTCAAGTCTGAAGGAATTCCACCCTTCACCAAGCCCTTTCTAACCTGGCCTGAAACCACTGTGAGCAGGCAGAGCAGGGCATCCTTCCCTGATGGTTGGGGGTGAGTGAGGGCCCAGGCCTGCCTGAGAACTTGAGAGGGGCCTTTGTTCCCAGTTGGCCGCGGTGTGGGGCAGAGGGGGTTGGGGAAAGAGATCAGGCGGCAGCCACTGAACTCAGAATGGGCAGGAGATGGGAGTGCCTGGCGCTGGTAGTTCAGGGTGGCTTTGGGCCCCGGGGCAGGGTATCTTTGGGGATAGGATTGCAATGGTGGTGGCCTGGGGCAGACTTTCTGGGCCTGTGGCAGCCCAGGATTCCGCTCTGGGCACTCCTGGGTTCCTGGCTGCCCTGGGTCAGCAGGTCCAGAACATGCTTGGGAGTGGCCGGGCCTCCCTCTCCAGGAAGGGAAGGCCTGACAGTCACCCACAGTCTTCCCTTCCATCCTGGAGCCAGGGTCCTGGGGGTCATCAGTTTAATCCCTCCCCCGACTCAAACGCCCCCATTCAATCTGTCACCGGGTCCTGTCCAGTCTATTGAATAGCATCAGCTTGTGCAATGTGGCAGCCCTTCCACACTCCAAAAAAAAAAAAAAAAATCAAACCCAACTTCAAACCACCCCAAAAAAAAGAAATGGCTGGGCCATCCTACTGCAACCAGTGTGGCACCACAGGATTCTTCAGCAAACGTGGACAAAAGTGAGCACAGTGTGGAATTTTCCACATAGCTATGAACCCATTTGAGCCAGAGGACATCACCTCTTGATGGCCCCAATCAGCAACTACGCAGTGCAGTATTAGACCCTAAAAAAGTGGCTTTTCTGAGTTTATCTGAACTGATAAATAAAAATACAATTTAAGTGAAAATACCCAGTATTGACAAGTACATGCAGCCATGGGCACTCTAGGACTCTGCTGCTAGGAGTATAAATCAGGACAGGAAGTTATCGAACTTAAATGATGTGGACGCTTGACTATTTTCTGGCTGAACTCGTAAAGATGTTTTGCTCTACAGCAACACTCTGGGCTCTCAGCCCCACCTTCCTGATTAGGACTCAGCTCTACCCAGTTTCTTCCTGGGGCAGGAAGAACTATCCTATGTCAACCTTTCCCTTTCTAGGGCAGAAACACAGATACCTTAGTGACAGAGCTTGGCTATAAAGTGATGGTCACATTTTACCAGCATACATGAGTCTCTAGGTGGGACTTTTGGGTTAGAGAACAGCCAGACTGGCTCCTATATCCCTGCCCCGACCTCTTGAGCTCAGCTGCTGGACATCTCACCACCCACTGTAGCTGCCTTGGGGATGCTTCTCCCAAAAACCCAGCCCATTGAACAGGACTGGTGAACACACCAGTGTGAGTCCTTAACTGCGCCTCTGAATTTATTATCTCTCTCAGACACCTGGGCTACATGCAGACCAAGGAATGGGCCGAGGCACCTCTTCCAAGTCCCTGAATATTCCTGGCAGTTCAGAGTCTCTGGAACATCCTATGAGCGTTAGGTGGCTGCCGCCCAGCCCCTTTCCATAGATTTGTGCAAAGGAAATAAGACCAATGTGTGCAGCAGTACATACGAGGATGTCCACAGCAGTGTTGTTTCTGATTATAAACATCTGGAAATAACCTAAATGAGCATCGACAAGGGGATGACTGAAATTAATTCTGTATCCACACACTGGAAATAACATCAAAATGGGGTAAAGATCTAGTTTGATGGCTGTTCTTATGAAAAAGCCTTGGGGATTTTTTGTGGACTATAAGATGAATGTGAGCTGATGTCATGATGTGGCCGAGAAGCCAGTCACCAACATGAATAAAAAGCCAGGAGCAAAAATAGCCCTGCTGCCCGCCACAGTTCTCAGACACAGCAGAAGACAGTGTCTGGGGGCTGCACAGACAGTCCAGAGCCTGAGGGCAGGGACAGCAGACCTGGGACACCTGCATGCCCTACCCACTCCTCCCTGGCAGACATTGCTAATTGATCACAGACTCCCTCCTAAAGAGCTTGGATGAAGCCTCAGCCTCCTTCCAACACAGCACTCCATACAACTGATCCCAGCTAGCATGTGAGATGGACTCTATTTGCCAAGGCCAAATAACAGTATGCCAGGAAGCAGTATAACAGTATGCTCCTATCAAGAGCTGGGGCTGTGCAGCCGGGAGGAAAGCAGCCTCGGGGAGATGATGTGATCCCCATCATCAAGCCTCTGACAGGCTGACAAGCCGAGGCTAGAGATTTCTCCTGCAGGCAGAACTATGACTGCCAATACCCGACGTGATGAAGTACACTCTCATGTGGTTAGGGCTGCTTAGGAGGTGGTGAGTTCTCTGTCACTGGAGGTGTGCAAGCTGCGGCAGGTCAGACACCCGTCAGAGAGGTGGTACAAGGGACTCCAATCCTGGCTGGAAGCCTCTATCCCAGGGCCATATGACCTGTCTGAGTCTGCCATCTTTACACCGAGGTCTCAGCTTAACCCCACTTCCTCCACAAGGCCACCCTCACCCCACACACTCTTCCCCACCCCGGGGATCACCTGATCTCGTGTGCAGTCCATCTGCACCATGGAGGAGTCTTGCTCTGTGAGGGTGGGAGACAACTGCCCAAGCATCCCCCAAAGCCCTGGCCTCCAGCAAAGATGGGAATGGCCATGAGCAGGAGGCCTGCTCCTTCCCATGAGATGAGTTCTGTATGTCCTGGATGGGCCCCTGGTGGTGGGACAGGCCAAGGACAGGGCCAGAGAGCACGTAAGGGCCTGGAGCTGCATGTGGATGCATCCACACTCTGCCCCAGAGCCCATCACGTGCTAAGGCACAGTGAGCCCTCCTTTCCCAGACTGGGGACTCCAAGCTTTGGTCACTGAAAGGTCGCCAAGCTCTTCCCCCTTCTCCAGTTTTCCAAACATGTTTTCCTGTGATGGAAGTGGTATGTGGTGTTTTATGTGGGGACATGGCTGGGTGAAGCGCTAGATCCCTATAGGACAGTGTTGCAATGGACACCTCGCAGGAATAGAGATCACAACTTGAAGAGTTTCCTCCTGCTGCCCCGCCCCACCCAGGCTTTCTGCCAAGCAAGGGGCCAAGCAGGCTCCTGGGTGGAATTCTAGCTCTACTGCTTACCAGCTGTGTGACCACAGGAGGAATTAATGCTGTGCCTCAGGTTCCTTCCTCTAAAATTGGGGTAATTAGTGTATCTACTTCACAGGACTGTGAAGACTTAGTGGAGCTAATTAATACAGTGAGGTCCTTAAGAAAGTGCTTGGCTCTTAAAAAGCACTTTTCAATGGCTGTCTTGGGTTATTCTCTGATCTACAAGCCCCAGCAGCTGGAGGCAGGAAGGGCAGACAAGCCTAGTGCCCCAAGCCAGGGTCACCTGCCCTGCACCCTGCCTGCTGTTGAGACCCTCTCTTCGAGACACCCACCTCCAGGCTGGAGAGCCTGACCCCAGGGTGGAGGGAGACCTGGACCCAGACACCTTCCACTGGCCTGTTCCCTGGACTGGGGAGCTCATGGGGATGGGTGAGAAAGGCAGACAGTCCAACCCCAGCCCCTCAGCCCAGACCTGTTGGATGCCACGTCCCGACTCGCCAGGGAATGAGTCAGGGCTGGGGGGCTGTGGCCTCTCAGCCACGGATGTCTCTAATTATGGCCTATGAAGTAATGAATGACTTTTCTCAAGAAAAATGTTAGCCAGGGGAGGTTCTGGGCACCAGTGAGGGTACAAGATGAAAGCAGTGACCCACTGTTCACCCCCAATATCGACAACGACAATGGTAGTAACAGCGAATGTCTATATGGCTAGTGATGTTCTAAGCTGTATATGGAACACATTCAGTGCTCTCAATACCCTGCAGGCACGGAAAGGTGGCACCCATCCCCAAGGGCATATGGGCAGCTTGGCCAGGACGCCCGAACACTTGCCCATTGTGTTCATGCAACTTCTTACGGAGAGGGCAAACACACATGTATGTACACACATATACATACGCAAACACAAGTATACACGGGTCTGAATTATACAGCAGCAACTTCTCCACAAACCTGCCAGGTACAAGATGCCGTGGTGGGTGTGTTTAAAATACATGACCTGTAACTCAACCACCGTCGCTGGGAGGTAGCTAGGACTGCTCCCTTCTGCAGATGACAAACTCAGGGATGGAAGAGTTGAGTCACCAAGTCAAGGTTGTGAGTATAAGACAGAGTTGTGTGGGACCTGACCCCACACCATGCCTCTCCTGCCCAGCTGCTCAGGGGAAAAGCATGCTGCTGGCAGCTTGGACAGGGCTGGGTCCAGAGCCTAGGGGTCCTGGGGTTGTGCACAGTTATGAGATAAATCAGAGAAATAAGCCTAGCCACGTGTGGCCAGAGGGTGGCCACATCACATGGCAAAGCCACCCTCTTCAGAGGGGGCCGGGCCCCATGCTAGAGGAAGCAGGCAATCTTGAAAGCCTGTCTGTGGTTAAATGTCCATGCCAGCAGCCTCAGGCCAGACTCCTGGCAGTCTGCACAGGCCAGAGCAAAACAGCCTCCTGAAGTACGTATGCCCATCACGCCTCCAGGCCTCATGGCTTCCCCTATACTCTGCTTTCAGGGTTTCTGATTTCCAGAAAGGGAGCCTAGACTGGGCAGGCACAATTCATTTCCAGCCCTCACAAGCTCCCTCTTGGGGCTTTCTGTGGCTCTTCTCTGCCTAGGCCACATTAACCAAGGTTAGTCACCCAGAGGAAGGAAGGGGATGGTCTTGTTCTGCACAGGGCTATCTTCACCTCTATGCCCCCGTCTCGGGGAGGGATGGGACACAGCCAGGCAGGGTCTGGGGGGCGGGTGGGGGCACATCCTCTGAGCAAGAGCAGGGATGGCACAGCTGGAGAGAGGTGGCCGCCACCCCTGCCAGGTCTCTGCAGGGTGGTCCTGGTGCAGAGAGAACAGGCAGGTTTGTGAGGCCAGGGGCAGGAGCTTCAGACAGCTAGCAGTTTTGAACAGTTCAGCAATTTAAGAAGGGGCTGCTTTAAGGGCTAGTGCAGGTGTTCAAGCAGGGTCTGGAAAAATCAGTCTTTCTGGGCTGATGTGGCTGGGGCTGGGTCACCCACACGTATGCTCACCCACTATGCCACTATGCGACGGGGGAGCCCAGCACAAGCTAAGTACACAGATTTCACCCCTGCAACAAGCCTGTCAAGAAAGCACTGCTCTTCCCATTCTCCATATGAGAAAATGGAGGCTCAAGAAGGGCCCACTGTGATCCTTGCCCAGGACTGCAGACCACAGAGCAGAGCCAAGATTCAAATCCATGTCATTCTTCTAGTCCTTCCCATTCTGGAATGTTCTCGGGACTGCAGTCCCCAAGAGTTAGCCTGGCCCCAAGGAGCAGAATGCAAGGATACAAAGAAATGGACCTCAAAGGAAAACCGAATGTGCAAAGAAGGGACATAAAGTTGGCCAGCTGTGGTGGCTCACGCCTGCAATCCTAGCACTTTGGGAGGCCGAGGTGGGACACTGCTTGAGGCCAGGAGTTTGAGATCAGTTTGAGAAACGTAGCAAGACCCTGTCTCCACAAAACATTTTTTAAAAATATTAGCTGGGCATGATGGCAAGTGTCTGTAGTCCCGGTGCTTTCGGAGGCCAGGGCAGGAGGATCACTTGAGGCCAGGAGTTGAAGACCAGCCTGGATAACATAATGAGACTCCATCTCTACAAATTTTTTTTTTTTTTGATACGGAGTCTCACTCTGTTGCCCAGGCTGGAGTGCAGTGGCGTGATCTCGGCTCACCGCAAGCTTCACCCCCGGGGTTCATGCCATTCTCCTGCCTCAGCCTCCCAAGTAGCTGGGACTACAGGCACCCACCACCATGCCTGGCTAATTTTTTTTTTGTATTTTTAGTAGAGACGGGGTTTCATAGTGTTCACCAGGATGGTCTCGATCTCCTGACCTCGTGATCCACCCGTCTTGGCCTCCCAAAATGCTGAGATTACAGGTGTGAGCCACTGCGCCCGGCCAAAAAAATTTTTTAAATAGCTGGGAGCAGTGTCTCTTGCCTGTAGTCCTGGCTACTCAGGAGGCTGGGACAGGAGGATCCCTTGACCACAAGGAGTTCAAGGCTGCAGTTAGCTATGATGACATGACTGTACTCCAGCCTGGGCCACAGAACAAGACCCTGCCTCTAAAAAACTTTTAAAAAGTTATAATAAAAGGGCTGGGCATGGCGGCTAACGCCTGTAATCCCAGTACTTTAGGAGGCCAAGGAGGATGGATCACCTGAGCCCAGGTGTTCGAGACTGGCCTGGCCAACATGGTTAAACTCTGTCTCTACTAAAAATACAAAAAATAGCTGGGTGTGGTGGCGCAAGCATGTAATCCCAGCTACTCGGGAGGCTAAGGCGCGAGAACTGCTTAAACCCGGGAGGCGGAGGTTGCAGTGAGTTGAGATTGCACCACTGGGCAACAGAGTGAAACTCGGAGTGTACTCCAGCTGGGCAACAAAGTGAACCTCTATCTCAAAAAAAAAAAAAATTAGAATAAAAGAAGAGACATAGAGCTGGTGTAGCCAGCAAGACAGGAACAGTGAGGGCTTTCCCAGGGGAGGCTGTTCTAGTGCCGGTCAGCCATACCCACTTCTCTAGTCTTGAGCGGAGGCAGCATCCCCACTGATGCCTAAAGCCTTACAGCCTGGCACGCAGTTCTAGGAGAATGATGCCTGGCTGTTGACCAAAAAGACTTATGGACTCCTGAGGTCCTTCCTAGGGAGCAGTAGGGTGAGGACCTCCTAGATGAGGCCCAGCAATGCTGGTCGCCTCCCCTGGCAGGCAGGGTTTGGATGAACATGACCGGGTGGTGAGGAGGAGGGGTGAGGTCGCAGCACCCCCAGTGGAAACCTAGGGAGGGTGGACAGAAAGGGAACGAGTGAGCCCTGGAGGAGCACACGTAATGGGCACAGATGTTGAGTCCCGTGCTCAGAGCCTCCAGACGCTGCCAAGGTCTGGGACGGAGGGGCTGGTGGAGATGGAGCCCTCACATGGAAAGATTTAGAGCGAGAGTCTGCAGGAAGCACTGGCACAAAGTGACGGCCACCTAAACATCCCATGTGACTTCCGCTGGCTAACCAGGAGCACCATATCTAAAACGGGACAATACAGAAGTCACCCCTACAGGGCGTGGCGGGAGAAGGTGGGGGTCAGGAGGGTTTCTGCGTTTACCCAGTTCCCAGGTTTGGAGAAATGAGGATATCCAGGAATTGCAGAGGAACCCAAGAAACCGGACATCCCGCTGTCCAGGCACTGCCCCTTTGAGGCCTAGTAGACAGCCCAACCTCAGGCTCCAAACTGAGCTTCCTACACCAGGCCAGCTCCCCACAGCCTTCCCATCTCAGCGGGGTGCAGTTGGGGTCCTTGGAGCTGCTCACTGAGCGTCACTCTTGGCAACTCTTTCTCAGACCCTCCTCCCCATCAGTCAGCACATCGGGCTGCTCCGCCTTCAACACAGAGCCCGCATCTGCCAGCCTGTGTGGCCCTCATCTTTTCCCTGTGTGACTGCCATGGCCTCTCCAGGCTCTTCTAGCCTCACATGCCACCCCACCCCGCCCCTCTCCACCCAGCAACTGAGGTCCTGTGAAAACACAACCCTGACCACATTCTCCTCTCATTTGGCGGGACCCAGGAGACTCTGCAGGACCCAGCCATTCCTCCTGCCACCCTCCTCTGAACCCCCTGGCCACTCCAGCCCAGCCCCCTGGCCTCCTGGCTGTTCCTCTCCGCTCTGGCACGCTCTCACCCCAAGACCTGTGCAGGTGCTGTTCCCACTGCTCAGAGCGGACTTCCCCCAGGCTGCCTGGCTCCCTCCCTCACTCCATCCAGGTCTCTGAAGATAACTGGAGGGATGTGGCTGAGAAGGAAGAGGAGAAGATGGGGAGGTGGCAGAAGAGGGATGAGGGCTCCAAGAAGGCATGTGGTTTGAGCTGGAAGAGACCTGAGCATATCTGAATGGTGACAGGCAGCGACCCTGGCCGGAGGAAGAGGTCGGGCTCGTGGGTGGGCACACCACCGGAGGCAGAAATCCTCCTCTGGGGCCTCACTGTTCTCTGAGGGGCAGGAAGGGAGGCCAGTCAGCTGCTGATAGGGCCTGATCCTTCATCCCCTCAGTAAGGTGGGGCTCAGCCAGGGACAGTTTCAGGAAGCTAGGTCTGAACTGAGCAAGCCAGGGGGAAACAGAGAATGTCTCCCACCCTGTGCCTGGCTGCAGGGAGCACACCCACAGCGCTGTCTCCATGCCTCTTGGTCTCCGTGCGCCGTAGACAGACCTGTCCAATGGCCCATCAGAGCCTGGAACTGCCGGGGCAGCCCGACCCGATCCGCGAGGGACACTGAGGCTGATTGTCCGGTTGCCTCCAGAGAAGATGAGCCTGGGCGGAGACCGGCCTCACTGACATGCCCCCGCCCTGGCCTCAGGCCTGCCCTGCTGAGGCCCGATAAGGCCCGGCCCAGGTCCGCCTCAGGCTGCAGCATTATCTTTAACGACTGTCACCCAGACCTCCAGAAGTGGCTTTTATATATATAGAAAAATATAGGACTCGAACAATGAACTTTTCAAAGCGGGAGGCTATTTTTAGAGCTTTGCTGACTGATCCAACATTGAGCATCTCCCTATGTGTCAGCAGCTGCTGGAGAGATGGGCAGACGGCACGAGGAGTCGGGCAGCAGTCAGCGTACAGGGGGCTTCTCAGGCCACCCAACCACATGAAGGAAGATGCAGTTTTTCGCACTGCCCCTGCCCTCTGGTCCCGAATGCTCTGTACAGCTCCGTCAGGCATCTACCACCCTAATGTTGTCATGACAGGAGTGACAGTAACATTATGGGCTAGAGTCCAACACTTGAGTTGGAACCCCAACTTCTCTGAGCCTTGGTTTCCTACCTGCACAGTGGGGGCAAGGCCGCCCCTTCACAGCATCACAGTGGAGTCAGTGAGAGTGTTCCAGGAAGCCCCACCAACAGCTAATGCCATGCCTAATTAGAGGGTAATTATTTCAGGAGAGACCTCTGGTCCTCAGACATGGCTGGTTCTCATCAGCGCGTAGTCGGGTGGGGGACAGAAAGAAAGGTCTCCGTGTCCTGTGAACCCAGGGCCACACAGCCAAGGCAGCCCTTGTCCTGTCAAAGGCAGTCTTTCCGGCCCCAGGGAGGTGATGGCTCCAGCCTCCCCAGCCCAGGCCTCGCTCCCAAACATAAAGAGTACCGTCAGCCTGCAGGGGCCAGGCCACACCCTCCACGGCTGCTGTGAGACCCTCTCTCACTCAAAGAGCCCAGGAACCTGAGTGGGTTTTGGAGATGAGAATGCAGGTTCCAGGAGACAGGCTGGGGATGAGAGGGCAGCCCCTAGAACCTGGAATCAGATCTCCCTCCCCCCTCACAGCTTCAGGGGCTCGCATGGGAAAGAGCCCGAGGGCCTTGGTGGCTGTGGATCAATGGCAGTGTGGAGCCCAGGGCTGGGAGAGGCCCTGGGGCATGTGGATGGCAGCACAGGGCGTCTGATGGGGGCTGCGTGGCAAACATGGGGGAGAGGGGTTCCCCTCAGCAGGAGGGAAGGAAAAGAGGGATTTGCAGGGACCATCTCCCCAGATCTCCGCTGTCTATCACACCAAGTTAGGTTTCCTCACAGCATGGCTCCATATCTGACTCCATCTTTTATCCTGCTTTTTTATTTCTGTCTCTCCCCTTGAGGAGGTCAGCTCGGGAAGGGCAGTGTCTGTCTGTTTTCCTCACTGAAGTTTCCACAGTGCCTAAATAGGGCTGGGCACATGGCAGGCGCTCAGTCTGAATCTGCTCAATGAATGAATGATGCTGCTAGTGACTTGGGGACCTGCACAACCCTGGGAGTAGATGCCAGCACTCCTAACACAAAGGGGTCAGGACAGGATGCCCCGCAGTCAGGATGGAAAGCCACAGAGCGGGGCAGAACGGGTCCTCAGTGCCAAGGCACAGCTGGCTGGCTGTCTTCTTCTCCCGCAACTCCACAGGCCAACGGCAGGGCTGCTGCTCTCTCATTTACAGGTGGGGGCACCGAAGCCTGGAGAGAACAGGGGCTCAACAGTCACATAGCTGATGCGCAGCCCAGCCTGGCAGAGCCCCGTGACTCTGGAGCTGTGTCCACAGCCCTCCTCTGCTCTGCAGCTGGGTTGTGGAGACACCAAACCACTATGGAAACTGTGAGTTTCTCCACCGTACAGACACATGCTCACTGTGCTGAAAACACTGTCCTGCAGGCCTCAAGTCACCAAGGAACTTGAACTACCAAGATCAGCCCCACCCCTTGAGAATGCCCTGGGCTCAGCTCTCTGTGTGTTGCTTCAGCCCTGTGCCTACCCCACCCTCCCACAGTCCCAGGAGGCCTGCCGGGCTGGGCCGGGCATTGGCGGAGCCTCAGAAAGGAAGCAGGGGGCAGACTGGCTCCGCAGGCTGGCAACCTGCACTTTCACTTGGGCCGAGAGCCAGCTGGCAGGGGGGCTGTGAGGCTCTGGATAGGGGGCCGATGCCAACACCCTGCAATCAACCCCAGCCAGGGCCTCTGCCTGGTGAGGTGTCACTACAACAGGCATCACTATCAGTGCCACAGAGGGGCCCCAATCTGCCCGAGGATCTCACCCCACATGCTGGGGACCAGAGCACCAAACCAGGGTAACAGGCTTAAAACAGGAAAAGTCAACCCCTAACGCCAATCCTGCAGCCAACCCCAGGACAGGCAGCCTTTAAAGAGAGGGGCTGGGCAAAGCCCTTTATTCTCCCGAGCGCCACCGGGCCAGGGCCAAGGTGAGGATGAGGCCCATCCCTCAGGGACCCTCGGCCTTGCCCCTGGGAGAGTTGGTCAGGAGACCTGGCACCTGCCCAGCTGCTCCCCATAAGGAGACCTCGGACTGCACGGAGCTCTCTGGAAGATAGATTCTGTGTGGGGGGTTCACGAGGTCTCCAATAGAGACTGGCAGCCCCTGGCCCAACTTGGTCCACAAAACATGCTCTCTGTGGCCCAAACAGTGTTTCAAAAACTAGAACGAATCACTAACATTTCAGCAACTTAAGATTTTATATGAAAATCTAAGTTTCGGACTCATCTTGGGGACCTGACCACCCTGGGTCCATATTCCCACTTGATAACAGTCAGACAAAGCGAGGTGGCAGCCGCATCCATCAGACAGCACATGTTCTGTCACCACCAAAGTCCCCACCACTGCCACAGTCCCCACCACTCCTTATCGCCCACCCACACCTGGGCCACCCCTTCTCTTCCTGCCTATTGACGGCATCCATGTTTGCCTATGATGCTTACACAGGACCAAAATTCAAGGCCCAACGCAAAGAACAGAACTAGGATCTACAGTTTGGGACCAGTTGTTCCCAAGAAACCTAATTTAGAACACCAATTCCCGAGAGGCAGGGTTCAAGAACTCCCACAGCTCTGCATGGCTGGTGGGAACACCAAGGCCTTCTGCTCCACTGGGTCCTGTGAGTGTGTGGTTTTTACAAGGCTCTAGCAAATTAATACCGTCGCAGTGACCACAATCCACAATCCCATGGTCATCATAACCACCAAGCCTCAATTCACCAGACGCCCTCGTTCCTAAGTTTCCTAGGGTTAGAATATAATTTTCAAAGCCATCTGATACCTGGTGTTTATTCCAAAACTGGATTCTAAGAGGATGTTCTTGGGTTCAAATTCAAGCTGTTCCCACCCTCGGCAGCCCCCTCTGTCCACCTGTGAGAATGCCAACCTGAGTTTGGAGGAATGCCCAATGGCTCCAGAAGCGTCCCTGGGGAGTGTGGGGGGAGCTCTACGTGCAATCGGGAGACCAGGTCTCTCTACAGCTCCCCTACTTCCAGGCTGAGTGGCCCCAGGCAAGTGCCCTCCACTCTCTGGGCTTCTGTGGTCTCATCTTCACAACGGGTGTCACTCCTGCTCCGCTTGCCCAACGGGAGCGTGGGAATCGAGGGAAGACACACTTTACCAACTGTAAATCCCACGTGGAGCTGTTTCTGCTCTGTGCCATCAGCCAGAGAGGAAAGGCTCAACGCCCTTAACTCCTCAAGTCTTGTGGCTGGGCTTGTCCAGGTCAGAAAGAGGGACATCAGGAGAAGTGTTCCCCAGCCCAGCGCCAAATTAAGCCCTGAGGGATCAGGAAACGAGATACGTCCATCTCTGTGCCTGCATAGAGGGCTTTATGCTTCCAAAGGCCTCCTTCCTTCCACTCTGCCACAGCTTACCTGGTCTCAAGATACAAAGTTTACAAGACTGCTTCCCTTGCCATGACCTCATCTGCATGGCCTCACCTTCTCCCCTTGTTCCTTTACTTTCTTCATTAACCATTCCTATAGCCTGCCCTCTGCCAGACGCTTGTCCCTGGCTAAGAAGGGTGGTTCTTGTTGGTTCTGAGTGCACGGAGATGACCAGAAGCTTCCAACCCCTGGGCTCACTCGGAAAGATTTTTCAGAATATACACACGCACAGAGCCAAAAATCTTCCCGGCTGAGCCAAATTAAATACAGAGGCCTCTAGTTATTTCCATACGCACCAAATGGACTTAAATAAAGCAGTTCTCTGTGGCAGGCTCCAGCAGAGAGAGCTAGGCTGGGCCCCAGGGACACCCCAGGAGAGCCAGGCTGGAGGCACAGGCTGGGGAGGCTGGCTCTGGACAGGGTGTGGACAGAGAGGAGGAGACAGATGCCCATCGCGCAGAAGGCCTTCCTCATGGCCCGCCCTGCCAGCCAGGGCCTGTGGTGGGGCCATCTTGGCCCAGACAATCTTGGTCTTTTTTAGGTGCATAGCAAAACTGAAAGGAAAGTATGGCATTCCCATGTACCCACTGCCCCAACACAGGCACAGCCACTATCAACATCCACACTAGAGTGGCACGTTTTTACAGTCCATGAACTACGGTGACACATCATCATCACCAGGGTCCACAGTCTACATTCGGCTCCACACTTGGTGTTGTAAACAGCAACCTTTTGAAGCAGGTACTATATCATCTTCCCATTTTGTGGATGAAGAAACTAAGGCACAGAGAGTTGATGTAATTTACCCAAGGCCGCGTGACTCACAAAGAAAGTGAGGAGGGGTGAGGCTGGCTGAGGCCCCGGGACACCTCCCTGCCTGTCATGTTCTTACCTCTGTGGGGCCAGCCCACCACCCTATCTAACCATCGAGCTCCCCCTGCCCTTGCAGGACCTGGTGCAGGTGCTGCCCAGACCTGCAGCACGGCAGCTGCCAGGCCCCACAGCAAGTCAGCAATCTGCCCACAGCACCCAGCACAGGGGCACAGAAAGGGTCTTGGGGACAAATGAAGGCTGGGGGTAGGAAACACTATCCCCCTCAACCTCCCCTACCTACAACATTGGCACACAGAGCTCTTCCCCGGCAACTGTCTGGTACCCAGCAGGCAGGAGCTGTGTGGCCCTGGGCAAATGACTTGGCCTCTCTGTGTCTGTTTCTCAGTCATAAAATGGGAGTATTGTCCACCCAGCAGGGCTGCTGTGAGGGCCATATAATAACACACACAAAATCCTCAGCCTGGGGCCTGTCACCCAGGAAAAGCAGAGAGTAGCTGCTGCCACTGTCACGATTTAAGACTGTTATCACGTCGCTGCACTGCATGGTGCCATGGGTGCTAGAGGGAGGTGAGCTGGCCAAAGAGGAAGAGGTCTGAAGGAACATAGACCATCTGATTCCACACTAGCACCCATACCTGGGGAGCACGAGGGGTGCCTGGCTGGGATGTGGCCATGCCTAGGGTGTGACTTTGGCTTGTTTTGGCTTCTAAGCCAACTAAGCTGGGTTGGGGGCACTCTATGTACCAAGCACTGTGCTAGGAGCTAGGGTAGCAAACACACTCATACTGAGGACAGTGGCTGAAATGTGTTAGCACTTGCTACATGCCAGGCTCTAAGCCCAGCACTGTGGGGTGGCACAGCACCGGGTGATGATGACAAAGGTGAGTAAAGGTGACGGGAGCTGTCTAGGATGACTTTGGTATTCTGAGTGAAGCCCAAGAGGATCAGATGATGTCATGGAAGAGAAGCCAATTTGGGGAGAGGGAGATAATATGTGTCCTTTGGAACTTACAGATTTGCAGGTGCCCATGAGACCCCTAGAGAGGGTTGCTGGGTGGGTGGCAGGATGTCAGGGCCTGGGCAGGAGCCAGATCAGAAACCCCAGGAAGGAAAAGACTGTGTGAAGTAGAGAAGGAAAGAGGGCTGGGCAGAGGCCCAGGGACCCCCAGTGCTGAATGGCCACCCAGGGGCCCAGCAAGACGAGGGGCTGACAGGCCTGGGAGGGTGGCAGGGGCGCAGCCTGGCTACACGTCCTGGCAAGGGGAAAGCCAGGGCAACAGGGAGACCCTGCGGAGCTTGAAGCTGAGAGCCACAATACCATCCAGGGGACCCCCAATCCGATGAGAGAGGCTGACAGCCCATTCCACACCCCGCCCTCCAGAGGTCCTAGGCAGATGGAAGAGAAGCGAGTTCTCCTACCCTGACCCAGGAAGGCCCTGTCTGATGGAGGAGTCACGGGCCTAGCCTCTCCCAGTCACTTCCAGACACAGGGCATCCCAAATGGGTCAGACACCACTTGGTCACCAGGCTGGGAAACTGGCTCAAGCTCAGAGTTCCCGAGTTGGGCCAACAGAGCTAAGGGCTGTTCAAGAGACACTGTGGCCTGCCCCAAGCACCCGCCCCAGTGACATGACTTTTCCAAGGCTAGAAATGAGGCCAACCATGAGACAGGTCCTTGATATAAAATCAACAAAACGTCTGGGATTAAAACTAATCTCGAGCAATGAAATAAAACTGCACATAGGGATCATTATACCATTCTACTTTTGTACGTTGCACATTTTACATAACAAAAAGCTAAAAATAACGCTAAGACTCTGCTATCACATCAAGGTCCATTATCTTCTTGGGCCATTTTGCCATTTTTACGAAGCACAAACAAAAAATCTCAAACCCTGCTCATTTAAATGACGGCTCTGAGAACAGTCAATGGCCCAGAGGGAACAGAGAATTCACGTTCCTGCGACCGCACCTCCCCCTCCCCCAGCAGCAGAGGAAAGAGCTGCTTCCCCAAACACTTCCTCTCCACCCTACCCTCACCCCATGGAAATAGCGGCACTGCAATGGTATAACGATGACGGCTGGAGAGAATAGCAGTGCAGTGGGTAGGGGTCATCACAGCAGCTGCCATTTACTGAACACCTACTAGGTGCCGGGCGCTACTCCAGCCTCTCTTTCCCATCATCTCGGGTGGACAGTCGTCCTGATCCTGTCAGGAATCTGAGGATCGTTCTTAGCCCAGATGACTTCCTGGGGCTGGCGAACATGTTTTTGAGATTGTAGGCACTGGGTAGAGCTTCCAAGGATTCTCCTTCCACTCTGCTGATGGTAGTGCACCTCTGTAGCCATCCACGGTGGCTGTACAGGGAACCCAATGCTGCCACTGGAGTGCGCACAGCTGGGGCCTGCAGGTTTTGTCTCTCCGGCTCCTCCTTGGCCCCCTGCTCCTCCCTGCCTCTGCCTCAGGCTGCATTCTAACAAGCTGCTCCCCAGCAATGCCAGGGAGGGGAAAGAGGGTCCATGCATTTACCAGAGGACCAGGTCTATATTCTGCAGAGCTTGAATTCGTCATTTTCATTTTCTAGCCATTCTTTCCTCATCTGTCAAATGAGAATAATGCCAGTGATTTCACAAGGTTCTTGGTTCCAATCAGACAGGTATGTGTGAAGTTCAAAGGCCATCCAAATGCCAGTATCATCATTTTCATTCTGTAGCCTGTTCTAGCCCCAGTCTCAATCTTGTGCCAACTTAAGACCCACCAAAAACAGTTGAGGCTTTGCCCAAACCCAGCTGACTCCCCTTCCCCTTCCTGCCGGCACGCATAGTCACCTGTTTTGTGTCTACCCACACTGCCTCTCCCTCCATTGTTCCCATTTGACAGGCAAGGAGGCAGCAGCTTGCAGTGGGGACCACCTTGCCCTGGCCACACATCCAGGAAAGGGCAGAAACAGGATCCAAGTTTCTCCAGCTCCAGATGGCACCTCTGCCCACTGCAGCAAGCTGCCTCCCCTCCCAGGCAGACAGACCAGCTGAAGAGGACAGAGCAGCAGAACCAGGGACTGAAGGCCACTGCCCCTGAGGCCAGGCTCTGCAGCTTTGGGCCTTATTAGGCTCCAGAAGCAGCCCCAGGTACCACCAGGAAGCCAGACCTGCCCAAAGCCTCAGAAGCTCAGCACAGGCCACCAGCTGAGGGCTCCAGACGCACCACAGCTCTGCTCCATCTGACACAGGGCTGGGGGCCTCTACCTTGATGTCCTAACACCTCAGGGTGTCTCACACATGGTGCAGGCCATTTGCCCATTCCTATCTAAAGAAATCTTCATCCCAGCCCAACTGCAAGCTGCCTTACTTTGCAATTTCCCCAATCCACAGGCAAAGCGATTTTCTTAATACCCTTAACCATCCACTTCTTTGTGGGCTGTTTGGACAGCACGCTACAAGCACAAGCTAAAGTCCATGGGCTTAGTCACTTCTTACTGTGTCTGCCATCTGTCATACCACCAACAGCCTGCAGCCCTTTAGCCCTTTAACTTCTTCCCCTCACCACTATCTCTCTGCACCCCTCTCTTTTAACCCTGGTCCTGTCTGTGTGCCAAAAAGATAAACAATCCACTCCCATCTAGGAACACATCTCCCCAAACAAGTAATACGGTCCAGTTCCACACAGTCAAACTTCTCGGGCCTAAAACATCAGCTAAAGGATGCCATGTTTCTGGTGCTGACTATGCACTGTTGAAGCACTCACATGGATTCATTCATTTAATCCTCACAACAACTCCATGGCCTCCTCCTGTCATCCATCTTTTACCAATGGGGAAACTGAGGCACAGAAAGGCTAAGGAAGGTGCCCAAGATCATAGGGACAATGAGGAGCAGAGCTGGCTTTAGAGTTGGAGTTAGAGTTACAGGTAGTCTGACTACAGAATCTGCCTCCCTAACCATTGGGCTAAACATCCTGCATCTGCAAATGACTACAAGGATCAAGAGGCTCATTCTTCTTCTCACAGATGTGGAAACTGAGGCCCAGGGAGGGATGGGATGAGATGGGTGACTGACGCCAGGGCTCTAGGGAGGCAGACGACCAACGGTCAATCAGGGCCAGTTCTGGACAGGCCTTTCTGAAAGGTTTCCTCTCTCAGGATGGGAGACCTTTGAGCTTAAGGGCAGCCAGAATAAGGACAACAATGATCACAACTAACATCTACCGGGCCCTTGCTATGTTACTATGAGACACCGTTTAATTGCTTTACATGTATTCATGCATCTCATGATTATACCACCTACCCTCCCAGCCAGAAATAGAAAAGCAAACACCACTGGCTTCTGTAAATGGCATCAGGGAGAAAGTATTCATGTTGGCAGACAGACTCTGATCCGGTCTGGGCAGCAGGGGATTTTGGGAGAACCCTTCCAGTTTGTGTGAATGAGGAGGACTCCTCCCAGCTGGGGACTCGTTCCAATTCTTCCAGTTTATTAATGATCCCTCTCCCCTCCCATGGGATCCAGTTCAGCACCCACACACCTGTGTGTCCTCTAGTGATTCAAAAGCCCTAGCCTTGGGTTTCCTCACCATGCAGAAGCCTGTCATGTTCGCATGGGTCCCTCAGTGAGTTAGGGGACAGTCAGTTTTAGTCCTCAGGACCCTGCTCCAAGCAGAGTCTTGGCCTGGGGCTGCGCACAGCACACAAGCATGCTACCCTCAAGAGCCTGCAAGTGCAAAGGACACTGTCCCAGAATCCTGCCGGAGAGTCTGGGGATGCAGCTCTTGGGTTCTGTGGGGAAAGAGACAAGATGCCAGGAAGGCCCGGTGAGTGGTCATCAACCAGCTTGTGGGCTGAGACTTCTGAGAACATGTTGGGAATCCTGATACCTGGGGATACCAGACATCTGTTGTGGCAGTATAGGGAAGAAGCAAAAGGCTCCATTCATGGTGGTGACATATTTTGCCAAAGATTATTTAATCCCAGAGGAAGCAGAGCCTGGCCATGAAGTACACAGACCCTGAAGCCAGGCAGGCGGAGTTCAAACGCTAACTCTAGCACTCTAGCAACTTTAGCACTAAATGGCAACTGTTGCTATTACTATTACTACTGAGCTTTGAACAAAGAGGAAAAAACAAATGCAGTCACAGTGTCTCATCTTTAGAAACAGGGAGGGGACGCTTGCTATGGTTCTCCATCGGGACCTTAAGTTCAAATCAAACTGTCACCATGTCAGGAAACTGCAAACCGAGGAGATAAAACGGAAAGAATGGGCATTTCCTCCAAGGAGCAGCGAAGCTGCAGGTACCTATGAACAAGGCAAAAAAGAAATTCAAGTCAGAGCAGCTGGGACCCCAAGAAGGAAGATTTCACAAAAAGCCACACAGGCTCTAGAAATCAGTCTTCAACCTCACAAACGAGCAAAAAAGAAAACTGTGAGGAATCATTTTAACTCAGCAACAATTTCACAAACGGGAAAAGGTGGTAATAATGATGATGGTGATAACAGCTACCATTTGTTGGGGATCTATCTGTATGCTTTGGTCACCAGGCAAAGCTGCACATCCCCCACCCCCTCCCCAGGGGTTTCTTTTGGCTCCATTTCATGGATGAGAAAATCAAGACTCAGAGATGGAAGGCAACATATCTGAGGCCACACAGCCAGGAAGAGGTGGAGTCAGGGTTTTGTGTGATCCCCAAGTCCTGTGCTCTGTGATGTACCATTTCACACTACTAACCTCAGTGCTTCTACATCTAGCCCAGGGCCTGGTACAAAGTTGGTGCTCAGTAAATGTTTGTTGTGTGCATAAAGGAACACAGGAAAGTGAAAAGCTGCGTGTCCCCTGGGTCATACACATCTCTCCAGAGAACAACGCACTCCTCCAAGCCCAAGACAGCATGTGTGCACTTGTTAACACCTGCATTTATGGATGCTTTCATTCACTGACAACTGGCTATGTCCGCCATGAGGCCAGGCGCTATGCTAGGCAGGCATCGGGGTACTAGCCACAGGGCCAGGACTTGGAGGGACACTTGCCCAATTCAGGGTACAGCCATGGCAGCCAGGATAGTGGCAGGTCCAGGTGGCATCATGCCATACTTCAACCATAAATGCCATCAATTTCCTCTCTGCAGCAGCTCATGCAGTGGGAGCAGCCAGATTCTCTAAGGCCATGCCAATTAATTCTTCAAGAGCCTTAATGGCCTCTAAACTCATTACAATTTGCTTTTGAGGACAAACAATAAATCACATTCAACAGCATTTGAGCATACTCCCCCTACACACACACACACACACACACACACATGCTTCCATGGGAGATCTCTCCCAAGGCCTCCGGTGGTGTTTGAGCCCATCTGGGCTGTGCATCATCTTGCCCCTGTGCTTACTGGGCGGATATTCCACATGTCATCATAATTCAAAGGAAATTTACAAAACAGGAAGCAAGAAAATCCAGCGGGTCATTGGTGCCTGGGAAGAGCAGAGTGCTGACCTGGACAAACATGGCATTTGACTGGAGTCCCGAGGATGGCCAGCTGTGCAGTGGCCTTCAGACATCCACATTCTCAGAGCACTCCATGAAGCAGTGTTATCATTCCCTTTCACAGAAGGGGAAACAGGCTTGGAGGGGTGTGGTAACTTGCATACACTCACGAAACTGAGCTGGGACTTGAAACAAAATCTGTTTGCCTCCCCAGGCCCTTCTTTCCTTAAGTCTCAAGCTGCCCTGGATTCCAGATTATCCTGGTAAACCAAGATTCCACAGTATGCAGAGTCCAGACAGATAAAACCGTATGCACACACAGATGCACACACATGCACACACACATATACTGAGCTCCTGCAGCCCTGGGTACCCTGTCCAATACTGTCCAGAAACATCTATTTGCCCAGTTGTCACACTGTTTGACTATGCAGCTGTCAGTCCTGTCCATGTTTTTGAACTGAAGCTGTGTAAATATTAGCGCAACCAGTTCATAGTCCGACTTCCTTGAGTGAAAGCCTGAAAATCCTAGCAGGGCTAGCCAGGGCCTCCAGAGGCCTCCATCACAACATTGGGGTTCTCCTGTAGGCTCCCCATGTGATATTCTGGCCCAGTCTCTGGGTTCTCTTAGTGTGTGTACCCTTAAAAAAACGAGGATAAGAAGAGTCCTGTGTTTCACAAGGCTCAAACAGCAAAGTGCCACACACGCTCTTGGAAAGAAGCCTGTTATTTGTAGAGTGGTGCATGGTGGCATGGCTGGACTTGGGAGTGGTTATCTTGGGCCCGTTACAGACTAAGGGGGGTCCCCTGAGGTTTCTGGACCGTGCTGCATCCCATCCGGGTTTAGAGAGGGGGAGACGGCCAGCTTAAAGGGCTCTGGCCCCTGGGAGCCAGCCCAAGGAGCATCTAGCTCTGCCTCCACAGGCCAAGGACTGGGTTGATTTCCTCTACCCCTCCCCCAAGCTTCCCATGGAACCACATACCAGGTGCTCCAGAGCAAATGGGATCCACCTGCTCTGAGGCTGATGCGTGAACTATGGGCTACACCTGAGCGAGGCTTCTCAACCTCCAAGACCTCTGCCTCATGTTCTGAGACTGGGGGAGCAGCTGTTCATCACCAACCCAGACCACAGAAGGATCCAAGCAGGCTTCCCTGAAGCTGGAAGATTGAGATGAGATGCCCGGAGGGACTTCTAATGAGAAGGGATGTGGGACTGAGAAGTATGCAAGAGAGGTGGCCTGGACATGTCAACTGGAATGGTCCTAATGGAGGGGCAGAAACCCCTCCCCAGTTACTTTCAGCTCAGAGGGAGGCGGGAGGTGCAGCCAGGAGAGCACGCTAATGGTTTCTTGTTCCCCACTAGACTGCTGGTTCCATGAGGACAAAGACTCCATGTTTTGTTCACTGCTGTGTCTCTGGTGCCTAGAGCAGGGACTGGTACATAGCAGGCACTCAATAAACCACAGAGCTTTAGTACTGACAAGACTGAATGCTCAGCCTCGATTTGCTCTCCTGCAATATGAGGATGCTGGTACCACAAGGGTAAGAAGCAATTGTAATACCAGGTGGGACAGCTGATGGACTATGAGGGCCGCGGGTGTGTGTGGGATATGAATAACATGACCCCCATGTCCAGACTGCTGCCACTGATTCCAGACAGATGGTCTTGCAGCTGCAGCATGCCTGGCCTCCACCCCAGATGCAAGGAGCAATGGGGTCCTTGAGAAGCCCCCCAACCCCACTTGGAGGCTCAGGCTCAGCGCTCCAGGCCTCTGGGGTGAGGAAGGGGCAGAGGGAGACATATGCATGTTCTCAGTGCAACTGCTGGACATGCGCTGCACAATTTTTGAACTGAAAGATCAAACAGCTCCAGGTGGGCTTCCTCCAGAGGGGGCCTGACATAAGCCAAGTCAGCTTGTCAACAAATCCCCTTAGCCCCACCCCCCTGCTCCTCAGAAGGGCCTGCAGATAGCTCAGGGGGCAGCTGTGCTGGCCATCGCAGAGAGGAAATCAATATTCCCAGCACATACACACACACTCCCTTTCTCCCTTTCTCTCCATAAACACGGGCCCTTGGAAGCTCAGACAGCCGCCCACAGGCCCCTAAGTAGAAAAGGGTTGGCCCCTCTGACACACCAGACTCCATCCCTGACCACACCAGGTGCACACGCATCACCACACAAAGCCCCTCACATCCACACTCTGCCACAAACAGCAGCCACACACCCCAGTGCACCCCCAAGTGGCCCTGCCAGGGGCAGAGTACCCGACAGAAGCTGCTGACACACCTGGGACGCCTGTTTGTTCAGGGTCATCCACCCTCACACACACTTGGGGTCTTGCAGACAGGACAGACACATCAATCCAGACATAGGCCCAATGTCTGGAATAGACAGGCCTGCAAGAGGCCTTCCTGGCAGCTCCGGCCCTGCCTGCAGTTGGAAACAGGCACAGACCCGCTGGGCACCCTCCCACCAACTCTCCGCTCTCCCTCCTGCCCCTCACCTCACACCCACACCGAGTCCCACTGTTTCCCTCTCAAGCCCCCAAACTCAAACTCACCCCCACACCAACTTGCACTCCAACAGGCCCTCGATCACACACACACACTCCCATCCTGAGACCCTCCCAGGGCACACACAGCGCTCCTGTCCCAAGGGCGCGTCTCTCTCTCCCACGCACAAACTCGGGTCCTGTTTGCTCTTCTCTCACCCAAACCCACAGTCTGGCGGACGCACCCCGCCCCGCAGGCAGCTTTCTCTCGCACGCCGGGCGCCCGGTCCCGACGGTCACCCGCACTCCCGCACAGGCATCCCCACAGCCTGCGCCAGCCCACCGCTCAGCACCCGGGAAGGCCGCTCGCCCCGCGCCGCGCCCTCACCCGCTGTCAAGCTCTAGCTCCAGAAGGGACTGGGTCCTCTCCGAGTTGCAGTGCAGGCACCACATGGCGGCCGCAGTGGGAGCGGGCCGGGCCGGGAGCCGGGACCCAGGCCCAGCAGAGGCCGCCGACTCCCGCCAGCGAGCCGCCGGATCCCGGGGCCGACACCCGGCCACCCGGAGACCCGACCACCCGCCACGCGATCACGTCGGGGCTCCTGGTCCAGCGTCCGCCGGCTCCCGCGGCTCCGGCCCCAAGTCCGAGCCCCAGGCCAGCCAAGCCCGCCCCTCCGCCGCCGCCCGCTTGGCGCAGCGCGAGGCCGGGCCGGAGGAATGTGGCCCTGAAGTGGGCGGGGCAGGGCGGGGGCGGGGCCGGAGGGCGAGCTGGGGGCGGGGCCGGAGGGCGAGCTGGGGGCGGGGCTGCGCGCGGGGGCGAGACTGCACGGAGCGTGTGGGGAAGAGAGCACAGGAGGCGTGGCCACACGGCGCCGCGGAAGAAGCACAGGGGGCGGGGGGTCAGGGGCGGGGCGTCAGGGGCGGGGCTACGCGCAGGGGCGGGGCCGAGCCGAGGCGCGGGGTGCAGAGCGCAAGGGCGGAGTCCCAGACACTGCATCCAGGTCCCAGCGCGCGAAGCCTCTGTTCTGGAAGGAGGACTTTGCGCAGCCCCTCCAACACTGGCGCCTCCCGGGAGCCATGTCTTCCTCTCCAGCGTGTAACCACAACAAATGCACAGCGCCAAACCCCCAACCAGAGCCTACTCCGCTGATGCCTACTCAACATCTGCCTATCCCGATTTTGCCTTCAGTTTATAAAACCTGGCCTTTGCCTGCCTGGACCGAACCGTGTGGTTCTGGGGCTCTGATGCGCCCCAGAGAAGGGAATGGGCCCTATCCTGAGGTTGGTACCACCCTTTTGGCGGCTTTTTGGGGGAAGATCTAATGGAAAGTTGCTTCTTTCTCCCTAAGCCCACCCAGCCCCCTACCCTTTCTCCACCCAGAGACACCCTTCAAGCACCTATGACAAGCTTAAAGTAATACTAATTAGCACTTTAGAGTTCTTTAGTGATAGTTGGCCTTCAAGGCAACATTGTGAAGTAGGTGGAGTTACCCCTGGCCTCATTTTACCAATGAGTAAACTGAGGCTCAGCTTAACTGGGCCAACTAAGAGACGGCTTCCCTCACTCTTTCCTCCTCTCCCAGGCTCTTCCTACTATGAGCGCTCATGGCTTGCAGTCCTCCATTTGTATGTTTACTTGTTTATTATCTGTCCTTGGGCTCCATGAAGGCAGATACAGTGCCCAGCGCCCACACCTGTGGAATGCCTAGACGTGGTTGGGAGACAGCAAGCAGATATGGAACAATCAAAACCCCACCTGTCCTGGGCCACCCACCTACAAGTCCATCTCCTGGAGGGCCAGGCAGCTGGCAGGCCTACGGGAGTCAGGAAGCTGCAAGAAGCCATCAAGGCAGGGGCATTGTCTTGTGCCCTTCTGAATCTTTCATTTGGAGGGGGACAGTGAAGGAAGGGGGCTGAGGTGGCCCAGCTTGCAGCAGAGGAGGGCAGCCCCTAAAGCCAGTTTAGAGCACCTGGGTTCCCAGGCAAGAAGCTGAGCAGGAGCCCAGTGCCCCTTATGCCAGTTTAGAGCACCTGGGTTCCGAGGCAAGAGGCTGAGCAGGAACCCAGTGCCCCTTCACTGCCCATCTCCACATTCCTCTTCTCAGCTTCCCATGTTTTCTTTGCTCTGTTAAAAATAAATGAAGACACAGAATGGGGGGAAATATTTGCAAATCATGTATCTAGTAAGGGTCTAGTGTCCATAGTACATAAAGAACGCTCACAATTCAAAAATAATAAGGCAAATAACCCAATTTAAAAACAGGCAAGGTATCTGAGTAGATTTTTCTCCAAAGACAATCTACAAGTGGCCAATAAGCCCATGAAAAGATGCTCTCAACCTCACTAATCTTTAGGGAACTGTAAATCAAGACCGCAATACCACCTCACACTCACAAGGAAGGCCATAATAAAAAAGATGGACAAAAGTACCTATACATAGAGGGTTCTGGAAGGAGAAGAACACTAGGCTGCACTGCTCAAAGACCACAGCCACATCTGGCATCTGTCATGGTTAGGGTAGGGGTAGGAAGCTGGGAGAGGATAGGGTACACATGACCCAGTTGATGGCAGAGGCAGCAGAAAACTCCCACCCCTGTCTGAAGTGCTCTCTAAAAATAGACTGCAATAAATGGAGCCAAAATAATTCCCCCAGCCCAGCTGCTGGAGCACTCTGGGCACGGTCTTTGACAGCCTCACCATCCGGATTGTCCAAGAATTTCAGGCACTTCTCCAGGCCCAGGGCCCTGCCGCCCAGCAGGATGGTCTTGGCGACATTGTCTCGGCTGGGATTTAGAAGGGGATTGAATTTCGCTGTTAGCATTTGGAATACCAGATGATGGACACTCTGGAAACCAAATGCATCTTGATTCTCTTGTTTTATCTTTCTGCAAAGTGTGCCTCTTGCTCCTGCTCCGCTAACTGCCTTGCAGATTAATAATTTAGGGAACTGTGAGCAGAAGCAAGAAAAGTTCCAGCCTAGAGAGGCAGAGAAGGCCAATTTTTCTGCAGAAATGACCAGACTGGTCAGAATCCTTGCATGCACCATTCAGGCAAATTGCTTAGTTTTCTGAGTCTCAGTTTCTGCAACTGTAAAGAGTGGCTTAGCAGCCACCTCTACCCCAGCTAATTCACCTTGCTGTTTAATTTAATTTAGCAAGCATTAATTAGTACTTACTCTGAGGCCTCAGTGGGGAAACACTGCTGTGACAAGTATTCCCCAGTATGGTGTCGTGACAGTGGAGGAAAGAGCTTGTAATTCTGCCCCAGGAGAGGCTCTAATGGGGGGACATTTTGGGTTGGACCTTGAGGGATGAGGAGGGCCCCATGTATGGGGTCACAGGATGTAAAAAGTCATGGAGACGTTTAGTTCCACTGTATCACCCCATGTTTTAGTCCTGAGCTGCTTGCCTTGGCCCATTTCACATGCTACAACCCGACTTTATCTCTATCCTCCCCAGCTTCTGATAGCCTCCAGTCTTTCCACAGCCTCCCTGCTTTCCTCCAGCCAGATGTGTGGCACTCTCCCAAAGCCCAGCCTTTGCAGCCCCTCTCTCCAAGCTGTCAGGATCAAGCCCAGCCTCCCTGCACAGCCAGCCTCGTGGCCTGGTTCATCTCTCCATCCCTTACCTCTCCTCCTGCCCACTCTATGCCTGCCACACCTCCAGCAACACTAAGCTTCTTTCAGTTCCCCACACTCCCCACTGTGCCTGGCTCACAGCTAGGACCTTGGTTTTCAGCTTCCTATGTCACTGCTCCCAGAAAGACACCCATGACCAGCGCCTAGTCCAAGTCAGAAACTCCTTTTACATGGCATCAGGTTACTCTGCACCTGCTTGCTTATACCAGTGAGCTGTATTCCAACTGCCAGGGCTGGTTCTATGTCCTTCCCTGCAGCAGCCCCTGTGCCGACAGTGGAGCCTGGTGCACAGAAGGTCTTCGACAGCTGAATACGCCAAAGGTTGGTAAACTATGGCCTGAGAGCCAAGTCCAGCCTGCTGCCTGTTTTTTTAAAATAAAGGTTTATTGGAACAGAGCCACGCTCATCCACTTATGTATTGTCAATGGCTTCTTCCATGCTATGATGATGAAGTTAAACAGTTACAACAGACACATGACCTGCAAAACATACAATATTAATGCGCACATGCAGCCCTTCTCTGAAATAAATGAAGCTCTCCTGAGGCAGTCTTACATTGGCTCCAACTACCCTGGCAAACCCCCTGCGTGTTCAGCCAGACACCCCATGCAAGAGCAGAATCCAAACATGGGGGAAGACAGTGACTGAAATGATAGGGCTGGGCCAGATGATCCTCAGATGAGATGGCCACAAGATGGGATGCACTGTTGGGAACGAATCCTACAGCGCCGCCTGCCCATGTGCACATAGAGGCATGCCCAAGGATATTAATTATTTGAAAAAGCAGAACTCGGGAGGAAACGTGCAATGCCTCTCAATGCAGACTGGTTAAGTAAATTGTATTACACCCATCAATGGAGTCCCATGTTAAAAAGATGGCAGCAGCATCTTGCATACTTATAGGAAAAGATCTGAGACACAACATTGTGATAGAAAGTCCAGAAAAATGTGAAGTGTATTTATAAAAGAATCTACAGAACACTAGTATGCTTATATAAGATTGTATAATCATAGATTACTTCTTAAAAGAGACCCAAGAGTGCCATTGCACTCCAGCCTGGGAGACAGAGCGAGACTCTGTACCCTCCTCCAACACCAAAAAAAATTTTTTAAACAAGTGTTTGTTACTTTTTAAAAACCCAGTTATGGGCCAGGTGTGGTGGCTCACCCAAAGTCAGGAGTTCGAGACCAGCCTGGCCAACATGGCGAAACCCCATCTCTACTAAAAATACAAAAATTAGCTGGGCGTGGTGGTGGGTGCCTGTAATCCCAGCTACTCAGGAGGCTGAGGCAGGAGAATCACTTGAACGCAGGAGGCAGAGGAGCCGAGATCGTGCCACTGCACTCCAGCCCTGGCAACAGGGTGAGACTCCATCTCAAAACAAACAAACAAACAAACAAACAAACAAAAACAAAAGGCCAGTTATGGATTGGACTGGAACCAATGCAATTTTTTTTTTTTTTTAATGTGCCAGTGAAGCCTGGGCAACATGTCAAAATCCCATCTCTACAAAAAAACAGAAAAAGTAGCTAGGCATGATGGCATGTGCCTGTAGTCGCAGCTACTCAGGAGGCTGAGGTGGGAGGATCACCCGAGTGTAGGAAGGTCAAGGCTGTGGTGAGCTGTTATTGTGCCACTGCACTCCTGCCTGGATGACAGACTGAGATCCTGTCACAAAAAAAAAAGCCAGTGAAATGAAGAAATCAAGGGACTGAAGGTCTTCTGACATCTTCTAGGAGGCTCTGAAGCCCACCAGAACTAGTCCACAAAGACCCCAAACGCTTGATGGTACTTAAGCCACCTCTTGGGCCACTCCAGGTTCCTCGTCTTTCAAGCAGGTTGTGTCTTACTGACAACCACAAAAATCGATAAGACTGGTGGTGTAGCACATTTTGAGCTTCTGCTCAGTGTCTGTTAACCACCACTATGTTACCATTCATCTTACGAAATGAGCATTCCCCCATCACAGCCAGAATGCTGGGTCTGCGAGGGAGCTCTGCGGCTGCCACTTAGCCCCAAATCCTCATTTTACAGACAGGGAAACTGAGGTCCAGAGAGGTGGAGGGATGTGCCCCAGAACTATAAACACTGACACTGACCCGAGGCTTCATGCCACACTGGCCACCACAATACAGCACCCAGCCTGGACAATACAGCATCCAGCCTGGGCGGGTGTGTTTTAAGACCATCATTCTCATCCAAATATGGAATAGAACCTATTCCTAAGACTGTTAGATGCAGTAAAAAGCCAGAGACAGCTGCATGGAACACAGCACTCTATAGAGTGGCACCTCAGGGAAGCCAGCCCATCCCCCAGAACAGAAATGTTTCCAGATAAATAAAGCTGTTCTTACCAAGTGCCAAATTATCTTTAAAATTCCAACCATTTTCCACAGAAACCACTTGTGAATTTGGGACGTGCCATATCTTACTAAACAAAGTAAACGGAATGAACTAGGGATTGCTGGAGGTGGTATAGGGTTGTCCACCCTGACCTAGGCTTCTGGCCCGGGTTTCCTACGTGACACTGAACTGCTCAGGCACCACACCTGCATTGTAATCCAGCTCCTGCCTGTCTTTTCAGCCTCATTCCCAGCTATGATCCCTGCAACGCAGCCACTCCCAGAATGCACCCTGCACTTCCCAGCCCCAGTGCCTTTGCTTATCCTGTTTCCACGTCCTGGGTTGTTGCTTCATTTGATTGGCAATCTCTTATTCAACCTTCAAAGCCCAGCTCAAATGTCCCCTTCTCTTTGAGGCCTCCCCTAATCCCTCTACCCCCAGGCAGAGCAAGAACCCCTTACTTAAGACTGTGGGCACCTCGACGGTAGGGAACATTGCGCTCCATGCACCTTCCTGGTGGTGGGGCCCAGACACTGCCATTGTCCTGTGTAACTGGCCTGGTTCCAGACAGCTACCACAGCCCTAGGGAAATTCATCCCAACTACAATGGTACTTGGGTTGGCCAAGACCCAACCATGACAGTAAGATTAAAGCAGCCTTACCCCATTTACCCTGATGTGATTATTAGGCATTGCATGCCTATATCAAAATATCTCATGTGACCCACAAATATATACACCTACTGTGTACCCACAAAAATTAAAAATTAAATAAACAAAGTGGCTTTAATGTTAAAGTCTGATGGAGCCACCAAGACCCAGTGCTGCCCACCCATTGTTCAGATGAGGCAGCTGAGGCTCACAGAAGCAGGGAGCACTTCCCCAGATCATGTGGGGACACATCCAAGAACTGGTTATCTGGCTTCCTTTCCCCAGCTCCTTCTGCACTGCTAAAACCTAAGACCCGTCGTGGTTTGAGGTGTCAGGAGGCTCTGTTTTCTTGTGGTCTTTAGATGAATAAAAATTAGACGCAGCTGTTATGGTGCCATTAGTTGACAAACGGACTCACCTGCTGAGGATGCATGGGAAAGACCCTGAGGGAAGGGCT
Source organism: Homo sapiens (assembly GCF_000001405.40). NCBI lineage: Eukaryota > Metazoa > Chordata > Mammalia > Primates > Hominidae > Homo > Homo sapiens. The sequence goes on from NC_000003.12 coordinate 12,974,087, forward strand.
GCAATAAAGAACCACTGCAGCTAGGCCACAGTGTCCCCCGCAAGGAGAAATGAAACCCAGCACGGGTACAGGTGGCTCTGCCAGGGCTCTGAGGAGCCTGGCACATGATGGGTGCTCAGTGGTTGGTGAGGGTTTTCTTTAGCACACAAAACAGCCAGGAATGGTCACCTCCTCCAAGAAGCCCTCCAAGCCCGGATCCCCAGAGCACTCCATGATTCTAGGTCCTCGGTGACCAATGTAACCCCTGCCACACAGGGAATGCTGGTCTGTTGTAAACGTGAAAGAAGGTGGTGAGAATATGCTTGCCGCATCCCTCATCAGTCTGGCTGCTCCTGTGGACACAACCCATCCCTCCTGGTCCCCCTGCAGAGCCTAGTTGGGTGAGCTGGACTGCCTCTCCCAAATCCAGGGGCAGGGCCCGCGAAGAACAGTCCTGTGGTGTCTTAAGGGCAGCTACTTGAGTTATGGGTCTCTATTCAAGTGGAAGGGAAATGGCCATTTGCCAGCCTTCCTGCAGGATTCAAGGGGCAAGACAACTTCAGGAGGAAATTCCACTGAGCTGCTGCCTCTATCGGTAGAGGACCGTTCCCTAAACTCCCCCCAACACACTGCTATCACCCTTCCCATTTAGGTGCCTGCCAGCCCCAGCTGACGATCAAAAATGCCCCCACTTCAGCCCTTCATACTCATCCCACCTTCCCTGGTAGGTGGCGCAGGGAGCCACAGCAGCACCCTCAGGGAGGGAGGACACTTATGCTGGGTGGGCTTGGCCCCCTGGGGCACAGCTCCTGGAACAGGGCTCCAGGCCCTTGCAGCTGTCGCCCCTGAGCTCTGTCCCCCGTGTCCACTCTCTGTGCCCCAGATAGAAGAGGCAGGCCTGTGGGCAGCAGGCCCAGCAGATATCCCAGCCCCGCTATGTGACCTCACACAGTTACTCTGCTTCCCAGGGCCTCAGCATCTTCAGCCTCAAAGTGGGGACAGTGCCACCTTCCTTTCAGGCGCAGTGTGAGGCTTGGCAATGACACCCATGACTGCCTAGCCAGGGCCAGGCACACGGCAGCCCTTCAGAGCCTGCAAGTTCCTCCCCTTGCTTCACTATGGCCCTGGCACCTTGTACGGGGGCAAAAGTGCAAGAGGAGCCAAGGTGTGTTGAGTGAGTAAGCACCTTTTCCAGCCATTGGCTGCGTCCCATAGTGGGGATGCTCATGGCTTACGGAGGCTCCATGTTCTGGAGCATGATCTTGAATCTTGGGCAAGTGGTTTGGTCTTCCTAAGCCTCCTTTCCCAACTCTCTGCCTCTTCTTGCCTCTTCCTGCAGCCTCCTCTCACAGGGCACACAGTCTGGACCAGGCACTTTACAGAAGTGTCCACACTTAATCCTCAACAACCTTCCATTTTACAGATACACTGAGACTCAGAGAGGTTGAATAACTTATGTAAGGCCACACAGCTAGTGCCTGGCTGGATCAGGGATTTGAGCCCAGGTCCATTTGGTCCCCAAACCATGAACTTAACCATGAAGCTCCACAGTCCCTCTTTCCCCATATCCAAGGTGCTTATTGAATGCAGGTTCTGTGCTAAATGCATGACAGGTTGTCTCATTTAAGCTTCACAATGGAACTCTAAGGTAGGGACTATTCTATCTTCTCATCCAGAAAAAGAAACCAAGGCTCAGAAAGATTAAAGAATTTGTTTAAGGGCAAACAGCTAGTGAGGGATGAGAACCCAGGACTGAGTCCCAAGTTCATTCTTACAACACTATTCCATCTGACCTTCAAGGCCCAGGAGGAAGACCTCTGCGGGAAGAAAGTCTCTGCCTTAGCTGATGTGTGAGTAACCAAAGCAACCTTGGCATCTGCCCCCCAACGGCTGCAGAGGCAGACTCCTGGCTCGGCTCCCTTCTTGGCTGTATAGCCTTGGGCGTCACTTCTCTGAGCCTCAGTTTCCTCCTCTGTGAAATGGAACTGAATAATCTATGTCTCTTAGGTTGCTGAAAAGAATTCAGTGAGCCATCCGGTGCTGGGCCTGAGCGGTGCTCTGCTTACACCCAGCCTGCTCCCTGAACCCCACTCCCAGAGTGTACACCACTCCCCGCTCCCTTTGCTGTACTCTCCTCCTGGGGTCTGCCCCTGGCCCTCTGGAAGGGAGTGACACTGGGGAAAAGCAGGAGGGGGGCAGCAGTGGCCGCCCCAGGAGGGACTCTGCCAGCCCTGCTGAGCACACCCCACAAGCCCAGGTGGGGTCACAGTGGGGAAGCGGTCCTTGCCTTTTCCCCACCTCTTCCCCGGCTGCCTGCGCCTCACCATTCCTCACTCAAGGAAGCACATCCTCCGGTGGAGCCAACACTCACAGGGTCCCTTACAGATCCCCCTGGGAGCCTGGGACCAGAGCAGAATTGGGTTCTGCAGCTTCCAAGCCCCACCCTCAGGCATAGAGTCTGGGAGACAGACCTCATACATGAAGGGCTCTACGACAATACATGTATGTTCTGTCACTTCTTCCTCGGGACCTTCCTGAACCTTCGTCCACATTCTCTCTGTCTCATCGATTCCCTTTAAAGCCCATCTCACAGTCCATCATTATCTGGCTTAATCACTTATGTACTCACTGTCACTTCCACCAGAAAGTAGCTCTGCAACTTTGTTCATTTGCCACTGTATCCCCTGCCGTCTATAGCAGGTGCTCAATAAATGTCTGCTGGACAGGTGAATCATGTTGATCCAGATTCACTCTAGTTCAGGGACCACCCACAGGGCTAAGGTAGGTCTCCTTCCCTCTCCCCATGCTTATCCTTGTCTCAATCTCAGCAATTCCCTGCACCCCACCCCTCTTTATACCATAGAGAGATTCTGGAAGGGCTGGAAAAATGGTTTTTCAAAATCACTGATTCTCATCTCTAGTGTGCTAGGAGAGCTCAGTATTTAAAGGAACCCATCAGCTAAAGATTTTATTTAAAAAGGAGGCGTCAGGCTGGGCACAGCAGCTCATACCTGTAATCCCAGCTGAGGGATTACAGGTGGGAGGCTGAGGCAGGCAGATTGCTTGAGCTCAGGAGTTAGAGACTAGCCTGGGCAACATGGCGAAACCTCATCTCTACTAAAAATATAAAAAATTAGCCGGGTGTGGTGGCACATGCCTGTGGTTCCAGCTACTAGGGAGGTTGAGGTGGGAGGATCAGCTGAGCCCAAGAGTTCAAGGCTGCAGTGAGCCATGATTGCACCACTGCACTCCAGCCTGGGCAACAGTATAAAATCCTGTCTCCAGGGAAAAAAAAAAAAAGCGCTATCCCGTTGGCAAAACGAATGGCCATCCTTGGTATACTTCGGTTTCTTTCCTGGTAGCTTTACCAAAACTGGGGCTTATCTGCATATGAAAATGGGTGGAGAAACTGAGGGAATCTAGAAAAAATACAGAGAGAAAGCTGCAAGGGCTTGCCCTCCTTCAGAACATCTCACCTGGATGTCACTGGCTTAGACACCGTGGCAGGGCCGGGGCTGCATTCCTGGTAGCTGTTGGGGAGACAGCCTGCTGCCTTTTATGTAGTGAGTTCACACCAAAGAACAGCTACCAAGGGAATGCAGGGCCTCTGCTGTAATGAATAGATACGTTCATTTATAATAAGTGCTGGGTTCACCTGTTTTGTAAATGGATGCCATTAAGTGCTCCTAAATCAACAGCGTCTCCTAAGTGAGTTAAACATCCCTTTTTGCAGTCATCTTTATGTTACTGATTTAAACAACACCTTCTTTTGTCCCAGTGGAAGGAAGACCTGACCCAACTCCACTGATTGAGAATTAATGGAGGCAGGACATGTGTGACGTGTGATTCACTGTTTGAATAAATCTGTCATTGAGAATGTGTGCATTCCTGAATGTGCTCAATAACTTCCCAGCATACCTTCCCACCTACTATGTGTTAGGCACTAGGCATCTCAGAGGCTGCAGATGTGGGCCCTGCCCTCAGGAAACTCGGTTGGGTAAGGGGAGTGAAAGTAATTCACAATTGGCGTCAACTACATTCCTGCATGAGTTCACATAATCCTGACAGAAATTCTACAAGGTGCGGATTGTTTTCTGATTTATCACAGAGGCCTTGAAGCCTAGAGAAGGTAAGTAATTTGCACTAAGACACACAGCCCATGTGATGAAGCTGGGATTAGAGCCCAGTAGGCTGACACTCAGCCTGTGTTCCTTGCACTCCAACAGTTGTCCTCAAAGTGGGGTCCTAGAAACAGCAGCAGCAGCAGCCTCAGCTGGGAATCATTTGAAATGCAAATTCCCACCCCCCAGATGACTGTAATACCTGCAGCAGTTTAAGAATCTTTGCACAGGGCCGGGCGCGGTGGCTCACACCTGTAATCCCAGCACTTTGGGAGACTGAGGCGGGCGGATCACATGGTCAGGAGTTCGAGACCAGCCTGGCCAATACGGTGAAACCCCGTCTCTACTAAAATAAAAAAAACTACAAAAATTAGCCGGGCGTGGGGCGGGTGCCTGTACTCCCAGCTACTCGGGAGGCTGAGGCAGGAGAATCACTTGAACCCTGGAGGTGGAGGTTGCAGTAAGCAGAGATTGCACCAGTGCACTCCAACCTGGGCAATAGAGCGAGGCTCAGTCTCAAAAAAAAAAATAAATAAATAAAAAAGAATCTTTGCACAACAGTAAGCCACTAAAGCCACTAAATGCAGTAATAGGAGCAACCTGGTAGACAGGCAGGAATGATTGCTAGCTGGTGGATTAGTCATTCAGGGAAGGCTTCCTGTAGGAGGTGATGCCTGTCTTGGGATTTGTGGCATGAATGGGAATTCACCGGGTGGCCCAGCAGGATAAAGGCATTGCAGGTACATGAAGTGGCAAGGGCAAAGGCTTGGTTAACTTGGAAAATATTCCTGTAGTTCTGCATCTACATGGGGCATGAAGTGTGGGGATGGGTGCGCTGTGGGGCATGAGGCCAGTGGACCGAGCAGGAGCTTCATCCTGTGAGGGTGTAAGCAGGAGTGGGAGTGACCTGGGTTTAGTTTTCCCAACAACCACATAGCACCTGTATACATTCCAATTACTTAACGCTCTTCATTCTATCAAGAAAACTTTATATCTGCTCCACAAGTGAAAAGCCAGCCTCACTAAGCATAAATTGAATTTTCCCATGAAAATAAATCAACAAAAACAAAATGCTGTTATAAACTCCTGCTTTGATCCTGTTATCAGCCCCATCCCTGAGGCCTGCTGTGTTTTGTTTACAACACAGATTAGCAAGCACAGAGAATCCACATGACAGGACGCCGCCAATAAAACAGAAGCATGCTTTTTATATCCTGATAGGGACTGAGATACAAGACATAGTGCTACATGAAAAAGGTAAGCTGAAGAATGCTGGATTTGGGTTACAAAAAAGGCGGACACATGCACGCAGCACGCGCACACACACACTCTAAGATGTCCCTGGACAGCGGTTGTCTCTGGGGAGGGGAATGGGACGTGGAAGGGCGTGGCGCATAGCTCACTGTGTACCCTTCTGTATGTTTAACTGTTGAACCATGACTGTATTACTCCCTATATAATCAATACATTGCATTAAGCCTTTGTGGGTGATAAAGAGACATTAAAGGTCTGTCAGCATGCCGACCCTCCTGTCTGATGTCATCAGAAGGGCGGAAAGAGCACCGGAAGGAGAACTCTCTCTCATGTTCCAGGTGGTATGCTCCATGTCACCAAGAGCTGAGCCTGTGCCTCACCCGGAATCGTTTCGCGGCCTGGATCTCATACTTCCTGAAACCCTGCTTGGTGGGTAACAAGGATCTAAGAATCCATTTTGCGCAACAAGAAACAGCATACTCAAGCGAGAAATGATTTCCCGACTACCTGAGGTGGGGGAAGGCAGCCTGGTGCCAGGGGCATGCAGCTGGAGGCCTCCACGTCCTGTTCCACTCTTCCTGGGAACAAGACTTGGCTGCTGCCCCACTGTGTGCCTCCTGAGCTGTGCAGAGAGAAGGAGAGGCGCTTGGGCCCAGGAGCACCTTCTGCACAGGGCAGGTGTAAGGGGCTGCACCTCTGTTATCTCCTGTAATGCTCCCACCACCCCTTCAAGTGGGCCCTCTTAGTCCATAGGAAACAGAGGCACAGAGGGGTTAAATGACTCACCTCCAGGCCACTCAGCTGGTGGTGGCAGAGCTGGGAATCCAACCTGTTTGCCCATGCACTGGTGACAAAGTCTAGGAGCCCCTGAGCCAAGTCAGCCTTTGGCTGGTACAAGAACCTGACCCCACGAACTAAAAGTCTTCAGTCTTGAGACCCAGACGGACCACTTCAGGCTCCTGGAGTTGATCCATGATGAGCATCCCTCATGCAACACAATCCACAGACAATTGTTTCTCTAGCAATTTCCATAAATAACTGTAATTTATGTGTTAATAGCAAAGATATCAAGGTTTGGAACCCCCTGGAGTGTTAGGAACATGATTTGTAACTACAAACACACAACAATTTGTTCAACATGCCAGCTACATCTTCAGTAATTACTACCCTGGTTAAGGATAATTCCACATTCAATGCCCTGCCATGCACGGGGAGGGGAGATCAGGAGGGAGGGGCTGGGATGGGACCTTGCCTGTGTTCCTCACTTCCTCGAGGCCCTTTCCTCTTCCTAAGAGCCCTTCTGTTCTCTCCTGTTTTGGGCCTCGTCTGGTCCTCCAGGCATTTGGACCTGGTGAGCCTCTCACTGTCCAGCCCTGCCTGCAGGGACCCAAGTAGGGCTGCGTGGATGCTCCTTCCTGGGAGGAGCACTGTGAGCAGCGTGACAACCATGGCTGTCTTAGCCGATCCTGCCTCTTGACCTCAGGAGGGACCCTGCTCCATTATACTCCTTCCCTCTGCACTTTGGTGAGAGGAGCCAATCAATTCTCCCTTCCTCTAAGCAGTGTTCAGGTGAGTTTCTGTCAACTGCAACCCAAGTGTCCTGAGAGATCAATGCAGGATGGAAGCTCGCCTCATCTGATGGATGAACGAGGCCCCACAGCAGCCACTCCAAGGGCAGCAGAGGGGTGAGGCTTGGCGGGGTCGTGCTTAGGGGGAGCAGGAGCCAGCCAGACCTGGGTTTGAATCCTGGCTCTGCCACTTCCTAGCTGTGTTGCTTTGGGCAAATCACAGAAACTCTGAACTTCAAATTCCTTCCCTATAGATGAGGATAGTAATATCTACCTTGTAGGGCTAAGTCATTGATAAAGTTAGCTATACAAGGTGTCAGACTGTGTGTATGGCATTGCCACATTTGTGTTTAAAAATGGGGGGATAACATTTGTTTCTAGGCATTTGCTTATGTATATGTGAAACTCTGGAATCGGACACAAGAAACTAATAACACGAGACATCTCTGGGGGGGAGAACCGGCTGCTGGGGGACTAGTGTTGTTTCGTCACAATTCCCCCGTTCCCTTTCACTCCCCAAGTAGAAACAACAGGGGGAACTTTTCACCATATACCCTTTTGTATCTTTTGAATTGTAAACCATGTAAATAAACATGTTAGAAACATAGACAAAGCTAGATAAAAAATTACCATTAAAATTATTCTTTATCATAAAGAATTGTGAAGTATGATTGTAGAATTAGCTGTGAAATCTCTCTCTCATATATACATGCTAATGCCAGGCTGACAAAGGACACCCGGAAGAGCTAGCTGTGGAGGACCCGCCTCCTGCTGCCTGTCCCCTCTGCAGCAGCTTGGTGAGCCTCGAGTCCGCCATGGGGTCAGGAGCCGGGTGAGACCAGCCCGCATCCTCTTCCCCATCTGCACCCTGAGCACTTGCCTCCTGGCATCCCACAAGGGGCCACTGCTGCCTGTTCCATAGATGGGGACACTAAGACCCCAGGTCACAGGCTGCAACTGGAGATCCCCAGACAGCTCTGGCCCCAGATGGTTTCTGTGTGACCTGAGCTGGATTTGGGGCTTCCTGTGAAAGCTGGATGCACTGCCACATGGGGCCCACATGAGTTCCTGCCTGCCCACCTGGGACTGGTGCTGAGTCACTGTGGTGCCCTGTTAGCAGGTTAAGCACTGTTCTGCCAAAATCCCCCCCATTCTCTTTTGCGCCCCATATTGGAACCCACCATCAGTTGTCCTTTAGCATTTTATCAAACACGCTTAAAAAAAGTATAGGCCAGTGGTTCTCAAGCTTTTTGGTGTCAGGCTCCCTGTACACTCTCAACTGAGGATCCCAAAATTGTTTATGGGTGTGATATCTATCATCATTTACCATATTAAAAAATTAAAATTAAGACATCATCAACCTTGAGACATCTTTATAGCAAAAGCCTCAGTCTATCCACCAACATGTCAGGTGGCCTCTAGAATATTCTACAGCACACTTGTGCAAGAATGATGGTGATAAGGCAAACAACAGCTGCTTGTTGTTATTTAAATGGTTTGAACTCCCTGGACCACACTTTGAGAAACATTGCCATTAAAGAAAAAAATGTTCTTAGCCACAACCAACGCCAGCACCCATGCCATTTGCCTGGCCCCCGTGGGTGTTTAAGTCTAAGCCCTGTTCTAGAAAGAGAGAGAGGAACATGCTCTGGGTCCTATAGGCAGAACTGACTGGGGGGTCCCCTTTCTAGTCCTGGTGGCTGAGGCTGCATGACCCTGCTCAGCACCACAGCTTGCAGCCCCTAGTACTGACAGGAAAGAGCTGCCTGCCTGTGGTGGGGCTGTTGTTGGTCACTTCAGGAAACAAAACAGCATCAGCCCCCATCTGCTGTGTGCCTGCCATGCACCAGGCACTGGAGGAAACCGAGGCTGTTTGAGAAATCACTAGTCCAAACGTTCCCAGCTTGCAAGAGACAGTGGCAAGGTGCGGGCCCAGGTAACCCTGTCCTGAGGCTGCAGAGGGAGGCCCTGGCCGTGGTAATCAACCTTCAGCAAGGTACAGCTGTCTGCCCTCTCTGGGTGCTTGTGCGTGGGATGGAGGGTGAGGAGTGCTATTGCTCACTGGGGGCTCCTGAGGGCCTTCCCCACTGTAACTCACTTGCACCTGCCCCTCCTATGAGACAGGGACTTTATGGCCAGCATTCCGCTGGCCCCAGCTGCATAATCCAGATCTGAACTGGGTGCTCCAGCTCCAGCACCTAAGCCCCATCCTCTGCAAACAGGGGTTTCACCCAACCTTCCCCAGGTTGGGCATGGTGGCAAATTTAGATCAGATTAAAACGACAGCTCAGGGCACAGCTGGTAGAGCAGTCCTCGGAGGGGATGAAAGGTGGCGTGGTGACAACTGCAGTCTGGGTGCTGGCTTGGGGGCGGGTGAGGAGCAGGAGGAAGCATGGCTCACTCCTGGCCTGACCAAAGCAATCCCCAGCCCCACCTCTCACTGGGTTGGTCTTGGCAGGTCCAGCCCACCCACCACCTGTCACCCTGCTGGAGAACTGCAGCCTGGCCTTCCTAGCCCCGAGACAGAGCGGCCAGGATGAAGTGATGCCCCAGCCTTGAGCAGGGTGCCCAGAGGGGGTGCTGAGCCAGCCCCTGGAGCCCACTCAGCCCCGATTCCACCTTCTTGGCTCAGCTCCTTCAGGGACGCCTGGGCTGACCTCACAGGCCACGCTGGGCAATTCCTCCCAGCACCTGGGCGATGCTGTTCAGAGGACAATTTCCCTTTCCCTCTCCCCTCTGGACAGCTCCGTGAGGATAAGAATAAGGTTGTCCGACATACCCCACTTATGCCCAGCCTCAGCACGGCGCCTGGCACAACTAGCTGCTGGATAAATATTTGTGGATGAAATGAATATGCCCAGCTCATGTATGTCCCTGTCCCCAAATCCACATGCCTTTAAAAATAAAGCACCTACCTTCAAGGGGGCAGGCAGAGAGGTAAGGGCCTTTCATACGTGGGTTCTGGGGGATAGTAACATGGTAAACAGATGGTCTGCACAGAGCTGTCCTGACCCAAGGTACAGAGTGCCAGAAACAGCTGGAACTGAGATAGGGACCCAGGCCTTCTCTAAGTCAGGCCATCCTCCAGCCCCCAAGGTCAGGTCCATGGTCCAGTTCTCTCTGAAATTCACCAGGCTGGGTCTAACTCAAGCCGCTCCCATGGATCGGGGAAGGTGTTTGGAGTTTCCTTTCCCCTGGGGTTACCAGCAGAGTCCCTGGAGGGAGATTCTAGACAACTGAGCACAGGAGGACCACGGGGAGATAGGGAGGAGACCCCATGCCTTTGCTAGCGAGCATACTCAAGTCTAGTTTCACCATCCACATGTAGGGCCCCTGAGTAAATTTGTAAAAGGCGCCCTCTTCTGGTGGATACAGCCCCACAGGCCCAGGGCTGAGCTAACAAGAATGCCATTAGAGTGCAGTTGTTCCTCTGCCAACTGCCCTCATGCAGTGCACAACCTGAGTATCTGTACATTTGGGAGTGCCTGGAGTTCTGCCCCACAGGGTGACAGTGACTCTGGGTACCTGCCACCCTCCCAAGACCAACAGTGAATGCTGCTCCTCCTTTCAGGGGGCTGGGAAGCCTAAGGGCCATGCATGCACGACCTGTAGCCACATGGAACCACCTGCTGCCTTCCTGGGGAAAGATAAAGCCCCACCCCTCAGCCCCCTAGGAGATTTACATGGACAAAGATAAGTCGCTTACAGGTCCAGAAGTCACAAGATCAAGAGAAAACATGTTAGCCAGACTTAGCACTGCCTTCAGCTTCCTCCCAGTGCACTATTAACACTTTTAAAGCAATTACATTTTTTTTTTTTTTTTTTTTTTTTTTTGAGACGGAGTCTCACTCTTTCGCCCAAGCTGGACTGCAGTGGCGCTATCCCGGCTCACTGCAAGCTCCGCCTCTTGGGTTCATGCCATTCTCCTGCCTCAGCCTCCCGAGTAGCTGGGATTACAGGCGCCCACCACCACGCCCGGCTAATTTTTTGTATTTTTAGTAGAGACAGGGTTTCACCGTGTTAGCCAGGATGGTCTCGATCTCCTGACCTCGTGATCCGCCCACCTCGGCCTCCCAAAGTGCTGGGATTACAGGCGTGAGCCACCGCGCCCAGCCGCAATTACATTTTTAAGTAGTCAAATTTTTAAGGCAATCAAGACTGCATCCCTACATCACAGGCTTTAGCCCAAGTGGGCTGGGTGAGGTATGGCTTGCTTGGGTCTTGAAGGGGGCACACCCTCAGCCCTCTCACTGAGGCTGCCATACACGCTGGGCTCCCACACTGAGTCAGGAGCCCAGAGAGGGCCAGGGCTGCCTCAAGGTCACCCAATGGCCAGCTGGCAGTCAGGCTGGGCCCGAGTCAGGTCCCCAGGCCCCGCCCTTGCTCTAGATCCAGATCTGCTGGAGCCTGGGGGTGGGAGAGCTGGTCTCCAACTTGGGCCTTCACTGGGCACAGAGACACCGTTCTTTACTGCTTAACAATCCCCCCCCCCCCGCCAACCGTTTGCCCTGTGCCAGGCTGCAGCTTTCCTTAAGTCCTGCTGACAAGGAAAATCTGGTGCCAGCACCCACAAATATGTGTGACTTCTGGAGGGAGGCAGCAGCCTGGGTTCCCCAGGCCAGAGTGGGCGGATTTAAAGGACGGGTGGCAGAGTGGGGGGGGTCACTGGATAGGGGAGGACCAAACTGCCCAAGTATGTCTGGGATGGAGGGTGATAAACGTTTATATGTTTTTGACCAGATACCTGAAAAATACTTTCCATGTTTCTAGGGGGGCACATACATAGTCTTCACTGCATATTCTTTTATAATGTTTAAGATTTTCATCATGGGCCTGTATTTCCTAAGCAAATATTAAATTCATAGATCTAAACCCATACATAAATGGCCCAGGCAGAAAAGAAAGAGACAGGAGCTCAGAATTTCAGAAGATGAAGGGACCCCAGATACTGACCTTCTCTGTAAAAATGAAAGCTAGGGTTGACTGAGTGCCCATGGGCCTTGCCTGTTGGGCCATGTTTTGAAAGCCCTTCTTTACCATCTCATTTCAGCCTGAGCGACCTGAGGAGGGAGATGCTATTACTGACATCTTCCATGCTACAAACGAGGAAATGGAGCAAGGTCACCGCAGGCTGGACCCCTGCGCCCAGGTCACACCCACTGGCCAAGGCTGACAGCATGCTACAGGGAAGGCTACGTCACAGGCTGGGCTGGGAGCTGGGCTGGGACCTGAGGCTCTGGCTCCTGCTCTTTGTCCCGACTTTTTCCCCAGAGGCCTAGAGTTCCCTGGAGCCCCAGGTAACAGCAGCCCTGCGCCAGAGGCAATGTGCCTTGTCAGACAACTGAGAGTTCCCCGGGGGCCAGGAGCAGAGCCTGCAGCTTCCTTGGGGTCACACAGGCAGACTACTGAGATGCAGGTGGCCATCCTCAGCCCCTCTGTGAGCCTCAGTTTCCTCATCTATGAAACAGGTGAATCTTTCCTACCTTGGAAGGCAGGAGTAACGATGGCCCAAGATGAGGTATCTGACACACAGAGGTGCTCAGCACGCACTCATTCCCTTCCCCTCTCCCCTGCCTGGTGAACCCGAGAGTGGGAGGTCGGTCCTCTACTGGCTGCGTCCTGCCAGGCCAGGCATGGGGCACCGCCTGGGGAAAGGCACCAGGGTCTAGGGGGCAGGCTAACGGCTGGCAGTGACCCTCCCACCCAGAGGCACATACTAGGCACTGAAGAGGACGAGGAGCTGGGACGAGAACCAGGCTGGCAGGGTGCCTGTGCGCATATGTGAGCTCATGTGTGCTCCCCACAGGGGACCGAGACCCGGCAGGGGCTTGCTGTGGGCTGTGGCATCTCCCAGATCTCAGCTGCCCCAACAGACCAAGATAGAAGGAGCTTGGGAGGGGACATTTTATTTTCCAGCTAGAGATACTAATAGTGGGGCTGGCCCATCCCACCCTTCCCTTACCTTGGTCCAGTGCTGTGGGTGGGGGCCTCCTGCCACAAACAGCCGCAGCCTGGCTGGCTTCTCAGGCCTCCTCTGCTGCCCACACAGATGAGCTCCCTCAGCCGTCCCCCATCTGGTGCTGCGGCCAGTGCGGGTCATAAACCCTGAGCCCCTGCTTAATCCGCCAGCTCCCGAGTCAGCGCCAGCCAGACACGTGACACTGCAGCCCCACAGACCTGTTTGGCAGGAGCAGCAGCTGGTCCTGCTGGGGGCGGGGAGGGCTGTCCGCCTTGCCCTCGCCCTGTCCCTACCACCTCCCAGCCCACAGCCTGCAGTTGGGCCACTGCCTGCCTTGTAGCGAGAGGTATGGTACGTGCTGGGGGCAGTGCAGGTAGGGAAAAGAACACGGTTCTCACCAAATGGTGCCGGGCCACCTGGGAATGGGTATATGTGTGCACCTGGGGCCGTGCATGTGCACACATGTGCATGTGTCAGAGAGAGAGAGAGAGACCGTAGATGAAAATCTATTCCAGGTGGATTAAAGACCTAATGTGAAAGGTGAATAACGAGAATCTTCATGATTACAGGGTAGGAATGAGTTTCTCAAAACACGAAAAATGTTAATAAAGTGAGAAAGTTGACTACTTGAATTAAGAATTCTGAAATTGAGAAGTTTATCCCAACACCCTGTAAAGAGTGAAAAAGGCAGGCAGGAGGGAGGGAGAAGAGGTCTACAATGTGGATAACTGACGAAGGATTAGAATCTGTAGCACCCAAAGAAGCCTCCAAATCGTAAAGAAATAAAAAGACAGCCCAAGATGGGTGAAAGGCATGAACAGGCACTCCACCAATGATGAAATCCAAACAGCCAATGGACAAACAAAAGATCCCCAACCTCATCGGGGAGATGCAAATTCAAACCACAGCAAGAAACCATTACCCACCCACCAGGTGAGTGAAAACGACAAAGACCGACAATGCCCAGTGTGGGGTTGGGGCAAGGCTGTATGCTTGCTTTACAGCCAGTATGTGCCCCAGAGACAGCTCATGCCATGTGTGCTGGGACACAGGTTCAAGAGCAACAGCCCCAAACTGAAAACAACCCATGTGGTCCATCACAGTAGACTGCATACATAAGCTGTGGCCTGTCGATACAATGAAATACTATTTATTTAAAAGGACAGCTGGGCGCGGTGGCTCACGCCTGTAATCCCAGCACTTTGGGAGGCCGAGGCAGGTGGATCACTTGAGGTCAGGAGTTTGAGACTAGCTTGGCTAACATGGCAAAACCCCATCTCTACTAAAAATACAAAAAATTAGCCAGGCGTGGTGGTAGGAGCCTGTAATCCCAGCTACTGGGGAGGCTGCGGCAGGAGAATTGCTTGAACCCGGGAAGTGCAGGTTGCTGTGAGCTGAGATTGCGCCAATGCACTCCAGCCTGGGCGACAGAGCGAGGCTCTATCTCAAAAAAATAAAAATAAAAATAAAAATAAATACAATAAAAATAAAAGAATGAACAGCAACTTATTGCATAGGTGAATCTCGCAGATGCAACTTTGAGCAAAAGGAGCCAGACCTGAACAAATATCCACAGCCTGTTTATATTCAGCTCAAAAATAATAAAAGCAAAATTATATTGTAAAAAGCTGTTCCATAGGTGGTACGACAGGAAGGGCAAGAGGGACATTATTAGCACAAAGTCAGGATGACGACAATCTCTGAGGAGCAGGCTGGGGAGGGGCACACGGGGGCTTTGGGCAATGCTCAGTCTCTTGACCCATGCAGTGGTCACACGCATGTTCTTATTTTTCTTTAAGCTGTGCATGTTTGTCCTTGCACCCTTCTCTATGACAGGTGACCACATTTAAAATAGAAAGGTACATGTGATAAGGGTGGGGAAAGGCATGGACTCCAAGCTGTGACTGCAGAGCCACCAGGCAGCAGCATCCGAGCTAGAAGGGCTCATCTTGCTCTCTTATGTCACAGACAAGAACTGAGGATCAGAGACAGGAAGGAACTTGCCCAACGATGCAAAGCAAGTTAGAAGCCAGCAGGGCCAAGACTAGAATCTAGGTTAGGCAAAGCCCAAACCAAGGCTCTCCTCTCTGGTCTCTTTGGAAGAGTTCTTCCATTGCAAATCACATTTAACACCAACTGGAGCAGATGGGTTGATTTTAGCATTTAGCACTCCAAAATTATTTTGTTTGCTTATGTATTGTGGGTCTCTTGCCACTAGAATAAAAGCTCCCGGAGGGCATGGCTTTCGGTCTCTTTTGCTCCAGTGGTAACCCCAGCACCAAACTGAAAATCTGGCACATAGTAGGTGCTCCATAAATATTTGCTGAATGAGTAAATGAATGGAGCTGATGCTTCTATTTGCACTTTCAGATCCTAGAAATCCCTGGTGGCTTCTGTGATATCCCAAAGGAGAAAACAGAAAAACAACTGTATGATACTGACACACTTTCACAGAATTATCTTCATAACTGCCTTAGGAGGTGGGTACCATCATCACCCCATTTTAAAGAGGAGAAAACAGGGAGGCCTAGTGACTTGTCCAAGGTCATGCACAAAGCTAGGAAGCTGACAGCTGGAATTCGAACCCAGCCCAGCTGCCTTCAAGCACCCCTAGGATCACTGAACTGGAAGCACAGAAAGGCTGAACCCCATCCATGACTCTGAAGCCCCCAAAAGGCTGGCTGGCCCTGGGCCACTCCACACACCTGAGCTTACCACGATCTGTGGGATTCAGTCCCTCTTGTCCTCACCCGCCCTCAACCCTCCTGAGTGCTGGTTCTGACTTCTAAAGTGTTTTTCCGGTCTCTTCCAAACTCGCAGCCCCCAGTAAGGAAGCCTGGGTAGGGATTAGGTCCCCCATGATAAAGATGGGGAAGCTTTGGTTCAGGGAGGGGAAGGGACTTGTCCAGAGCAACAAAGAGTCCGGCTCTCTGACCTAAAGGCCTCCTAAGTTAGAGTGACAGACAGAGACCCCAGCTGCTGCTCAAGGATTAGCCATAAGATGCTCAATTTTCTTCCTGGTTCCTTTTATACCAAACCCTCAGTCCACTTGGATAAGCCCCAAACCTGGTCCTAGTTCAGCATCTGGCTGAGCTAAATAATGAAATGCTCCCATAATACCCCTCGGCACTTGGCTTTATTAAAACACGTTGGCACTTTTAGGATTGTTACAAACCTGTGTTACTATCCTGATAGCTTTCCACCAAGTCCTTGGATCACTGAAAAAATAAATCATTGGCTGTGGGAGTCTTGGAGCTAAAATGGTCCTGCAGGGCATCTCAGCTAACTGAAATTTGTGAATCCTCCACCTGGCCTCACTCCACACACCGATGAGGGAAACTCACTGCCTTCTAAGGCAGCCTGTTCCTTGTTTGGATTCAGCTCAGTCTCAGTCAGGCACAACAAGAACTTATATCCTCCCCTGGCACTAGGGATGAAGTAATGCCTCAGGCCCCACTCTGCCCTCAGGGAGTTCACAGTCTGGAAGAAGAAATTGTGTAAGCACAACTGGATAAGGAATGACGCAGGCCAGGGTTACCTTCTAAAAAGACAGCAGG
Source organism: Homo sapiens (assembly GCF_000001405.40). Taxonomy (NCBI): domain Eukaryota; kingdom Metazoa; phylum Chordata; class Mammalia; order Primates; family Hominidae; genus Homo; species Homo sapiens. Next base: position 12,990,525 of record NC_000003.12, read on the forward strand.
TAAGGCCCAAGCTGTGTGTACAGAGGTCATTAGCTCCCACAGCTGGCTTTCTATGCTGTCACACACGGCACGCAGGGATTTATTTGGGTCAGTCTGGACTCCGCGCACTTGAGTCTGAAGCCCTTCCCAGAGGAATGCCACCCTGAGGGTGTCTGGGTACACAGACTGGTAAACTGCTGGGGCTCTGGGGCAACCGAGCAACGCTGAAAGGACAATCAATGGTGCAGCATCCTACATCATTCCAGCTGGCCTGTGGGATTGACACTGTTTTAATATTATGCTTCGAGAACCATCATACAAGGGAATGATAGGTTTGTGGTTTTGCAGACGAAATGGGAAATACATGTGAAAGCCCCTGTGATCAGGTCTGGCATGGAGTAGATGCTTAGAAAAAAATGCTCGCTGGGTTTGCACTGCAATCCTGCTGGATTAGAAAGCCACATACACAGTTCTCTGAGTCACAGTTCTCTAAGTCACTGAGAATTTAGCAGCCTGCTTCCTGCTTTTCCAAACTGACGCTTGCTATGATGGCCCCACTGAATAGCCCCGAGGCAGGGGGTGAGAGGGAGTCTGGAAGACTGGTATATTACCAGGGGTCTAAAGTCAGTCCCTACCTGCGCCCTGCTTTGCATCGCCCTTCTGTTCAGTGATAATGGTATCCCCGCGGGGAAGATTCAGGGACTCAGGGCAGGATTTGCCAAAGAGGTATCATGGATGAGGGTGATGAAGGATGAACGGAGTTTGCCAGATGGCAGGGGTGGGGTGTTCCTTCCCGCAGGAGCCAAAGCAGGGCGAGGCGGGGGCCCAGTGGAAAGGCAGGGGGCTCCAGAAAATGCTGCTCCCACAAGCAGGTTTGCATCTCACTGCATGGTGGTAATGAATGCTGATCTGAGATGCGGCAGTGCGTGGGACCCCAGTCTACACGGACCTCACCAACAGAATGGGCTTTTGCCAGCCTCTTGCACGTGAGAAACACCTCTTGATAGGAATGAGCAGCCCCCCACTCCCCACCTGCCTAATTATGAGGGGCAGGGGGAGTGATGAGGGCTCTGGTCAACTCTCCTACCAGAGGCCAGATTCAGACTCCCTGACCAGCACAAAGGCAGCTCCAGCTTGCACAGCCCAGTGATGGGCAGCTTCCTACAAGAACAAAGGATGGCTGTATTCTTGGCTGGGGACACTTAGGTGCTTAGGTCCACCCCTTATACCAATGGCTGAAACTGTGTGCAGGAAAGCTGAGGACACAAATGGTCGCAGTTCTTCTGGTGTGGCCTCAGCACTCCCCTCTGGACAATGGGGGAAGGGAGCATGACTAAAACCAAGGGTGGTGGTGTGGGGACAGCAGGCATGGGACAGGCAGGGCAGGGCAGGTTGGTCAGAGCAGCGGCTGGAAGGGCGGGCTGCCATGGGCCCTTTAAGCAGCCTTGAAAGAGAGTGGCAACTCCAGTCATGAGACCCAAGATTACCTAATGTTTGCAAACCGTGCAGGAGACAGTCCCCTGCAGAGGTGAGCACAGGCCCCCTCCCTTGTCCCTCCACTGCAGAGACCTCTGAGGGGACACCGAGTCCTCCGAGCATTCCCCAGGAAGCAGCCCTCTCAGGATGACTGGGTTGCTGGAGAGCTGGGGACAGGGCCCCTCGGCTCTGAATACGCTGTGTGACCTTGGACATGTCCCTGCCTCTCTCTGGCCTCAGTTCTCCATCTCTAACACAGTAGGGTGGCTCCGGGATGCTCCCTCCGGCACTGATGCTTAATGGCTGGGCTGTGGGCATTGTGGCCACCCCAAGTCACCTCTCAGTTTATCTTTTCCTGTGGGGGGTGGGGGGTGGGAGGAGATGGCACCGCTAAGGCAATTTCTCTTCTTTCCCCTTAAATCTGGTTTCTGGGCTCTAATTGCACATGGCTTCAGCAGCCTGGCCATCTTGCCAACTGTAATGAGGAGGTGGGCATCATACTGGGGGCAGGGGAGGGTGACGAGAAAGCTATTCCTGTGTCACCTTAATTCAGAATTGTTCAGAGGGGGCTGCACAGGCCAATGTGTCCACTGCCTGGTGGAGCCTGACCACAAAATGAAACGGTGGCTCATCAAAGTGCACAACCAGACCCCTGCTCCCAGTCTAGGACAGGTCCCTCACCACCACAGATCACTGGGCATGCTCAGAGCAACACTCACAAAGCTGACCAGGCAGAGCCGACTGCTGTCCTTGTGAGCCTCATCTCCTGGACAAGGCCAGGGGGAGGGGACACCCACTGTCACCTTTCTGCTCCCTTTGCTCCAGGAACAGATCAGCTGTGACAGTTGAGAGCTTGGCAATTTAAAGTGACAACTGCCTGGCAGAAACATGGGAGGGGAAGTTCCCCAGGACTATTAGGGGTGGGGAGAAGCTTGACTCACCTCTGCCAACCCACCCTGCCTGCTTAGAGCCCAAGGGCAGGTGGTTTTGTAGCGGGAGGTTGCGGTGGGGGCGGGGGTCCCACACTCTAAGACCCTGGCCCAGGAGTGTCTCATCCTCAGGCTGGCAGGTGGGACAGGTTTCCAACAACAGCCCCCATTACACCTCATCCCCCTGCTGCCACCTGCCCCCTATGGGTCAGGGTCCAGAGGTCGCCAAGGCTGTTCTGGTCCCCAAGACTGCTCCCTAAGCCAACTCTCCTGGAGGTCTACCGGGAGAGCTCCCTCCACCCCAAGACTGAGAACCAGTCTCTTCCCCACGTGGTAATGGCAGGAGGGGCTGCCCAAGGTCACACGGGGTTGGGAGGCAGGGACAGGGCCAGGTTGGACCCAGCCCTCCAGCCCTGCCAAAGCTTCTCCCTCCCTCCCAAGGCGCGTCCGTGTGGCTCCCAGCGAATTCCTGAGATGCCTCAACCTCCCGCTCGCAGGCTCGGGACCCTGGACGCGGTGGCGGGATTTCTCCGCCCGGAGGCAGCAGCGGTGGTGGAGGCGGGGTGGGGGTGGGGAAGAGAAGCAGGGTAGTGCGGAGTCGGGGGGTGGGGAATGCTTTGCATGGCGACCCTCGGGGTCTGGATTCACGTACCCCCGCTTCGGGGAGGCAACCAACTGCACTGATGAAGAGATGGAGCACCCCGCCCCTCCCCGACCCCCAATATCGCGCCTTTAGCGTTCGCAAGGCTTCGGGATAAGCCGTCTGCATAGCCGCGGAGGTTGGGGCTTCTGCGTCCTCACCGCTCCAGTCCCAGAGAGCGACACCGCAGAGCCCAGCTCAGAAAGACTGGCGCTGGCGCGCCCCGGCCCCCATTCCCGTGAGCTTGGCGGCCGCTGATCCCCAACCCCACAACCCTGCGGCCGGTGCGGGCTTAGCAACTGCGGCCTCGCAACCTCCTTCCGAGACCCGCTCCGCGAAGCCCGCCGCGATCCCCGCGCGCCCCAGGTTCCCGAGAGCCAACTGCGTGTCGGTGCAACCGCGGCCCCGGGGGCGGAGCTGCCGCCCAGGCCGCCCCGCGGAGGGCATTCCCGGCTGCAGCCCCAGCGACCCCCGCCCGGGGCCCCGCACCGCACCGGTCGCCGGGCGCGTCCCCCGCCGGCCCGCCTCCTACCTCGCGGGTCCGCCCGCAGCCGCCGAGAGCGCGCCGTCCCCGCGGCCGGCGCGGCCCCAGAGCGTCCGGTGGCCGGGCGCGGGGGGGCGGGGGCGGGCGCTCGGGAGCCGGAGCCGGAGCCCGAGCCCGATACCAGCGCCACCGGCGGGGCGGCCTCCCCGCGCGCCGCCCTCCTGCCCGCCCCACCGCCCGTGCGCCGTGACCTTGGCGGGTGGCCTCGCCGCGCCTGGCCTCAGTTTCCCCCCTCGGAAGGTGTGTGTGCGTGCGCGGCTGTGCTAGGGGGCGGGGAGGACGGTGCCGCCCCGGCCGCCGACGTCACCCGAGCCTGGACGAGTGGAGGGCGCTCAGGTCGGTGCAGCCGCTGCAGCGGATGGGTCAGGAGAGCGGGGTACGCGGGGTCCAGGCGCGGAACCGGGGGCACTGCGACCCCCGGCATTTCCCTCAGACTACCCCAGACCCCCAATAAACAGCGAACAAACGCACCTCAGGCCAAGTCCCCCGGCTCCTCCGAGGGAAAGCTGCAGCCCCGGCCGAAACGCCCCACCCCCGCCGCCGTCCCCAGTTCGCAGATGGGAACACTGAGGCCCACAGCAGGGAAGCCACTGGCCCAGAGGCGCACAGCTGCACCACGCTCCTCCGCGTCCCCTCCAGGACACACCCTCCTGACTGTTTGGGGACGGGGTGGGGACCTGGGCCTGCCGGTGCCGCCCCCATCCCTCAGCCGACCTCGATTTAGATGCTGGGACGGGCCCTGGTGGCCTGGCGACTGTTACAGAGAATGGGGTGGGCACAATCGGAAGGGAGCCCAAAGACGGGGAAGAAGTGGCGCAGATAGCAGAGGCTGGGCCTGGAAGGGATATGGGCGGGAGCGCGCCCGCGGGGGTGCACCTAAGGAGAAAGCGAGGACGCGCGAGTGCCCTCCCTGGTGGGTCGCAGAGCAGACCTGCCCCGGAAGCCCTGAACGCCGGGCCGGGAGCGGCGGCCTCTCTCCCGCAGCCGGAACCCCGCCGGTCTGGAGCGAGGGCGTCAGGTGGCGGGCTGCGATTGGGACGAGGCGCCCCCTGGTGCCCGGAGGCGGCGAGACCGGAGACCGGAGGGACGGGGCCGCCAGGGCCCAGCCAGAGAAGCTGAGCGAGTGATGTCATGAGTCAGGAGACCCGGCTCTGTGGGTCCTGCCACGAGGGGCTGTGTGACCTTGGGCAAGACGTTTCCCCCTCTGGACTTCTGGGAGGAAAGGACAGAAGGAGGGACCCTGATTTTTACCTCTGACATCTCATGACCCTGGACATCTGGGTCAGGTGAGAATGGGCAAATGGATCCAGAAAGGCACAGACGGATCAGAAGTGAGATGTAGACACTGTTCAGCACTGGAGGAGGATTATTCATTTACTTGAGGCAGAAACTAGTATCCCAATTTTACAGACAAGGACACCGAGGCAGAGAGGTAAAGTCATCTGCCCACATTCACACAGCAGCTAAGGGGTGAGCTGGGATTTGAACACCCACCTGCGAAGCTGTAGCGTCTAAGCAGTGTGCCTGACTGCCCCACTCCCCACTCTTGCAGAATTTATTGAGCATCTAAGTTGTCCCTAGAATACCCAAGGCACTGGTGACAGAGACGAATAAGGAACGGCCCAGCTCCTGGTGGGTCTTCCTGCCTCGTGGCAAGAGTTAAGCCCATGGCTTCTTATCAGTGCTCACAGCCAACTGTACAGTGGATCCCCTGGGAATGGGCTTGTGGGCTGAAATGTGAGTCCCATCCCCACTGCATATTCTACCCTTCCATATTATTGGAGGTTTAAAAAATATTTTTAAGGGCTAGGTGTGGTGGCTCATGCCTGTAATCCCAGTGCTTTGGGAGGCTGAGGTGGAAGGATCACTTGAAGCCAAGAGTTTTGAGGCCAGCCTGGGCAACACAGCGAGACTCCATCTCAAAAATAAATTAACCAGGCATGGTAGTGCTCCAGCTACTCGGGAGGCTGAGGCAAGAGGATTGCTTAAGCCCAGGAGTTCAAGGTTATTGCGAGCTATCATTGCACCACTGCACTCCAGCCTGGGCAACAGAGCAAGACTTTGTCTCTTAAAAACACTTTTTTTTTTTAAAGAGCAGTTAAGGGAAGATAAGATGCTTGTAGTTTTAATATTTAAAAATGCAGTCCCTGAGAAGCCATATACTTTTGTTGTCAGTGCCAGGAGTAGGTCACCTGGCTGGTTGGAAGGCAGGTGAGGAAGTGAGAATGACAAAGGTTTTAGAATCTGTTGGACCTGGGCAAGTCCCACGACTTTTCTGAGACTCATTTGAACTCATCCTTAAAATGGAACTGAAGCTAAAAATTCCCACCCTGCCTCGCTTCCAAGGCTGCTGTGAGAATTAACTATGATAATGTGTGGAAAGCCTGCACAAAATGCACTGTGTAAATATTTTCATTCCCAGGAGCCGTGAAGGAAGATGTCGAACACTTAACTGCATAAAAATTAAAACTATGTAAATGGAATCAAAATACCATAAACAAAGTAAAAAAGACAAATGGTAAACTGAAAAAAAATGTCTGCTGCAGCACATATGACAGAATTTAATTGAGGAAAATGCAATGAAAGTTAATTTCTCTAATACATAAACAGGTCTTTCAAATCGATAGGAAAAAGATGACTAACCCATTAGAAAAAAGAGCAAAGGATATGAACAAGCAGCTCATGGAAAGATCTTCAATCTCACTTGTAATTAAATGTATATTAAAGAAATACAAATCAAAACACAACATGGTTGCCATTTTTTAATCTACCAAGTTGGCAAAAACGAATAAGTTTGCTAATACTTTTGCTGCTAAAGGTGGGAAGAAATGAGCACTCTCAAAAATGCTGTAGGGTGAGGTGCCAGATGGTGCAACCAATCGGGAAGGGTATGGCGAAGCTACTACAGCATGCTAATATAAAAATACAAGGACAGACAACACAGCACTGTGTGTACCAGTAAACAGCGAAAGAAAAGAGCCATCTTCAGGGTCCAGCAGTAGGAGAGGGAGTAACTTCATTAAGATACCCATTACTGGGACTTTGTCCTAGGATGGACAGATCTCCAGGTCATATTTCTACTGAAAAATTCAAGGAACAGAAGACTGTATATCATGATCCTTTTGTGTACAAGTTAAAAGGCTCTATGTAGATGTGTGTGGGAATTTCCTAATTTTCCCAAAGGACACAAATATGCCGAAACAAAAAAACTCTTATTGATGGATACCTTTTGGGAGGACTGAGGGGTGCATGGAATGGATATGTGAGGCGCTTTTACTTTTCATTTTATACTTTTTTGTAATAATTGATTTTTAAAAGGTCAACAGGGGTTATCTGGGCACAAGCTGATGGGCCAATTGAAGTCTCTTCTTGACATGTCTTTATATTTAAACAATCAGGTTTGCAGTGCTTAATGATGGGGATACATTCTGAGAAATGTGTCCTTAGGTGATTTCATCATTGTGAAACCTCATAGAGTGTTCTTACACAACCTAGATGGCACAGCCTACTACACACCTAGGCTATATGGTATGGCCTAGTCCTCCTAGGCTACAAACCTGTTCAGCATATGACTGTACTGAACACTGCAGGCACTTAATCACAATTATTCCCTTGGTTTCCTCCATATACAGTTATTCCAAATCAATAAGAAAAAAACATGAACAACTCAAAATAAAAATGTCCAATTAATTTGACCAGGTAGTAGATATTTGTGTATCTAAACATAACATAGAAAAGGTACGGTAAAAATATGGTATTATCATCTTATGGGACCACCATCATATATGTGGTGTGTCATTGACCGAAATGTCATAATGCACATTACTATAAATGTTTTTAAAGTGAATAAAAATTATTGAAGTATTCTTGTTCCTTAAAGTCCACCAGTGAGGGATTTGTTAAACAGATTATAATTAAGACACATCCATATGATGGAAGCCTATGCAGCCATCAAAAAGAATGTGGCAGCTCTACGGCCAGGCACAGTGGCTCATACCTGTAATTCCAGCACTTTGGGAGGCCAAGGCAGGTGGATCACTTGAGGCTAGGAGTTCAAGATCAGCCTAGGCAACATGGCAAAACACCGTCTCTACTAAAAACACAAAAATTAGCTGGGTGTGGTGGCATGTGCCTGTAATCCTAGCTACTTAGGAGGCTGAAGTGGGAGGATCACCTGAACCAGGGGAGACTGAGGCTGCACTAAGCTGTGATCACTCCACTGCACTCCAGCCTGGGTGACAGAGTGAGACCCTGTCTCAAAAAAAACAAACAACAAAACAAGACAAAAACAACAACAAAAAAGTGGCATCTCTACATGGACTGATATGATAAGGAACAATCCCCAAGATATTTTGGTAGGTGCAATAAAGGATGTAGGGTATGTTACTTTTTATGTAAGAAAGAGGGAGTAAGCCAGGTGTGGCAACTCTTACCTGTAATCCCAGCTGCTCAGGACGATGAAGTGGGAGGATCACTTGAGGCCAAGAGTTCAAGAGCAGCCTGGGTTAATGTAGCAAGGGTCCCTCTTAAAAAAATTTTTTTTAAATAAAAATAAAAATCTGGAATTAAAAAAAAAGAGGGGGTATAGAATATCTGCTGGTACCTGCATATGTTGTCTCTGACAAAGATGCTCAAGAAACTGGTACATGGTTTTGCCATGTTGCCATGCCCTGGGGAAGGTTCTGGGTGATGACCGAGGGTGAACTGTGGAGACAGTGGGGATGGAGAGCTGCCTGCTACACTTCCTGCTTTGTGGGCAGCTATAAAGTGGGGGGTCGGGGGGCAGGATCAAGGCCAAGGCTGATCTCTGGGTAGGTTGAGTGGTTTTGTTTCCCAACATGAAGCTTTGCCCCCCTAGACGTCTTCGTGCCCTGGGGGATGGAGTGGAAAGGAGACTGGCTTTTCACTGAAATGTTTCATTTAAGTATTTTTTGCATGTATTACTACATGCATGTATTACTGTTTGTAAAATATTATGTTTAAAACTAATTTCTGAGTGGGGAGCTGAGAAGCCTGATTTCTAAGAGCCTGCTGTGGCACTCAGGATGACTCCCCGTGTGACTTCAGGAAGGCAGGTGTCCCTTCTGAGCCTCAAGGTCCCCTCTATCAAGAAGCATAAGACGAGTACTAAGACTCCTTACAACTCTGATGCCATACCAGCTCCAGAACCTTCTCCCTGGAAGAGCCACTTAGATATGGAATGGCTGCTGGGGAGGTAGGGACTCCCTGTCCTTGGGCTCATGGGAGCAGGGCTGAGGGTAAACTGCCTTGCATGACTTCTAAAATCCCTCCCAGCTCGGCAGTGTGCTGTTCCTTCTTCATTCTCCCATTCCCAGTGCCCTGCCTGGAAACTCTTAGTTCATATTTCCTCTCTAGGTTACCCCTGGCAATGGTCTCGTCTGTCTGGGTTGGAGGTCAGTCCTGTGGTGTGGGGACAGATGACACAGCACTGGGCGCCCACGTGGGGCGGGGACATCTAGGGGAACAAAGCGTCATGTTGGGAAACAAAACCGCTCACCCCACCCAGAGATTAGCCTTGGCCTCCGTCCCGCCCCCTGCACTTTATAGCTGTCCACAAAGCAGGAAGTATAGCAGGCAACTCTCAGTTCCCATTGTCTCTGCAGTTCACCATCGGTCATTACCCAGAACCTTCTGTGACTCCCTACTGCCCACCAAACCAGGTAGACACTCTTCAGGGGACATTCAAGCTCCTGTACTTTCTGGCCTCAATTTGTCCCTTCTAGCTCTTCACTCTGTCCATTATTGTCCCTTATCAAAGTAATTTTCAACAATACACATTCGATCACATCCCTTCCCTGCTCTAAACGCTTCTGTAGCTCCTATGTCCTGTGTAATAAAGTCCAAGCTCCTTAGGAACTAGCATTTGCCTCCCTGCTTAGCTCTATCTTCAACTATGTCTCTCAAAATTAGGCTAAACCTAATGCTTTTCAAGCACACTGTACTATTTCATATCATTGTGTATTAGCACATACTATTCCCTTGGTTTCCTCCATATATAAAGAGTTATTCCAAATCAATCAAAAACAAAAAAAATGAACAACTCAAAATAAAAATGTCCAATCAATTTGACCAGGTAGTTCAGTGAAAAAGAAATACAAATGGCCTGTAAACATTCAAAAAGATGTACGACCTTACACAGAAACACAAATCAAATGATAATCTCATTTTCATCCATCAAATGGGCAAAAATTCATAGAAAGCTCATGTCTCTTTGTATATTAGCTGAAGTCCAAACCCATCCTTTAAATCCAGCTCTAAAAATGTCACCTCCTCTAGACGTCATCTTCTTGGCTCCCACAGTGTCCTGTACATCTTGAGACAGTGGGGCCAGGTACAGAGCAGAAATTCTATAGATGTTAGCTATTATTAATAAAAATAACAGCTACCATGCTGTTCTGTGGTCATCAGCTAATGGTTCTGTCCACCTGCCCAGAAGGTCCCTGAAAGCAGGAATAGAGTCTGCTTCATCACTGCTTTACTAGGACGAGCACAGGGCCTGCTACAGAGCCATGCCCTGTAAGCAGACAGGTGAGGTATATGCAGCAGAGGGAAGGCTGAAGCCAGGAGCCAGCCCTCAAGGGCTGCCCTGCTGGGGAGAGTAGGCACTGTGGAGGGGAGGGCTGAAGGAGGGCCAGTTGGTGGGCACAGCCCCAGGCTTGCAATAAACACAACTTCCATGAACTGGTACCCACTTTGTGTCAGAGAGCACTGTGCCAGATACTTTATCCAAACTATCTCTATTCCTGCAGATTCTTTGAGATGGGTGGTGTGCCCTCCATTTTACAGGTGAGAAAACAGAGGCTCAGGAATGGGGAGTGACTTACCCAAGTGAGTCTTTTTTTTTTTTTTTTTTTTGAGACAGAGGCGTGTGCTGTCACTCAGGCTGGAGTACAGTGGCTCGACTTTGGCTCCCTGCAACCTCTACCTCCTGGGTTCAAGCAATTCTCCTGCCTCAGGCCTCCCAAGTAGCTGGGATTACAGGTGCTTGCCACAATGCCCAGCTTTTTTTTTAAATTTTTTTATTTTTAGTAGAGATGGGGTTTCACCATGTTGGCCAGGCTGGTCTCGAACTCCTGGCCTCAAGTGATCCGCCCACCTCAGTCTCCCAAAGTGTTGGGATTACAGGCATGAGCCACCATGCCCGATCCTAAGTGAGTTCTTATCATTACCCCACACTGCCTGTGCTGGCTTGTGGGCACTTGATAGATGCATGAGGTTGGACATTTCATGTTCCCTATCTGGAACTCTGCTCTCCCGTCTGAGAAATGGCTCTATATTAGGGGTTTCTCAAACTTAAGAACTGATGGGCCTCTAAGAATACAGTTCCCAAGCTCCATCAGGCCCCACCTTTTAGAAACACTGCATCCAGTGGTAAACGCTGCTACACTGGAAGGTCCTGTGATGACCACATGTTCATAAAGAAAAGGCAGCCACGAACATCAGGGAGCAGAGCTCAGTTGGTAGAGGGTCGTCCAGATGACCTGCAGCATGCTTTTGTTAAAATGGGGGAGGAGTTTTCGTCTTCACGAAAATGATGTTTAAAAATGTATTGTCTTGGCCTTAGCTGGAGTGGTCAAAAATAATAATAAATATTGTCAAATGATTTTTTACAAGGTGCCAAGACAATTCATTGGAAACAATCATTTCTTTAACAAGTAGTGCTGGCCGAGCGCGATGGCTCACGCCTGTAATCCCAGCACTTTGGGAGGCTGAGGCGGGCGGATCACCTGAGGTCAGGAGTTCCAGACCAGTCTGGCCAACAAGGTGAAAACCCATCTCTACTAAAAATACAAAAATCAGCCAGGCGTGGTGGTGTGCACCTGTAATCTCAGCTACTCCAGAGGCTGAGGCAGGAGAATCACTTGAACCCGGAGGCAGGGTGGGGGGTGGCAGAGGTTGCAGTGAGCTGAGATCTAGGCACTGTGCTCTAGCCTGGGTGACAGAACAAGACTCCATCTGGAAACAAACAAACAAACAACAACAACAAAAAACAAGTAGTGCTGAGACAACTGGCTATTTATACACAAAAGGATACATTTGGGCCCATGCTTCCCACCATACACAAAAATTAACTCAAATTAATCAAAGACCTAAATGAAAGAGTTAAAACTATAAAAATCTTAGACAAAAACATAAGAAGAAATCTTTGTGACCTTGGGTTATACAATGATTTCTTAGATACAACACCAAAAGCATAAGCAAGAGAATTACAAATTCATAAATTGGACTTCATGAAAATTAAAAACTTTTGCACTTCAAAAGACACCATCAAGAAAGTAAAAAGATAAGGCCCTGCATAGGCTCATGCCTGTAATCTCAGCACTTTGGGAGGCAGAGGCAGAAGGATTGCCTGAGCCCAGGAGTTCGAGACTGTAGGGAGCCATGATCATGCCATTGTATTCCAGCCTGGGTGAGTGAGTGAGACCTGATCTCCAAAAAAAAAAAAAAAAAGGAACTGAGAAACTGAGAAAATTATATAACTGATACTGGAACCTGTATGTAGAGTATGCAAATAACTCATGACTCAATAACAAGGAGACAATACAATTTTTAAATGGGCAAAAGGTTTGAATACACATTTCATCAAAGGAGACATATGAATGGCCAATAAGCACATGAAAAGATGTTCCACATCAAAGAAATGCAAATCAAAACCACAATGAGATATGACTTCCCACCCACTAGGACAGCTAGAAGCAAAAAGCCAGACAATAACAAATGTGGGACAGGATGTGGAGAAATGGAAACCCTCACACACCACTGGTGGGAACAAAAAGATGCAGCCACTTTGGAAAACAGTTTGGCCATTTCTAAAAAGTTAAACAGAGAGTTACTATGTGACCCAGCAATTCCACTTCTAGGTATCTACTAAAGAGAAATGAAAACATATGTCCACATCAAATCTTGTATGCAAATATCCATAGTAGTAGTATTTACAATAGCCAAAAAGTGGAAATGACCCACATGTCCATCAACCGGGGAATGGATAAACTAACTACAGTGTATCCATACAATGGAATGTTATTATTCAGCAGTAAAAAGGAATGAAAGACCAGGCGCAGTGGCTCATGCCCAACATTTTGGGAGGCTGAGGCGGGAGTGTCACATGAGGCCAGGAGTTCAAGAACAGCCTGGGCAACAAAGTGAGACCCCTGTCTCTACCAAAAAAAAAAAAAAAAAAAAAAAGGAATGAAGTACTGATACATTCTATTCTATAACATGGATGAACCTTGAAAAACTTCACGCTAAGTGAATAAAGCTAGACACAAAAGGACACGTGTTGTATGATTCCAAAAGGATATGAAATGCTCAGAAAGACATATCTACAGAGACAAAAAGTGGTTGTTGAGGACTTGGGATGGCACAAGGGACTGAGGGAAAATGGGTATGTGGTTTATTTTCAGGGCCATGGAAACGATTAAAAATAAAATTGTGATGGTTACAGGATTCTGTAAATATAGTAATAATAACCGAATTGTACACTTAAAATGAGTGAATTTCATAGAGTAAAGTATCCCTCAATAAAGCTTTAAGAAAACACGTGATGACTAAATGAAACATAAGATCCTAGGTTGGGAGGAAAGCTTGGTAAAAAGGACATTACTGGGACAACAGGCGAAATGTGACTTTTAAGTTAGTTGTATTTTAGATCCTAGTATCATGTCCATGTTAAACTTCCTGAATTTGACTAATGGACCATGGTTATGTAAGAGAATGTCCTTGTTCTTAGTAATTATGTACTGGAGCAGTATTTAGGGGTGAAAGTTACATATGGCATGTTTGCAGTGACATCTCAAATGCTTCTAAGGGAAAAATCGGTTTTTAAGAGAAAGCAAAATTTGGTGGAATGTTATTAGTGATGAGTCTGGGTGAATGGTACACGGGAGAATTTTGTTTTGTATTATTGTTGTAACTCTTCTTTAAGATTGAAATCACTTCAAAATAACTTACAACTCTTAAAGAATCCACACATTTAAAAAATTATTGTTGGGACCTTGAATAAATCTATAGACCCTGAATGGAGAAAAAGCCCTGAGCTAGTTGTGAACAGAGTTCCTAGAGAGGGTGCCCCTGCTCATCATGTCTGTTGCACCCCAAAGAGAAGACAAAGACACAGCCAGAGGGTAGGGTGAGAGCATGTGTCTGTATATGCCATAGCTTGCATTCATTCAGTCATTTACCCAACAAATATTTCCTGGGTGCCATCATGTGCAAGGGTAATCAGCTGTGAAGCAGAGATGATCAAATCCCTGCCCTCAGGTGTTGAGATGCAGCTGGGGGCCGGGGGAGCGCTCTGCAGGAGGGGGAAGCCGATGTGGAAACCCCTCAGCTACACCCAGGCCCCAGCCTCCCACCAGATCTGGAGCCTTGGAGGGCAGGGATTTGTGTCTGAATCACCTCTGTGCACTCTCCCCGCCTCCCTCCTCCCTCTCCTTGGATTATAAGGAAGTCAAACTGTCTCCACACAGCAAAGAGCTTTTGACCGCTGGGGCCCACAGGCTTCGAAAGGCCCAGAGCAGGGACAGGGCATCTATGCAGGGCCACTTTCCACCAGCAAAGCTCAGAACGGAATCAGCAAGAGTAGGTGGGAGGGAGGGTGGCTGGGGGCTGTCCAGGTGAGGGGCTGCAGGGATGGAGGGAAGCATTATCAAGGGGGGAGGCTAATTCACCTCCCACCAAAAACCCAGCATCGGGCCAGCCACAGTGCTGGCCACGCAAATATCCACGAGGTAGCCTCCACCTCCACCAGTAAGCCCTTGACTCCTGGGAGCTGCTCAGGGACTCCAGCTCCTGGAGGTTACACGGATTCCCAAGCTGGGAACCCCTGAATTATTTTAGGGGATCTCTCATCCCGTATGTGCAGCCAACACTGCTGGTAGACCAAACAAATACTATGTTTCACACGTGAACATCTTTCAAACCAAAATAGAAGCTGCTTTGATAAATAAAATTCACAGACTCCAAAGTTATCTAAAAATTGGTTCTTAACAGCTTCCTGTCATCCTGTAGTTTTTCAATCTTGGATATTAACCCTTGTGTGTGGGGTTAATATGGCATGGGGGCAGGGGGTGTCTCATAATTTCTGATGATAAACAGGTCTCTTCCCTTTACTTGAAAAGCCCGGGAGTGCAAATGGAGTTCCCATACTTCACGGTGTGGGGGAAGGATCAGAGGATGAGGCCTGTACTGCTGGACCTCGGGTGGAGACCGCAGCCCAGGGCTCCCTGCTCTGCAGGGCTCTGGAAGATGAGGGGATCTGGGGGCCCAGAGCCAGGCACCCCAGTGTTACTGGCCTGCCTGCCCCCAGCAGACCAGCAGTCCTCCAAGGCAGCAGCTGGGCCAAGGCTGAGTCTCTCAGGAGTCCTGGGCAGTCAGCACGTAGCTGGGTGACCACGGAGGCAGGCAGGCAGGAGGCGCCTGGACAAGGGGGCTGACATTCACAGCAGGCTGGGCTGGCTGAGGGCTTTGAGCCCAGCTCTCCACCTGCTAGCTGTGTGGCCACTGAGCACTCAGGATGTGGCTGGGGTGATGGAGACTGAGTTTTTCATTTTGTGAATTTTAATCAGTGAACATTTAAATAGCCACCTATAGCTGGTGGCTACTGCTCTGGGCAGCCTGGCTCTGGAGGCTTCGTAGGGACGGGGAATGGAAATGGCCCTGAAGGTGAGCCAGCCAGCTTAGCTCCCCCTCCCTTCTCAGCAAGGATTTGAGGGTCCCCCTTGCAGAGCAAAGGCTGCAGTGTCTGGACAAGCCTCAGCTCCCTCCCTGGTCCGGTCCAGGCATCTGCACACATCACAGCACACAGAGTGCCACTGCCCAGAGCAGTGCACACAAAACCAGGTACTCTGTCTGATATGAGCAACTTAAGGGCTCTTCAAGGGGAATTTTATGATAGTAACTTTTTGACTTTGTATATAATGACTTTAGAGCTTACTCCCCTCACCCCAACCTGTGTGAAATAACAGCCCAGCAAAATCCTAATGATACATATCTTGTGATTGCCAAATATGACCACAAATTCCTCCCATCCTGGTACCCAGGCCTCTCCTGGGTAGCCCCCTCCTCCCACCTGAGCTGGGGGCTACTTCCCCTCCCCTTGGGCATACGACTTTCCTTTCAGGAGAAGGTGGCAGAGGTGATGGCTGTGCCTCAAGAGGCCTCACGGCTTCTGGTTCATTCTAGAAGTGCAGCCTCAGATGCCATGTGGAAGGTGTGATTGGGGCACGTGGAGGGAACTGAAGGGACCCCGGTGTGAGAGGCTTGTCTGCCATTGTGGGGGCCATGTGGAGGGAACTAAGGGGACCCCCATGTGAGGAGGCTGGTCTACCATTGTGGTGGGGGCACATGGAGGGGCCTGAGCTGCCTGGCCGCCAGCCAGCATCCACTGGCAGACATGGGAGTGGGGCCTTCTTGGAACTTCCAGCCCAGCTGAGCATAGCCAAGGGCAACCAGCACAACTGCCCAGATCTTCCAAACACACAATCACGTGTTTTAAGACACTATGTTCTGTGTAGTTTGTTACACAGCAAAATCTAACTGAAACACACGCGCACACAGCCCCCACTCTAGAGACTGCCAGCTGGTGTTGCAGTTCAGGGCCCACCCACGGCCCCAGGAGGCAGCAGCACACCCGGAAGCACTGCCTGGGCCCAGGGGCAGGGGCATGAGAAGTGTCCATGGGCCGCTGGGGAACTCTACCTTTTAAACAGAGCAGAAACCCACGTGGAGCCCAGAGACAGGCCGTCTTTGGCAGATGCCTGGGGTCTGTGCTCTGGGCCGGGCTCTGACTGGCGGAGCCCCTGCAGCCTGGCCTCTCCTGACATGTTTGCAGTCAAAATCACAAAGCTCTGCTACCGGCGGGTATCTCTCTCCCCATTTTATAGATGAGGAAACAGATTCAGGAGCAGGAGACACTTGTCCAAAGTCGGTTTTGCTAGGCTTTGTCCTCCTCCAGGTCTTTTTGGCCCCCATCCCTGCAGTGGTAGGGGTGCCCCTAATTCACAAGGGTGGAGTGCAGGAGAGGAAGCTGGCAGGGGCTGCATGAGACTGTGGGGAGGGAATCACGTGTCTTCATGCAGACAGAGCCCAAGGCACTTAGGGTCGGGGGACAGAACCCCTAGGAAGAGGGTCAGGGGAGCTGCAGCAAGGACTCTGTCTCCAGCTGGTATGCGGGATCCAGACAGAGCAGGTGGGGCTGGCTCTGTAACTGGCCTGTCGGCCGTTCTAAACATCCAGAGAACTGAGTAGTGGGGACGCCAGCTGTGGGCCCAGCTGCCCCTGGGAGGAGGGCAGAGGCCAGCCTGGCTCTCTACCTGCCCCACCCACTGCACCGGTCCACCCTCCGTGTCTCTAAGGAAAGCTAGGTTCTAGGTCTCAATTCTGATGCTGCCACTTTCTGGCTGGCAAGGAACTTGCGCGAGTCACTTGGCTTGCCTCAGTTTCCCCCCCTGCAAGATAGGGCAGATATTCCTGTTGGACAGGATTTATTGTGAGAATGGAATGAGATCATAGTTGGGACCATACTCCTACACACATTAGAGCTTATCACCCATTTCGCACTTGAAAAACATCCCGTTTTCTTTGCTGCTGCTTGAAAGCCTCCGCAGGCCACCCACTCCTCACTTCTGGGTCTGCCTATCTCTGCGGTTTCTGTGCTTGCAGATGAAATGTAATTCTTGGCTGTTGGAAGTTTGGGGCTGAGCCCAGCCATCCCTCCCTGTCTCTGGGGCCCCACCCGTACCCCGCCCCAGAGTCCAGAGCCCCCAGCACGTCCAGCTTACCAATGGAGCCCACCCTTCCCCGGAGCAAGGTCACAGAATCCCCTGTCCTGTGGGAGGAGAGCTTGGTGATTTCTCAAAGTCCTTGCAGCTCTGACCTTCTAAGCCTGCACTCCTCTAGGAAGCCAGGTGAGAGAGCAGAGGAACTACCCTTCCATAAGCCCACCCCAGGAACCCCAGGGAGGGGCCAGGTGCCTGGCCTTCTGAGTGTCTGTACCTGAAGATGAAACGGGGTTACTTAGGTACTTCTTGGCAGTTCTGAAGTTCAGGACTGAACCTAGCTGCCTCTCCTGGCTATGTCCGTCCATTACCATCACCACCTTGTCACCCTCCGTCTGGGGTCTGAGGCCAAGCTGGACACCTCTCCTTCCCGCGTCGAAGCTCAGAGGTGAGCCTCAGCTGACCCTCCCTCCAGCAAATGTTTAGAGAATGAGGTAAGCATCCTCCACCAGTGACCGTCAGGCTGTCCACTGTCCAACCCAGACGTCCTCTCTGAGAGTGCTGCCATTAGTCTCCAAACCCTCTGTCCTTTGAGCCTGAATCCCCAGGGGGCTGTTCATACTCCTCTTCCCTCTGCCACCTGGCTGGCCCCCATCTTTGCTAGCCACCTCCTTCTTGCTCTCAGTTCCCCTCCTCAGGGAGGCCCTCACTGACCACCGCCAAGTCGCTCCCCACTGCAGCCTCCTGCTTCATTTTCCTGACTGTGATGTTGGAAATGCTCGTTTGTGTGTTTGTTTACTTGTCACCTCTCTGCCTCCCCCAACCCCCAAATGCCAGCTCTGTGAGGGAGGGGGTCTCACGCTGGTGTCCTCACTGCTTTGAGCGGTGCTGGGCACACAGTCAATATTAGTTGGTCGAGTTACTGATAGAACAACGCTCTTGATCCGGCTCCAGGGCAGAAAGGGGAGCTCACAGAGGAGGGGATATCCAGCTAACCCAGTGGGAACCAGACACGCTGGCAAACCCCATCCCACGGGCTAGGCTTTCAGTTAACCCTCTCATTCATGCATGAGGGGGTGCTTATTAAGCCATTTTCCAGATAAGGCAATGGAGGCCCAGAGAAGTGAAGTGACTTGCACAAGGCCACATGGCTTGTATGCTGCAGAGCTGGGTCTTGGCCTGGCTTTCTGAGATCGACAGCCCTTTTCCTCTCCAGGGTTCCAAGGCTGTGATTCCGAGAGATCACCACACAGGGAAGGAATCCTGACAGCCTGTGAAGTGCCTGGCACTGGGTCAGGTTATTTGCCAAGGTTTGTTCATGTGCCTGCTCTGTCTTCATAGGTCTATTTTACAGATGTCAAACTGAGGCCCAGAGAGGCCTGGTGACTCGCCCTAGGTCACACAGTGCGGTGACAGCCAATCCAGGACCGGTGCCCGGACTGCCACACCTCTCCATGTGGTGGCGGTGAAGCTAAATGGCCTGCTGCCTTGATTTCCCCTTTGTGCCATGAGGGTGTGGGCAGGCTGATTTCTGACATGGTGTAATGTCATCAGGGAGGCGGGACCTTGCCTGAGAAGCCTTAGGGCTGAAAAGGGAAGCGCAGAGTGGCTGTTTCCCCATCCTGCCCGCTCTCCGCCCTGGCCCTGAGCCAGGTGGGCGGCCAACTCCCTTTGACCACTTCCTGGGGTAACTCCCCCGGAAATGCCCCAGATGCCCGCAGCCCAAGTATAACTCCAACTTCCAGGCTCAGGACCCTCATCCCTCACCTCCTCCTGCCAAGATCACCCCAAGCAGAAACCAGTAGGCATAATAATTAGTATGTTTGTATATATATATGTGTGTGTGTGTGTGTGTGTATGTACTTTGCTGATTAGATATTTTATCAGATATCTTATCTATATAAGGAAACAACAACAAAAGTGAAGCTGACAGTGCGTTGAGAGCCGGGCTTTAGCACACCACAGCTCTATGTCTTAGGATCCCTCCTCTCTGCCAGTGTGGCGCCCGCCTCCTACTCCCATCCTCTGCCTCCAGTCTCCTCTGCCAGCCTGTCCTCCATCCAAGCTCCCTAGGCATCCTCTTCAAACTCTTTGCTGATTGCTGTAAGGCAGTGGAGCATGTGGTTAAGATTCTGGGCTTCAGGTCAAGCTGATTTGGGATTTGAGGACATTTGCTAACAGTGTGACCTTCGGCAAGTGACTGTGTCTCCCTAAGCCTCAGTTTTCTCATCTGCAAAATAGGGATCATAACAAACTCTACCTCACGGGGCTGACCCGAAGGGATGATGCATAGCAGAACACATGGCTCAGCTGGCCAGCCGGCAGGTCTTAGCAGGTCATAGTGGCGGAATGACCAGCCCACAAGTCTTAGCAGGTCGCAATGGTGGATGCAGGATGTTTCTGCCTGACCAGCCTCCATTCTCACTTCCGGTAAGACACCCCAATTTTCTTTGGGGAATCCAATCCTCCATTCTCAGTCCATCTAATTTGGGTCAGCTACCTCCAGGGGTGAATGCAGTACCGAGCTTGGTCTATCAGAGAGAGTAGTTCATCCCCCCTGCTCAAGTGACTGGTCCAGGGATGGGTATGTGGTCTAAGCTAACCATGGAGAGTCGATTCTGTCAGAACAGTTTCTGCCTGGATATGACAAATGTCGACCTGGAGCTGTTGGGGCCATCTGGGCAGAAAGGCTGTCCGGGAATGAAGTCAAAGAGATGGAAAAAGAGAAAAAGAGGCCGGCGTCTGGGGTCATGGTTTGAGCCCCCGAATCCAACTGTACCTGAAGCCCTGTCTGTTTCAGAAACAGAAGGCAATAAATTCAGCCTTTGCCTTAAGCCCGTCAAGCCAGTCTGGGGTGCCTCTTTTTTTTAATCAACCAAACAAATACTGGTTAATAAAACTCCCTGCTCAAAAGCTCCTGGCGGCTCCTTCATGCCTGCAGGGAGAGGCCAGCACCCTGGGCTCTGGGCCCCACTTGCCTTCCTTTTTGTCCTGAACTCTGGCCCTCATCCCTCCCAGACAGGTATCACCCAAGACTGCTGTTTCCCAAACACACCATGAAGACTCGACCTACAGTTTCTACCCAAACTCTCCTCCACTCCCCACTTGAGCAGTGCCTGCTCACTAGAGCTTGCCTCCTCCTGGAAGCCTCCCCACACTTCCTCCACCACTCTGAGTGTCAGTGGCATCTACCTCCAGCTTCCCATCACTCTGCTTATTTCCCCAGAGTGAAATTCACTTTTTTTTTTCTTTTTCCTCTTCAAAAAAACTTTGTCTCACTGTATCATTTAAGAAATGAACATCCTGGATTGACTTGGGATTTGACAAATTCAAACTTGGTTTTAACACACCATGTGCATTTCCTGAGCCCCAGGCGTACCAGCAGACACAGGGCTGAAAGACCCAGGGCCTACCCGCAGGGGCTTAGAGGCTGAACCAAACCGTTTCCCATTTGGCTCAAGACAATGGATGCAAAAATGACCATTTTTAAAATTTTAAATTCAAATTTATTTTACTTGGGGATAATCATCACTGACACTCACTGAGCCATTGCTAGGTCATTGTCTATGGGCAGGTCCATGCATAATGTTATTTAATCCTCACTCTGGGAAATGTTATCCTCACTTACAGAGGAGGTCACTGAAGCTCAGAGAAGTAAAGGGAGCTGCCCAGGGGGTTACAGCAACTGTAGGGAGCTGACCCTATATTCTAGCCCTTGTTATCCTCCCTGGCCTTTCTCAACTGTGTGCGAATACACTGGGGCCAGCTTCGAAGTCTTTTTAACATTCACTGTGTAAACTCGGCACCAAGCTAGCTTCCCCTGGTTGCTCACAGGCAGGTGGCTGTCCACACCCACTTCTGTGTGGGGGCCTCTGGCGTCACATTTCACACCCCTGTTCTGTAGGCATCGGGTTTCAGATTTGCTGTATTTGCTTCCGCTGCCACTACCGGTAGATCAGAAGCTGGGGAGGTGTTTCAACACATGATTGTTTTGAATATGGTGACTTCCCCATCTATCCCTGCCATGGGTAACATCCCAGCAGCCTCTTGATAGCAGAACAGAGGCCATTGAGCCTGGCCAATGAGTGAGTCTCAAATTCTAAGTTCGTGGGGGACTCACTTAAGAAGGGTGGTTTGTTCCAGCACCTGATCAGAACCTGTGGCTCATCCTCTGCAAAGTGGGCATGAGGCACCACCAGAGGCTGCGGAGTGGCCAGAATGAGGCAACATATGGAGGGGGTGTGGCACACGGTAGGTGTACACTAAGTGCTCATTCCCTCTTTTCCTTACAGCCTTGCTGCTGGGGCTACCTTTCACCCACATGCAGGCTTACTTGCCTGCACCCCCGGCATGGCCCAAGAACCAGTTCTCTGAGTTCAGCCAGGACTTCCAAGAACCTAGCACAGCCAGGTCAGCTCCACTGTGTATGAGTCCTGAACCCGACCCTAGGCCCCTGCTCCCTCAGTTGCCATTTGCCAGGCTACCTCCTCCATTGCTCCTAAAATCTAGCTCATCTGCCACCTCCTCCAGGAAGCCTTTGGGGAACTCCTCCAGATAAAAACTCCAGTGTCCCTCCTCTGGGCTCCCACAGGCCTCAGAGCTCACCCCCTTCTCAGCCCTGAGTGCCATGTGTAGTCATTTCCTCTTTTCTAGTCCCTTCTCCCACAGAGCACTGTGAACATCCCCAAGACAGAAACGATGTGTTGCTCACCACAGCCTGGGCCCTACAGCTGGCCTGTCACAGGGCTGGTGACGACCGAATGAAAGGAAATGCCTAATGTTTTCTGAGCACTTGCTACATGCCGGGCACAGAGCCAGGGATGCCCACATGGAGAGGGCCTGCCTCACAGTGAAGACAGTAGGAAGGAAAGCAGAGGTAAGAGTTGAAAAGTCCAAATCCATATATGAACACTGCGATTCCGCCATTCCCGAAGCTAGTTACCCTCCAGACTTTTCAGTTCCAGGAGGCAATGAAACCCCTTTTCTGCTTATGCCCGTTAGGTTTGGATTTTCTGTCACTTGCTACTAAGACAGCCCTCACTGACCAAGTGAAGCTCAGAGATGGGACCCAACACACCCAAGGTCACATAGCTACGAAAGCAGTGGAACAGAAACTCCCATGAAAGTCTGGGCTTTTTTTTTTTTTTTTGAGACAGTCTTGCTCTGTGTCCAAGGCTGGAGTGCAGTGGCACGACCTAGGCTCACTGCAACCTCTGCCTCCCAGGTTCAAGCGATTCTCCTGCCTCAGCCTCCCAAGTAGCTGGGATTACCGGCATGCGCCACCACGCCCGGCTAATTTTTGTATTTTTAGTAGAGATGGGGTTTCACCATATTGGTCAGGCTGGTCTCGATCTCCTGACCTCAAGTGATCCGCCCGCCTTGGCCTCCCAAGGTCTGGGCTCTTAACCACAGCCTGACCACACCCCAGGCCCGGCTGATAGCCACTTCAATGCTCCCACACGCTGAGTACAGTCCAGATACCCACTCTGCCGGCGGAGTCCCCTCACCTCTTTCCCAGAAGCCACTGGAGTTACACTGGTTGGGATTTTTGGGCATTGGTTTGCAAGTCCATCAGATGGGGCTAATGAGCTCACCCTTGCATGCAGGTCAGAGGACAGCTCACACTGGCCTAGCCCACAAGGGACTCAGGGAATGAAGGCCACAGTGTGGACCCTCCAACCTGCCCTCAGCTGCCTGATGGCCTACAGGTGTTTTCTAATAGGTGACATGTGTCCATTAAAATAAAATACAACCAACCGCTTACCCCTCCTTGCGCCCATCTCCTTCCTCTGCCCTACTCTCCTTCACAGAACATGTCATCCCCATGACCTATCATGCATGCATTGCGTTAGTCATATATTGCTTGACTCCCCAACACCAAGAAGGGAAGGGATGGTTTATCTGATTTATCACCTTTGTACTCTCAGAGACAAGACAGTACTTGGCACACAGTAGGTGCCCAATAAATGTTTGTTGAATGACTGAATTAACAAATGAATGATGTGCATGAAACTCTGCACAGAGTCATGGAGTGCTTAAAGGCTCCTGGTTACACCTGGCCATTTCACAGGTGAGGACATGAGGCCTCAGGATGGGCTCCCCTGAAGTCCCCAGGCAGGCAGCAGGGGCTCTGATCTGCTCTGTGCCTCTGCTGGGCTGGACCGAAATGGGCCTTGAACACAGGTGTGGGCAGCCACCTGGCCAGGCTCCCCAGCTTGAGCCCTGGCGCCCAACAAAGGCAGGTTGCTGCTGGAGGTAGCTGAGCTGGAGGCCAGAGCCCTGGGCTCTGAGCTGTAACCCCTGAACCTGACCTCTTGGGGTCCTTGGGCCAACAGCCCCTGGCTCACTGGGGTCATCAAGCCTCCCCTAACCAGCCTGAGGGGCACTGTGCCCTGGTAAATCTCTCAGTGAGATGGGAACCCAGAGTCACCTACGCCCACAGGGAGATTCCCCACAGAGGCCTGCTTCACCATCTAAGCCTCACAACAACCCCGGAAGGGAGGACTTTCGCTATGGGTTATATGGAAACCCAGGCCCAGAGATGTTGGGACATCTGTCCCATGTCACATGGCTGGGGCACACTGGGGAGCTGGGATTTGAGACAGAGTGACTGACCCCTCAGGGCACTGAGCAGCCTTCTGTCTGCAGCGTGGGGGCAGGGGTGAAGGTGCCCATTGCTTCCTTATCACTGGGCCTCACTTTTTCCATCTGCCACTGGTTGGGCTCCAGTCCTAAGGAAAGGGCTATCTGTCTTGCCTGCCCCCAAGAGCCAGGGCTGGGGTGGGGGAGGCTTGGCTGGGAGTGAGAGCTCCCAGGCTGCTCCCTGAGGCTGGGTCGGTAAAAGCTTCCTCTGACCCATCTGTTGAACTCCCTGATGACCCCAGTGAGCCAGGGGCTGTTGGCCCAAGGACCCCAAGAGGTCAGGCTCAGGGGTTACAGCTCAGAACCCAGGGAACATCCCCCAACACGCTCCCAGCCCCAGGGATCTACAGATCCTCAAGGTTCCACTCTGGATCATTTCAGAAAGATACTGAACTTGTCAGTGGGTCAAGGGGCTCCTGGGGGGACACATACTGGGCTACTGCCAGATGGGAAATGGCCCCAGCGAGCCTGGGGCAGGGAAGACTTCTGCAAGGCAGTGTCTCCTCAACACAGCCTGGGGAAGCCTTGTGTTCCCTCAGCCATAAACCTCCATTTGCTCAAAGTTTATGCACCATAGGGTTGAGGGGGGCAGCAGTGTGGGAAGGAAACACACCAAATATGCTCCAGGAGCCCTGGGCCACTGTGTGACTTCTGAGGGCCTCTGAGGACTTCTGACTTCTGTGTGACTTCTGAGGGCCTCAGTTTACTCGGCTGTAAACTGGGCATTGTCAAGAGTCCATCTTTCTCAGGGTGGTTGTGAGGGCCGTAGGCAGCGACCCAACACTCCCTGCCATCCAGGTGGGCTGCGGGGCCCTGGTTCTCAACCCTAATGGGGCCTGGGGCTGGTCTAACGCGCAGGGGAGCTAAAGAACTTCCCCTTGCGGCTGTGGGGAAACACCTGGTGTTCCTGGGCCCAGGGCGAGCCTGTGTGCATTCCAGGCAGTGAGAAACGGGTCACAGAATACAGCTCTGAGAAACAGTGAAAACTCTGACGACAGCCCCCAAGACCCTCACCACGGCAGGCTGCCCTGACAGTCGCCAGCCCCTCACAGGTTTCTCAGGGCTGCTGAGGTCCCCTCCCCGGGCCAGGTGGGTGGTACTCACAGTCTCAAAGTGGAGGGGGCGGAGGTGTCCCTGGAACCCCAGTGCCTGGCCTGCCTCTGCGGCCCCGGGGGATGAGCTGTGGGTCCATCCCCACAGCAGGTCCTGACGTCTGACTTCCTCCCTGCTCAGTCGGCATCCAGGAAACCACACCCAGGGGAGAGGGTGCCAGGCACCCTGGGGCCCCCGCCCACCTGCCCTCCAAAAGGCCCCCAGGCACTGCTGAGGGGGCTCCTTCCAGGTCTGGCAAACCCAAATGGCTTCACTGGGCAGGCCCCAGTCAATAAATAATACACCCACCTCCCTGGACAGTCTCTGGTGCCTGATCGTGTTTCAGGGCCACTTAAGTTCCAGGCAGACTGCTTTGTTCAGAGTGCCGGGCCCCTTCTGGGTCTCTGGCCACATGGGCACTGCACTGTCACGGAGGGCCAGCTGGAGCCAGCAGCATAAAGTAGTGTGACAGGGGTCCCTGGAGAGAGGGTGCCCTACTTACTTAGCAGCTTGGGCCCAAAGGGGACCCAGGGGTGGTGCCAGGGTAGGGTGGCCAGTCTCGTCTCCCCATGGCCAGGCAGGGCCCCCCACATCCCCCACAGGGGTGCCATCTGGAGAGCCGCCACCAGCCCATCCTGACATTGCCAGTGTCCGGGCCCAGGCCCCTCCTCCAGGAAGCCTCCTCTCCGCCAGGAGTGCTCTGTCCCTGTCTGAATTCCCACTGCAACCGCCAGCCAGTCTGTCTGTCTCCTTCTTTGGGTCTCAATTGTCATCTCTCATCTAAACAGTGGCCGGCCGCCACATCTCAACCGGCCTTCCCTGCCCCCAACGCCCCACCACTCCCTCTCCACAGTCTCATTTCCTCACAGCAGCCCGGGTGACGGTTTTAAAACAGAAAGCACAGCAATGTTACCCAGCCGTGGCTCTCCCGCCCCAGTCAACTTTCAAGCCCTCTCCAGGATCTGGCCCTGCCACCACGGGGACTGCTCCTCCCGCCCTCTCGACTCCTGCCAGCCTCCTCCTCTGTGCTCCTCCTGCAGGTGCACACAGACCTCAGGGTCCTTACACCAGCTGCTCTCTCTGCCTGCTCTTCCCCAAGGTCCTCACAAACTCACTCCACCCTGTCACTCTCAACGCAAGGCCACCACTGCAGACGAGTCTTTGTTTTCTTTTCAAACAGTCTTATTAAGATATAATTCACACACCATACAACTCACCCATTTAAAATGTATAGTTCAATGATTTTATTAATAGTATATTCCCAGAGGGGTGCAACTGTCACCACTATCTATGTTTAGCATATTTTCATCACTCAAAAAGAACCCCTCCCCAGCCCTGGATCACGGCAAACCTACCTCCCGTCTCTATAGATTTGCCTGTTCTGGACATTTCCTAGAAACGGGACCATACGCTCTGTGGTCTTCCGTCTGGCTTCTTTCACTTAGCATGATGTCCTCAAGGTTCACCTGTGCTGTAACACGTGCCAGAACTTCATTTCTTTTTGTGGCTGAATAATATTCCACACTATGGACAGACCACATTGTGTTTATCTATTCATCCACTGACGGCCACTGGGAGAGGCCCTTCTTGACCTCCCCAGGCCATGTGGCTCCCTCTCCCCGATCACTCTGTCATCCCTCCCTGTTTTATTTTCTTGGCACCGATCTTTGCCTGAAGGCATCTTCATTTGTTTATTTTCTCTTTATCATTTCTCTCTCACCTGAACATCTATCTGCTCCAGGAGGCCTGAGTGTCCACCTCACTCACTGCTGTATCCCCAGGGTCTAGCCCGGGGCAGCAAACAATAGGTGCTCAGCAAACTACTTGCTGATCAGCGGAAGAAAGCCTCTTCCCATGTGTCAGAGTGGCTCATGCCCATGCCGCCTTGCTGCTGGGCTCTGAGCTCTCGGCGACAAGTGCTGCCCTGTGGTGCTTGCCAAGAAGAGCCTCACCCACAACTCCGGTGAGGAAACCAGTAACGCAAAGCCTTGGACTCAGGTCCTCCTCTGTGCTGTGGGACAGTGCTCCTCACAGGGTGGGCGCTAGCTGGCTGGATGTGGGAATGGATAGTTAGCACCTGGCACAGTGTCAGGCACAGAGTAGGTCTTCATCCCCTGAACGAAGACTCGATGCAGGGAGAGGGGGCGGCAGTCACTAGCAGAGATGGGAACCGAGGAGAGGGAGGTGAGGCTGGCAGGGCTGAGGCAATGGTGAGGCCCACGGGTGAAAGGGGAAAGCAGCCATAAGGGAATTTATGTGTGCTCCAGGCAGTGCCCAGAGCCAGAGAAGTGGCGGCTCTGCTCTGCTCTGCCCAGGACCTCCTGCCCATCCCAAACTCAGCTCTGGGCTCTTCCCGGAGATAGACAGCACGAGCCAGGGTGTGTCCAGAAGGCGTGGGTGGGGAGGAGGCTGGTGACCCCTTCCTCAGCCTCAGGGAGTCCTGGTCTCTGCAGGCTGTCCAGAGCTGGGGAGCAGATGGGTTGTGAGGCTCAGAGGACAGGGCCAGGCCACTTCAGTGTGTGGGTGGGTGGCAGCGAGCACCGCAGGAAGGATGGTGCCAGTTCCAAGTGGGAACAAATGTCCTCGCGTCAGAGCTGCCTAGGCATGGCCCAGGCTGGGAGGTGGTGAGCACTCTGTCCCAAGAGGAACGCCCACTGGCCCTCCTGCAGAGGGGCATCAGATGGCTAATTGTCCAGGAAGCTCCCTGGAAGCTCTCAAAGGCTGGCTGCCAGCTGAGCTGTTCACGGCCCTCCTGCCCAGATGCAGCCACGGTGGGAAGGCAGAGGGGGGCAGGGCCAGGGCAGCCAAGGCCACCCCACTCCTTATCAACCAGCACCCTGGGCCCCATGTGTTCCAAGTGAGCTGCCCTGGCCCACGAAGAGGCTCAAACGCCCCATTGGCTCTCAAGGCACAAAACGATCTTTCTTTTTCAATATAATGCCAGATGCAAAAGTGATCTTCCTGCCTGACCTGAGAGGGGCTGTGGATTTATCAGGGCACTGCCCTGTACCCAGAGCAAGGCCTTTGTCTGCCAGGGGCCCAGAGGTGAGTGCCCAGAGAAAGGCCAGCCAGGGAAGACGCAGGGAGGGGAGGGGCGGGGAGCTGGTTAAAGGGTCTCATCCACCCTCCAGAACTACTGTATCCCCACACGCATCTCACAGGCGGGGAAACAGGGGCTCAGGGAGGCTGCCTGTTATACAAACAGCCAATGCCTCAGCAGCACCTACTGCAGCTGGGGGAAGCTTACAGGCATTGTCTCATGGAAGCTTCAGAACGTCTCTAAGAGTCACGTCCACGGTAGGAAGGGGCTGAGCCCAGTTTTGAACTCAGGTCAGCCTGATTTCTGAGCCTGTGTGCTTCCCACTTCATCACGTTATCCCCCTAAGCCCCCACGCTGAGACTCAGAGGACAAGGAGGGGGTGCCACAGCCATGCACCCTGCTGGATGCCAAGCCAACAGAACCCAGTGATGACCTGCCAAGAAGCCCGCCCAGCTGGCATGGCTCCCCCCCAACTCTACAGGCGAGGAAACAAGCCCAGAGAGGTTTAGCAACTTGCCCGAGGGCTGCACATCTCACAACCTACCGTTGTGGGCTCTAAACCCTGGGGTGCCCAGCTCCCAAGCTGTTCTGTCCAGGATACAGCCTGCAGCCAGGATCGTCCCTCTCAGAGTCCTCGGGCCAAAGTTCCAGAGACCCTTCTCCCGGCTCCTTGACTGCGGTCGCCAAACCCCTGGGCAGAGGGCCAGGGCTGGCAGGCGCACAGCTGCTCCACACACACCTCTCGCTTTTCCAGATGTGAATGGGACCCAGCCAGGGGCAACAGGCTCACTCGGAGGGGAATCTGAAGACGCAAGTGGAAAACTATGCGCTGTCCGATCGCAACCCTCCAATCTGTCCCTGTGGCCGCCGGCAGCTCCGCCTTGGGCCACAGACCTGCTGACTCAGGGCTTCCCTGGCAGCCGAGGGGGCTGGGATCCGCAGAGGGCCTGCTCCTGGCTGGCTGGCTGGTTGGGGCGTGGCCTTAGTCCTTTCAGGGGCTCTCAACAGAATGGGGTAGGGGTCGGGAGGGCAGAGTGCTTCTCTTGGAGCCCAAGGCCCATCCTCCCCAGTTAACCACAGGGGCGCCTGGCAGTTATGGGTGCTAAGAGTGGGTTTGGGACAAACCCAGTGCCAATTATGGTGCCCACACCCACCCCACCACTCTCCTCTCATTGGTGGTGAGGAGGCCACCCGCCAGTGCTCGTGACACCCCTGTGAAGCTACCTGTCTATCACCACTTGACAGCCACAAAGCCTCCCGTAAGGCCCCGCCCCACAGCCCCGTCAGGTGGCCGTGCCATTCAATGAGGAGACTGAGGCACAGAGAGGCCAGTCTGCCAGGCTCTGTGAGGCGGTGCTGCTTCTCCTACAGACCATGTGGGCAAACGGCAGCCAAGAGGGAGCGAGCGAATCACCCTTGGACAGGGCACAGCGGGCCTCCCAGTGCCGAGCCCTCTGCATTCTGTCAACAAGCCCTGAGGTTTCCAAAGTGCCAATACCTGGAAACCTTGGGACAGAAGGGGACTCAGGAAAATCCAGCTGTGGTCACAAGGAAAAGCACACGGAGAGCTCACCAAAGTCCAGGACTCACCCGCTGCCTGGCCCAGCTCCCAAGTCACCCACCCAGGAGGTCTATCCCGGGGTCTGGGGCAGGGGCAGGGGCAGGGGCAGGCAGCCGCTGACTCACTCCAGGGCTGAGCTCTGCCTCTCTCCTTTCCCACAGCCAGCCGGCATCCTCATCCCAAGAGAACACTTTAGCCCTCACTGTCTGCCCTGCTCCCTCAAACCTGCCCAGGCCCAAGACCCGCCATTGAGGCTGAGGCCCAGGGCCCCAGGCACTCTCACCCAGCAGCAGAGACAACTATGGCCACTGTAATTATGGTTTCTTATTACAGTGAGAGTAAACTGTGTGGCTGGGTTTCCCCTTTCCCTTTGGCTGCCAGGAAACTTGGCAATTTTTACCCCAACAGAAGAACCTCAGGACCCTGTATATCTCTGTTCTGTTCTATTTTTCTACCCTAGCTCATGACATCCTATTCTAAATTGTGCTTTTTCCACTCCTGATTCTTTTTTTTAGAGATGAGGTCTTACTGTGTTGCTCAGGCTGGAGTGCAGTGGCTATTCACAGGCATGATCATCACACACTACCCTTGAACTGGGCTCAAGCATTCCTCCTGCCTCAGCCTTCCGAGTAGCTGGGACTAGAGACATGCACCACCATGCCTGGCTTCTGATGTTTTTTATTAACTATTTTGTTGCAGGTATTTTCTGTAAGCTGTCACAAGTATTTTGGGAAGGAAGGAAGAAAGGAAAGAAACAAGGAAAGAAGGAGAAATAGAAGGAAGGCAAAAAGGAAGGAAGGAAGGAATGCTTATAAAGTTTATACACCAGAGAGTGAGGGCAGAAAGAAAGAGGGACAATCTTTCAATCCCTTACCTGTTGCAAATCCACCCCTTTAAATAAAATAATATGCCCTTAGGCGGCATCCAAGTACAAACACATCTTCCAAATAGGTGGCTGCCCCTAAGCCCTTCCATATACAAATTCGGGCCCCGTGTAGTTCCCCTTTACAGATGGGGAGACCCCAGCCTTGCCTGAGATCACAAGGGACCTGGCTTCCTGCGCCCTGGTCTCCCTCCTTCTGGCAGCTGCAGAGGCCGCAGCGATCACAGATGGTGTCCCCTCCCCAGGGGGCCAAGGAGCTCTGCTCCACCCTTTCATTCTCACCATGCAGGCGCCATTCCAGATACCCCCACCACCCCCCACAGCTGTCCAGCTGGGGAGAAAGCTCAACGGCAAGGGTCATCGTATCCAACACTGACTGAATGCTGGCACCGCACCGGGCCCTGATCTTAGTGTGTATTACCTCACTGAATCCTCAAAACAATCCTAAAAGGATCTGCAGATGGGAAACTTTGGCTAGAGGTGAAGCCGCTTCACACCACTAACAATGCCAAAGCCAGCATTAAACCTGGGCAGCCTGGTGTCTGAGTCCGGGCTGAGCCCTCAGCCACTCAGTGACTGACGTTTACGGTCACACGAAGGAATCACTACACCAAGCGCTGAAGGGACGCGTGTGAGCCCCATTTCGCTGGTGGGTAACAGGCTCAGAGATGCTGTGGGGCAGGGCCAGGGTCACACAGCTGTGCCCTGTGCCAGCATGTTATGTAACACATGCTGCACCTGCCCCTGGCGTTCCTTTCCTGAACGTGTGCTCTGGATCCCAGCCGAACGTGTGCTCTGGATCCCAGCCAATCGCAGCACACCCCCTGGTCATTGTTCCACTCTCCTCCTCCCGCTCCACCAGAGACTGAAAGTTGCTCCAGCTCCCTCCATCCCAGCTCCTTCCTGGACCCTGTACAGCCATGCAAACCATCCGGCCCAACAGTCGACAGCCAGGCAGAGCAGCCATGCACGCGTCCCGGTACCTGAGTGTCCTCACAGAGATGCAGTACTTCCACATAAGGCTCCACACGGCACTGCCATACCCCTTCATGCCTGGCTCGGTGGAGGAGCGAGTGGCCAAGGGGCCCACCACCACTGCCCCACCACCCAGAGTCTCCTCCTGGCCAGGGAACGGCTCTCTTCACGGATTTTCAGGTCCCTTCCTTCTTCATGGTAGGAAGAAGAAAGAAAAGCCCCCAAAGTTAGGGAAAAGAGGAGGCACTGGCTGCCACAGGCCACTGCAGGGCTGAGCCACAGGCCCCACTATCCACCGGCCAGCCTCTGTGCCCTGGTCCTGTCTAGCTGCTCCAGACCCTCCTGGCCAAGCGGCCCTCACACACTAGACCCTGTGGCTTCTGCACAACCTTGCGCCTGCCTCCTGCCAGGAGACAGCAGTGGCTGCAGGCCAGGGGAGCAGTGAGTCACTCAGGGCGGGATGGGTGAGGGGCGTCCGCCGGTGAGGAAAAGCTCAGCTGCCGGAGCCCAGGGGCTGGCCCTGCGTCCAGAGGCTGGCCTGGGATGGGAGAGGCGAGCTCAGAGAGAGGGAGGCGGGCGGGGAGGCGAGGGCGGGCCCACATCCTCCCCATTTCCCCAGAGGCTTAAACCCAACTCCCGCCCTGCAGCCCAAAGCCTGCAGCCCGGCCCACCGACCAGCTGGCCAAGATGAGGGTGGAGGAAGGGGCTGCTCTGCCACCTCACTCCTAGAGAAAGCCTGGGGTTGACACAAAGCAAAATAAAGACAAAATCAGGGCTGCTCCTCTGGACAGTGGTTGGCCCTCCAAGGGTCTCCAGCTGGTGAGTGAGACGGTTTCCAGCTCTGGCTGGGCCACTTCTTTGCTGTTTGATGCTGGGCGTGGTCAGCCCCCTCCGGCCTTAGTTTCACCTCAGGCTACTGTGGGCTTGTGGAGCTCTGGGAATTGGCCTAAGCCCTCCTCAGGCCAAGAACTAACTCATCCAGTTCTCCCAATGCCCTTAGAAAGTGGATTTTATGATTAGTGTTGGTTTACATGAGACACAGATAGAGGAAGTCACTTACCCTAGGTCACAGACCTAGGAATTGGTGGAGGTGGGATTTGAACCTTGGCAGTCTGGCTCTAAGAGCCCACGCTGGAGTCAGGGTGTAAGCTGGCTCCTCTCTGTAGGGATGGAGTGGGGTGGGATGAAGGGCTGGAGCCTCTGAGCAGCTGAAGGCCTTGGGGTCTGGGCCCAGGCTGGGTCTGGGGCATTTCCAGACTGAGGCCCCAGCTTGAGCCCCCACCCTGGTCTCCACCAGCTGCTCCCAGGCCCAGCCCAGGCCAGGCAGCTGGGGCTTCCCAGGCAGGGCCCCCAGGGATAATGACTCACGGATCAAGGTCAACACTCACAGATCTACTTTTCCCCACCTACAGCCCCCAGGAAGTCCCCCAGAAGGGCAGGTGCACCCAGCACCTGGCACCCAGCAGGGCCCTGGGCATCATGTATAGTGGGCAGCAGAGCTTCCATTTCACCGGGGGAAACTGAGGCTCAGAGAGGGCCATCACCTGTCTGCAGAAACAGGGAGGGTGGGGCCAGGGCTCCAAAGCCTTGCTCTGTCCCCAGGCCCCACCCCCGGCCTGTGCAGAATGGGAAATCTGTCTCAGATTCCAGCCTGATTCCCACATCAAGGATTAGCAGCTGCAGGCTTCTCCATCCCCTGAGCCAGGAAAGAACTTTTAATCCAAAAACAAGATAGGTTTCTACAAAGGCTGTGGCCTCCCTGGGGGACTCGGAAACCCAAATTCTTCTCCCTGTCATCAGAGGAGGCTTCACAAGCCACCACAGCAGACCTCCACCTGCCACAGGGGCTCCTCCACAGCATGCAGCGGGAGTGGCTGCCCAGCCTCTTCTTGAACACCCCCAATGATGTGAAGCTCACTACCTTTCAAGGCTCCCCATTCCTTGTTTTTTCTTTAAGCTTCCCCATTCCATCATGGAACCCCACTGACCTAAGGAAACTCTCCCTTGGACATTACTTCCCTGTCACTTTTCATACTGGCCTCGGTTCCTTGTGCCACACAGACTAAGGCCTCCATTCAAATGTTTATCTGGCCTGTCCTCCTAGTAGGGGAAGTTTTCACAATGTCTTTTGTGGGTGGAAGTAGCCTCTGCTTACCCGCTTTATCTCTACCCACTGATTCATATATTCACACATCCACACACCTTCCTCTCCAATGAATCATCCATGGATTCATTAATCCATTCACATATCCATCTATCATCTTCCTTCCTATCATCCATTCATTTATCCCCTCATCCACCCATCCATCCATCTGTTCCCTCACCCGCACATACACCCATCCATCACTCCATCCATCCATCCATCCATCCATCCATCCATCCATCCATCCATCCACCCATTTATCCACCCACCCATCCACTCATCCACCCATCTGTCCATCCATCCACCCATCCATCCATCTGTCCATCCATTCACCCATCCACATATCATACGTTGTCTGCATATCATTGTAAATTTGAATTCATTGCAAATGAGCCTTAATTCATCCATCCATCCACCCATCCACCCACCCATCCATCCATCCACCCATCTGTCCATCATCCATCCACCCATCCGTCCATCATCCATCCACCCATCCGTCCATCCATCCACCCATCTATCCATCCATCTACCCCATCTGTCCATCCACCCACCCATCCACCCATCTGTCCATCCATTTGTCCATCCACCCATCCATCCACTCATCGGGGACATGTCACACTCTATCTGTCTTTGCCATCCTCGGGGGCTCATCCTTGAGAACAGGGCACTCCTTACTCATCTTTGACTCCTTTGTCCCTACACAAGCTACTTCCTCTTGCAGAGCCTCAGTTTGTCCCTTTGCAAAACAGGAATAAAAAATCTCTGCCCTCCAGGCTGTGATGAGGAATGAGTGATACCACAACTGTGTGACCCTGGGTATAAGACTTAACCTCTCAACATCACTGTCTGCAGGACAGCATGGCCAGTTCTTGAAGTGAGAGTTCATAATGGTTTCTGAAACAGAGAGTGCACTCAGTAAATACCAGCTGTCACCTAAAAAGCCCCTGGCACTGCCGGGCACGTGTTAGGTGCTCAGTGCTAGTTGCCCTGTAGGACACAAGGAGCCCCAGAAAGAGTGGGGGAAGCGAGGGCAGGTCTGCGTGGAAGCCTTCACCCCCTCAGCCATTCCATCTCCCCAGCCACAAGGCCAAAGCCGGGCTCTGCAGAGAACTGGCTCGCCCTCCAACCTCAGTCCAGTGACTCACACAGCCCGCTGGGGATGAAGTCACTGCCGCCCAGGCAAAGGGAAGGACACATTTGTTCCCTGGGAGATGCTGATGCCATTGTGAACTTGGCCTTTGAGGGCAGGGCACAGCTCAGGGACTGTGTGCACTTGAGGAAGGCAGCAGGCACAGTGGAGGGACAGTGTTGAAGGGGACCCTGCTTGGGGAAATGAGGACTGGAAGGGGTGCCCCCTACTCTGGAAGCTTAGTGAGGGTCAGTGAGCCTCTGTCTGGCCTCTAGGCCTTGCTGAATGTGTGCCCTCTCCTCGCCTGTTGAGATGTGTCTGCCTGTGGTCTTAGGGCCTTGAGACCCTCTAATTTCTGCCTCTGGCTTAAGGGGCAAGCCACTGTTCCACATCTCTCATCCACAAAATGGGCACACTATACTCGACTCCCGCCTGGGGAACTGCAGGTGACAGTATGAGACCTCTCCTTACTCACTGGGGGTCCGTGCAGCCTCTCCTATTCCACCCACTCTCCCATGCTGACCGTCACCCACAGGAGACCAGGGTGGGGTGGGCAAGGCCCTTTGCCATCTTCTCTCTGCATTGAGCTTCCTGACACCCCCAAGTGGCCCCCACTCCATCACAACACCCCTGAGCCCTCCCAGATCTCCAGGCCTGTCCACCCTGGGCCAGGAATTCTGCACATATTGCCCAGTTATTCTCCACATGCCCCAGTCTGCTCTGGGCCCGGGACTGCAGCTCCCAGGCTCCCACTGCCTCCTGGTTCCTGACGGGGTGGCCAGCAGCGGCCCTGGCAGGAGGTCAGGAGGTGGAGGAGAGAATGATAGGTCAGGGTACTCGTTGCCTCAGCTCTGTCCTCGCTTCCTGTGCCCCTCGGCAGCCACAGTCCTGATGGGTGGCTGTTTGCACCCAGGTCTCTCTCTTTCTGGTTCATGAAACTGTTCTCTCCCCCAACCCTCTGGCCCAGGGCTGGTTAGGGTTCCCCCCTTCTGCCAGCCCAGGTGTCCAGTTCCCTTAACCCCATCCCACCCTGCACACAGCCCCATCACGGGCCACACTGCAAGGGAGCTTGTGTAGTGACCCATGTTTCCTACCAGGACCCAATGCTCAAGGCTCAAACTCAGACGACACCTCCTCTAGGAAGCCAATTTTCCATTGGCTTGTTCCTTCACCCAGTCAACATTCATTAATTGGCTTACTCTGTGCCAGATATCACTTGAGGATTTGGTGAACAAAACTGTGGAGCCTGGTGGGGCTGGCCTTCCTTCTGTACCAAGGGAGCAAATGAAAACGATTTCCCACAGTGGGCTGTGCCATGAAGAAGGCGTATAAACTAGATCATTTCTCTGGATGATACACTTCCCTTCTCCAGGAGTCCATCCTTTTTTGCCCTGCATCCTCTCCGTTCCCTGAGCCTGGACTGCAGCCATTTCTTCCCTGCACTTGGATGACCTGTCTCTGCATCCCTCCCTCACTGCTCTGAGAGCTCACATGAGCAGGTGAGGAGATCTATGTAGCTTAGTTCTTTGCACAATCACCCTATGAAGTAGCAGTTATTATCTCCCCAGTTTTTTTTTTTTTTGTTTGTTTTTTTTTTTACCAATTAATAAACTGAGGTTCAGATGCTGAGGTTAGTTACTCAGGATGATATATAAACCCAGCTCTGCCTATCTGACTCTAAAGCTAAAGCTCTGGAGGCTGAAAACAAAATAAATCACTTGTCATTTATATCTGCAGTCTTCCAATGGTGCCCAGAGCCATGCAAGGCGCAGGAAGGCACATACACCGAGTTGGCCGAACTTCAAAACCCTGGATCCCCCTTCTCAAGAAGCATTGGCCTTTTGAGGATGGGTGCTGGAATGCCCGTTTTCCAAATGGAAAAATGAAAGTCCAGGGTGCTGAGAGCGTTGGGTCTTGGAGGACAGTAGTGGGCTCCCAGCCTCCCAGGCAGCTGGCATCCTGAGTTCCACCATCTTGTCTCGGGCCTAGGATGGCCACTAATATCCAGTGCGCAGGCAGGGGCTGGGCACTCACTTCAGGGCAGGAGCTGGGAAAGAAGGCAGAGAAGAGCTTCCGCAAGTCCATCTTATGGAGCACAAAGGGCCAGCGTCCAAGTTGCCAGACTTGGCCTGCAGGGCCTCACTTTACTTGCTGTGCAGAAAAGAGACCGCAAGGGGGCAATGGCCAGGCAGGGGCCAGGGAGGAACTGTTGCTTGGACTGGGGTGGTGGACAGGAAGGTGAGGACAAGAGGTTGGATTCTAGAGACATTCTCAAAGTGGAACTGGTAGAAATGTCTGATCAATAAGATGAGGAGGTGAGAGAGAAAAGAGGAGTGGAAGATGATGCCTGGGTTGCTGGCCTGAACAACTGGAAAAATGGAGGTTCCATCCACGGTGACAGGGACACAGGGATGGCCAGTGGGAGCAGGTTTGGAGGGATGATGAGGCAAGGCAGAACGGGGGGACTCCGACTGGTCAAACAGAACAACTGTGGCTTGGCTCTGGCTGATGGCTGCTCTGTAGGAATAAGGGCTCTGATTTTTCAGATATCAGAAATCCAGGTTTTTACGTAACAGCTCTTGATTTTTATATGTTTGCAATAAATTCAAATTTACAATGATATGTAGGTTAATCCTATGCAAGCCAAATAAAATACATCTGTGAGTGTCTAGCCCACAGGATACCTCTTGTATCCTCCGCTCCTTCTTGTCTTTCAAGGTCCACTTAGCTGCCTCCTCCCCCAGGAAGCTGCCCATGATTGCTTCAGCTCCAGAGACGCCTGTGGCCCCTCAAAGCCCCGCAGGGCTGATAATCCCAGACTGGAAGTGACAGGAGGACAAATAGGGGGTTTGCTTATCCATTTCTCACGCCTCAAGCATAGGGTTTGGCCCAGAGGGGGAGTTAATGAATGAATACCTGCCGAATGAATGAATGAACAAGTAGCTCACTTGATCCCTCTGCCCTTATTTTGCAAATAAAACTGAGTCCCAGATAAGGGACATGACCTGCCAGGGTGGGATCTGGGGCCAGGGACTGCTCACCGTCTGGCCTCTGTTTGTCAGCTGTCCCCCGAGGCTGGGCCAGGCTAGGCCGGCAGGAAGTATAAAGACAATTGCACAGTCTTATCGAGTTATGCCATGGGAGGGTAGAAACAGGATCCTGAGCAGCTCTTGAGCATCTGGGTAGAGGCTGTTTGGGGGATGTTTTTCCAAGAACTTGCTAAGGTGACCCCAACCGGGGTCAGGGCAGAGCCAGACCCTAGAACTGGGTGCCTCTGCAGGTGGCATGGTCATGGGACAGATGACACCCCAGATGGAAGGACTCACATTAGCAATCAGTCAAAGTGACAGCCAGTCCCCATGGGTTGTCCCTTCTGAGGGTTCTGACACGTTTCCTTTCAGCCATGGGGAGGGCAGATGGTACTGGGTTTGACCATCAGGGTTTGTGCTCAGATCTTCTATGCAAGGAAATCAGACAACATAGGCACCGGAGGCTCTGGCCTCATTCTTCAGTGTTGGAGATGGAGAATGGAGTCTCAGAGGTGGAGGCGACTTGCCCTGAGGTCACACAGTAAGGAAGCCGCAGATCTGGGACTCCGGATCAGAAGTCCTGATTCTGAGACCTGCGCTGGCCAAGGGATCCTCACAAGCCGTTCCTCACACCTTCTGGCCTACCTCAGTTTCTTCATCCACAACATGGGGAGAAAAATAGGATCTATCTCCAGGGGTTGTGAAGATGAAACAAATGGAAGGAGCTAACGCTGTGTGACTGTACTGTGTAAAGCTATATAGAAGATCACGAATATATAGCAACTGCCCTTCTAAGCCTCTAGCCTTGAAAGTTTCTGGCTATGGCCGTCTTTAAAACTTCCAGGGTGACACAGCTCTCCATCAACACAACAAGAACGGTGATACCTAAGGGCTACTGAATGGTTCCTGTAGCCACTGCTCTATGTGTGACTAATTCATTTAATGCTTAGGCTCATCCCATGAGGTAGGTGCTATTACTATCTGATCTATAGGATAAAGAAAGGAAGGCAGAGAGAGGTCCACAGACACGCCCAGGGTTAATACAGATAGAACATGGCAGGGTGGGGAATTGAACTGAAGCAGCTTTGTTCTGAGACATGCTTCATAACCGCTACATAACACGGCTCTCCTCGGCTGGCTTGGAAGTCTTTCTCAATGTCTAACCTAAATCCTTTTTGTTGCAGGCTGTGCCTATTCACTACCCCCTTCCTTAGACAAAGAAGAAAGCTGCTCCCTTCAATCTCCATTTTGTTGTGCTGAGAGGCCTCAATTCTTTAGCCCCTGTATCCTGACT
The DNA here is from genome assembly GCF_000001405.40 of Homo sapiens. Lineage (NCBI taxonomy): Eukaryota > Metazoa > Chordata > Mammalia > Primates > Hominidae > Homo > Homo sapiens. The sequence goes on from NC_000003.12 coordinate 13,029,620, forward strand.
CCCTGGGTCTTGCCGTCCAGGTCAAGGGGGGCCAAACAGGAACCCTCCCCTTGTGCGTGAGCGTGAGTGTGTGTGCGCACATGCGGTGTGAGATGTGTGTGTGCGTGCATGCGTGCACGTGTCCACACAAATCCCCTTCAAAGAGGACTGGTGAGGACTGGTAAGGACTGCAGCACCCTGGGCTGGGTCCTCACCTCCTCACTGGCCTCCCTGCCTCCTTTCCTTGTCATCTGCTGCCTCTGGGCTGTTTCCCAATACCCAGACCTGTAGAGGTAAGTCTGCTGCCTGAACCTGCTCCATGGCTTTCCTCCATTCCCAGACCATTCCCAGCTCCACCCTCGTCCCACCTTTATTTATTTATTTATTTTGAGATGAGGTCTCGCTACATTAACCAGACTGGTCTTGAACTCCTGGCCTCAAGTAATCTTCCCATCTCAGCTTCCGGAAGTGTTAGGATTACAGGCGTGAGCCATCATGCTCTGTCTAAAATCTTTTTTTTATACAGTCTAACTCTGTCACCCAAGTTGGAGTGCAGTGGTGCAATCTCTGCTCACTGCAACCTCCACCTGCCAGGTTCAAGCGATTCTCATGCCTCAGCCTCCTGAGTAGCTGGGATTACGGGCATGCACCACCACACGTAGCTATTTTTGTATTTTTAATAGAGATGGAGTTTTGCCATATCCGCCAGGCTGGTCTCGAACTCCTCCTGGTCTCAAGTGATCCTCCTGCCTTGGCCTCCCAAAGTACCTGGATTATAGGCATGAGCCACCACGCTCAGCTTCGCCCCACCTTTATGGTGCACTCTCTTTATGGGCCATTCTAGTTATTTATTAAATATTTTCTTTTAAAATCAACTGGCTTAAAAAATTGGACCTGAGTCTAATCAAGCTTCCTGATCTAACTCCCAGTTAACAGGAACTACAGGTGACAGAGGAATAGCTTAAATGACATCATGAGGCAATCAGCCTAATCCTGAATGTGGGACATGCCACAGGCAAATGGCCCTGTTCCTTCAATGAGTACTGCAAGGATGAAAAAGGAAGGGGAGCCTCTAGGTAAAAGGATGCTTACGAGACACGTGCACTGTGTGGGTCTTGTTAGGGCCCTGATTTGAACAAACCAGCTGTAAAAAGACATTTTTGGAGACCCTTTGGGAGAGCTGAACATGAAAAACAGCATGGAGTGGGTGGAAGAAACTCAAGCATGAGGCGCAAAGCTGTGCCACGCAGGCGTGGGATTCGCCTTACAACTCCGAGGTTCACCTTCACCAAGCAGCTATCTCCACTTCCACGCATGTTTCACACTTTCAACAATAAGAAGCTAAAAGCAATGCACAAAATAATACGTTGGTTGGATTTCAGCCCTGAATACATTTATTTTAAAAGGAAACTTTATATCACTCCTTTAAATGGAAAACTAGGATCATCTGCTGTAAGTAGAAGGTTACCATGAAAACAAGACAATGTTACCGAGTTTCACACAGATACTGTTTCCTGCCAAAGATGCTGGGCTTAAAAACTGCCCCGTTTTTGTTACAAAGAAGCCCAGGGACAGAAGTGAACTCACTCTTACCTGGACCCACCTTTCTGGGAGCACTGGCCTACAGGTAAGGGCCACACAGCACATTCTCTCTGCCACATACTTCTCCTCTATCAGGGAATGGTGGTGACAAGCCTGGGGGCAGGGACAGGTCCACCCCAGCTGGTAGACAAGGGCCCCTGCCTGCCCCTGCCTACAGCAGGGAGGGGCTCAGCTGGGGGACTCGGCCTCTGCAGAACCTTGGGGCTTTCTGCAACATGGAATCCAAAAGCTATAGGGCTGGGTACAGATGAGGAAACCGAGGTCCACAGTGGGGCAAGACAGTGTCCCAGGTCTCCCGGCAAGCCCATGGGGGATAATCAGAAAGGACAAGACTCCAGGTTTTCTGACCTTTAGAACGGTGATCATCTAACCTTTCCCTCGTTCACAGATATTGCTTGAGAACCTACTGTGTGCCAGGCACAGGGGGCAGAGGGGCAGGAGTGACCAAGACAGAGTCTCATGGAGCCGACATTTGCAGACAGGGGATGCAGGACAAAAACGCTAAGCAAATTAATGAGATAATTTCCCAGGACGGTGAGGGCGACAAAGAAAACAAAACTGAGTGACTGTGAAAGGTGAGGAGAGGGCGGTGCTACACTAGACAAGGTGACAGGGAGGGCCTCTTTAAGGAGGAGACAATGGGGCTGACACCTGAAGGACTAAGAAGGCGGTGGAGGAGGTCTAGGGTAGAGAACTTCATGAGCCCCTGCAGCCAGCCCTCAGCAACCTCTGGCTCTGTTTTTAAAACTTTAGATACTGAGTTAATTGCGGACCCACAGAAAAGTTGTGGGAAGAGCACAAAGAACCCCTGTATAGCCTTCACCCAGGCTCCCCACTTGTTACCATTGTATCCCATTTGCTTCCTCATATTCTCCTTTCTCTACGCACACACACCTGTGCTCGCATACACACTTTCCCCCTGTAATTGTTTGAGAGTAAGGTGCCCACCTCAAGCCCCCTACTCCTTCAAAGTGTCTTTCCTAAAGACAAGAACGTTTTCTGGCATAATCACGGTTCCACTTTCAAAATGAGGGCACTGACACTGACTCGGTACTACTCTCCAATCCTCACAGCTCATCCAGAGCTGCCAACTGACCTCATGCGGTCCTCTATGGAGACACAACCCCTGATTCCTGAGCCTTTCACACACACCCCGGCTGGCCCTGTGAAAGTGGACAGCGCAGGGCGGCACGGGGAAGGCTGTGCTGCCGTGACTTCCGCAGGCCGAACCTGCAGGATGCGGATGGGCCAGCCCAGGGCCAGCAACTGCACTGCACGGAGCCAGGTTGGATCCTGACACGGAAGGACAAGTGTGCACCCCTAAAACACCAAAATAGCCCCCCATATTTTGAACCAAGTAGAAAAAACTAATAAAGCTTTAAACATTTTTTTTTTTTTTTTGAGATGGAGTCTCGCTCTGTCGCCCAGGCTGGAGTGCAGTGGCGCAATCTTGGCTCACTGCAAGCTCCACCTCGCAGGTTCACGCCATTCTCCTGCCTCAGCCTCCCGAGTAGCTGGGACTACAGGCGCCCGCCACCACACCCAGCTAATTTTTTTGTATTTTTAATAGAGACGGGGTTTCACCGTGTTAGCCAGGATGGTCTCAATCTCCTGACCTCGTGATCCGCCTGCCTCGGCCTCCCAAAGTGCTGGGATTACAGGCCTTAAAAATATTTTTTAAAACATTATATATAAAGCCCCACATTGGTCGATCTGTTCACATGTCCCCGTCAACCCTCATAAAGCAGCTCTGCAGGGCACACGAGGGCCTCGGGGCCTGGAAACTGCAGTGCCTTTGGAAATGACCTCTCGCTTTACAATACTCACGTGGTGTTGCAAGACAAACAACAGCCTGTGTTTATTTTAAAATTCAATATTTTGTTTACTTGATTATTGAGTTTTTGGCACCCCTTAAATTCTGTGCTCGAGGTGAACACCTCACTTGTCTCACCCTAATCCCAGCCCTGACCACCAAACACCAGGCACATAAGCTCTTCTGAGGGCACAGAATACACGCCCAGACAGCGTCTCCTGACGAGCCCGAGGACAGGTCCTCGTACCCACTTCACAGATCAAGACAGAGAGGCCCTGTATTGATTTGCAGAGGCTTCCGTAACAAAACACCACAGACCAAGAGGCTTAAACAACAGAAATGAGTTTCCTCACAGTTCTGGAGGCTGGAAGTCAGAGCGAGGCGCATTTCTCCTGAGGCCTCTCTTCTTGGCTTGTATGTGGCTGTGTTCTCCCTGTGTCTTCACACGGCATATTAGTCAGGGGTCTCCAGAGAAACAGAGCCAATAGGAGATGCATATATATGTATATGTATATATATACATATATTTTTTAAAATAAGGAATTGGCTCGTATGATTACAAAGACTGACACGTCTCAAGATCTATAGTCAGCAAGAGACCCAGGAGAGCTGATGACTTAGTTTCAGTCTAAATGCCAGCAGGCTTGAGACCCAAGAAGAGTCCGTGTTTCAATCTGAGTCTGAAGGCAGGAAAATACCAACGTCCCAGCCTGTGGGCACCAGGCAGGAGACCCTCTTACTGATTACTGAGCTTCTGTTCAATTCAGGCCTTTAACTGATTGGAAGAGGACCACCCAGCCTGGGGAGGGCAGTCGGCTTCACTCAGCCCAGTGCAATTGTTCATTTCATCCAGAAACACCCCACAGACACACCCAGAGTAATGTGTGACCAGACATCCGGTCACCTTATGGCCTAGGCAAGGTGACACATGAGATGAACACGGTGTTCCCGCTGTTGGTGGCCCAATTTCCTTTTCTTATAAGGGTGCCAGTCAGACTGCATTAGGGCCCACCCTAATCCCCACATTTCACCTTCATTCCTCTTTAAAGACCTTATTTCCAAATACAGTCCCATTTGGAGGTACTGGGGTTACGACGTCAGCATGTGAATTCAGGGAGACACTTTTCAGCCTGTGACAGGCCCTGCCAGGCGAAGGGCTCAGCTTGCAACCACTCAGGCCCAGGCGTCTCCCCCCAGAGTCAACTGGGCAAGTGGAGCTCCTCAGGTTGCCATGATCTTCCCCCTCCGGAAGGAAGGACCTGTCCAAGCCGGTGGCTGCCAAGAAACCGCTGAGGTGCAAACAGTCACTTGGGATGGACTTATCTCACGTGCTAAATCCAGCAGTTACCAAGAGCAAGAAGTGTTTGTGGTGAGAAGCTCGTAAGGTCTTGACCCAGCGAGAACGTTTCCCCGAATCAAATCTCCATGAACCTAACACCCGTTTCCCGCCTCTTGCCACCAGTGGGATCTTGCTAACACAGAAGGCAGCCGGGGAGGAGGAGAGGGCGTAGTGAAAGACTGAGCCAGTGTGGAGCCTGTTGGCACCTGCAACGCTTACTTTAAATGCTCTCTGGACGGGCTCAGTGAGGATCTGCTGACTGAGGCCAGGCAGCCCGTGACTCGCACTAGGAGATCAGCTGCTCTCTCTAAACCAGCCGGATTCAGCTCTGGATGCTTGATTCTCATTCCTTCACTGCAACTATTCTGCTGAGGACAAGTTTCTCAAGGCCCTGCCAGTTTGGTCAACCTGACCCTCTGGGGTATTTCTCACCTGCACCGGCTCCTGAATCTCACCAGCCCAACAGAAGTGTCTGAGCTAATGCTCGCCATCGCAGGGAATACAGGCCCACATGCAGCTCCTGTCCAGCACACAGGCTCCCCTAACAGTATTCCCATGCTCCCAGGGATCGGCCTCGCCCCGACAGGGCACAGTGCTGGTGGGGTGGGAATTCAGAAGCCTGTGCCCCATGGAAGCCCAGTGGTCCCTGGAGGCTCTGTCCTGCTTTCTCCTCCTCCACTGACATCCCAGCACTGCCAAGGGGCAGGACAGGACCTGAACTTGGCCAGTGAAACTCTCCTGAGACTTGACAGCTTGAGTGGTGGCACAGGGCCATGGGCTCCCAGGGAGCCTTTTTCACAGCTGTGAGCCTGCCCTTGGGGGTACAGAGTAGGCGCCCCGGCTCCTAATCCACATCCAGCTTCCTGCTGGTCCCCTGACCTCCTAAGAGTGGCTCAGTAAACTCCCTTTTTGCTGTAGTTGGCCTGTGGCGATTTCTGTTGCCCTCCACCAAAGACTCCATCAGACACTAGGCACCATCTGCACATCCTTCTCAGGACTCTTCTGCCAAGGACACTGTCTTCCCTACGTGGACTTGAGAAGTCCTCCTCAGCCCTCAAGACCCATCTCAGCTCTAAAACTCTAAGAATCCTCTCCTGCTCCCCCAGCTGAAATGATTGCCCCCTCTCTTGAATAATCACCACACTTCATTTCAACTTACTCCATTAAGAAAAAGAAAACCTGCCACTGATTGAATGCCACTGGGTCCCAAGTGTCCCTACACCTGTTAGGTCCTCTTCCCAACCCCAGGATGCTGAGGGTTAGAGCGGAGAAGTGATTTGCTATTGTGGTAGATTCTATTTCCAAACAGGGCCACAACCTCATCTCCTGTCCCAAACGCTCTGCCAGAACCCTGCCACTCCTGAGCAGGGGTAGAGTTTAAGTCCTTCACCATGGGCTTGGGCAGCACTTTTGTGACTGTCCTGGTGAAGATCATGCCATAGAAGCGATGCTGTGTGTCTTCTGAGGCCTGGTCATAAAAGGTGGCCATTTCTACTTGGCTCTCTTTCCCTTGGATTGCTTGCCCTTGGGACCCAGCCGCCATGTTTTGAGGACGCCCAGGCCACATGGAGAGTCCCGTGCAGGTGTTTTGGCTGCCAGCCCTGGCTAAGGTCTCAGCTGTCAGCCAGTAGCATTTGCAAGGTGAGGAAGGGAGTGAGTGGCTGGGTGGGTGCGTGGGCAGGTGAGGCTTCCTAGGAATCCAGCTCCTAGTCTTCAAAGCCCAGCTGACATTGAGTAGAGCAGGCTCTGCCCAAGTTGCAGTTCTATGGGATTTTAAACCACTAAGTTTTGGGGTGATGTGTTACACCGTCATAACAACCGCGACAGTTACATGCAGTCAGAAAGTATTCATTAGTGTGGAGGAGACACGAGATAGTGTAGCTCAGTGGAGGTGGTCACCTGGATTGATAAACTGCACTCCATTTCTGTGACTTTAGGCTGGTCATTTAACCTCTCTGCCTTCAGTTTTTCCTTGTCTGAAACATGGAAAAAATAATAGTATCCCTTTCACAAGGCTGTTGTGAGGATTAACAGAGATACCACATGCAAAGCCACTTAGCACATATAAACACTCAAAGAAAGTAATAATAATAAACAAAAATAATTTTTTTTAAAAAGAAAATTATGAAAGGAGCCAGTCAGATTGCATTCCCACTTCGCCTGACTTCAGAACTGCACTGTCCCCTCAAGCCACAAAGCCACCCAGGGTGCCCCCTGTAGAGCCACTCCTCCCTGGACTGAACTTCCCTGGCCAACAGATGAGGCCCAGGGCATCAGCGGTGTGGGGGGTGCCCGACAGCCCTGGATGAGCCCAGGAAGCTCGGCCAGCTTCTCAGGCTGTGTGCTTGGAATCCCGTCCACTGAGCTCCCTTACTGAGCTGGCAGTTTGGGGAGCTTGTCCCAAAGTGAGTTCCTTGATGCTGTGTTTTAGAGATCCCTGGCGGCCTCTGTTCTTTCTAACAGAAGCAATCTGTGAAACCTGCGCATCAGGAGATCAGTTGGCACCTTGTGTGATCAGAACTAGTCCCACATCCTGAACCAGACAACGGCATCCACGGCATGCTGAAGGTGAGGTTGCAAAGTCAGCGTGTGGGCAGAGTTCCTACCACCCTTGGAAGCCTCTTACTGTGGAGGGCCTGGAACTACACAGACCAAGGGAACAGCACATGTGTGCCTCACCCTCCACCCCAGGATGCCTGGGGCTGCGTCAAGCTACAGTTGTGCCCCCACACCATTTACATGCTCTCCTCTCTGAATCTCTCTTTCTCTCCTCTTTACATTAAAAAAACCACCTGGCTTTCAATATTGAGTGTAGAAAGAATGTGGGGACATGGGACTCTCACCCACTGCTGGTAAGGCTACATACTGCCAGGGCCACTTTGGAAAGCAAGTTCACTAAGCCCAGGAAAGTTGAAGACACTCATGTGCCATCCTGGTACAAACCCTCCATAAATGCCCGCAGCCAAGCACAAGGAGGCAGGGGCAAGGGTGCTTACTGCATCCCTGTCTGTAATGTCGAAAAATGGGACATCACCAAAATACACAAGAACAGGAGAGCAGATACTTAGACCGGGGCATGGCTATACCATGAAATACTATACACCAGTGAAAATGAATCGATGAGATCTATACATTGCAATATGGATGAATCTTACCAATAAAATGTTGACTGAAAAAACAAGGTGCACCTTGAAGAGATATCTGCACACCCATGTTCATAGCAGCACTACACACAATAGTGAACAGGTGGGAACAACACAAGCGTCCATTCGTGGATGAAAGGATAAGCAAAACGTGGTCCATACTTATAGTGGAGTATGATTCAGCCTTAAAAGGAAGGACATTCTGACTCATGCTACAACATGGATGAACCTTGAGGCCACTCTGCTAAGTGAAATAATAAAATAACAAAAAAACAAATACTGTATTGATTCCATTCATATGAGGTCCCCAGAGCAGTGAAATTCATGGAGAAAGAAAGTAGAATGGTGGCTGCTGGGGGTGAAGGGAGGGGGGAGTTAGTGTTTAACGGGTACAGAGTTTGGGAGGATAAAAAAGTTCTGGAGATGGACGGTGGGAATGATTGCACAATAACGTGAATGTACTTAATGCCACTGAATTGTACAATGGTTAAGATGGTGGATTTTAATTCTATGTGTATTTTACCACAAGTAAAACTTTTAAAAAAGCAACTTGCAATTTATAATACTATGATCTAAAGTTTAAAAACATGTAAAACCATCTTTTGTTTTAGCAACGCTGTAAAAATATGCATGGCAACAGATGAATGGATAAAGAAAACTTGGTATATATATGAATATATATATAAGTATATATAAGTATGTATAAAAATATATAGAAATATATAAGGATATATAAATATACAAGTATATATATGTGTGTGTGTGTGTATATATATATATATATATATATATATATATATATAAAATGAAGTACTATTCAGCCATAAATGATATCCAGCCATTTGCAACCACATGGATGGAACTGGAGGTCATGATGTTAAGTGAAATAAGCCAGGTACAGAAAAACAAAATATCACATGTTCTCACTTATTTGTGGGATCTAAAAATCAAAACAATTAAACTTATGGACATAGAGACTAGGACAGTTATCAGAATTGGGAAGGGTAGTCGGGGGACAGAGGGGGAGGTAGGTATGGTTAATGAATACAAAAAATAGAAGGAATGAGTAAGTGAATAAGACTTACTATTTGATAGCACAATAGGGTGACTATAGCCAATAATAACTGATTTGTACGTCTTAAAAATAATTGAAAGAGTATAATTGGATTATTTGTAACTCGAAGGATAAATGCTTGAGGGGATGGATACCCTCAATGTCGGGGGAAAGAATGTAGGGACACAGGACTCTCACCCACTGCTGGTAAGGCTACATACTGCCAGGGCCACTTTGGAAAGCAAGCTCACTAAGCCATGAATTCTCCATGAAGTGTGTATTTCACATTGCGTGCCTGTGTCAAAACATCTCACGTACCCCATAAATATATACACTTACTATGTACCTACAGCAATTTAAAAAAATGTGCATGGGAAATCTACACACCAAACAAGAGGGACTGTTTAGGCTTAGCTCTGGGGAAGCAGGAAAGGGATAAGATTTGTGGGGTGGCCCACAGGGGCAGTCCACCACACCATTAACAGCTTATTTTGGAAGCTGGGCGATGGGTATACTACTCTCCTCCATATTTTCTTCCCACCTGAACTATTTCATTAACCAAAGTACCCTGAGGTCGGCTGGGCTCTGGGAACTTGGGAGAGGGCTTGCCGCCTCCCACAATGGCCTTTGGGCCAGAGCTAAAGAGTCTATAGAGGCATCTCCCCACAACCAAGGCAGAACGCAGAGGCGCCCCGTGAAGATTTCTTTCCGTTTGCTAGTTGAAATAAGCGGCTCTGCTCCTTCCCCTGCCCGAGCCTCTGGCAGAGCTCCAGGATTATTTTACATTAACTTAAGATCACTAATGAAGAATAATTAACAGCTTTGAGGGAGCCTGGCACACCCTGTGTTTAGAAGTGGTTAATTATGCATTGTCTGCAAAACACCCCTTTCATACTCTTAAGTTTGGGATCGCCGTTTTAAACAACGGAATATGGCATCAGGCAAAAAGCCAAGTGGCTCCATTTGCAGAGCTTTCCTGGGGAAGGATCCGTTTGGGTGAGGACAGCCGCTTGCAAAGCCTCTACTAAGTGCTGTATATTCAGTGCTTTTCCAGCATTTACCCTTGAAATCCCCACACAAGGGCCATGAGAGGTGAGCTGAGCATCCCCCTTTCCCCATGTTACACAGCTGTGGAGGAAAAGTGACTTTTCTAAGCTCCCTGCCACAGCGAGGTCTGACCACAAAGTCTGAGTTCTTGCCCACCTGGCTGATGCATTATCATTATTTCTGGTCGACAACTGCTGGAAAGATGACTGCCCCCAGCCCTCAGCATGTCATTTGCCAGGGTGGACAGACCGAGCTGCTCAGCTGGCAGCATGCAGCCTCCACAGCTGGATCCCCTGGTTAAATCCCAGTGGCACCACCGACTGGCCATGAGCCCTTGGACAAGCTACTTCTCCCCGTGCTTTGGTTTCTTCACCTGGAAAATGGAAGAATCATGACTCCACTTCGTGGCATTAGCGCGCAGAGTTGGTGCTCAGAATGAAGCCTCACATGTAGCAGACACTCACTGAGCTTCCCTGCCCCACCTTCCTTTCTAGCTCTTCCCCTGACACACACCTAGGCTTCAGCCTCACCTCTGATCATTTATGCACCATGTGAGGCTTGGTCCCACACCATACGTTTGTTCGTGCTTTGTTTTCCACCCACAGTGCCCTTCCCTGTCTGGAAAATTCCAACTCCCATGTCTAGGCCCGGATCAGATGCCACCTCCTGCAGGAAGCCTTCCAATAAGACCTCCCTCAGGCTGCTGGTAATTTGTGCACCCTCTGTTTATACCCCATTCTTAACATTCATGAGTTGTTAATAGGTCTTTTCCCTTTGTAGGTTGGGAGTTCCTCAAGGATTAGTCTCATTTGTCTTTCAGGCACAGTCAGGGCTTAAGAACAAGAGCACAGGCTCTGAGTAAGAACCTCCATAGGTCAGGGGAGGGGACAAAGAGCGCTCTCACGGGTTCCTCCTAGAGCCTGAGCCACGCCTCTCACACTTGGACCACGTGGCCCCCAGAGTGTGACTCTCAGTTTGCCACTTGCCCACTAAGATCCTTCATGGGCTCCCCACTGAATGCAGGACAAGGCCCAGGCTCCGGTCCTGAGCCCCAGCCCCTGGTACCCCTTCCCAGCTCCATGGCCTTTTGCCATGACCCAAAGACACCCTTCCCTTTTAAAGCCTCTGGGTTTTTCCCATGTGGTTTCCCCTCTGTCTGGAACACCTGTGCTCCCCATCTCAACCCAGCAAACTCCTCCAGACACTTTACCACCTGGCTCAGCTGTCACCTCCTCCATGAAGCCCCCGCACCCAGCCCTGCTCCTCTTTCAAGACTCTGACCGCGACTCATGCCTGGCTAGCTGAGCCCTGTGGAGCAGGGTCTGTCCCTCATTTGTCCCTGCCTGGCCCAGGACTCCGGCGTCTGCATGGACTGAGACTGTAGACATTCAAGAGAGATTGCATCTCGAGACAGGAAAGACAGGGGTCAGATCTCGTGGCCACTCTTCTGCAGTTGCCTGCCCTCTGGTTTTATTCTGCTCACCTGCGCACAGGGGCTTTAATGCTTCTTTTGCAGGAGGGATGAGGATGAACAATTAAGTATATAAAGTGCCCCACCGCGGTAGACACCGAATCACTGACAGCCGGACATGCCCTCCTGAGGCCGCATGAACAAGCCTGGGGGCGGGGGGTGGGGTGAAAGGCTGCACCACAGCGCTCAGGGCCCACTGGGTGTCGGGCTCCTCTCTGATGTGGCTTGCACTAATCAGACGCAGGACAGGCCTCTCTCGCTGGCACCCTCCCAAGAGCAGGGACTTCCTTTCTACAGCTGCCGTGAGACCCTCCGTGCCCGCCCCCTTTGGAGAAAGCCCACTGGAAGGAAGAAGAAAAGCTCCCACACTTTCCCAGAATTGCTCGTATGCTAATGGCCGCAGACTTCACAGAGTGTGAAATCAGGAAAAACTAATTCCCTCAGAATAGACGGGACAATTCCCTCCTCCAGGTCTTTAATAACACGCCGTTCAAGGTGACCATGGCGACGGCTCCATGATGATCTCCTGCTGGCCCGGATGTGGTTCTTTCTTGACCAAGGTGTGCACTGGACAGAACACACACGCTCGGAAGAACCTGCCGGAGGTATGAACATTCGGGCTTGTGGTGCCTGCAGCCCCTGTCACCTCAGGGAGCAGTCCCCAAATCCATGTCATCAAATCCGAATCCCTACAGTTGGGAAACAGGCTTAAAGAGGGAAAGTGACTCGCCCAAGATCGCGCAGCCAGGAAAGGGACTGAACTTCGGGCTCCTGATCTCCTGACCAGGGGACCCCCAACTCTGCCTCCCCAAACTTGTGCTTAGGGAGGAGGCAGGCCAACCCTTGAGTCATCCAGCCCACGAGGTCGGAGCAAGTGTACCGGGAAAGAGCAGGCCGGGGACCCCGGGCCGGTGCAGCTTCCCTGCCTAGGGCTCACCCCGGCAGCAAGGAACAATGAAACACAGTGCCTGGCCACAGAGCAGTCCAGGGTGACTCTTTCTCTGCAGAAACTCTACCAGTTTCAGGCCAGAGGGAGAGGAAAGAATAGTTAAGCCCAGTTGCAAAGTGAACCACGACAAACGCTGCTGCTGGTCTTGGCCAGTGACGGGGACCCTCCGCCAAGAGGAGGAAGCCCTGCAATCGGGCAGGATCAGGGCGAACTTTCTCTCCAGGTCCCATTGCCCTAGTGGCCAAGGCTCTCCCCAGAGGGTCGACTTACCTTTTGTAGGCTCCATGCAGGGGCTGTAGGCACAGGAACTGCCAGTAATCCAGGCAAAAGGCCTTGAACTTGAGCATTTTCACCTTTTGGTCTCCAGCTGGACCACGGTAACGTCTCCGCGGAGACACGGAGAGGGGCTAGTGGGAGGTGGAGAACCGGCTGCTTCGGCCCGCCCTGGTCCCTGCCACGGCGGCCCCCACTCACATGGCCCAGCCCGCCCGGCGCAGCTTGTACAGTACACGCCTCCAATACAAAGAGCAGCCAGCACAAAAGCCTAGCAACTCATTCACGCAGCTCGCCTGGCCCGGCTCATGCTGCTGCTGTCTCTGTTAGCTGGTGCCTCCGAGGGCTTCCCTGGGGGTCCCTGGGACACACCAAGGCAGCTCTGGCTGTATCAAGTTGTGGGGGCCCCCAGTCCATCATCCTGGGGGGTCTGGATGCTAGGGCTCCTGACGGTGGCTCTGCAAGTCTGTTCTTCCAACCAGGCCCTGGGGCTCCGGGTGGTGGGGCCGGCACTGGCTGGACAGTCCTACACCCGCCTGGCTGGCCCAGAGTGGCTGAGGCCAGGAAGACCCAGGGAGAGCAGGTAGGGAGGGGGCCAGATGACAGGCAAACACTGGCCTCTTTTGCCAGATAAATTACGTTTGGCGGAATCCCTGTTCGGCCTGTGCGAGGGAAAACTCACCATGTAGCCACATGGTGCTTGGGGTGGGGGCAGCTGGGCTCTGAAAGGCAGGCGAAGGAAGACTGACAGGGTCGCCCAGCGCCTGCCGTTGCCTGGGCGACGGGGACACATTGATAAAATCTAAAATGGAACCGCTATGACAGCCGCTCATTGGCTGCCGGCAGGGGAATCCTGTCGCTAACCAGGGAGGGGAGCGGCTGAGCTGCAGGGCCACAGACAACCAGGCGCATTGTTGGGCAGAGGGACCCCAGGCAGAATGGGTGGCCCCACAGGCCAGGGGACCTGGCAGTCACAGACAATAGGAAAGGAGTCCCTGGCCCACCCTCACCTCTCCCCTTGTATCTCCTGGGATCTGGCTGGTCCCGGCGTCTGCTCCAACCCTCCCATGGCCCATTTCCCACACACTAGCCACCTGAAAGTCTGAGGCTCTGGGTCCCAGATACAGTAGCCACCCTCACCCCCATGAATCCGGCACACCCTTTGGTTCCATGCAGTCTGCTCTCGGGTGCACTTCCTGCAGCTCCGCTCCTCCTCGTCAGTCAGGTCCCACTCCAGCACCCCTCGTGTCTAAGCTATAGCAGCTCAGCCCCCTTCAGCCACTACCCTGTCTGATTCTTTCCATGGGACATCCCATCCTCTGAAAGGATCCTGCTTTTGCATGTTTACTTGTTAACTGTCTTTCTCCTGACTACAAGCAACGACTCCAGGGCAGGGGCCACATCTCTTTTAAGGGCCGGCCCACTGGAGGAGCCTCGATAATCATTTGTGGAAGGAAGGAAGGATCTTGTATAGTGTGTGAAAGGCTCTCAGAGGCACCACACTCACCCCCTCTGGCCGCTTTGGGGCCCAGGTTTGCACAACCCGACATCGTTTGCAAAGCAGTGGTCACACTCCATTCAGACGAGGAGGTCTTGCTACCTCCCCACTCCCCCTCAGATGAGGAAACAGAGGCACAGAGAAGACCCCATCCCCAGAGGTGTGCACACAGAGTCCAGGAGCTGCTGCTCAGGGGGGTGACATCCAGGCGGTCGGATGGGAGCTGGTGCCACAAAAAAGACAAGGCTCTGTGTGCCTCTAGCAAGGCTGCTCAGCTTCCAAGGGCCAGGCTGGGAACCAGAGGCCTGATCTCACCCCATGCAAAGCCAAAGAACAAAGTCTCCCACCTCAGGTGGCATTTTCTCAGTGTCATTAGCAAAAATGCTGCTTCTAGAGCAATGGTTCTCAACCAGAGGCGTCTGGGTCATCCCCCCACCCCCAGGGACATCTGGTAATATCTGGAGAAATTTTGGTTGTCACAAATGGGGAGAGAGTGCCAGCATCCAGTGGCATTTAGATGTCACTAAACACCTTACCATGCACAGGACAGCCCCCACACCAGAGAATGGTCCTGCCCAAAATGTCAGTAGTGCCAAGGTTGGGAGACCCTGTCTGTAGTCACTTTCCCTTGGAGGTACCCGTCCTGGATGGCTGGAAAGGGAAAGCTTTCCAAATGGCTGGGTCCAAGCCTCTTATAATACAGTCGGGGAGTGCGAGGCCAGAGGTAAAGGGGGACACCCAGTGTCATCGGAATGGACCCAGGCTGGACGCAAGACACCCCAACTTGGGCTGATAACTGGGGGCAGGCAGGGGAGAGGCGATCTGCCGAGTGTGATGAGCCTGTTTGGCAAGGTAGCACAGGCGGGGCCAGCAGCCCTGAAGTGCTGCCCACTCCTCCCCCGCCCCCCCACACTCCTGGAGAAGGACATTAGCTTCCCTCTCACGCCTGTGGCAGAGGAAGCCGGCTGTGCCTTTGAAAGGCAGCAATTACTGGCTGGGACCTTTGTTTCTGAATTCCTAGGCTGTGCACAGGCCTCCAGAACCTCCGAAGGCTGGGATTCTCAGAAGCTTGCCCCCAGCAGCAGAGCTGGTGCCTCCACTGCACAAAAAGGGCACAGAGTTCTGGTAGCAGCGGGGGCCCTGGGCCCTAGTCCTGGACCTGGCACCAATGCTCTTCTGGTCTCAGGTACCCTCATCTGTGAAAGGGGAACATTGATCCTGGCCCTGTCTGTGTCTGAGGCTGCTGTGAGGGTTGGGAGTCAGGACGCATGCCAAGGCAAGATGGCAGGATGGGGCAGGCCCCACTTAGCATCTGCCTCCTGGCCACTCCTCCAGGCATGCTCCACCCCAGGGCCTCTGCACCGCTGTTCCCACCAGACTGTTGGGATGCTCCTCACCCCTCCTGTGCTTCCAGGCCCAGAGGCCTTCCCTGGCCACCCTCCCATCTCTGTCTATTCCCTTCACCTGGATTTATTTTCTCCATAGCTCTTGTCACCACTTGACACGTTATGTTAAAAACCAGTTTCTTTTTCTGCTTGCTGCCTGTGCTCCTGCCTGCCACAGATGCTCTGTGAAGGCAGCAGGACTGCTCAACGAGGGATCCTGAGTGCCCGACACCCGCAGGTGCTCAGGAAATGTGGCTGAATGCAGGCGGGGAAACAGCAGAGCTGAGGGGCTCCTACGGCCTCCGCTCTGATCCCTGCTCTGTCCTCCAGGGAGTGAGGCACTGGGGCATTGGCTCTGAGGTCAAGTGTGGCTCCATCCGATGGAGGGCTGTGCAGTGAGACCCAAGTGGGCAGGAGCACGGAACCTGCTAGGCCCCCACACATCCTAGAACAAAGAGCCCCATCCACACTCCCTGCATACCAGAACTTTCCTGGGCTGGCCTCGAGCAGGGCACCTGACTGACTGGCCGGCGGAGTGGACAATTCAGATGGAGCTGCAGTGGCGCCCGTGGCATGGGTGGGTGGTGCAGAGGCCAGGCTCAGCCCCTACAGGAGCCTCCTCAGCCTCCTTCCCTGGGGCCACCCTGACACAGGAACCCACACGCCTGCTGGCACCCTGAGCCATCCCATCAGGGGTGAGAGTGTGTGTACCAGTGTGAGCCCGCAAGCACATATGTGTCAAAATGGGGGCTGTGTGTTCACCCATGTGCAAAAGTGACAATGCTAGCATTTGACTACAGGAAGAACTGGGTGTGGGAATGTTCTGGAGTCTGTGTGTATACGTGTGTGCGTGTGAGATTATGCAATGGGCATATGAGGAACTACTAGTATGAGGGCAGGGAGTGTGCTACGGTGTTGGGCAGTATTCACACCAGGATACCCAAATGTTCAAATCCCGGCTCTGCCCCCGCAGTCTCGAATCCTGAGCAGGTGACGTCTGTGGAGTGGGCTAACAATAGCCCTGACTCGCTGGGCCATAAGGGCTGTCAGCTTTCACAAAGCAAAGGAAGTACTGTTATGATGATATGTGGGTGTGACTGTGGAGTGTCCGTGCAGAGGATCAGGTGACTGCGTGAGCGTGTCGCTCATGTGTGTACACGTGTGTACCACTTGGCTGTGTCCTCCAGGAGCGCACGCGGCGGGGCTGCCAGTCCCTAGCTGGCTCAGGGAAGCAGGGCCCAGATGGCCACCCCCTCGCTCCCTGCAGCCCAGAGTTTCAGAGTCGGTCGCTCTGACATCTCCTTCCTGTATAGCATCTGCTGCAACCCTGACACGTGGGGCCCAGCCCTTGGTTGCTGTCTCCAGGGACAGGGCCTACGACCTTGTGAGTCTCTTTTTGGGCTTGTTCAAAAACCCCCTCTCCCAGAAGCCAAGCTCTTTAGCAGGACGAAGCTCCCTCCCAAACCTCCCCCAACTCCCCTCCTCCCTCTCCATGGCCCGGCCACATCCACCCTCCACAGGTCCTTACACAGGGTGCTCCCTTCCGGGACCACTTGTCTCCCACCCTCCAAACAGGGAACCAGTCAACCTCTAGTCACCTCTACAACGCAGCACAGATGTCCCCTCCTCCCCAATTCACATCGATGCACCGAACACAGCCCTCTAAGCCACCTCCACTGCCAGGACAGTCTGCCTGTCACTTGTCTTTCTTGCCCACGAGACTGGAACAAGGATCTGCTGGCTTCCAATCAAGGGAGCTTTCCTCTAAGCGCAGTCTCCAGTATTTTTTTGTGTGTGTGAAAACAGAAAATGCTCTTTTTGGAAGACATCAAGATACAAAGCACACGGAAGCAGAGACCCTCAGACACCCCAGCTCCCACCAAGCGCAGCTGCACACCAATAGAAACCAACAGGCTTCTCCCCTGGGCTGCAGCCTTGGTCGTCATGGGAACTGCCGGCTGCAGGCTGGTCCTTGGGAGACCCACCAGCCTTGGATCTCGGAAGAACTATCAGCTGCAGCCTGATCCTCCGAGGGGCCTTCAGCTGAGCTCTGGTCTTTGGGGGCAGAACTTCGACTGCAGTCCTGGTCTTTGGGGGGACCTTGATTTGAGGGGAAACCACTCCAAGCTGTAGAAGCTCTCAGGGGACATATCAGTAGTACCTCTGGCCCTTGGGGGAATTTCAGGGCCAAATGGTGGAGCTAATTTCCCCCAAAGGGCTCTTGGAGGCCTGCCTCTGGGTGCAGATGGGCAGTGAGGACCTAAGGAGATCCTGGGGCAGGCTGGGGTGGACGGCAAGACAGTACCTGTAGCGGTCAGTGGAGAGGCTGCTTCCGGTGTCCAGGGAGCTCCTGAGGTGGCAAAAGCGAGACAGGGTTACTTATGGTCCCACACACACAGCAAACCCCTTGGGGGCCATGTCCACTCAGGCCCCAGCAGGTGGTCCCAGGACAGGTCCTGGGGCAACTGAGCAGCCCTGGGAAGAGCGTCTGCCCCACATGCAAGAAACCATGTGCTTTCTTTCCCCCTGCTGGCTCAACTGAGAAGCTGCCTTGTCTCTACCCCATGGCAATGTCAAGTCCCACTGCCCCCTGTTCAGATGGGGAAACTGAGGCTCAAGGAGAGGAAGCGCAGTGGGCAGGGTTAAAGGTCCTCTCTGGCTGGACCCAGACTTAACCTCGGGTATGTTTGACCTGAGCCACCATGCTCCTTCCCCAAAGAGCCCTGCACCAGGAATCTCAGCAGACCCATGGGTTTGGGCCCACCCAGCCTCCATGCCGGCAGCCCAGGGGCCCTGGAGCCCTGATTTCCTGCCCAGAGACTCGGCGTCCAGCTCTGGATCTGGGCCCAGGAGCCTGGGTCCTGCCTCCTGCCTTTGACCAAGTTCGGTCTGTGCTATGGGGTGTGGGCCTGGAGCCAGCCCAACTAGGATCACATCCCACCTCCACCCATGACTAGCCATAGACTTGGTGCCTGTCCCCTCACCTCTCTGTGCCTCAGTTTCCTCATGTGTAAAATGGGAGTAGGAAAAGCAGATCTCTCACAGGGGCAACGAATGCATCTGAAAGGACTGTCTCTTGTCTGCTCTGCCTGGCAGCACACCTCACATTCTGTGTCTTCAGGGCGTGGAGTGATGCTTTCCTGGAGGCTGGGGGGCCCCATCCCCACAACACTGCCTGTACCTGCCCACCTGGGGAGCATCAGCTATGACACAGAACTCATCCCTAGAGACCATGCCCTTGGAATACCCTCTTCTCCAATGCCACCTGCCTTCCGGCATGGGGCACCCACACCCCCCATCGCTGCCTCACACACTTCTCCCCACCTGAGGCCTTAGAAGTCCAGGGCACAGGCCAAGCCTGGGCCTATGTTTGGCCACAGTGGGGTTTGACATTCTGGGCCCAAGCTGGGTGCCTGCCATGGGTCGTCCCAGCTTTAGCCTCCGTTTCCCTACTTGCTCTCATACAAGAGCCCTGCTGGACACACCCCTGGAAGGAGGCTGACCTTCCTTCCCGTGTCCCATGCTGGCCTGTGATTCCGCTACTTCCTGTCTAGCTGCCATTGTGGCCGCTGGTAGATCCTATGTTCAGCAGATTCGAATCCCCAATGCCAGGCCCTGCTCCACACGCCATCCCTTAGGGACTCCCATCCACAGCACAATGCCTCCTTCTTCTCCAGCCCCAGCAGAAGAGGCCCCAGGTGGCACCCCTCTCCCCTTGAGCCAGAACCCACCCAGGGCCACACTCTGTTGGCTCAGCAGCTCTACCTGTGTGGCAGCCATGCCTTGCCAAAGCTCATGAAGAAAAGAAGACATGAGGGGTGGTGCCAAGACGCTGTGAGCTCACTTCCTGGACTGGTCACAGTCCTGTGCCCAATCTGGGATGGGCAACAGGTTTTATAGGAGGGAGAGCTAGCGGGGTGGCAAGCAGGCCTTCCCTGCCTTCCAGTGCCAGAACCCACACTGGGCATGGTGAGGAATTTTGGCCTTCAGGGAGTCCTGGATCTGGACAAGAGGACCCAGCCCTCCATCCCCCAGCCTGGCCGCTCAGCTGCACACGAGCCACATGAGATGATACCGATACGATGCGACGAAAATACTGCAAAATGGTGCCAGGTTCCTGGGCCCCACAGGCAGAGCCCACTGTTCCCAGGCCCAGGGCTGCCCTGCCACAGCCATAGAGATTCAACTCCCCAGCTCTGATCTCACTCTGGCCACATCATGACAAACTAGCAATATCTTCACCTACTGCAGGGAGCCCACCTCAGGCTGTGTTCTTCCCACACACTTCATCCGACCCTTGCATTAACCTTATGAGGTACATGGAATCATGCTCCCACTTCACAGAGGCTGAAGGTATGGCTCACGGAGACCCCACACACGGAACACCATTCCATTCCCTGCCTCCTTATCCAGACGCAAACTCCTAATCGCCCTTCAAAACCCTGCTCAAATGTCAACCCCTTTCTCTGTCTACCTTGCACCCTCCCTCAGCGGACTCCTTTCTTCCTTCTTCCTTTCCTGTTTCCCTCCTTTCCTTTCTTTCTTCTCCTCTCTCTCACTTTCCTAATAATAGCAAATATTTTTTGAGCAGTTTCTGAGTGGCAGGAGTGTTAACACTTCACAGGTATTAACTCATTGAGCTATGCAACAGAGGTACGGTCACACCCTACATGCTGTGGTACATGGGTCCAAGGAATTGAGCTGTGTGCAATACTCTCTCTCCAACCAGACAGTACGGTCGCTGAAGTCTGCATGTGAAGACGGGAAACTGTCAGGTGGATGCAATGTGCCCTTGCAGGCCTGCTGTGGCCCAGTGCTGAACCCCACAGCAGGCAGTGGCCCCTGCCTGCCCTCTCCACTTCTCCCCACCTGTGTACCTGCACCCCCACCCCCCGCCCCAGAAATCCTCAGTGGCCTGGAACACTCAGCAGTTCCTCCCACCAGCTGCCTCGGTGCCCCACCCCTCCAAGACAGTATAGCTAGGACTGGCTCTGAATGGAGACCCTCCCTCTGTCAACTGCCTTGTTGGGTCCAAGTTGTCTGCAGCCTTGTCCAGCCAAGACTGAGGCCTTGTTCTCCCTGCCGTCCTTTTTCATCACTCAGCACAGCAGTGCACAGGCCAGGAACAGGCCCCAGCAAAAAAGGCCCAGAGTGAGGGTGCACAGGGTCCCCAGAGAGAACCCTCAGCCCAGCAGTCCTGAATTTGGAACCAACCCCAACTTGTGTGTGCCCCGGGGATAGCAATAACAGCGCCCACCTCCCAGAGCTGTTGAGAAATGAGATAGTGCCCATAAAGTAAAAGGGCTTTGCAAACCAGAAAACGCCATTGCATGCATATTTGAGATACATCATTATTATCATTACATAGACTAGTGTATGTTGAGACGTAAGAGCTTAAAGGTTAACACATGAGTTCTAGAGCCAAGAGGGCCAGGGTTCAAATCCCAGCTATGCCACCTACTAGCTGAGTGCCCTTGGGCAAGTTAACTAACCTCTCTGTGCCCCATTTTAGCTTTTTCATCTGTAATGTTTTGGGAAGATTAAACAGGTTAATACATTTAAAAGGCTTAAAACAGTGCCAAGAACAGAGTCGGCATTCCATAAAAGCTAGCTCTGACTAGGACAGGACTCAAAAGATTTGCATGATATTCAATATACCTTATATTGTATTATATTACATATATTAATGTGTGATACCAACAAAATACAAATAAAATATATTATGTTAACATGCACACATATTTTTTAACACATTAACTCTATATTAATAGATATTTGTTATATATATGAATATATGAGTCTCATTTTATGTATGAGGGCACTGGGGCTCAGAGAGGTGCAGCAACGAGCTCAGTGGCACCCAGTTTCCCTGAAGGTTTGCCAGCCCCAAGTCCAGAGTTCTGTCCACCTGCTAGAGCTGCATCGCTTCCCCTGCTTCACCCCCAGGATCTTTGGAGGACCCTGGTCCAGGCTCATGGACACAGAGCTGCCAGTCAGCTAGGCAGGGCTCCAGCCCCTCCTCCATCCTTCACCTCTGGCTCAGAGACAAGCAGCCCATTCCAGCCATGCTGAGTGAGGCCCCTCCTCCTCTGTCCCCAGTCCCACTTCACAGCCTCCTGGGGAGGCTGCTTCCTTTTCCTTTTCAGAACCAACTGGTTGCCCCAGGCCTACACCCTGGCACTGCTTCTAAACAGCACCCGACCATTGAAGCAAAGTTCAAGAGCAGGAAAAAGTGCTGCTCTGTGCTGCACAAAGTCAGGAGAGCAGCCCCAGGGAATGGGCTGTGACTGTGACTGGCAGGGGCAGGGGCAGGGATCTTGGGGTGGGGTCTGTTCTGAGGTCAGGTGCTGGTTACATGAGTGTGTTCAGTTTGTGGCAATTCTACAAGCCATACGCTGATGAATTGTGCACTTTTCTGTACATATATAATAATTCAGTATCAATTTACACGAAGACAAAAACCAAACCGTCTGCCTCACGTTCAGTCTCCAGCACCAGCCTGGAGCAACAGAAGCTCAGGCCTCAGGCTCAGCTGGAACTGGTGGTCATCCCCTTTCTTGCACAGCACTTGCGTGGTCTTGGAAACCTCCCTCCCTGCCTCAGTTTCCCTCTGCTAAATGAGGAAGTGGTCAGTGTTTCTATCCTGGTTGTAGGGTAAACACCCTGGGGTGCTTTTAAGAAATATGGACGCTTGGGCCCTAATGCAGACCAAGTTCCTGCGCCTAGGGCTTAAAAAAAAAAACTGTTTATTTTGAAATAACCATAGATGTACAGAAAGTTCCAAACAAAAGGTACAAGATCCTGTGTGCCCCTCCCCTAGCCTTTTCCAGAGATAATATCTTGCACACCTGCAGTACACCATCAATGCTAGGAAAGCCACAGCCCACTGGGCCTATGGGGACTTCACCAGTTACACATGCCTGTGTGTCCACATGGTTCCCTCTCACCTAGCTGTGTGTGGCCAGCATGATGATACAGCACAGGACCGTCTCCTCACCAGGCTCTCCGGGCACCCTCTGTAGCCCCCTCACCTCTTCCCACCAGCCCTTATCCCTGGCAACTGCCTATCTCTTCTCCATCCCCATCATATTTTCATCTCTCAAGTGCCACACAAATGGAATCATCCAGTGTGCCACTTTTTAAGACCGGCTTTCTGCACTCAGCCCCATGCCCTCTGCATTCAGCCACTCTTCGGCGTGGAGGGTCCGCTCTGCCTCTCTGCTGAGCAGTGCTCCCCGGCGTGGCTGGGACAGTGTATTTAACCATTCATCCGCTGAGGGCATCTGGGCAGTTTCCAGTTTGGGGGCTGTTATGACTAGGACTGCCGCAAGTGTTCTTGGACCGGTGTTTGTGTAGACGCCAGTCTTCATTCTCTGGAAGAAATGCCCAAGAGCCCAGATGGTAGGTCGTATGGTGTGTGTATGATGAGTTTTAAAAGAAACTGCCAAACTGTTTTTCAGCATGGCTGTGCCATCTCACACTCCCACCAGCAACGGGTGAGTGATCCAGTTTCCCCACAGCCCTCCTGGCATTTCACGTTGTCCCTTTCTATGTTAGCCATTCAGACAGACGTACGTGGTGCCATGTCTGTTTTTTTTTTTAAATGAAAGGTCTCACATATTTATTACTGAACCCAGCCAACCAACGCGTTCATAACATATTCAGAGAGAAAAATATATTCCCAATAAAACATGTCCAACTCTCCAGATAGTGGTGACATTTTCTGCTTGATACGGCAACATGATTGTGACCTTGAGACAGCATCAATATGTGTGCCATCTCATGTGCAATTCTTTATAGACCCAGCTTGGTTCTTCTCCAATGTCTCCTTTTGGAGTTGTGCCTGATTTTATTACCAGTTTTCATCCGAATCCACGGGGGAATGGGACGATTTTGCTTTATTTTCTTGGCCAGGAATCGCTTACTCCTGAAAGTCTTGTGAGAAGACATGGCGAGAAGCGGACTCAAGCACACACCACGATGATGGAGAAAGGAAGAGAGGGGACTGGCTGTGGTTTTAACCTTGTTTCCCTGTTGGGGATGCTGCGACCCATCCTTCCATGAGCTTCTCTGCCACCTGCACGTCATCCTTGCTGGAGCATCTATGTGTACCTTCTGCTTCAGAAGCTCCCAAACCTAATGCAGAACCAGTGAATCCCCTCGAGCCTTCCAAGCTTAGACAGTTCTGTCCGTTTTAAAAGAACCCATTCGCTGCTGTAAGAATTATTCCAGAACACCCTGTGCTTTCTGGAAGGAACACCTGGATCCAGGCCTCAGGGCGGGGTCTAGGTGGCCAAAGGCAGCTCTGAGCTGTCTCAGCCAGACGATGACCTTGTGTGTTCCTGAGACGGAATGGGAGGAAAAGGGAAGGAATGCAGGGACCACGGGGAGAAGGGAGACTCTGGGAGTCGGCTCACAGCCCCAGCAGCTGCCATGACTAGGCTCACCAGCGGCAACACACTCCTACCAGCGAGTGGGCTGGGTCTGTGGTTTGGGGTGAGGGCATGACCCAGGAGGGGCCTGAGGCAGGGACGCCTCAGACTGCTACAGACCCTGGAAGGGGTTGTGTGAGTAATTTGCCTCAGTTTCCAAAGGGGTGGGGAGGCCACAGACCTCTCTGTTCCACTGTCCCCCTCCCTCTTATTAAATAAGTCACATATATTCACTGTACTAACTTTAGAAAATAACAGTGAAACACAACAAGGAAAATAAAATTATCCACCATTCCAACTCCCTGGGGATACCCCAGTGTTAATATTTGAGGAGACTTTCTGGCTGTGCCTGTGCCTGGGTGTAGATGTGTTTTAGTTACACAAAAATACGCTCCACTCTGCGAAACACTTTCCCCCACTTCGCACCGTCTCTCGAGTGTGTTTCTCGGTCTGGAAGCATTCCTCCCCTCGCCCCATGGAAAGCTGGTGGAGCCTGGCAGGCGTTCCCCTGCCCACGGTGGGTGTTGAGCTTGGCTGTCTCTCTCGTTGGCCCTGGTAAACAAGGCAGTGGCTTCAATAGGGTTTCTATGCACAGCCACAGTCTCTCCTTTAGGACCAATTCCCGGCATGGCTGGGGCACAGGAGGGATGTTTTTTGGGCTATGGGTACACCCGGATGTCCACCCAGAGATGGGACCAACAACACACTCCTACCAGCAGTTGACTGTGAGTGTTGGACCATTCTTAGGGCTCCAGAAGTTTCTCTGTTTGGGGCAGAAGCGAGGGCAAGGGAGGAAGCAGTGGGCACCCTTCTACCCTGTCCCCCACACGCCAGGCCCTGGCCCTGCAGTTTACGTGTCAGCCATTGGTGTCCACAGCCGAGCTATGAACTGTGTCACAGATGAAGTGAACAAGAGCACGCTGGGTCTGCATTCCTGGCCTCCCTCCACCCCGTCACGTTGCCAGCAAGAAGGGAGCCTAACAGCGATGCCAGGTCCCCCAGGCTTACTGTGCCCCTTGAGCTCAGGGACGGGATGCAGTCAGCCCTCCTCCCTGGGCCTCCTGAGGCTGAGGCGCAGAGAAGTGAAGAGGTGGCCTCTGGACTTGAGCCCAGGAAAGCCACCGTGTCACCTTGTGGTCTCATTCCATGATCCCCGAGGGGGGAGGCTGTTTGCCAGTGTCACACGGTGGGACCCCAGGAGCCACGGCAGGGCACTCGGGTCAGACGGACCCTGTTGGGCCTCAGAAGCCACATGACCCCGCCTGAGCCTCAGTTTCCTCATTTGTAAAACGGGGCTGATCAGAGGTTACAGCGAGGCTCCCAGAAGCTGACGGCTGGAGGCACCTCATAAACTGGCCTGAGGGGCTGCTACACTGGCTGACGCCCGCCTGTCCTGCCCAGGCCTCCCAAGCCCTCAGAAGGCCACAGAAGGCTCCTGTCCACCCACCGCCGGCCTTCCTGTCCTGGCTCTGGGCCACAGACCGCCCTGCCTGCGGGCTTGGGGCCCCACCACTGGGCACAGTGCGGCGATTGTCCCGGGGTTGGCCTGCACACCCCTCCATCCTGCCAAACTGCCCTGCCCAGGAGCTCAGCCCGCCTGTGTCTGGAACACTCCCTCCTCTGGGGGCAGATGGGGGTCTCAGTGAGGTCTTCCTGGACAGAGAGCCCAGGGTAGCGAGGCGGAAGCCCTGGGGTGAGACTTGTCTGGGCCTCAGTTTCCCCATCAGTGTCATGAGGAGTTGGTCTAGAGAAGTGGTTATTAACTCTGGCAGGGGGAGTCTCAGGCCACTTTGAAATGATGCTTCATCCAATCTAGTCTCCATGCAGCCCCCAATTCCAGGTCTAAGAGCTTAGCACTAATTCATTTCACGCTCAACCACCCTGTGACAGGAGATATTCTCCTCCCCACTTTACAGATGTGAAAACGGAGGCACCTAGCCATGATCAGAGGCATAACTCAAAGAGTGAATCAGACAGATGCCTTCACCACCCGTGTAGAGCAGGGGCACAGGCAAAATACACAAACAAGGTAACCTCAAGTGATCCAGAAAGTAATACCAGGAGATAGTGGATGGGTAGAGTGGCGAAGCAGGGGGCTGCCCCCACTAACCCGGTCCAGAGCTGCCTCAAGGAAGAGGCGATCACTGGGCCAAGGTCACAGAGGGAGTACATGCTGTGCAAGGGGCCAGCAAGGACAAAACTTGCAGAGTGACCTCGGAACATCCTGGCGGAGGGGCCCTGGGGTGCAGGGTCCAGGCCCGGGGTGGGGCAGGCCAGGCATCTACTGCAGGAGTGAAGGCCTGGCTTGCATAGAGAGGCCCACCTGGCCCACCACACCTGCCAAGTAGCACCACCGAGATGTCCCCCCCACCACCATTCCAGCTTCTTCTGTGACCCCCAAAGGCTCCACCAAGGACTCTCTTCTTAAGACAGCAGCACGAGTCATGAGTGTCTCGGGTCAGGCCATGTCCAACTTCTCCTGGGCTTGCCTGGGTGGGATCAAGGCCTCACCATGTGGCCCGGAGCCTGACCAAGCCTGTGTGTCGGTGTCCTGTGGTCCTGAGTCCAGGACTGCTGCCAAGTCCTGTTCATTCTAGGCCCAATTCACTGATAGGCAAGAAGTAGAGAGAAGCCTTAGTCCAGTACAGGCTTGGGGGAGGGGTGTACCTGCAATCCTTGGAGTTCAGCCCTCCCAACCTCATGTCCTGGCCCTGAAAGAACCATCTGGCACCACCCCATCTACAGGGCAAATACAGCTTCCAGCAAACCCTCTAGAGTCCACCTGGCCTTTCTGGGGGGTCCTTCCTGGGTTTTCAGCCTCCCCTCCTTCAGATGTCAGACCCTTCAGGTGCTGACAGGATCTCATTTAATCCTCAAGCCGGCCTGGGAAGCTTAGGTTTCTTATTCCCATTTTACATATGAGGAAACTAAGGCTCAGAAAGGTGGAGACCTCCCCAAGCCTCCTCAGCAGATACACGTATCCACTCAGCTCCTGACCTGAGCCTGTGGGCTCTGTCCCCTGCTCCCTGCTGTAACGTCCCGCACCACCCATAGTCAGCTCAGGCGGCTGATCTCCAACCAGGAAGAACATTCTGAGCCCTCCCAACCTCAGGATGGAGGATTTGCTGAGGCGAGTTTTCCCTGAGGGTGTCCTTCCACTGGAAGTCCTTAGGATATTCAGAAAGCAACCCAATTCACCTAGCAACTTACATATTTTAAAAATTTCATTTTAAAATCGCTAATGTATACTCATGGTTCAAAACTAAAATACAGAAGTTGTCAAGCAGAAGGTCTCCCTCCTAAATGTTCCATATCCACCAGGCTCCCAGGCACACAATGCATACCTGTAACGCATACATGTTCCCCTTGTCTCTTATTCCTTACACAGAGCCCCATCTTTTGGGCCCCCTTATAGGATTTCTTTATGTGAACATAAGCGGACACATATGCACACAGAGACGGGCGGTATCTATGTGCCTGCAATGCATACACGTTCCCCTGGTCTCTAGTTCCTTACACAGAGGCCTTATCCTGACTGCAATGTGCTCCTGCCTTCCCCAAGCACCACACTCTTGAACTCACTCTCTGGCCATTCGGTCTCAGGCACAGCTCCCCGTGTGGACTGAAGACACAGCCAGGGGATGGAGGTGGCCTCTGCTTCACAGCTGCCCTCCCAGACCTGAGCCCCTGACCTAAAACAGTGGTGGGGGACACAGCGTATACCTGCTGGGTGCAGTGGAGGCCCCAGGCCAATCTTGGCCCTGTAGACTTTTCCATGCCCAATGGAGGGTCTACAGGACAGCCCCTCAACCCACAACACACACTCAGAACCATGCTGCCCTCACACGGCCAGACAAGCACACACACAAGACACACCCTTAGCACCATACACATGCAGACACTACATGCACAACATGTGCAAGCAGGCACATGCACACGGGCTCTTCCAGTGAGTGGCGGGGAACACCCCACTGTCCCCAGCCCTGGTCTTAGGTGGCCGAGCACAGACAGGAGAAGCACCTGGCACAGGGTCACACAATGAGCAAGGATTAGGCTAGGATGGGGCCCCAGACATCCCGCCTGCCAGCCTGGGGGCCCTACCACTGGGCACAGTGAGATGATTGTCCCAGAGCTGGCCTCCAATGCTCCTCCATCCTGCCAAACTGCCCTGCCCAGGAGCTCAGCCTGCCTGAGTCTGGAAAACTCCCTGCTGTTTTAGGGCTCTCCTTACCCACTCCCCCACCCCATGCCTGCACTCAGCAACTACATGAAAGGAAAATCTGCCCCCAGGCTCCCTGCAGCTCAGGGCCAGGAACCCAGACAGCAGGTGACAAAACAGCTCAGGCTTAACTCACACATCCTTCTCATTAAGAAAAAACATTTTCAGGCCTGGCACAGTGGCTCACACCTATAATCCCCATACTTTGGGAGGCCAAGGCAGGCAGATCACTTGAGGTCAGGAGTTCAAGACCAGCCTGGCCAACATGGTGAAACCCTGTCTCAACTAAAAATACAAAAAACAGCCGGGCGTGGTGGCAGGTGCCTGTAATCCCAGCAACTCAGGAGGCTGAGGTATGAGAATTGCTTGAACCTGGTGGGCGGAGGTTGCAGTGAGCCGAGATGGCGCCACTGCACTCCAGCCTGGGCGACAGAGGGAGACTCTGTCTCAAAAAAAAGAAAAGGAAAAAATAATTTTCAAACCCCTGTGGGCCAGACACTGGGCTGGGCACTTCCATACAAACCCCACAGGGGCATGAAGGTTAGGAGAGGCCAATAAAGGCTAGGGCCATGATGTGCTGAGTGCCACTGTGTGCCTGGTATATGACCTCTGTCCTTCCAAACATCCTTGGGGGCAGGGGTTGTTATCTTTCCCACCTCACACAGGAGCAAGCTGGGGTTCAGAGAGGTAAAGGAGTTGTCTGAAGTCACACAGCAGGTGAGGGCTGTCTTTGTGGCCAGTCAGCACCATCCAGGGGAGGACCTGGAGGGCAGCTGCAGGGGACCTGAAGCCTTAGTGGGGCCCTGGAAGGAGAACCCACCCCCAGCCTGTGGGTACAAGGGTGTGCTGGTTTCTGGATAAACAGAGAGCCCAACCTGCCTCCCATCCCTCGCCATGCATGAGAGGAAGGAGCTGGAAAGCTCGGTCTGAGTGTGGGGGCTTCTATTTTAGGGGCGCAAGATGCTGTCACGACACACAGTGTTCCCCATGCATCTGTCTCCACTTGGGACACAGAGCATTTTCCTGGCAGAGAGCTGCAGCAGGGCGGCAGGCCTTGGGTGCCCTCGGCCCACGGGGTGCCTGGTAGCTTTGGCCAGCGGCGGACAGCGCTGCCCTCAGCCAGGTGGGTGGGCTGAGCTCTGGGTGCAGGAGGTGGATGGGGGGGTAGTGCCCTCACCAGGGCATGAGAGTGGGGATGGTGCCAGCCTCTGACACATCCTCTCCTGCGGTAGCCATCTCTTCCTGGGCTCCCTCCACCCTTTGGTGACACCAAGGTCACTGTCCTGAGTCTGACCTCCTTCCACCCCCGACCTCCAGACACAAGGAGCTCAATGCTCCCAGGCTCCTCCCTGGGTGTCCCATAGGGCTCTCCTTACACCAGCAGGCCCCACCCCAGGGGCCCATCTCGGCAATGGCGCTGCCACCCATCAGACCCCCAGGCCAGACCCCTAGGCACTATGGTCTACTATGCCTTTGATGCCCTGTTCTCCCCTGTTCCCTCCCAGTCTTGGGCTGAGTCTCTGTGGGCACCCTGGGCACCTCTGCTCCAGCAGCTGCCTCGGCCTCCCCATCAGACCACCTCCGGCTTTTCCTATCACCCCCTGACCACACAGCACAGGCCTGGCACGGGGTGCCCTCTGGGTGATGTGAGAGAGGCAGCATGGGGGCTCATGCCTGGAATCCCAGCACTTCAGGAGGCTGAGGCAGGAGGAACCCTAGGAGTTCAAGACCAGCCCGGACAACATGGCAAAATCCAGTCTCTACAAAAAAATAAAAAAAATTAGCCAGTGTGGTGGTGGGTGCCTGTAGTCCAACTACTTGGGAGGCTGAGGTGGGAGGATCACCCGAGCCCAGGAGTTCAAGGCTCCAGTGAGCTGAGATTGGGCCACTACACTCCAGCCTGGGTGACAGAGCAAGACCCTATCTCTAAAAAATGAAAGAAGGAAGGAAGGAGGGAAGGAAAAGAGAAACAACAGACTTCAGGCTAAAGGAGACAGTGTGGGTCTCTGGTCACTCTGTTGGTCCAGGGATGACTTTGGAGCAGCGGTGAACTCGACAGGCATGGCCTGCCCTCAGAGGCCACAGTCTGATGAGAGGATTGGGTATGCTCAGGGTTGCTGTGGGGTGCTACATGCTGGATTGGTGACGTGCTCAGCACTGGCCTCAAAAGGGATGAGGCGCCGGCTTGGGGATGGCATCCAGGCAGCGGGAACGACTGTGCTGAGTGCCACTACGATGTGCTGAGTGCCACTGTGTGCCCGGTATATGACCTCTGTCCTTCCAAACATCCTTGGGGGCAGGGGTTGTTGTCTCTCCCACCTCGCAGAGGAACAAGCTGGGGCTCAGAGAGGTAAAGGGGTTGTCTGCAGTCACATAGCAGGTAAGGGCCATCTTTGTGGCCAGTCAGCACCATGGGAGAGTAAGGCGGGGAGGTGGAAATGGTCTGTGCATGTTGGGATGCAAAGAGGAGGCAGATGTGGCTGAAAGGAAGGGAGTGACGGTGGGAGTAGGAAGGCTGAAGAGGGCAGGCAATGGCTGAGTCCTGCAGTGAACAGGCTCCTGCGGTGGGGCCCGGGACCTTACGGCTGGATCCGGGTTTGAAGTCAGCGGAGGCAGATGCAGTTGTAGGAAGAGGGGTGACCAGCTCCTGCAGTCTCAGGGCCTGACTCCATGCCCTGGCTTTCCACCGATGGGCGGGGTAGCCCTGGAAAAAGTCCCCTCCCTCTCTGGACTCATGCTGTCTGGACCTGGGCTTCCTGCAAGGGGGCCACCTGCCCAAGGCTGGATGACGGGCCTAGGGCACATCTAAGGAACAAGGACAGGACAGAGGCAAAG
This sequence comes from Homo sapiens, assembly GCF_000001405.40. Classification (NCBI taxonomy): domain Eukaryota; kingdom Metazoa; phylum Chordata; class Mammalia; order Primates; family Hominidae; genus Homo; species Homo sapiens. The sequence goes on from NC_000003.12 coordinate 13,060,659, forward strand.
CCACAGCTGCTGGGGCAGGGTGGGGGCCGGTATGTCTGGCCAGCAGCATCAGCCCTGCCCCCGGCGGGGCTCCAGGACCGGGAGACTCATCAGCCGGAAGCTCTTGGAGGAGGCGGCTGCCGTGAAGACAGGCACCCTTGCTCCTGAGAGGGGCACCCAGAGAACCAAGACTCAGCAGAGGGAACACAGGGCTACGCCCAGGCCCCAGGCCTGATATCCAGAGTCTAAATCCCACCTCAGCCCAGGGGGGAGCCTTGAGAGGAGCTATGTCCCTCATGGACCCCAGTTTCCTCTGCATACGGGCTCCGAGCCCTGCACTGCCTCCAGGGTAGTTCCCAAGGTCTTTTCCCATTACCTCCTACGTGAGCACTCAGTAAACCAATACACATACACAAGGGTGACATTAATTCCAGCCACAGAATCCCAGGCCACGCGTGGCCTGGCCCTCCCTGAGAAGTTGCTCTTGCTCAGGAACCCCCTGTGCAGTTCCTACCCCTCGGTTCTGGCCCACGAGGCTGGGAATGACCCATATTATAGATGGGGACATGGGGACAGAGCCGGCAGCATGGGCATGACTGCCTCTCTTCATCGTTCCTCCCCAGGGAGGCTCAGAGCAGCCAGGAAGGGTTTCCCCTCCTTGAGATGCTGGTAAAAAGGATTTCAGGTTGATCTGGAATAAATGATGAGTTTTCTCATGTAACATACAATGCCCTAGGCAGTTTTAAAAAATATCTATCACTAGGAAAAGAGGAAAGATAAAATGGTAAGAATAAGTGTTCGTTTATAGGTCCCAGTTGGCAAAGCAAGAGGGGGATGTGCCAGCCCAGTGGTGCAGCTGGATCCTGAACATCAGGGGTCCCAGGACTTACCTAGCACATGCAGTCCCCAGCCCCCACCAAGGTCCACAGAGCCCCTAACATACCGAGCCCATGACTCCAGGCCCTGTGCTGATGCCAGGGGCCAGCCGTCCGGTGGGGGTGCTGGGCTGGCCTCCCTGGTGCCTAAGCCAGGGATCTGGCTGCCCTGGGCCTCTGCACACTACTGAGGCTGCCAGCTCCGTCCAGACTTGCCCCAAACTGCCAGGCTCTCCTCTAACTCCAAGCAAAGCCTGTGGCCTGTTTCTAGACTTGGTTTACCCCCGTCCCAACAAACACACACATTTGAATTCCCCTAATTCCCAGCCCAGTGGTTCGGGGGGCTGACCTCATGCTCCAGCTACAGGTGTGGCCAAGTGACAAAGAGGCTGGCCAGTCAGCACATGGCTCCTCTTGGGGATGGAGATGGTTTCAGGAATGGCCATGAGTCCCAGGGCTGACCAGGGGGACTGAGGCTGCTGAGGGGGCTGAAGCCTCCACACAGGAACGTGTCCTGGGGAAAGGTGAACAGGACATGGCCACAGGAGCATTGGAGCCCCTGGAGCCAGCCACACTGAAGCCAGATCGTGGGCTATTCACTGACAGTAATCACGGAAATCCCTTTGACTTGAGTTTCTGCCGTTTGCCACCCAAAGGCTCCTGATGGATACACCATTACAGCCCAGCTTCCCTTCCCTTCCCTTCCCTTCCCAGATGTTCACATTTCTTAAGTCCTAGCACGTCCTGAAGCCCAGCCCTGTGCCGTGAGAATCCAGGGGAGGAAGGGGACAGGAATAATCTCTATAGGTCACAGAGATACCACAGGCCTTATTACCTCATTCTGTCCTGATGGCCACCCTGCAAAGCTGGAATTATTAGCCTCATTTTACAGAAAAGGAAATAGGTTCAGAGAGGTTGTCTTCTGCCCCAAGTCACACAGACACTGGGCAGCACATAAGGAGTTCCATCTGAGCAGCTCCTTGGAGAGGGGTGGGGTCCTGGCAGGGGAGGCACAGAGAAAGGTCTTGATTACCCCCAGATCTTGGACCCCACATCTGCTGAGCTCACCTGGTCTTGGAGAGCTCCTCTGAGGTGGCCTGACCTCTCTGCAGCCCAGAGATGGCCAGGGGACAGACACCCGAACAAGGAAGGGGGTTGGAGAGACTTGAGGGCATTTCTCTTTTATCTGATGGTGGAGAGCAAATGGGAGGAAAACGCTCGGTGTTATCGTGGGGCCAATGAGAGCCTTAAGATACAGGCAGTGAATTTCAGCCAGGGCCCTGGTGATTTAAGATGCATCACTTCCCTTAGTAACCATGCCAAGCAGATGTCAGGGACATCTTGATGAGGGATGAAGCCATCGGTGCCAATAAAACATTTTTCTATTAGCCACGCTCAGGTCAGCCGCCTGCTGAGCCACAGGGGTTGCTCTGACAGGACCTTCATCCTTCGGAGGTCGGGCCAGTGTGGCAAGGTCACGCCATGGGATATAAAGGGGGACGGGCATCTCTGGCGCAGCCCCAGCTCCTCAGAGCCCTGATATCCCAAGCTCATGCTCAGGAAATGGGATGCACAGGGGAGGGAGAGCCGGGACTCCTGGGCTGGGCAGTCTAGTGGGCAAAGCCTGGCCCCTCAGAGAGCCGACACCACGCCCAGCCTGGCTTCCCCACTGCCCTGTTCACTGCCCTAGTCCTGCCCACAACCTCACCAGCCATGTCCCAGCTTTCCTTCAACCAGTGACAAGTCAATTCACTGAAAGCTAATTCATAGAACAGTCAATTTGTAGAATGACAAAGTCATAAAAAGTACTTGCTTCCTTCCCTTAACCTTTTAGCTTTAGTTGACTGGTCCATTTTTGTCTTCAAAATGGCATTTGATGGAATGTTATTTGTCTCTGTCCCAGCTGCCCACTGTGGTGGCAGGAGGCACAGACAAGCATGGTGACTGTGTCATCAGGAATGCTGCGGGCACAGGGCAGAGGAGGGCAGGAGTGGCCGTCAGCAGGGCTGTTCTGCAAGCCCAGGGGAGCAGGAAGGCCCACCTGAGAAGAGGCCTGGGCTGGGGCTGGGGCCCCGGTTCTGGGAGGCATTGGGGGACAATGGATAAGACCTCTGCTCCATCAGCCAGCTGAAACCACTGCCTGCTGGCAGAGCAGGGTCTGAAACTCAGAACCCCTGGGGGCCAGCCAGGCCCCAGCTGGCAGCAAAAGGGACTTGTGTTTCCTTTCTGGGGTGAGGGGCCGGCCCCAGTGCCCCTGGTGGGATGCAGCCTTGGAGAGAAGGGCCCAAGGTGTCTCAGGTGTCAGGGAGTGGAGGGCAGTAGAGGTTGGTGACCATGGTGCACCACCAAGGAACTGAGACTGGGAGGTCACTGGCTGTCTGCTGTCCTCAATTACCAGGGATCTCAGCCTGTCAGACCTGATACCCACCCTCACCTTTTAAAAATTAAACTTTTTATTTTGAGATAATCGTAGATTCATTTGCAGTTGTAAAAAAAAAAAAAACAAAAAACAATACAGAGAGATCTTATATACATCGTTTCCCCCAATGGTAACATCTTACAAAACTATAGGATCCATCACTACCAGGATTCTGACACTGCACTGTCCTCCCATCTTAGGTAGCTTTCCGATTTTGCTTGTACCGTGGAGCCTGCATACATGATACGCCTGCATAGAACTAAACACACGCATGCACACACATACAGGCACATACAAGTGCCACCACAGTCAAAATACACAATAGCTCCATTACCACAAAGATCCCTTGTCCAGCACCCCGCTCCTTAAATCCAGAGCTTTGCACTATCCTCTTCTCTCTTCTCAAATGAAGCTGATGACTCATGTGATCCATCCACACACATATTTAAAACAGAACCAAGAGAATGGCTGAATGGTAAAATTACAGAGAAAAAAAAAGAGGAAAATAATTTAGAATAAAATAAACGGTAATTTGTCATGTTAATCGTGGGTGGGCCTACCCTATAGTCACCTGCCTGGTCGTGTGACAGCGACCACAAACCCAGATGGATGCTGGAGTTCACTGGGCACTCTGGCACCATGAGAGATGCTGTCCTTGGTGATGTGGTGCTCTGAATGGTGGCAGCTCTTGGCTGAGCTCCGAACATATCAGAGTCTGATCTTCCCTCGACTGCGAGAGCAGTTGCATTCCTGGAAAACTCAATGCATATTCAAATCATACAAAATGCATTTTGTGGTTTAGATGTCAAGAGGAGTGAGGACCAGACTCGGATAGTTGCTCGCAGATTTTCATGCCCATAAATATCTGTGTGGATTCTTGGTGTGGGGGCCTGTCCTGCACAACCTAGGCTGGCCCTGCTCCCACATGCCCTCTGGCAGCTCTGCCTGAATCTGGGGCCCACTGTCAAAGAGATGCTGATAACTGTGCCCAGGACTGACCTGGACGGAGAGCCAGCTAAGGTGACAATGATGAAGGCTTGACGCATAGGCTTCCTGGAGATGTGTGGGGGTGTTCATCTTGGAATGTTCAGGCCCAGTCCCACCAGCCTCCCTTCTCCTGCCTGGGGAAGACACACAGGGCTTGGCTTCCTTCATGGAGGCCCCACTGCAAGCAGCTGGCCAGGGCTTCCCATGGAAGGAGACCACCACCTCCTGCAGGGGCCGGCTGGTCACACATCCCCCAAGTTGAGCGTTTCATTGGCTCAAATCCAGAAACCACAAAACAGTGGTGGGAAAACTAAACTGCTCTGTGTCACCAGCTTGCTGAGGGAGCACTTCAATGATGAAGCACACATATAAATGCACAGAAATTCACCAAGGACCCAAAGGAACTGGACACAGCCGTGGCCTCTGGGCAGAAGAACAAGAAGCAAGGGAACCAAATAGACAATATGTGCAGCCTTTTTTTGTACCATGTGGATGAATAATCTCTCAGTTATATGACTATATTTGAAAAACAACAAAGACGTAACCATCCCTTTTGTAAGCTAAACTTCATCACTCACACTTTTATTCAAGAGGGGGAAATTTAAAAACACAAGATACCACTTCACACCATTAGGATGGCTATTATTAAAGAAAAACAGAAAGTAATGAGTGATGGCGAAGATGTGGAGAAACCAGGACCTTTGTGCAGTGGTGGAGGGAAGGTAAAGCAGTGCAGCTGCTGTGGAAAACAGTATGGCGGCTCTTCAAAACAGTCAGCATCCAATCACAATCTGACCCAGCAATCCCACTTCTGAGTATACACCCAACAGAAATGGAACCAGGGACTCGGAGAGGTATTTGCACACCCATGTTCACAGCAGCACTATTCACAACAGCCAAAAGGCAGAAACAACCCAGTGTCCATCAATGGGTGAATGGACAAACAAAATGTGGTCCATCCGCACAATGGAACAGTGTTCAGCTTTAAAAAGGAAGTTCTGCCCATTGCCGCAGCAGGGATGAACCTTGAGGACATGAGGCTAAGTGAAGTAAGCCAGTCAGGAAAGGACAAATGCTGTCTGATTCCACTCACATGACATCCCCAGGGCAGTCATATTCACAGGGACAGAGAGCAGAATGGTGGGTGCCAGGGGCTGGGGATGCAAGATGGGAGTCTGCGCTTACAGAGCACAGAGCCCTGTTTGGGAAAGTGAAGTTCTGGAGATGGATGCTGTGTTGGCTGCACGGCACTGTGAATGCACTTACTGCCGCTGAAATGTGTGTAATTAAAAAAGGCAAACATGTGGTCGATCTGCACAACGCAACAGTGTTCAGCTTTAAAAAAGGAAGTTTTCTGTCTATCTTACCACAATTTTAAAAATGGTGATTTGTACCTTGTCAGGCCAGGCCCCTCAGGGATGCTAGAAAGCAAAGGCAGGACTTCCGGGCAGCTGGTGACAACAGAGGGGCCGGCACTGTGTCTGTCACAGCGAGGACTCGCCACGCGCCATGCGGGAGCTCTATGAGGGGGCCCATTTGCCTGGGGGAGTCAGGAAAGAGGCACAGGCTGGGCTGTGAGGTCTGAGGTGAAGGGGAAGAAGGGCACTCCCGGCAGAGGAGCCAGCATGGGCAAGAGTGTGGCAGGGTGAGCCTTCCAGGCAGGGCTGGGCAGGAGTTGGAACGTTGTGGGATCGTGGGAGGCCAGGAGGACCAGGAGAGAGGGCCTCAGGCCCCAGAGCGGCTGAGGAGAGAGGGGTGTGTGCAGGAAGGGGCGCCCACTGCCCCACCCCGTTCTCTTCCCAGCTGTATCCAGGAGCCGCTCTGGCAGGTGCCACCAGGTCTTATTTACTGTGTCCCTTCTCTGGGCGGTAGCTCCATGCAGGCAGGGCGGGCCTGGTCCATTTACAGGCGTAGCCCACAGGCCTGGCGTGTGTCAGGACGTGGACTAGATGTCCAGTGACCATGGTGGGCTGAGTGAATGAATGGGTGAGTGATCGGCAGGATGGGGCCATGTGAATGAGCCAGCATGCCTGGAGCTGCTGTGCCTGGCAGACACCACTCCTCCCACTCCCAGTCCCCTGTGTGTCGCAGCATAACCAGGAACTTTCCAGATGAGGTCAGAGGCCCAGAGAGGGCAAGCAGCCTGCCCAGGGTCACATAGTGAGGCAGGGACAGAGCTGGAGTGGAGCCTCCTTGTCCTGCTCTGTAAGGCCCCAGGTGGGCCAGGGCCTCAGAGACCAAGGGGCAGGATATTTTCATCCACTCTGCCTGCAGGGAGCCTCCTGGGGGTAAGAGTGAGATTTGAGAGAACAGGAGCCATCCAACAGGCTGGAAAGAGCGGGAAGGGCAGACGGGGGCTGTGTCGTCAGTAGGCTTTTGGGGGAAAGCAGCAGGCTCTAAGGTAAGCCTGGGAGCAGCTTAGCCAGCACCCAGGAGCAACGCCTCCTAAGCCCCCACTGGTGGTGACAAAACTGGTCTGGTCCACAGGCATTGGGTGGGGGGCTCCCAGCCACTGTGGGACAAGTACCCTCAGCACCCAGGACAAGCAGGCTGGGGGCAGCCATGCCACAGTGGCAGTGACCAACACATTCCAGGTAGTGCATGCAGTGGGGAAGGGGTGGGGAGGGACAGAGCCTTGCGGCCAAGAGATCTGGAACCTGCTCAGGGTAAGGCGTCAGGTCCCCCAACACCTGGGCCCCCTGACCACCCTCCTTCCCTTCCTCATCCCATCTCTGTGCACTGGGTGCCCACTGGCCCCACCCACAAGGGCACACAGATCTGGCTGGGGAGGAGCAGGGTCTGGAGTCAGGCAGACTCACTGGCTGTGACCCTGAGCAAGGCACTTCCCTGGAAAACAGGATGGCACACAACCACCCTGCCAGAGTTGTGGGATTCAACAAGATAAGGCACTTTTGTTGTTATTCTTAAAGACCAAGTGAGTCAGTGCAAGGAGGCAGGCCAGGGCCCTGAGGAGATGGTGCCAGGTCCTTTAGGGGCACAGGGGGCCTTGGGGGGCTTCAACAAAGGGCCTCCAGGGAGGGACAAGGATGGCGTGACACTTGTTGAGCTTGGGGCCCAGCCTGCTTGCTGGCCCGCAGGCAAACCCTGGAAGGGGAGTATCAGCCCCACCACATAGAGCAGGAGGCTTAGGCCCAGTGCCTGTGCTTGGGGCACTTGGGAAAAGATGCTGACCATGGGCTGACCAAGGCCCAGCAGGGTCCTGCCCCGGGGCTGGGGCCAATCCAGGCCTTACGCTTCCTCTGAGGCCCAGGGAGGATGTGGATGTCGGACCTGTCCTTCACGGATCCTTTGGTGGAAGATGGTGGCAGGTGGGTCAGAGGTAGGTGCTTGCCTAAGCAGACGCTACTTGTTGCCCTGCCTGTCCAGCAACTACCAGAAAAGTCTGTTCCTCTCAGTCTCTAAAATTCACCCCAGACAGGGTCTCTAAGTCCCAACATCATGCCAGGCCATGCCAGCTTTGGGTATACAACGGGGAGCAGGCCTGGGCCCTGGCCTTGCAAAGGGGCAGAGGCAGTGGCCAGGCCTCTGAATTTTCAGGCCCCAGGCTCATGACACCCCCTCATGGTTGGGAGGCCCCAATGCAGTTCCCCAACCTCTTTAACCCCCAGTCTTTTCTTCATATCTTTAGCTTCCAGCATGACGATGTGACTCTTTACTCCAGGGCCTCCATGAACAGCCCCAGCCCCTTTACCTCTCTTCTTGGTCCACTCTGCTCCAGCAACACCATCCTCCCTCTGTGGCCCAATCCTGTCAAGCATGCCCTCACCAGGGCCTCTGCACTTGCTGTCCCCTGCACCCGGGGCCCCCACTCTTCTCCTGGATAGTTCCTCCTAATCATTTAGATTTCTGTTCAAAGGTCACCTCCTCCAGGAAGCCCTCCTCACTTCCTGAGTGGCCACACAGTTCACTCAATCCATTCCCATTGGGCTCTCTATCTTCTTCATTTCTCTGTGTCCTTCTCCCCTGCAGTATCCCCTGAGAGCAGCACCCTCTCAGTGGTTCCCAGCACTGAGCTGGACATACAGCAGGTGCACCATGAACACTAGCTGAAGGCAGGGAAGTGAAGGCCCAGGCCTGGTTATGCGGCCTTGGCTGCATATCCCAGTCTTTCTGAGTTATAACCAGGACCTGCCCAGTGGCTTCCTGGGGCTGTAAAGGGTGGATAGATGCTACAGCATTCTTGGAAAATAGCCCAGTGCTGTGTGGGTCATTCATAATAACCATTTTTAATAGTGATCACTGCATGGCAAGAAAGGCTACCGGTCATCACACGTGCTTGAGTGAAGACTGGGCCTCCGGTTCCCTCCCTGCATCTCTCTCGGTGGGCTGGGGCTGCTCTTCCCTGGCATCCAGCCCAGGCCCACTGTCCAGCAGATGCTGATAACTGTGCCTGCAGAACTGACCCAGCCAAGGTGATAATGGTGAAGGCTCAATGCACAAGTTTCTTGGAGGTGTGTGTGTGTGTGGAATGTTCCAGGCCCAGTCCCACCAGTGTCCCTTCTTCTGTCTAGGGGAGACCCACCAGGGCTTCGCTTCCTTCATGAAGGCCCCACTGCAAGCAGCAGGTCAGGGCATCCCACCAGAGGGAGACCACTGCCTCCTGCGGGGGCCGGCAGGTCATCATGTCCCCCAAACAGAAGGAAGAGAGGGGTCGGGACAGTTCCAGGCAGTGAATGAATGATTGAACAGGCATGGGTAGGCGAGTGCTCCACTGGCCTGGCCAAGCAGCCCACATCTCACACACCACAAACTCCTCACAGCCTCACTTCCTGTGTTCAAGTGACAGGATGTGACATGCCCATGAGGACAGAGGGGCCCCTTGCAGAGATGATGAAAAGGATGCTGTAGTTACAGAATTGAGGGCCATCCTTCATTCAGACACCATTCATGAAGCTGCCAGTACAGCAATGACCTCAGGTGTTAGCAAGTTTGATTCAGGGTCTGATTCTTGGAAGCCTCCTGATGTTCCCCCATTGGGTTAAGAAATCTTCTCCTGCTTTTGTTGTCATCCTTTATCCCATCCAGTGTGCCACCTTCACGATGGACTGAGCCCTGACCGGGACAGAGTCTCGATTCCATAAAGCTCCCTTGGGTGCACACCAGGGGCCCAGAGAGTGGAAGTGGCGAAAATGGAGGCTAGGGAGTGAGGACAGTGGGGTGGGGGTGGGGGCCCGCCGGCAGGGCTCCACTAGGCTGAGGATAGCCTGGCTGTGCCATGCACAGGGCCGCTGGAGCAAGTCTGTCCCGATTTGACATGTGGCATGCTGGGGAAGGGACACCACTGCCAAATGTACGGCAGGAAACAGCTGTGTGACCCCAGTCAAGTTCCTTCCCCTCTCTGAGCCTCAGTTTCCTCTTCTGTAAAACGGGATCGACAGTATCACATTTTACAGCAGTTGGTGAGACCCCATGAGGCAACTAAGCATGAGAACGCTTTGCAATCAAGTTGGGCAGCTCTGATAGTGGCTACAGTGCAACTGTTGGGAAAGTTAAACATCTAGAGATGCTCAACACCCCATCTCCTTTCCACACTGAAAGGCAGGGTAACAATAAGGTCTGAGCAGCAGGTGCTGGGAGAGCCTGGGCCTAGAAGTGGGCCTGCCGCGGGTTCTGGGTGGGGAGTAATGGTGGGCAAACACAGGCTTATCAAGTGCAGCAGGGTAACCTCAGGAAAGGCCTGCTCTTGGTTACAAGATCCTTGCGTACAAACAGAGCCACCCCCTCCAAGTATCTTTGGTATTTCTGGTGCCAATAGGTTTGGTGGCAGAGCGGGGATGGCCTGGGAGTCACAATGCTCAGACTGGGAGCCTGAGAGCTGGAGAAGAGTGAAAAGACCCACAGAAAAGAAAGACAGTGAGCGCTAAGCCCCCTCGGGCCAGCCCCTCTCTTAGGCAGGAAGGCTAGACGAGCTTATTCCAGGAATCAGCAAATCCACCAGAGCCACGTGTTCAAATGCAGGTGGCTGGGCCCCCAACAGATTGAAGCAGACTCTCCAGGGAAGAGTATTGGAATCCATATAGAACATTGTCCCTGCAAAACTGCAATTGGATAGGCTTGGGCAACGCAGCCACAGTGAATAGCTGCATCACGGGAACATCAACCACACCTGGACATTAAAATCATCCGGAAAATGAAAAAGATCCTGAGGCTTGAGCCCTCCCCCAAACCTAGAAACCAGAATGTCTGGGGGTGGGACCCACACAGTTTTTTTTTGTTTTTTTTTTTTTGTTTGTTTCTTTAACTGCTCCTCAAGTGATTCCAGTATAGCTCCTGGGCTACAACCCCCACCCCAGGCTAGTATACTCCAGGGTTCCAGTAGAACTGTGCTGAGCCTCAGTTTCCCCATCTCTAAAATGGGGTTCTTAGTGCCTGCCCAGACAAGGCCTTTGTGAGGATGACATTTCTGAGCATTGGAGGCAAGCAGGCACTGGGCCAAGTAATCTGAATATGAATTGTCACATTTCATCCTCATGACATCTCCCCTCCCCGATGTAACAGCCCTGAGAGTTTAGAATTTCTCTGGCATCAGGCTCCTGGGCCCAGGCAAAGGTGTGGCAGGGAGGAGACAGCTGTCTCAGGAGGACCTATTCCCAGCCACTGGGGTGGAAGTTCCACGCTGGGAAAGGATTTACTATTTGTTTCAGAAAATGCAGCGAGGGCCTTGCCACAGGGAGTGAGAACTTTGGTGTGCTCTGCTCGCATCGACAAACCAACCTGTGAGCTTCTCCACTAAAAAAGCAAGTGAGCATCACAGCGAACCAGAGGCCACCGTCATCCCTCGAACCAGAGGCCACCGCCATCCCCCAAACCAGAGGCCGCCATCCCCCGAACCAGAGGCCACTGCCATTCCCTGAACCAGAGGCCACTGCCATCCCCCAAACCAGAGGCCACTGCCATCCCCCAAACCAGAGGCCACCGCCATCCCCCGAACCAGAGGCCACCGCCATCCCCCGTGGGTTGCCGCCTGGCACTGCTGACGCAGCAGAGGCAGAGGTGTGTTTACTTTCCCTCAGTGGAGGTGACGGGGAGCTGCCACTCTATCAGGGGTTCCACAGGCCCCTGCCATGGTAAGGGGCCTCCATCGATTAGGGAGGCCTTGGGGTAGCCCCCAGAAGGCTCCCCACATACTGCTCCAGGCCTCCTTTTCCTAGCCTTGCGACTGAGCCCAGCTCAAGAGGACTCAGCCATGCTCTCTAACCTCCTAAGGTCTGAGGTCACTGCACAGCCCCAAATGAGTGGGTCCTGGGCAAATAGTTTAGGCAGGTGGAGACCTGACGCTGGGCCTCAACCCCCGCAGCCGAGGGTCCCAGAGGAGGGCAAAGGTTGCTCCTCCTAGAACAGCACAGTGCAGCGCCCAGAGAGCTGTGAGGGAAGCTGGCATTCGAACCCCACTGCCCCCTGGGAAGCCTGGCTAACCGAAGCGCAGGCTTTGGTTTCCATAAATACCCGGGCCCGTGATGTCACCGCCCCGTGCAGACTTTCACAGCCTCTGCTGCTGGCGTGAGGCCCAGCACACAGCCGCTCTGCTGCCAGCCCACAGAACACCTGGGCACACAGCTGGACACTGATGCCTCCGTGCTAGGGACGGTGGGCTGGACCTTCACCTGCCCTTGGAGGACGCAGCATCCTGGCCACTGCCTCAGCCTGCCTGCGACCTTCTATCAGGCATGGCTGAAGGGCTGGCCATGGGCGTGCTGGGCAGAGATTCTCTTCCTAAACAGGCTATGGGCTAAACCAAAGCCAAAACAGTAGGAGCCGGTCTGGGCACCCTGAATGTGGATCTGGGAGGGGGGATACCTGCTCTCACAGTTGGGAATTTCACAGCCTGCTGAAGACCTGCTGACTAATAGCCTTTTTCTCATCGTCATCACCAACAAACACCTCCGCTGCAGGGGCCGAGCGCCGGCATCCCTGCTGGGTGGCCAGCTCCCTCTGCAAGTCACCTGCACATCCACCTGCCCCTCCCCCAACGATGCCCCTCACTCCAGCTCCCAGCTCAGCCGGGCCCCTCTGGCCTCTGGCTTCAGGCAGAAACCTGCCACATATACTCACAAATAGCGTCTTCTGCAAGCCATCCTGTGTGAATCCGTTCTTCCCTGTTCTGGCTCCCTCTCCAGCGGGGAGGCTCAACGTGTTTCCAAGAGGAGCAGGCGGCTCAGGCAAGAAGTGGAGGGGAATAAAATTAAATCGCGGGGCGAGTCACATTCCCGGGGGTGGCGGGCTCCTCCAGGGAGGCTGGGGCGGGAGCGGGGGGCGGCGCCAGCAGCGGGCTGTGGAGGGCCCTGGCACGTAGCGCGCGCTCACACCGTGCCCAGGAGCGAGCGAGGACGTCGAGTAACCGTGGTCGCCAGGCTGGGCGGGGGCGTCCACCTCGCTGCTACCTGGGCCCACCTTGGGGTTTTTCCCTCCCGTCCATCCGGGGTGCGGGGCGCGGGGATGAGGAGGGGAGGGTCGAGAGAAGGCTGCCCCGGGTTTGCTCTCGCAGCATCCGGAGAAGGGGCGGGCGCGCCGGAGCCTCCCCCACCCCCCGCGCCCAAGGAGCAACGTAGTGCGGCCGCGCCGGACCAATCGCCGAGGCGCTGGTCGCCATGGCAACAGCAGCATCAGGCGCGGCCGCTCGGCTGCGCCCTCGCGGCAAAGTCACACACCCGGCGGGGCGCGGGGCGCCGGCCCCTTCCTGGCCCGCGCTGGAAACCTGGAAGTCTGTTGCTAAAATGCACGCGCCGCGCGGAGCCTACGATGACACTACTTTCCAAGGCGGCTTTTCTGCCTTCGGCACTGAGACACGCGAGCCGCGGAGCTCTCGGGGCTCTGGCCCTGGAGTGAGGCCGGCCGACTCCAAGGCTGTCTCTGCCACTGAAGGGCGATGAGACCTTGGCAAGCCGCGTCTCTCCTGGGAGTCTTGATTATGCTACTGTGAAAGGGATCATAACAGCTATACCACGGGGTTCCAGGAGGGCGCACCACGCCAGTAGCTGCACGGTGGATGGCAGAGCAGTCCTCGTTTGTGCCAGTCCTGTCCCAAAGGGGGCTGCACGTGGCTAGGGAGAATTTCTGGTCTAGCTATGGTGCCTCTTCCTCTCCCGAGGACCTTCCATGTGCCGGGCAAGTATCTGCCCTCATGATGTTTACAGTCTAAGGGGAAGCCAGGAAGTAAGTGTGCAGATATAGGATTGCACGTGGTGATAAGGATCAGGATGAAAAGAGAGCAGGAAGAGGGGAGGCAGGGACCCCAAGAGAGGCGGGAAGGAGGCTTCTGCCATCAGACGGGGTGGTCGGGAAGGCCCTCTGTGAGGCACGTGTGGCTGAGACTCGGATGACGCAAGAAGCAGGGGAGGAGCTGGCGTCAAGGCTCTGAGGCGGAAGGCAGCCTGGTGTATTTGACTGGCCCAGAGGAGGCCAGCGTGGTGCAGTGTGCGACAGGGAGGTGGAGGGGAGAAGCGCACATCCATCCTCGGCTCCCACACCCGCCTTTCCCACACAGATTTCTCTCTTCCTGTCTGATGTTCATCTGATCCTCTCTGCTTCCTCATCTGTAAACCAGGAATCCCAGACCTATCTCAGAGGCATGTAGATAATATTCTTCCGTGCACGGTAATCCTCAAGACAACCCCAATGAGGCCTAATACTATCATCCTACTTCACGGGGGAGCGCATTAAAGCCAGAGGTTCAGCAACTGGCCCAAGCCACATAGCTGGCGGGCAGTCTGGCTCCAGAGTCTTGGTTCTTGACTGCTTGAAAGCTGCCTCACTGGGAGGAATAAATGAGAGAGGGAGTAGTTGAGACTGGGAATCGGCTGGATGTGGATGGCAGCCCACAGGGCCATTTCCCTTCCTCTTTCCATTCTCTCCAGATTCACACTCACCGAATTTAGAAGGAGTGATGCTGCATCCTTGAGTTCCATTCCATCCTTTACAGGGGAGGAAATGAACCTCAGGGGGTGAGCGATTTGCCTAAAGTTGCACAGCAAAGAGTGGCAGAGGTGGGACTAGGACCCCAGTCTTCCAGCTCAGTGTCCTGGTAGGGAGCAGAGGTTGGAGCTGCGGCCTCAGGTGGCCAAGGTGAGGCATCGAACAGAACTGCATGACGCTTCCCGATCTGCCCTCTCCAGGTGAATCCATATGCATGACCAATCTTCCTGTAGCACGGACCTCCCTCCCTGAGTCATGTGAGGAATTCATATTTCTGTGGGTTAACATGTTGCAGAGCCCACCCCACCCCTCTCCTCACTGGAGTTTCAAAAGATTTTAATAACATCAAAATTCAGCCACTGCATCAGGAGGGCTCACTTTGTGTCAGGTCCAGTTGTTTCATGGTCTCAGTGAATTCTCAGAAGCGCCCTACGAAGTGAACATAATTACCACTCCTGCTTAGATGGGTTGCACCACATACGGGGGTCTCCCATCAAGGCAGCAGCAGAGCCCAGACTAACTCACAGCCTGGCTCGGGCTAGAGCAATGCCCCTCTCAGCCGCCTTGCTCAACTAGCGATTCTCTTCTCACTTCCATCTTCCAGAGGCGGAAACAGGCTCAGAGTGGTGAATTGGATGCCTTGAGTGTGGAGCACCCAGTGTCCCTTTCCTGGGCTTCCTCTTTTGCTCCCTGGGAGGCCCATGACATGCATCTGCACATCCGTTGCTTCTTCAGCACTTCTTCTTATAAACGTACTCTCCTTTTCCTTCCATGTTATGCTGTTATTTCAAAGCAGAGGAAATGGCAAGGACCCTGGCATTCAGATACAAATGCCAAGATTTTAGGCTTTTACAAAACATCATTTACAGGGCACGTGGGTAGTGCCTACAACCCACCTGCACTGGCGCGGTTTTGATTTCTGACATTCAATATCCAGCGCCGGACCAGGCACAGAGGAGGCTCCAAAAAGCGTGGAGCTGGGATTCCGACTCTGATCTCTGACTACGGAACCCACAAGTTCATCCCTTCAGGCAGTGAGAGGTCAGAGAGTCTCAGAAAAGGGGCGCGCCCACCTGTGCAGGCTGAGCTTCACCTACCTCATGACCCCAAGCCCTCGACATCCAATCTCAGGGCAGATTTGTCAGCCACACCTCCCAGATGCAAAGCCTGTGGTCGTGAGAGGGTCCTGATCACATAAGAAGTGGAGCTACAGAACTCTGGATGGAATTGTCCACTTTCCTCACTTTCGCAGTTGTAACCAGATGTCTGGAGTGGGAAGCAGGGGCAGCCAGCCTTGGGGTTGCTGCCCTGTGACCCTGGTTATATCACAGAATCATCCACCCACTCACCCACCTCTGCAGGCTGGAGACTAAGGCACAGTGGGAACCTAGCATTCAGACAGCGTTTTCATCCCCTGGAGTTTCTGTAAGTGCCCAAGTTCACCCCTGCCCTTGCCTCATCATTGTGGACTGTGGGAAGCCGCTTGGATCAGAAGGTGAGAGCAGCTGCCAAGGGGTAAGTCCAGAAACATCTCACATCCATCTCCCTTCCCTCAACGGGAAAATTTCCACCCTGCAGGCTGGCAGGAACATTCCTGCAGATCGGCTCACTCCTGCAACCTGCGGCCATCTGTCCCCAAGGTGGGAGGAACATGACAGCATTTGGGAAGAGGGAGGACGGAGAAGGTTGGAGCATGCAGTCCACAGATCTGACAGTCACAGAGCTCTTCAAGGCAGGGAGCCCCGAATCCCAGGGATTCAGGATCTTCATCCAGGGCTGGGCAGAAGTGAACCCCCCACCCCCGCTGCTCCGTTCCAACTGTGGAACTGCAAAGCCGTCAACACTCTGACTCTAAATCTCAGGACCACACAGTCTTCAAGTCTGGGGACTTTATTTTCTTTTAGCTGAAGCTTCACATTTTAAAGAAATGAAATCCTAACTGCACAAATGATAAGAAAATGTATTCTCTTTAAACAAAATAAAGCCCCCTTTACCTCCCACCCTCCTAAATCTTATTCCCCGTTCCAATCTCTGCAGAGGTGACCGCTGTCATCTGTTTGGAGTGGATCCTTCCAGAACTTTTTCTATGCATTTATCTACATATATATGCCTATAGAAAATAGGAAGTATTACATAGACCCTAAAAAAAATGGCATCATTTTACAAATTTCTTTCTTTCTTTTTTTTTTTTTTTAAAGACAAGGTCTCACTATGCTGCCCAGGCTGGAGTGCAGTGGCTTTCACGGGAGCAACCATAGCACACTACAGCCTCAAACTCCTGGGCTCAGCGATCTTCCTGCCTTAGCCTGGGACTATAGGCATGCACCACCAAACCCAGAATATTAAGAATTTTTTAATAAAAGATTTAAAATGTGCCAAAAGGCATAAAGATGAATACCGTGAACTCTGATATACCCCTGACCCACTACAAGAAACAGAACATGACGAATATGATGGAAGCCCAGGGTCACCACCTCTGTTAAATCCCCTCGCCAGCCCTGCCCTCCTCCCATCCCCATGGTGAATTCACTCTGTAGTGAATCTCCTGCATAGAGAGGTATCCACAAACCATATAAACACTTGTGCACGTTTTTAAACTTTACATAAGTAGGATCACATTGCATATCTTTTTCTGCAACTCTTTCCCCACTCGGCATTATGTCTGGAAGACTGAATCATGGAATCTCTAAACCACAGACTCTTCCATGCTGAGTTCCCAAATCACAGGCTTTTCTAATCATAGACATGGGCTCGGGCTCTGGTGCTGGGAGGACCTCGCTGGCAGGCTCGTGCAGGGCCCTCCTAACATCTCTGCCCAGCCCCACCCCTCACGTGCAGGTGGCTGACGGAGGGAGGAAGCAGCCGGAAGCAATTATCTCTGGAAATGTGTGTGGGCTTCTGGAAGCCTGGCAAACACCTCCCTCTGCAGCAAACCAAGTATCACTGAGGTGCCCTGTCCCCTGTCTTGGGGGAGAAGATCAGACCCTGGCCCTATAACAGTTGAGCAGCAGTCCTTGATATGCTCCTGAAATGGAGCACATCCACTGCTTCTCGATGCTATTTTGGAGTCCTGGCTGATGGAGATCTGAAAGCCACGAGGGCTGGCATCGGTCCCCACTTGCCGCCTTGCCAGGTTTGCTGCTGACTGTGCCAAGGACGGCCGTGGCCAATGGAGCCTGCTGGGGCCGCGGATGAGTGAGGGAGCTGTGGCCCTGCAGACACTCCCTGCAGGAGCTCACGCTGCACGGGGCCACGCTGGCTGGAGGAAGGGGGCGTGGGAGACAGATGCTGCTTGAGATGCTTCGGCTGCTGCAGGACTCAAGAGTCCTGCTCCCCTGGGGAGAGAACCAGTGAACACATGAGCAGAGGGCACCTAGAGCAGCCCCTGTGCTTCTAAGCCTCTACTCAGGAGCCTGTGAGAGGCCCCTGAAGGATGCAGGGCGGTGTAATGTGAGCGAGAGAAGGCATCATTAAAAAGTGGTGGCCAATGGCAGGACAGGATGGAGCAGCCACAGACACTAAATCAGAGATGCTGGGCCCCTGCGTGCAGAGACAGAGCCCCAGGATGTGGGCTCCCTCCCGCACCCAACGGCTGCCATACCCCTCCTTTCTCCCCTCAAACCCTGCACCTCTCAGCAGGCAGTGTAGCCTGGGGGGGAAGGCCAGGAGCCTCCTCTGCCACCAGCTATGGGATTTTGGAAGGGGACCCCACTGCAGCCCTTCATCTAGATGCCGGGATTAACAGGGCATCTATGTCCACCTGCAGGTGAGAGCTGCGTGAGTGCACACAAGTGGAGCAGTCAGACCAGGGCCCATCCAGCTGCGTGCTCTGCTGGTGTTTGCTTTGCTGTTGCAGTTGTTTTAGAGCCAGGGCAGCTGGAGAGTTCACAGGAGGGACATTCATGGGGCGCTGGAGCCGGAGGTCTGGGCTGGGCAGGGCTGGTGCCTCCCTCTCCCAGCTGCCCCAGGGGGTTCTTCCAAGCCTGGCGTACCTTGTGCCAACCGCCCTTCTGCCCCTACTTCTCACCCTTCCTGTGTTCATATTGGCCTAATATGTTTATCTCAATTTAAAATAATTTTCACTAAAGCAGATCTTTTCTATCAGTATTGTAAATTGTGCATTCCACGTGCTAGTCACTTTCCTCCACCAATAAACATTCAAAGAAGTACGATTTAGAGAGAAGCACTGCTCTCCTGAGGCCCTCACAAGGCCCTGGGTGTCCCAACCTGGCAACTCCTGCACTGATGTTGGGGTGCCAGACAGGATAGGTGCAGAGCAGGGCCGGGCCTGTGGAGGCTGAGTCAGCACAGATGTGCACGTGGAGTTGGGCTGTGTGTAGGGCGGAGGGACCGGCAAGCATAGGCCACTGGCTGCCTGGCCCCATCCCTGTGGCCCTGAGCCTTCCTAAACCTCACGCTCCATCTGCCCAGTCCTGCATCCGTAAGTGCTGACCAATGCTTGCTTTGGGTCAGACCCAGGCCAGGCATGGGAAACAAGGTGAGCCAAGGCCCCATTTCCTGCCTGGAGGAAGGGAGCAGCATGCCTTGGGCGGTGGTGGACACCCAGCAAATTTCCTGCCCAGCCACTTGCCTCCTTCTGGTTGCCGCTTCTTTAATCTCTGGGACTCTGGGGGAGCCAGGACCAGGGCATGACTCAAGCAGGGCTGTGAGAGGCAGGCCCAGAGGTTTGCCAGTGTCGTGGAGACAGAGAACATCCCACCTTGGACCTGAGCTTACCCCTGAGAGATAGAGGCCCCTTCTTTACTGGGGCCCCCATGGGGAGGAGCCTGCATGAGAGGCTGCAGGTTCTCATCACCGGAGCCCTGGGCCAGCCACACCTGAAACCTGGAGGTTATGCCGCCCATATGTCCATTTTACATGAGCCAGTTTGAAGCGGGCTCACTGTCACACAGAACCAAACGTTCTAATGCAAGTACCTTGTAATAGTCACAATACTGAGCGAACATGATCACAGTTATAATATGGTAGAACTGACTGTTTCGATGGAAATGTAGATCAAATAATACTATGTAAGATGAGGGAAGGAGGGGCAAGGTTTTTGAGAAAAAGAGATATAGCAAGGAAAAACAGAAGTTTCCTGGAGGACAAGATGTTGAAACAGAGTCTTGAAGGGTGGCCAGAAGCTTGTTAGGCAGACAGTGCATGGAAAGGTATTGCTTGCAGATGGAACAACATGTGCAGAGGCTTGGAGGTGAAAAGCAGCAGAAAGTCATGAGACAACCTGCCAGGGGTTTGGGCTTCATTATGCGGGTAATGGCATTCCAGGAGGTTTCTGAGTAGAGGAGGGACATGGTGAGGTTTGTGATTAAATAGATCCCCTCATGGGGGAAGGATTAGTGGGGAGAGATTAGAGGCTGGGATACCAGAGGAGAGGTTGGGATGGTGAGTCTGGAGGGAAGAGGTGGAGGCCTGCACTGAGGCATGAGAGTGGGGATGCAGAGAACAGGTGTTTTGGGAGAAGTGTGGGTGGGAGAGGAGAGATGGGGTGGGGACAAGGCATCCACCTGCTCGTCGACTGGGTGGATGGTGGCACCCTTTGTCTATACAGGGACACAGGCAGAGATGCAGGGTGGAGGGAGATATAACCCCTGCCCCCTTGTGAGGTGCCAGGGAGACCCCTGGGGAAGAGTCCAGGAGGCTTTGAGCGTCTGGCTGGAGGCTCAGCCCTGCAGGAGAAGAGAGGAGAGAGTGTGAGGGGTGAAGAGAGGTCAGACAGAGCCCTGGGGACATGGACATTTAAGGGAACAGCAAAAGCCGCTGCAGGGGTGGGAAGAAACCCAGCAGGCATCCTTACCCACAGCTGCCCACCTACCCTCCAACGGCCACTTCCCTGGGCAAGTGCGCTCCCTCCCTGCCTCAGCCTCAGCCTGGGAACTGGGCTGTGCTCCCCAGCCCCCGCCCTGCCGCTGTTCCAGGGGATCTGCCGTCTGTCCTGTCCCGCCACAGTGACTCAGGCCCTGCCCTCCTCCCCGGGGATCTGAGCTAATACAAGAACAACATTCTTAGTAAAAAAGAATCCAAAATAAGGGCTAAGCTTTATGCTCAAAGAAGTTCTTCACAGCATTATTTATAACAACAATAAACAAGCTAAAAGCTCAAACAAATGTTAAGGTAAATGTCCAATATTGGGAGCTGGCTAAAAATGCAAGGTTTCTGCATACAGTGGGATATTATACAGCCTTTAAAAGAGATGTTTACAATGTTTGGGAATAACCTTGATGACTGCGTAAAAAAAAGCAGCTTATATAAGTGCATAGTCAGTATGAATATAACAGCGTGTCCATAACACACAACTAGAAAAACATCTGGAAGGACACACAGACATGCCACCAATAAAAGTTGGCATCTCTGGGTGGCAGAATAACTGGTCAGCTTTATTTATTCCTTCAACTTTATTGATTTACTTTTGTTTTAGAGACAGGATCTTGCTCTGTTGCCCAGTCTGGAGTACAGTGGCACAATCACAGCTCACAGAAGCCTCAAACTCCTAGGCTCAAGCAATCCTCCCACCTCGGCCTTCCAAAGTTCTGGGACTTCAGGAACATGCCACTACATCTGGCTAATTTTTAAATCGTTTATAGAGATAGGGTCTCCCTTTGGCACCTGGGCTGGTCTCAAGCTCCTGGCACCAATGGATCCTCCCACCTCGGCCTCCCAAAGTGTTAGGATTATAGGCATGAGCCACCATGCCTGGCCTCAATTTTCTTTATTTTTCAAAGTTTCTACAACAGGCTTAACAATATATAAAAAAGTAAAATATATTACTACAAAAATTTTTCAGTCATCTAAAAATCACTGAAAACACCAATGAACTAATTCTAAAAGGGAGAGGAGGCTGGGATTCTGCAGGGACCAGTGCACGGGGTGGAGTCGGATGTGGGTTTGAAGCTGGCTCCGACACCGCCTGGCCCAGTGACCTTGGGCGGGTCTTCGCTCCTCTCTGAGCCTGCTTTCCCTCTCTAAGAATCTATTCTGGTCCTCCCGTTCACAGAGGGTTGACGTGAATACCAAATGACTGAATGCACTTGATGTGCTAAAGGAGTGGGTGCTGCATGACAGGTGCTCGACAAAGGCGACCAAAGACTGCAGGGGTCGGTAGAGTGGGGTGAATGAGAGCAGGGCCACCGGGCAGCACGAGGGGTGCAGGCTGTGCACTACCCAACTCCATGGGTGCAGCTCCTTTATCCTTGAGTGGAAGCAGTGGCCCCCGAGTCGCGCAGGGCAGCAGCGTGTGGTCATGTGGTCTCTGGAGTGCTGCATCCCAGCTCTGTCACCTACTAGCTGTGTGACCTTGGGCAGATCTCCAAAACTGAGGATAATAAGGGAATCAACGTGTCGGTCGGTTGTGACAGTCTGATGATCTAATGTGTGCAGGTGCTAATCACAGCAAATGGCTGCCGAGTGCTTATCATCACCCTGCACACCGCTGGGCACACACAGTCTCACCACCCCTGACTCTCTTTTTATCCCCGACAAAGGGCAGTTAAGCTTCTTCTGCAGTTCCCTCAGGTCAGGGCTGGGGAGGAAGGCGCAGGCCTGGACCGCTACAATGGCTGGGGTGCTGAAGTCAGAGTGAGACCAGCCTCTCAGCTGGCCTGGTACCCAGCGGGCATTCTCTATGGGCTTTCACACTGAGCACTGCATGGCCATAGGGCCCAGGTGCCCACCTGGCCAGCCTGGAGGTCAGAGGCAGGAGCTCTCTGCCTTGTCAGTCACTGGGCTCTCAGCATCTCCTTGCAAGTTTGGCTGCCATGCTGGGCCCCTTCCTGCCTCCCTTCTTACTGTTCTAAACCACCCCTAGCCCCGCACTGGGAAGGATCTATTTAACCTGAAACCTGACCATGTCGTAGCTCTGGTTCCAACCCAGTGCTGGTCACCCTTGGCTCTCGGAGACCTGTGCGGACGCCTCCCCCTGCCCCTCCTGACCTTCATCTTCCTTTCCGGCCATGCCCCGACTCATGCCACTCCAGCCAAGGGGCCCACTGTCAGCCCCCCACTCCCAAGCTCTTCCCGGCCCCAGGGCCTTTGCACGACTGCCACCCTCATTGGGAATGCTCTTCCTCCCACACTCACTGCTGGCTCCTTCTTGTGGCTCCAGGCACGGCAGAGTGTCTATTCCTGCCCCGCCAGCTCCCTCACAGTCGTCGACCTGAGAAGGGACTCTGTAATAATTACACACTGGTTTACTATCATGTGACCACCTCCCCCACTGGAATGTGAGCCTGGTGGGGGCAAGGACAATGTCTGTCAGTCACTGCTTTATCCCCTGTGCCTGATAACTTGCAGGTGCTCAATTAATGCCCGTGGACTGAACAAGTTGGCAGCTGAGTGACACTAGTGTTCAAGGAGAGAGAGGACCTACGTGCCTACCCTGTCTCCCATTAATGCAGATGGGGGCTGAGAGAAGGTGGCAGTTCTCACATTCTCCCAGGATCTGAGTCCCTGCCTCAGTCACTCACTGGTCCTTCACCCACTGAGAGGCAGTGTGGCAGCAGATAACAACCGTGGAGTCAAGAAGACGGGGCTTCAAATTCCAGCTCTGCCACTCACCTGCTGTGTGACCCTGGGCAAACGACTCAGCCTCTCTGGGCCTCTTCCTCTTCCTACTCTGAACAATGGGGTGGCACATTTGGCTTGCTGGATAAGTGTACCTGGGAGGGTACTCTGACTGGGTGTGCATTTCCCACTGCACAAATGCCCATCCCAGACTGGCTGAAAGCAGAGGCCTCGGGGCCTGCGTTGCAGTCAGAAGCCTGGCCTGTGGCCGCAGGGTCTCTAGGCAGCCTTGCTAGATGCTTCATCTGGAGAACAGGCATGAAATGGTGTCTCCTCCAAGAGCTGTGGAGAATAAATGAGGGGACACATGTCCCGTGCATAGCTGGGACGGCACCTGGCATACAGAGTGTCAGCGACCTGAGGATGAGATCTCGCTCCACTTTCTCCTTGTCTCCCCAGCACCTTGTGCGCAGCCTGGCATGGAGCCGAGCTCAGCGACTATTTGTTGAGTGAATATCTCTCGGTCCCCACTTCATGCCAGAGTCCTGCCCTGGAGGAGTACGCGGTTTTCCAGTGAGAGAGCCTTCCCCCCATCCCCTAGCCTTCCCCAGGGAGGTGAGGGGAAGGGGTGGACTGAGGGGAGGGCGGAAGGCCATATGTACCAGGGGCTCCAAGCGCATGGCTGAGTTCATGCCTCCTGCAGGGTCTCTGTTCCTCTTCTGGTGGTTTCTAGGGTGGGGTGGAAGGTAGAAAAAGAAGAGAACTCAGCTGGTCCCAGCTGTGGTGGGGGTTGTGGGTTTTTCCAGCTCAGGTGGGGTTTTCAGAGGGCAGCTGCACCTGACGACCTGGGGCCTGGCTAAGTAAGGCGTGGGGCACACGGCAGGTCACCCAGCCCAAGGAACGGGCATCACTACATAGGTGGTGTGGAGTCTGGGGCCCCCAAAGCTCCTTCCACACCCCACATCCCCCCTGACATACTCAGCTCAAAGCCTGTGTCCGGATGCTCTTTCTGGCCTGGCAACATCCCAGGGGGTAGCCTGTTCATTCATTCATCCAAACTTTACTGAGCACCTACTGTGTGCCAGACAGTTTTAGGCACCAGGACTTAGCAGTGAATAAGACAGATATAAAAATCTGCCTCGTGGGGCTGACCGTCCAGTGGAGGAGACGGACATCAGATGATGACGGGTGCCATGATGGCCCTGGGCACTCTGATGGCAGAAACAGTGTCAACAGCATCTGCCAGTCCCATTCTCCTGCCTGCCATTCCAGATGCCTAAGCCTAGAACTCTGGGATGGGCAGAACTGAGGACAGGGGAGATGGGCCCAGCTTCAGGCTCTGAACCGACTCAGCTCACCAGAAGTCACTGGTACAAAGCGGTTTCCCAGGATCATTGGCCGTAGTAACCAAGATCTATGCCCAGAACTGGGGAGGCGATAGTCTTCCCAGTCCTGCTCAGACCCTGTCTGGGTCTCAAGCTCAGCTCTGGTTCCTGCCCTGAGAAAGTGATAAGGGCAGCCTGGGCTATGATTAGAGGGAGTGTATGGGATGCAAAAGGCCTGAAAATGTCACCAACAAGAAGAAACAGCCTCGGGGTGGGGTGGGGGGGCAATTCTAGCCCCCAAGTCCTTGGGTAGGGTTGTCCTCGGACAGAAAAACAGGTTGTTGGGCTCAGAGGCCATAGATAGGACCCTCGAACAAAGAGGAACAGGGAAGAGTGCTAGCATTTATCGAACTCCCGCTTATTACGACATCTCCTCGGATGCCCCAAACAGCCATATGAAGAAAGCTATTACTGAGTCCATTTTACAGATGAGGAAACTGATGCTCAGAGACACAAAGAGACCTGCTCTGTGTCACTCAGCCAGCACAGAACTGAACCGACCAGAGCAGCCCCAGTAGCAGCAAGGGTGATGTTAGGAGGATGCTGACTTCAGCTCTGGTCGGGGCAAGCACCCTTATCAGAGCTGCCTGGTGAGAGAGTGAGATCCTTGTCATGGGAACTGTGCAAGCAGAGGGGTCACGTGGAGGGCGGGGCTTCATGGCAGACAGGAACCCTTCAGTGCGTAGGGTCACCTTCAATACTCGTTCAATCCTGGGATTCTGACGTAAGAAGGATAGTGTGTTTAAGGACCAGAAAACTAGGCCTCCGTGACGGCAGCCCTGCCAGCAGAGCCTGCAGGAGACGGGGTGTCCAGCTGCAGCCAGGTGGGTCCTTGCTGGAGTGAGCACCCACGGTTGACAACAGCTCCCCCTTCATAGCCTCTTTCCAGTTTTACAGGCTAGTGGTTGTGACAGAATAGCCGTTACCAAAGTGAACCCCTTGAAGCCTTCAGGCCCACGTGCTGTTACCCCATTTCACAGACGGACAGGAGGCCCGAGGCCACGTCTTGGACTTCCGTCTGAGACTCGTCGCTGGCCTGAGGGGCATGTGGTTATCGGCCAATGCGAGGCTCTCGAGGCTGCCCAGGCCCTTCCTGCGGGGAACACAGACATAGTGTCTTCACCTCTCTCTTCAGACAGTCCTCACCTGCAGGTGGCTGTCACCCGCTATCCTTACCCAGGGAGGGAATTTGGAAGGTGGCTCCACGCGGCCCCTCTGCTTGCACACTTCTCCTCTACCCCCAGTCTGGCTGGTAACTTGGGCCGCCGCAGGGCTGGCGCTGGAGGACTGAGGTTGCTGGTCACCCAGACTAGAGAGACTGTTTTGGGGCAGAGTGAGGTAGGCAGCTGAGGACACAGCAGGCATGGATGCTGCCCTCAGACCTCAGCTCAGATTCTGATCACCGCTTGCCTGCTGTATGACCCTGGGCAAGGGGCTGCTGACTCTGAGTCTTAGTTCCTATATGGAAAATGGGAAAGGCAGATTCCTTACCCAGAATGGACAGACTGAGGAGGGTGACAGGAGATGATGCCGGTTTGTGCCCACCGTGGCGGGGATGACACAGCACATGCTCAGTGAGGGCTGCTTGTCACCATCATCATGACAGCACTGTTGGCCTTGGAAAGCCTACCTCAGTCTCCATGCTGGTTCAGCGCTGGGAGATGGGTGTGGAAGAAACTGGCACACAGAGCCACCTGCAGGGCTGGGAACCAGCGGGCGTCTTTTTCCTGGGAGGGTCAGGGCCTTTCTTCACCCTGGTTGGAGCCACTGCCTATTTCTGTATTGCGGTGTATCGTGGTAAATGCAAATCAGACCCATCCCGCCAGCTTCCCACTGCACTCAGAACCGAAAGCCTGGTTCTGCCCCACAGTTCTGCCACCCCGCACCTGCCTGCTCCCTTCCATGAGAGCCTCGTTCCTGCCTCAGGGCCTTTGCATCTGCTGTTCCCTCCCTCAGCTCTCTGCACAGCTCTCTCTTCAGGTCTCAGCTTAGCAATCACCTGCAAGGGAGGCCTTCCTGAGCACCCTTGAAGAAGTAGCCCCCAGGCACTGTCTCCTCACCCAGTTTACTTCCTCTAGGCCATTTACAGGCATCCTGTTTAATTGTTCTTTCTCAACATCTGTCTTCTCTCAAGAAAATATCCTGTCCACAAGGCAGGGTCACCCCCTGTCTTGGTTATCGTGGCATCCCCCAGTGCACTGAATGGGGCCTGGCACACAGCAGGTGCTAATAAATGTTTGCCAACCAAACGAATGAATGACCTCAAGCCACACTCCCTCATTCACCCCCAGCTGGTTCAGGGGATCGTGGGTGCCACACTGTAGCTCTACTTATTTCACATGCCACACCCTTTGAAGGTTTGGTGAAAATCCCACCCCAGACAACATTCTTCCTACAGTCTAAATCTACACTGGGTAATTACTTTCAAATCCACACTAATAATAGGTCTTGTGATTACAGTTTATTTGCTGCGACTTTAGTTAATGGGCTGGATGGAATATTTGCATCTAGAAAGTTCCCCTGATGTTTTAAAGAGCTCCCAAATTCATCCACCAAAAGGAAGAGAAATAGCAAGAAAGAATAACTCAGAGAACTGCATTGTTGCCTCTTGGTGCAGGAGAGGCTCTCGGTGCAGAAAGAGCCCCAGAGTGTGTGCAGGAGGTCTGCAGACAAGCCCCTTCGCTTCTCTCAGCCTCAGTCTCCTCATCTGCAAAATGGGTTGGTAAACCTGGCTGGCAGGGGAGGAGACCGTGAATCAATCCCAAACCTTGACAGCCGTGATGACTTTGCAATTTGCTAAGAGCCTCTGCACCACTATCCCAGTCATGTTTTTCTTTTAACTATTTTTAGTTAAATGCATTTGAAAGGGAGTTTTTCTTTCACTACCACAAACGGAAAACCAGGATCACTTGCTGTCTTCGTCTATTTTGTGCTGCTGTAACAGAATATCTGAGACTGGGTAGTTATAAATGTATTACTCACAGAGACTTATTGCTCAGTTCTGGAGGCTGGGAAGTCTAAGGTCAAGGGGCTTGCACCTGGCAAGGGCCACCCTGCTGCATCCTCCCGTGGCAGAAGGTGGAAGGGCCAAAGAGCACTACGGAGGGATGGGGGCCGAACTTATCCTGTTTATCAGGGCCCGCTCCCAGGACAACTACCCCACTTCTGAGTTAACATGAACCCCTCCTGGCCCAACCCCTTCTTCAAGGCCCCAACCCTCACCGCTGCTGCCCTGGGGACTAACTTCCCAATGCATGAACTTTGGGGGACAAATTGAAACCACAGCACTAGAGCACAGTCCCCCCACCCTGTCTAACACAGCCCCTCCCTGTTTCTCTTCTCTGGTGCCTGGTGTTCTGTGACCCACTGATCACTTTGTGTGTTTACCATCTGTTTCTCACACTGGATTAGTTTCATGTCTGTCCCGTAACTGCTGAGTCCCCAGGGCTTAAAGCAGGGCAGCGTGCTAACGCAGTGGGTGGCGAAGGAACAGATGAAAGTGGAGGGGGAAGAGGAACTGCTGGCCATTCGTGCATGTGCTCACCCAGCACCTGCATGCTGACGACGCCCTCGCTTGACCTCTGCTCACTGCAGGGCTGAGGTCCAGATACCTCCACCACATCTATGAGAGCACAAGCTTAGTATGCCGAGGCCCACCAGCTTCCCGAAGCCTGCTCCTCCCCACTCCTGCTCTCTCCAGGCCCCCACCCACTCACTCTCACTCCTCCCAGCCTCCACACCCCTCCCTGGTTCCTGTCGCCCTCCCCGCTCCTCTGAATGGCCTTAGTACCCTCCCTACCCTCCTTGATTCAGCTCTCAGCCAGACCAATCCTTTGGCTGAACCTACATGAGACCATGGCCCTCTTCTGCTCAGTACCCTCCCGGGGACCCCACCCCACTCAGAATAAAAACCCCAATCCTTGCCATGATCCACAGGCCCTGCTTTACCCCCTGGGCCTTATTTATCCTCCTCCTAACTCTGCCTCGGGCACACTGGCCTGTTGCAGTTTCTCCAGCTCCAGCTCCAGGCTCTCCTGCCCCAGGGCCTTTGCATGTGTCATGCTTTTTGCCCAGGGGGATATTCAAAATATTTAACACAGGCACTGGCCCCCACCACTCCAAAACACCTCCTGCTAGGCTAAGTATTAACTCCTTTATTGCAGATCCTAGGGACATCTGAAGAGGGCCAGGAGAAGGGCTGGACAGAGACAGCAGCAGTGGGAGCCCCTCTGGGGGTCCAGACAGTGGGCTTTAACCCAGGGGCATGAAAAGATTTCAGTATTGTAACGACAGGTGTGTAACCGCTGGACATATGCCCTGACTTGGCCTGGCCCACTCCTCTCCTATTGGCCAGGAGGCCCCCTTGGGCCCCTCCCCAAAATACACTGCCACACCCCATCCTGGCCTTTTACTTTAGCACTTGTCACTATAAAACCACACAGCCCTAAAATATAAACAACCCAAGTGTGCATCAACAGATGATGGATAAACAATGCGATCTGTCCATACTATGAAACATTATTTAGCCATAAAAAGAAATAAAATTTGGGGAGCACTAGCCCATGCCTGTAATATCAACACTTTGGGAGGCTGAGGCTGGAGAATTACTTGAGCCCAGGAGTTTGATACCATACTGGGCAACACAGTGAGACTCAGTCTCTACAGAAAAAATTTTTTTTTAATTAGCCAGGTGTGGTGGTGCACACCTGTAGTCCCAGCTACTTAGGAGGCTGAGGTGGGAGGATCCCTTGAGCCCAGGAGGTCAAGGCTTCAGTGAGCTGTGTTTGTGCCACTGCACTCCAGCCTGGGTGACAGAATGAGACCCTGTCTCAAAAAAATTGTTTTTAAAGAAATGAAGTACCGATATATGTGGCAACATGGATAAACCTTGGAAACATGATGCTAAGTTAAAGAAGCCAGACACAAAAGGACACATCTTCTATGATTCGAATGGTGTGAAATGTCCAGAACAGGCAAATCCATAGAGGTAGAAAGCAGATGAGTGGCTGCCAGGGAATGGGAGGAGGCCTAGGGAGTATGTGGACGGCTGCGAATGGGTATGGAGTTTCTGCCTGGAGTGATGAAAATGTTTTAAAACCTATTGTGGGGATGGTTGTGCAACTCAGTGAATTTACTAGAAAGCATTGAATTGTACACTTTTAAAAACACTGTATATTTTAGGCCGGGCACGGTGGCTCACGCCTGTAATCCCAGCACTTTGGGAGGCCAAGGCGGGTGGATCACGAGGTCAGGAGATCCAGACCATCCTGGCTAACACGGTGAAACCCCGTCTCCACTAAAAAATACAAAAAATATTAGCGGGGTGTGGTGGCGTGCACCTGTAGTCCCAGCTACTCGGGAGGCTGAGGCAGGAGAATGGCGTGAACCTGGGAGGCGGAGCTTGCAGTGAGCCAAGATCGCGCCACTGCGCTCCAGCCTGGGTGACGGAGCAAGACTCTGTCTCAAAAAAAATAAAACAACAAAAACAAACTACTGTATATTTTAAATTTCTATATTCTATATTTTGGTTTGTTTCCCTACTGTTAGCACGCTAGCTTCATGAAGGTAAGGATTTTTGTCTGTTTTATTCACTATACTCTAGTGCCTGGAATACCACCGGTATTTAATAAAATGTGAAATGAGTGACTGAATGAGTGAGTGGATGTATGAATGAATGATTGCAATCTGAGCTCAAGGTGCTGCTCCCCAGTGAGTCCCAGCACTCAGGCACACCCCCATCCCGTGTTGCACCTCTCTGTGTCCATGTGTGCCACCCACTGGCTGCAAGTCCCCCACAGGACATGCTCATGGAGTCTGTGGGGTGATTGGTGACAGGCCTGGTGCAGGGGCAGGTCCTGGTAGAGGTAGGCCCCACGCTGGGCTGAGAGACTCTACAGCCCACCACATCCCGAGAGCCCCTTCTCCCTCCCCACAGCCTGGTGTTGATTTAAAGGGACTTTGCTGGGCTTCTGCCATGTGCCAGGTGCTCTGCTGGGCCTGAGGAGGCACACTAAGGGGACCTGGCACCCTGTGACTCGTATGAGCTCCGTAGAGATTTTAGACTTCGATCCTTGAGCTCAGAAGGACCTCAGCCGGGGACACTCAGGCACAGACAGGCTGAGAATGGAACCCGGGTATCCACAGTTCCCTTGACCAAAAGCCCTGTGCGGAATTTGAACCCCAGCCGCGGGGACAGCACTGGAAGACTGCACGGAGCTGCCTGACCAGCCAGGAGGAAGATTAATTTGGATTTGGCTGGCCTGGCCTCCTCCTCACCGCCCACACTCCTCTGCCCTGATGACCCATTCTGTGCTCGGTTTCTACGGCCTTCTCCCAGAGAGGTTTGTAAAGACTTCTCGTCACTCCGGTCTTGACTCAGTGGACACTCTCTCAGGGAGGGCTCCTGCCCACCTCTGTCCTGCACTCCCTACGCCATCGCTCACTCAGGTGCATGCCTTGACCCCGTCACCACTCTCCGAGGGCAGCAGCATCGGTCTCTCTGCCAGGCTGCTGGTTGCTGTCCTCCTTCCTCATTGGCATACAGACTCCAGGAGGCCAGGGGAGTCTGTTTTATTCACTGAAGCAGGCTCAAGCCATAGACCGTGCCTGGCACATAGCAGATGCTCAAAAAATATTTGCCGAATGAATGAGGGAGTTTGTTTACAGGACAGATGCTGGAATGAGACCCAGGACAGTGTTGCTGGGCCTTTGACTTGGGCTTGGGCCTACTGAAACCCATGCATCTTTTCTCCCATCTCTTCCCCTGGCCTCCTGGCCTCCCTGCCCTCCCTGAGCACAGCCCTCCTTTGTGACTACTGCAGGAGCAGGGGCTGGGGTGTGAAAGGACCCAGAAGCCCAGGTGGGACGGGCCCACAATGCTCCCAGGAAGCCCGACTTGGCTGTGCCTCAGCCTTGCCCCCGCTGACCTGTCTGTTCACCCCAGCTGTTCCTATGACCAGGCCCTTGTCAGCCCTCCCTCTGTATTCAGGGAAACTGAGAGGTGCCTGAAGCTCCAACATAAAAAACAAAGACACAGGCAGGCAGAGGACACGTGTGGCACATTTGGGGAGTCTTCAGGGGTTTTCCTAGGAAAGCCACATCCTCTGTGGAAGCCTAGACTGTTCAGGCTTCCTCCCAGGTCTCCTCTTTGGTCTGGGAGGGCAGCTTGGGTGGGGTCGGGGTGGGCAGGACCTGGAGGCGCTGGAGCAGGGCAGTCATGGGGGAGGTGGTCAGTGTCCCCAGGCCCCCCAGGCAGTTCTAAGGGCCTGTGCATGGTCGAGGCCAGGAGGAAGCTAAGCACAGCTCTTTCTGGGGTCAAGCTACCCTGCACTGCGCGGGGTCAATTGCCCTGCACTGTGCAGGGTCAGAACTGACTGCATCAAAAGGGGCTAGTGAGATGCCTGTGCCTAGGGCTAAGCAAGCCAGCAGGGACATACCAGGCAGGAGAAGAAGACCTTGTGAGCTTCTGCCAGCTCTGAGGACACCGTATCACGGGGGTGTTTCCATAAAGTGCTCAGGGAAGTAAGTTCTGGGGTTAGTACAGCTCAAAGGCGCTAGGTGTAATGCTCAGAAGTTCCAGCAGAGGGCAGCGCGCGGCTGCTGCAAAGTCCTGCAAAGAGATACCTGCAAAACACGCCCCGGCTGACCACGGACGTCCCAGAACGCTGTTGACCTGGCTCCTTCCCAGGCCTGCCCAGGCCTCATTCCCTGGCCACATGTCCTCTCCCCATCTGGGTTAGGCTAAAATAATCCCAGGAACTGAGATGCTGCCAAGAAGACACAACACAGAGACAGGACCCTAAGGACCAGGAGCAGCGCGTGCCTGGGTGCTGGGGGCCTCTCTGAGACGGCGACATTTAAGCCAAGAGCTAAATAATGGGAGAAGTCAATTTTAGCCCCTAACCCGAATTATTTCTGTTCCCTCACCAGAACAATCTCAATGGTGTCTCCTCTATCAACCCCTCTGATGGTGGC
The DNA here is from genome assembly GCF_000001405.40 of Homo sapiens. Classification (NCBI taxonomy): domain Eukaryota; kingdom Metazoa; phylum Chordata; class Mammalia; order Primates; family Hominidae; genus Homo; species Homo sapiens. The sequence goes on from NC_000003.12 coordinate 13,092,728, forward strand.
CTCTTCGCGTAAAACAGTCCACCAACATTCAGGCCCTGCGCTCTCTGGCCCCACCCACCTTGCAGGGTTCCTGTCCCAGTGCCAGCCCCTCCTCACTCTGCTCCAGGCACGCTGGCCAACTTTCCATCTCCAAGGCCGAACTTCTTCGAGTCCCGGGGCCTTTGCCCTTGCTGTTCCCTCTGCCGCGAGCACTCTTCCCCCTCCCGTAGCCGGCTCCTCCCATTATTTAGCTCTTGGCTCAGAGAGGCCCCCAGCACCCAGGCACAAGCTGCTCCTAGTCCTCAGGGTCCTATCTCTGTGTTGTGTCTTCTTGGCAACATCTCAGTACTTGGGATTATTTTAGCCTAACCCAGGTAACAAGTGACTAAATCACATCTCGGTGGCTCCACACAGGTCCTGCCCCTGCCCAGGGCACAGTCTGTGGTTTCACCAACTCCAGCTGGGGAGGCGAGAGGATACAGAGAGGCATTAAGAGCAAATAAACAAACTCACTTATAAAGGAGACATCGTCCCTCAGCCAGAGCCTCAGCCCCATACCTGACAAGACTAATCGGGCTCAAGGACGGAAGGAGACCTGGGGCCTCCATCCCAGCCCTGCCTGCTGCAGGGATGCATGCTCCTCCAGCATCCCAGGCGGTGCCATCTGAGCCCCAGCACCTTCAGTGATGCAGAGTTTATGTCCTCACCGGGCCCCAGGGGAGACCATTAGGAAGCTTCCTCCACAGGAGGAGCTGGGCTCCACCTCCTGCCATGCGCAGACGAGGGGCTTCATCCAAGTAACTGGTCCCTGTGGCTCAGGGCAGGAACTGGGGAGGCAGGGCTGCCTCCTCCCCAAGCTCAGGGGATGCCACGAGGGAGGAGGTTATTCAGTGTGATTCCTACGTGTGTCCCCTTCATCCAGCACATGGGGTGTGTGGCAAACCCTGGACAAGGGGACACAAGACGCATGCAGCTACAGCCTGGCGGCAGGATCAGGCCCGAGCACTGATGACGACTGAGGCATACACAGTTGGATCCACTGTCTGGCATCCAGCCCCTCTTATCCCTGAACCTCCTCCCCACTGTTGGTCCACGTGACTCCGCTAGGTCTCCCCCTGTCCGTTCTCAGCACCCTCTAGGTCCAGGGATGTGCACGTGATCCAGCCTGGCCAATCAGAGCATAAATCCCTCTGTTCTTCATAGTGATTGGCTTAGAGATGGGCTTGTAACCTGAGTCAGGCCAATGAGAGTCAGCCCTGGCGCTTTTGCAGATCTGAAAAAGAGACCTCTTCCGGCTGGGGCCACTGAACTAACTGGCTGTGAGCCTGGGGTTCCTGGTGCCTATCGTGTTATACTGTAAGAGCAAACCTTCCCAAGAATGAAGAAACAGGGCTGAGGGATGAAGAGAGAGAGAGAACCGTGACATCCGATCAGGGTCCTCACTGATACACCGATGGTAGCAGGTGGCACCTCGTATCACAGTGGAGAAGCCGGTGCTGTGGGAGTTCTAGGATGGAAGGCACTTGTGGCAGGGAGATCATGGAAGAGGCAGGGACTGCATCAGGCCTTGAAGGATGAGAAAGTTAACACAGGAAGATGAGTGATCAGGCATTCCAGATGGAAGGCGAAGGCAAGGCTTGCAGGGGCTGACCTTGAAAAGAAGGATTTCACTTCCACCCCTCTCCCGGAGCCACCTGGAAGTCCCATCCCTGCTCTAGACTCCCTCCCCCAATCATATACAAAACACAAACCACAGAGGCTGGCGAGATGCAGAGTGATGTCTGAGCCCCTTTAATTTTGTTCCTTTTTGTCAGGAAGATCTGTGTCCACTCAACCTCTCTCTCCTCCTGACACCCCCCACCTGGTGCCAGACCCTGCACTAAGTACTGTTCGTGGATCAGCCTGTGAGACTGCTTCCACCATTCCCCTCATAATACAGTTGTGGAAACTGAGGACAGATAAATCAGGAGTATGGCCTGTTCCTGGCCATACTACTGGACAGAGGGCTGCAGGGCTCAAACTCAGGCTGACAGGCTCCAGCAGCCACGAGCTCCGGGATCTTCTCCCACTGAGCACGGTGTGACCTGCCGAGAGCACCTGACCCTTCTGGGCCTCCACTGGGAATTCAGGGAAGATCAATAGTTGAGTTCAATTGTTACCTCCCCAGGCAAGGGATACATTTCGATGGACCATGGACACAGACTGAACCAGCTGCAGGCCACACGCTGAGAGAGGAGCCCAGCAAGTGCTCCTAAGCTTGTGGCTGTGGCTGCGGTTTTGTTCGGTGGTGATCATGACCATTTGTTGGAGCCACACCTGGGCAAACGCTATTGCACCGAGAGCCCCCCTCCTCTCCACCTTGCTTCTGGTTTACTGCAGTTTAATAACAATGCTCCACAAGTCAACCAGCCCAAGAATCTACCTCCATCTCTGCCTGTGGGTGGACCCCAGGCTGCGATGTGTAGTCTGGTCCACAGTATACACTGTCTTTCCCAGAGGTGAGCCTGGCATGGTCCCCGTCGTTCCTGAAGGCCCCAGGGAGTTGGAAAGGTGTGGTCAATCCCCGACCCCCACCTCCCAGGGCATCTCTGAGGAACCTGTGAAAAATGCACATTCTCGGGTCTACCCAGACCTCCCAAGCAGAAACCCTGAGGTGGGGCCCAGCCATCTGGGATTTAACCAGCCTTGGCGATGCTGGTGTGCGCTCCTTTAGGGAAGTGCTGGCTTCGTGGAAACAGCAGCACCGGGGGCTGATGGACAGAGCTAAGAACATTTGAGACATGTGTTTCCTACTTAATGCATACCCAGCGCCTCCTCAGAGGCCGAGTTGCTTCCTGCTCAGTGATAATCATTGCCACTCCCCCCTCCTTTCCCAGCCATCTGGGGCCTTTTCCGCCACTCCATGACACTGGGTGGCTCGGTGGGGACGCTGAGGACGCAATCACCAGCCTTTTAGGAACTGGCGCTTGTAAAAGAGGTGGGGACGTCCTTCCTCAGAGGATGCTGAGCACGCCTGTCGGGACGGGCAATTTGCAGAGGGCTCCAGATGCAGCAGGACAATGGAGGCTGATTGGCAGGGAGCGGGCGGGGCAGCTTTTATTCCACAGCCCCACGCAAAAGCGCTGAGCCAGCTGCAGAGGAGAGAGGCCTGGGAAGGATGAGGCTGAGGGAGGGGCGGCGAGATTCACGTGAGACCTCATGCATTCACTGATTTATTCACACATGCCTGCATTCCCTCATTTGGAAGGCATCATGATGGGGTGGGAAGAACCCTCTGAGTCGTCCAAGCTCCATGGCTTCAATCCTGGCTCCTGCACATCCTTGGTTCCTCCTGCCTCAGTATCCGCATCTGTGATCTGGGCTGCTATGAGGCAGAGAAAGGACCCCATGGGTGAAAATGCCCAGCACCCTCCCTGGCTCTTCATAGGTCCCAAGTGTAGACTCAGCTTTCCTATCCCCTCTTTTTCTTCTCATTCATTCAGACACGTATTGAGCACCTAGTGTGTACCAAGATCTGACCTGGGCAGTGGGAGGCACAGGTAAGACCTCCAGGCTACGCCCTAGCTCTTGGGGAGCTCACAGTCTTGGAGGTGGGGCATGTGGGGGACAGGCCTCTAAGTGATCTCAGGGCAGGGTCAGTGTTGTGAGAACCATCCATTCATTTATTCACTCATTCCTTTGCTTATTCACTCAACAAAATTTACTCTGTCACCATACACTGGGCCGTGTAGGGCACACGCCCTTCCCAGAAGGGATTCGCAGTCTAGCAAGAATCAAGTATTTGGGGGGCATAGAGGGCAAGACGCTGACTTAGCATTGGGAAGACACCACAGAGGAGGTGCCATATGAGGTGAGTTTTGAAGGATGTATATGAGTTCGCTGTGGCCTGGGGTTTATGTGAAGAAAACACACCCCAGAGAGGAAGGAACATGAGCAAAGGCACGGCAGCCTCCTGGTGCTTCCGAAGACCATGCTGGCAAAGGGCAGCACAGTCCCAGCCACTTGGCTACATACCCAGAATAGCACTGTCACGCTTGAAGGAGGCACAGAAGCTGCCCCAGCTACCCTCCCACCAGTGCTGGGCCTTCGACAGACAACCATCATTTAATGAGCACCTGCTGTGCACCTAAGGCCCTCTCCTAGGCCTTTCTTTCTTTCTTTTTTTTTTTTTTGAAATGGAGTCTCGCTCTGTTGCCCAGGCTGGAGTGCGGTGGCGCGATCTCGGCTCACTGCAAGCTCCACCTCCAGGGTTCACGCCATTCTCCTACCTCAGCCTCCCAAGTAGCTGGGACTACAGGCGCCCGCCACCACGCCTGGCTAATTTTTTGTATTTTTAGTAGAGACGGGGTTTCACCGTGTTAGCCAGGATGGTCTCAATCTCCTGACCTCGTGATCCGCCCACCTCGGCCTCCCAAAGTGCTGGGATTACAGGCATGAGCCACCGCGCCCGGCCTAGGCCTTTCTTTACATGGCATCCCTTCGCCTCTGCAAACCTTCCAGAGGGAAGCGATCGCCCCTGGTTCACAGAAGAGGAAAGCAAGGCTCAGAGAGGGAAGGTACCTTGCCTCCCACACGATTGGAAGAGCTGGGATTCGAATCCAGATCTGCCTGACTCCAGAACAATGCCTTTTTCCCTCCCTGCTTCCAGACGTGGCTCTGGTCCCCTCCAGTCACTGAGTCTCCAGCTTGGCAGCCATACTCCACCTGGCTGTCCACCATAAGCCCTGCAGGTCCTGTGCCCAAGGCTCCCAGACCCTGGCCATGCTCCTGTGTTGGCGTCAACTTTCTGGATTTCACACGGCCTGCCAGCTCGAGCCTCAGTCTTTCCATCTGTGAACCGGGGCTGGGCCCCTCAGCTCTGCAGCCGCCAGCCCCCACCTCCCAACTCCCGCACTCATGCTGTGAACGCCTGATAAACCTCCTCTGGGCCTTTAAGGGCCTTTTATTTCTCCAGCCATGCTTTTCTCTACATTTTAATAAGCTGCTTACAAAATTGGTGATTGATGAGTAAGAATGAGGAGGATGCAGGGCTGAACATTTTTTTTTTCCTGGAATCGCTTCTGGCTGCGCATTCAACTTTAAATTGATTAATAACGTGCAGACCCAACATTAATTATCAACCATTTGTCACTGGGGAAGGCTGGAGCCTGCGCCTGTGTGCAGCCCCTTTCTTCATGACCAGCTCAGTGGTATAGGAGGTGCCCATCTGTCCCACAGGGGTGCATGGAAGGCCCTGGACACTTAAAGCCCTGGCAGCCTCAGCCCACTGTGCCCTGGGCATGTGAGGGCTTCTGAAGGCCAAGCCTGAGCATCTCAGGGCCGACCCCAGATGTCTGGGGCAGTGGTGCCCTCAATGTCTGTCCTGCCCTGTGCTGGCTCATGGCCTTACCTGACCCTAGGTCAGGTCTTCAGGTCCCCAGCAGACCCCAGCATTTCTTCATTAATTCAACAAACATTTATTGAGCAACTATGATGTGCAGCCTTCTTTCTGGAGGCTGACGGCACAGCAGAGATCAAAACAAGGTCCTTGACTTTTTGCAGGGGCAGCCTGGCAATCAATGGAACCAACGAGGAAGCAAACAAATTACAGTCTAGCAAGAATCAGGAATTTTTGGAGCATAGACGGCGAAATCTAACTTAGCATTGGGAAGGTACCACAGAGGAGGCGCCATCTTAAGTGGGTTTTGAAGGATGCAGAGGAGTTCTCTGGGGGTTGGGGGGATAAGTAAAGAAAGCACAACCCCAGAAAGGGAACGGTCTACAAAGAAAAGAAAAGCCAGTAAGAATCAGGAGGGTCAAGAGGAGGGTGAGGGTTTCCACTAAAATAGGAGGATGGAGAGGGCCTCACTGAGAAGGGGGTGAGGGAGGGAGCCAAGGAGATACCTGGAGAAGAGTGTCTGAGGCAGAGGAAACAGCAGTGGAAAGGCTCTGAGCTAGGGGAAAATGGATGGCTAAAAATAACATTATACAATGTGAAAGAAGCCAGTCACACAAGGCCAGTGTATATGGTTCCATTTGTATGGAGAGTCCAGAATGGGCAATTCACTAGAAAAAAGAAAGTAAATTCAAGGTTACCAGGGACTTAGGGGAAGAGGAAGTGGGAAATGACTGCTACTGGGTATACGGTTTCTTTCTGGATGATGAAAATGTCCTAAAACCGACTGTGAAATGGATTCACAACTCTGTGAATACACTAACATCCACGGAATGATACACTTTAAATGAATGAACTTTACAGTATGTAAATTCCAGTAAAGCTGTTACAGAATAACTTTGTCATATGTCAGGTAGCGATCAGTTCCAGAAAAGACATTGGGATAAGAGGACTTTCGGGGGATGGGGGGAACAGGCCGGGTGTCCCCAAAGAGGTGATATTGAAGCAGAGACCTGGGCTGAGCTACAGGTCCAGGAATAGGGTGGTGGCTAGACTAGCCTGTCCCGCACCTGCCACCTGGGGCACCACTGAGTGTAGCCCTGGGGGCCATAGCCCCTGGAGAGGGGTGAGGAGAGGCAAGTGAGACCTTCAGGGAAGTTGAGGCCACAGTGAGGCACATCGGCTATATCAGGGTCCACTAGGGGCACCAGAATATAGCTGGTGGGGCATGGGCAAATGAGGTTTCGGGTGTGCAGGATTGCATTTTATGAGAATTTGACAAATTTAAATCAGCAAGAGTTGCAACATCTCAAAGCTGGTAGGAAAAATGGTTTTTAGGCTCAGGCTACTTTCGAAAGAGTGAAGGTGGTGCTGCTCAGGGCTTACAGGCAATGGTGGACTCCTCCCCCGAGCTGGGTGTCCCCGGGTGCATCTGTGGCCCTCAGAAGCGCCCACCTCACTCAGGCTGGCAGAGCGCGGTGGCCATGGAAACGCAAGCCAGAGTGTGCAAGAATCAAACAGACAGAAGTAAAAGGACCTTACCTATTGCCCGGGGCTGGGGCTCCCTCCTTCATTCTGGGTTTTAGGAAAACAGCCATCATTATTTCCTAAAAGGTGCCCCCTACTCCCCGCCAACCCGGGACAACTTCACATGCCAGGAAAGCCCTCTCTACCTCAAAGCAGTCCCTGTTCAAGCCCCTACCCCCAGCTCCTCTCTCTGTGAAACCACAGCCATCAGTGAAGGGGGCAGTTGCACCTCAGCACCCCTGGCAGAGGGCACGGCATGTGCAAAGGCCCCAAGGGAGCAGTGTGCCTGGTGTGATCCAGGAACAAGGAATCAGGGTGGCTGGAACAGAGGGAGGGATGGAGAGAGCTGGAGGAAAGGAGAGGAGGTCGGAGGTGACGGGGACAGTGGGACAGGCCTTGGAAGGACTCGGCCTTCACTCTGGCGCAGGAGCCTTGGGAGAGTTCCGAGTAGGAGGATGGGAGGAGTCCGCTGGATTTGTGCTGAGAACAGTGGCGTGGCGAGGGCTGCGGGAGCCATGAGAGCAGTGAGGAGGTGGGGCAACTAGGCTTGGGAGAGACTCCGTGGTCCTAACCCCTCAGCTGTGCACAGGGAGTTGGGGGGTGTGGGGAGGTAAATAAGGCAGGTGCAGACCATGGTCCTCCCTCCAAAACAGAAGAATTGGCTGGCTCCTTCCTCTCTTGTTACCACACTCTTCCTACATCTAGGCCTTTGCACACGCTGTTCCTTCTGCTCAGAACACCCTTCCCTCTCTCCTTATCTTCCTGGTGAATGTTCATCCTCAAGTGCCTAACCCCTTGTATGAAGAAGTTACTCTCTCTGCTGGGGTTGGCACCCCAGGGTGGGGTTTCCCTTCCACTCACCTGGAGGGTCTGGGCTTTCAGCATGGACCAACTTCCTGAACACCTCCTTGAGCTCCGCCTCTTGCAGCTAGAGTTGGGACAGCGGCGGGCGCCCAGGCAACTACAAGGTCACTGATTTTCAGGTCAGCGGTTGGGAGTGGGTGAGTGGGAGAAACAGGCACAACGCCACCAAAGCACTGGTAAATCCAGCAAAACCCAGAATTCTGGGCCACGTCAGGTGGCGTCTCCAGCTGAATTCCTGCCGAGCCTCACATTTCGTTCATCGATTAATTCTACAAATGTTCATTGGACACTGGTCTGGGCCATGGGGATTGAGCAGTAAGTAGGAAAGACAGCTTCTGCTGCCACAGCGTCGGGGGGACCGACAGGAAACCCATAAACAAGTGCATACAAAGGATGCTTTGAAAGGCCACTCAGCCAGTGCTGTGAAGATGAAGAGGGGCGGCCAGGGAGGGCCTCCCCGAGAGGCAATCTTTGAATTGAGACCTGAACGAGGCCTGCCATGGGAGGACCTCGAGCAAGAGTGCTCCAGACAGAGAAAACAGCCCATGTGTCTGAAGAGCTGCAAGGGGGCCGAGAGGCTGGGAGGGACTGAGCTGGGAAGAGGAGGTGGAAGAGGGAGGCTGCTGAGGGGAGTGTGGATTTTCTGCTAAGCGCAGCGAGGAGCCATGGGAGGGCTTCAAGCCTGACAGTGACACGATGCGACTTCTGTTTTTAAAAGCACCCTTCTAGGCTGGGCGCGGTGGCTCACGCCTGTAATCCCAGCACTTTGGGAGGCCGAGGTGGGTGGATCATGAGGTCAGAAGATTGAGACCATCCTGGCTAACATGGTGAAACCCCATCTCTACTAAAAATACAAAAAATTAGCCGGGCGTGGTGGCGGGCGTCTCCAATGAGCCGAGATTGAGCCACTGCACTCCAGCCTGGGAGACAGGGTGAGATTCCATCTCCAAAAAAAAAAAAAATGCACCCTTCTACTGTTGAGAGGGCAGAAAGGAACAGAAAGGAAACAAGGAGGTCTGGGAAGGCCCCGGGAAGATGAGCGATGGTGGTGCCTGGCTAGATGGTGGGCTGGCAGGGAGAGGTGCTCAGGCCCAAGTCTGTCTGGAGGGAGCTCCCGGTTTCCACGACAGATTGCAGTGGGTGGGAGAGGAAGGGGAGTCAGGCTGGGCTGCAGGCGGAAGGGCTGGGAAGAGACTCAGAGTCCTGTTTTGGCTGTGTCCAGTATGATGTCTGTGGGGCCTCCAGGTAGAAACATGGAGGAGGCAGCTGGATGGGTAGCAGTGGAGTGGTGAGTGGTACAGGCTGGAGATATAAATTTGGGGCCATCTTTCAATTTTATTGTTTCAGAGATAAACCCTGATGAAGTCCAGGAATCAATAAACAGAGACTAACACTGGCCTCCTTCCCCATCCAGATCCTGGGAGAGGATTTCACGAGTTAAGTGCTTTGAAACTGACTCTGGCCTTGCAGGGGTGGGAGGGAGGGTGTGCAGTGAGCCAGGGGCCCACTCATGAGCCATCGATTAATAAACTCTGCCCGCTCATGCCTGTAATCTCAGCACTTTGGGAGGCTGAGGCAAGTGGATCGCTTGAGCCCAGGAGTTTGAGACCAGCCTGGGCAATGTGGCGAGACCCTGTCTCTACAAAAAATGCAAAAATTAGTCAGGCATGGTGATGTGCATCTGTAGTCCTGGCTACTCAGGAGGCTGAGGTGGAAGGATTGCTTGAGCCCAGGAGATCAATGATGGAGCCCAGGAGTCAGTGATGGAGCCACTGACTCCAGCCTGGGTGATGGAGCAAGAACTTGTCTCAAAATAATAATAATAATAATAAATAACCTCTGCCTTCCATGCGAACAAACACCCATCCTAGAGCCTGAGACTGGGATGGGCTGGGGAGCGGAGGCCTGGGCCCAGCCCCATGTTGGGGCTGCCGGGGTTGGTGTTGGTGGGGGGCTGGATTAGAGGCTGGATTTCCTCACCCGTGTGGTTTGGGCCCATGGTTTCCTTCTCTGAGCTTCTGTTTGCTCATCTGAGTAATAGGCGTGAAAACCTGTGCTTCACGGGGGTCTGGCAGGAGGAAAGGAGCAGGTGTGAGCCCATGGTTCTCCACAGCACTGTCCTTCCCCGGTCGGGTGGGGATTGGGGATTTGAAGATATTTATTGGTAACCACGGAGCTCCCCTCACGTCACATGCTCCCACTGTCAACTGCAGGCCACAGGTCCCACCCTCCAGGCCTTTGCATGTGCAGCCTTCCCTGCTTGGATGCCCTCCCTGGCACTCCACTGTCAGCAGACTTGCTTGCTTGCCACTAAAATGTAAGCTCCAGGAGGCGGGTACTGAGCACAGCTCGTTCACGGCTGCACCCCTGGTGCTGAGGGCTGTGCCTGCCACGGCCCACATATTACTGCATTTAGTCCTTACAACCACCCTGGGAGGTCGGAAGTTTCCAGATGAGAAAACTGAGAGCTGAAGACAATTGGCACCTTGTCCAGCTCAGCCCCGTCAGAGGTGGCAGAGAGGGGCTCAGATCAGGTGCTTGGTGCCCCCCTACCTCAACCTGTGGGCTGGATGTCGGAAGGGACTCTGACTTCTGCGCAGGGATGCAGCTTGCTCCCATGCTCTGAAGTAGAGCCAGGGCCCCAGGGCTCTGCCCCAGCCCCTCCCTGGCCCATGTCCCCGGCTGGCCCCAGGCAGGTCAGTTCAGGGAAGGGGCCTGCATCGAACTCTCGCCACCTCCCTAAGCCAGAGCTGTCTGCTTGCTCAGATATCATCAGCTTCCCATTAAGCAGATCAATAGCTTCCACTGGTTTCCAATTTGTGTTTCCAGAAATTCATCTCCCAGCCACCTTTTTAATTAACCGCCCCCGCCAACACACCCGAGGCACCAATAGATCACCCTCTCCCCTCCACCTCTGTGGACCACAGACCACTAGCTCCACCAGCCTCGGGGGAGTGGCAGGTGTGTTTAAAGCTGTATGATCACCATCCTCAGTCACTGGAAGAGCTGGCCGTGCTGCCTGGATGCCATCCACACCTGTCCCCGAGGAAGGGGCTGGGCCCTTCACCATGAGGAAAACCAAGAATCAGGGAGGCCAAGCAGCAGCTGGCAAGAGCCAGAGCCGAGTGTGCCATTGGGGTGGGCAATTTGCAGGATGAGCTTCACATGCAGCACGCACTGGGGGTCTGGCTGGCAGGGGAGCGGGGCTGGCAGCTGTGATTTCAGAGCAGGGGAAGGTTGGAGGCCTGACCCCCAGAGGGTGCGCCTCCTACCCCTGGGAGCTCCCCGGTATTCCATGTTGCCTACCACCCTACGAGGGCAGGGGCTGTGTCTGCCTCCATCACTGCTCTCTCCCCAGCGTGCGGCACATAGTAGGTGCTCAGTAAGTCACTAAATGAGCAGCAATATTTGCCAAAACTTAGGACATTACCTTTGTGCCAGGTATTCTTCTATTTAATCTTCACGGCACTCCCTGAGGTGGGTGCTACTAGTATCTTCATTTTATAGATGGGAAAACTCAGGCACAGAGAGTTTCAATGACTTGCCCAAGGTCACACAACTAGTTAGTCATGGAGCTGAGATTCGAACCCAGGCCATCTGTCTCTAGAGCTGTTGCTACTAATCGCCCCACTCTTCCTTACCTGCTCCCCATGGCCTGTCAGCTCCGATGGGCAAGGACTGGGTCCTGTGCCTGGTGTAACTTCTGTCACACACAAACATAGCATGTTTGCTGAGTGAATAAATGGTGACTTCTGCACTCCCTGCTTCCCAAAACAACCTAGTTGACCAGTCTGTTGGGGCAAATCTAGAGTATTTCATCTGGAAATGAAGGGAAGAGATGGGGTGAGTCCCCTGGGTGACCCTGGGGTGACAAGCCTCCCAGTGAGTACACTGCTGGGGCCAACATTAGGGACCCTCTAATTCCACTTCCATCTTCCTTTTCACCCATCCCTTACATTTCTGGGCTCTCTGTAGTCTATACAAAAATACATTCACAGCCATGATGTTGTTATTCTGCGGACTCTTGCAGCTTTCCAGCCAGGCAAGTAGATTTCCACCGCTGACCCAGCACTCGGAACAGGGACCACCTGGGTGCCATCCTCTTTCCCCTGTGCACGCTGGGGCCACATCTTAGCAGTTTCATCTCCAAGTCTCCCTCCCCCACCTCTCCCCCTCCGGTGGCCCTGGCTCCGGACTCAGCTGCTCTCACGGGACCCCAGGTGCAGGGCCCATCATGGCCCCTTCCTCTTCACCCCTCACTCCGGCCACTAGCGGACGCTAACCCAACAACCAACTAGGTCCTGCCTGGCCCCTGACCCATGTGAGGGGCTGTAGGAGCCAGGTCTGCAGGGGTTGGTCGGGGGGTGAAACAAGCAGCGTGTGCTGCGGCAGGACCAGGATGAAGATCATGGCTCTCTTCTAACCAGGAAGGAACCAGCCCAGGGCTGCTAGATTTTCTCAGCTGTGGAGAGAAGACGAAGCCCAGTGTTTAACCTGAAATCTTCCGGTTTGCCAATGCTAGTAGTTGATTACATGATCACATTTAAAAAGTCATTTTACTTTTAAAACACATGCTGCAGGCCAGGGGCAGTCTGTCGGCTGCTAGTTTGTGACTTCTGCCCTGTGCAGTGTGAACTCTCTGGCTCGGCATTCAAGGTCTTTCATGGTCTGGCCCCTTTGAGCCCACAAGGAACCTCTACACGGGACAACACTTCTGTGTCTCCAACACCCTCTACTCAGAACAGCACTGTTCCTCTAGGAAGTGGGCCCTGATCCCCTCCCCTCCAGGGGACTCTACCACTCTCTACTTCACACCCATCTGGTCTCCTGACCAGGCCTCCACAGCCAGGGGCAGAGCGAGGCCTGGAGTCCAGGGTCCTGGCCACACATCCCAGGGTTCTCCCGCTGTCCTCTGGGATGGCCAGCAGACAGATGCCGCTCAGGGACAGCCACCCGCTCCCACCAGTCCCACCCCTGCCGGCAGGGACAGAACCTCTGGCTTTGAGAAAACCAAGAAAAATCAGGGGCATGGTGAATCCTGAAAAACACGTGGAAGCTGGCAGTTGCATTTTAAAATATTACCCAGTTAACAAAATCAACAGCCTCCATGCACACACACACACTCTCCTTCCCTCCACTGCCCCTCCATCCCCTCCTCTCTGTATCACGGGCATCTAAGAGTCCCCCTAGAGCCATTCTCCCTCCTCTAGCCTCAGCAGGGCCCATGACTGACCAGTGAAAGACTGCATTTCCCAGCCTCCCTCCTCGTGAAGAGTAGCCATGAGACTGAATTCTGGCCATGGGGATGTGTGCAGCATCTGAGTCACACCCTCTGTCCCCTCTCCATGTGGGGAGGTGGCAAATCAGCCTCCACCCCTAAGGGATGGCTGGCCTGCAGCATGTGGCTTAAAATTAAAATGATTTTTAAATGTGATCATGTTATCACCTACTAGCACTGGCAAATAGAAGATTTCAGGCGAAACGCTGGGCTTTGTCTTCTCTCCATAGCTGAGAAAATCCGGCAGCCCTGGGCTGGTTCCTTCCTGGTTAGAGGAGCGCTATGATGGAGGTGGAGCCACCAATAGAGGGAGCCTGGGTTCCTGGGTGACTCTGTGGAGCAGAGCCCCCCAGCTTCCCAGGCTGCCTGCTTCCTCTGCATTCTGAACAGAGAGAGGAATCCATATCCAGCTACTGCCCAGAAGCCTTCCATAATCTCAGCCTGGGAAAGCTCAACCCATGAAACTAGACTTCTCCAGGAAGCCTCCCCGTTTCCCCTCCCCTCCCCAGCACCTTCCTGGGCTCCCACTGCCCACACTCCATTGTGACTCTCTACCTCCCCCAGGCCTCAGCCACTGCCTGCTTGGCAGCTCCTTGGGACCCAGGACCCTGGAGTCCCCTTCTTATTTGGGGACTCAGCTTGAGACCTGGGGTAATCAGAGTCTCTGTTCCGAGCACTTGCTATATGTCAGGTGTGGTTCTAAGCTCTTTATCTCATGTAATCCTGAGGCCAAGCCCATGAAATTGTACAGATGAGGGAACCTGAGGCCAAGTGACATGCCCCGAATCACATAGGAGTAGGAGACAGAGAAGACTTAAACTTAGGCCATCTGGTGTCAGAGCTCCCTGCCCTTAACCCTTAGGCAGCACTGCCTCTCCACAGAACAAGGCTGATCCACATTGAGTGGATGAATAATAAATAGTGCATGAATCAATGAATGGGCACTGCCCTCCTCCTGCGGCTCCATGGGTTAGTGCAGGGCTGAACCCTGAGTACACACTCAAAACATGCTTATAAAGTGAGCAACTGAGCAAACATCCTGGGTGGACGATTGTTTTTGGAAGATATCATCTCTTTGGAGTTTATGACCTTAAAATCGTTAACATACATTTTTCTATCCAAAATACATCATTTTAAGACTGTTTGAGAAGAGACACCACATGCCAGCTCCACGGCCCATTAAAGTTAACCAACTGTGCAGATTTTGTGGGAATGATGAAAATAGTAAAAGACTTGGGTGGTTTTCTAGAATGGCTTAAATCATCATGAAATGCCAAGGAAAAGTAACAGTGAACTTGTGAGACACCACAAAGCTGGCAGAACCCTGGCCGTATCTCATGGCCCGTGTCCTTTTTGATGTGGAGAAGGCACAGAGTGGCTCTGGTGACCACCAGGGACAGAAACCTGGGGGCCTCCATCCACTCCCGAGAGATGTCTATAGACTGTAGGATCTGCACAAGAGGTATTCCTGAAACCAGAAGACCCATGCACAGATGGTCAGGGCAGAGGCTAGAGAAAAACAAAGCCCTTTCCTACTTACAAGCTTTGAGGTCTAGATCCTCTATAAATTATTCAGGCAAGTTAAGGCAGCGGCCATTGCCAACAGGACCATGCCCCCTGCGGTTGCTATAGTTAATTAAGTGCCTACTATACAGCACGCAGTGTTAGATGCTTCCGAGATGTTTAATCTTTCCAGTACCAGTTCTGGCAAGTGTCATCTCCATATTACACATGGAGAAACAGGCTCAGAGCGGTTAAGTCACTTGCCCAAGGCCACAGAGCTGGTAAGTGGCAGATTTCAGATTTCAACCAAGGCTGGTTTCATCATACACATTCCAAGAAGAGGCTTTGCTCAGCACCAAGTTGGAACCCAAAATACAACAACAGGTATAATTTCTACTGGCATCATGGTGGTCTATAACCTCTTCCCAGTGGGCCCCATTTCCCTAGGCCCGAGACCCTGGTGGGGACCACTCAATTGACCAGCAGAATCCCGCCCCTGGGCCGCTGGGTCTCATGATCCAGTTAAGCCCCAGTGGGCACAGACACGGTGATGCGGTCCTTGCTTCAAAATCAGGCCAGCCATACATGTCCGGAACGCCCAGCGGCCTGCTCCCTCCCCAGGGCACTTGCTGAGCTCATGCCTGCTGCACACCAGCCTGGCCAGCCATGGCCTGAGTGAGCTCCGGACTCCAGCCCAGAGGGCGCCGGGGAGCAGCCCCGCATGCTGCCACTCGTATCTTATGGCTATTTACACCTAGCAAACAAAAAAATTATAAAAAAGCATAAAGGAAAAAAAAGAATCACTCATAACCCCACCGCCTGGAACCCACCAGTCTACCTTTCTGCGAATTTCCCCAGGGGATTGTTTTTCCGTAATTGATGTCCACGCTATAGAGTTTTTAGCTTTGCCTTCCACTTTGTTCACTGACCATTATTTCACAAACATTCTTTCCCCTCATTTTTTAAAACCCTAATTTCTAACAACGCCCTTATACCCACACATGTGGCTGTAATATAAATCATGACATGGAATCCCTAAGTTTTGTTATTGCTAACATTTTGTGATCATAAAGCAGTGTGGTGAGGCATTTTCTTATTTTTATCTAGTGGATTTCCTTCAGGAACATTTCAAGAAGCAGAATTATGGGTGGAAACATGTGGCCATTTTTGGGGCTCTCAGTGCAAGCGCCTGCACTGCCTTCCAGACACCACGTCCCATTTGTATCTCCACCAGCGGCAATGGGCATGCACATTCTATTTTTTTTTTTAGCCACATAGCACTCATGTTTCCTCTTGCCAAGATTCTCCTTTTGACGAAACACCCCCCTACATTGTGAGCTAGACTTGGTGGGCAAGTCAGCCAAGGCCCTGGGTGGACAAACTCATCCCTCTGAGTTTGGAATCCTGAGCTGAGTGGCTCCAGGGTAGAAAACCCAGCAGCAACCTCATTGCTCCTGTGTGTTTGCCATTTGGGTCTGCTTAGCATGGACAAAACTTAAAAACACATCAGTGAATCAAAAAGGGTAAGTCGCAACCAGATAAGCATCATCTGAGAGAATGTGTGTAAATCTCACAAATAAAACAGAAGCCTGTGGATCACACAGCCCCTCTGCTGGAGATGGGGTAGGGGGACCTGCAGGTCATGGCCCCCGAGTGAAACGTCTTGAAGGCAAATGCGGTAAACAGTGGACAGGACATCAGTCAGAGACAGTGTGGCCTCTACAAGTTCAGGCATCACATGGTCAATGCGTCCTGGGGCCTGGCCATGGATGCATGCGTCCAAACAGCTCCCAGAGGCAGCTCCAGTGGCCTCCAACCACCAACATGGAAGGGGATGGCCAGAGCGTGGGCAGAATGACTCTCACTGGGGAATCGCGGGGTGGTGTACAGGCATTACCGAGGGACTGGCATGCGCAATGCTGCATGGTGAAGGTGGAGGCTGTGACATAAGGACGGTCCACCTGGGGGAGGGTGGGGAAGCTATGAGCAGCCGAGGCCCCCCTCCTCCCTCCCATTCTCCCACCACTCTTTTTTCTTCTTCTTTTTCTTTCTTAAAAGAAGAGAGATGAAGGAAATAAGGTGAAATACAAATACCAGCCAATCTGGGTGGTGAGTGTGTGGATAGACAGAGCCCTCGATCAGGTAACCTGAGCTCATATCCAAGCTCTGCCACTCCCCGGGTCCAAAACTGCTTAAAGAAACTGCACCTGCCCCCAGAGGCTGTGATATTTGTCCCCACCCAAATCTCATGTTGAAATGTCATCCCCAATGCTGGAGGTGGGGCCTGCTGGGTGGTGTTTGGGTCATACGGGTGGATCCCTCATGCTTGATGCTGTCTTCCTGATAGTGAGTTCTGGCAAGATCCGGTCATTTAGAGGTGTGTGACCCTCCTCTCTCTCTCCTGCTCCCCTCTCCTCCCCTGCCCTTTCTCTTCCTTCACCTTCCACCATGAGTGGAAGCTCCCTGAGGCCTCCCTAGAAGCTGAGCAGATGCCACCATGCTTCCCGTATAGCCTGCAGAACCATGAGCTGATTAAACCTTTTTTTTTTTTTAAATAAATTACCCAGTCTCAGGAATTTCTTTATAGCGGTGCAAGAATGGCCTAATACAGGCTGTTACAAGGGATAAATTCTTTTTTTTTTTTTTTTTTGAGACGGAGTCTAGCTGTCGCTCAGGCTTGAGTGCAGTGGCGTGATCTCGGCTCACTGTAACCTCCACCTCCCAGGTTCAAGCGATTCTCCTGCCTCAGCCTCCCCAGTAGCTGAGATTACAGATGGGCACCACCACACCCGGCTAGTTTTTGTATTTTTAGTAGAGAGAAGGTTTCCCATGTTGGCCAGGCTGGTCTCGAACTCCTGACCTCAGGCAATCTGCCTGCCTTGGCCCCCCAAAGTGCTGGGATTACAGGCGTGAGCCACGGTACCCGGCTGGATTAAATTCGTTTTTGTTTATGAAGTGCTTAGAATGGTGCCGGGCATATAGGAGGTGTTATAGCAGTATTAGGCTATCATTTTTATTTTCCGTAGGCCTGAAACATTTTGTAGTTAAAGAAACCCGGCCGGGCGCGGTGGCTCACACCTGAAATCCCAGCACTTTGGGAGGCCAAGGCGGGAGGATCACGAGGTCAGGAGATCGAGACCACCTTAGCCAACATGGTGAAATCCCGTCTCTACTAAAAATACAAAGATTAGCTAGGCGTGGTGGTGCATGCCTGTAATCCCAACTACTTGGGAGGCTGAGGCAGGAGAATCGTTTGAACCCGGGAGGCCGAGGTTGCAGCGAGCCGAGATCGCGCCATTGCACTCCAGCCTGGCAACAGAGCGAGACTTCGTTTCAACCAAACTGTCCTGACTCTGTCTTCCACAGGCCTGATTCTGCACACCCACCACACCCCTTACCACCTGAGCCTGACATCTCACTCTGGCCTTCTTGAACACAAAAGCCCTGCCTGCTACCTTGGGGACACAGGGGCTTTCCAGGCTGCTGAGCATCTGCAAGAGCCAGCTTCCCCAGCCTCAGCCGCCTGAGATTTATGCTCTGCACTTCCTGTCACGGGTGTGGAGATTTACACTGGGTGAGTCGGGACACCAATTAAAGGGCCGAAGTAAATGAACCCTGTCTTAAAGAGCTTACCCAGGAAACAGACAGCCAGCTCAGCAGTAAACAATGACGATGCCTGGGGGGAATTACCGCACCAGCTGTCACCCCCATAAGAAAAAACAGGGTGGTTGGAGGAGCATGAAGATGAGAGTTCAGAAAGTGGGTGAGAAACTAAGAGGAACGGCCAGGGCCCCTGCCACCCAGCAAAGTGCGCCAGAGAGTGCTCATGCCCACTGCCCCAGCACAGCTCCTGCCCTGCAGAGGCTGGAGAGCAAAACACTGCATTTCCCAGGTACCATACAGCTGAGTCTGGGAGGAGAGTTCTGTCCTGACTTACGTTTTCTGATCCTCAGCCCACCTCCCCAGTGTGCCCAGGGCTCACCACACCCCACTAGCTTGGCTCCTTCCTGCTTCTCATTAGAGAGAGCTGTAATGCCTAAGTGAGGTGAGGCTACTGCTCTGCTACCTTGGCAGCCTCGTGGGTGGTGAGGGGCTGCTGGTGGCTTTCTCATCCTTAGACTGACAGCCTCCTGACCCCACCTTCCTGATGGGGCCGAGGCTGCAGCTCGCTGGCCAGGCCAGTTCTGCAGGGCTATTCTGGGATTGTTCCTGGAGGCCCTCCAAGAGTCTGTACCTGCAAACTTCCCACTGCGGGTAAGCACCTGACCCCTGGGCTAAACTCCTTCTAATTGAGAGCTGAGTGTTAGGGACTGAATGTTTGTGTTCCTTTAGAATTCATATGCTGAAGCCCTAACCCCCAATGTGACAGTATTTGGGGGTGGGGCCTTTGGGAGGTGATTACGCTGAGATGAGGTCATGGGAGTAGAGTCCCCATGATGATATCAGTGTCCTCATAAGAAGAAAAAGAGGCATCAAACTTCCCTCTCTCTGCCATGTGAGGACACAGCGAGAAGGCAGCCGTCTGTGAACCAGGAAAAAGGCACTCGCCAGGAACCCAATCCACCAGCAACCTGACCTTGATCTTGGACTTTCAGCCTCCAGAACTGAGAAATATATTCCCGTAGTTTAAGCCCCCACAAGTCTCCAGTAGATTATTATAGGACTCCCAGCAGACTAATACACTGGGTGATTTTGTTTTCTACAGCATCCCCTGCCATTGCCCTGGACAGCCCTCCCATCTCCTCTCCTTGCCCCAGCCCCTGCACCCTCATTGCTGTTCCCTGCACTTGCCCGCTTTGCACACGCTGTTCCCCTGGTGGGCTGCCCTGCCTTCCATCTCCCAGCTGGACTCCTACTCAGCCTCCAAGGCACCTGAACTGTCACCTCCCCTGGAGCCATTCCTGACATCTGTAACCCTAATGCAAACACACAGAGGGAGTTAGCGGCTTCCTCCTGGCCCCTGCTCTAAGTTCAACATTCACCACGGCAGGTGCCTGGAAGGACTCCCATGCTGGAGCTCTGCAGTGGACAGGGCAGCAAGCGCGGAGGTCACTAGCCAGCCCAGCCAAACCAGCTGGGTGACCTTGGGCAATTCCCCGACCTCTCCCTCTGAAAAGGGAGGCAAGACTGGTAACACCTGCCAACAGTCCGGAAGAGTCCCCGGCACATGTGCAGTGCTGCATGGGAGGTGGCGCTCACTCTCAGTGAGAGGGACTGACAACCAATCAACAAAGAGACGTCCGGAAAAAGCTCTGCCCAGCCCTGAGAGCCAGGAAGAGGACAGTCTGTCTAGGGTGGTCAGGGAGGGCTTCCCAGGGAGGGCACTGCGTGCTGGCCCCCAGGCACCTCTGAGCACCTGCCATGGTGGATGCGGCAGGAGCCTCGCACAGACAGTGGGCCAGGTGGTCCCGCAGCAGAGTGTGGGCTGCAGGGCCAGGGAGCTGCCTGCTGGCCTGCAGCTTTGGGTACGGGGGCGAGCAGGCCCACCTGCCCCTATGCCCCTCCCCTGACCTGGCCACACAGGCCTGACCACAGGGCCCAGGTGACACACGGAGGAGGAAGCCTGAATGACTCTGGAGGCTCCCACGAGTGGAAGCCACCACTGAGGTTCACGTCGTCACTGAGGCCAGGCCAGGGAGAGCCTGGTGAGACATGAGACAATGCTGTCACATGAATCAGTTCTGAATGTGCCAAATTTCATTCTGCTGTGATTAAAAAGCGGCTGGCGCATCATAAACTCACTGTGAGCATCAGTCACCGGGTCGCAAGCAGACACGCCTAGAGCTGCTCTGGGAGCTGCTGCTCTTTCCAGGCTCCTGCTGCATGCCTGGTGTGGCAGGTGTGGGCTGCCACTAGCTGCCTTACAGTGAGGAGACAGAAGCCCAGAGAGGGCAAGTAATCAGCTGAGGTCACACAGCTTGGGGGAAGCAGAGAGAGGGATGTGAATCTTGGTCGGCTGCCCCTTTGCCTTGGTCTGGGGGAGGCAAAAAAAAGTGCTAGTCAGGAAGGGCTGATTGATGCTGAAGCTGGGGACCAGGGTGGGTTCAATATGGAAGAGGCAGCAGGTAAACACATAGGCCCTGAGGCCAATCTGCTCACCCCTTACTGCTGTGTGATATTGGCCAGCCCCTTGACCTCTCTGGGCCTCAGCCTGTGCATCTGTGAAGTGGGGATGACGCTTGCCCACCCAGGGTGCTGTGTGAAGATGAGGGAAGTTGCAGCAGTGCAGCACCTAGAGGAGAGCTTGGCACACAGCAAGAAGCCTGCACCTGCCGCCCCTCAGGACTGTTTCCTGGGGTGGGCACTGCCCTGGGCATAGGGAGGTGGGGCGCGGAGAGAAGACGAGGCCTCCACCCTCTGGGAGGGGAGGAGAAGTGCATGCGGCGGTGGGAATGTGAGGCAGTGGTGATGGTGTGAGGGGCCAAGAGCCTCCTACACTGTCGAGAACGGTCACCAGGGCAGCCCCCAGCGTGGGCCGCATGGCAGGGGCTACTCAAACGACAGGAGTGTGCCCGCACTCTGGCCAGGCCATCCCGTCTTGGTGGCTACAACACGGAACTGTTCACACGTGTGCCTAGCTGTTGGTGAAAGCGAAACAGTGGAAGCACCCCGATGGCCATCCATGGCGGACTGGCTAAAATGTGCTACAGTGCCTTTGCTAAGTTGCAGGTCACCAAATGACTCATGTCAAAACGTGCTGGGAGCACAGAGCCAACTGCAGAAGTCTCCACATACGATGAGACTCTGTTCACGAGAAAAGAAAGCTTACATGGGATACAGTAGGCTTAGCGTGTGCACACACTGTTGATGCAAATGCACAGAAGATTCTGGAAGGAAATGCTCCAGACATGACAGCAGACACCTGTGCTGAGGGGCCAGGCTGGGCCAGAAGTGACTTCAGCCTCATTTTGGCTTGAATGAGTCTGAAGGAGAACCCACGCATGTGCTGCTGATTACACCTGCAGGATGCGGGTGGGGATACAGAATTGGTGGTGTTTTTCTCGGGTGTGGCTCTCTAGGACAGTGTCCCTGTTCTCAGGGGATATATGCCCAAGAATTACAGGTGGGGTGTCACGGCACTCATGGCCTGCAGGTGGGCAAAAGGGGGACACAGGTGAATGTTCCCACAGGGAGAGAAGGACTGGCCACAGAAGATGTTAACAGGTGGGGGACCCAGGAAAAGTCTGTATAGGTATTTATTGTGTTGTTATTTCAAATTTTCCCTGGGTCTGACATTTTTTAAAATAAAAAAATATATGCCAGGTGCAGTGGCTCATGCCTGTAATCCCAACAATTTGGGAGGCAGAGGCAGGTGGATCACCTGAGGCCAGGAGTTCAATATCGGCCTGGGCAACATGGTGAAACCCTGTCTCTACTAAAAATACAAAAAATTAGCCTGGCATGGTGGTGGGTGCCCGTAATCCCAGCTACTCAGGAGGCTGAGGCAGGAGAATCACTTGAACACAGAAAGTGGAGGTCGCAGTGGACCAAGATCACGTCACTGCACTCCAGCCTGGGTGACAGAGTGAGACATCGTCTCAAAAAAAAAAAAAAAAAAGAATTACAAATATGTGACCTTGGAAGGACGATGGGTGACGGGTGCCAAAGAGAAGAGCCAAGCACTGTGAAGATTTGGAGAGGAGGTGGCATTTCAGCCAGTGCGGGAGCCGGTAGGGCCCATGCACGGTTCAGGAGAGGCTGAGCAGCCTGCGTGGGTGAGTGAGGCAGGACAAGCAGGAAGCCCCAGGCTGGGCAGTGTGGGGAGGCCCTGGAGGTGCCGGGCAGGGGGGCTGTGGGGGCTGGAAGCTCAGGTGCGGCCTTGAATGTAGAGCCATGGAATGTGGATTTCCTTCTAGCGGCCACAGGGAGCCACAGATGGGTTGTGAGCTGAGGAGCGCCATGGCTGAGTGAGCAATGTAACGCCCAGGGAGTCTGGCTCTTCCCTACCTGGTCCTGGCCTGATTTAATGCATCCCTTTCCCCCATCTGGAGCTCATTTCCCCCGCTTCCCTCCCCCGTTCCTCTAGCCAAGTCCTCTCCCCTCTCACTCTGGGGCGTCCTGCCTGGCCAGGTGCTCTGAGGAGCTCAGTTTCAGGATGAGGGCCTGGCCAGAAGTGGTACTGAGT
Organism: Homo sapiens; assembly: GCF_000001405.40. Taxonomy (NCBI): domain Eukaryota; kingdom Metazoa; phylum Chordata; class Mammalia; order Primates; family Hominidae; genus Homo; species Homo sapiens. The sequence continues at coordinate 13,115,378 of NC_000003.12, forward strand.
TGCTGTGTCCCTCTGGGGTCTGGGCCCCCATGATGTCTCTTGACAGGTGTTCCTGTCCCCATTCCCTCAGCCTGGCCCTCTTAGCAAAGTCCTGGTGCTGCTGGTCTGCATGAGCCCCCTGATTTAGCCTTGCACTTTACCATGGTGGCCATGGATGAGTCTTCCCACCTCTTGCCCTATTTCCTCACTAGTAGAGCAGGAACAAGAATACGTTGTCTCACTGCAGAGTCACTCGAGAGGGGCACACACTGGCACCTGGGCTCAGGCTGTCAGAACGTTCTGGCCCCTGTCACTTGTCTCTGGCCCTGGCAGGCCCAAGGCTGGGCGCCTGAAGTGGGCACTCACCAGACCCTCTCCGGGCGCTGAATGCACGCTAGCCCATTTCACAGGCGAGCTAGGCACTGTTACTGAGGGCAGATGCCTACTCCATATCTACCCTTGAACAGAAAAACACTCTCTCCTTTGGCCCTGAGCCCCCAGTGGACCCCTCCCACTGCATGGCTACCTGCCTGGACCTGCTCCCCACCTTCCCATTCTCCAGCAACCAAAAGGTTAGCATCGGAAGCATCAGGGAGCCCCCAGAATGCTATGAAAGTTTAACCAATTCCCTGCAATTACGCCCCCTCAGTTTTTCCTTCAGCCAAATCAGCAGGAAAGAAGGGTCCCTTAGGATCCCTCAGGCAATGAAGAAGGGTCCCATAGGACTTTAACCTTGTTGCTACTTTATCCCTGGAGGGTGAGCCAGGCAGAGGCGCGTGGAAGTCCTCCCAGCTCCCTGAGGGCAGTCACTCCAGTGCTGACTAGGTGCCTGTGTGCCAGGCCAGGTGCTGGCTGCGGGAAACTCAGGGCCCAGGGGCAGCCGATGGGGCCGTGCAGGTAGGAGCTATATGTGGGGGCCAGATGGTGTTTCTGGCTTTGCGATCCTGATGTTCTCTGTCACAACTACTCTGACTCTGCCCATTCTCTCTAGAAAGCAGCCACAGACAATATATAAATGAATGGGTGTGGCTGTGTTTTAATAAAACCCAACTTACCAAAACAGACAGACTAGAATAGAGAGCCCAGAAATAAACCCTCGCATATACAGTCAAATGATTTTCAGCAGGGTGCCAAGAACATACAATGGGGAAAGGACAGTCTCTTCACCAAATGGTGCTGTGATAACTGCACATCCACATGCAAAAGATGCAAAAGAATGAAGCTGGACCCTTCCATGACACTATACACAAAAGCTGACTCCCGGCCGGGCGCAGTGCCTCACGCCTGTAATCTCAGCACTTCGGGAGGCCAAGGTGGGTGGATCGTTTGAGATCAGGAGTTCAAGACCAGCCTGGCCAACATGGTGAAACCGTCTCTACTAAAAATACAAAAATTAGCCAGGTGGTAGTGGCAACAGAGTGAGGTCCTGTCTCAAAAAAACAAAAACAAAAACAAATAAACAAACAAAAAAACTGACTCCCAATGGGCCAAAGACCTAAGTGTAAGAGCTAGGACAATAAAACCCACAGAAGAAAACACAGTGGTAAATCCTCATGACATCGGATTTGGCAATGATTTCTTAGATGGCACCACAGGCATAGGCGACAAATGAAAAAATGGATAAATTGGGCTTCATCAAAACTAAAAACTTTTGTGATTTAAAGAACACTATGAAGAAAAGTGGAAAGACAATTCCAAGAATGGGAAATATTTGCAAATCACATATCTGATAAGGATCTAGTATCCAGAGGATATAAAGAAGTGTCACAACTCAACAACCAAAAGATAAGCAACTCGATTAAATCATGAATAGACCTTTCTACAAAAAAGATACACAAATGGCCCATAGGCACATGAGATGATGTTCAACATCACCAGTCATCAGAGAAAGCAAATCAAAACCACAATGAGATACCACCTAACAGGTCATTAGAAAAAAAAAAAAAACGGCCAGATGCAGTGGCTCACGACTGTAATCCCAGCACTTTGGGAGGCGGAGGCGGGCGGATCACGAGGTCAGGAGATCGAGATCATCCTGGCCAACATGGTGAAACCCCGTCTCTACTAAAAATACGAAAAATTAACCGGGCGTGGTGGCGTGCTACCAGGGAGCCTGAGGCAGGGGAATCGCATGAACCCGGGAGGCAGAGGTTGCAGTGAGCCGAGATCACGCCACTGCACTCCAGCCTGGTGACAGAGCAAGACTCCGTCTCAAAAAAAAAAAAAAAAAAAAAAAAAAAAAAGCCACGGCTGGGTGCAGTGGCTGATGCCTATAATCCCAGCACTCTGAGAGGCCAAGGCAGGTGGATCACAAGGACAGGAGTTCGAGACCAGCCTGGCCAATATGGTGAAACCCCATCTCTACTGAAAATACAAAAATTAGCCGGGCGTGGTAGAGTGCACCTGTAGTCCCAGGTACTCAGGAGGCTGAGGCAGGAGAATCACTTGAACCCGGGAGGCAGAGGTTGCAGTGAGCCAAGATCACACCACTGCACTCCAGCCTAGCTGACAGAGTGAGACGCTGTCTCAAAAACTAACAAACAACACATAAGTATCGGTGAGGTATTTGCAAATCACATATCTGATAAGGATCTAGTATCCTTATCAGAGAAACCGGGCCCCCTGTGCACTGCTGGTGGGAGTGTAAAATGCTGCAGCCACTGTGGAATACAGTAAGTATGGTGGCTGTAGGTAGTGTTTGCTACAGTTAATCATAACGTATAGTTTCAAATAGCGAGAAGGAGGCTATTGAATGTCTCCAACACAAAGAAATGACCGATGAGATGATGGCTGTGCTAACCACCCTGGTCTGATCACCAGGAATTATATATATCCAAACATCATGATGTAATCCATGAATATGTACAGTTATTATGTGTCCATTTAAAAACTTAAATATAATTTAAAAATCAAACACAGAATTATCATCTGATTTAGCAATTCTACTTCTGGGTATAGACCCCAAAGAACTGAAAGCAGGGTCTCGAACAGATGTTTGCACACACATGTTCATAACAGCATTATTTACAGTTGCCAAATGGTGAAAACAGCCAAAGTGACCATTGATGGGTGAACGGATAGACAAATTTCGTCCATATATACAACAGAGTATTATTTAGCCTTAAAAGGAAGGGATTTCTGACCCAGGCTACTACACGGATGACCTTGAGGACATTGTGCTAAGTGGAATCAGCCAGTCACAAAAGAACAAATACTGAATGATTTCATTTATATGGGGTCCCTGGCGCTGTCAAATTCAGAGACCTGAAGTAGAATGGTGCTTGCCAAAGGCTGGGGAGGAGGGAATAGAAAGTTATTGTTTAATGGAGACAGTTTCAGCTGCAAAAAAAGAACGAGTTCTGGAGATGGATGGTGGTGTTGGCTGCAAAACACTGCGAACGTACTTAACGTCATGACACCTAAAAATGGTTAAAATGGGCTGGGGGCGGTGGCTCATGCCTGTAATCTCAGCACTTCGGGAGGCCAAGGTGGTGGGTCACCAGGTCAAGAGATCAAGATCATCCTGGACAACATGGTGAAACCCCGTCACTACTAAAAATACAAAAATTAGCTGGGTATAGTGGCACTCGCCTGTAGCCCCAGCTACTTGGGAAGCTGAGGCAGAGGAGAATTGCTTGAACCTGGGAGGCAAAGGTTGCAGTGAGTCGAGATCGTGCCACTGCACTCCAGCCTGGCAACAGAGCAAGACTCTGTCTCAAAAAAAAAAAATGGTGAAAATGGCAAATTTTATGTTAGATATGTTTTGCAACAATTTAAAAAACAAAGCAATAAGAGAATAAGGAGGCCGCCTTGGTCTCCCAAAGTGCTGGAATAATATTTAAGAATATTATTATTCTTAAATAATAAGAATTTAAAAAGCATATGCCCATGTGAACACACTGTTAGGAAATTGTCTCTCCAACTCTGTCATTAAAAGGGCCTCAAGGATCTGAGGAGCCCAAAGCTGAAGCTTCTTCAGTTGTAAATCTGCTTCTGCCAACAACAATTTAAAAACTGAATTTGTTTAAAGAAAGTTTGATGATGAAGGAATGAGCAAGGGGAGCTGGCTGGAGGAAATGAATGCTGGATGGTACTGAGCTGAGATGACCTGATACCGTCTGCATGCTGCAGCCATGCTTTGCAGTTTAATGGAGCAGTATCAATAAGCTACACAGTAAGGTTAGGTGGGTCCAACAACATCCTGGCTTCTTCCTGTGATCACTGATGCTGTTCAGGAAATAAAACTTGAAATCTTTCATGCACTCACAAAAAGCAGACGGTGGGCTGGATGTGGCCTGGGGGCCGTGGTTTCTGGACCCCCAGTGTCGTCTAAGGCAGCCTGGCTGCACGTGGGAGCTTCAGGAGGAGCAGGTATGCATGTAACGATTGTGATGGATGACACCGAAGCCAAGGATAGGCGGCAGGAGAGTGTGGATCTGGAAGCCCAGATAAGATGGAGCTTTTGTTACATGGCACTGTCTCTATTTTCTCCAGGGCAGAATGGCATTTCTGACAGCCCTCTCGGTGAGAATGGAAGGCCGTCCACACTCTGCCTCACTCAGCCCTGGGCAATCTCTGCAGTTCTCTGTAGCTCTACTTCGAAGGTGGCCAACGCTGGAGGTGGGCCACAGGGACCCAGAGAGAGCTCTCTGCTCGCCTGGGCAGGCTTAGAAAGCAGTTTTTGGCCTCCAAGACATGTTCCTTAGAAGGCACTCACCTGGCACAGGGACACCTGGGGAGCTGAATGCACATGGCTTGCTGCCAGCGGCTCCCTCCCGGGGAGGAGGCTGCACAGAGCCAGAACGCAGTCTGCAGCAGCAATGACCTTCCGACCCCCAGGGACAGGACAAAGACTCTGTCCCTCTCACATCCTCACCCTCCTTACTTCTCTGGCTCCTCAGCACCACTCAGTAAGGTGGTGACTGTCATTGCCCCCAGTTTACAAATGAGGAACTGAGGCTTGGTAGGAGGGGGCACACTCGGTCCAGGACTTCAAAGCCTGAGCTCTTCACCTCTGCTCTCTCCCAGAAGGGAGACACGGGCCAAGTAGGGCAAGGATGGAGGAAAGGTCCCATTCCTGCTCTGCTGCCCGCAAGCTGTGTGCCCTCAGTCAGGAAAGTAACCTCTCTGGGCTCCGTGTACTCCTCCCTAAGGCCTGCACGTGGTACACACTCGATTAGTGTTAATTCTTCCTCTTCCCCGAGGAGGAGCTGCTCACAGTCTAGAGGGAGGATCTAAATATTTAATTAAGGAAACTTACAATGCAATCTGAGATGGGACTGAATAGAGCAATGAGCAAAGTGATCTGGTGCACCAAGGGAGGAGGGCCGAGCAACGACGGGCTGGCCAGGTAGAGAGGCAGGACGCCAGGCCTGCTTGGCTCCCACCTGCACACCGGTACCCTCAGAGGCACAGCCTAGGCATCCTTCACCATGACAGAGAGGGGCAGGGGACAGAGGGCCAAACCGGTCACCTGTGCCAGGCTTCCTGGCAGAACTTAGTCATGAATTAAGTCCTCGCACTCCTCTCTCAGAGAACTCAGCCTGCTGCATTAGGGATTAAATATGGCCTCGGGGAATCCCAGATTCAATGGCGTTTACACATTTAAACAGGAGGCAGTTCCATTTAAATGTCACCTCCTGACTATTGCCCCAGCAGCACCCTGCAACCCCTTGACCACAAGTCTTCAGCAGCTCCCTATCCTGGAGGAGGCCAGCATGGTCGGCATCGTCCTCGGCCCTGACTATCACAGTCGCTGCCCTATGCTGTACCTGCCCACACGCTCCACGAAGCTGCCTGCTTTTGTGAGCAGGACTTTGCAGCCATGCCTGCACCTCTGCCTGAGTCATCGTCAGAGCTGAGTAGTTACGACAGGACCCCATGGCCCACAAAGCCTAAATAGTTACCGTCTGGCCCTTTACAGAAAAAGTTTGTCACGCCCTGTGTTACATCTGTCTCACCTCCTCCTCCCAGCTACCTGAAGAAGCCAATGTCATTCTCATTTCCCAAGTGAGGAACCCACGGCTGGGAGGGGTGAGGCCAGTCCCACCAGGGCAGGGCTGGGCACAGAACAGCGGCTCGGTGGTTATCTGCTGAGTGAGTGGATGAATGAATGAATGATGTGACCAAATGCCCCTGTGCTCGGCATGGAGTTTGAGCATCACAGGGACCATCCCTGTGGCCTGTGGGGGAGAAGGTGCTCTCTGCACCTGGAATGGTGGCCCTGAGTAGTCATGCACCCGTAATTGATGTGTTCTGAGAAGGCATCTGCCAATGCCTCGGGCAGCCAGGACCAAGGCCAGCGCTGGGGGGACAGAGTGGTAGCCTGGCCACTGACTGTGAGGTGCAAAAGAGAGCAGAGAGAATGGGGCAGGTCAGTTCCAGGACCACAGCAAGGAGGCGCTCCATGGTCGCTGGAGCAACAGGGCGGCCCCCAGGATGGGGCAGTGGGCTGGGGTCTGAGCACTGAGGGGACAGACTAGGCCGCCTTGGGAGCCAGGGGCACACCAGAGCACCGTCCTACGGAACTGCCCCCTGGGCTCGGGGACGGCCACGGCAGTGGGAGGCTGAATGGGGACCTTCATCCAGATTAAAAGTCAACACAATGCTGGATCTGAAATAGTTCAGGTCGGCCAGGCGCAGGCAGGAGCTGACAGCACTGGCCCTGGCTCAGCCTGCCTGTAGGGAGCTCACCTTCCAGTGAAGGAGGCAATAATAAGCCAAACCCATCAGACACCATGCACCCTGTGAAGAGCAATGCCCACCCCCGAAGGGGCCGGGCCCGAGTGTAAACCTGGAAACCAGCTGGGCAGGGAAAGCCTCCCTGAGATGAAAACACCCGTATAAAGACCTGCAAAAGGTAACGGAGCCACGTGAGTGTTCAGGGAAGAATGTGCCAGATGGGCGGAGAGCACAGCCCCTGCAAAGGCCCGGGACAGGGAGCGAGTCCAGGAAGAGTTGAGAAGTGGCAGGGCAGGTGGCCAGGGCCCCGAGTGCCCCTTGAGGACTTTGTCTTTGACTGAGTGAGGAGGGAGCCACGGGAAGGTGCTGAGCACAAGAGGGGCATGGACGCAGTTGGGTTTTATTAGGTCCCTCTGGCTGTTCAGGGAGGGAGAGGGAGGGAGGAAGTGAGGGGTATGGGATGAAGAAGGCAGGGAGGGAGGGAGGAGGGAAGGGGAATGAGGAGCTTGCTAAACTCCACCCCAGGAGACACACGGAGTGAGGTAGGGGCAGTGTGTGGCTCACATGCCACCAAGTCCTGCAGACCTTGCCTGATGTCCTCAAAACTCAAAACGAGCTGGGCACAGGCCCCGGGAAGGGACACATCCCACCTGGTCTCTGTTATTGGCTTCACTTTGCTGCCAAGGACCCTGAACCTCAGAGAGTGATGAAGCTTGCCAGGGTCACACAGTGTGATTACTGGATATGCCAGGATTCAAATCCACATCTCCCCATCACACACCCAGGATTCCAGACCCTCGAGGGGGAGGCAGCGTCCCTGTACCCTGCCACTGCAGGGGCTACTTCCACATCAATCTAATGGAGGAAGAGCCTTGGTCACGCTCCCAGGACACAGGCTGGTGACCCGGCCCTGCCCCCAGGAGTGTCTTTCTGCGCCCTCCCTGCATGAGGTGTGCTGAGTGCCACAGGCCCAGGGCAGAGCTGGAATTTATGGCTCTCTCTATTTTAATGAAGACTGTTCAAAGCCCTGAAAATTAATTTCCCCGAGGAAGACAATTACATGTCAAATAATACACCCGCTGAGCAAATGATTAAGATAAAATCCAGCCAAGAAGGCTTTGCACCGGTTGGTTTTGAGATACTTGGCTCAACACGGAAGGCCTTTGAAGGTTATTACCAGGCAGTAATGAACACAGGTGTCCAGTCCAGGGGAGGGAATTCATTTCTAATATTTGTGCCCCTTCATAATTTATTTCAAACCTGTAAATGATGTCTGTGGGAAAGCCTGTCTCTGACATCTTCTAATAAAAAGACATTAACAGCCCCACTGAAGGCTGGTGCTGGCGGAGTCAGGTCTTTCCGGTTCCCATGGGGACGGTGGCCTGTGGCTACAGGGGAGGCTGGCCTGGGCCAGTGGGCATACGACTGGGAGGTCTTACATGTGTATGTGGAGGGCCTCCTTTGGTCTCCAAGTCCAAATGTGGCCTTGTGACTTCGCCATTTTGGAAAATTTGGCCAGCATTGCCCCTGGAAATGATTGGCTGAAACTTTAGGTACCCAAGTGCCACCAGCCAGCCTTTGTCAGGTACAAGGCCAAGCGTCCTCTGCAGACCCCTGAGTTTGCACCCCTTGATTGAGCCTTCTTATGGAAAGTGAGGCCCAGAGAGGTGAAGCAGGTTGCTCAGGAACACACTGCAAGGTGGGAAAGGAAGGATGGAAGCCTGGCTGTGCTCCCGCCCAACCCAGAGCCCTGCGCTGACCTGCAGCCTCCTGTCACTGCTCAGCTGAGCCTGGCGAGACTGATTACAGACTCTAGGTTATGACAGGATTTAGCATATGTGGATCAGGGGTCTGCAAACCATGGCTCTCGAGCCAAATCTAGCCTGCGGCTTGCTTTTGTAAATAAAGTTTTATTGGAACGCAGCCACACCTGTTCATTTCTGCATTGGGTATGACAGCTTTGAGAACAACAGCGGCCAAGGGATGCTGCCAACTCAACCTGACCTTCTGCTGTCATAACCGGCAGGCATGGTGTGGGCCTGCACCCTGAGCTAGCAACTGCTTCGTTCCACAGAAAAGACTTCCATCAGGGTATACGGGTTCGTCTGCAACTGGCTGTGAGTGCAGACAGCTTCCAGGGGCTGGGGGAGTGGCAGTGACTGCAGAGCATCAGGACCCAAGTCACCTTCACCTGCACCTTGGCTGCTTTAGGAAATGGTAATGGCTGGGGGGACCCAGCTTCCTAGGGCTCACGAGGGCCCCCACCGAGCTCACCAACATTGCTTATGCCTCCAAAGTAGAGAATTCGAGGACTCTAGAATGTTAACCATGGGAAGTCACTCTCTACTCCCCAGCCTCAGTTTCTTCATCTCTAAGGAAGATCACATCCAGTGATTGCTGAGGCTCTGCTCTGCAAGGCGGTCCATGGATCTCTATGAGTGACTGTAGAGCTTGGAGCCCTTCCTTTGATAACAGAAAACAGAGACCGAGAGTAGCTGTTCATCCGTGATGTGGGGATGTTAATGGCACTGCCCCCTTCCACACACACTGGATTGCAAAGTGCAAATTGAAGAGACATCCATGCTGTGGTGGCTAGGCAAGGCTGCCACATGTTAAGAGCTCAAGAAAGGGCACTGGCGGGACTGTCATTATTCGTGGTGTACTTGGCTCGGGGGCCCCGCCCATCAGACCCAAGACCAGCGATGCTCTTGGGCAAACGTCCCATGGGAGCTCCTGGATCCCCCCCAGACTGTCCTGGCTCAGTCATGGGCCATGCCCTCCTCCCAGTGGCTGCCTTCAGCCCCACACAGCACCTGCCAGCAGTCGTTCAGCATTATGGTGAGGGTAGGTCCCCGATCCATATCCACCCGCCCTCACCACCTCCGTGCCACCATCCTGGCCTGGCCACCGTCATGTTTGGCCAGGGCATCAGGGAGGCCTCCTAAGGGATCTCCATCCTCCTTCTCCAGTCCACACAGCAGCCAGAGGGACCTTTTAACGCAAAATTCAGACAGCACCACCCTTCTGCCTGCAGCAGTGCGCAGCTCCCCACTGCCCCTGGGTAACTCTACAGCATGGTTTCTGCCACCCCTCACCCTTGCCTACTGAATCCTTATAACATCATCTGTCTTCCACATCCTTAAACATGCCAAGCAAACCCCCAGCTAGGGGCCTTTGCTCCTGCTAGTCCCTTTGCCTGGAATGTGCCTTCTCAGCTCTTTTTGTGGCTGTCTACGTACCCTCAGGTGTCCTTTTAATCATCACCTTCACAGAGAAACCTTCCCTGACCTCCCACCCCCACCTCCACCAGGTGAGGCCCTCCAGCTGCTCTCTGTCATTGCTCCCAGGTCATTTTCTCTGCCTTGTTGCTTAAATCACAGTCATCTAATGAGTAGGCATTCCCTCCTTCACGGTCTGTCCCGGAGCAGGCGGTGGTGGCAGGACAGGGCTTGGGCAGTGCTGGAGGTGCGGGAACCAGCCCGCCAGAGCTGGCAGTGCAGTGTGGCGCTTGAGAACAAGGACTCTGGAGCTGCACAGCCCAGGGTGAATCCCGTACAAATCTCTTAGAAGCTGTGTCCTTGTCCCTGGACAGCCCTCTGGGTCTTAGTTTCATTTCCCCATCTGTGCAATGAGATAACAGCATCATCCACCATACTGGGATTCCGCTTGTGGGGGATAAGGGCCCTACTCATGCTGGCACTTGTTACAGAAGGAATGTAGACTCCAGACACCTCTGCCACCCTATGCCCTGGCCAGGAAAAACAACGGGACAAGGAGGAGCCGAAGCCAGCTGAGGGCCATGGGCTGCCCGGTGTTCCCCTCCCAGTGCGGTCCTGCTAAAAGGGACCTGGCCACCTGGGAATGGTGATGATAATTTTCTCACTGGGACTACCAGAGGAAAAAGATGCCTCCTGCACTGCATGAGTCTTAATTAAAAATGAGATTTGGTGTTCTCAATATTAAAGGGAAACTTTCATTTGTGTCCTGAAGCTGGTTTTGTTGTTGTTGTTGTTGTTTTTAACAGCTTTATCAAGGTAAAATTGACACACAATACTCTGGACATATTAAAAGTGTACAATTTAATAAGCTTTAGCATATATTTGCACATGTGAAACACACTCATGATGGAACATATCCATGCCCTCAAACATTCTCTCATGCCTCTTTGTAATCCTTCCCTCTTGCCTCTAGAAGGATTAGTTTGCATTTCTAGACTTGTTTATAAACGGGATCATATGGTGTGCATTTGTAATCTGGCTTCTTTCACTTGGTTATGATTACTTTTGATCCATCAAAGTTGCTGCGCATATCAAAGTTCATTTCTTTCTCTTGCCAAGTAGCATTCCACTGTACGGATGTCCTACCCCTCGCTTATCCTTTAGCCCTTTGAGGGGTATCTGGTCACTTTCACCTGTTGGCTATCTTGAATTACACTGCTAAGTATGTTTGTGTGCAAGTTTTCTGTGTGGACATATGCTTTCATCTGTCTCAGGTAAACATCTAGGAGTGCAATGGCTCAATCATATAGTAGGTGTGTATTTAACCTTTTAAGAAACTGTTAAACTGTTTTCCAAGGTGTTTATACCATTTCACATTCCCACCAGCAGATGATGAAAGTTTCCATTTCTCCACATTTTCACAAGAACTTTATGGTCAGCCATTTTCATTTTAGCCATCCTAATCAGCATGTAGTAGTATGCCACTTTGGTTTTAATTTGCACTTCTTTAATATGCAATGATGCTGAGTATCATCCCCTTAACAGTATTTTGCAGGGCAAAAGTTTTCAATTTTTATGAAGTCTAACATTTTGCTTTTATAGATCATGCTCTTGGTATTAAGTTTAAGACCTTTTTGCCTAGCCCTAGGTCCTAAAGATTTTCTATTTTTTTCCTAAAAGTTTTATAGTTTTAAGTCCATGATCCATTTTGAGTTAAATTTTATATAAGGTATGAGGTTCACTTTTTTGGCCTATGGATATCTAAATTGCTTCAGAATCATTGTTTGAAAGGTTATTTTTCCTCCATTAAATTGCTTTTGCATCTTTGTTAAAAGTCACTTTGGCTTATACGTGTAAGTCTATTTCAGAGTTCTCGGCTGGGGGCGGTGGCTCACGCCTGTAATCCCAGCATTTTGGGAGGCCGAGGCAGGTGGATCACCTGAGGTCTGGAGTTCGAGACCAGCCTGGCCAACATGGTGAAACCCCGCCTCTACTAAAAATAAAAAAAATTAGCCAGGTGTGGTGGCAGGCGCCTGTAATCCCAGCTACTTGGGAGGCTGAGGCAGGAGAATCGCTTGAACCCTGGGGGCAGAGGTTGCAGTGAGCCGAGATGGCACCATTGCACTCCAGCCTAAGCAACAAGAGCAAAACTCTGTCTCAACAACAACAACAAAAAAACAAACAAACAAAAAAAAAAAAACCAGAGTTCTCTATTCCATTGATTCATGTATCTGTCCCTCTGCCAATATCATACTGTCTTGATTATTGTAGCTATATATTAAGTCTTAACATCAGGTAGAGTGAGTCCTCCTATTTATTTTTCTTTTTTTTAAATTGTTTTAAGCTATTCTAGGTCGTTTGCCTTTCTGGATACATCTTGTAATAAGCTTATGTATGTCTAGAGAGACAAAATCAAAGACAAAACTCCTTGCTTGGATTCTGATAGGAACTGCATTAAGCCTAAAGATCAACTCGGGGAGAAATGACATCTTTACCATATTGAGTTTTCCGATCCACGAACATGGTATGTCTTTCCATTTGGTTATATCATCTTTTCTTTCTTTCATCTGCATGTTTACATATACAAATCCCATATGTTTTCAGTATACAGATTCTGTACATGTTTTGTTAGATTTATGCAGAAGAATCTAATTTTCTTTGAAACAATTATAAATGGTATGTGTTTTAAATTTTGATTTCTAAATTTTTGCTGTTCTTATACAGAAATGCGTTGATTCTGTGTGTGTGTGCTGATCACAAATCCTGCTATTTTGCTGAATTCATTCATTTTTTTCTGGTAATCATTATTTATAGATTCCTTGGGATTTTCATTGTAGATAATTGTGTTATTGAAAATAGGGACAGTTTTATTTCTTCCTTTCCAATCTGTATGACTTTTGTTGCCTTTCTTGACTTACCGCTCTGTCTAGAAGTTCCAATGATATGTTGAATCACAGTAGGGAGAGACATTCTTGCCTTGTTCCCAGTCTTTGGGAGAAAGTGTTCAGTCTGTCATCTTTAATATACTAATGATGCTATCAGTAGGTTTTTTGTAGATGTCCTTTATAAAGTTGAGGAAGTTCCCCTTTATTCCAATTTTTTTTCCTGAGAGTTTTCTTAATCATGCATGGGCATTAAATTTTCCTCTGTCATAGATATAATGAATCATATGATGTCTCCTTTAGCCTGCTGAGAAAGTGGGTTACATTAATTTTAAATACTGAACTAGCCTTGCATGTCTGGAATAAATCCCACTTAGTTGCAGTGTAATTTTTTTATACATTGATGGATTAGATATGCAAATATTTTGCTTAGAAATGTTACATCTAGCCGGGCACAGTGGCTCACGCCTGTAATCCCAGCACTTTGGGAGGCCGAGGCGGGCGGATCACGAGGTCAGGAGATCGAGACCATCCTGGCTAACATGGTGAAACCTCATCTCTACTAAAAATACCAACAACAACAACAAAAAAGAGCCGGGCGTGGTGGCGGGCACCTGTAATCCCAGCTACTCAAGAGGCTGAGGCAGGAGAATCGCTTGAACCTGGGAGGCGGAGGTTGCAGTGAGCCGAGATTGCACCACTGCACTCCAGCCCGGGTGACAGAGCAAGACTCTGTCTCAAAAAAAAAAAAAAAAAAAAAGAAATGTTACATCTAGGTTAATGAGGAATTCAAGTCTGCAGTTTTATTTTCTTGTTCTAGCTTTGTCCAATTTTGGTATTCGGATAAAGCAGACATCATAGAATGAGTTGGGAAATATTCTCTCCTTTTCAATTTTCTGGAAGAGTTTGTGTAGAATTGGTATTATTTATTCTTTAAATGTTTGATGGAGTTCACCAGTAAAACCACTGAAGCCTGGAGTTTTCATTGTAAAAATTTTAACTACAATTTCAATTTGTTTGATATAAAGCTATTTAGGCTATCTATTTACTATTGAGATTTGTTAGTTTGTGTCTTTCAAGAAGTTTGTATATTTCCTCTAAGTTTTTGTTGTTGTTGTTTATTGGCATAAAGTTGTTCATAATACTCCATTATTATGCTTCAGTTACCTGCAGAATCTGTAGCAGTGTCACTGTTCTCATTCCTGGTATTGGTAATTTGTGTCTTTTCTCGTTTTCTTCTGGATCGGTCTGACCACAGAGTTATTACTTTCACTGGTCTTCTCAAAGAATCAGGTTTGGTTTCATTGATCGTCGGTATGGTTTTTCTGTTTTTCATTTCATTAATTTCCACACTGATATTTTTCTTCGTCCTTTGGGTTTAATTTGTTCTTAAAAACAAAACAAAACAGTTTTTAAGGTGAAATCTAGGTTCATTGATCTGAGATCTTTTTTCTTTTCTAATATTGGCATTTAGTGCTCTGTTTTCTCCTATGTACTGCTTTAGTAACATCTTATGAATTTTTTTTTTTTTTTTTTTTGAGACAGAGTCTTGTTCTGTTGCCCAGGCTGGAGTGCAGTGACGCCATCTCAGCTCATTGCAAGCTCCGCCTCCCGGATTCATGCCATTCTCCTGCCTCAGCCTCCCGAGTAGCTGGGACTACAGGTGCCCAACACCACGCCCGGCTAGTTTTTTTGTGTTTTTAGTAGAGACAGGGTTTCACCGTGTTAGCCTGGATGGTCTCGATCTCCTGACCTCATGATCCACCTGCCTTGGCCTCCCAAAGTGCTGGGATTACAGGCGTGAGCCACCGCGCCTGGCCACACCTTATGAATTTTTATATACTGTTTTTTTAATTATCATTCACTTCAGAAGACTTTCTTTTGATTTCTTCTTGGACCAAAGGGTTATTTAGAAATGTATTGTTTGGCTGGGTGCAGTGGCTCACGCCTATAATCACAGCACTTTGGGAGGCCGAGGCGGGAGGATTATGAGGTCAGGAGTTCGAGAACAGCCTGGCCCTCATGGTGAAACCCCGCCTCTACTAAAAATACAAAAATTAGCCAGGTGTGGTGGCGCGCGCCTGTACTCCCAGCTACTCGGAAGGCTAAGATAGGAGAATCGCTTGAGCCCAGGAGGCAGAAGTTGCAGTGAACCGAGATTGTGCCACTGCACTGCAGCCTGGGCGACAGAACGAGACTCTGTCAAAAAAAAAAAAAAAAAAAAAGAAAGAAAGAAAGAAATGTATTGTTTATTTTCCAAATATTTCTCTTTTAATTCCATTGTGGTCAGTGCACATACTTTGTGTGACTTGAATCCTTTTAAATATATTGAGATTTATCATATAGAATTTGGCATATCTTGGTAAACTTTCCAGGTGCACTGGAGAAGAATGTATGTTGCTCTTGTTAGGTAGAGTGTTAATCAGGTTAAGTTGGTTGACAGTGTTGCTAAAGTCTTCTATATCCTATCCATACATCAAGGCTACTTGTCCTGTCATGTAGTGAAAGAGGGGCACTGGCTGGGATTACTGGCTCACGCCTGTAATCCCAACACTTTGGGAGGCTGAGGCAGGTGGATCACTTGAGCCCAGGAGTTTGAAATCAGCCTGGGGAACATGGCGAAACCCTATCTCTACAAAAAATAATAATACTAATAATAATACAAAAATTAGGCAGGCATGGTGGCACATGCCTGTAGTCCCAGCTATGCTGGAGGCTGAGGTGGGAGGATTGCTTGAGACTGAGAATTGCTTCCAGCTTAGATGACAGAATGAGACCATGTGTCAAAAAAAAAAAAGAAAAATAAGCAATAAAGGAAGGAAGGAGGGAAAGAAGGAAAGAAAGAGAGAGAGAAAGAAAAGAAGGAGGGAAGGAAGGAACGGAAGGGAAGGAAGGAAGGAAAGGAAGGAAGGAAGGAAGGAAGGAAGGAGGGAGGGAAGGTGAAATCTCAAACCATAATTTTGTATTTGTCTATTTCTCTTTGCTGTCCTGTCAATTTTGCCTTCATGTATTTTGAGTGTGTTCTAACTTTAGGACTGCAATTTTTATTTTTATAAATTGACCCCTTGATTATGGAGTGACCTTCTTTATTCCTAGTAACATTCTAAATATTCCAAATATTTCTGAAACCTACTTTGATATTAATATAGCCATTCCAATTTTCTTTTCATTAGTGTTAACATGGCATATTTTCCCATTTTTTTAAACCTACTTGTACTTTATATTTAAAAAGTGGTTCTTACTTAAAAAAAAAATCTAACCTAAAGGTCACTGCCTTTTAATAGGGGTAGACAATTTGTACTTAATGTGGTTATTGAAATGTTTAGGTTTAAATCTATGTCTTTTTTTTTTTTTTTTTTTTTTTTTTGATACTGAGCCTCACTTTGTCACCCAGACTGGAGTGCAGTGGCACGATCTCAGCTCACCGCAACCTGTAGCTCCTAGGTTCAAGCTATTCTTGTGCCTCAGCCTCCCAAGTAGCTGGGATCACAGGTGTGTGTCACCACATGTGGCTAACTTTTGTATTTTTAGTAGAGACATGGTTTCATCATGTTGGCCAGGCTGGTCTCGAACTCCTGACCTCAGGTGATCCGCCTGCATCAGCCCCACAAAGTGCAAGGATTATAGGTGTGCACTGCAGCCAGCCAAGGTTTAAACCTATTTCTATTCTTTCTGTCCCATTGGCTTTTTGGTTCCATTTTTGCTCTTTTTCTGCCTTCTTTTAGATTGTTTAAATATCTATAATGGTCCCATTGTAGTTTTAATCTCTATAATTTTGATTTGGGCATGGAATATAGTTATAATTGCTATATTAGTGGGCTTTTCTGCTAATTCTAGCATCAGTGTCTGTTTTGAGTCAGTTTTGATTAATCAATTTTTCTCTTTATGTGGGTAATATTTTCTTGCTTCTTTTCATTTCTGAAAACTGTTCACTGGATGCCAGACACTGTACGTTCTACCTTGCTAGATATTTTTGTATTCCTCTAAATCTTTTTGAGCTTTGTCATGAGATGCAGTGAAATTGCATGGAAACTATCTGATCCTTAGCGGCTTGTTTTTAAGCTTGTTAGGTGGGTCCCAAGCAGTTTAGAGCTAATTGTTTCCACTGCTAGGGCAAGACTTTGAGAATGCTTTAACCAACACTTTATGAATCGTGAGGTTTTCCATTCTGGCTGGTGACAATAAGCACTTTTCCCTCTACTTTTGAGGGCCAGGCACTGAGTTCTCTCTGATTTCTTTTGGATAGTCAGCCCAAAAGATCCCCAGCCTCTGGTAGTTTTCTCACGCTCACGAGCTGGGCAGTACTCAGCTGAATACTCAGAGGCAGTGTGCAGAGTCCTCGAGCTCTGTGCAGTGTATCCTCTCCCAGGCTTGTTTCAAGGCAACTCCAGCTGCCTTAGTGTTCCCAGACTTTGAGCAGCAGCTCCTCAACTCAGAGTTCTCTGGGCCTTGCCTGGCTTCCCTCTCTCTGAGCTGTGACCTGAACACTCCCCTAAGGCAGATGCTGGGCAAATTGTCCAGATCACCTTGTTCATTTCCTACCTCTCAGGGATTCATTGTCTGATGTCCAGGGTGTTGAAAACTTGTTCCATGCATCTTGTCCATGTGGATGTTTCAGGTACCCCATTCTGTTTGAAGCCTGATTTTGAATACTGAACGGATTTTGTTTCACCAGGAAACTTTAGGAAACACAGGGCATCCTGAGCTCAATCCCATGTTACAAGCGGAGACTTCCTTTGCACTTGTATCTCCCCCACCACAACCCCCGAATGCACAGATCACCTCTCTGCTGAGTACAGGAAGTAGGGAGGGGGTTGAAGCTGTGTTTAAAGATAAGAAAATGAGACATATTTCTCTTGTGATTGTTTCATATTAAAATTTGACATCAACATCGACATGGCCTGAATGAACCTGAAGCACAGAGGTAACACCATATGTCTAACCAGTTGGCCCCAGAGGGGCAGGAGCAGTGGAGGAAAGGCTAGAGGGGCCATTCCCATCACTGCCCCTCACTCTGTCCAGGCTGTCTCGATTCTTGGATTCAGACTGTGTCCCAGAAGACAGAAGTGGAAGCAGGAGGACCCTAACTCGTGTTGGTGTAGAATGTCTCCAGCAGTGATGAGCTCCCCATTCCTGGAAGGGTGCAAGCAGGTGCTGGATGATCTCTTGGTTCTCTTAGCAGGGATATTACAGAAGTGGCTGGACCAGGTCACACTCTCTGCCCTTTTTAAATGGCAAAGATTCCATCACCATGCTCTGGGAATAAGAATCCAGCCTGGATAATTCATAAACCCTTGCTGCTTGCTGGGGGTGAGTTTCCACGGAAATGTCAGCGAGGCAGACCAGAAACTGAACAAACCTGCAGCATCTCCCTGCATTGGTCCTGAGGTCCAGGGCAGCAGGCGCCCTTGCCAGGCCCGGCTCTGCCCTGACCTTGCTGAAGGGCCACTGCTGCACACAGCCAGTTATGTAATTGGCCGCCTTTGAAGAGCGGTTGCACCGAGTCACACGGGGGTTAGCAAACTAGTTCAAGGTAATTTATGACTCTGGGATGCTCGGGTTTCTAAATACAACAGACAACTATAAACTGCAAATGCTTTAAACTCTCTCCCCAAGGGGATGCTGCTTGGCCCAGCCCAACGGGCAGCACTGATGGCCCAGCTGGCAGGGAGGGTTGGGGCATGGAGCACGCTTAGCCTGCTGGCTTAGCTCCGAGACCTCCATAGGACAAGGAGCTATCTTCCCCACCACCGGGCCTGCACACAGTGGGGTTGGTAGGCATTTGCTGCGGGAAGACACCTAGCCTTCACCACCGTGGGCCCATGATGACTCTCAATCTGAGGAGGCCAGCCTTTCTTACAGCAACCTCCAACAAATGTTTTGGGTATGATTAGAAGGCTGTGTTTTCAAATACGAAAATGGGTCAGTGGAAAGAAAAAAGGTATCAAGACCACACCTCCATTTGCTGAGGGAGTTCATCTCCCTCCAGGGCACCAAATAGCATTAGAGAGACGTGGGATGGAGGGTGTGGATAGCATGGCCTCTAGGGTCCTGGCCAGTTGCCCCTCGTCAGGGCTGGAGCTGGGGGCCAGATATGCAGGGGCTGCAGGGCGAGGCATCCCACAGGCCATGTTCTCAGCCACCTTTGACCTCCAGGAGAAGTGAATAACTCCTCCTACCCTGAGTCTCCGCTCACTGGTGATCCCATACAGTGGGAGCCAGAGAGGACTGTGAAAGGAGCATGGGGTGGTAAGGACAAGGGCCAGTCTTGGGTCCTCTGTGGCACACAGCCAGCTCACCAGGAGCCTGGGCGTCCTGGAGCAGCCCATCATTGTCTCTGCCCAATAACTGCCAGCAACACCGTTGGCAATGATGTGCTTTAGCCACTTTCAGAAGCTGATGTCTTGGCATCCGCAGCGCGAGCCCAGATCTATGGCCTTTGGCGTAACTGCTTTCTAGCCTCATGCGGGTGATGATGTTTGTCAACAATACCTTGACTTGGGTGGCCCTAGAGGTGTGTTGCATGAAAGGCAGGAGTTTCCAGGAAGCAGGGTCTACCCAGGAGCCCTGTAGTCTGAAAACGTCTGAGGGCCCCAGCCCAGCAGCAGGGCGTTCTCAGGGCTGCTACAGCTTGCAAGAGAGAAAATTCTTTAACTGGGAGCTGAGACCTCCCTGAAGCAGTCAAGAGTCCCCACAGCTGGCCCAGTCCAGCCTCAGAACCTGGGAGGGTGTCCTCTGGGGGTCAGAGAGACTGAGGCAGGCCCGGGCCTGCCATGAATCCAGGGCTCGGGACAGAGCTGTCCTACACTCTGCAAGGGGGATCACCCCATGAGGACTGGGGAATCTGACCATTCCCCAGGAGGCAGAGCTCGGGCCTGGTCAGGGTCAGAAGGAACTGCGTCGTGTTGTGGTAAGCACCGTGCATGCAGGGGTCTGCTGAGGGAGGCTGAGCAGATGACTTCCCCACTCTGAGCCTCGGTTTCCTCATCTGCAGGATGGGCATGTGAATGCGGGCTGCCTTATAGGCCTAAGCAGACTCCTTGGGGTGCTCAAACCTGTGCCTGGGGCCTCATAAGCACAGTTCAAGGAGGTTGTCCTTGTCACAGCCATTACTGTCACAGGGTAAGGGACTGAGCCACAGTCATGGTCTAAAGGGATTGTCCTGGGACCTCAGGCCACACTGGCCCTATGGGTGGGGCTCAGGAGTGGAGCCTGGGAGCTAGATGGGGCTGGACTAGGCAAGATGCCAGAAGGCTGGAGCCAGTGCCTGCTACTGCTACACGGGCCAGGGAGGGGCGGCCACCTCTCCTCTGGGCAAAGGCCTGGGGTCAGGGGTGAGGCCAGGGCCCAGGAGGTGACATGGGCTGGGCTGCCATCAAAGGCCCCAGCTCTGGTGCCCCTGGGACAGGGATGGACCTTTTCTGATGAAGACAGGGCTCTCCCAGTTCCAGGCTTGAGGGAGTCGGGACGCAGCCCCAGAGCTCTCCAGTGGGCTCCCAGGCAAGGAGCCGGAGTGGGTGGAGAGAAGGGGGTCTCTTCGACACAGACGCCTCACTGTGCACAGGACACTGGAGGGGACGAGCCAGGGAATGAGAGCAGCTGCAGCACATGCTCCTCAGGCCTTTAGGAGGAACGGGTTACAGGGCCTCTGGGTCAGCCAGCAGAGCCACTGGAGGGGGATGGGAAGGCTGTCGAGGGCCCTATTCCTCTGCTGCCAGCCCCAGGAGCCAGGTCTCCACTCATCCTCCTGTGCGCAGACCCCGTGCCTAGCATCGTGGACATGAGAGGAGAAGCGCAGGCCCTGCCCCAGGACTCCCAGTTAGACCCTCGTGCGGGACTCTGCTGCGTGGGACAGTGAGGACTACCCTGCTGGGCGGTGCAGACCCAGCCCTCCTCCAAGCTTGCATGTCCTGGCCATGGGAGGCCCCACAGGGCCGCCTGCGGGACATGCACTCCAGTGAGTGCCATGGAAAAAGCAGGGGAGGGAGAAGACACAGAATAGAAACTTGGCTGAGGGCGCTTTCAAGCCAACAACGTGAGGGCCTTGGGACTGAGGATTTCACAAAGGCTTCTCCGGCTGAGACTGATGCAAGGACAACTGCGTGTCCACGTGGGAAATGAAGGTCACCCGACTCACACCACACCCCAGCCGGCTCAGACACTGAGGACCCACAAGTGAACGGGAAAACCTTAAAACCTCTAGAAGAAAACACAGGGAACTATCTTTCCAAATTGGGGCCGGGAATGATCCCTTAAACGAGAAACAAAAAGCTCGCCAAGCATTAAACAACTGGTAGATCTGACTACAGTGAAATGAGCATTCCTATTTACCAGACACGAGGAAGAATGTAAAAGACAAACCACACCCAGCAAGGAGACACCTGGAATAAGCGAGACCTACAAAGGAGGCGGATCCAGGATACAGACAGAGCTCGCATGTGTCCACAGAAAAGGAGAAGCAGATTACAAAGGCTAATCGGGCATTTCCGAGAGGAGGAAACAGGGACAGCAAATGACCTAGGCAAGGATGCGCCACCTCCCGAGGCAGCAGAGAAATGCCAAGCAGGATCTTAAAGAGATGTGGGTGACCCCACCAGACGGACAAAAATGAGACATCTCACAGGACCCAGGGTTTGACTGCATGTAGATCGGGTGGAATACGGAAGTACTGGCAATGAGAGTGTAAGCTGGAAGGACCACTTTAAAAATCATTCTGGGGCCGGGTGCGGTGGCTCATGTCTGTAATCCCAGCACTCTGGGAGGCCAAAGTAGGAGGAACACTTGGTGCCAGGAGTTCAAGACCAGCCTGGGCAACATAGTGAGACCCCTGTCTCTAAATAAAATGAAAAATCAGCTGGACATAGTGGCACATGCCTGTGGTCCCTGTATTCGGGAGGCTGAGGCAGGAGGATCGCTTTAGCCCAGGAGTTTGAGGCTGCAGTGAGCCATGATCCTGCCGCTGCACTCCAGCCTGGGCCACAGAGTGAGACCCTATCTCAAAAGAAAATCATTTTGTCATTTTCTTGTTAGGTTGACCACTCACATACCTGTAATCCGGCAGGTCCACTCTTAGCCAACACACAAAGCAGATATGAGAAAATCTCACAGCAGCATTGTTAATAATAGAAAATAAATGGAATGACCCAAACACGCCCTGACAGGAGAATGCAAAAATAAACTGTAGAATATTGACACAATTTATTTTCACATCAGCGAAAATAAACTATGGCTGCACACAATAGCATGGATAAAGCTTAGAAACAATACAATGTTAGGTGGAAAATGCCAATCTTAGAAGGCTGCGTATGGTACACCATTTCCATAAAACTCATCAACAAATGAAACACTATATCATCTCAACATCTGCAGTAACCTGTGAGCAACAGAATGACAAACACAAGATTCCAGGTTATGGTGATCTCTGGGGTAGAAGAAGTCGCAAACACACGGGTGCAAATCATTGGGAATGTTCCCCTTCTGGAGTTAAATGGTAGGCTCACAGATAATCATTATTTTATTATCCTTTGAAATGCACAAAGAAGGGGCACAGTGGCCTGTGCCTGTGGTCCCAGCTACTCAGGAGGCTGAGGTGGGAGGATCGCTTGAGCGCAGGAGTTGAAGCCTGCAGTCAGCTATGATCATACCTGTGAACAGCCACTGCGCTCCAGCCTGGCAACATGGTGAGACCCATCTCTAAAAATAATAATAATAATAAAATGCACATATATAATATGCAGAACACATTAAATATCTGAAGATATCTGCAAAGAAAAAAAGAGGAGGATCACGGTATCTGACCACTAGACAGACCCAGTATGTGTGAATTCTGTCACTCGCAGCTGTTCTAACAATGTGTCACAGTTGGAAGCCAGAGGGCTGTGCAGTGGCCAGAGACGCAGGCAGAGACCTGAACCCAGATGAGGGCACTCCTCCCTCTGAGCCTGTTTCTCCATATGCAAAATGAGAGGGGATCATACTGGGGATGACAAATGGCTGGCACTCCTCCCACAAGTCTTGTCTTCCTCACGCCCCGGCTGATGGGCACAGCACTCTCTCTCACAAGTACACAGGCAGCTTTGGAGTCCTCGGCTTGCCACTGGAGGCTCCCAGCGATCGACGAGACAAGGCACTCTAAATGAACCTACTTACCGAGTGGAGAGTCCCTCCACTTCGGACCTGGGGGATTGGAAGCCTGGCAAGCAGGCCCTAGGTGTCTCGGTGCCTCCCGAGAGGAGCGGCTGGCCTTGGAACCCCACCTGGGCCAGAGACCCTGATGCCCCATGTGGAGCCTCAGCTTCTGCAACACCCACCCCTGCAGCCTCCCGTCACCTGAAGCCGGCCCAGCTCCTTGCTGCCCACCCACTATCTGTCCAGGCTGTCCTACTCCCACCAGGTGGGTGAGTAGGCTCCTGGTAGTCCTATGCTGCCAGGCTCCCGGCAGCTTCGCTGTACTTGGAAATAGCTTGACTAACACAGAGGCCAGGGAGGGGCCCATGATCATCCTCTAGTTCAGGGGCACCACAGGAAATGGCCCTATTGTGCCACCATGACCTTGTGCAGCTGGTCACCCCCAGGAAGGCCCCGTTTCTGCTGGGCAGGCAGAACTGACTGTATTCCTTCCACTCCCTTTGCAGTCAGGCCTCCTTTCCTGCCTTTGCTGTGTGCCCCCTCTGCTTGTGAGCTTCCCCTCCTGGTCCCAGCTGGGAAGAACCTTCCTTGTTGCCCCTGCCCCAGATACCTTCCTTTCTGGTAGGAAGCAACTGCCCCCTCCAGATGTTCATGGCACAGAGCTCAGCTTTCTGATGGAGACTGGCCTGCTGGGCTGGGGCCAGGCTCTGAGGCTCTGCCCCCACAGTTCCGGGAGCCCTCAGTGTCTGCCTCACAACCAGCATGGGAATGATAGTAGCATCAGGAGTGACAACAAGGGTCCCATGGAATAAATGGCTTTCCCAAGCACCCTCAGCTGATTCCATTTGCCCCAGCCAGTGAAGTAGGCAGAGGACAGCACTTCGCTAGCCATTTTAACAACGAGAAACTCAAGGGCCTCGTGGGCTAAGTGATTCTCCAGCATCACTGCCTCCTTCCCATGGCAGAGTCTCCTGGGCCTGCCTCCCTGGCTTGCCTGTGGCCCAGCCTATTTTGACACTTGCATTGCTTTATTATTTTGTAACAGAAAGATCCCCTTTGGAGTCCGTAATTTCCTCTCTATAAGAGACAGAAAAAGACTCATTGTAGGGCACAGCCTGGTGAATCCGAAGGGCTAGGAAGATCCGGCATGTTCCATCAGGTCCTTGAAACCACACTCCTGGGTGGACACACTTCCCTCCCTAAGGCAGAAGACCCCTGAGGGGCCACAGTCCCTAATCACTAAACAGTAGTACCTGCAGGTCTCATCCTGCTACTGCCAATTATTTTGATAAGGTCATATTGAGAGACATTACATCCAGTGACAGGGTGTTTGCGGTGATTCATCTGTCTTCCCTTTTATTCGTTTTATGAAAATTTTAAATGACAGCTGGGGCTCTGTTCTCAGAAGTCTTGGTTACTAGAAAGAACTGTGAGTTTCTTAGAAAATAAGGACAGAACCTTAAGGCAAGTCTCAAATGAGCAGAGTGGAAACAAGGGTGTCTCCTGATGCTTCTCCTGGAAACAAAGCCCCAGCATCTGCCTACAATGCACCTGGGGCCATGTGGGCCAGATTAGAGTGTGCCATGAACACCCGCGGTATGGCAGGGCCTGGAGAACCCTGCCATTATCCTCACCATGCACAAATTCCCAGAGGCAAACACCACAGGCCACTTTGCACTTGCAAACACATAAAAACAAGATTGCTCAGATTCTCAGGAATAAAGGTGTTGGAGGCTCACTCTGCTCCCAGCTGCTCCTGAGCTCCAACTCTTTCAAGCCTGTCTTCTGGCTCTACAACCACCCACTCCAACCCACCTCACCCCAGCAAGCTCCCCACCTGGAAGATTCCAATTCCTCCTTCCAACCCGCTCAGACACTCCCTCCTCCAGGCAGTCTTCCTTGCCTTCCCTCTGCCTGGCATCCCTTATCCTCATGACCTGCTCAACACACAGTGGGTTCAGATTCTGCTGCTTGCATGTCTCAGTCCCCTACCAAGGGACAAGTTTGTGAGAACAGGGCTCATGGCAGATTCACGCTGTCACCTCCTCCTTTTTGCAGGGCACCTGACACATAGTGGCAATGGAGCAGGGATTCAAAGAAGCCTGAGCTACATACCTGGTGTCTGTCTTCATGGAAATCATAGTTTAGTGAAAGACAAATGATGACAAAGAAAGTGAATTTGAGGCTCCCTGAACATAGGCCAGACCATCCTTTCCTGAGAACTTCACAGGTAAGCTGGGATCTCACTGGTGAGGAGTATGAACTGGGCAAGAGGGTGTAAGGAACTTCTCAGCAAGAGGGATTCCCATGGAGAAGTCATCAACGTGGGACAGAGCAGCTTGTGTTGCTACCAAAGGCCAGGGGGTGCCCAGACAGAGATGGGGCAATAAACAAGAGCTGAGAGACCATGCGCGCCCCAGCACAGGGAGCAATGCTGAGTGACAGATAAGCCCCATGTTGCAGGGCTGACCTCAGGGGTGCAGGGCTGGCCTGGGGGTGCTGTCTCCCCTGCTTCATGCCACCGTGGCTCTGTTCCGCATCCCACCCTCCCCTGGGTCTGGACTTAGGCTGACAGAGCAGGCTCTACTGGACCTCTGCCTTTGTCACAGCAGTAGGAAAGGAAGAGTGTCCTGCCAGCGCTGGTGTCATAGTGTGCGCCTGTGCCCCTCTCACTTGTCACCAGCCAACCCTCTGCCTTGCCTGAAGGCAACAAGGGGCAGGGCTGCCGGACCCTCTGACAGGGAGGGCACCACGACGAAGGGCACTGAGGGCACGCAGTAATCCCGCTCACTCCATGGTCAAGAGTTTGATGTTTATTTCCTACGAGCACGGAAAATCCGCTGACTATGTTTTCCATGCCTTACCAATCACTCTGGTCCTAGTGAGGAGAACAACAGATTGAAACTGGGCAGGAGTGAGTGGACTTGGGGAGAAAAATGAGGAAGCCAATTTGGTTTTCCATGAAAAAATGAAGGACACAACTTTAAGACTAGGATCAGAGCAATGGAAACGGAAAAGCATGGATGGATTTAAAGACAAGAGGCAGCCTCGATGTGCACAGGGTAGCAGATGAGAGATGTGCGGCCCAGGATGGCAAGAGGAATGCAGCAGCCGCATGCCAGCAGCTTGCCAGCCATGGGGCCGTCTCCCGGGGAGTCCAGAGTGCCCAGTCTGTGTCTGTTCTTGTGTTCCCTGGGTTCTCCTAATAAACCTCCCTTCTTGCTTAAAATAGAAAGCAAAAAAGCATGAGCTAAGTAAGGGAGGGAGAAGACGGATAAATGAGGCAGGGAGCTGATGAGTGGACTGACAAATGACTGGCAGGTGACCAGGGGAATTCATTCATGTCCCCAAATGCTCAAGTGAGGAGAAACTGGACTCACCCAGAAGAAAAAGAAAGCCTCCTCACTGGGTATCCCTCAGAGGGACCCCTCCCCTCCTCGACCTACATATCAGGGGTCTGTGTTCTTCCTGGGAAATGCTGCCAATTTCAGGTGCGACAAAGAAAGAGGTTAGAGAAAGACGGAGAGGAAAGGGGAAGGACAGGGAGGTGGATGATGGATGGGCTCCATGGAACCGTCACTTCATCTTCTCCTCCTCTCCCTGTGGCTTCTCGTTCAGAGGCCCAAACTTGACTGTCAGAGCTGGGAGAGCCAGGATGCACAAACACCCCAAAGGAGATTTTCGGCAGCAGCAGCAGCATCAGGCAACCACACAGGAACTTATAGCCTGGGGTTCATGTAGCCATAGAAGGGCCCAGATCCTCCCCTGTCTGAGTGACCTTGTCAGCCACGAAGAGGAAAGGTTTGAGACGCACAGTTGTGTGATCCTGGATTCAGCTCAGGTCATCCCCTCCATGGGTGCCTTGTGGTTCTGTCCGTGGTGCTGAAGCGCAGCTCTATGGCTGAAGAAACGCATTCTAAGACCATGCTACAGTATGTCAGAGCGCAGCGGGCTGCGGGAGTGCATTTACCCCAGGGCCTCACTTTGCTGATGACACAGCAGAAGCCCAGAGAGGGGAAGGGCTTCCCTGCAGGCTGCACAGGAGAGTCAGGGTGGGTGTGGAAGCAGCAGCCCCAGATGCATGCTCAGACACAGCCCCTTTCCTTTGGAAGCCACCCCAGGCCATGCCCACTGCCCAGAATAATCATCAGCTCTGAAACTCCAGACAGGTGATTTCCCCAAGGATGTTGGATCCCGCACAGGTGGAGATGGCTTCCCAGCCCCACTGATCTCTCTGACCCACCTCTGGCTGCCTTCCTCCCTGCTGCCCAGCTCCCTCACCAGCCTGCTTTCCGATCCTCCAAGGACAGAGATCTACAAACTACAGCCTGTAGGCCACATAGGGTTTGCTGCCCACTTTTGCAGGGCCCTTGAGCTAAGAAGGGTTTTTACATTTTTAAATGGTTGAAAACGTCAACAGAACACCATTTCATCACAAGTCAAAGTTCTGTGTAACTCCAGTGTCCATTGTTATTGCAGCACATCCAGGCCCATTCATTTACTTGCAGTCAAGGGCTGTTTTTAAACAATGACAGAGCTGAGTAGTTGTGGCAAAGGCTGCATGGCCCACAAAGCCCGAACTGTTTACCATCCGGCTATTGCCTACTCCTCTAGGAACCCCAGGCTGGCTCCCACCTCAGGAGATGTGCACCAGCTGCCCCTGCCTGGGACACTGTTCCCCTGTGTGCCACATGGTCCTTCATTTCCTCCTGTTCTCTTTGCAAATGTCACCTCTTCACAGGGCCCTTCTCTGTCCACCTTCCACACCTCCATGGATGCCCTCCACCCCATCCCGTCTCTTTCTTCATCTGGACTCATCTGATCCGAATTGGTCTTCGATGTGTCTGTGCACTCCCTCTAGAGTGTCAGCTCCTGGAGGACAGGAATCCCATCAGCCTTGCTCCTCCCTGGATCACACCTAATGACAGGCTGGCACATGGAGGGCACTCAGTGCATGCTTGTTGACTGAGTAACTGATGGCACCAGGAGAAGGAGCAGGCCTCGAAGCTGGGGGTGGTGGGGACCCCAAATCTTAGCTTCAGACAGAAGTCCCGCTCCTTTCTGGGATGGGTGAAATGGGGCCTGGGGAGGAGGTGGTCAGAGAGGGAAAAATGCCACCATGGATTCTGTTACACAGAAGCCAGCGGGTATGTGAGGAGGACAAAAGTATGCACATCCAGGAAGTGATGCACAGAGGACGCAGAGCCTTGGCCCTGAACCTGCTCTCTCAGCCATCACGCCATCTCCCACCCAAACAGGGGAGCAGCTCCAAATGCCCCTGGAGACAGTGGCCACATGACCTCGGCCTGACCAATCAGCAGAGCCAACCTCCATGGCCACAGTGATTGGCTAAGGTCTGGGCATGTGACCAATCAGGTGGTGAGGGTCAGGGCAAGGGCTGGTAGTGGCAGGGAGAGAAGGTCCATTTCTGTTGGGTGGCTGGGGCTGTGGGTGCCGCCTCATCACTTTTGAAGGGAACCAGTCCACCTGAGCATGACACTCACACTGAGGGAAGGAAGTAGAGCCAGGGAGGGGTTGGGAAAGGAAAGTCCAGGTGACATCACTGAACACCCAGATGCAGCCTTGCCTGATGCCAGCTGCCCTTAGATTTTTTAGTTGCATAAATCATTCCTCCTGCTTCGGTTGTCTGCACCACTTTGAATTGGGTTTTCTGTCCCCGGTAGAGGGTTCCTACCATCTGGCTAAAGGGAGAGCCCTGCAGCTGCAACAATGTGGATTTAGGTGAGCTTCCAACAAGAATCCTGGATGACACTGTGAGACTCCAAAACAGACTCCAAACAAGGCTTTAATCTTGAATTAAATCATGAATTCAAGCAGTATCTGTCGAGGGTGTGCTACAGGCTGGGCCACTCACGGTACCCAAATGAATCCTCAGGGAAGTAACCCTGTCAAGGTACCAACCCCTGTCCCCTCTTTAGCCGACAAAACAGAGGCTCAGGACATGGAGGGAACTAGACCACGGCCGGCGAGCATGCAGCTGGACTGCACGCCCGGGCTCTGGCTGCCTAGAAAGCCGTGTGCTGTGGCCAAACCCAGCCGTGGATGCCTGATATCTGGTCACCGCCACGTGGCTGTCAGGAGACTCATGGCAGCCACCCACATCAGAGGGAGGCAGGGAGAGTGCGGCTTGAGTCTTTTCCAGGACATTTGTTCTTGTCCTGCCTTCACCACCTCCCCACGCCTGTCCTGCCTTTCCCTCCCTCGGCATGGCATCAACAGTCACACTCATGTGACCACACAGACAATCCCCATTCACAGGGGAAGCCCTGGGGACATCTCCTTCCTCTGGGCCTTAAGAGACTTTACTCCCCCTGGGCACACCAGAGGCCTTTTCAGAATGTGCAGAAAGCCCACCGCGTCCCTTCCATGCTGCCCCTGAAACTCATCTCCCACACTCCCTCCTCCATCACGTGGCTCCCACGGCTGCCACTGGAGAGACAGAGCTGACAAGAAATCCACAGCCCAGCACCTGGAGGCACGAAAAGGCCAGGACTGATAGCCCAGGAGCTCTGCTGAGAAGGAACACAGGCTTCCCACAGAAGAGGCTGGGGAGGCCTCTGAAGTCTGGAAGCAGCGCTTGGGCCGAAGCGAATCCACAGGCTTTTGATGGCGAGAGACTCTGGCCATGGCAGGGCTAAGGCGAGGTCCCTGAGATGTACTGAAGGCCCACTGTGGGCAGGCTCAGAGAAGAAAAGGCAGCGGCCAGTCCCGGGAGTGTTCACAGACCCAAAACAGATGGGCAGGAAGGCACTGCCAGTCAGGCAGAAAGCACCCATGAGCTGCTTCCACCTGTGAAGGGTGGGGGGGCTGGCATGAGCCCCCCCATCTGCTGAGGAATGAGTTAAGGGCAAAGATGAGTAACCACGCCTCAACGGCTGTATCAGTTAGGAACAGGTTGGCCTGCAATGACAGAAAACCCTATGAAGAGTAGCTTAGAACACAAAGGCATCTAAAGTGTGGTGATAATGATGACATGAAAGACATGAGCAGCCCCGGGCTTGGCTGGTGGCTCACTACTCTCATCAGTGACCCAGGGCCACCCAGCTGTCTACTCCACCCCTAACAGAATGTTGATGTCACTCCCTCATGATCACAGTGTGGCTGCCCCACTCCAACCATCACATCTGCAGTCGGTACTCATGCCAGAAGCAAGGGAAGCATCTTCTTTTTGGCCACTTCTTTCTTTTCAGAAAAGACAATCCCTCACAGAAGCCCCCATAGGCTCCCTCTAATGTCTCACTGGCAGAACTGGCACAAGCCCCTGCCCCAGCCAGTCTCAAGCAGGAGGGAAAGAGACAGTCATGACCGACTTGGCCCAACCATGACTTTCCAAATTGAGCTTCCACACGAAGAAGGCGGAGCGGGGTGGGCAAAGGCCACTGTGTGAGCATCCAACCACACCCTGTCCCAGAGGAGGCGTGGACAAAGTAGCTGGGGGCCCAAAGCGCAAGGAACAGAACAGCAGAGGGAGCTCTTGCAAAGGGGCGGTTTGGGGAGTGAACCTGGGCGCCCGGGGGCGGGGGGGGGGGGTCCTGATCATTGGGAACAAGTTGTGGGGGAAACACTAGGCAGGACTGGGGTGACATTCTGTCCTGGCGTGGGGCAGGCAGGCAACATGCAGTTACTGAGTCACAGAGAGCCATGGTATGGGTGCATGAGCAGGAGGGAATCTCAGGCGGGTGCAGACCCTGCACTTTATGTTGTTTTTATTTTTATTTTTTCAAGAGACTAACGTCTGTCACTCAGGCTGGAGTGCAGTGGTGCAATCATCGCTCACTGCAGCCTTGAACTCCTGGGCTCAAGTGATCCTCTTGCCTCAACCTCCTAAGTGGCTGGGACTGCAGGCATGTACCACCACACTCAGCTATTTTTTTTTTTTTTTAAGAAATGGGGTCTGGCTATGTTGCCCAGGCTGGTCTTGAACTCCTGGCCTCAAGTAATCTTCCCACCTTGGCCGCCCAAAGTTCTGGGATTACAGGTGTGAGCCACCGCGTCTGGCCAGTCCCTGCTCTTTAGAGACATAAATACTATCCCTTCACGTGTCAACTTCACTGTAAGAGTTCACCCCAAGTCTCTGTCTCTTTCCTTTTCTGGTGCCTCCGCACCCTTCTGTCCTGATTTAGAAGCCAGGAATTTAGCACAGCCAGGCTAGGAGGGAACGGCAGCACACGACACGGTGGGCGGGCAGTGATGACCCCCATAAAACCTCAGCCACCAAGGACAGCTGCAGCCAAGGGCTGAGCCTGAGCTGGTCAGAATAACTCACTCGAGGGCAGGGCGCAGTGGCTCATGCCTGTCATCCCAGCACTTTTTGAGGCCAAGGCAGGCGGATCATTTAAGGCCAAGAGTTTGAGACCAGCCTGGCCAATATGGCGAAGCTCCGTGTCTACTAAAAATACAAAAATTAGCCAGGCGTGATGGGGGACGCCTGTAATCTCAGCTACTCGAGAGGCTGAGGCACGAGAATCACTTGAACACAGGAGGTTGTAGTAAGCCAAGATCAGACCACAGCACTCCAGGCTGGGTGACAGAGTGAGACTCTGTCCCTGCTAAAAAAAAGAATAACCTTGTCAATGTGGCAATCCTGCTCCGGGCTGCATAAAAGAAACGTGGGTGTGGAAGTCAAGGGTCCCGAGGGCCAGCCCAGCCCTCTAGAGTGCAGGGTTCAGAGTATCACTGTGAAGTCACAGCTCTGGGCCTCAAAGCTCCAGCACTTGGCAAGTGACAAAAAGCAAAGAGAACCTCAATTTCCTCATCTGTAGCTGGGAGTATGGTACCTCCCTCTGCAGGTTGGAAGGTAATGGCAGGAGAGCCCAGGGGCTAGCCAGGGATGAGGCCTGCCCATGCCAAGCCACTGCTGCTGTCCTTTTAATGTTGTTATTATTAATATACTTTTATAGCTTTTGGTGTACAAGCGGTTTTTGGTTATGTGGATGAATTGTATAGTGGTGAATTCTGAGACTTCAGTGCAGGGGTCACCAGGGTAGTGTACATTGTACCTGATACATATTTTTTTTCCCAGCCCCCCTCCCACCCTCCCTCTTCTGAGTCTGTGAGGTCCATTATATCACACCGTATGCCTTTATGTACTCATAGTTTAGCTCCCACTTATAAGTGAGAACATGGCAGTTTTTGTTTTCCACTCCTGAGTTACTTCACTTAGAATTATGGCCTCCAGCTTCATCCAAGTTGCTGCAAAAAGACATTATGTCATTCCTTTTTATGGCTGAGTAGTATTCCATGGTGTAGACATACCACATTCTCTTTATCCACTCATTAGTGGATGGGCACTTAGGTTGGTTCCACATTTTTGCAATTGTGAATTGTGCTGCAATAAACATGTATGTGCCGGTGTCTTATTTTTGAGACAGAGTCTCACTCTATTGCCCAGGCTGGAGTGCAGTGGTGCACTCTCAGCTCACTGCAACCTCCGCCTTCCAGGTTCAAGCGATCCTCCTGCCTCAGCCTCCCAAGTAGCTGGTACCACAGGCGCATGCCACCACATCTGGCTAATTTTTGTAGTTTTAGTAGAGATGAGGTTTCACCATGTTGGCCAGGCTGGTCTCGAACTCCTGACCTCAGGTGATCTGCCCGCCTAGGCCTGCCAAAGTGCTGGGATTACAGGCGTGAGCCACCACGCCCAGCCGACAGGTGTCTTTTTGATATAGTGACTTCTTTTCCTTTGGGTAGATACCCAGTAGTGGGATTGCTGAATCCAATGGTAGATCTACTTTTAGTTCTTTAAGGAATCTCCATACTATTTTCTACACAGGTTGTACTAACTTACACCACCAGCAGTGAATAAGTATTCCCTTTTCACCATGTCCACACCAATATCTATTGTTTGTGACTTTTTAATAATGACCTTGGGTAGGCCACTTCCTCTGTTTGCCTCAATGTCCTCATCTGTACTGGGGTGCTGATAACAGGACCCTCCTCCCCACCCAGGAGAGCACCATAGAGACACTCATCATCGCCATCCTCACAGAGGGAGGGAGGAGGGAGGCCTGGTACGGGGGCAAGGTAAAATCCGGGGGCCCTCGGTCACATCCACCCCTCTCCCCAAGCCCGGCACAGCCCGCCTCTGAGCCACCATGCATGCTGTTCCCCATGCATACCTACACTCTGCCACGAATCAAATCATGAATCTTAAACCAGGAGTCTTGAGGGAGGGTCCAGAGGCCACGTCTAGAATTTCTGAATTCATTCTAACACTTAAGAAGTGAAAGGCACTGGGAAAAAAAATTGCAGGTTTATGGGTTTTTGTTTTGTTTTGTTTTTGGTATGAAATGGGATTTGGCCTCCTGGGTGACATTCCCTCAAGCACCAGTCTCTGGAGCTGGGTCAGAGCCATCCTCTGGTTGGAGTTCCTGGTTCCAGGTCACCACAGTCCCCGGGGCTCCCTGGCCCAGGCCCTGTCCCTGCCTCTCCATGCCTGGCCCCTGCAGGCTTCTGAGTTTGTTGTCCTCACTTCAAGCCTGTGGAGTGTCACATCTGTCACCTGGGAAATGAGGACACGTCAGGCTAGCCTGCTTTGGCTCCCAAGTGGATTAAAGGGGCTGAGAATGCAGCCCTGGAGCAGGGGCTGGCGAGACCCCCTGAAGGGTAACCTCTCCCGCATCCTTTCCAGGGGAGCCAAGGCTACAGGGAAGGGAGAGGTGGCCGAGGCTCGGACCCTGGCAAGAGCTGGGAAGAACCGCTGCTGGGCAGCGTCCTCTGGAAGGCAGCATCCCCTGTCATCCTCCAATGCTGCCCCTCACCACCAGCCCCTCGCCTCCCCTTCTTGCTTACTCTGTCTGGGCAGTCCCCACACCCGCCATGCTGGGGGTTGGATTCCAGGGTTAGCACTGACAGCTGCAGCCTCTCACAGTGATGAGTGCAGGCCCCCCACATCCCAAAGCGCAGCTCATCCAGCACAGCAGGGCTGTGAGGTGGCTGCTGTTTGACCCATTCACAGTGGGAACCTCAGATTCCCAAGGGCCAGGCTTGCCCAAGGCCACACAGAGGACAGAGCCTGGGTCCGCAGGATTTGAAAGCCGTCCTGAAGAGCAGACCTCCTCCCCACAGACAGGCTGCTCCCCAGGCCATTCCACTCAGGGGAGGGAAGCACAGACAGGGTGAGTGTGTCGTGGGGGCCGGGGTGGGGGGGCGGACAGAGGACAGGCAGGGACAGGACCAAATTCCCCCGAAGAGCAGAGTCTTGAAGTGCGAGGGGCACTGCAAGCTGGGGAGGAGGGGAGAGGGTGTCCCCGGGGGAGGACGCAGCCTGTCAAAGGCCCGGAGGGTGATGCACCCTGGGAAATCCGGCTCCTCTATTGAGGCGGGAGCTGTAGGACGTGATGGGAGGTGAGACTGGAAGGTGTCATCCCCGTGTGCAAGCCCCAGACTCCCCCTCCTGCCTGACCCAGGCCCTGGCAGCTCCGCCTCCCCCAACCCCTGTGTTCCCCTCTGTCCGCTGCCCCAAGGCCCAGCCGCAAAGCTGGCTCCTCCGCCTTCTGCACTGCCATGTTGCCCTGCCTTGGTGCAGATACCACAGAGGGACCCCTGCCCTCTACATGATACAGGTTCTCATCACTGAGGGGTACAGTCATGACCTGTCTTCAAAGTTTATAGGAAATGAAAACTGAAAGTAAAAATCATCCAGGCTATTGATGGTCTCAGTGAGGCAAGGGTGACAAACAGTCCCTAGGCTCCCGGGAACGGTCCTGCCAGACCCTGGTTCTAGAGGGAGAGTGGGAGGAGGGAGAAGAATCCGACCTGCAGTGCCCTATTACACCTCAAATTTTCTCTTAATACACAACCTCTAGACCAGCCCTGAATGATGAGACACTTTAGAGACACGAGTGAAAAATGAGGAACAAATGGACTATGCACTTTTTCCCAACAGGGTCAAGAAGTTTAATATTTTAATACATATTAGAGTTCCTTTTCTCCAAAACTGCAGGCTGCATAGGCTGGAAGGCATCTAAGAAATTATACGGACAAGATCAGACACCTGGGAAGTCCTAAATCTGTCTCCTCACAGTGAGCGTTCAGGCTGAGGCTTGACCATGTCCTGATCTTTGCCTTCATTCTGCAAAGGGAATGTGGTTGGTTTTTCGAATTAAGTTTTTAAACTTGTCAGCTTAGCAGGGAACTTGTCAGTTCCAAACCCATCTTTCTAGCAATAAGCAGGTTGGACCATGCGTGAGGTGGCCTGTTCCCAAGTTATTTATTAGAATCTGCAGACACCAGCCAGGAAGGAGACAGCACACCACATTTCCAAACAAGCGCCTGCATGGGGAAGAGTCGGGGCAGCAGGAGTTCAGGAGGAGGAACAAGGGGTGCCCTGGAAGATATTGGCTCCTGATGTTTTTAGTGGGAGTCTCCACCTTCATGCATTCGATCTCCTCACAAGCACCTGGAGAGGACAGTGGGTGGGAGCTGAGTGTGGCTCTCACCCACGGCGGGAGGGCTGAAAATCACACAGTTGTGGTCCCTGGCACAGCCTGACCCCAGGCAAGTACGTGGGAAAGTGCCCTCCAAGACTGCTGTACTGCGTAAGACAGGGCTCAGCTGCTGAGACAAAGAGCCCCACCTGAGAGTGGTAAATAGAAATTTGTGTCTCTGGCATTTCAGTGTGAAAGCAGATGGTCCAGGGCTGGCCTGGTGGGGCAGGGCCAGGGAGCTCTTCTCCCTCATGGCCCTGTCATCCCAGGGGGGCTGCCCTCATCCTCCTGGGCCAGGATGGAGCTGCAGCCTCAGAGATGAAGTCCCCAGCAGCAGGACAGGCACAGGGTCAGAAAGAAGGGTCTCTGTGAGGAAATATCTCAGAAGTCGACACAAATCACTTCCCTTCCCACGCTGGAAGGACAGCTTGGTTGTACCAGCAACCTCGTTGCAAAGGAGGCTGGGAAATTCTATGTCTCAGCAGCCACATGCCCACCTAACGTCAGGTATTGGGCTTCTCTAAGAGAGAGGTGGACGATGCTATCGGGAGCCCCTGTCACAGCCCCTTCTGCCCCCAGTCACTCCCAACCCTAGTGCATGTTGTAGCAGAGTGTCAGTCAGACAGATTGCATTGTGTGTGCTGGTCCCTGAGTGATTCATCATTCAGGGACCAGCTGAAAATCATGGCCCAACAGGGGCTGTTTATTAGATTTGCTGGAAAATGGTTGGTGGATGTCCATTCCTAGCCCTGAGTCTCTCTGGCATGCAAAGGTGACAGGTCAGGGAAGTAGGGGAACAGTAGCAAAGTTCAGAATGGGAGCACGATGGGGTCGGGGAGGCCCCACACCAAAGGACAAGGGTCGAAACAGGGGCAGGCTCGGTGGCCTGAACATCTGAATTCTACCCACAAGGTCATGTTGGAGGGAGGAAGTACCATCATGTCTACATCACTAGAAAGAGTTCTCTTCAGCCGGACACAGTGGCTCATGCCTGTAATCCCAGCACTTTGGGAGGCCGAGGCGGGAGGATCACCTGAGGTCAGGAGTTCAAGACCAGCCTGACCAACATGGTGAAACCCTGTCTCTACTAAAAATAGAAAAATTAGCTGGGTATGGTGGCAGGTGCCTGTAATCCCAGCTGCTTGGGAGGCTGAGGCAGGAGAATCACTTGAACCCAGAAAGCGGAGGTTGCAGCGACCCAAGATCGAGTCACTGTACTCCAGGCTGGGTGACAGAAGCGAAACTCCATCTCAAAAAAACAAAACAACAACAACAAAAACAAAAACAAAAAAAGAGAGAGTTCTATTCCTCATAAGTCAGACTCCCCACAGATACTGCATCAGATTTGAAAGTAAAATAATATTTCCCAAATATCTAATTAGCAAGGATCAGAACAATTGCAATAGTCAGAGTGGAGAGGATGCAGGGAGGCTGCATCTTAGATGCTTCTCTTGGAAAACGTATGCGGCAATATGGATTAAGAAACTGTGAAATCTTTTTAGCCTTTGACCTAGTAATTCTACTTCTGGGAACATAATGAAGAAAATAATCAGGGAGGCTGACAAGGATTTACATGCCAAATGTTCACTGCAGCATTACTGAAATTGAAAGCAACTTTAATGATCTATCAATGGGAAAACAGTAAAGAATAAATATCATATT
This sequence comes from Homo sapiens, assembly GCF_000001405.40. Taxonomy (NCBI): domain Eukaryota; kingdom Metazoa; phylum Chordata; class Mammalia; order Primates; family Hominidae; genus Homo; species Homo sapiens. The sequence goes on from NC_000003.12 coordinate 13,152,377, forward strand.
GCTTTAAATGAATGTTTAGAAATATTAATACACTATTTTCAAATAATAGCTGTAGAAACCATGGAGCTCTCTGAGACATGAAACTTCATGAGTCTCAAAGGGCACTTGTTTTTTCCTCTCAAGTCTCTCTTCCTCATCTGCTCTATCTCAGTAAAAAGCACTGCTGTCCTCCCAGTTCTTCAAGTCAAAAATCCAAATTTGTTCTTGGTTCCAGCTGGGCGTGGTGGCTCACGCCTATAATCCCAGCACTTTGGGAGGCTGAGACGGGCGGATCACCTGAGGTCCGGAGTTTGAGACCAGCCTGGCCAACATCGTGAAACCCTGCCTCTACTAAAAATACAAAAATTAGCCGGGTGCGGTGGCTGGCGCCGTAATCTCAGCTACTCGGGAGGCTGAGGCAGGAGAATCGCTTGAACCTGGGAGGCAGAGGTTGCAGTGAGCCAAGATCACGCCATTGCACTCCAGCCTGGGTGATAGAGCAAGACTCCGTCTCAAAACAAAACAAAACAAAAACAACCAAATGAAAAAAAAGTGTTCTTGGTTCTTTTCTTTCTCTCTCAGGAGACAGCCACTCCCTAAGCAAGTCCTGTAGGGGCACCTTCCAGTGAATACCTCTGGGCTGTCCCCTCTCCTCCCTACCCCCATCCTCCCTCCCATGCCTCCCCGCCTTTTCTTTCCCCTCCCCTATCTACTCCTTTCACTCCCTCTCCCCTCCTTCTCCCCTCTCCCCTCCCTCTCCTCTCCCCTCCAGTGTCCAGGCCAGGCTAGGGCTCCTCTCTCAGGGCTGACCCCCGTGTCCTCCTCAGGGCTCCTGGCTTCCTCTCTCAGCCCAGAGCCCCTGTGCCCAGCAGCCAGAGGAGTCTGGTCCAGCGGAAGTTGAAGCAGGCAACCCCTGCAGGACTGCTCCAGCAAATCCCCTACCCTTTAGAACAAAACTCCAAGCCCGTCCTGTGGAAGTGGACTTGGACTGGTGAGGGGTGTAAGAGACAGCCCCTGGTCCAGCCGGCCAGGCCTGAAGGTCCTGGAAGAGGAGAGAAGGTCTCATTAGCAGAAGTTCAGTCATCGGGGCTGAACTAGGGATAGTTCAGTTTGGAGACCCAGAGCAAAGTGCACTCATAGAGGGCTGCCCTGCCACCAAGGGGGCTGCTCCCAGCCCCAGTCCCCAGCCTACCCCTGTCCTATGTGTTCCTGCCACTCTGGCTTTCTTCGACCTAAGATGCCTCCTGGCCAATTCCTGTGGTCACACCCAGACAATGGAGCCCTGCCAGACCCACCCCCTTCAGAAGCTGTCCCCACCCCTCCTGCAGCAGGTGGGCATGCACGGTGCTGTGCGTGTCTTTCCTTTGTAGCTATGAACAGGTGGCTCTGGATTGTAGATGGTTTCTGTCCTTGTCTCACCTTCCCAGCTGGGCAGTGAGGTCTTTACAGTGGGATCTGTGTCTGAGCCATCTCCAGGAGCCCAGTGGAGCTTGGCTGGGTGGCTGGTATTCAGGCTCCCCAGAGAGGAAACCACACGTGCAAAGAGATGGAGGTATGAGTGTGCCTGTGGCAAACTGGACGCTTCAACATGTGTAGTGGGAGGGGAAGGCTGGAGTGGGTGGAAAGGTCATCATGAGGCAGGGCATGGAGGGCCCCAAAGCCAACGGGATGAAAATCGAGGACGGATTTTAAGGACAGCAGCACTGGGTGACCACACATTGGCCTGTTATGCATATAGAAAATCCACATGGGGGAGCCAAGGGTCCCCACAACACTCCCACCCTGTCCCCAGCCCACTTCTTGCTTCCTGGTCCTGCTCTCTTGTTGCGGGGAAGAAGAATCTTATCTGACTGGTGGAACTCTAGGACCATCCCTGGACACCATCATTAGTGGGCAGGGTCACCGCATGTTCAAGGCTGTGCACCCCAAGCTGCCAGACACGCACAAGGGCAGGGCCTTCTGGATCTTCCTCAGGCTCCTTAGGAACCCAGGAGGAAGCTCCCTGATGGGTGCTAATGGGCATCTGCACCCACAGATTCACTGCCTGACATGGAAACACACCAGGAAGCTGGAACTTACATGCATATATATATATATATATATATATATATATATATATATGCAAAAACTGATACAACTGAAGGGAGTCATCCGTTATTCATTAGACAGTTACTCATTAATAGGTGGTGCTTCAATACCCTGTTCTCCATAACAATAGAACAACCAGACCGGAGATAAGTAAGGAAGCAGAATTGAGTACTTGAGCAACTCAAGACATCAACTAGATCTAACAGGACACTCCACTCAACAGAACGCAGAGTCCTCTAGTGGATGTGGACTTTCTCCAGGATTGACCACAGGGTAAGCCACAATTTAAGTCTCAAGCAATTTTAGAAAATAGCCTACAAAGTAACTTCTGGGACCACAGTGGGATGAAGTAAGAAATCAACAATAGAGGAAAAACCTAAAAATTCACAAAGTTATATAAGTTAAACAACACCCTCTTAAAGACCAATAGGTCAAAAGAGAAAGACCAATAGGTCAAAAGAGAAATCACAAGGACAATTAGAAAGTACTTAGAGGAGAAGAAAAAAAACACAACATAGCAAAGCTTATGGAACACAGCGAAAGTAGTACTAAGGAGGAAATTTATAGCTTGATACGTTAAATAAAAAGGAAGATCTTAAATCAACAAAATAACTTTACAACTTAAGGAACTAGTAAGAAACAAACAAAGTAAACCCAATGCTGGCAGCAAAAGAAAATAATAAAGATTATAGCAGAGATAAACTGATAATATCAATAAATAATAACAGTAAACAAATAACAATAATAAATCCAAACAAAAGTTGGTTCTCCCAGAAGATTGACAAAATTGACGATTCACCACTTAGATTGACCAAGAATAAAAAGACTCAACTAAAATCAGAAGTGAAAGTTAGAATTTTATTACTGATTTTGTAGAAATATAAGGATTATATGAGAGTCCTGTAAGTAATTGTACAAGAAATCATATAACCTAGATGATTCAAATTCCTAGAAACACCAAACCTACTGAGACTGAATTACAAAGAAATAAAAAATCTGAATGGACTCATAACTAATAAGGAGACTGAATTAGTAATCAAACACCTCCTGACAATGAAAAGCCCTGGACCTGATGGCTTCAACTGATGAATTCTACCAAACATTTCCAGAAGAAATCACAACAAACCTTCTCCAACTCTTCCAAAAACTTCAAGTAGGGAGTGCTTCCTACATCATTCTGTGAGGCCAGCATTGTCTTGTACCAGAGCTAAACAAAGACATTACAAGAAAACAACACACTAATACCTCTTATGAACATTGATGCAAAAATCCTCAGCAAATATCAGCAACAAAATTCAGTAGCCCAATAAAAGAATTCTGCAGCATGACTAAGTGGAATTTATTCCTGGAATGCAAGGATGGCTCAACATCCAAAAACTGTTCACTGTAATGCATACCAGAATTAAGAGGAAAAAAAACACATGGCCATCTTAATTGGTGCAGAAAACATACTTGACAAAATTCAACACTTTTTCATAATAAAAACACTAAACAAGGCTGTGTGGTGGCTCATGCCTGTAATCCCAGCACTTTGGGAGGCCAATGCGGGTGGATTACCTGAGGTCAGGAGTTCAAGACCAGTCTGCCCAACATGTAGAAACTCCGTCTCTACTAAAAATACAAAAAAAAAAAAAAAAAAGTAGCTGGGCATGGTGGTGCACACCTGTAATCCCAGCTACTCAGGAGGCTGAGGCAGGAGAATTGCTTGAACCTGGGAGGCAGAGGTTGCAGTGAGCTGAAACTGCACTGCTGCACTCTAGCCTAGGTGATAGAGCGAGACTCCGTCCCAAAAAAATAAAAATTAAAAATAAAATAAATAAAATAAAAACACTAAACAAAATAGGAATGGAAAGAAACTACCTCAACATAATGAAGACCATATACAAAAAATCCACAGCTAACATCATACTCAGCAGTGAAAGACTGAAAGCTTTTTAGCTAAGATCAGGAACAAGACAAGGATGTCATTTTTGTCATTTGGGCTCAACATAGTATTGGAAGTCCTAGATAGGCAATTAGGAAAGAGAAAGAAGTGCATGATGGAGGGACAGAAGTGGGAGCATTCAGGCATGTGGACAGACAAGCTTAGCACATTTAGCTCTGGCCTCCTTCCAGAGGTGCTCCCCTTGGATGTGGGAAGTGGCAAGTACAGAGACCAAAATAGCATGCTGTGCCAGGGCACATGGCAGAGCACTGAGGCACAGCACTGCATAAGACAAAGTTCCTGCTGACATTCCAGTGGGGACAGGCAGATAAGGGACAGAAGTAAACTGGCTGATGTGCAGAGATTGGCTAGGTTACTTCAGGTGAGATGATAAGGGAAGAGGAGCTGACATCTGAAGGGGGATTGGACTGAGGAGAACTCATCTTGGGTGAGACCTGGGGGAGCATGTTCTAGGCTGAGGGAACAGCACAGGCAAAGGCCCTGGGACACTAATGAGCTTGGAAGAATGGAGGTACCAGAAGGCCAGAGTGTGATGACCACAGTGATGGAGGAGAGAATGGAGAGTCAGATGTGGACAAGATCAAGAAAACTCTTGATGTTTTCATTTCCATTTGAGATAAGGACACTGAGGCTCAGGGAATTTGAGTCATTTGACCAAGGTCATTCAGCTTAGACCCTGGTTTCAAAGTCCTCACTGTCCCAAACACTGGACCTGGGTCAGATGCACACATACACATTGTGTCACCACCTTCTAAGTACCTTTAAGATTTGGTTGCAATAGAAGCAGATGTTTAGACAAGGCTTACCAAATGTATTTTGGGATTTAGTCTAATTCCCCATTAGTAGACTCCCTTGCCCCCACACCAATATCTCTGCCTCATCTTCTAAACAGTCAGTTATTAATTCTCTACACAAGTTCACAGAAAACAAATCAAAACGCAAAATACACCCAGTCAGATAGGTTTTTGCCCAGTGACTTCAATGTGGCTCCTATAAGATCTTTCTACTTCCCGTGTAAAGAAAGGCCCAGTAGTGCCTCTGAAAGCAGGCTGAGGGTATCCAGAGGCCATTCAAGGGTCTCAGGGACCCACAATTCATAGGCCACACAGCAGAATGAACACAGCTGAAGAAAGCACTAGTGAACTAGAAGACCATCCTGAGGAAATTGCTCAGGATACAGCACAGAGTCAAGGAGATGGAAAAGTAAAGTCCACCACAGTCAAGAATGCCCAAGAAATCTCAATCATAAACCCAGGGGAGCAAAGGAAGGAAGGAGGACAGCCAAAAGGGCACACTCTACAAGCAGCTGCTACCACCTCCTGCTCATGTAAACATGGGCTTGCCTCAGACCCTCCCTCAGGATTCTGAGCAGCCGCGTCTCCACAGACTGTGGCAGAGGGAGAAGAAAGGAAATGGATGTTAACTGAATGCTATGACATGGCATGTGCTGTTCCATCTATGCCTCATTTAATTGGTCCATGGCCTTGAGGCTAAAGTCTTTGCTCCGATTTCATCATGGGGCAGAAATTAACTGTATCTCATTGGTCTTCACACCCTTAGTAGTTAGCACAAAGACACAGTAGGTGCTCAATGAAGACTGTTAAATGAGTGTGAAATCTGAGGCTTGGAGAGCTCAGGGGCTGTTGCATAGTGACATGAGGGTAAGACAAAGAGAAAGGATTTGAATTCAAGATTATCTGCCCCCAGTGTCTGTACTCTTTTGATTCCACCGTGCTAAGAAATGTCCACTCGCCTCCAGAGGCCGCCGGCTCAGCCCTCAGTCCAGCACCTCCAAAACATGGCTGGATAGCGGCAGAGGGACCCGGCCCAGCCCCAGCCCGTCTCTCACATTTGGAGCCTGCTCCCATTCCTTCCTGGAGAGAAAGAGTTCAGCTCTGTCTACCTGGCACAGCAAACACTCCCAGCTTTGTCTGCCACGTTCAGCAGTTTTCATACCTCCTTGTGAACAAAATAAACTGTGTGTTCTCATTTTGGGTTTGGGGAAAAAGGCCCAGTTAATTACAAAGGCTGCTTTGCCTTGGTATGGAGACAGAAAACTGGATTTGTTTGGACTAATTACGTTTACTCACACATCTTGGTTCCAGCTGAGTCAATGCTGGTAACCAGGCCCACCGTCTCCAGAATCTCCCCCACCATCCCCAAACAAAACAGTCCTTGGGCTCTCCTCATTGTCCCAGCCCTGAGCCTTGCTGTTGCCTTTGGAAAATGCCAGTCAACGTTCAGAGTCCTGACGGGGAGGCGACCTACATGGGACCACCTCATGCAATATGCTTCTAAGGTCAGGGCTGGGCGTGGTAATCCCAGCACTTTAGGAGTCCGAGACAGGCAGATCACTTGAGCCCAGGAGTTCAAGTTCAGCCTGGGCATCATGACAAAACCCTGTCTCTACTAAAAATACAAAAATTAGCCAAGCGTGGTGGTGTGCGCCTGTAGTCCCAGCCACTCAGGAGGCTGAGGCACGAGAATCGCTGGAACCCAGGAGGCGGAGGTTGCAGTGAGCTGAGATCACACCACTGCATTCCAGCCTGGGTGACAGAGTAGGACTCGGTCTCAAAAAAAAAAAAATTCTTCTAAGTGTTAGAAGCAAAATTTCTGCACTTCAGTCAGCTCATGCTTATGAAGGGTACGTGTCTGCCACTGGACACTGGCATACTTGGAGAAATTCTGTTTCCTTGGAGAGACCATATGTTCAGGCAGCCTGTTAAGATCATGTGGGCGCTTATTTAAAATGCAGATTCAGGCTGGGCACAGTGACTCACCCTGTAATCCCAACACTTTGGGAGGTTGAGGCAAGCGGATTACTTGAGGTCAGGAGTTTGAGACCAGCCTGGCCAACATGGTGAAACCTGTTTCTACTAAAAATATAAAAATTAGCTGGGCCTGGTGGCAGACACCTGCAATCCCAGCTTCTCGGGAGGCTGAAGCAGGAGAATCGCTTGAACCTGGGAAGTGAAGGTTACAGTGAGCCGAGATCACGTCACTGCACTCCAGCCTGGACAACAAGAACAAGACCCCATCTCAAAAAAATGTAGATTCCCAGACCCTGCCCAGACCTACTGAGTGAGGCATGAAAGGGATAGGGCCTGGCAATCTGTATTTTCAACAAGCACCACAGGCGACACTGACTTGCGAAGGCTTTGGTGCACAGCATCCCACCTTTGCACTCGAAATCCACGTCATCCTAGGCAAGCTGTTTTGTACTTCTCAGCCTCAATTTCCCAGAGCTGAAAAAATAAGGGCCAATAATAACTCTCTTACAAGGGTGCGGGTGGTTGTGCAGATGAGGTGAGACCCCCACCCACAGTGAGAACTCATTGAATGGAACTTATTCCTATGACTGAATGTAGCTGAGTTAATTTCAAGGATTTGACGGAGTGCTGGGGGAAAAAAGATAATGCTTGCACCCTGCAGAAAGCCCTGGCACTTTCAAACCAGTATCCACATTCTCTCTAGACCCTCCACCCGGTCATTCATTTTTGCAGACTCCAAACTCCACAAACCTCTTCTCTTCCTATGGTCCCTCTTCCATAAATAAATCATTAGAAGATTCACATTTGAGGGCCTCCAGAGCCTTCCTCTTAGTGGAGTCAAAAGCAGACACATCCTCCCGGGGAACAATGAGCAAAGTCCTACATTTGCAAAATGGTCAAAAAATGAGTCATTTCATTTGTGGAAAATGAATATATCTGATCTTGCAAATGTTTTGCCTCAGGGGAAAGTAGTGAGCGTGAATTCACAAACAGGCTTCTCCATGCAAAAGCACTTCCCTGCTGCTCCGGAGGCTAAGAAAAGCAAACCAGAAAGGTGGCAACTCCGATCATTTGAGTCTAAAGAACAAGAATCTCACCAAGCAGGGACCTTGGGGCAGGGCAAGAGCTGGTGGGGAGGAGGTGTCTCTCAGGGCTATCCTTAATTTTTTAAATTTATTTTTGGTAGAGACGGGGTCCGGCTATGTTGCCCAGGCTAGTCTTGGACTCCTGGCCTCAAATGATCTTCCTGCCTTGGCCTCCCAAAGTGCTGGGATTACAAGTGTGAGCCCCCAAGCCCTGCCCCTGTGTGTCCTTAATATTTAGCACAAGCCATGAGCTCTCAAGGTCAGTCATATTTTCCTTAGGCAAATAAAATCCATACACAGCTTCACTGATTTTTCAAGTGCAGAATCTCTGCCCATTAATTTTAGTGAGTGTTTGGTAAGGGGAGGGTGTTGCGGGGGCAGTCTCCACTGAGCATGGGAGTGGTCCATTTTTCCTCTTCCTTCTGGTTTCTGGCCTGAAAATATTTATGAGTCCTGAGTCCAATCAAACACACATGAACATGTGCCTGTTCTGTGCAAGGCATCCTGCCCAGGGCTCCCAGCAAGGCCAAGATGAATCCACTGCACAGACACCCCCTGGGTGCCTGTTCTGTGCCCCACAGGTGCTGGCACCATCGAGCCACAACTCAGGGGCCTCATCCCTGTCCTGGGGGTCTTCCTCTGCCTGAGAGGAAAGACAAATGCTTAAGTCATTTGGACACAAAGCAGAAGGGACTGGGATATCAAAAGTGAAGCATAAAAGGCCACAGAGACAACCAGGAGGCCACCCTGTCAGCCCCAGCTCCCCTGAAAGCTCCAGAAAGGCAGCTGCCATGGGGGCTCTGAGAAAGGAAGGGATCTTCGGGGGGTGGAGTGGAGCATTTTCTAAACATAGGAAACATCCTGAGTCACACACAGCAGGGGGCAGGCACGCAGGAATCATGGGCCGCATTTAGAAAGGCGAGTGGCATCATTTGGTGGGAGCTGGAGGTGCGCATGGGAAGGCTGTGGAAGCGCAGCTGCGCTGGTAGGGGTGTGGCGTCCAGGGACCACCAGGGCCACTGCCACAGTGTGTCAGCCCAGGGGGAGTGCGGGAGGAGAAGCGGGGGAGGGCCGTGGTCACACTTTAGTTTTCCAACCTCCCCTCTAGCGGGTCTGGAGAGGGTAGAAGCGCTCAGAGAGAACTGCAGTCAGGATCCCAGGTTTGGGGACGCAGACCCCGCACGGACACTGCTCTGGAAGCCCAGATCTGGTGACTCTCTGTCCAGAGGGTGGGGGCAGGGTAGATCTGAATGATCTGGGACCTCTGGTCCTGAGAAAAGGGAGGCCCAGCTCCTGGGGGAAGGGTGTGACCCATGACATAGGCCTGGCAGCCAAGTCGTCAGCTGCATGGGAAGAAACACAATGCCTGTGCATGATGGGGACAACGGGCCAGGGCAGGTAAAGCCATGACGAGTCACATCTGACCCCAGCATCTTAGCCTCAGCAACACTGTCTACTGCGATGTCCACACGGCAGGGCATTTTGGGGCTGGATTCTTCAGCCCTGGAAGAACTAAACACAGCCTTCCCTGCTGGAACTTCCATCCGCGATCTCCCTTGCCCGGCTTCTCCTGTCTGTGCACCCTGCTGGGAGCTGTGTGGCTCGGAGCTGGGACATATGCTCGGCTCTGTGTGCCAGTCCCCCTGCAACGCAGAGGCCATTCCTCATTCTCCCCAGGCAGCCAGTCATGCTCACTCCTGGGGTCCCTGCACATGCTGTTCCCCCACCGAAATGTCGTTCCCATCCTCCTCCCCCAGGGCTGGGTTCCACAGCGCCTGCCTGGCAAATGCTTTCCTGATGATCCGCTGGAGTGAACACCAGGCCGGGTGGGGCTGGGGCAGACCAGATCCCCACCACGAGGGTGTATTCACTCTACATGTTCACTAGCCCCCGCTCAGGTCACCAGTGAGAGCAGGCTGTTCTCAGGGCGACCCCGTAAGGGACCCGCTGCCCACCATGAACTTTCACAGAATGAGGGTTTCAGGTAAGCAGCTGCCTTCTTGGAAGACAGAGGGAGAAGGGCACCTTGGGGGGATTGGGGGAAGCTTAGATCCCAAAGGAGCCCAGAGAGGCAGGCCAGGGAGGGCCTGAGAGGCTGCGAGGCCATCTCCTTCCTGAGCCTGCAGCCCCTCCGAGTCCATGTGGGAATCCCCTTCCACCTCAGAGCCAGCCCCAGGGATTGGCAACCCACCCTCTCCCTAACCTGTTGTTTTGAATTAATTGTTTGAACAAGTATTACATTGACAGGGTTCAGAACCCTCAGGAATATTCCTAGGTCTGCCCTGAGGAAGCATACAGGCACTGGAGGCCCTGCCCCTTGCCCTCCCTCTGAAGGGACCATTTTAAGAGACAACTGTTTCCTTCCTGCTTCTTTTTGCTGACAAATTAAATAAGAATATACGTACTTACACCTGCCCTTTCTTACCCAAAGTAGTGTGAGATGTGTACTCTCACACCCTGCTTTGCTCACTTAATGGTACATTCCAGAGCTTTCTCCATCGTGCACCAGGGCAGTCTCCCCTCCTCCTCCTCAGGGCCACGCTGTGTTCCAGGGTGGAGCCATGTGGCGGTGCACACCTCAGGCTGCAAGGGGCCTGCTGCCCCCTCCCTCGGATCCCCAGACCCTAGCCTTTGTCCATCCATCCCCCCGGGCATCCCCCCCTTATCCCTTTAGCTCCCACTCTTGCCAGCCCAAGTGCACCATCCCCAGCTAGTCCCCTCACCTGGGCTTCACCCCTGCACACAGTCCTTCTGGGACCCTCTCTCTCTCCAGTTCCCCTTCTGAGCATGCCTCTGCTTCCTGCGAGACCCTGCCTCTCACTCCCTGGACTCTGGTTCCCTGGAGCCCAACTCCCTGCCAGTGTCCCCTGCTCCAAGCACATAGCCGACTGCCCCAAGTATAAGATTCAGCACCCCCTGTGCTGCCACCCAAGAGGCTCCCTGGGATGCAGCCTCCCCCAGATCTGTCTCTTGTTCTGCAGGCACCTGGAGGACCCCACTCCAGCTGGCATCCTCACGGCCAAGCTCAGGACATCTCATCTCCCCAGCCTGTAACATCACAATACAAACCAGCCACCTCAGGCCACCACCCTAAGACCTGGAAGTCCATCTGCTGCCAGAGGGGACTGGGGGTCCGTGGGCTCTTAACTGCCTCCTGGCCTCTCCTTCGCATCCCCAGCCTCACCATGCTGACCCCCATCTCCCATGACCATGGCCTTCTTGGTCCCCCAGCTCATGCCTTGAGAACTGCTGGGCCTCAGGCCCCGTGGCTGGGGCACTGACACCCCAGGTACTGTCTCAGACCAGACCCTCTTCTAGGTTCAGTCAGAGCCTCTGGCAGAAAGCCCACTCCATGTCCACCCCCACCTACCCTCGGTTGGTGGGGCGAGGATGGGCAGGGGCATTACGCCTGCCGTGGAGACACCCCTGCATTGTTAGAGGCTGGTTAGAGCCGGGCCCACCACCAAGCATCTTAGACTTGCCCTGACCCCGCCCAGCCCAGCCCCAGGGGTGTCAGGTATAGAAGTTTCTGGTCCTAGACGGGTCACAGCCTTGGCACACTGGGCCATCACCAGCCCCAGAAAGGAAGGGACAACCACCAACCTAGGTGATCTCTGCAGAGGTCACTCTAAACACAGGGAAGCTGGGAAGGGCTTTTGCTCCAGGATGCAGAGCCAACAGACGTGCTCTGCAGATCATGCCCAGGCCCTTGGGGCACACGCCAGGGCTGAAGGGGGCAGCCAGGGGAGGAGAGGTCTGACCTGGGAGACCCGCAGGGAGAAATCAAAGCACATGGTTTCATCAACGCCGCTCACCGCCAGGATTCAGACACACGGACAGAGGTGGATGAAGCACATACCTGACGCTCCGCGAGCTTTCTCCTTCAGACCTGCAACGAGAAGAGCACACGCTTAGAGCCCAGAACCCTCTGCTCCGGGAGACCTGCACAACGACACTAGATGTGGGGACCCTGAGGCCCCAGCTGCTCCCAGCATCCCCTCCCCAGCCTCAGCAGACATCCGCAGGCCCAATCCTCCGGGGTCTCTTGCTGCTGTTCCTTTGACCTGGAACTGTATTCAGAAAGTCCACTCTTCTTAGAAGTCTTAGGGTTCCTTTCCCACCCTCTTCCTGTTTCCATCACCTTGACTGCAATTGTTTTCCCAGGATTTGAATACACCCCAGGAGTCAAGAGCAAAGCCAGAGGAGGGGTCTATGGTTCCAGAACTCTGACCTGGGCAGCAACTAAATGAATGAATGAGTGAATGAATGAATGAATGAATAAGTGAGAGCGGTGCGACTGGCCTCACTGCATCCCCTACTTGGTATTTCCAGTGTTATTTCCCCAGAACCAGCTCTATTTTCAAGTACTCAGAAATCAATTACAACCATATTACAAAGGAGACAACCTTGAATGTCAAGAAATTGGACAATCAGATTGTATTGCGCACTTGAACTTTCACGAAGACTGTGACTACGCGGTATTGACAGTGATGCCTTCCTGCTCTGTACACCAAAGGAAAGGGACTTTGGGATTAAACTCCATGCAGCTGATGGCTAAAGCCTCGCTTGGGCTTCCTGGGTCTGAAGGAGCAAAGGGCTTTGAGCAAACACATTCAGGAATCTAATCCCTGGATGTCCCAAATTGGATTTTATTGCCAGAGAGCTAGAGAAATAAAAACTTACTTAACCCAGAGTCAGAGATTTGTCTTTTTGTTCATTGCCTTTTCAGTAACGTTCCAGAACGGAAGTCAGAGCACATGCTGCACGACCCTTCAGCATAGAAAGCCCCAGGGGATGCCTTTCCCACTGAACCAAGCTTGCCCACAGATTCAGACCCGGCCTCCCTTGGTGCTGCCCAGCCTGGTCGCGCTCACCAGTAGCAAATGAGACAGAAGGCAGGTAGTCCCCAGCAATGTGTGCTCCAGGTGCCTGAGTGCACACCCCTTGTTCTAGAAGGACCTTGGTCTCCCTCTCCAGCAATTCTAATTCAGCATCAATGCACAGCAACTTGGATCACATGGTCCCCACGGCAGCAGGTGAAGTGGTGATGTGAGATGGGAATGGCGCACAGACACCTGTGGCATCTCCTTGACCCCGGGGGCCATGGGACAAGGTGCAGACCAGCCCCTGGTGGCTGAAGACCCTCCACAGAATTCCCAGGAAGCCTGATGATGGGGAGAGGAGATCCCAGGAGCAGCTTTTGAAAGTTCTTATTTTTTGTTTTTGTTTTCCATTTGATCATAGCCAGGACAGAAAAGAAAGCAAGCGGGGGGGTGGGGGGTGGGGGGGTGGCGTGTGTGTGTGTGTGTGTGTGTGTGTGTGTGTGTGTGTGTGTGTCTGTCTGTCTTCACTTCATCGCCATCTTAGGTTGCTCACCCTGGGGAAGCCGGCTGCCCTGTTCTGTGAGCAGCCCCTCTGGAAGAGGCCCAGGTGGTGAGGACCTGAGCCCCCTGCCACCAACCATGAGTGTGAGCCCAGAAGCAGATTTTCCACCCCTCGCTGCTGCAGCCCCAGGCAACATCATGACTGCAATCACATGAGCGGCCCAGAGGCAGAGCCACCAGCCACACTGTTCCTGCATTTCTGACCTCAGAAAGGGAGAGGTAGGGTGCCCTGGTCCACTGTGCGCTGACCAAGAAACACAGGGTGCAACCGGGCCCCGCTTACGGACATGCCTGAGTAGGCAGCTCCTTTCTCGCTGTCCATGGCAATGACACCACAGGCTTATGTGTGTAAGTTCCCTAATAAATGCTGTGGACTGGTCACCCAGGCGTTCAGGGATCCTTTCTTCGGAATGACAACTGGCTCCAGCTCAGGAAGGTTTGGGGCACTCCTACAGGAAACTCCCCTGCCTCTGCTCTTAGGGTAACTCCAACTATGGATTCAGCAGGACAGAACACAAGACCATCAGCATTTGCTGTCTTCAGCTCCTACGTTTTTGGGGTCACTTGTTACATGGTAATTGATAGCTAACACACAGTTCCTGCTCTGCGCCTCTATCCCAGATCTCTGTCTTGTGGCCTTCACTCAGGACCACGTGAAGCTCTCTATTTATGTCTCTTAGGATCTATCTGCCTCAGTAGGACGAAAATGCCACAAGGGTAAGGGTTTTGTCACATTCACTGCAGGGTCTCCAGTGCTTGTTATGTGGCTGAGGCATAGCAGTGCAGTCACGCCAGGAGCTCCACATTCTGGGACGCCAGGGGACAAGCACTGACCCTGAGCCATCAGAGTCTCCTGGGTCCCAGGCCCAGCTTCATCCCTTACTGGCTTCCAGGTGGCCTCAGTAGTCACTTAATCTCCATGAGCCCCAGTTTCCTCATTTGCGGATTAGGGATGATAGCAACAATTGGCCCCTAAAATGTGGTGAGGAGATAAGTACATTCCCAGCACAGAGGCTGATGAATAAAGCTGCTTCTCTCACCACCTACCCGAGGTGTGGTTTGAGGATGTGCTGACCTGTGGGGGCCTGCAGGGAAGGAACATCTGGAGGAGATGGTGCCTCCCACACACTGGAGCCCAGCTTGGGGCCTGGCACTGAGCAGGCTGTAGGAAGTGTCTGCTGTGGGAAGCCAGGACTGCACTGACCCAGAACCCACACTCCAACAGCAACACACAGTGGAGTCATCTTTTACACCAAGGATGGCACATGCAGAGGATGCCCTGGAGCCCCTGGCATAACATCGCCCGTCCTATGGCCGAAGGAGCAATAATGTGGGGAGAAAAGCGAGAGGGGCTGGGCAGCCCCGGGGTGGAGGATGCCTGTGCGTGTGTGCATGTGCAAACATGTGTGCATGTGTGTACGTGTGTGGTACACTGTATGTGGGTGTGCCTGTATGTGCGTGTGTGTGTGCCTATGATTATGGCGGCACTCAGCATGGGCAAAGAAGCAGATGGTCAGGAGCATCCTGGAGCCTTCTCGTTCCTGCAGATGAAGCTGAGATCTAGGAACAGGATGATCCCCGATGCTTTTGCATGGGCTGTCCCTGAGGCAGACCTGGAGATAAAGATTCAGCTAGGAGTTTATTTGGGAAGTGAGAAGAGAGAAGGGCTAGGGAGGTGAGAAGAGAAAGAGAAGGGGGCTAACAATGGCTGTTATCAAGCTGCCCAGCACCTCACTATATCCACCACTGTGGGAAGCTGAGGCTCAGTTTACCTGGGAGCCCTAGAAACCAGTTCAAGCTGCCTCCAGCAATCTTATACCAGGGCCGAAGCAGCTGGGAGTGGCTGAAGGCTGCTCCTGGGGAGGAGAAGTCTGCACGCATCAGCCTGCCTCACAGGTGGCCGAGGAGCTCCCCCAGGCAAGGAAGGGGAGGTGCTGACAGGTGGACGTCAGCCTGGTGGCACTTGGGGGGGCAAAAGCAAGAGGCTCAGACAGCCAGTGCTCCCCGGACAAGGAGAGTCTCTGGCTGTCCTCACAAGAGCATAGAGGATAACCAAGCCTTTCTCCAGGTGGCCTTCAGACGGCCAAGGCTCAAGTGATAGTGTTTGTCGCTCTGGTTCCTCTTCTGCAGTGGAACCTGCAGACTGCCCCCTTCGCCATGTGTGCAGCCCCTCCTTCCATGCTCACTGGACTTGAACCTCTGGAAAACTGAAATCTACCTTTCCCAGATGCCCTTGCAGCTCTGGTTCTGCAAATGTTCTCAGCTTCTCTGGGCAGAGGCCTGTCCAGACTGAGAAGGTGGGCATGAGCAGCAGGGTGGAGAAATGAGCTCCCGGCTGGAAGGGAACACAGGCTTCTGGTTCTCCCAAAGCAATTGGCTCCAGTTTCCAGGTTTAAGCCTCACAGGCAGTGGGGTTTCCATGGCAACAGTCAGGTGGATTTAGGTGATGGTCCAGGTTGTGTTGTTCCTGGCTATGGGACATCCAAGCTCGGTCCTGGACTCTGAGTCAAAATACATGGAAATAAATCCCCCTTAGCTCAAACTAGAAAGAGCAGATTCTGTTGTCTGCAACTAAGTGCTGTGACTGATCCAAATTCAAGTTCTCAAATCACCACGATTATTTTTCTTATATGGCGTGATGTAGAAAAGCGTAAGAAAAACAAGTAAAAATCATCTCTAATCCTACCACCTGGAGGTAATCGCTATCACATTTTTGCATGTATGCTTATGGGCTTTGTTTCCTGTCCATTTTTTTATACAGTGGAAATGACAGTTTACATCAGTCTATGCCCGTCTTCCTCACTTAACACGGATCATAAGCACATCTCAGGGGCCTCATCCATGAGGCCTTCAGCAGCTCCCCAGTCCAAATCAGGTTCCTCTACCTTCACTCTGCAGCAGTCTGCCCTTGGAACAAAATTCAAACTCCACACACAGCCCACAAAGACTGCAAGGTCTGGCCCTGCTCAGTCCTCCACCTTCTTAGGGTTCCAGTTTCCCCTCGGCTCCCCACTGCAGCCACACCCTTTCATTCTGCCCTCACACAGCCAAGCTCCCCAACACCAGCTCTAGGGCATTGCTGTTCCGTCTTCCTGGAAGATCTGTCCTGTCCCTGGCTTTTGATTTCAGTGGCTCCATCTTCTAATTCAGATTTTACTTTAAATACCACCTCTTAGGACAGGCCTTCCTGGTATCCCTCCTATCTAAATAGCCCTCCCCTGGCCCCCCAGATTCTCTGCCATATTACCCCATTCATCCTCCTGTGAACATGTGACAATCTGAAATTGTCTTATTTGTCTACTTGCTTATTGTCTGTCTTTCCTAATAGAACGTCAGCTCCATGAGAGGAGGTACTGTATCTGTCTTATTTATCACCATATTCCTTATAGAGTTCCTGCAAAATTCTTTTAAAACAACATGTATCTCTCACCATATACAAAAATTAACTCAGGGTGGGTGATATGGTTTGGGTGTGTCCCCACCCAAGTCTCATCTTGAATTCCCACGTGTTGTGGGAGGGACCCAGTGGCAGGCAATTAAATCATGGGGGCAGGTCTTTCCCATGCTGTTCTTGTGATAGTGAATAAGTACCATGAGATCTGATGATTTTATAAGGGGGAGTTTCCCTGCACAAGCTCTGTCTTTGCCTGACGCCATCCACGTAAGATGTGACTTGCTCCTCCTTGCCTTCTGCTATGATTGTGAGGCCTCCCTAGCCATGTGGAACTGTAAGTCCATTAAACCTATTTCTTCCCAGTCTCAGATATGTCTTTATCAGCAGTGTGAAAATGGACTAATACAGTAAATTGGTACCAGTAGAGTGGGGCACTGCTGTAGACACCAAAAATGTGGAAGCGACTTTGGAACCAGGTAACAGACACGGGTTGGAACAGTTTGGAGGGCTCAGAAGAAGACAGGAAAATGTGGGAAAGTTTGGAACTTCCTAGAGACTTATTGAATGGCTTTGCCCAAAATGCTGATAGCAATATGGACAACAAAGTCCAGGCTGAGGTGGTCTCAGATGGAGATGAGAAACTTGTTGGGAATTGGAGCAAAGGTGACTCTTGTAATGTTTTAGCAAAGAGACTGGCAGCATTTTGCCTCTGCTCTAGAGATTTGTGGAACTTTGAACTTGAGAGAGATGATTTAGGGTATCTGGTGGAAGAAATTTCTTAGCAGCAAAGCATTCAAGAGGTGACTTGGGTGCTGTTAAAGGCATTCAGTTTTCTAAGGGAAGCAGAGCATAAAAGTTTGGGAGATTTGCAGCCTGACAATGAGATAGAAAAGAAAAACCCATTTTCTGAGGAGAAATTCAAGCTGGCTGCAGAAATTTACATAAGTAATGAGAAGCCGAATGTTAATCCCCAAGACAATAGGGAAAATGTCTCCAGGGAATGTCAAGAGGTCTTCACAGCAGCCCCTCCCATCACAAGCCCAGAGGCCTAGGAGAAACAAATGGTTTTGTGGGCCAGGCCCAGGGTCCCCAAGCTGTGTGCAGCCTAGGGACTTGGTGCTCTGCCTCCCAGCCATTCCAGCCATGGCTGAAAGGAGCCAATGTAGAGCTCAGGTTGTGGCTTCAGAGGGTGCAAGCCCCAAGCTGTGGCAGCTTCCATGTGGCATTGAGCCTGAGGGTACACAGAAGTCAAGAATTAGGGTTTGGGGGCCTCTGCCTAGATTTCAGAGGATGTATGGAAACGCATGGATGCCCAGGCAGAAGTTTGCTGTAGGGGCAGGGCCCTCATGCAGAACCTCTGCTTAGGCAGTGTGGAAGGGAGTCCCACACAGAGTCCCTACTGGGGCACTGCCAAGTGGAGCTGTGAGAAGAAGGCCACCGTCCTCCAGACCCCAGAATGGTAGATCCACCAACAGCTTGCACCACGTGTCTGGAAAAGCTGCAGACACTCAATGCCAGCCAGTGAAAGCAGCCGGGAGGGAGGCTGTACCCTGCAAAACCACAGGGACGGAGCTTCCAGAGCGCCAGGGTAATGCAGCCAACCAAGAGGGCCGCTCTAGTCCAGTAGGAGGTTTTCACCACAATATTTGGGTCTTTATATCATAAGCTATTAGCTTTGAAGCAAGAATAAAAATAAGAGACACGGCAGCCAGCTATTAGGCAATGCAATGGGTGCCAGAGTCAAACAGTATTTAAAGATGGTCCAGCAGCCTTTTGGAGTCTTTAGAAAGCCTTGTGCTAGGCGCGGTGGCTCACGCCTGTAATCCCAGCACTTTGGGAGGCCGAGGTGGGTGGATCACGAGGTCAAGAGTTCAAGACCAGCCTGGCCAACATGGTGAAACCCCATCTCTACTAAAAATACAAAAAAATTAGCCGGGCATGATGGTGAGTGCCTGTAATCCCAGCTACTTGGGAGGCTGAGGCAGGAGAATAGCTTGAACCCAGGAGGCGGAGGTTGCAGAGACTGGAGACTGCGCCAATGCACTCCAGCCTGGCAACACAGCAAGACTCCATCTCAAAAAAAACAAAAAAAACAAAAAAAGAAAGCCTTGTGCCCTTCATTTCTCCCTGAGGAAATCCGCAGTGTCACTGCTATCCTTTCATTATGCATGTACAGGGCCTCAAATGCACCATCTCACGTGATACAGGGAAACTGAGGCTTAGACAGATGAGGTGGTCCACTCAAGGGCACACAGACTGTCAAAGCAGGTGGACACAGGAGAAAAGGTTTTCTTCCTAAACGCTGTAATTGACTCACCTCCAGAGGCAGATTTCCTGGGAGGCTACAGAGGCTTAAACCATTTGTACCTGCTCTTTCTCAGAATGTGCATGTAATTCTGAGTTCTTTCTCTAAAGGATCCACCTAAAACTAAGTGATTGTAACAGTTAGACCCCACAGACCTGATCAGCCCCAACCACTTCTACACCCCCAGGCCATTTCCCACTCCCTTCTCCCCTCCATTTGAGAACCTCAAACTCAGGGATGTTGTTATAAATTCAAAATAGGTACCCGAAGACCTCAGCTTCCAGAGTGTCTGCGCTAGTGCTCATTTGCAATTTCTTCCCTATTCCTGATGATTTAGACACTTGTTATGCAAACAACATCTATAGAGACCCATTCCCTATAATGCTTAAATGCCTCTTTCAAGGCCTTCTTTACCTTAAAATAAAACCAAATCCTCCTCCCTCTCCCTGGGGCCAGAGCTCAGGGGTCCCAGCCTGGTCTGACTTCAGCAGAGAGCTTCCTGCCCAGGGCTTGGTGTGTGAGAGGCTCCCCGACTGGTTAGAGGTAAGGGGCAAGCGTCCCGGGCCAAAGGGTCAGGGGTGGCAATCCGAGAGGCTTCTGGGAGGCGAGCTGAGGGGCAACCGGCACCTGGACAAGAGCACAAAACACATCCACACTCCCCCAGGAGCCTGGGCTAAGCTCAGTGCAGAGCGGTGAGTCTAAGCAGGCCCCACAGGAGCAGGTGGGAGAGGCCACACATCCACACGAGCCCATAGCCAGAATGTACCCTGCAGAAGCCGTGTCTACGGGCAGGACTTAGCTTTCCTGTCCAAATAGCATTTGAGGGATAAACATTCGTGACACTTTCTTCTTCCCTCCTTCCCCAGCCAAGTCCTCCGGGCACAGCAAGGCTCTAAGGCCTCCATCCTGCCATGGTTGGGGGAGGTTTGCGGCTGGGGAGTAGATGGAACCATGGCCAGGGGTGTGGGAGCGGGGCCTGGCACAGAGGAGGTCTGTTTTTCACAAACAGGTGTTGAATGAAGCAAAGAGGTGAGAATAGCAAAGTCATGGATGACTAGGAGGCACGTCGGCCTTCCTTAAACAGGACAGGCCCAGAAAGACTGAAGCTGGTTCATCCAGACAATAGTGAGCCACAGCAGGATCTTGAGCAGAGGAGAGCTGTGATAAAAATAACGTTCCTGAAAGACTGCTTTTGCCATCTAGGAGTGGTGTGAAAAGTCAAACAGAACGGGAAGGAGAATAACAGGGGTCATGACCAACACTTCCCGAGGGCAGATGGAGTGCCTGGCATGTCCTGACTTCTTGGTATCAATCACTGCATTCCTTCCTCAAAGGGTTCCCTTCGAATTGGACATTGCCATTGTCCCCTGGGTGCAGATGAGGGCAGTGACCTGCCTGAGGTCACAGTGCTGGTGAGGGATGGCAGCAGGACTCCACACCCGGGGGTCTACCCAGGCTGGTACCATCGGCCAGTACGGTGAGCTCTGCCGCCTCCCAGCCACGTGCCTCTGGGGAGGCCCCTTCACATCTGGGCCTCAGTGTTCCCCCCTGTGCCCTGGGAGTGGTAACTGCCCATCTCGCAGGGTGGTTCTCTCTCACTCCAGGCTGTGTTCTATCCCCTGCACTGTGGGCAAAGATCACCCTGTGAGAAACCCTCTCATGCCTCATCATTTCAGGAGAAAGGAAAAAAACATCAAAAGATTTCCTTGAAAGGCCACTTTTCACCAAACCAGCTGACGTTTTGAGTTTTCGGGTTTTCTCCCCTGGGAAAAGTCTGGAAGGAATCATTTTGTGTTGATAAAATCTGAGAAACCTCCAAGGACTTTAGGATTCACCTTGCATTTCAGTTCTGGATCAAGCAGTCACCTTGACACAAAACCACATCCTGTCCTGGGATGGCCACATGGCTGGGAATGTTTAATGTGCCAGGCCATGGGAATGTTAGGAGGGATGCTGCTCCCGGCTCTGAGTCTCGTGTCCCCTCCCACTGGCCTCGGACCCTCACCCACCTGTCCCCAGAGACCCAGCTGGACAGAGAACTAAATAGGACCTCAGCACCTGCAGCCCGGGCTCCCCCGGGGGCCTTGCTCCCTGCACCAGCCCTGTCTGGTCAGGCTTTGGGGACCGGCCCAGAGCAGACTTGGCTGGCCTCCCAAGGCCTCCTGCTCCTGGAGGAAGGCATGGACCCTGAAGCAGTGGGCTTCCAAGCCCTGCCTCCAGACTGTAGAGGCCCTTGGACAAACCCTGTGGGCTCTGTGGACAATCCCAGAGGGCTTGTCAACATGAAGGTTCCATTTGTCAGGCCCCTGCATGAGGACCCCAACCCCCTGAAGATCTTCATGTTAAGTGCTGCTGGCAACAAAAGTAGGTAGGTCTGGGCCTTGGACAGGCCATCTCTCTCCAAGCCTCAGTTTCCCCATTTGTCACACATGGGGTGGGTCCAGAGTAGTGGTTCTCTGAAAGTGTGGCCTGGGCACCCACAGCATCAGCATCACCTAGGAACCTGTTAGAAATGCAAATTCTCTGGCTCTACTCAGATCTCCTGAATCAGGAACTCGGAGTGAGCCTGGCCTCTGTGTGAACAGGGAGATTCTGGGGGCTTCTAAGGCAAGCTAGAGTGCAAACTCCTGCTGCAGATGGTGTCTCAGGATTCCTCGCTATGGAGTCTATGGGTCCTAGGAGAGGCGGCCAAGACACAAGGGCTCGAACCATCCTGCTGTACAGAGTCTAACTACACTCACTGAGCCAGAGGCCCGGGTTCCTACCCGCTTCCCCACAGCAGGCTCTGGGTGCTCCTGGGGCAGGTGGCGCCCAGCCTCAGACCCTGGAATCTGAATCTTGTGCACACAGAAGTAAGAAGCAGGTGAGGGGACTGGGGGCTGTGTGGCAACCAGATAATACTGGGAGCGCAGCCACTGCGGTGCAGGTGCCCATGCCTGATGACCCCGGAAAGGCTTTGTCCTCTGGGTCAGCAAGAGGCTGCACTGCCCCGGGAGTCCACATTGGCTGCAGACCAAACTCACGTGGCCAGCTGGAAGCCTTCATCCCACTGGAGACTATACAGCCACCTGCCTCCTGAGCTCACCTTTAGGACACTGAGCAGGCATTTTGCACTCAGCCTGGCCCAGCTGACCCCCATGGCCTCCCCATCTCAGCGGGGGCTCCTCCACCCGTCCCAGCGCTCAGGCAAAACACTGGGCTGTCATGTCGCTCTGTATCTTCCACACCCTGCTGTCAGCCCCCAGAAGGCCTGAGGCACCCCTTCCAGAATCAGCCCTTTCCCAACCCTCTCCTGCCCTGCCTGGGCCAGGCCACCAGCAGCACTCCCTCTAACAGTAGCAGGTGTGTCCTCGTGGGTCCCCAGCTCCATGTCACCCCCATGTCTGCCCTGCACACACAGCCAGATTTTCAGGAGATGGACAAGCTCACAGCCCCCTCAGAGCTGCCCTCGCTGGCACGTCAAGCCAGCATCACCTGGGCTGGAGCCCACTGGTGGTCTTTCTGCTCCCCCCCCCCACCTCCTCCCACCACTGTCTCTCTCGCCCCCACTCCAGCCACCAGTCCTCCCGGTGTTTCTCACACACAAGGCCACTCCTGCCGCAGGGCCCTGGCTCCTGCTGGTCCCTCCTCCTGGCATGCGCTGCCCCAGGCACACAGCATCGTCCCTTCCCTCAGATCTTGGCTCATATGTCACCTTCTCAGCAAGGTCATCCCTGACCACCTGCCTCACACATACCCAGACCCACCAGGGTGGACTACCCTTCCCTCTCTCACCAGATGGATCCCTGGAAGTCTCTGTCTGCACGTGACAGCTACTCCAACCACTGCTGAGCTTCCAGGAGCTTCCCGTGATGGCAAGGTACCAGCTGTGTGCCGAGTACCAGCTGTGTGACTCTAGAGAGGTTACTTCACCTCTCTGGGCCCATGTTTCCTCATTTGTAAAATGCACCTCCACTCTAGGTGGTTATGGAGATTAAGGGACTATACCTGCCTGGAACAAAGCAAATGCCCAATTAGCTATGATGAGTGACATCATTCCCTGCTATGGGCCCAAGTTTCCTGGGCTGCAGTCAGGAGGCCGGCTGTAGTTCACCTCCCCCTGCTCTGTGTGACTGAGGGCAAGAAAGGGCATCCTACAGTTGAAGAACACAGGATCGCCCGGAAGCACGCTGAGTCCCTCAATGGCTCTAAAGCACATCCCCAAAGCCTGCCACACTCCTCCTTTCAACCAGTGGGACTGGATTCCCTTTGTGAATATGGGCTGGACTTAATGATTTGCTTCTTGTCTCAATCCATCTGGGTTGCTATAACAAAAATGCCATACGCTGGCTGGCTTATAAACAGGATAAATTTATTCCTCGACGTTTGAGAGGCTGGGTAGTCCAAGATGAAGGCTCCCCTAGATTCGGGATCTGGCGAGGGCCACTTGTCCGGTTCACAGATGGCACTTTGGTGCTGTCCTCATATGGTGGAAGAGGCAGCTGGCTCTCCAAACAGGAGGCTGGCTCACCTCTCGGGTCCTTTATAAGGACACAAATCCCAGTCCCAAGGGCTCTGCCCCTGTGACCTAAGTACCTCCCCAAACTTCCTACCACCATCACCTGGGTAATTAGCTTGCAATTTACGAATGCTGGGGGCACACAAGCACCCAGACACTTCTGATGAGCAGAAGGGGGCAGACGTGACAATGGGCGATTTCTGTGGTTGGGTCATGATAGACATTGCCATTCTGTCTTGCTCTCTGTGATTGCTCGCTCTGGGGACACTCAAGCAACCTATGGAGAGCTCCACGTTGCTCTCCTGGAGCAACTCAGGAGGAACTGAGGCCTCCTGCCAAAAGCCATGTGGCTGAGACAGGTCAGAAGCAGATCCCCCGACTCCAGTCAAGTCTTCAGATGACTATAGCCCCCACCCTGAACTTGCCTCAACCTCAGGAGAGACTCAGCCAGAACAACGTCAGAACTGGAGGATAACAAGTGTTCATTAAGGTTTGAAGCCAGACGGTTCGGGGGTCTTTAGTAATATAGCAGAAAACTGCTACTAGAGTCCTCCCCTCTTTGACTCTCCAGACCCCATGAGAGACACCTTCTTCCACCCTTACCCCTAGCCTGACCCTTGGGAGCCTCTGCTCCACCCCATTTTGTGACAGCACAGAAAACCATGGTCTCTCTCTCACCAACCAGTAAAGCAGTCGGGAACACATTCTAAACACAGATCATCAGTTCCCCCTCCTGAAGCAAGCTCAAAACAAGCCCCAGGTCCCAGGGTGCAGCCCTCTCAGCAGGGCACCATGACCCCAGGCTTTGAGAGACCAGCCGGCATCTTGAAGCACCCAGATGCATGTGGACACCACACCAAAGCACAGAGCTGGCAAGGGACGACCGGAAACCCAGGGCACCTGCCTGCCGGGAACAGGCGAGGTCCGTGCATTTAGGCCAGCTTTTAAATGCGTCAGTGAGCTGCCACAAAACTAAGAAAATAGCGAGGAAGAACCAAAAAACCATCAGCTCGGTACAGATAGGGAAATCTGTTGTATCTATACAATGGAATACTGTTCACTCATAAAAAGGAATGAAGTACTGATACATACAAACATCACATCTGGATAAAGAAGCCAGGTACAACAGGTACATACTGCATTGATTCCATTGACATGAAATGTCCCAAACAGGTGAAACTATAGAGACAGGCAGTGGATTAGTGGATGTCAGGGGCTGGGGAGAGGGAACAGGAGTGACTGCTAATATGTGGAGAGTTGGTTTTTGGGCTGATGCGAATGTTCTGGAATTAGACAATGGCGAGGGGTGTACAAGTCTGCGGATACCCTAGCAACCACTGGATTACACACTTTAAAAGGGCCAAGTGACAGTTTGTGAATTACATCTCAACAAAGCTCTTAAAACAACAAAATGGACCAGTGGTCCCTGACAAGGAAGGAGCTCTAATAGGAGGCCCTGCTCAGAGCTGGGACCCCAGGAGCTGGGCCTACAGCAAGAATTCCTGCCCTGCCACCCCCACCCCATCCCCATGCTGGGTAGAGAGAAAAGCAATGGCTTCCCCTGAGAGTGCACAACTGCCCAGAAAAGGGACAGGCCAGGCGCAGCACAGAGCAGGGCAGGAATAATTCCCACAGTGGGCACTCCTGTGAACCTCATCTCCTTTGTGATGATTTACCCCGGGACACCAGCCTGAGCCAGCCAGCAGGGCCACAGCAGGCAGCCACATGGGGCTTCACCCCCCATTCCCCATCCCTGTGGACAGAGGTGTCTGGGTCTCAATCCTGGATCTTTTTGTGTGGCCCCTGGGGGAGGTGAGAGGGGAACTCCACTGCTGTGCTGATGTGGGTCCCCCGCCGGGCCTTCTGCTAACAGAACAGTTGTTGCTGTTCACGGCCACCCACACTGCCTGTCCTGCTGTTGGTCCCTCTGCTGTCCACATGCACAACCTCACAAATGGCCATGCTGCAAGTCCCAGGGTCGATGCAGAGCCAGCCACTGGACCTCTCAGCCTGGGAAGGCAGGGGCCTGCAGGGGCTACACAGCCACTCTTGGAGGATACCAACAGCTGACACTAGAGGGTACAGATGGAACTCCCATAAGAAAAGAAGCCCCCTGCATCCCCTAGGCCTGGGGCTGGGTGGGGAGAAAGCCACAGCAACATCCCTGAACAGCTAGGCTCAGCCACACTGGCAACAGCCATGCTGCCAAAACACCCTGAACACACTGAGATACCTGTTCTCTTGCATTTGTTCTCCATGGGTCACAAGTCGTGAGGAAACACACCAAATACCAGAGAATGATGAGACTCCCAGACTACCCGAGTCCCGGGCAGTCTCTGTCCTGCATTCATTCCTTCTTCCTTTCAACAAATATTTCAGCAACTACTGTGCCCACTGCTGTGCCAAGTGCTGGAGATTCACTGGTGGCCAGATAGACACAAGAGCCTGCTGTGACGGAGCTGATCTTTTGGGGTCAAAGTCAATCAGCAAATGAGCAAATAAAGAGGCAATTTCAGACACTGGGAAGTGCTAGAAGCCAGGTCAGGGGTGTGGTCAAGAGTGAGGATGGGGCTCTCAGCCCAGTGCCTTAGTGCCTTCAGGCTGCTGTTACAAAGCACCATAGACTAGGTGGCTTATGAACCACAGAAAGTTATTTTGCTCCTAGCTGCAGGGGCTGGAAGTCTGAGATCAGGTGCCCTTACAAGGGCCCTCTTCTGGGTTGCACCCTTCTCAGCTTCCCCTTGTCCCCTCACATGGCAGAGAGCAGTAAGCCCCCTGGGGCTCTGTTCTCATCAGAGATCTCAGGTGGCAGGCAACCTATGCACTCAAAATCTAAGGAAGGCCTCTGAAAAGAAAGCAAACATGAGCACTAACCTACTCCAAATACTGGAAAAAGTAACGGCTGAGAATCTGCTAAAATTAATGACATTCCCAAACTACAAATCCAAGAAGGCATAAGACATCAAGCAGATTAAATATGAAACCAATCCAACAGTCCCATAGACTGTTCTTTTTTATAAACATAGAAACTGACCCTCTGGTCTTAAAGCTTGAACCTTACATTTGTTTTATCTGAATTCCTTCCTCAGGAAACACCTTCGGTCATCCCAAAAAAGTATCAAAGAACTGAAATTCACCAGATCACCACATCCAGACAGTGAGATGCAGGACCCCTTATTCATCATGATGGCTTCCTTGCCCCTCCCTAGTTCCTGTTTCTTATATATTGTTACATTTCCTCCCTGCTACATAAACCCCTAGTTTTAGTCAGTTAGGGAGATGGATTTGAAACTGAGCTCCCATCTCCTTGGCTGCAGAGCCTGATTAAAGCCTTCTTCCTTTGCAATACTCAATAGTCTCAGTTGTTGGCTCTCTGTGAGGTGAGCAGCAGGACCTAGACCAAACCCCTGGTGTTTCAGTAACAAATACAAAACAAAAACAGCAGAAGCCCTGGCATACCACATTCAACCTGCTGGAAGACAAAACCAAACAAAACATTCAAGGCAGCCAGAATAAAAAGAGACATTAACTATAGAAAAACAAAAGATGAGAATTACAGCAGATTACTCATAAAAATTATGCAATCCAAAAGACAATGGAATGACCATGGAATGAAAACTGTCAACCCACAAGCCTATACCTCGTGGAAATATCATCACCCATAGACATCACACAGTGATAAAGGGGCCAATTCTCCAAGGAGACACAACAATCCTAAATGTGTGTGCACTTAACAGAGCTTCAAAATGAGAGGTGACAGCGTGCTGGCAGTCCTCACAGCCCTCGCTCGCTCTCGGCGCCTCCTCTGCCTGGGCTCCCACTTTGGTGGCACTTGAGGAGCCCTTCAGCCTGCCACGGCACTGTGGGAGCCCCTTTCTGGGCTGGCCAAGGCCGGAGCCGGCTCCCTCAGCTTGCAGGGAGGTGTGGAGGGAGAGGTGCGGGCGGGAACCGGGGCTATGCACGGTGCTTGCGGGCCAGCGCGAGTTCCGGGTGGGCATGGGCTCGGCGGGCCCTGCACTCAGAACGGCTGGCTGGCCCCGCCAGCCCCGGGCAGTGAGGGGTTTAGCACCTGGGCCAGCAGCTGCTGTGCTCAATTTCTCGCTGGGCCTTAGCTGCCTTCCCGTGGGGCAGGGCTCAGGACCTGCAGCCCACCATGCCTGAGCCTCCCCCACCCCCTCTCCGTGGGCTCCTGTGAGGCCTGAGCCTCCCCGACGAGCACCGCACCCTGCTCCACGGCGCCCAGTCCCATCCACCACCCAAGGGCTGAGGAGTGCAGGTGCATGGTGCGGGACTGGCAGGCAGCTCCACCTGCCGCCCCAGTGCGGATCCACTGGGTGAAGCCTGCTGGGCTCCTGAGTCTGGTGGGGACTTGGAGAACCTTTATGTCTAGCTAAGGGATTGTAAATACACCAATTGGCACTCTGTATCTAGCTCAAGGTTTGTAAACACACCAATCAGCACCCTGTGTCTAGCTCAGGGTTTGTGAATGCACCAATGGACACTCTGTATCTAGCTACTCTGGTGGGGACTTGGAGAACCTTTGTGTCCACACTCTGTATCTAGCTAATCTAGTGGGGACGTGGAGAACCTTTATGTCTAGCTCACGGATTATAAATACACCAATCAGCGCCCTGTCAAAACAGTCCACTCGGCTCTCTGTAAAACAGACCAATCAACAGGATGTGGGTGGGGCCAGATAAGAGAATAAAAGCAGGCTGCCCGAGCCAGCAGTGGCAACCCGCTGGGGTCCCCTTCCACACTGTGGAAGCTTTGTTCTTTCGCTCTTTGCAATAAATCTTGCTGCTGCTCACTCTTTGGGTCCACACTGCCTTTATGAGCTGTAACACTCACTGCGAAGGTCTGCAGCTTCACTCCTGAAGCCAGCGAGCTCACGAGCCCACCGGGAGGAACGAACAACTCCAGACGTGCCGCCTTAAGAGCTGTAACACTCATCGCAAAGGTCTGAAGCTTCACTCCTGAGCCAGCGAGACCACGAACCCACCAGAAGGAAGAAACTCCGAACACATTCGAACATCAGAAGGAACAAACTCCGGACATGCCACCTTTAAGACCTGTAACACTCACCACGAGGGTCCGCGGCTTCATTCTTGAAGTCAGTGAGACCAAGAACCCACCAATTCCGGACACAAAAATATATGAAGCAGGCTGGGCGCGGTGGCTCATGCCTGTAATCCTAACACTTTGGGAGGCTGAGGCGGGCGGATCATGAGGTCAGGAGATTCAGACCATCGTGGCTAACGCGGTGAAACCCCGTCTCTACTAAAAATACAAAAAATTAGCCGGGCGTGGTGGCGGGCGCCTGTAGTCCCAGCGACTCAGGAGGCTGAGGCAGGAGAATGGCGCAAACTCGGGAGGTGGAGCTTGCAGTGAGCCAAGATCACGCCACTGCACTCCAGACTGGGCGACAGAGCGAGACTCCGTCTCAAACAAACAAACAAACAAACAAACAAACAAAATATATGAAGCAAAAACTAGGACTGAAAGAAGAAATAAATCTACAAGTATGGCGACTTCAATAATTCCTTCTCAGTAATTGATGGAATAGAGAGAAAATCAGCAAAAATATAAAATACCTAAACAACACTGCCAACCAACATGACCTACAGACATATACAGAATACTCCACATGACACCAGAATATACACCCACCCACCCACTGATGCATGCATCCATACATCCCACAAACTACTGGGCATCTATTACAGGCCAGGCACTATACTAAGCAGAGATGTTTCAAGCCCATCAGTGAGTTTACAGTCTAGCCAGGTAGACAGACTTGTAGACAGATCATTTCTCCTACAGCATGGCTGGTGCCATGACACAGATGGAGGCAGAGAGAACAGCAGGGCCACAAAGGAGGAGGAAACCCAAATACCCAGCACCTAGCCCAGCAAAAGCCCTCAGCATATATCTGATGAATGAATTTGTTTTTTCTTTTGGATATGTTTTGAGTGACTTTAAAATGAAATCTATAATGGAATATTTTAAAATTATTTTTGAATATGTTTAAACATATTTTATTTAACTTGTTCATTGTCCATTTCCACCACCAGAATGTGACTTCCCCAAGAGCAGTGACTGCTCCTGTCTAGTTCACTGCTGTGCCCCAGGACCTACAGTGATGGCCAGTAAGCAGTAGGTGCTCAATAAACATTTATATGTTTAGTGAATGTATTTCTCTCTAAGTCCCATGACTTTGCCTATCATTTTCAGCCATTCTTGTTGCCTTGGAACTTATCAACCACTCATGGTCTGCAGAGCTACCTTTCAGAGATTTTGTAGGACTTACATTGGAATCCCCTCTAGTTCTCCCTCCTTCCATGCCATCATGGGCATGTATTGGCTTTGTTTGCCCAGCATCCATTCCCCATTTTCTGGTATCTATATCTGACAATTTGCTTTTGGCAAACCATCAGTCTGATGCTCCCATCTGTGAGCATCATCTGGGATTGAGCCTACTTCTCTGTTCAATGGGTGGACATGTAATTAATCCATTCTGGGCAATCACAGCCCCATACTCACGAGCCACAATGACTTGTCCAAGGATAATAATAATATTCATGGTAAAAATATTGTGTGTCAGGCACTGTTCTAATGGGTAAAAGGATTGCTACATCGATAGATGATGGCTATATGGATTATACCAGTGGATAAACGGGTGGCAATGGATAGATGAGTGGATGCATATAAAGATAAGTGGTGGATAATGAGTGGATAGATGGCTAGAGAGATGGGTGGGTGAATGGAAACCTAGGTGGAATATTCACCAACCAAGACCACATTCTGGGACAAAAAACAAACCTTAATAAATTTAAGAGAACTAGAAATTAGATAATCACTTCTAAATCTCCCCAGGTCAAAGAGGAAATCGCAAGGGAAATTCAAAAATATTTTGAATTAAATGAAAATATAACATATCAAAATATGTGAGCTGCAGCTAAAGCAGTACCTGAAAGAAATATTTATAGCATTAAATGATTTTATGAGAAAATAAGATCTCAAATAAAGATTCCACCCAAAGAAATTAGAAAAAGTAGGCCGGTCGCAGTGGCTCACGCCTGTAATCCCAGCAGTTTGGGAGGCCAAGGCAGGTGGATCACGAGGTCAGGAAATTGAGACCATCCTGGCTAACACAGTGAAACCCTGTCTCTACTAAAAATACAAAAAATTAGCCAGGCATGGTGGCATGCACCTGTAGTCCCAGCTACTCGGGAGGCTGAGGCAGGAGAATCACTTGAACCTGGGAGGCAGAGGCTGCAGTGAGCTGAGATCACACCACCACACTCCAGCCTGGGTGACAGAGCAAGACTCTGTCCCCACCAATAAATAAACAAACAAACAAACAAACAAACAAACAAACAAACATAAATAAATAAAAAAGAAATTAGAAAAAGAAAAGCAAATTAAATCCAAAGCAAGTAGAAAGGAGTAAATCATAAAAATAAGAGAAGAAATCCATATAATGAGTTTCTCATGCTGGTAATCCCAGCACTTTGGGAGCCCTCAGGCCAAGAGTTTGAGACCAGCCTGGCAAAATGGTGAAACCCTATCTCCATTAAAAATACAAAAATTAGCTGGGCATGGTGGTGCAGGCCTGTGGTCCCAGCTACTTGGGAGGCTGAGGCAGGAGAATTGCTTGAACCCGGGAGGCAGAGGTTGCAGTGAGCCAAGATCATACCACTGCACTCCAGCCTGGGCAACATAGCAAGATTCCATCTCAAACAAAAAAAAAGAAAAATGAAAAACCATATGAAAAATCAATTAGGCTAAATTGGAAGAAGTCAGTAAAATTGAGTACCCTCTAGACCAAGGGACAGCAAACTTTTTCTGTAAAGAGCTAGAAAGTAAATATTTTAATATTTAATGCAATTCTTGTGTTTTGTTTGTTTGTTTGGTTGGTTGTTAAACACTTGAAAACTGGACCCTTGCTTGGTTTTACCTGCAGGCTATAGTTTGCTGACCCATGCTCTACACAGACTGATCAATAAAAGAAGAGAAAAACATAGCCGACAAATAAGGAAAGAGCAAGGACAACTCTAGGTCCATCAGTTTGAACACTGAGATGACTTGAGCCAATTCCTCAAAAGATACAAACTGTCAAAGTTCACTCAAAAAGAAATAGATTAAAATAATAGTCCTATATCTATTCAAGAAATAGAATTTGTAGTTGAATCAAACAAATATTCTGATAAAGACAACTCCATGCTTATGAAATGGCTTCACTAGTGAATTCAAACAAGTGAAGAAGAGATAACACCAATTCTACACAAACTTTTCCAGAATATGAAGGGAGGAGTCACTTCCCAACTAATGTTATGATGTCAACATTACCCTGATACCCAAACTAGACAAAGACATAGCAAGAAAGAGAACTCCTGAGCAGTATCCCTCTGAACATGGATGCAAAAATCCTCAACAAAATGCTAGCAAATAAAATCCCACAATGAAGCTGGTCAGCATTGGAAAATTAACAAATGTAATTGACCATATCCACAAACTAAAGAAGAAAAATTACATGATCATGTCAACAGATGCAGAAAAAGCCTTGACAGTATTCAACACTGATTCATGATGAGAATTCTCTGCCCATCAGGAATAGAAGGAAATGTCCTCAGCCTGATAAAGGGATCTGCACAGACTTCCAGCTACCTTTATGGAGAAAGAATGGGTGTTTTCCCCTAAGATCGAGAACCGGGCCAGGACCTGCATTTTCCCACCCCTATCTAACGTCACCCCACAGGTCCTAACAAGTGTACTAGAGCAAGGCCAAGGAATAAAAGCCATACAGATTGGAAAAGAAGAACCAGAACTGTCTCCATGCACAAGCGACAGGATTCTCTCAGTAAACATCCCTAAGGATCTCCAGAAAAGCTGCTGGAACTGTTAAGTGTGCTTAGCGAGGTCACAGGATGCAAGCTGAGTGAACACAATTCCATCGTTTTCTATCTGCCAGCCATGGCCAGTTGGGAATTGAAGTGAAAAAGCAAGGGAGCGATAAACACAGACGCTAGTTCGGGAGTGTCTGGGTGTGGGGCGTCAGGGGACAGGATGGGGAAAAGGAGTGAGGCAGATAGATGGACCTTCCTTGGTAAAGCTCCAGTTCCCGAGTAGGGCCATGGGTCTAAAGCAGTTCCTACCTCCACACAGACAAACAGACAAGCAGGGAAAACCAGAGAGCAAGAGTCGGAGACCACAGATGCCAGGGGTTTCAGATTCGGGGGATCTGAGGGTTTCCCACTCCCACCCACGCAGACTGGGGCAGTTGTAAAGGTTCTGTGAGTGGCTTTTGGGCAGGGAAACTAGGAACAAATCCTGGTCCTGCTGTGACCTGCGGCCTGACCTTACGCAAGTGGCTTGACCTAAGACACCTCATCTGTCAATGGGAGTTGTCACCTCGTTCTTCCCCAGGCTGTTTAGAAGGCCAGCACCCACTATTCCGTCAGGTCTCCACTCAGAGGCTGCCTCCTCTGAGAAGTCTTTGCAACCTCCCCTGCCCTCCCTGGTCACACCTGTCCTATTGCCCCTTCTGTACCTAATGCTCTCCGAAGCTGTCTTGTTCCTTTGTCTACTTGTTTATTCTGTGCCTTGCTCCCTTGGACGTCAGCTTGTTCTCCACAGGGTCCTGTGCCTGGGACTGCGCCTGCTATATGGGAGCACCTCAGCAGATATTTCAGTGTGAAGGCATAAAGCGTGACAATGGCCAAAACAGCAGCTTGATTACTTCCACAAACACAGGCATCATTAACTATGGCAGACAGCCCATTCCAGGAGAGACAAACCCAAAGATAAAGGCTGGAACGTTGCTGTAGCTAGAAGGACTATGGGGAACCCGAGGTTCACAGAGGAAGGGGGTTGTCTAAGGTCACAGGATAGCAGAGATGGCATTAGATCCAAATGCTTTTTACACTGCATCCTAATCGCTGGAAAGCACTTTTGACACACCAGGAGATCCATTCTCCGAGGAGCCAGTGTCTGCAGAACTTCGGTGTGATCCATCCTGGATGCCACTGGCTGGCCCACTTTTCTGGGCATATTTCTCTTCATTCCTGTCCAGGGCAGAACTGCTGCAGGGCACCTGCCCAAGGTGGGCGGGTCCCATAGCAAATGCCCTTCAGAGAAGACAATGAGCAGTGGGCTTTGACGCCATGACTCACTTGGCTTGTAACCATCCTTAGCTGAGTTGGACACACTCAGCAGGATTTAAGGGAGGTGGTCAGCAAGTCTGCTTAGCACCAGTGGGAGTGAGTTCACTGCTGTTCTCGTCCCACATGGAGCAGGGGCAATCATTAAAGCTGCTGTCTATATCTATTACCCAACATAGGTAATTGAGGATCCTCAGCCACCCCACTGGAACGTCTGCTCCCTGAGGGCAGGGATGGGCCTGTCTCATTTGCTATTGGGTCCAGCACTGGGCCTGCCTCTGGGTGGAAGCTCTGTAAATATTCTGAAGCTTGCACTGGGAAGAGATCTTCTCTTAGACCATGAATTGTGATCAAGGAGGAAACAGTGACAGAATTTGTATAAACATGATCATTACCAGAGATGAAAAGTCTGACAAAAAGGGTGTTTATGACTGCTTAAAATACCCCACACCTGGAAAGAAGTCGGCTGGGAGTGGGAAAAGCTGGGGAATTGGACTCTCTGGTATTTTAAAGATTTGCCTACCTTGCAGTTACTTTAAAAAAAGAATCCTTAGCTTGGGTTGGTGCCGCCTGCCAGTCTGTGAGGACCGCCTACAGCTGCCTGAAAGCCACAGGCATGTTCCTATGCAGAGGCCCATCTGGAGATCTGGATGCACAGACGGGGCAGAGCTAGTTCAGGGTGAGTCCTTGGGTGGTCCCAAGGAGGAGGGGATGGCCAGACACGTGAACATGGTGGAATGCGGTTTCCTCCCTGAGGCACAGGGGCTGGGGCTCCCTGCACTGGACGGCGACCCTTTGGCAGACCCAGGCTCCGTCAGGGACTCAGGCTCAGCTGGAATGGTCTTACCTGGATCCTGCCCAGAAACCCCAGAGGAGGCATCCCACAGCCCAGGAGTAGAATCTAAAGGCCCTGAAGCCTTCGGATGAGGAAAGAGCACACTGTCTGCCCTTCCTCTCTTCCATGGCCCGCTCCTTACTTCCTTCCCTCCCTCCTTCCTTCCTGCCGCCTTTTCTTCCTTCTTCGTACTTTCAGTCCTTCCCCCTTCCTTCCTCTCCTTCCTTCCTCCTTTCTATCCCTCTTACTTTCTGCCCATCCATCCTTCTGCCCACTATGCATGTATCCACCCATCCACCCACACACCTGTCCAACCATTCATCGTCCTACCTCACAAACCCCTACTGAGTATCTACTATGGGTTAGGCACTATACTAAATGGAGATGCACCAAGCCCCTCAAGGAGCTTGCAGTCTAGCTGGATAGACAGTCTTGTACACAGATCACCTTTCCCACAGCACGGCTGATGCCATGATACAGATGGAAGCAGAGGAGGCAGCAGGGCCACAAAGGAGGGGTTGGCACTCCCAGGACCTAGCCCAGCAAAAGCCCTCAGCACAGCCCTAATTCTGATGAATGAGTTTGCTTAACTTGTTTTGAATGTGTTTTGAATATGACTTTAATATGAAGCCTATCATGGAATACAAATTTTTGAATTAATCTGAATATATTTACATATATTTTATTTAACTTGTTTATTGTCCCTCTCTCCCACTGGTATGGGGTTTCCATGAAAGCAGTGACTGCTCCTGTCTAGTTCACTGCTGTATCCCAGGACCTAGGGTGCTGGCCAGCACACAGTAGGTGCTCAATAAACATTTATACACTAAATAATAAACTTCTCTTCTGGGTCCTGACTATCTTAGTCCATTCATGCTGCTATAAAAATACCAGGGACTGGGTAGCTTATAAACAACAGAAACTGATTTTTCACAGTTCTGGGGGCTGGGAAGTCCAAGATCAAGGTGCCGCAGGCTCGGTGTCTGCTGAGGACCCACCTCCTTATGGAGAGCCACCTGCTCACTCTAACCTCCCATGGCAGAAAGGACAGGAGGCCTCTGTGTAACCTCTTTTATAAGGACACTAATCCTACTGAGGTGGTCTCCACCCAAGACCTGA
Organism: Homo sapiens; assembly: GCF_000001405.40. Taxonomy (NCBI): domain Eukaryota; kingdom Metazoa; phylum Chordata; class Mammalia; order Primates; family Hominidae; genus Homo; species Homo sapiens. Next base: position 13,187,943 of record NC_000003.12, read on the forward strand.
TCACCCCCCAGAGGCCCCATTTCCTGATATCATCACCTTGGGGGTGAGGATTTTGACACATGGATTCTGGGGGACACAGACATTCAGACCACTGACCTGCCTGGGCCTCCCATCTCCAGCCATTCTGTTTGCCTCAGAAGTTGCCAGCCACGCCTGGCCTGTGCATCTGCCTTTAGACCTCTGGTAGGACCTGAAACTGAGACTGCTTCTAGTTGTCCCTCCTTTCATGCCCTGTTGTGGGCATCTGTGGGCTTATCCTACCCCATTCCTATTCTCTGTCTTCTGAGAACTGTCTCCTGACCATTTTCCTCCAGGAACCACCTCCTGCTCATGCCCACCTCAAGGTTCACATGGAGCACAGCACCCTCCTCCACTCCAAGACAGCATGTGATCCCAGACCAGCTATCAGAGCCCTGCACTCCAAGCCACTGTGACCACTGCAGGGAGGATCACGGTAAGAGTCATAGTCAACATCAGATATGTGCCAGGCACTGTTGTATGAACTTTTCACTCATTAACTCTTTTAACCCTTACAACAAAGCCCAACAATATAGATGTGCTACTATAATCCTCATTTTACAGATGGGGAAACCAAGGCCCAGAAAGGTTAGGTGACTTATCCAAAGTCACACAGCTCTTACGAGGCAAACCCAGCTTTGAACCATGCTCACTGGCTCCAAAGTTCATGCTCTAAACTACCATGTGGGCAAAAGGCAAAGCCACACAAGTGAGAGTCAGTCTCCAGACTTGAGCTCAACCTACCGAGCTAGAAGTCCTCTTTCACCGCAGGCCTGGAGCTGTCAGACCACTGCAAGCCAAGAGGCTCCACAGGAAAAAGCCAACTAGAGGGAAGCAGAGCTGAGAGAGGGAAAGAGACAGAGCCAGGGTTGCAGCCCTTGGATCCAGCCATGCCTGAAGGTTGACCTGGATTGTTTGTTTTCATGGGCCCCAAATTCCTTCACCAGGATTTGAGTGGGCCCTTAAGTCCATTTTTGTTGGGATTGTTTCCACTCACTTCAAGCCTGGGACCCACACCTGGCAGCACCCCCTCAGGAGGAGTTTAGACTTTGAATCTTGGCCTCTGCCCAGTCTCTCTCACCTGTGTCCCAAATCTTTCCACCTGTCAGCCCAGGCTTCTCAGGGCAGGGCCAGAAGAGATGAGCAGCCCCTCCTATCAACAGGTAGGTTGGGAGAGCTGTGCTCTGTGACCCCACACTGCCAGGAAGGAACTTTGCAGCCACAGGCTCCCCACACTGCCAGCATCCTTCCTGTGCCCATGACATTGGCTCCCTCTGGGCTAAGGACCTCTGACCCAGTTTCTTCTGCAGCCCTACAGCATAGCCCTGGTTTGGGAACTGGTTACCAGCCCAGGGAATGCTGACCCAGCCCTGGGGTGAACCCCAATCCCCATTCATCCCCAGCTGACGGTTGAGGTCCTGCTCCAAGCTAATAAGCCAACACCTGCCCTCCTCCCCAGATGCCCTGGGCAGCAGGGTTCTGAGGCCTTGACCCTCCACACCTGCCTGCCAGGACCCTCCTCCTGACTACATCTCTCATTCCATTCTTCTCCTTTGCCAGAACAAGTCCTCCAAAGACTTCCCCAGAGGCAACCCCACAAGCTTCTCCCCTGCACCCACTACAAGTGACAGCAGAACATAAGTCTCAGAGGAAAACTGAACTGCATTCCCTTCTTACTGGCATGTGCAGCTGGCCCAGTGCCCCCAGCCCTGATCACGAGGCTTGCCCAGCACCAGCTCCACCCCTGAGCTTCCTGCCTCGCCACTCTACCCTGCTGTTCCCTCTGCCTGCAAGGCTCTTCCCCCAGGTCCTCCTGTTCCCCCAGGTCTCAGCTCAAAGGCCACCACCTCAGTGGGCCTTCCCTGAGACCCATGTGAGCTGTCCCCACACCCCAGCTGATCTCTGCTCATCTGTGACTCATCTAGGCCAGTTGCTGGGGCCCTCATCCTGTTGCTGACATGCAATCCTTTCATGTCAGTTCCTTCCTCCCTGACCCTCCCAGAGCCGTCATGCCTGGAGAGCCAGCTCTGAAGCTGCCCAAGCAGCTCATGGCCCCACCGCCCTGACCACCTGGGTCTGGTACCTGCCACAGCTGCCTAAATAGAGTTCCAGCAGTTTCCCAGACTCTCACCTCAGTGCAAACTGGACTCCAGTGTCCAAGGTTCTTATCTTCCTGCCTGAACAGCCTGTCTGGGTCCAAGAACCCTCCCCCCAACCCCAGACCACAGCCTGCAGGAAGGAACCCCAAGGCACTGAGGGGAAAAGCCATTTCCACTTCCAGTTCTGGTCCAGACCCTCTTAGGCGGCGGATGCTCCATGAGTGCGAGTGGGGCCCGGCTCCTGGCTCACGCCCGAAATCCCAACACTTTGGGAGGCCAAGGTGGGAGGATCTCCTGATCCCAGGGGTTCGAGACTGGGTTGAGAGCAAAACCTCATCTCTATACAAAATAAAATAAAAAAAATTAGCCAGGCATGGTCCCAGCTACTCGGGAAGCTGAGATGGGAGAATCTCCTGAGCCCAGGAGGTCAAGGCTGCAGTGAGTTGTGATTGTGCCACTGTACTCCAGCCTGGGTGACAGAGCAAGACCCTGTCTCAAAAAAAAAAAACAGATAAAGTGTGGCCTTGACCTCCCTGTAACACAAACTACTCTTCCTCCTACCAGCCATGGCAGTGTCTACGAAGGATGGAATGACACTGTCTGATCATTCATGCCATTGTTGTTTTAGTAGCCAGAGAATACAGGCTTTTCATGGACTACAGCAAAAATAAGCCATTCTTTTCTAAATTGTCTACATACATAAACACTGTAAGTTGCTTGAGAGTAAGCCGTAAGTTAAAGGAGAGTACAGGTAAATACACTGAAAGGAGAAAAGTCCCAGAGCAGTCCCCAAATGGGAGGAGGGCTCTCTCCCTACCCCTCTGCCTCACTAAATCCCTGACTCCAGGCCCCTGACACAGACATTTCCAGCCCCTTCTCTACTGTACCCTAGTGCAGGCCCAGGAGGGCGACAGCAAACTGATGCCTCCGACAGCACCCCTCCTCCTGCCCCCAACACACCCCTTGCCATGGCCGTCCTGTGGGCAGGACATACCCCGGTTCAGCATAACCTAATTCTATCTTCAGGCCACAGAAGAATGCCTGTCACCCCATGTTTTACATTCAGCCGTGGATCCTCCCTCGATTTGACACTAAGACGTGGGGCTTCAGGTTGGCCTGGACACAGAAGCCTGACAGTCTGTGCCTGGTGCTCCCTGGCACCACTAAACTCATCTTTCTGCATCCTCGCTGGGCTGTCCGCCCGATTCCTCACAGACTGCAACCCAGACCTCTCCAGAGCTGGGCACAGGCTGGGCATCTTCCTCATGCTGCCATAGCTATCTTCGTCGTATTCACTTATTTTGTTTTCTGTGAACCCCAGGGAAAACCACAGCCGTGTTTCGGGCACTGCCTCCACCAGGACTCGTGAGCACATGTGTATTTCCAGCCTGCAGCTCCCAGTCCCCACACCCAGCTAATTTTTTTTTTTTTTTTTTTTTTTTTTTTTTTGTATTTTTAGTAGAGACAGGGTTTTGCCATGTTGCCGAGGCTGGCCTCGAACTCCTGGCCTCAAGTGATCCACCTGCCTCTGCCTCTCAAAGTGCTGGGATTACAGGCAATTACAGTTTGCATGTGGCCCAAAACTGGTTTTTTATCTTTTTATTCTTATTTCTTAGATAAGAAAGAAACTTTTAAAGACATGTCCTGGGTTGTCTTTTGGGGTAAATTTCTCAGCACTAGCTTTAAAGCTACTATGTCCTCTTTGATAATTTCCTTCGCTTGACCATCTGTGGAGGTTTTGCAGTCCTTCTTTCCATGACAGTGTTCTTACTTTGTAGCCTGGCTCACTGGTCCTTCTTCATGCCTCCCTGTCCTTGTCCCATGGATGTTTTCATTTCATGACAAATAGATGAATATTTGATGAATATTGTGCCCTGTATCCTCTTAAGGAGTTCAGTTATGGGTTCCATGGTGTCCCCCTCTTCATAATAAATATGTTGAAGTTCTAGCCTCCAGTACCTCATGCCATGTTCTGATTAGAAAGTAGGGCTATTGGCTGGGCACGGTGGCTCACGCCTGTAATCCCAGCACTTTGGGAGGCCGAGGCGGGCGGATCACGAGGTCAGGAGATCGAGACCATCCTGGCTAACACGGTGGAACCCCGTCTCTACTAAAAATACAAAAAGAAATTAGCCAGGCATGGTGGCGGGCGCCTGTAGTCCCAGCTACTCAGGAGGCTGAGGCAGGAAAATGGCGTGACCCCGGGAGGCGGAGCTTGCAGTGAGTCGAGATCGCACCACTGCACTCCAGCCTGGGCAACAGAGCGAGACTCTGTCTCAAAAAAAAAAAAAAAAAGAAAAGAAAAGAAAGCAGGGCTATTGCAGATGTCTTAGGTAAGATGTGGCACACTGGAGTAGGGGTCCCCCAGTCCAATATGCCTGCTGTCTATAACGCGAGGGAAGTTTGGACAGAGATGCACGCAGGGACGGACGACGTGAAGATGCAGGAAGACAGCCCTGCGGAGGTGGAGGTGGAGACAGGAGGGAAGCAGGTATAGGCAGGAAGCGCCAGGACCACCTGCCGTCCCCAGAGGCTGGGAGAGAGGCCAGGTGAGTATTCTCCCTCGGGGCCCCAAGAGGACTCACCCTGCATTCAGACCACCAGCCTGCGGGGGCAGTGAGAGGTTTCACAGCTCTGTGGCTGGGAGCCACCCACTTTGTTATGGAGGCCCCCGACACAGTCCCAAACTCCACTTCTTGTGTAGACATTTCCCACAGGCCCTGTGTGTCCACCTGGCTGGGCTCCTCTCCCACGTAGGGCTTGCTGGGGCCCTGCTCAGTGTCAGCTCTGGAGTTCTGCTTTGCAGATTCACCTTGAGGGGGAGCATTTGCCTCACCCCTGCTCCCAGCAGCAACACCTCCCCTGAGGCCTGAGTGCAGAACCAGAGTGAGGCCTCACGCTGGCATCCAGGACCTCTGTTCCCAGTGACAGCAACAGGGGCCATCTCTGGGCAGTGGGCGAAGGTCCAGTCCTGGCCATGTAGCTGCATGCAGTGCATCCTCCAGCCCCTAGTGGCCAGACAGGAACCCAGTTGCAGCAGGGATGGGCAGTGTCTTTTCTCAGCCTTGTCCTACGAGCACAGGATGCCCACCTGCCCGGGGCTCACACACAGAGCCTGCCCCATTCCCCGGACTCTCATGGGCATCTCTGCTCCCTGTCGCCCACCAGCTCCCTCTCTGCCTGTGAGTGTGGAGTTCAACAGATCCACAGCTTCAGCCCCACTGATGACTGCGCTTCTGAGCCATTTCCGGCCTGTGGCAATGTCTTTTACATTCTGAATACATATTTGGGGGTGGGAGGTCTGAAATCCACCAGTGAGTTTTAAACTAGGAAGGTAAAGATCAGAGGTGGCTTGGAAAGAGCTCTCTGGCTACAGAGTGGTGACCACAGGAAGGGGAGCACGCTGGGGGATGAAGGATGTGGACGGTCGGGTGGTGACTGGGAACAAGGCACAGAGGGGACGAAGAGGAGTGCCAGCCCAGGCCGCCAGGGTGACAGGAAGAAAGGGAGGGGAACAGAAGGTGCAGTTTAGGGGGTGAGGAGAGAAGTATCATGAGTTCAGTTTGGGGTGTGCCAAGCTTAGGGGTCTAGAACACTTAAGATGCGGGAAAGAGGCAGTTGGAGACCAAAGGCTGATGTCAGAGCTTAAGCCTCCCTCCTCCAACGGGCTCTCCCTGGACACATGCTGTGCTGGACGCTGTCCCACTTCCCCCGGCCCCACACCCTCCTGCCTGCACCTGCTCACACCCAGACCTGGCCTGTGTGACTCCACCAGCGGCCAGCAGCTTCCAGTGTCCATCAGTCAACCGGGCTGACAAGGACCATGCCCTGGGGCTTCGGCCACAGACCAAGCTTGGTTTCCTCACAGCTCTGGAGCCTGGAATTCGGAAAGCAAGGCTTTGGTTGGCAAGGGTGGTTTCTCTGGCAGCCTCTCTCCCTCCTTGGCTGGCCGACAGCCCCCTTTCCTGAGTCTCTGCATGGTCTTCCCTCTGTGTGTGTCTGTGACCTAATCCCCTCTTCCTAAGAGGACACCAGTCAGATTGGATTAGGGCCACCACCACGAGCTCATTTCCCCTTAATCACCTCTGTAAAGGCCCTGTCTCCTCATCCCGTTCTAAGGTTATGGGGGTTAGGGCTTCAGCCTATGAATTTGGGGGTGTGTAACTCAGCCGGGAGCAGTTGGAATGAGTCAGTGGGGGGTGCCAGCAGAGGCAGGGGAGGTTGGGGTGCTCACTCCGCAGCTGCCTCCCGGCTGGGCTGCAGGTTTATTCCCGTGTTTCTTGACCTACAGCAGAAGCCAGTGTGAGGCAGCCTCTCCTATGCTCTGACTCTCACTGGGCTCTGGGGACACCGCCTGTCCCCTGTCCCTCAGGTGCCGGGAGTGCCTCCTCCCAGCGTGCCAGGCCAGGCACTGCCCACCGCTCTGTGATTCCTAAAACTTCCCTCGCAGGGCCAGCTGCTTCCTGTCAAGGCGCCCCAACTCGCTTTCCACCCCCCTTCTCAGAGCTGCTTTCTACAAGCATGTAGTTAACATGTAAGGCCCACCACAAACCTATGATCCGAGTTGGAGGGTGCCCACCCAGAAACCCCAGAGGAGACCCCTCGAGGTAGACTGTATTTTCCAAAGACTGAGAGGCGAGGTCCGTGCTTCCTCCTTTGAATCTGGCAGGCCTTCCTAACAGACCTGACCCGCAGAACAAACAGGGAATTACGGCACCGAGGGACCTCCAGGCTCAGACATCCGCAGGCAATACGAGCAAACTCCAGCCTCAACCTCAGACCCTAACCCAAAGTGGATCATCGGCTTAAATGGAAAATGTCAATCCACAAAACCTTTAGAAAAATACATAGGAAAAAAACCCAGACCTAGCCTGAGGCAAAGAGTTCATAGACTTGACCCCAAACCCACAATCCACACAAAGAAAAAGCAGGAAGTTGGACCTCAGCAAAATTGTAAAATGTTTGCTCTGTGAGAGATACTGTCAAGAGGACGATAAGGCATGCTACTGACTGGGGAGAATGTTACAAATCCCACATCTGACAAACGAGTAGTATCTAGAATATAAAAAATGTTCAAAATTGAACAGTAAAACACCAAACAATCCAGTTAGAAAATGGGCAAAAGACACAAACAAACACTTTATAAGATACACAGATGGCAAATAAGCAGATGAAACGGTTCAATGATGTTAGCCTTGTAAGACACGCAGAAAATGCAAGATGAGATGCCACTGCATGCCTACCGTGATGACTGAAACAAGAAAGAGTGGTGACACCAGAGGCCGGAGAGGATACAGAGAAACTAGATCACTCAGGCACTGCTGGTGGGAAGATAAAATGGTACAGCCTCCGTGGCAAACAGTTTGGCAGTTTCTTATAAAACTAAACATGCAATTACCATATGACCCAGTAACTGTACTCAAATGCACTTAAAAAGCAAACTGTGGCGAATCCAATTCATGGAACACTATTCGGCAATCAAAAAGAATGAATTATGGATACACACGACAGCTTGGACAGAAGCCAAGGACATTTACACAGAGTGAAGAAAGCCAATCTCAAAAGGTTACACACTGCATGATTCCACAGAGACAACATTCTTGCAATGACAAAATTACAGAAATGGGGTTGTGCAGGGAAGTGGATGTGGCTGTCAAAGGGCAACATGAGGGGTTCCTGTGGTCCTGAAACCGTTCTGCATCTTGACGGTGGTGGTGGGCACGACAAAACTGCATAATCCTAAATATACCCACAAATGAGTACAAATAAAACTGGGCAATGTGGATAAGATGGGGGGATGGTATCAGTATCAATAATACTTCTAGCTGGCATATTAGACTGTGGTTTTGTAAAATGTTACCATTGGAGGAAACTGGGTGGAGGGGACGTGGGTCTGTCTGTATTATTTCTTATGACTACATGTGAATCTACAATGGTCTCTGAATAGAAGGTTACTTTTTTAAAAAATTACTAAGAGTTTCGGTTTTTTACAAAAGAGGCAATACAGCTCCCATCTGGTGCTTTTGTCCCCTCCCTCTTCTCTTTCTCTCTTTCTCTGGGGACACTCACGCTTTGAACCCAGCCACCATGCTGTGAGGAAGCCCAGTTTACGTGGGGAAGCCTGGGAGGGGGTGCCAGCCCATAGTCTCAGCTAGGTCCCAAGAGGATGCCAACATCGACCGAGACACGTTAGTGACAGAGCCTTCAGGTGACCCCAGCCCAGCCATCCAGGCACCTGAAGCCTCTGAGTCTTCTTCCAGCTGGTGCCGCAGACGTTGTGGAGCAGAGGCAAGCCATCCTGACCTCAGAGACAAGGAAAGGTAACGCATGAAGCCTGCTGTTCTACACCACTAAGGTTTGGCAAGCTTTGTTCCCCAAGGTGCACATTTCCTTCCTCCTCAACCGAGGGCTCAATGTGGCTTCCTTCCTGAGCGCCTCTGAGACAGGCTCCTGTCACTGCAGCATTTCCCAGGCTGCTTGCCCTGCACGTCTGGCTGTCACTCAGCCCCATCTCCTGGAGAACAGGCCACAGGGAGGGCTGCGTGAGCAGCCTGCCAAGTCTCCCTGCTTCTTTCCCAATGAGAAGAACACACGTTTCTGATTCCCTTTGCAAATGAAAGGTAAATCTTTCAGTGAATGAATAATGAATATCCCTGGCATGCGCGTGCGTGTGTATGTACATGTGTGTGCGTGTGTGTGTGTGTGTGTGTGTGTGTGTGTGTGTGTGTGTGGTGGGGAGCAGGCTGGAGAGCCCATCCCAGGAAGTCCAGAAAGAAGCAGCCGCAGGGGCTCTATTCCTTGTCTCTCAGGCCACACAGGCTTGTCCCAAGTCAGGGGGAGCAGGAGAGTCTGTGGGATCCGGGTGGGGGTGTCACCGGGCAGCAGACCCAGCTCAGAGGCAGGAAGGGTGTTCTCTGAGGCAGGATGCGTAGGGAGAGTTGAGGAGGGCTGCAGTTAAGACCCTTGCCACGACACTGCCTCCACCTGGAGGCCCCTGTGCCCTGGGACACTGTGGACCATAGACCAAGACAGCAAGGACATCAAAGGCTACCTCCTCTTGGGACTGTGTAGCTTTGTCTGCCTCTCCAGGAGCCTGAAGACATCTGAACAGATATCCCCTACGGAAGGTCAGGGATGCACATGAACCATGTCTTCCTTCACTTGAACGGGAAACGCTTGCTCCCTGCACACATTTTTTAAAAATCAACATTTGCAGCCCCCAAGCGCCCACAACAGCGGGAAAGAGGCATCTTCATAAACGGCAGATGCATGGCCAGGGGCGCTGGAGGGTGGGGTGCTCCCTGCCCCACTGGGGCTGAGCTGGACAGGCACTGAGTTCCCAGCCTGGCAGACAGGACGTGCTGGTGCCCGGCCCCATCCTGAAGTGTCCCAGCAGCCAACACTCATCACCAGGCCAGCTGCAGGGCAGGCCACTCTCCACAAGGCTACAGGGACTGGGGGCCTCAAATGTCCCCCACAGGCTGCATAATGACCAGGGCCCCTACGACCAAGCTGCCCGCCCTATTCAGCAGCATCTTGACAGAGTCCAGACCCAGGCCCTGATAACTTCACGGCCGCATGCAGTAGTCGCTAGTCAGCATCCCACCTTACGACCAGCAGAGTGGTTCAGGGAGGTGCACAGGCCAGGCATGGGTGGGGCATCAACATTGCAAGCTGGTAGGGAAGTGTGCCCCGTTCACAGGTGGGCACACTGAGGTCCAGAGAGGCCAAGGAAGATAGTCAAGGCCGAATTAGGCTTTAGTACAGGCTGGACATGAGCTAGGTGGGAGCGAGTCCCCCAGCCAGCGGGAAGAAAAACCCTGGTCTTGGAGGGCCTGAGTGGCCTGCCCAAGGCTGCCCAGCAGGAGCGGAGCGTGGTGCCCGCGGCTTGGATGTGTGTGCACAGCGTGCACCCGGCCTCCCGAGGCCTCTCTGTGGAGAGGACTATGCCCTGTGGCCCCGGGGCAGGGCTTAGACTCTGTGGGCACGCAGGGTCTGAAAGGACAGAGATGATGACCCTTGCCTGGAGGAGAATTGTGTGAAGAGGTGCTGAGCTCAGGCCACGTGGCCTGTTTTCTCTAATTCTAACAATTTCTGCTCATGCCCCACAGAGGACCCCTATAATTTAGTCCTACGGTCAACAAGCTCATCCAGACATTAAAAGGTAATTTACTTTCTGCTTCTCCTGCTTGTTATGGCCCATTTGTGGGCTTTTTTCTCCCAAAAGCATAAGCCTTGCAACCATGTAAACACAAAATATTTAAAGAGTAATTCTGAAGCTTGGGATGGCCGTGGGCTGTCCCCCTGGAGGTTCTGGGTGGCTCATCTGAAGAGTGCATACCGCGCCTAGAGATCCAGTCTGAGAACTCACCAACCAGGGTAGGCGGGGGGCAGGAAGGGGCTCCACCCAGAGTGAGATGCAGATTTCACGCAGCTCAGCTCCTAGGCGGTGATGACCGCTGGAATGTCCTGCCACCACCAAGAGTCCTGTGCATGACACTCTGGGTGGCACAGGGAAATGCACATGTTCTGAGTTTGGCTTGGTGGTGACCTACAGCCGGGATCATACCACAGCCAACTGCCTTTGAATTCCAGCTCTCATGCCGGCTGGCTGCGTCCTCTTACACACCATGTGACCATGGGCAAGGCACTGCCATGTCTTAGCCTGTGTTTCTCCACCACAAGAAGAGGCTAAGCCTCCACCCAAAGCACCCAACACAGCAAGGCACGTGGGAGCTGAAGCCAGTGCCTGCTGGAGCTCATGCCCTTGGAGTGAGGAGTTATTATTCTGCTGAAGAAAAGCAGAATCCCACACTTTCTGTTCCTGGGAAAGAAAAAGCCTGCTGAGGAGAAATGCCCAGGACGGAATACACCAGAGTGACCATGGCTGGGCTTGGGAGGCTGCCGGGCGAGTGTTTAGCCTGTATTTTCCAAGCTCTCTGTAATGTTTTAACTTGCTTCCATAATGAAAACCCATGCACATAAAGGGTGTGGTCAGTCACTCCTGCATTCAGCCACATGCATGGCACGGCGGGGGTGCGAGGGGACGGGGGAGCTGGTGGGGCAGGCGACACAACATGGCAGTGAAAAAGTAAGACCAGCCTCACATCAGAGAGAGCTCTCAGCCCGGAGGAGGCACTGGCCAGGCTTAGGATGGAAGAGAGCTGGGGCAGTGAGAAGGCTTTGTGGAGGTGGCCGCACCTGGCCCCTTCTCTAGGAGCCAACACATTTGACGCAGTCCTGGTTGACAGCTTGGGCTGGGGACTCTGGCTCCAATTGTTGTGACTGAGAAAATGGGCGTGGGCCAAACCTCCACCCCAAAGCTCCTAGGGCACCCCCTGGGACAGGGGCCGTCCAGGGACATCTGTGCAGAGCAGCAGCCCCTTTCCAAGCTGGGCAGCTCGCACAGGACTGTGTGGACATTGCCTCAAATCCTCCCCACAGCCCAGCTCTGAGCAGCACCGGTGTCCCTGCCTGCCACTCCCCACTTGCTGTGCTGTGGTCGCCCCTCCGCTCCTTCCCACCGACCAAGGCCAGCCCCGCGACCCTCCTTCAGTGTACTTTTCAGGTCCTGTGCAGCGACTGGCCCCATATAGGCTTCCTGCGCCACGGCCTGGAGTGGCCCCTGAGGCCCTTAGGAACCTGCTCGCCCACGAGGACACCCTGCCCCCATCTGAGTCCTCCGTGGCTGTCCCCGGACGTGAGGATGCCCTTCCCTCTGCTCCAGGCAAATGCTGCCAGGACCCCTGCAAGCAGCTGGGACAGGGTGGAGAAGCAGCCCCCGCAAGGGAAACCAGCACACCACACACATATGCCACACACACACACCACACACACACACAACAAACAGATACACCACACACCACGCACGTCACACACACACACACACCATACACACATACACATACACCACACCACATACATATGCCACACATGCACACACCACACACACACGCCACATGTACATCACACACACCACACACTACACACGCACACACACCACACACATACACACAACATGCATATACACAACATGCGCGCGCACGCACACACACATACACCACAGACTACTCACATATGCCACATGCACACACACCAAACACACATACACACACATACAACACACACATACACAAACACATCACACACTATATGCATACACCAGACGTGCACACAAACACACCCACATACAACACACACACACACACACACCACACACACATACTCCCCCCCCTTATCATTTATAAGCAGTTACTGAGTTGTTTCAACTATGAGCAAACCATGACCGGGGAAGACTGGAAGAAAATTCTCCACCGTGTCCCCTCACTGACTTCGACTTGAGCGGCCTCTCCAGACTCATGTTTCTCTTTCTGCTTCCTCAGACTTTCTAGATCAGAAACAACGATCACATCTGTAACCAACAACAACCTGAAAAGGGGACTTCCATAAAAATCCAGGGCTGGATCCCTTTCCAGATAACGAGGTTGAGAAGGTGAACTGAGCGCCCCAGGTCAGGGTGAACGCCTGGCAGGGAAGTGCACCTGACTCCTGACGGACAGGCAGCTGAAAGGCCAAGAGAGTGGGGAAGAACGGCTGCTAGCCCCTGCTCTCCAGGCTGGGCTGCTTTCCGGAAGATGGCACAGCAGGGAGGGCGAGCAAGCTGGCCCAGCATGAACACCTTACATTTCACACACATGTTGCACTGTTTCATCAGCTCTTGATCAGTTACTGCCTTGCTGTTTTGACTCTGGGCGAGTCACTAAACCTCTCTGTGCTTCCTTGTTCTCATTTCTAAGTTAGAAATGATAATTTCTTGGGACGATCCAATGAGATCACAGGCATAGAAGGGTGAGTTAACAGTGGAAAGCCGTAACATGCACCTGGAAACAGAAGTATCAGCAAGATGGGGAAATCGAGCCAAGACCCCATTCCTAGTCCCTGAGCCCTGCCTCACTGCACAGCTTCAATGACAAGCAGCTGCATTCGACTCACTTTTGGGGGCACTGCCTGTGAGTTATGCCATTTACTCCGCACAACAAATGCGTGAGGTGAGTCTCACTCTTCCATCTGCAGCAGGGGGAGCTGGTGGTCCTCAAAGAAACAGAAGTCGGCTCCCTCAAGGCCACATGGCCAGGAAGGACGGTGACCGGAGCTCAGACTCCAAGCTCCCAACCTTCCCTCTGTACCCACCAGTTCCCCTGTGCCCTTGTGTGCTGTTTCCAAGCTGGGCAGGAGTCCTGGGGAGGAGACATTGGGAAAGGCTGATTTAACATTTCTTTCTTCTTTTTTAGAGACAGGTCTCACTCTTTCACCCAGGCTGGAGTGCAGTAATGCGATCATAGCTCACTGCAGCCTCGAACTCCTGGGCTCCAGTGATCCTCCCACCTCAGCCACCTGACTAGCTGGAACTATAGTTGCATACCACCAGGCCCAGCTAATTTTATTTATTTATTTATTTATTTTTGGTAGAGATGAGGTCTTGCTATGTTGCTCAGGCTGGTCTCGAACTCCCAGCCTCAAGCAATCCTCCTGCCTCGGCCACCCAAAGTGCTGGGATTATGGGCCTTAGCCACCGTGCCCAGACTGCTTTAAGATTTCATATGCAAAGAGTAGACCCACGGGGTCACAGGCATGGCCACAACAGCCAGTATCCTGGAGAGAAGCACTACATTTTCCCCCATGATTCAAGACCAAAGCTTTGTCCAGAGGGGAAACAGCATTTTCATTTCCAGGATTCCAATACACAGAAATCACAGCCATTAATTTAGCCTCAATGCCATGCATCTGTGTTGCTGAGAGAGTTCATTTATAGTCATAAACCTTGTGGCTTTTTGGATAGCTTTGTTACATCAAAATCCTGCTAGTTAGGACAAATGGGAAAATAATGTGGGGAAAATTATTATGGAGTACTTTAAAAGAAATACTACATTATTTTCCAATCCACAGTGACACTCCAGCCAACTGCAGCCGCTGCCAAGAGGAGTCTTGCTTCAGTGATCAGACGTTGTCTCTATCCACTCATTCTACCACGTGCAAAAGTCTGTGCTGGCACCTCAGACCCATTAGGATGGCTCCTATCAAAAAACAGATGCTAACAATTGTTGCAAGGATGTGAAGAAATTGGAATCCTTGTGTACTGGTGATGGTAATGAAAAATGGTGCCACTGTTATAAAACCAGTATGGTGGTTCCTCAAAAAATTAAGCACAGAATTAATGCATGATCCAGCAACCCCTCTTCTGGGTATATATAGGAAAGAAACGAAAGTTGGGTCTCAAAAAGATCTTTGTACATCCACATGAATAGCAGCATTACTCAAAACAGCTACAGTGTGGAAGCAACCCAAGTGACCATCGATGGAGGAATAAACAGAATGTGGTGCACCCATCCTTATAGTCAGCCTTAAAAAGGAAGGAAATTCAACATGGATGAACCTTGAGGACGTTACTCTAGGTGACATAAGCCAGTCACAAAAAAATAAATACTGTGTGACTGCCCCTAGATGAGGTCCCTGGAGTAGTCAAACTCATGGAGACAGAAAGTGGAATGGTGGGTGCCTGGGGCTGGGGGAGGAGGCATAGGGAGTCAGTGTTTCATGGGGACAGAGTTTCAGTGTGGGAAAATGAAAAGTTCTGGAGATAGATGATAGTGACGGTTGTATGACAATATGAATGTACTAATACCCCTGAACCGTACACTCAAAGATGGTTACGATGGTCAATTTTATGTTATCTGCATTGCACCACGATAAAAAAAGCCTGTGCTGGACCCCTACTGTGAGGGCTGGAAAGAGTCATATCACACTGTTAATGTCCTTTACGCGTGATCAGTGTGCCGGGCGCCATTCTGAGCATGCTACATGCAGCACCTTGTGTGTTCCCCACAGTGCCCTGTAAGTTGTGTGCTCTGGTTGTGCCCATTCACAGATGGCCCTCTGCCTGGCTCTGTGTCCTAGGAGGCTGACCTCCACATAGTGCGTCACCCAGCTCCGCTGCTCTCTTGGCTGACTCTTTGAGCCAACACAAGGCACGAGCAGGAGGTGGGAAGGACGGAGGAGAGGCCAGGGTATTCATTCCTGCTGCTCATTCGGTTCCATTACCACTACTACACACACACACACACACACACACACACACTCTTATGCTCACACATGCACACACACACATACATGCACACACACACAACTCACCCACACAGGCACACAGACCACAGGTGCTGCCCCTGCAGCTGAGGCGTAGCAAGGGCTCCCACTGCCACTAGTTCTTGGAAGCTGCACGGCCCTTGTTGGTTTTCTTCACCTCGCACAACTCTGGAAGTTGTCCCTTTGTTAAACTGCGCTCCTCAGTTCCCCAGAACCCCATAGCCCATCTCTCTGCCCACATGCACAGGACAAATTCCTGTAGTGGGCACCCCCAGATTCCAGAGACTCCCAAGCCTGTCCTGGTGATGCCCCTGCCCCAGGCCCGTGGCAGGAACAGGAGGTCTGCAGGGTGCCCGGGACACAGGAAACACACCGGAGAGGCAAGGAGTGGCTGCTCCACGAATCAGCAAACCCCACCAGCAGCCGAAACACTGCGCTTGCAGTACCCTTAGTCACACGCGCACAGAGAGGACGTGGTGGGTCTCAAAGCAAGTCAGGGAGCCCTGTGCTGGCAAATGATGGGCAGATAACCACTGGTGGAAGAGACTGACAGCCCCTGCCCATCAGCCAGACTGAGTCACATGGCCCCATGTCCAAGAATTCATCCTTCCCTCCCTGCTTCCTCTCATGGTTCCTCACATTTACTGAGCACCTAACACGTGCGGGGCCCTGAGCGTGCCAGTGAACAGACGGAGGCTTGGGCAGGGGTATGTGGGGCCTGGCAGACCCCGTCCCAGGCTGGGACTCGGCTTTCCTGCCCTAGGCCCCTGGCCTGTCTCCAAGTGAGCCAAAGGTAGAACTGGGCTCAGAATGTCCCCAGCTCCCCTTCCCCCCGCCCATCTGTGAACCCCCTCCAGGGTGGGGCTGTCCGGCCTTCAGAAGGGAGGACGCAGGCACTCTACACCTTCATGGGCCGCAGGGGTAACTCTCCACCGGGCAGGGAAGACGCCAAGCCCAGGGAGAGCTGCGGAGAGCTGCGGAGAGCTGGGGCCCCGCGTGCAGCCTCACACCCGCCCGCCGCCTCCACGTGCGACTGTCATCGAGGAAAACCTCAGTGAGCAGCGCGGGCGCCAGCGCCAGGACGGGGGTGGATTCAAATGAGCGCTGGTGCCCACTGACTCCCCCGATGATCCCAGCCAAGAGAGACGGAGAAACGGAGAAGAGTCACACCTGTACGACAGAGCACCGCCCCACATCGGCCGAGGTTCGCCAAGCCTCTTCAGAGCACTGTCGCACTTCCCCCTCCCACGGTCCAGCAAGGCAGGAGCTGCTCTTAACCTTGGCTCCCAGCCTAGAAGATGGAGGCCGGGGCCGCCCACCGCTAGCGAGAGCGGCTCACGCTGCGCCTCAGCTGCCCCATCTCTGCAATGGGGACGGAGGCGCTCAGCCTTCCGGAGCTTCGGGGAGATCGCCCGGGATTCCTGGGCGGAAAAGGCCCAGCGCTGTTAAGGGCACGCAGTAGGCGCTCAGAAGGGGCGGCTCGGGTCCCTGTCCTGCGCGTTCGTGCTGTCCGTTTTCTCTATCTCTTTCTTTCTATCTTACTTTCTTTCCTTCCTTCCTTCCTTCTTTCTTTTTCTTTCTGTGTTTCTCTTTCTATCTTTCTTTCTTTTTTTTTTTTTTGACGGAATTTCACTCTTGTTGCCCAAGCTGGAGTGCAGTGGCGCGATCTCGGCCCACTGCAACCTCTGCCTCCTGGGTTCAAGCGATTCTCCTGCCTCAGCCTCCCGAGCGGCTGGGATTACAGGCGCGCACCACCACGCCGGGCTTTTCGTATTTTTAGTAGAAAAGAGGTTTCACCATGTTAGCCAGGCTGGTCTCGAACTCCCGACCTCAGGTGATCCGCCCTCCTCGACCTCCCAAAGTGCTGGGATTACAGGTGTGAGCCACCGCGCCTGGCCCGTGCTGTCCGTTTTCTACAGTTCTGAGCAGAAAATGCTTTCCTGTGCTGACTTGGTACTGCTACAGCGAACTGCCCAGCGCACATCTCCCACCCCATCCTGAACAGGAAGGCTACAGCAGCAAGCCGACGTGTTCATGTTCTCAAAATTGGACCCCCTAAACCACAAGGAACCATTCTGTGCCATAAGCTCACCTCCACCTGGGATACAACAGACTAGTTCAGTCACTCAGCCCAGCTCAGAAGCACCAGACAGGACTGTAAACGCCCACCTGTGCCCAGGCTCCAGTACCAGGAAACAGCTGCCACAAATCTGAAACGTTCCTGTTAGTCCCATCTGAGATGCTTCCGGACCACCTCATCCTTCCTTCTCTCCCTCCATCTACCTGCCCATCTACCTATTCCTCCTTCCTTCCCTCCCTCCCTCTATCCATCCACCCACCCATCCACCCATCCATCCTTCCCTCCCTCTACTGATCCATGCTTCATCCTTCTATCCCTTTCTCCCTCCTTCCTGCCCTCCACCCATACATCCCTCCATCCATCCATCTCTTCACCCCTCCATCCACTCATCCATCCATCCAAACATCCATCCACTCCTCCACCCATCCAGCCACCTATCCATCCAACTATCCCTTCATCCACCCATCCATCTCCCCTCCACCTCCCATCCATCCCTCAATCCACTCATCCATCACTCTACCCACCCATCCATCCTTCCATCCAACCATCCATCCATGCCTCCACCCATCCATCCAACTATCCCTTCATCCACTCATCGATCCCCCCATTCATCCCCCATCCCCCATCCATCCAGCCATCCATCCCTCAATCCACTTATCCATCACTCCACCCACCCATCCATCCCGCCATCCATTCATCTATTCCTCCTTTCATCTACTCATCCATCTTTCCATCCACCCATCCATCCCCCATCCCCCCATCTGCCCATCCATCACTCCTCCCACCCATCTATCTCTCCATCCGGTCAACCATTCCTCCATCCACCCATCTAGCTCTCCATCCATCCACTCATCAATCCCTCCATCCACCTATCCATCCCTCCATCCACCCATCCACCCCTCCATCCACCCATCCACCCCTCCATCCACCCATCTTATGTATGTATAGGACAAAACATCATGTATATAGGGTGTGGCACTAACAGAGATTTCAGGCATCTACTAGGGGTTGAAACACATCCCCCTTGGATAAGGTGGGGTGGGGGGCGCTGTACAGATACTTCACAAAAGAGGAAAGTCTAATGGCTGGGAGACCCATGACAAGACGCTCTACATCCTTAATCATTAGGAAAATGCAAAAGAACACCACAATGAGACACCACGATATGCCCATCAGAGTGGCTAAAATTAACAAGACTGAAAACACCAAATGAATGTAGTTGATATGTTCATCTCCATAGGCACATATGACCGTAAAAACTCATGAGTTTGCAGCTAAGATGTGTGCCCTTTGTTACACATGAGCTATGCCTTAATTAAAATTTTGCAAATCATTAGCAAAACTTTTTAAAAATCGTATGCATTATATAACAAAGCAAACCAGAACAGAGCCAGGGCAGGATGAATGTAAGATGGACAGCAGTCACCTGTGGGAAAGGAGGCAGGTGGGATGGTGAGGGCACATGGGGAGACGCAGCTTACAGACACTAAGCTGGTGAGTGCACATCTTGGTATTTATTTGTGTATTGCTATCATAAATAAACGGGGCCAGGCATGGACCAATGATGGGAGGGAGGCATGAACCAAGAGTTATGATGGCTGCATTCCGTGTACCTGAGGTCCTGGGTGGGTGAGTAGGAGGGAGAAGGTGGGCCCCGAAGCAGCCTCAGGTCAGGGCCAGTCACAACCTGATCCCCAGCTCCCGGCACCTCCCGCCTCCTGGTTAGCCACACCTGGACTGGTCATTTCCCATCTCTAGCATATTAGCCAGGACAGCATCTGAGCTTCGTAGACCTGGGCAGGGCTGTTGGGAGTTGCTGGCCCTGACAATTTCTACTACTGCATCGTGGGACCACCCAACTTGTGCCCTCACCACCCACCTATCCTTGTCACCTGATGTCTAACAAGCGTCTCTGGCTGAACACACCCAGACCAAGCTCTTGACCCTGACCTTCCCCACCTCCGCTCAAACCTTCCCACCAGATTCCTCCTGGCTTGTTTCCCTCCCACAACATCCAGCCATGTCGGCAGGTCCTAACAGCTTCCGCTCCAACACCCATCGCCAATCTGCCTACTTCTCCCCCTCCACGGCCACCTCCCTGACCCAAGCCCCGTCTTCTCTGCCAGGTCCCTGGGACGGCTTCCCTCTGGCCACCCCCAGACCCCCTGCTGCCATTCTAACTCTCCCCATGACACAACCCGCCAGAGCACTCTGGCAATGTCACCACCCACTGCCAACGTGCCAGTGGGTTCCCTTCGTACTCCACGCCAGTTCCCATTCGCAGCCCAGTCAAGAGGATTTGGCATCATCTGGGTCTGTCTCCTGCCCCAGCCTCTGCCCTGGCCTCCCTGAGGCTCCTCACTTGTCCCCACCCCAGAGCCTCTGCACCCAGGGCTCCTTCGCCCCTCAGATTCCTGCAGGGGCTTATCCCTGCCATCAGCCGGCCACGCCATCGCCAGCTCTCCCGGGAGGCTCTCTCTCACCATCGCATCTAAACCAACCATCCCTGCCACCCGGCCACGTGGTCCGGCCAGCCTTGTGTGGTCCCCATACACTGACCAGCCTTCCCTCCTGCCTTTGTGCTGACTTGTTTACTCCATTTATCTCTCCTCACTGCAACATCAGCTCCAAGAGAGAGCACAGCTTTGTCACTACAGAACCCCCAGCATGGCACATAGCAGTTGCTCAACAAATGCATCTTGAATGAACGAATAAATCACTGTATGTTTCTATCACAGACATCTTTCTATGATTCATTAAACAATGAGTTTCCCAAATAATTCAACTTAAAAATTTGTAAGTAGATAGTGACTCAGAACATGGCAAGACTTGGGTGGGTGGGTGGCCAGACAGATGGAGCAAAACAATGAGCGACAAGACACTGCACGGCCACTAGATCTGGAGCAGCCACTTGGGGCTTAACTGAGCAGGGCAGGCTGGAGAATGCCTTGGGAGACACATCCTCTCCAAATACCTTCCCTAGAACACAGCCTTTGGTGCCTCCCACTCTACAGAGAAAAGGAGCTACTCCAAAGGGCACACAGGGCCCTTCCGGATCAGGCCACCAGCGTCTTCTCCAGCCCCAGATCCCAGAACTGCTCTAAGAGCCTTAGCTCATTGGCCACGTCTCCATGCCTCTGCAAAGGCTGTGCCTCCTTCCGTCCCTCGTCCACCTGGTGAACTCCTGTTCACCTGTAACAACCCAGGCTCGGGAACCCACCCAGGGACACCTCCTTTTATCTCCCCAGAGCCCAAGCCCCTCAAACCCACATCTGCCTTGGTCCCCGATCCCAGCATTCTTGATGGATTCATTTGCATGTCTGTTCCCCAGATGAGCTCTGGCCTGACCCATAGCCAGGTCTGGCTCAATGGTTTTGAGGGAGGGAACGAATGAGCAGTTTCAGGAGTGAAGTGGTGCCAAGCTCTGCCCACAGTCAGCCAGTCTGCTGATTCGAGAGGAGCCCCCAACTCCGACCCCCTTCATGTTCCAGCCATGTTCCCTCCCCAGGCTGCCCGCACTCACTCCACCCTGGAGGATGAGCTCGCAGCATGCACCCCTGCGTGCTCACTGCCCTGCCGTGGAGTGCCTGGGGGTTGCCCCGGGATGGGGAGGCCACGTCTGAAGTCAGGGGTCAGCCCTGACCAGGGGCCAGTTCAAAGTCAGTGGGGTGGGCAAGAGTCACACCAAGACCAACACCCCAAGGAAGCAGTGTGTGAACCAGCAGCACCTTCCGGGCTCAGAGCAAGTGACTCAGACCACCGACTGTCCTGGCTGCCTGGACTGCGGTGCCACTTGTCATCACAGGGATGGCTGTTGTCCCTTTGGCTGAGCCCAGGCGAGGCAGCCAGTTTATATTCAGGGGCAGGGACACATGTGGGCAGACACTGGACTCACATTTGGCAGGCAAGAGGCATGCAGCCCACAAAGCCCCAAGAAACTAAACCCTCCCATTCCCAATTCAGGTACAAAGAGAGATGGAGGCAAATGGTGTCCACTAGTCCAGTTGCACTTGCTTGCTCTATCTCCATCTCTCTCCCTCCCTCTCCAATACGGTAAATTAGCATAGATTAAATGTGCCTGGCCTGCAATTCCCTGTAATGTATTCCTTTCCCAGGGCCCAGCTAAACCAATAGCCAATATTTGCTGCACAGCTGCAGAATCATTCCCCAAGGCCTCCATGCATGCCAGCTTCCTCGCGCAGGCTGTGCTGGGGCCTCCTTCCAGACCAGTGCAGCTTGGGCAATTCAAGGGAAGCATCGGCTCTCACAGCCCAGCACCCCCATGCCCTCCCTGCCCTCCCATGTGCCTGGGGCTAGGCTCTCCCTGCAGCACACCCCTGCCTCCGTGCCCTCTCGGACCACACTGAAGGTCTCTAGTTGGCCTGCACTTCGGATTTTTAATACCAGCTGCCTATGCTGGGGGGCTCTCCAACTCTTAAGTCCACAGCTCCTTCCTCCCGAGAGCCTGAGCGTGAATAATCCACTGCATCCCAGGGAGGATGGGCCAGTTCTGGATGCTGCTGTGCGTGCTCCCTTGGGAATTCTTTTGCACTTTCCAAGAGCACCGCAGCAGCCCAACACCCAGCACTGGGGCTGAGTCCCTCACATGCTCCCAGGGCTCCAGCCCCACCATCCTCCAACCTTTCCCATTGCTATGCAGTGGGGGCATTACCCACACATCCCTTATTTTCCTGCAGTGGGAGGCTCAGGAGTCTCAGCCCAGCAATGTCATAGGCTCACTGTGTGACCTTGAGCAGGTCACTGCACTCTTCTGAGCCTCTGAGTCCCAGTCCTCAGCCTCTGAGTCCCGGTTCTCAGCCCAGGGAGTTAGTGGGGAGGCAGCCCAGCCTGGTGAATGAACATCAACCTCGGACACAAACGCACCAGGATTTTAATCCTGGCTTCATCAAATGCCACTTATGTGGCTTGGGCTGTGTGGCCTGGCTGTGGTATCCCCCAGGCTGGGGGGACCCAGTGAGGTAGAATGAACGCCAAGTGCCCGGGACAGGGTAGGTCGTGCCCTTATCCTCGGGTGCCCTCCCAGGGCTCCAGTTCGGCTTCTCATCTAGCCCCGCACACTCATTGCAGGAGAATGTTTCACGCAGCTGGCAGGGGTTGCACCTCCCTGGGCTGCCCAGGGAAGGGAACCGCAATCTCCAAGCCCCCACTGCCACCTCCACTGCAGAGGCACCAGCTGCCAGGCCACCCGCCCCTCCCCTGGGATAATTGCCTGTAGTGCTCAGAAGGAGGGGGTTGATGCGTGTCCATGCGGCTTAACCCCAGGAGCTCCAGCAACTACTCTAGATTATCCCAATCTACGCAGATAAAGCCAGGCCCGTGGAAACTGCAGGCAGACACATGCCACAGCCACTGGAGTCCACTAACAGCCGGGGCTCCTCCGCTCTGAGTTTTCCTAAGAAGGAGAGTGTCTCGGGGGCCGAACTCCACAGAGCTGAGTGGGCTTCAGGCAGCCTCAGGAGTCATGTGTTTCTCCCTGTGCCCACCCTGATGGGGACACTCCTAGGGGAGAAGGGGAAGGAGGCAGGCCCTGAGGCCTTGTAAACAAACGCCATCCACATGGAGGGCACGGCCCACTGTGGACTGAAAGGAACATGGCCAGTCAATGACTCCGGGAGGCCGAGTGGGAGGCGAGGAGGCTGTGACTCTATAAACACAGCAGCACAGACCCCAGATGCCTCCCTCTGGAAAGATCATCCTGTACTATCACTTGAGAGAGACAAGAGTCTGCTAGAAGGTAGAGACCTTGTATGCTGTTCCCTGATGCATCCTCTGGCTAGCAGTGCCTGACACACAGTAGGTGTGCAGTAAAGGTGTGTCGGATGACTGAGTGATCTCCACCCTCATGGAGCTCGCAGTCTGTGTGGACAAGACACAGGGCAGGAGAACAGTGTAAGCACAGCCTGAAGAAATGAGGATCCAGCCTCTGCTTTCACACCTGTGATGACGGGGGTCTCACCACCTCCTCGACAGCAATGAACATGAAAGGCCTTCTTGGCAGCGAGCTCTTCATCCTGTTGCTCCTGAACCCAGGACTTCTAATAGCGTGCCCATGAAATTTACTGAATTAGGAAGGGAGGGAGGAAATATTCCTGCCTGAGGTCTCTGTTTTCTGGGCCCCCACGGGCCCCCTCTGCCCCCTGCCCCAGGTCACCTTACAAACAAAGACCCCAACTCAGGGTCTCGGCTCTTCAGGCATCCACCCCCAAGTCCCCTTTTGGGAGCAGTGTCTTCAGCCACCTCCCTGGACGCCCTTCCCCTAGTAGGAGCCCACAGGGCCAGCAGGAGAGTCACCATCCTTGCCTCTCCATGGCCCCAAAAGAAAGTCTGATCCCCTCAGCCTATCCCTGAAGGCCAGGCCAGGACCCACGAACTGGCACCACCCCAGCCCTGCTCAGCCACCACGTTTCCCAAATCTAGGTGCCCAGCCTCCAGGCCTTTGCCCTGGAACTTCCCTCTTCCTGGAAGGCCCTCTCTCCCTGCCCCCATCCTGGCAGATGAAATCCCTAAAAGCCCACGGCAAATGCCGCACCCTCCATGCAGCCCTCGCCCACCCTCGCAGGCACAGTCCCTCCACGCTGGTTTCGTGTCCACAGAACCTTTCCGTGGCCAGAGGACCCGAAACCCCCACGGCCCTGTGTTTTTGAGCCCCTGTGGGCTCTGGCGCGTGTCGGTGCCCAGCCTCTGTGAGAGGCCCTAGCGGTGGCTCAGCAGCTCTGGAGTCAGGCAGTCCAGAGTCTGAATGCCACCTCTGTCCCATTGTGTGCTGTGCCTCTGAGGGGCAGGTTTCTTAACCTCTCTGAGCCTCAGTTTTCTCAGCTGTAAAGTGGAGCTAATCGTACCTTCCCACCAAGGTTGTTGTGCTATCAGCTCTCTATTCTCTCTGCCTCCTCTGCCCCAGCCCCTGCAACCACTCACTAATCTGCTTTCTGTCTCTACAGTTTTCTCTATTCTGGACATTTCATATAAATGGAATTGTATAATATGTGGACTTTTGTGAATGGCTTCTTGCACCTAGCATGTTTTTAGGGCTCACCCATGTTGTAGCATGTATCAGGACTTCATTCTTTACACAGCTGAATAATATTCCACTGTGTGGAGAGACCACAGTGTGTTCATTCATCAACTGACGGACATTTGTGTTGTTTCCACTTTCTGGTTATTATGAATAATGCTGTTACAAACATTTAAGGATGAATTCTGTAGGTTTTCATCTCTCCTGGGTAGAGGCCCTGGAGTGGAATTGCCGGGTCACAGGGTAACACATGTCTAACTGCTCAAGGTGCTGCCGGACTGTCTTCCAAAGCAGTTACAGCATTTCACATTCTCACCCACAATGCATGAGGGCTCGTTTCTCCACGTCCTCATCTCCTCATCAACACTTGTCATTGTCTGACTTTTTGAGTAGAGCCATCCTGGTGGTGGTAGCGGCACCTCCTTGTGGTTTTGATTTGCCTTTCCTTGGTGGCTAATGATGGCAAGCATCTTCTCACATGTGTACTGGTCACTGGTGTATCTTGTCTGGACACATGTCTATTCCAGTCCTTGGCCCATTTTAAAATCAGGTGATTTTTGTCATTGCTTTGACTGCTTTTTAGTTGAGTTGTCTTTTTGTTATTGAGTTATAAGAGCTCTTTATACATTCTAGGTTCAAGTCTCTTATCAAATATATGATTTGCAAATATTTTCTTCCTTTCTGTAGTTGTCTTTTCACTTTCTGGATAATATTCTTTGAAGCATAAACGTTTTTAACTTTGATGGGGTCCAATTTATCTACTTCTTTTGTTGCTCATGCTTTTCATGTCATGTCTAAGAATCCTTTGCCAAACCCAAGGCCATGAAGATTTACTCCTAAGTTTTCTTGTATTTTATCATTTTTAGTTCTGACATTTAGTTACATTTTGAGTTAATTTTTTGTTTATGGCCTGAAGCAAGAGTCCAGATTCATTCTTTTAAAAGTGGATATCTAATTGTGCCAGCAGCATTTGTTGAGGAGGCTGTTCTTTCCCCACTGAGCCATCTTGGCCCCCTGTGTATGGGTTGATTTCTGGATTCCCAATTTTATTCCATCCATCTAGATGTCCTTCCTGTTTCGGTACCATATAGTATTGATGATGACTGTTGGTTTATAGTAACTTGGACATCGGGAGTTGTGGGATCCCCTACTTTGTTCTTTTTCAGGACCATTTTGGCTACCCTGGGCTCCTTGAGCTTCTCTGTGAATTATGGAATCAGCTCATCACCCACGTTCTTGGAACCTGAAGGCAGGATTTTATCCACGGCTCCTTCAACTTTATGTCCTTCACTTTGAGCCATGTTTTTAGTCATGAAAGATCATATTACACCTGCTGAAATCCAAACAATCCACACATTTAGTAATTACCAGACTGCAAGCTAAGCAATTACCACCACATGACCGGGCCAGTGTGAGTGGGTCCCAGGGATATGAGTGGGTCCCAGGGATGGGATTGGGAACATCAAGGTAGAAAAGATGCTGCACATGGCTGCAAGGAAAGGAAATAAGTGCCTAGGCCATCTCAGGAATGGCCATCACCTGCCCACCTGCCTGGCACCAAAACCAGGGGCCAGGCACCATCCTGGGCTCGTATCCACAGCCAGTTAGCCACTGAGCCTCACTGATTCTGCCGCCCAGAAGTCCCATCTAGGGCCCTCTCCCAACCCCAACCTGGACCCATCGCTCTCCCCCGGGCTCTTCCTGGTCCCTCCCCGCCACCCGGCTCCTTCCTCTGATAGGCCTGTCCCCTGTGTCCCTGTCCACTGTGCTCTGTCCACACGGCCCAGCCCCTCCTGGCCTTTGCTATACTGGTCTCTCTGCTCCAGTGTCATTCTCCCCTCCTGCCAAAGGGTCCCAACCCTTAACGCGACGAACCCCTCTCTTACCCTTCTAGTCGCACTGCAGGGGCTTCTAAGCCTTTGAGAGCCAACCTGCCCTGGCCGGGTGAGACTAACCCTGTCTGAGTCATTAACATCAGCCTTCTGCAGAGGACCCGGAACACCACATCTGCTGCTCCCAACACCCTTGTCCAGGAGCTGCCCAGGCCGACTCCTCACCCCGTCCCACAGCCAGCACAGGCAGGCACACGGCAGGGCTGCAGCAAGCTCGAGCCAGAACTCTGGCCGTGGCCCCCTGCCTTGAATCTGGGACATGTCCCTCC
This sequence comes from Homo sapiens, assembly GCF_000001405.40. NCBI lineage: Eukaryota > Metazoa > Chordata > Mammalia > Primates > Hominidae > Homo > Homo sapiens. Next base: position 13,214,474 of record NC_000003.12, read on the forward strand.
TCGTAGCCCTCCTTCCTCCAAGAAACAAATGGGAAACTCCCTTTCATGGCCTCCATTGCACGTGGGTGCAGCCTGGGGCCTCTCACTGCCAGGTGGACGAACCAGGGCAGGAATCCTAGCAGAAGCCTGTGAGGTGAGGAGGGGGCACCTCCAGGAATCCACCCTGGCAAGAGCAGGGCCACGGTGCCATCAAGGGGCCACTGTGGCACACGAGCTGGTGTCCGGTGGAGCACGGTCTCCAGGGAGCGGTGTTGAGGTCTCAGCTGGGCACCATGCCTGACCATGCAGCTGGTTTTCTGACCTTCCAGATGGTGTGCGGCACCTGGCATTCTGGAACTTCTCTTTCTGTGTAAAGAGCAAGAGCAGGTCCCAGTGTTTGCAGCTGAGCGCCAGGACCGACGTCGGGCTCTGCTGAGCACTAGCCGAATGAACAGGCACCCGAGTGAACGGATGAGTGGAATTTACTGCACCCATAAGTAGAATCTTGAGCCCTGTGCCTGACCTAGACTAGGCCCTCAGACATGGTTCAGGGCTGGCAGGATGAGTAAGTGCCTACTGAATGCAAAGGCTGCAGAGGCGAGAGGCAGGTGGTGGGGATGCAGCTCCTTGTGCACCATCTGGCAAGGGAAGAGAAGGTGACTCTTTACCACCAACCCCTCCCCTGTGCCAGGCTCCTGCAGTACACAAGACAGGAGCATGGAGGAAAATCAAACCAAGCCTCCGCCAGTGGGATGGAAAAGGTTTCCAAATAAACCAGCGGCCAAGGCTCAGAATGGCTGACCAGAGGCCTTGCCCAGAGGACAGAGAAATCCACACGGCTGCCTGATGAAATCGAGAGGACACGCCAACTAGATTAGCACAGATCATCAGCCTACAACCAAAGTACCTGCTCCAGGAGCACACGGAGCTTTGGCGCCCACCTTCAGGCTCTGGCCATGCCAGACATCATGAAGGGCAGCCTCAGGCTCCCTCAGAAAAGCAAAGAACAAGAACTGCAAGAGTTTCGTTTAAAATCCATGTTAAGTCTGAACAGCTTCACAATTGCAATTAGCCAGACAGAGCTCTCTGCACATTTGAGAGGCTTGATAAACGCCTCTTTGGTCCTGGGGCCGAGGGAGGCAAAGTTGCACAGATAATAAAACACCAGGGCATTACCAAATCTTCTCAGCATGGATGACACATGGATGTGTTGATGGGGCCCAGAGAAGGCCGACATGGCCACTGCACTCCACCCCTGGCACGGGCTGGGCAGAGAGGCCGGTATGATCAGCAATTCCCACATAAGCTCAGAGCCCCTCCACAGTGGCTGATGCCATATAGCTGGGGAGCAGCTGGGCTGAGAGGAGAGCCCGTTTCTCAAACGTCTCCTGTTGAGAAGGGCCAGGGACCTTCAGGCAGGATCTGCTGTGGAGCTCACAGAACAAGTATCCTCCGAGCCCCAGAGCAGACCAGGCCCGGGGCTTCCAAACCAAATCTCTGTCTCAGCCCTCACAGCCAAAGTCTGCTTCTCTTAGTGATTCCTAAACATCCAGACACCATGTGCAGGGGATGATGCCCTCAAAGACGGGTAGAGCCACTTCCTGGGGCTGGGCAGGCCCTCCAGAGCTCTGTCCAACACCTATTGGAAATGCCTTTAAGTGGGCGTGTCCTTTGGCCATTCTAGGAATCTATCCAAAGGACACAGTCATTGCACAAAGATGCAAAGATTGGCAGTGACCAATTGCTCAACGGTAGGAGGTTGCATATGTAATAACAGCACCCATGCAGTGTGGGAAAATAGGCAGCCAACAGCGCAGCTGTAGAACAGCATTTCCCAACCAGCATCCCCTACACCAGCAGCCCCATGTGAGCTCCCAGAGGAACACATGGTCAAATATGTTTAGGACTCATTACCAGCAGGGGACAGGGGGCCCTCGGAAGGGGCCACTTGAGCCAGCCACATGAAGGGACGGCTTACAGAGGGCAGGTGAGGGCAGGGAGCCCCCCAGAGACACACCCAGGGCTAGCAGAGCGACGAGCTGTCCACTCCCTGGACCTAAGGGATGAGAGGGAGCAGTCACCTGAACCCAAAGGGATTGCAGAGGGGAGCTGTGGCTGGGGACAGGGGGACCGCAGGAGGGGCTAGAGAAATGAATATCCCAGCCTCTTTCCATCCTGCCCACTGATCTCCCATCAGTAAACCCACCAGAAAGCTGGAGGGTGCGGAAGCCAGTGAGAGAGGGCATCCCTCCAGGGCACAGAGTATGGTGAGCAGTGGACAGTGGGTCCAGACAGACAGATGGACAGAACACCCGGATGCACTCTCTTCCCCGTGGAGAAACAAAATGCTATTCTATTCATTAGCACATGGAATACACACATTTAACTTCACTTACCCCTGCCCACTCCAGAACATATGGACGCTTTCTCCCGATGAGTTTAGGTCACACTGACCTAGAAGAGTTAATGGCATAGGACACAGCATATCACGACGCAGGCAAGGTGAACACACTGCAAAACTTAGCTGATGACAGGAGCCCAATGGTGGTGACAAAGGATTTGCCATGGAGAAGAGCCCTGAAGGACATTCTCCCCCATTACAGATGACAAAAGATGATTTTGATTTTATTCTTAGTGCTTTTAAAAAAAAAATCCAACTGAACAGAGTGAACCTGACTCAGGCTTTTTTGCTTGTTTTGTTTTACAATTCAATGACTTTTGTAACTTTCACTGAATGGTGCAATTACCACCATAATGTTAGATTTACAATGTTTTCTTCTCCCAATGAGATCCCTCATGCATTTACATCCAATGCATTCCCTTATCCATCTTCAGCCCCCAGCAATCACTAATCTACTTCTATCTCTATGGGGTTGCCTTTTCAGGACTTCCATATGCCACAGTCTGGTGGCGGGGCTTCCTCCACTTGGCATTGTGTTTTTGAGGTTTATCCATGACATAGGGTGCACCAGCAGATCGTTCCTTTTCAGGGCTGAGTAGTAGTCCACTGTGTGGAAGTACCAAGTTTTCTCTCCATTCACACCATTTTTTTCACAATGCTTCTGCCTTAAACCACTGGGAGGGACTTGCTCTCCAGAAAGAGAGCATAATGGAGGCACCTCCACAGCTGGTCCAGAAGCCTTGGGTCTGGCTGGCTCCAAATTTCCCCAACTTGATTCATTCTAGGCCCCATCTCCAGTTTTGTGCCATGTCCCTATAAACTACTTAGTATTTTCCTTTAAATTGCCTCACTCCTTTACTTAAATGTATTTTGAAAAGAAAATTCACTTTTATTTATATTCACATTTTAAATGTAAAATACTATCATTACTTGAAATAGAAAAGAATGCTCAAAATAATACCAGGAACACAAAACAATGACATCACATTCTTGCTCCAGACTCTTGCTGTTTCACCCCAAGCTGATCCCTGAAAGAGGCCCAGACACCAGACTGGCACCAAACTGAGCCACTGTCCCATACAGAACCAGAAGAGCTGGAAAGACCTGGGATGTAATGACCTGACCTCTACACAGCACCCGAAGCATCTAGAAGCAGCACCATCATCACATGCTAGCCCCCCACCTAAAGTCAGGTGCACCCCTGGCTTCCGAGGCCCCCTGGCAGCTCCGGCATTCTAGGATTCCAGGATTCCCACATGCAGAGGCTGGGAACCTTGACAAAGCTGTGTCGGGGGTGGGAGCAGGAGTGACCTAGCACCTCCTGTGTGCTGACTTCCTTCCACATGCACCTATGGTGCTCCCAGGTGTGCGAGGCCTGGGGCAAGGCATGGGTGGGGAGCGGCTGGACCTTGCTGTGCTGAATCCTTGAAGTTGGGATCATTTTTTAATCCCATTAGTCCCCAGGGTCTGGCTCAGTGCTGGCTATACAGCAGGTGCTCATGGAATGTAGAATGAATGACTCATAGGTGTGTGCATGAATGAGCTGGCTGGTGAGAGAAAAAGACAGACAGAATAACTCATCTGAAAACTACTCGAACCATTCAAAAGGTGCTGCTCTCCAAGGCAACAGAGTCTTTGGCGGGAGGTGTGGGAAGCCTGTGGCCGAGACAGCATAGTGGCTGCACTAACACACAAGATGCTTTTCACAACTCATGACTGGGGAAAAGGGAAAAGGTTTTTAAAATTTTTTCATGGAAACTGGAAAATGAAGTTCATGTGCTCTATTTGCTCCTGTTCATGCACAGGTGGAGGTGAGGGGTGGCCCCAGGCCCAGAGGTGTCTGTCGGGGAGACCCCTGACTGCCACCCTCAAGGGTGTGCACTGGGTCCTGCAGGCAATGGGGGAGCCATTGAACATTCTTGAGTGAGGGTGGCCTGAACAGATCCAGCTTCAGCATGACTTCTCTGGCAGCAGGTGTGCAATGGAAGGAACCTGGAGGAAGGAGGGCAGCCCCGGCCGCCACCTCTACCCCCAGAGGCTTCTACACGTCCTCAAACTCTCCCAAATCACCCATAATGCCTCCTTTTCCCTCACCTACTCAATGCCACCCACCAAGTCAGCTGCACGTGCACCCAAAATGCTCTTGTCGCCACAGCCACCCTGGTCCAGGCCAGCAGCAGCTTTCCCCTGGGCCACCATGTCAGTCTCCCAGCGGATCTGGCAGCTGCCTCGGGCCCTTCTACAATTTGTGCCACAGCAGGAAAGGCCTTTAAAATAACGTCACACCATGTCACCCCCAAGCTCCTGCAAAAACCCTCCAAAAGCTCAGTCCATCCACCTCACCAGCAGGCCCTGGCTGAGCCATGCTTCCCCAGAGACAGGCTGCATGGTGCTCCTGACACCTGCTCCCAAGTTCACTGGTAAGAGGAAGCCGAAGGTCAGCGGACTCCAGAACTGGCCCTTCACTGGCCGCGGCTGCCCACACTGTCCAGGTGCTGGAAATCCCCTCCCTGGAGTTTCTCCTGGCAGTGTAACCACCCCACAGCCCCCCAGGGAGCTCCCCACATTGGAAAAATATTTCTGGGGCCCTGGTGGCCCCAAATTGGGATGGCCACCATCAAGGATGTGCCCCCACCCCCGGCGGGAAGGCACATGAAGCAGACGCACCTCGCAGAGCGCTGCCTCATTAATACTCATCGCCACTTCACCAACACCCACCCGGCGGTCTTCGGGGATCAGCGGAGGTGTGAAAGTGGATGCATTAGGATGTTAAATAGTTCAACAGCAAGCAGCTCCTGCCAAGTGCTTAGTGGCTTTCTGCTTGCTGGGGCAGTGGCGCCAGTGCTGGCCCAAGGCCCGGCCACCTCAGCAGGACAGCATGAGGACAGTCCGGGCCTGCCACGTGGCCACCAGAGGTGGGGTGGTGCCTCTAACCAGCTGGGGGGTGGCACATCTTCATCCATGGACCATCACTTCCCAGCAAGGCCCTGAGAGGCTGGTGGCTTATTTCCTTAATGCCACTGCTGCCCACAATATCCAGAGAGTTTGACTTTGGGACTTGAATGCATTTATTTGTCTTCTCTCTCCCAGTCACTCCAGGCGTGGCAACTCCTCACCGGAAACCTGAAACGTGGCAAAAGTCACCTGCAGCCCCAGTCCTGGGAACCGGGGTCTGTGCAGCCACCTGTGCTCAGGCTGCCACCACCCCCGTCACAGGCTCCTGCTGGGACACTATTTCTAAACCCCAGCTTTAGGCACTTCAGTGCTTTTGAAGATTTTAAATTGGCACGGGTTAGCATTGCAAACTCAACTGCCTCCTGGGGCCGGCAGTGGCCGGGCCAGGTGGGCCTGGAGCAAACTGGAGAGCCAGCCTGGCCCCTCCAAGGGGACTGCGCCACTCAGTTCCAGCCCCAGACCTTGATCGCCTCAAATTTCAAACTTGGAAATGGTCACATAGGGCCTGTGACCAACATTGCCAATTTGAGACTTGGGGCCCAGGAGAAGAATGGGGGCAAAGAAGGGGGGTCCTTGCCCCCTACTCCTTTTCCACCCCATTATCTGCCAGTTGCCCCTCACACCCCACTGGCCCCCACAAGGGGCTTCTCCCGCTCTGTGGCCATCATCTAGACTGAGACATGGGTCTAGACTGAGAGTCCCTCAAAGGCAAGGCTTCTGAGTCCCAGGGAAGAGGACTCCCTGCTAAATTTTCATTGAATTAAATGACTAATTAATGATCTAGCCTATTTCCTGGTCGGGACAAGGTCAGCCTCACGGCCATCGCTGACTTGCTCCTCTGGTTTATGCATGGTCTCAGGAGTCAGTCCCTACAGAGCACGGCCTGAGACATTCCGAGGTGCACGTCGACCCTTGCAGAGGACAGCCAGCACCCCAAGTGTGAAGGGCGATGCCGCCTGGACACTCACGTCCCGGGATATTTGGCTAAACTGGCCTCATTAACAGGCCGGCCAAACACTCCTCACATATCCACTGGCATCTAGATCTGCGTGGATGGGTTTTGCTGCCAAACTCCTGTTTCTATTGACAGCTACCAGCCACCGGGCCACTTCACAGGCATTAATGCCACTTATTTCTCAAACCGGCTTCAAGAGCTGCTGGCCTCATCCATGGTTGGGGAAACGACATAGGGGAACAACATTGTAGAGAAAGGCAGCGACTGAGGCTTAAGGAGGCAGGGAGGCCAGTGAGCAGGGGAGGCCAGGGCTCATAAGCAGGGCTGTCGCTGGAAGGACCCTATAGTGTGACACCATAGCAAGGCCTGGAGCCAGGAGGCCTTGGTGAGGGGAGGGAAGTGGTTTCTGCCCCTGAGGCCACTATTCCAGGCCCCGCCCTGGTCACGGTGGGGTGCCTGGGTGGTGCCCAGAGGGATTTTCCTGAGGGTGGACACAGGCTTCAGCCCGCCTGCTCTGGGGGCAGCTGCCTGACCCACGCCCCTCTGCAGGCCCCTCTGTCTCAGCCAGAAGGGTGACACTGTTCCTCCAACAGGACATGTCCCTGCGGTAGGAGCCAGGGAGAGGTGGAGTTAGGACAGAGCCTCTGTCACACAGAGGCCTCCTTCAACCTCAAGCATCCTCAGGGGGCACAGGAAGGGCCTTCCAGGCAAGGCCAAGTAGAGGGCCCCCACCTGTGGACTCCCACCCCAACTGCCTGCGGCCAAGCCCCTGCCCGCCCACCCCAGGCCGCCTGGCCAAGGAGGCCCTCCCAAGGCAAACCCAGGGGCCTAACAAGCTCAGACACTGCAGGTCTCCCAGGGCCCCAGGAACAGACGCCTGGAGCCCACGGCGGCTCTCCGTCTCCTGCCCAAGTGGGGCTTCCATCCCTCCAATGGGGCAGCGTGTGGCTCCATGACTGTATCACAGAGGCCGGGCCTCCTCGGCAGGGAGCTGCCTCCGGCATTGGCATCTGCCACAAAACCGGGAACTCCCCTGCAGTCAGCGATCTGGAAAGCCAGCCTCCCAAACTAGATTCATAAAGGACTCCAGGGCCTGATCTGGAAATTTAGTGTGCTCCGAAAATGAGCCAGTTTCCTCAACCATGACCAGGCCCGCCTGGAGATGGTAGCCGCGGAGCAGAGGGGCAGGAGGGAGGAGAAACACCCCAGCCTACAGCCCTGCAACCCCCAGAGGAGTGTCCCCTTTCCTTTTCATTATGGTAAAGGATACATAACACACATTTACCACCTCATCCATTTTAAGCGCACACTTCAGTGGCATTAAGACTTTCTCATCTTCCCCAACTGAAACTCTGCCCCATGAAACACGAACCCCCAGCCCCCCTCCCCCAGCCCCTGGCACCTCCATTCCACTTTCTGTCTCCGTGAATGTGACTACTCCAGGGACCTCACAGAAGTGGAATCATGCAGTATTTGTCCTTTTGTGGCCGGCTCATTCACTAGCATCCTGTCGTCCAGGTTCATCCCTGTTGCAGCGCAGCACAGAACGCCCTTCCTTTTTAGGGTGAATCATATTCCATTGTAGGGACAGACCACGTTCATCTGTCACGGACACTTTCTTTGCTTCCACCTTTGGCTATTGTGAGTAATGCTGTTGTGAACATGGGTGTGCACACATCTGTTTGAGGCCTTGCTTTCAATTCTTTTGGGTCTACACTGAGAAGTGGGATTGCCGGATCATATGGGAATTGTATTGTATGTTTAACTCCTTCGGGAACCACCACACCGTTTCCCACGGCGGCTGCACCACGTTACCTCCCCCCAGCAATGGAGCCACAGAGGTTCTTATTTCTCCACATCCTCACCAACCAGAGAATGGCCTCTCGCAGCAGACGCTGGGGGCCAAGCTCGGTGGTAGAGGCCATTGAAAGCACTCCCAGGTCAAACAGGCTTGGGAAACTGATCACGTTTCTTCCCCACCGGACTCCTCAGAGTGCTCGATGTGCCAATGAGCTCAGGACCCACAAAGGGCGACGTGTGTGGGGCCCCAGACCCTCTGCTTCCTTTAGGGCTGCTGAGGAACTGCTCTCTGAGGGGCAGCCTGGGGACTGGCTGGTCCCCCATGGCACAGGCCCACAGCAGGGTAAACTCAGAAAGCAAGAGGCAGTGCCCAGACTCAGCTCCAGCCCCTCAGCACCCTGGCATCCACTTACCAAGGTGTCGATCGTGATGGATGGGAAATAACAAAAAGGGGTCTTTTGTCAGACAGGTTGAGAACTGTGGTTCTAGAAGGCTCTGCCATCGAGGTTTGGGCAGGGTTGGGGGAGGTGTGACCCATCCAGACCCCCGGCTTGCCCGGCCAGTGGGCACATGGCAGCTGCTGTGCCTGACTCTCCACACTCCCTCAGTAATACCCCAGAATGTCAGGTCTTCATGGAAAAGTCAACGCTTCCTGCATAATTGGCTTCTTCCCAGTTAGAGGCATGAGCTCTGGGAGGAAATAATGGAAACATACAAACTCAGGTTTAGACTGGATCCAAAAGGCCCAAACCCTCCCACAAGGATGGAGATCTTCCAGATTGCAGGGAGGTCCCCGGGTCTCTGCTTCCCCACCTCCAGAGATAGGAGCGCGCCACCTCCTGGCACAGCCTCCACCCCTGGGGAGTGGAAAAGCTTCTCCGCCCACCCAGCAGAGTCCTCCCTGCTGCAGAGGGAGTCCTTGAGGCAGAACTCCTTGGGGATGGCAGCCCTTCTCATCAGAGGGAAGCTGGGAATGGGGGACAGGTGGGTAGGTCCCACCCTCCCAGCAGAAGGGCAGGAAAAACTGGCCTCCCAGGTCCTCGCGCGCCCACCTTCCCCATGCACCCATCAGCCAGATCTGAGAACGCAAGTTCCTGCCCACAAGAGACACACTGGGGACATGCAGGGACCGCGGCGTCTGCAGAGGAAGTCAAAGCAAAGGCATTAGCAGGAAGAGGAAAAGCTGATTCATTTTTGAGCTGCATTCCAGACTTTACACCTGGCCCATCTCAGCATTTTCTAAATGGACAGACTCAGAGAGAGGAGGGAAGAAAGGGGACATCTTGTGCCCTAGAAATTCACTGCCCAGAGCTCCCTCCTAAGGCGCTGTTGGTTTGGAGTCACCGGACATTAATGAGCTTTGGAAGGGAATGTTGGTCAGCACAAAGCAGTGCCTCGGAGCCAGGCTCTGAGCCAGGGGGTTGGGGCCGAGTCCTCCCTCAGCCCCAGAGCTGCTGGGTGACCTTGAGCAAGTTGCTCAATCTCCAGTTCCTTATCTGAGAAATGGAAGCAATGAGGAGGCCAACCTCGGGAGGCTGCTGGGAGGCTTCAGTGGCAAAGGCAGGAAGACTACACAATCCAGGGCCGGTGCAGAGCGAGAGCCTACCACAGGGGCCGTTAGAGCCGACATCGACCTCACTACCAGGAATGAGTCCCCTCTGTGGTCCAGACCAATCAGAAGGAGGGAGAAGACAGAGGTCCTGCCCGAACCCAGGAGGTCAGCAGGAAGAAAGAAGCCCCCACACCCAATTATCAGGCCCCGAGAGGAAGGGTGGAAGGGCCTGGGAGGAGAATGACTTCTGCCTTGGGGATCAATGTGGGCATCACTGGTCTCCTAGTTCTGGGCCCTGGGCCCAGCCCAGGCAGGGACCGCCTGCTGTCCAGGGTGCAATGGGAGAAGGGGCGCTGGGCAGACTGTTGAGGGGCTTCAGCCTTGTGACATCCTCTCAGCCAATCCACTTTTCCTTTAGCTTTCTGAGTGCTGAAGCAGCCCCCTGAGAGCATCTGATCTCCGCAGTGCTCACCAGGGCATGTCTTGGGGTTCGACTTGACGTTCAGTGCCACAGGCCTGACCTAGGCCACCGCCCACCAAGATGGACCCAGGACGGGAGCATAGCCTGCCAGGAGGGTAGCTTCGACTGTTCCTCTTCTGTAGTTGCCCACATGGCCACATGGGAGCCATCTCCATTGTCAATCCCCCCGCCAACTCCCGTGACCACACAGGTGCAAGGAGACCAGAGGCACATCAGGCAGGTATGGGAGCTGCCCTGGCTTAAAAGCCTCATGCCCCCCAGAAGCCAGCACCTCTACTAACAATTCCATCAGCAAAGCATACCGGATGCCCCACGGGGACGTGTCCAGCACAGAGTCACTATGCTCTGTGAAGCCCAAGCCTGGTGGCCCAGCAGGTACTCATAGCTCCCCTGCCCAGATACCATTGTGCCATTAGCAATACTGCCCAGCAGTAGTGAGACATTCTGCCTTTACCTGGTTCCCAGGGAAACAGAGCTAGAAAGTTAACCCGAGATCAAATTCTCATGCAGGGCAAGGGTTTTGCTACCATAGTCCGCCCCATGACCTTTGGTCAACACCTTCACATGGACACCAATGCATTTTACAACCACCAGGAGTTGTATAACCCAATGGGGCATGAACGTCCCTTTTGTCCCCTAACCAAGTGGACTTCCCCTGTGGTCAGTTAGTTTTATAGCCCCATGGTGCCTTTTGATCCTGGGATGAAAGGCAATGGTACTTCGGATAACACTAAATGTGTGTTTAATGCACCAAAGATGGAACAGTGTTTTACCAGAAGCCACTGAATGCATGACATGAAGTCACCTCAAGATGTGATTGTATGCGATTCTGTTATGATTTGGGCCTGTTTTTCTCTCTCTGGAACATATGGGCTGTGTTAAAATGAAAGTTCATCATAAATAGGACTCAACAAGCATACATTCACTTGGCAGGTGGTAAGTACCAGAAAGCCTTCTAGTCACCCATTCAACAAATATGTATCAGGCCCCTAACATGTGCTAGACACAGGCTGGGAGAGATGAAGAAAATAAAGAATAGATCCCTGCCATGAAGAAACTCAAGGATAAGTGAAGATTCAGAAACACACATAAATAGATCACTTCTAAGGACTCTGAGAAAGGTATATCCACAGGACAATGGAAGCAAGGAAGGAGATAAGTTAACCCTACCTGGTAGAGGGGCAATTTAGGTTGGGTAAGGAAGAAAAGGTTTGATGATCTTGCACCTTGCATAGGGTGCAAGAAGCAGCTAGAAAGGCTATTTGATTTGTTAATTCATCAATTTTTTTTTTTCTTTTTTTGAGAAGGAGTCCCACTCTGTCTCCCAGGCTGGAGTGCAATTGTGCCATCTCTGCTCACTGCAACCTCCGCCTCCTGGGTTCAAGTCAATTCTCCTGCCTTAGCCTCCCGAGTAGCTCGGATTACAGGCACCCACCACCACGCCTGGCTAATTTTTGTTTTTAGTAGAGACAGGGTTTCACCATGTTGGCCAAGCTGGTCTCGAACTCCCGACCTCAGGTGATCCACCCGCCTCGGCCTCCCAAAGTGCTGGGATTACAGGCGTGAGCAACCGCGCCCAGCCAATTCATCAAATTTTAATTAAAGTGACAATATAGCTTAGGGACTAAGAACACAGATTCTGAAACCAGTGTCTGCCTGGATTTGAATCCCAAGTTTGCCATTTAGTACTTGCCTGGCCCTGTGTTAGTTACCTAATCTCTCTGTACCTCAGTTTACTCATTTTTAAATGATAATAATAATATCCACCTCAGATCATTGTTCATTCACTCAACAAATAATTACTGAGCACATACTGTATGCCAGGAATTGTTCTAAGCACTGAGGACACATCCGGGAACAAAATAAAAATTCTTGACCCCCCAGGCTGGGCAAGGTGTAATCCCAGTGATTTTGGGAGGCCAAGGCAGGAGGATTGCTTGAGGTCAGGAGTTCAAGACCAGCCTAGGCAGCATAGTGAGACCCCATCTCTACCAAAAAAAAAAAAAAATGGTTAAAAATTTGCCTCATCAACCCAGTAAGTGGGCACGTGGCAGCTGCTGTGCCTGATTCTCCACACTCCTTCAATAATGCCCCAGCATGTCAGATCTTCATGGAAAAGTCAACGCTTCCTGCATAATTGGCTTTTTCCCAGTTAGAGGCCTGAGCTCTGGGAGGAAATCATGGAAATATACAAACTCAGGTTTAGAAGGGATCCCAAAGGCCCAAACCCTCCCACGAGGATGGAGACCCTCCAGATCTCAGGGAGACCCCCAGGTCTCTGCTTCCTCACCTCCAGGCACAGCCTCCACCCCCAAGGACTGGAAAAGCTTCTCCGCACACCCAGCAGAGTCCTCCCTGCTGCAGAGGGAGTCCTTGAGGCAGAACTCCTCGTTTGGGATCGTTTGAGCCCAGGAGTTCAAGGCTGCAGTGAGCGATGATCATGCCACTGTAGTCCAGCCTGGGGGACAGAGATACTGTCACTAAAAAAAAAAATTCCGGCCAGGCGTGGTGGCTCACGCCTGTAATCCCAGCACTTTGGAAGGCCGAGGCAGGTGGATCACCTGAGTTCAGGAGTTCAAGACCAACCTGGCCAACCTGGTGAAACCCCGTCTCTACTAAAAATACAAAAATTAGCTGGGCATGGTGGCGGGCGCCTATAATCCCAGCTACTCGGGAGGCTGAGGCAGGAGAATTACTCGAACCCGGGAGGCAGAGGATGCCGTGAGCCGAGATTGCGCCATTGCATTCCAGCCTGGGCGACAAAGCGGGACTCTGTCTCAAAAAAAAAAAAAAAAAAAAAGAAAGAAAGAAAAGAAAACGAAAAAAGAAAAAAAAAATCCTGCCCTCTCGTAGCTCATGTTCTAGTGGGGACACTGGAGGGGCAAGAGGAAGTGCAGTAACATATGAGGTCAGAGGGGTGATAGTGACACATCGTGCAGGGGCTGTGCCCACTGTGAGGACTCTGGTTGTCACCTGGGTGAGGTGGGTGCTGTGGGAGGGTGCTGAGCAGAGGAGGGACCAGGGCTGATGGGCAGAGCAGGGGGACCGTTCTTAAGGCTACAACCAGGAGAGAGCTGGCAGTGCCGGGGCCAGGTGGGGCGATAGAGGGCTGGAGGGGCAGATTCCGAAGGGGTCCACCGTCATTCACTAGTGGCTGACAGGGGGTTGTGGAGACAGGCAGCAAAGTGGGGACTTTCCGGGAGGCATCTCACAGGAAGACGTCCACACGTGAGGAACAGAGACCACTGCCTTGGCTTGGAGCTGCAGGAGGCAGGCTAAGCCCACACGGATGCCGAGGCCTGAGGCTGGATCCTCAGCCTGGATGCTGCCTCCACCCCAGCTTGCCGAGGACCCCCCACCATCCCCAGCAGCCTGGCCTCAGTTTCTAAACAGGGTGAAGGGCCAGCGATGGTTCCTCTGAGGCCCTCGGCTGTCCCTGCTGTCTATGCGCCTCCTGCTCTCAGGCCTGGGAGGTGTGATTTACTCTCCTGACCTCCAGGCAGCCCGGCTCCTGCTGGTAAATGCACTGAAAAGTCCATCTTTTCCACCTCCAGCCCTGCTGGGAGTGCCCAGGTGCCATCACCTGGGAACAGCTGATGACGCGAGCTAAGAAGTTCAGAGTTGCTTTTGCTTTACAAGGCGCATAGGAACACACTGTACTAAGAACGTGCCAGAAGCCTCAAGATCACTAAAGATCCCCATTTACCAGACCGGAAACAAAGGAGCAGGGGAAGGAAGCGCACACGTGGGGCTTCGTGGGCTGGAACTGCATGACCTCGGCAAGTCACTTCCCTCCCAGAGCCACTCTTTCCCAGGTTAGCTGGAGACAGCCACAACCTACAGGCAGGCGTGGTCGGAATTAAAGACAGCAGGCACCAAATGCGTGGTGAATGGGAGACATTATAGTAACTGTTTTATTAATCTTAGATTAAACTATTTCTTGCAACTTTGAAAAGAAACCAAAATCTTATTTTAGCTTGCAAAGGTCCTAATACCTTAAAATTTTTTGAAATCTTTAAAGCCTTACCAAAACCTTTGCAGGGCCTGCAAGGAGTGGCAGGATCTGGCCCTGCTCACTTCCCCCATCTCAGCTCCTTCCTCTCACCCTTGCCCTCTGTGCTCCAACCTTGCTGACCTCTTAGCTCTCTAAACAAGAAAACTTGTGCTGACCTCAGGGCCTTTGCACATGCTGTTCCTGCTGCTGGAAACACTGTTCCCAGGCTCTCGGTACCGACAGGATCCCTTCAGGACTTGGTGTAAATGCTACTTCCTCAGCAAGGCCTTCCACACTGCTTCACCTCAGTTTAGTCTGTCTCCTCTCTTTTCTCCTCCTGGCACCTAGGACAATCTCTCATTGGTCTGAGAACTCCACAACTCCATCTGTCCGTCTCTCTTTTCACCACTAGAGCCTGGCCTGGTGCCTGGCACACAGTATAGATTATGGAATAAACAAATAAGCCTGTGACATGGGCTGGCACCACTGGCATACACACACACACTCTCATATACACCCTCACACAGTTGGCACAGCACAGAACAGAGTAACATCAAATCCTGACTGCCTGGGTTCAAATCTCACCTTTCCCCTAAACAGCATTTGGTAAGTTACCTGCAAATTTTAAAGCTGTGATATTGTTTGGTTTGTCAAGTTCTTAGTATGGTGAGGTTCTCTCACAACCATGTGCTGTTTTGATGTACACATACTATGATGACAGGGCCTGGCCTATAACAGCTACTGCATAAATGTACTCAGCCTTCAAATGCTTGCTGAGTGTACAGGGGTCCAGGCACTGCCATCACAGGGGAAGCCCTCATCTTAGCTGTCGAAGTGTTTATGGCCTTCTGTGTGACAATTTAAACAGCTGTGCAAGAGATGAATGCCCAATCGAGGCAGTAATGGCTGAGCTGTCACAGGCTGCCCGGGACTGACTGTCACACGAGTGCATTACAGACAAATGCAGGGGAAATGTGGTGGGAGGAGGGGGGACCTTGAGGGGTCAGCAGGGACTTCGTCAGGGAAAAGAGATCTGAGCTGGCAGGTGGACTCACACCCATCTATTCATTCTTCGTTCTTCCCCCTAAACTCGCCAAACTTGTTCCTACACTGGAGCCTCTGCACACACTGTTCCCCCTGCTGGGATGCTTATCCCCAGGTCCATCCAGGAGCTAAGCTCCTCTTCTGCACAGCTCAGCCAGCACCTCTAGAGGGCTCTGCCTAGACACACCACTTCCTAGCTGTGTGAACTTGGGCAAGTGACCCAACCTGTCTGTGCTTGCTTCGGTTTCTTCATATGTCAAGTAAGAATAAAAATAGCACTTATTTCATGGGGCTGCTTTGAAGTTTGAGTTAATATGCATAAAATATACAGAAGAGTGCCTGGCATATGGTATACAGGAAATATGAGGGGACTTCAAGATGTTCATGGAAAAATGGAATTAAAAGATAAAAATAGAAAGTATAAACTTTATTTCTCAACATGAGCTCTATCAAGGTCAAAACACTTTTGTAAGTGATGATTCCAGCCATTTAGTCCATCTTTAAAGAATAAAGAACAGAGGGTCCCAGGAATTCAACTATATCCATGCAGTCTTGTTTACATTATTACCCGAAGAAAGATGGGTGCCCTTTAGAGTTGTTTTTAAGATTAAGAAACATAAATAAGTCAGAAGGAGCCAAATCAGGACTGTAAGGTGGATGCCTATGATTTCCCCTCAAACGCTCACAAAATTGACCTTGTTCGATGACAGGAATGAGCAGTGGCATTGTCGTGGTGGACTCTGGTGAAGCTTCCCCAGGTGTTTTTCTGCTAAAGCTTTGGCTAACTTTCTCAAAACACTCATCATAAGCAGATGTGATTGTTTTTTGGCCCTCTAGAAAGTCAACAAACAAAATGCTTTGAGCATCCCCAAAACTGTTGCCATGAGCTTTGCTCTTGACTGGTCAGTTTTTGCTTTAACTGGACCCCTTCTACCTCTTGGTAGCCATTGCTTTGATTGTGTTTTGTCTTCAGGGTTGTACTGAAGCTGTGTTTCATCACCTGTTATAGTTCTTCAAAGTCATGCTCAGGATCTTGATCCCACTTGCTAAAAATTTCCATGGAAAGCTCTGCCCTTGTCTGCAGTTGATCTGGAAGCAACAGTTTTGGCACCCTTAACTATAAGAAAGATTTCCTTAACTATAATTTTTCATTCAGAATAGAATAAGCTGAACTAAGAAAGAAGACCATGGTGTTGGCTATTGTTCTGCTGTTACCCATTGGTCCTCTTCAACTGGGGCATGGACAAAATGAATATTTTCCTTGCAGACTGATGTGGATTGTGTGCCACAGAGGGCTTCATCCTCAACATCATCTTGTTCCTTCTTAAAAGGAGGTATCCATTTGTAAACTGCTGATTTCTTTGGGGCACTGTCCCCTTAAACTTTTCATAAAGTATTGATGATTTTACCATAAATTTGATGTTTGCTTTTGTTTCAATTTTAGCAGAATTATTATTACTCTGATAGGAGCTCTTTTCAAACTGATGTCTTATTCTTCTTAGGACCTCAAAGTAGATCCTGTTTGGACATGTTACAAGTTAGTACAAGTTTATTTTGATGCAAAAAATTTGGAAATCCATGCAGAGTTTTTAAAAATAATACTCATTTTCCATGAACTTTTTGAAGTCCCGTGCGTGTGTGTGTCTGTGTGTGTGCCCACGTGTGCACACATGTGTGCATCTGTCTCTCTTAGTTTGAGCTACTATAACAAGATGCTATAGACTAGGTGGCTTAAAAACTGAAATTTATTTCTCACAGGTTGGGAAGTCCAGATCAGGGTGCCACATAGCGGGGATCTGGTCTTCTTGCTGCAGCCTCACATGGTGGGGAGAGAGAGAGGAAGCTAGCTTTCTCATCTCTTTTTATAAGGACACAAATTCCATCATGAGGGCTCCACCTGCATGACCTCACCACCTCCCAACGGCCCCACCTTCAAATATCAACATGATGGGGATTAGGGTTTTAACATGTGAACCTGGGGGACACAAACAATAGACACTATTATTCTCTATAAAATGGGGATGATGAGCCCTACTTTGCTGTCTCTACCAAATGCAATAATGAATGTGAATGTTTCTTCTAAACTATAAATTACTATGCCAAGACCCTAACTCTGATTTCCACCTAAGCACTGACTTTCCCAAGAGCACAACGGGTCTCTAAACCTCAGGAAGTTGGACTATTTTTATTTTGAACTTGACCAAAGCTGTTCATGGTTTCAGAAACTCACACCCCCTTTGGCGATGCCGTGCATGACTTCTGAGCTGCTGACATCTGCTCTTCCAATGCACTTGCAGCAGTCACATTCTGGTGCTCCCACGCCGAGAGGCGGATGTCACTGCCTCCCCTGCCTCGGAGGAGAAACATGCCGGGCCCCAACCTAGTGCACTGACGTGTTGAAACCTGGATTACTTGGATCATAATTCACTTTCCTTTGCCTTCTACTTTATAATAGTTAGGGCACTGTACTGGTTTTTTTATAAAATACGTGCTGGGTGTGCTTTCTCAGCTGAGTCTCACTTCAGGACGACAAAGGGAGTTGCGAAGTGTTTGCTATCCTAGATGGGTTGTTCTGAGACCCTGCACTAGCCACTCAGCCCCACCACTGTCCTATCATAGACAGGAGGAAACAAGAACATGGGCCAAGGTGCCCAGCTAGCAGGATCTGGGGGGCACCAACGCCGAGTGGCTTCTGCTGCCCTCTTCTCTGGAGGAAGGGGGTCCACTGCCCCCAACCCAGGCTAGGTCTCTGTCCACCTCCCTGATGACCTCCCTCTCTGGCAGGAGGCTGTCGCAGGAAACGCTTGTAGCAGTAATTCACAGGGAGGCGTCATCTGCATTCCCAGCAAGGCAGGGAGGTGGCAGGGAGAAGAAAGGCGGGGAGGCCTCTCACGGGGTGGTGACAAGCAGAGAGAGGACCCAGCCTGGCCCGGCTGCAGGTCTGGGGAGAGAGGGCAGGGGGCAGGTCAGATGTGACAGTCCACGAAAGTGAGCTGGAGTCAGGGGCGCAGGAGACAGAGCCACAGCCTCATGGGCTACACAGACTTGGAGAATAATGATAAAATTATGTATTAAATATTATTAGGTAATAAATAAAGAGTAGTGTACCCCAGTGTCCACAGCTGAGTGGATAAACACAATGTGGTCTATACACACCTTGGAATCGAATCCAACCATGAAATGGAAGGGAATTCTGACCCACACAACAATATGGATGAAGCCTGAGGACACTATGTGAAGCGAAATAAGCCCGTCACGAAACGTGAAAAACAGTCTCATTCTACTTGTGTGAGGTCCCTAGCAGGACATAAAGTAGAATGGTGGGTGCCCGGGGCTGGGGGAGGGAGGATGGAGAGTTGATGTTTAATGGAGGCAGAGTTTGTATTTGGGAGGAGGAAAAGGTCCTGGAGATGGGTGGCAGTGGTGGCTGCACAGCAAAGTGAAGGTACTAATGCCACCGCAATGTGCACTTAAAAATGGTGACAATGGTAAATGTTACGCTGTGTATTTTATCACAGAAAACAAAGTGTCACGTGAGGTGCTCATTAGAAATGCAGATTCCAGGGCAGAGTCTCTTAGAGACCCAGACTTCAGGTCTGGGACAGAGTCTGGGCACCTGCGTGCCAACAACCACCCCAGGGACCAGATGCAAGTGTTCTGGGAACACACTTTGAGACATGCCACCCTCCATCCAGCACTGTCCCTTCCTCCATCCTGAGGGGTCTGCAGGCCTCACCACTTTGCCTGCTCACTGGCGGCTGCAGACCGTCCTGGCTTCAGGCCCCTGTTCTGGCTGTGCTGTGGACTTGGCTGAGCCACCCGCTACCATTTCCCAACCTCCACTCACCTGGGAGCCTCCTGTGGCAGGTTCCACAGTCTGTCTATTCCACCGTGTGGACAGACCACATTATGTTTATCCAAGCCTCAAGGGGTTGGTCCCGGACTGTGCCCCAGCCTCCCCACCCAGCTCGACATAACCCCACTCTCTTCCCTTCCTCCCCTCCGCCTGACTGTCCTCACAGCCGGGTGGGGATTCTCCCTGCCACGTAGCCTGCTGTCTTTTCTCCTTGCTCTTGTTTCACAGATTCCTGGTTGGCTCCTTGAGAAACAGGTCCAGAGGTGCTGAACTCCCCAGGGAAGAGTGAGGGCTCCCGGCAGGCTCCTGGGGAGCAAAGCCCGGCTCCCTGCTCACATGTGGTATGGCCTTGGGCGGGGCACTTCCCCTCTCTGTGCCCTGTAACATGGGGATAATTCTAGTACCCAGAACCCCCAAAAAGTGGGGAGGGTGAATCAAGATAAAATGTGCAAACTGTTCAGACAAGAGGCCAGGCAGGTGAGTGCTGTTGAAGTGGGGGCTGCTGCAATGACTGACAAGGCGAAACTGACGCGCTCTGCATGCCACTTCCGGGATCCCAGTGGAATTTAAAATACAAGCTTCCCCTAGCTCTCCAATGCTGGGTTTGTCTAATTTCGTGCTTCAAAACTTTGGCACAGATTGTGCCTGTGTTTGTCTGTGTGTACCCCAGTGTCTATGTGGGTCTGTGGGTGTGAGCCCCCATGTCTGTGTGTGCCTGTGGGTGTGAGCCCCCGTGTCTGTGCCTGTGGGTGTGAGCCCCCGTGTCTGTGCCTGTGGGTGTGAGTCCCCGTGTCTGTGCCTGTGGGTGTGAGTCCTGTGTCTGTGTGTGCCTGTGGGTGTGAGCCCTGTGTCTGTGTGTGCCTATGGGTGTGAGCACCATGTCCATGTGAGCCTGGGCAGCTGCTCCACAGGAAGGGACCAAGACAATGGTTTAAGCTACACCACAGATGACACCTCTCCAGCAGGAAGCCTGGGGTCGAACCTGCCCCTGGGAGACCCCCTCCCTTCCCTGAAACACCTGAATTTCTTCTAAGTACCCCCCTACCCCATGTCATCTTGCGCTATTACTGCTGCTGCTGACACTAATACCTACTTAAGTGGGCTGGTACGAGAAAAAGAGAAAAGAAACCCACACAGGTTATGCCTGCAGCAGCAGCGAGAATCAAGTGAAATTGCCCAGTGCATGCCCAGTCCCCAAATCCCACACACAAGATCGGATTTTCTTCCCTTTCCCTCCCCTGCCTCTCACAACTCTCGGGTGTGACTAAATGTGGAAAATATTAGTGTTCCTTAATTCTTTCCTGGAGTTTACAACAAATGAGAAATGTATGCTACTATTGAGGTCCCTGTGTTTCTCCCCGCATGAAAGCTAATAAATCTCTCTCTCTCCCTGACTGTACACACAGTGTTGGTTGTCAAATGTGATTTGAGTTTGCCGGCAGTCAGCCACGAGGTGTGGGTGATTGCTGAGGCCCTGGGAAGAGATGGGTGCAGGAGAGGTGGATGTGTGGAGCCGGGGCATGGGGCCCACGGGTCTGGGGACGGGCTCTGGGGGTCTAGCGAGGTGGGCTGGCTTCGTGTGTCTGTGCATTTTATTTTCTCTGATGGAAGAGATCCATCGGTTTCCTCTGTGGGATCTGAGACCCAGAAAAGGATTAAAAGGGAGAGTCCCCATCCAAAGTGGGGTGGGGCTGCCCCGTCTCACAGAGAGGGGGCCTGGTGGGCCCCTCAGTCAGGGCTTCTCCCCCAGCTCTCCAGGGAGCCACTGTGGCCTGGCTCCCACATCCTGCCACACCCTCCCCGGCGCTGGGGTCTGAGAGGTGTGGCCACACCCTTCCCCTGGCTGGTGGCAGTTACCAATCAATCCCAACCACTGCTGCTGGCCCCGGGGGACCTGCAGGCACCTGCATCCTTGGGCTCAAAGGTGGGGAGAGCCCAGATCTCTCCAGAAACCTCCCTGCTCACAAGTTGGGGCTGTGCACCCCAACAACAAAATCCCTGGTGCTGAGCTGGTTGGGGGAGTGGGAGCACCTCAGCAGGAGGGGGAAATTGCCCAGAGGTGCCCCTCTGAGACTGCTGGAGGTGGGTGCTGTCTGCAGACACGCAGGCACCATGAGGCCAGCACATCACTCCCGCTGCCTGTGGACATTGCTCTGGGACCCCAGGTGGCCCGGGCGGAGGAAGAACAAGATCCTTGTGGCAGCAAAGGTGGCAGCAAATGCCCTATCACATTCTTCTTCCCTTTGGGAAATGTCTGAAGTCATTGCCACTGCAGGCTTAACATCCAGTGCCTGCAGAGAGGGGAGGGAGGGCAACACGGAACCAATGCATGTCCTTGCTACTCTGGTGAACCTGGTCTTTAAATCCTGTTCTTATGCCGCCCCGTTCCCTGTAGCCACCAGCCCCGCTGAGACAACCCGCTGCGGCAGACAGATTGGGGGTTCTGGTCCCGTTCCTGGTCCTGTCGCCTTGTAGTGTGGGACCCTCAGCAAGGAACGCAGCTTCCTTAAGAGTTTGTCTCCTGAAAATGAAGTGAATGGATCTTGCCCCATGGGGCCTTACGAGATAGATGTATGAATGCCGGGCCCTGGCGCCGTGCCAGGCTCACCAACCTTTACTCATCTCTGTTCCCTTTGTTCCCGCTGCACAGAAGTTCAAGGGCAAGAGACTAAGGCTGCAAGCTCCCCACTGAGAAGCCAGGCAGGATGAATTCTCAGATCAGAGCCTGCACTCAGGTGGGCGTGTGCCCTCCAACCCTCCAAGGCCAATGTCAGCCCCCTCACAGGTCCCCCAAGGCTGCATCCTTCACATACTTAAGGCCAACTGGGGTGAAGCACACAGCCAGGCTGTGCTGGACTGGAAACTGTTCTGACAACCCCAGATCTTCCAGTTTTCGACATGAAACTGGCCATCTTTTCTGCGCATGTGATGTTTCCATGGGCCAGGTCCTCTGCCCTGCTTTCGTTAGTGGGGACACGGTGGTTCCAGATGGTCCTAAGGGTGCTCCAAACTTGTCCTGCTAACACATGGTGCAGTGACGAGAGGCTCACTACCTGTCAAGGGCCTTCACCCCATCCTCAGGTGCTTCGGAGTCACAGACCCCCTCTCACTGAGCCAACCATCCCCTCCACCTTCTCTGCCTGTGACACCCCCTGCAGAGGTGGAGATAGCAGCCAGCTGGGTCCACAGACGTGAGAAGGCGCCAGCTCCACCCGGGCCCCTGTGCTAGGGCTGGGACACAGAGGGAAGGGTGGGCTCGCTGCCATCAGTCTACGCATCATCTACGCTGCCATCAGCCTCCAGCTGGCTGTCTGCACTTGAGGCCTCTGGTCACCCCATGCAGCTGATGATGCCCCACCCCCACCCAGGGTACTTTGGGAAGGGGTGTTTTTGGGGAAACAACAAAATGCCCCCCTCCAGCCAGGTTTTGAAGGCTGCTCTGCTTGTCTGAGGCCGAGGGCCCGGCCCGGGCGCACTGGGTGGCCCCACACCTGGCTCACAACACCTGCCCGAGGAGGGGCTTCCTGGTGTGGAGGGGATGTGACTGTGCTCTGCTGGACACGGATCCCAAGGCAGGGCTGCACTGGAAGGTCTCCCTCCGCCTCCCAGAACCTCTCCACTTTCCTCTGATTTCCATAGCTGCTTCCATAGAGGTTTCTTTCAGAAATAGGATTCTGCTGCCAACAATTTACAAATGTAAAGGGTCTGAAAACCGTGGCCATGGAAGAGCCCTTTCTGTGTGGATGGGATGACGCCTGAGCAAGAGTCCCCCAGAACGGGGTCACTGAGCTGACAGCAGGGACACCCTGTGGAAGGTGGGGACAGGCCCCATCATCCTCCGAGGCTCTGGACAGGGCCTCCCGTTTGCACAAAACCAAGCAACACTGGCCTCCACCATGGTCTCAGGACACAGGAATCCTCCCATTCTGAAGGTTTCTTCCAGTGATCTTTATTTATTCCCTCGGTTCCTGCCAGTAAGCACACCTGGATGATGGAGCTATCGCACGAGGGAAGTGATCAGGACAGGGCACTCTGAACCGGTGCAGGCCCCGGTTCCCCCACAGACACAGCTGAGCTGCTGGGCTGCGCACTTCCCCGCCATGTTTTCTGCCAGTAAAGCTGCTCCAAGGCTGCAAGGCAGGACTCCACAGGAAAGCACAGGACTTCCCACAAGCAGCCCTGCCCTTGGAGATGGTGCACTTGCAAATCCTCAGCTCCGCGGTCGGTTTCCTCCTCTGTAAAATGGGTTGATGCCTGCCCTGAGGCCACTCTGTGGAAATGACATCGAAGGTGATAGCTCCTGCGAGCTCTGGCATGAAGCAGATGCTTCCCAAGCCCAGCTCAGCTCGGAGGAGACCAGGAGCTCAACCAGGGGCCCAGAGCCAGAGCAGCCAAGCCCAGGCAGGGGGCGGGCCGAGGTCACTCCCTGTGGAGGCTTGGCCAGTCCCCAAATGCTTCCTCTGAGACACTCCTTAGGCCTGCATGGGGGACTGCAGAGCTGTGGCCTTACTCTCCCCACCAGGGTACACCTGGAGGCACTGACCGCTGAGCATCCACGTGCAGATGGGACAAGCACAACGCATGGTCGGGCAGGCCTGGGGCAGATCCTGGCACCCACCGCGTGCCCCAACCAACTAGCTGGACTATTCGCACCTCCACGTGCCCATCTGGAAAATGGGGTGCAGACACATCAGCCCACGGCGGTCACCGCCCTCCACCTGCTTTCCTCTCCTGGTCCTGGCAAGACACATGCAGGACCCTGTCACTCCTCCACACAACCCTCAACAGCTCCCTGAGTCCAGACCACGCACAGCAACCCTTGTCCAGCCCTGGCGTCCTCCCCTTGCACTTCTCTTGCACCCCAAGCTCCAGCCCCAGGGCCAGCACACTTGCCATTCCCTCTGCCAGGAATGCTCTCCCCAGAACCCCAGGGCTCATCCCCTTCCTCCAGGCCTCTACTCAGCTGTGGCCTCCTCAGAGATGGCACCACCTCTATCCCCGACAGAACCTTCATGGCACTTGTCACTCTCATGTCAGGTTTTGTCATCCATCCTTCCCAGTAGGAGCTCGACACAGGCAGGACCACGTCTTGTCCCCACCACATTCCAGAGCCTAGAGCAGGGCTCAGCACATGGCTGGCATCACCACAATCCCGGCTCAGCAAGGAGGGGTCAGCAACCTGGGCGCTGGGCCATCCTCTGCTCCCTGCCGTGCCATGCTCTCCTAGAAACAGTGAGCTCCTGCCTCAGTTTCCCCATGTCCTTGAGGATGGCCTCCACTCTGAGTCCAGTCCAAGCCACACACCACCTCCTGGGTGTGCAGCAGCCCCCAGGCCCTCCTACAGTCCCTGGGAGGGCTCTGGCCATTAAGGACAGGCCTCCCTCTGAGTGGCCCCACATGCTTCTCCTAAGGAGCTGGACATAAAGAGACCAACACCGTCATCTCCAGTTCTCTGGGAGGAGGGGGATTGTGCTTCAAGGAGCCCATGCTGGGGACTCGACACGCCCACCAGCCTTTCCTCATTCCTGTCTCCGCT
The DNA here is from genome assembly GCF_000001405.40 of Homo sapiens. NCBI lineage: Eukaryota > Metazoa > Chordata > Mammalia > Primates > Hominidae > Homo > Homo sapiens. Next base: position 13,239,027 of record NC_000003.12, read on the forward strand.
TGAGGACATGGGGTTCCCCGAGGATGCCCCCTGCTCCCTGTGAATCTCCCCTGCTGGGGTGGAGGACAACACAATGAGTCTCTCAAAGGAGCAGAGTTAGAGCAAGTTATGGATTTCCTTTGGTTGCACTAAATTAAAACTGGAAGCCGGCTGCCCAGGATGTGAGGGCTCCGGTTTATGCTGGCGGACAGCGGCTCAGTCCCAGTCCACTGGGCCCACTCCACAGGCAACAGCCACCCACAGCACAGGCACATAGTGCGGAATGAACTGAGGGCTTTGGGGGCTGCCCCATTGAGCCCCTGCCTCCTGGCCTGGCTGAGATCTGGAAGAGGCAGGCGGGACAGGAACCCATGGATTTGGCACACCGCCGGGCGTGGTCCTCACCATCTCGGGCCTGCTTCACACCCTTTTCCATCCAGGCATCAGAGCCGCGGACACAGGAGACAGAAAGACCCTCGTGTTCTGGGTCCTCCTGGCCGTGAGGCCCTGGGAAAGCCAAGGTCTCTGCTCTTACTCTCAGCAACTTGGGGCAGCGTTCACCAAAGCTGCCCGCCCCTTGGGACGCAGCAAGGAACCTAGATGGTCCATGGGGGAGGCCCCCCAAGCAGCACCCCACTTACTGAGGACAAACCCTCGGAGCCCACCCACAGGGGTTCCCAGCCGTGTGCCCACAGGCAAAACTGAGCCACTGGACACGTGGTACCACACAGGTGAACCCTGAGGACTTGATGCTGAGGGAAATAAGCCGGACACAGAAGGACGAAGCCTGCAGGACCACGTTGCGAAGAGGCCCCAGCGCAGCCAGATGCTTGGAGACCAGAGTTGGATGGGGGCCCCGAGGGGCTGCGGGTGGGGAGTGAGGAGTTAGTGTTGAGTGGGGACAGGGTTCAGTTTGGGAGGAGGAAGGAGTTCTGAAACAGATGATGGTGACGGCTGCAGAACAGGGTAAGTGTGCTAATGCCACTTTGCGCGCACTGGAAAACTGGTTAAAAGGGTAAGTTTTATGTTATGCATATTTTGTAACAATTCAACATCTACAACTTTTAATTAAAAAAAAACAAACCTTGGCCGGCCGGGTGTGGTGGTTCATGCCTATAATCCTAGCACTTTGGGAAGCTGAGGCGGGAGGATCACTTGAGGCCAGGAGTTTAAGACCAGCCTGGGCAACATAGCAGGACCCCATCTCTACAAAAAATTTAAAAAATTAAAAATTAGCCAGGTGAGGTGGTATGTGCCTACAGTCCCAGGTACTCAGGAGGCTGAGGAGAGAGGATCTCGAGGCTGCAGTGAGCTATAATGACAGCACTGCACTCCAGCCTGGGTGACAGAGTGAGACCTTATCGCTAATAAATAAATGAATAAATAAAAATTAAAACCCTGAGCCATTGTTTGAGGCTCCCCAGGGCTAGGTGGAGGGCAGGGGAACAGACCAAGCCAACACTCAGAGGCTTGGAGGAACCCAACAGCAAGGGAGACACCAGCGGTGTGGCAGAGGCTGTGATGAATGGCAAGGGAGCCTGGCAAGGGGTGGGCGCCAGTTGGTAGAGGGTCTCACGGGCTGCAGTAAACTCAAGCTAAAATGCATGCCCCTCAGCGCCACCCTCACAATCCCCCTCCCACAGAACATCCTGAGAGCAGGTCCGTCACTCTGTAAGCTCTAACTCCCTGTCAGGACACCAGTACCCAGTGCTCAAGAAATGCTCACAGCTGAATTGAACGAAATCTGGGCTCCATGAAAGACCCGGGAGGATGCAGGTGCCAACAGGCAGAGTTGCGGCAGGCAGAGGAGATGATAAATCCGACACACTTTGGATATGGGTGGACTTCACGTTCATTGATTTGGAGTACCAGATCCAAGGGGCGCCCTCCACACTGGACTACAGTCATTTGTTAACGTAGTTCTTGGAAAAAAACAGAAGTCTTCTTCCTTCTCCTAAGTGATCAACTTCAGCAGCATGTCCCAGTTTCTGTTTGGCAGTGCACAGGTGGGCCCACCGTGTGATCACGTCTCCAAACCAGGCACTTGATGGTCTGAAGACACCAGAATGTGCCGCACAGTCCAATTTCACCTTGTCAACGCCTCATGTCCACGGGCCCACTGCAGGCTCTGAGAAGTCCCGCAGTAAAGAAACCCAGAATTCCCACGATTGAACTGATAATGAAATATTTTAGTTCATGACCCTAAAAACATCTGAGTTTGGAAAATGCTGAATTCCGGGACCTTGTTATGCAAACAGGCCAGACACAAGCAGGCGAAAGCAGCTTTTAACAAAATATGTCAAGTTGGAAGCTTTCGAAGGACGACCTGGAAATCCCCTGCTGTTCTACCTGAGCTGGGCTCTGTCCACCAGACCACAGGCTGCCCTGGAGCAATTTTCCTTCTCCATTTTCTACGCCTGGGAGCAGGTGTGTCCGCTGTGACGTCCTTTAACCAGGATGCTGGCAGCTTCAGCTTAGACGCTTCACCCAAAGCCACCTTGCCCAGCCCTTGAAGTCACAGCCTCTCCCTCGGGGACTGGTTTCCAGGCCAATGAGTGCTTGGTGGTTTGTCTTCCTCTTCTGAATAGGAGAGGTGTCAGGATGAGTCCCGAATGTCCCCACCGTTCATGACAAATGAGGATGCATCTGCTGGTTTCAGGACAGACCAACCCCAGCACATTCTAGCCCAGTTCCCGGGCTTCCGTGTTTCAGAAACAGGGCTGGCAGGTCCTTGCCAGCTGGGCTCATCCCAGAGGGGGATAGCCCCGGGAGGGGGACCCACTGGCCCCTGGACCCCTCTCTCTCACACGCTAACCTCCCAGAGCCTCTGAGGCCGTAGGAAGCAGCTGTGAAACACATTTTCACAGACGGAACGGGAAGATGAAGATCAGGAGGCAGATGGTGGAGAAGGTGGCGCCACTGAGTGAATGTGATTGACGCCAAGGAGCTGGACACTTAGAAATGGCTAAGATGAGCAGTTTCTATTACATGTGCTTTACCACAACGTATATACATACACACATGTGTGTATGTGTGCATATATATTTGTCTTTTGATAAAACCACCCACACAGGGCAAAGGGACAGCTCCTAGGTGACAGCAGAGACCGTGCCACCTTCACTGTGAGAGCCCCAGGCCTGGTGGGGGGCTGGGCACATGGGCAACCAAGAAATGCTGGAGGAAGTAAAGAAGTCAGGAGGTACTGGGCTCGAGCTGGTCTCCAGGTCTCCGCGGCTGTGATGCGGGTGAGCTGCTCAGACTTTCTGAAGTCCTGGCCTACAGAATATCAGTGACAGCTGTCACTGCGAAGGTGACCCACATGAGGTGCGGTGACCCTTTTGACATAGAATTTTCCCAAGTGCTTCTGGCTCTGTGCTACACTTGACCTCACAGTACCCCCAAGAGCAAGGTGGGCATACGGGGAATACCCCCAGGTTCAGATAGCTAAAGTCACTTGTGCAGAGTGACATGGCCAGCAGGGCCACAGCTGGCTCCATTAGCGGCACCCATGCAGGCCTTCCACTAGCTGCACATCCCGGCCGTGGCTGAAGCCTCTGTGTCCGTCCACTACACAGTGTCTTCCTTAGGGGGAGGCGGGGCTGGTCCTGCTCTGCTCCTTGCCCTGGGTGGGCGACATGGGCCTGGTGACTCTGGCATCTGGGGCTGCACTCCTAGGATTGGTGCTCGTGCTTCTGGAGGATGTTCTGCTTCAATAAAGTGGCTCACCTGAAAACGAAGCCTTTTCCTTTGTGAAGCCCCTTCAGGCTTCACGTCACCGGGACTGGTTGGAGTTTCATCTGACGCAGACACCAGGTGTTAACATCCCAGTGCTGGAGCAAAGGGAGAGAGGGAGGGAAGAGGAGAGGAGGGGGAGGGTGAGGAAAAAAGAGAAAAGGGAGGGATGCAGAGGAAGGGCTTGTCTTTCCACACATGTGGGGGGCCCTACGGGAAACTCTTTAAATCCCAGTAGTGAGGGGGTTGATTGGAGAACTTGAGAGGGTTCCGCCAACCTACAGGGTTGACTCCTTCTGGGTAAGTTAGGCTTCAGAATTGTCCTGAACACAAGCTAGGAGCCAGTCTCATGGCTGTGAGAACAAGAGTAAATCCAGGTGAAGTCCCTTCGCACACAGAGATGCTCACAAATGTGACCTAACCTGAATTTACACCGTGCTTGGCCAGGCCCACAGCCCTGCCATCCTCAGGAGCCTTCCCCGAGGTAACTTCCTGCACACCCTTGGGCAGGGGCTTCTGACCCTCTGTGGTGTCCAAGCTTTGAGGGAGGGGAGAGGATCGTCTGTCTGTAAACAAGACCCTGTGTGTCCACTGAGAGCTACCATGCCAGCTGACCCTCGGACGAAGGGCTGCCTGGAAGTCAGGAGCCCTGCGGAGGCCCCAGGGCCACAAGCTGCCTTTGCCAGAGCCAGCTAAGAGCCTCTTTGAGAATACACTGCAGACAGACCCTTCTGGAACAACAGCTTCTTCCAGGGGTGCTCTCTGCTCCAGATGCTACAAGGAGGTGCTGCTGGCCTGGCGCCCACCCCATCTCTGTCTCTCGCAGAAGCCTCTACACCCCAGTAGAAGCTGAGGTCAAGCGGATGCGCTGGGCCAGGAGACAGCCTCATTCCCCTCCAGACCGAGGAGAAGTTCTAGTAACAGATCTGACCAGCAGGAGCCAATGCGCTTCCTCTTCACTGTCTGGAGGGGCATGTGGGCCCGCACATGCCTCTCTGGTCTCACATGCAGAAGCATCTGCATGTGCAGTTGTTCTCTGGGGGCTGCCTGTATTTCTAGGGGGGCGTATGGCAGAATGGGAAGCAGTGGAGAGCACTGGATTCCTGCTGTTCTGTTTCTGTATCTTCGCTGTGCGACTCCTGGCAGCCCCATCAGCCCTCAGGGCCAGAGTCCCTCCTCTGCAAAGTGGAGACAATGGTGTCTGCCCACAGATGGCCACAAAAGCAGTTAGGAAGCTCGAATAGGATATGATGCCCTTTCATTTGCTTGACACACATTTGTGGAGCGCCTGCTCTGTGCCAGGCCACCATTTCAGGCAGAGGGGTGGCCTCACTTTGTGAGCAGAGCTGAAGATCAACCTCCAGCCCGTCTGACTCCTGCAATGTCTGACTCCAGCGCATGCTGTTGCTTTCTTTAAAAAGCAGCTGATTTAAAAAAGTTGATAACAAAAAGCAACTGATAATTTTTTTTTTTGAGACACAGTCTTGCTCTGTCCCCCAGGCTGAAGTGCAGCAGTGCGATCTCAGCTTACTGCAACCTCTGCCTCCCAGATTCGAGCGATTCTCCTGCTTCAGCCTCCTTAGCAACTGATAATTTAATACTACCATGTCTATTTTTTAACACTTAGAAATCGCTCCTCTACAAAAGTGCAGAAACAGCTGAAATTACAACAATTACACACCAATATCCCAGTGATTGTCGGTATATGTAATTCACCTGCCATTCAAACGTAGGATCCTGGGCTTGCAAATAGTGGTGCTAAATAAATGTCTGCTGAGTGGATTAATGGGGAGGTCCACTGAGCTCCAAATAACGTAACCCCAGAGAGTGGACTAGTCTATTGATTTCAAAAAATGTCTGGTTCAGGCCTCTGACTGCAGTTGTGACCAACCAGCCCAGGCACTCCATACTGATCCCCACTCCCAGCCTCAGCAGCTGGGGCATGCGATAAATCAGTGGCAAAGGAATCCTTTCAGCAGGGAGAGGACTGTCAAGGAGTGGGCAGAAGACTTTGGAGAAGACTTCCACCTTCTCTAGACCTGCCAGCCATTGACCACGAAGCACACACCAAAAAAAGCCTGTAACTCTCAAACAACACAGCACAATGACAGGCACCGTGGCACCAGCCAACTGCTCAGGAAGGGGGGTCATGTGACACTCTGCCACCCCACAGTCGCAGCTTCCCATGCCTCTGAGGACTACTAAGAACCTCAATGGAGGCACGCAAATGGAGCCCACAGTCTCGAGAAGCACTGTGTATCTGCTAGCTAGGGCCACTATGATGCTACAAACAAACTGCCCCAAAACTTGATGGCTTAAAACAGCCAACATTTATTATCTTTCATGAGTCTACAGGTGAGCCAGAGATGCTTCTGATTGAGCTGGGCTTGGCTGATCGAGTCTGGGCTCGCTCATGTGTCTGTGGGCTGCCGGCAGCTCAGCAAGGGGCTGGCTGGACTAGCGAAGCCATGAAGCCACGAAGCCACGGTGAGAAGACTTGGCTCTCCTCCACGTGGTGTCTCATCCTCCAGCAACCACACCCAGGCTCACCGATGCAGTGTTAGGGCTCTAAGGAAGAGAGCAGAACTTCCAGCAGCCGCAGCTCAGAACACGCAGAGCATTACTTCTGCCACATTCTCCTGGCCAAAGCAAGCCACTCAGCCAGTCTGGATTCAAGGGGTGGAAAAAAGGGCTCCACCTCTGGATGGGAGACGCTGAACAGTCACATGCCAAGAATGTGGACGCAAAGCCAGGCACAGTGGCTCACGCCTGTAATCCCAGCCCTTTGGAAGGCCAAGGTGGGTGGATCACTTGAGGTCAGGAGTTCAAGACCGGCCTGGCCAACATGGCAAAACCCCATCTCTACTAAAATACAAAAAAATTCCTGGGTGTGATGGCACACACCTGTAGTCCCAGTTACTGGGGAGGCTGAGGCACGAGAATCGCTTGAACCCAGGAGGTGGAGGTTGCAGTGAGCAGAGGTCGCGCCACTGCACTCCAGCCTCAGCAACAGAGCCAGACCCTGTTTCAAAAAAAAAAAAAAAAGAATGTGGTGGCAGGCAGGGTGGGGAAGTGAAGCCGTTTCGCAATCACCCCACCACACTCCATGGCCTTTCCTGCTAGATGAAAGACACTGGGATTTGTTTTTCACTCAACACACCCTTTGTGGCACACTGCCGGGGAACCCAAACCGAGACACCTCTATTATCATGGACCTGAACTTCCAGCTGAAGTTGAAGGCTAGGCCTGTCCCAACATGGCAAGGGACACAGGATTTCCACTTGAAACGGTGATGTGATGATTACTTTAAAATAGGTGTTTTCTCTTTCAGAAACTATTTGTGGGGAAATATTAACTAAATAGTAGTGCATCCGAGCATCCATCAATGGATGAATATACAAACAAAATGCGGCCTATCCATGCAAGGGACTATTAGCCCTACAAAGGAAGAAGGTTCTGGGCCGCACTGCCACATGGGTGAACCTTCAGGGTGTGCCGCAGAGTAAAACAAGCCGATCACCAAAGGCCGAGAACAGCAGGACTCCACTGATCTGATGCACTTGGAGTAGCCAAAGCCATAGGGACAGAAATGGAGTCAGGGGTTCCAGGGGCTGGGGCAGGGGAATAAGGGGTTGGTGTTTCATGGGAACAGAGGCTCAGTCTGGGAAGAGGAAAACATTCTGGAGATGGACGGTGGGGACGGTGGCACATCAGTGTGAGTGGAGCTAATCCCACTGGAGTGACAACGAAAAGTGGCGAAAATGGTAAATTTTATGTGAAGCGTATTTTGCCACAATGAAAAACAAAAAAGCAAAAAACCCCACAGTAGTGCAAAGGAAATATAGCTACGAAATATAAACATGGAAAGACTGTGGCGGCAGGCGGCAGACCCCTGTGCTCCAGCGTCTGAGCTACCTGTGCCCTGCTCTGTGGATCTCCCATCAAGTTCAGAGGCTTTGCTAACTGGTAAACAGCTTGTTCATCAGTGTGGCTGATGCAGGAATGGGTTCTCTGGTCAGGGGCGATGTCCTATCCTCGCAGAATACTGCAGACACCTCCCTCCCTGCACGGACCGGGCAGGAACAGCGAGCTATGAGCCCTGCCACCCTTCCTGGATGGGGGACACAGCTGGGGCCCCACCCAGACCTGACTCCCACCACGAGCGAATGGGGAGGCTTCTTGCTCTCCCAATTCCCAGAGCTGACCAGCAAATCCTGCCCCTGGAACGCTGGCCTGTTTGCCTCGGGTAGGCCTTTCTTGAAAGGAGGTTGCAAATACCCAAAATGACGCCTTTCAGCTTGTGGGACCACTGTCCAGCTGTCTCGCTGTGGGTGCCACTTGTCAGCAACTGTCTCTACATGAGATGGAAGCTGGTCTGATACCGGACTTGCCTAAAACCTGCTGGTGAGGTCTGCAGGGGACGGTTGCTAACTCATCCATAACCACCTTCACCTCCATCATCTCCTAGAAGTTACCTAATAGATGTGCCTGCCCAGACTGGCTTTGGACAGGTCCCCACCCCTCCCAGACACCCCCAGGACGTGCTGGGATTTCTCTGCTGCCATTCTGTTCCCATCTCATAACATGACAATCTGAAAGTCTGTCCGGCTGTCATTTCCTCCATTGCCCCCAGGCTCTGCTCTGTCGGGGACAGCCAGAGGTGTGCACTGCAGCACCTGGATGAATGTTGCGGCTGCTGTGGCCTCACCTCCCTCATCGCCCCCCTTGGGACAAGGACTGACCCTGCCTCGGCTGATAAAGAGCTCACTATGGTCAGGCTCCACGCCAGAAGCTGGGACTTGGCTCTCTCCTTCTTTTCTTCAGCCTGGAGCTGAAGCAGAAATTTCTCTCTCATAATTTTCACTCCATGAGCCTTCGCCCTACAGTTAGGGGCATCAGAATCACTTACAGTCTCGATGCCATCACATCAGCCGCCTTCTCACTTCCAAGTCAAGTGCAAATTTGATAAGTGAGTTTCATGGTCTCCATCTGGATCTGGATCTGGAGGGAGGGCCGGGGACTTCCTCTGGGCTGTTGACACCCCCCAGCCACCTCCCAGGGCACACAGGCATTGCAGGCACTGTTCCCCACTGCACGTTCCCCATCTTCCCACAGACACGCTGTGGGAACCCTGCCTCCACGGCCTAAGGAGACGCACTTACTGGGCCTGTCTTCCTGGGGTTCCAGTGGGCTCTTTGTCCAGGACCGTGGGCCACTGTTCACAGTCCTCTCCTGCCTTGTGCCTGTGGTCAAGTCCAAGCTCGTGGGAGTGTAGGTTTGGATGTCAAAATGCCCCCTACAGGTTCTTAAGGTTCCCCTGGAGTCACCAGGTTTGGGGGCATCCCCCATCCATTCACCCTCAGAGGGCTGCAAAGCTGGGTTCTGAGACCTCCCAGACTGCAGGAAGGGCAAGCTCTGGGCTTGGAAACCTGGGCTCTTTCCAAGTGGTCAGACCCCTATTGTGTCCCCAAGGCCACTGGAAATCCAGCATCTACGTGGGTTCAGGAGGAAGCCGGGGTTTTCCCCTTTATCTTCCTCATAGACAGTTCTGGCTACACCACTGCCTCTCAACAAAGAAGGAATCTCTCAGCTGGTGCTTGAGGATCCCCGAGCTCTGGACTTCCTGGCCTCATCCCCACCTCCCACCTGACTCCCACCTGTGCCCAGGTCCTGGGAAAACTAGAGTCCCTCTGGTTTCCAATCGGGCTCACCCTCAAAACCTACTCCCAGTCTCCCCTGAGAGAACGTGGAATGCCAACCCCTTCCTTGGCTCTGGTCCTCTCCCCACTCCAAGGCCTGTCCACACCATCCCCTTCTCCAGGAGGCCATTCCTGGCAGCTCCAAACCACTCATGCAGTCCTGCTCCCTCAGTACCCTTTGTGACTCTCAGAATAAAAGTAGCCCCCTTACAGGTCATGTGAAGGTTAAATAAAGTGCTGTAAGTATAAATCTTGGGATAGCACCTGGTGTGGCTGACAGTTACTAATCACGTCGTACAGACCAGGCTATTTTTATTATATCCATGTTATAGATGAGGAAACTGGAGTGCAGAGAGGTTGAGTAACTTGCCTGAGGTCACAGAGCTGCACAGAGAGGCTAAGTCACCTGCCAGAGGTCACACAGCTGCACAGAGAGATTGAGTAACTTGCCCGAGGTCACGTAGCTGCACAGACAGGTTAAGTCACTTGCCTAATGTCACAGAATTAATCAGTGCAGAGCTGGATTGGACCCAGACACTCTCGCCCCAGTCCGTGCTCCTGACTTCAATTCCCCTCTTATGAGAGGCTCTACCTCCTGACTCAGACTGTGGGCAGAGTCTGTCTCTCATCACTGGAATTCCTTGTTGGGTCTCAGCTCTACCTCTCAAAGGGTGGGACTTTGATGCGCAATTATAGAAAAGAAGGAAACTTCCTTTGGGGGAAGGAATTTCTTTTTTTTTTTTTTTTTTTTTTGAGACGGAGTCTTGCTCTGTCACCCAGGCTGGAGTGCAGTGGCGCGATCTCGGCTCACTGCAAGCTCTGCCTCCTAGGTTCTTGCCATTCTCCTGCCTTAGCCTCCTGAGTAGCTGGGACTACAGGCACCCGCCAGCACGCCCGGCTAATTTTTTTGTATTTTTAGTAGAGATGGGGTTTCACCGTGTTAGCCAGGATGGTCTCGATCTCCTGACCTCGTGATCTACCTGCCTCGGCCTCCCAAAGTGCTGAGATTACAAGCGTGAGCCACCTTGCCTGGCCCTTTGGGGGAATTTCTTATGGCTTCAAATGCTTTCACTGAAGAGAGTTTATTCTATTTCTATCCCTCAGTCATGCTCATCGGCTTATGTTCCCTTACTTCAGTCACATTAGGAACCAATACGGAGCTGTTATGGAGTTCGAATACCAGCTTGGGTTCGAATACCAGCTCTTGCTGTGTGACCCTAGGCAAACCACTCCATCTCTCTGGGTCTCGGTCTCCTCTTCTGAAAAACGAGGTGGGGGAGCCGGGGTCAAGGGGAGCGTAAGGTGAGATGGATGGGCACAAGCACAGGAGCAGACTCCAAGGAAGCACAGAGGAGGAGGACGCCAACAGAGCAGACGCTGCAGCCGTCATCCTCTTGGGGCAGGACTGATTCCAGGCACTCAGCCATGTGAAGACCCCCACAGGTTTCCATGGCAACTTTGCCACTAACCACGCAGATGCCCAAGGGCTGGTGATTAGCCTCCCTGGGCTCAGTTTCCCCACCTGTGAGGTGAGGGCCCGTCAGCTCCATTGCTGCCTGTGCAGCTGAGGTTCTAAGATTTTGCCTTTGATGTGGAGCGGTCTCATTTTTGTGGCTGCCATGGTGACCATCTCACAGCACGGCTCCACGTTTCCATGAGCAGGACACAGTTATGACATAACCTTCTTAGCCTTTCTAGGGCTTGTCACAGGCTTTCAGGGGACACAGCAAACAGTAAAAGCTCTGCAGATTCAACGAAGGCCAGCTGGGTTTGAACCAGCCATGCAGGGGAACCTCCAGGTGCGGTGGGAGCCAAGACAGCGAGATAGCTGAGGCTCAGCGGCACACACAGGAAGCATCGACCCTGTGTGGGATGACAGAGGCTAGGACAAACGCGGGGACCTGGTGCAATAGCCGCGGGACCAGCAGTGCCACGGTGATGTCTAATGGACAACTGTCAGCGAGTGCTATCAGCCCCACTTTCCTTTTTTTTTTTTTTTTGAGACAGAGTCTTGCTCTGTCACCCAGGCTGGAGTGCAGTGGCTTGATCTTGGCTCACTTCAACCTCCCCCCACCACCACCCTCCACCCCCAGGTTCACATGATTCTCCTGCCTCAGCCTCCGAGTAGCTGGGATTACAGGCGCCCGCCTCCACCTCACCCAGATAATTTATTTTATTTTATTTTATTTTATTTTATTTTATTTTATTTTAGTAGAGACACGGTTTCGCCATGTTGGCCAGGCTGATCTCAAACTCCTGACCTCAGGTGATCTGCCCGCCTCGGCCTCCCAAAGTGCTGGGATTGCAGGCATGAGCCACCGCACCTGGCCAGCCCCACTTTCAAGGGACATCCAGAACCCAGCTTTCCCCCACCCCTGCTGCCACCCCTCTGGTCCCGCCACTGTCATCACTTGCCTGGATCATTGCAGTGGCCTCTCTGGGCTCCCTCCCTGCACCCACATGCCTGAGTCCCTGCCACATGCAGCATCCAGGGCTCCAGGTCCCCATCGCTCCTCCTCTGTCCAGAAGAGGCTCCCTGCCGGGGGTAAAGGCAGAGTCCTCCAGGGCCCTGTGTGAACTGCTGCTCCTTGACTTCTGAGTCCTCACCTCCTCTTACCCTCCCCCGGCTCCCCCTCAGTCACACCAGCCTCCTTGCCATTCCCCCAACAAGCCAGGCACCTGCAGGCCTCTGGGCCTTTGCACTGGCTGAGCCCTGGGCCAGGCTGGCTCTTCCCAGATGTGTACACAGCTCACTTGCCCACTTCCTTTAGGCCATTGCTTCCATTCCATCTAACATGCCAACACCACCTACCCACCCCAGCTCGATCTTTCTCCTAAGCACATTTCCAATCAAACACACTACATATAACCTCTATTTACCACCATTATTGTCTGGCTTTCCTCACTGAAATGAGAACCCTGAAGACAGGAATTTCCTTGTATTGTGCACTGTGGTAACTGCTCAGCAACTGGAACAGTTCTGGCTCATAGAGTAGAAGCTCAATAAATATTTATTGAATAAATAAATGAATAGTGTTTGCTGAAAGAACCTTCACACTCAGGAATATTTTAAGTGTTGCTGCAATTCCCGACCAGCAAGATGCAGAGGAAAACCTTGAGAAGAGGACCCAGAAGGAAACCACAGTATTTACACAGTGGCATCCAAAAGACTGAAATATGCCAGCTCAGAGCTGGAGCCTGGCCAAGGGGTACAAAGGTTCTGACAAGGACTGCACCATGCAGAGGTCACTGCCCGCTACCTGGGGTATGAGACTCTGTTCCATTCAACAATATTCTAATGAGACAGTCAATGTCCAAAAGAAGACTCCTGACAGGAGGGACCGAGCCAAGGCAGCTGAGCCAGCTAGGAGGATTGAGTGACAAGCACATACCCATGCCAGAATTAGAGGCCAGGCAGGAGGTTCCACAAAGGTACCTCCTGGGTGCTGAGTGCTGAGACTACAAAGCCAAAGAAATGAGTTTCTGACCTCATGTAGCTGAAAGCTTAATAAGTACAACAGTAGCAGCAGCAGAGCAAACCCAGAGCCCAGTGCTCACTATGCCCCACATACTGTTTTTCCCCGATTTTTTATTGTGGTAAACTACACACAACACAAAACGTATCATCTTACTCATTTTCAAGTGTACAGTTCAGTGGACTAAGTACATTCATAGTGCTGTGCAGCCATCACTACCATCCATCTCCAGGACTTTTTCATCCTCCCAAATTGAAACTCTGCCCCCATTAAACACGAACTCACCAATCCCCCTCCCCTCAGCCCCTGGCGTCCATCCTTCCACTTTCTGTCTCTACAAATGTGACTACTCCAGGACACTCTTTATAAGGGGATCGTATGGATCTGCCCTTTTGTGAGCAGCTCATGTCATCTGGCACCTGCCCTCGAGATTCATCCACACTGTAGCATGTGTCAGAATGTCCTTTGTTTTTAAGGCTCAACCATATTCCACTGTGTGCATAGACCACAGTTTGTGAATCGGTTTATCTGTGGTTAGACACTGGGGTTGCTTCCATCTTTTGGCTGCTGTGAATAACACTGCTATGAATGTGGGTGTGCGAGTATCTCTTCGACGCCCCGCGTTCAATTCTTTTGGGCATATGCCCACAAGTGGGATTGCGGGATGCAATGGTGAGTCTATGTTTAATTTTTTGAGGAACCACCACAACGTTTCCACAGTGGCGGCACCATTTACATTCCCACCAGCAAGGCACAAGGGTTCCAATTTCTCCACAACTTCACCAACAGACTTCTTATTATCTATGTTTTTTTTTGTTTTTGTTTGTTTGTTTGTTTTGAGACGGAGTCTTGCTCTGTCACCCAGGCTGGAGTAGAGTGGCACAATCTCAGCTCACTGCCAGCTCCGCTTCCCGGGTTCACGCCATTCTCCTGCCTCAGCCTCCCGAGTAGCTGGGACCACAGGCACCCGCCACCACTCCCGGCCAATTTTTTATATTTTTAGTAGTGACGGAGTTTCACCTTGTTAGCCAGGATGGTCTCGATCTCCTGACCTCGTGATCCGCCCGCCTCGGCCTCCCAAAGTGCTGGGACTACAGGCGTAAGCCACCGCACCCGGTCCCTTATTATCTACGTTTTTGATAGTAGCCACCCTGGTGGGTGTGAGGTTGCTTCTCGCTGTGGCTTTGACTGGATTTCTCCTGATGATGTTCAGCAGGACAAGAAAGTCTTTAAAGTGCTTTGAAAATATTGACTCACTTAAACCCCCAATAGCCCTATAGGATAGTTACCATTATTATCCCTGTTTTATAGATTTAACATTTCACTGAGGCAGAGAGAGGCTTGGTAACTTGCCATAGGGTACAGAGGCTAATACCATGAGTGGCAGAGCCGGGATCTGAACTCAGAGTATCAGACTCCAGAATGCAAGAGTTCCCAGAGAAGGGGTGTGGCACCCCCTGGTCAGCAGATTCCTCCCCGGAAGTAATCATCCCCACCCGAGGCAGCTTAGCCAAGATGGCGGGTATTGAGTGGTGCGGTGACACTGGACAGGGGGTTGGAAGAGCTCACACCAAGGCTGAATGAAGCTTCGGTAATACTCTGCTTTCAACTCATTTCCCCGCTGCCATACAGAAAACTACACTCAACTCCATTTTCCTAAAAACGCCATGCATCAAAATATTAGATAAGGGGTAGTCAGCATTTGATTTCTAAAAGGCAAAATGTGAGTGCACACAAGGGCACTAAGCAGAATGATTCTCTTAAGCAACTCTATTTTTGAAGTATCAACAGCCTCATTTTCTGGGAAGATTACTGCATGTAGGAGGAGCTCCGCTGTGCGACAAAAGCTAAATTAGGGAGGACAAAAGGCCACGGTTTTATCTGACGAAGAGGTAACCCAGCACCCATGCTTTTCCAAGTGCCTCGGTGGTTATGTCAAATGGCTCTGATACCCGGGGCCCCCAGAAGCAGAACCCCATTAAGACGGGGTGAAGAACACAGGCCACCGATGGAAGCTGTGTTTCCACCGCTGGAAATAGCTGCACATGCCTGACTGGGGCCCCAGCTTCTGACCAACAGGTGATGCGCCACTCAGGCAGCAGCCCCTCCACATAACTACAAGCCCTGCCTCCACTGTCGCATCTGAGGACAGAGGGCACTTCGGGCCACAGTCAGCCGTCACGTTGACCTGGAGGTCCTGGCTGGCATCACAACGCTGCCCTCTGACCTCACTTTGGCTTTATCCCTTTGTTTTCTGATCCAGATGAGATGCTCCACCCACATCGGCGTGCAGCCTGGCCTTGGTTTGATTGCAGACTCAGCAAACATGAACCGAGCCCGCTCCCCATGGCTAGGCCACACCCTGGGGACGCACTGGGGTCCTGAGGCCTCGCTGGCCAGGAGGTGCCCAGGCTGGACACGGAGGCCTGATGGCAGTGCCACAAGGGCGCCATGAACACACCCGGCCCATCAGTCCCCATGTCCAGCCCTCTTCCCTGCTCCACACCTCCAACTGGTGATCAGGAAGGCTAAGATGTGCCTGAAACCATTCTGAGCAGAGGTTGGTCCAAACCCCCCTGCACAAAGGTGTTAGTGAGGGATGAGCTGCAAAGAGCAAAAGGGCAGTAGGCAAGGTTTCATCACAGCCAGCACCGGCTGCAGGAAAACCAGCTCAAGCCCCCTTCGGTGACAGGCTTTGGCATTTGAGTAAAGCCCAAACCGCAGGCAAACACTTTCAACGACACAGCTCCCTGGCGCTTCCTACTCGTTTTCCTCCCTCCTCCTCCATGGACTCAAGTCCAGGTTCTACCACTCTACTGCCCAGCGAGCAGCAGGTGGCAGAGCCCTGCACCGGAGGGCTCTCCACAGCTCAGCTTAGAATCCTGGACGGCCCTGCCTGTCCCCACATTAGAGATGAGGAAACCGAGGCCCAGGGCTGCCCAGCTTTCCCAGGCCGCAGAGTTAGCCACCTGCGACCCGGGGCCTCCATGCGGTCTCTGTGCATCCACACAGCCTTCCTGCTTCCCCAGCATCCTGACAAAGCTCCAGATCCGACAAGGCACATCCACACAGCCCTCCCCCAACCTCCCTCGACAATCAGAGCGGACGCACTGGCAGGAACGTCTGGAAGACCAACCTCCACGTCAGGCAGCTCTAGAAGCTGCTTTTGTGTTAATTCAAAACTAATTTTCTGGTACCCAAGAAGGAACCAGGAACAGGTTCTTTTCTTTCCAAACCAGCTGGGCTTTAACAGAGAACACGCATGGCTGACCACCCCCCAGCACCCCAGCCCAAGGGAGGGGAGCCACTGCCTCTCTCCCCTAAAAGAGGCAGACCGGACACTGGGCTTCGGTGCTGCAGCCAGGGGTTCCTGAGGACGGCTCTGCCTTGTGAGACGGAGGTCTGTCCCCTGATCCTGAGGACACCTGAAGGGCCCTCTCCAACCTGGGGCAACAGGTGTATTGCTATGGATGGGGCTGGGGCTCCCACACGCAGGGCCTATGCTTGTATTGGAAGAGTAGAATATGTGCCCAGATTCAAATGGCTGCATCAACCCAGTCTCAGTCTGTGGTTAACTCAAGGCCAAACACTTCAACTAACACAGGAAAAAGTCTTGTATAATACAAAGGGGCAGACAGCAAGAGGATCCAACAGTGAGAAGGGGACCCTTCTTGGTGATGGAAAAGGGCTTACAGTGTTTTGGGGTTTTTTTTTTGTTCTTAGAGACAGGGTCTTGCTCTGTCATCCAGGCTGAAGAGCAGCGGAGGGATCATGGCTCACTGCAGCCTTGATTTCCTGGGCTCAAGCGATCCTCCCACCTCAGCCTCCTGAGTAGCTAGAAATACAGGCACGAGCCACTGTAATCTGCACTCAGCCGGCCTTACAGTGTTTCAATGACTGATTTGCTCCCCAAAATGGGATGCCTGGTTTTCCAACTAGCTTCAACCTCTTAAACCAGGGGTTCCAACTCAGAGGCAATTCAAACGCAGGCAGCAATGGGTGATGTCCAGAGATATTTTTGTTGTCACAACTGGGGAACTGGGGAGGGGGCGTTACTGGACCTGATGGCCTTTGGATCCTACAATGCACAGGGCAGCCCCCACCACAAAGAGTGAAGTGGTCCAAGCTGCCAGTGGTGCCAAGGCTGAGAAACTCTCAAACAGATGGACCCTTGGCAAGAGTTGCCTTAGGAAAAAAAATTAATACGGGACTATTGAAGATAATAAATAATGTATGTGATATCATAGGTACAGAGTTTCTGTCTGGGATGCTGAGTCTAGAGACGGATAGTGGTGACGGTGACAGCTGCACACTGAGTGTCAGGTGCACTGTCCACGACATGTTCCCACATTCTTCTGTACACGGTGATCTGCGGTACTGAATGCACACTTCAAATGGCTAAAATGGTAAATAAACACTTTGTGTTATTTATCTTTTAACCATAAAAAAATCTATGACACATCAGATATAATGATATCATATATAATTATATGTAACTACATAATTTTAATTATTTCACAAAGTTGCCTGTTCAGCAAGTACCAACTGTGGTTATAACCCACGGCATCAGCCCCATCCTTATCCCCCACCTGACAGATAAGCAAACTGATTGGAGGGCAGCCCAGTGATTTGCCCAGGGGAACTGGGGTTCCTAAGAGCCACACCCTCCTGAGCTGACCTCACCAACCCCAAAGCAGCCTTCGGGATATCTCACTCAACCAAAGTCACTGAGCAAGCGCTGGGGATGCAGAAGGGACCAGGCAGACAGAAACCCTTCCCTCCGGGACCCCAGGCCATGGTGGGAAGATAGAAAGTGGACCACAGACAGAAACCAAAAGGACAAACTGGAGGACCCGTCAGGTGGCAAACACCATGGAGAGACGCAAAGCACGAGAAGGGGAGAGGGACCCTGGAGGAGAGCAGAGGGAGAGCCTCACCTACCCTGGGGAGAGGGTGCAGCACCAGCAGCGGGTGCAGCACCAGCAGCCAGCGGCCCCTATCTTCCCCTGCTCCCCAACCCAAAAACAGGCCTGGAGCTCTGCCCCATATCCCAGCCAACCCGCTGTGTGTTCACAGACAAGCTCCTTAACCTCTCTGTGCCCAGTTTTCCCTTTTGTAAAAAAGAAAAAATAAAACCTACCTCTGGTGCTGCCATGAGGATTAAGGGAGGCAGCGAGTATAAACTGCTCACCACCCTGCCAGGCACGCAGTGAGGGTCAGGGAGGGCAGCACTTCAGTCCAATCAAGACTACAAGGGAGTCAGGATGGCACAGAGACACACCTCACAGCTCAGGGGCCTCAGGACGAACGTTTCCAAGTGGTCATTCTCACGGGCATGATTTCACATGTAAGCTGCCCCTGAGAAGCTTCCCCAGTGCATGCATATGAGACAGACAGACAGACATTCTCCAGAAGACATAACATTCCGGCTAGGCAGGACGTTCCCAAGGACACCCAGTTTCTCAGCCCACACTGAACCCCACGCTGTGGGTCCCACATTTGGTGACCTCGCTAGGCTCCCTCACATGGCCCTCCTAGCTGAGTTGAACACATCAGCATCACCCCCAACCAGACTAACCCTGGCTGGTGCTCATTGCACTGCCCCAGCCCTTCCCGCCCCCGCCTGGTGCAGTCCACGAAGCCTCAGGGAGACTCGGGACATCTTCCTCGTTTGAGCTCACTTGAGACCACTCAGTTTGGGTAGGGCTCCGCACCCTGCAGCTGGTCTGAGAAATGGGGTGGGGCACTACAGCCTGTGAAATCCTCTGAACCCGGAGCCCCTTAAAGGGGTCCAAAATCTAGAAGCCCAGGAATTAAAAACGGCACAGCCACTTTGGAAGACAGTTTGGCAGCTTCTTACAAAACTACATACGCCCCTGCCACACGGCCCAGCAATCACACTCCTTGCTGTTTACTTAAGGGAGCTGAAAATGTATGTCCACACAAAAACCTACACATGGGTGTTTATAGCAGCTTCATTCATGACTGTCAAAACTTAGACACAACCAAGATGTCCCTCAGCAGGTGAATGGATAAACTGTGCTACATCCAGACAATGGAATATTATTCAGTGCTAAAAAGAAATGTGCTATCAACCATAAAAAGCCATGGAGGAAGCTTCAATGCATATGACTAAGTGAAAGAAGGTGACCTGGAGGGAGAGAGGGATGAACAGGCAGAGCACAGAGGATTTTGCGGGGGGCGGGGGCAGAAACACTGCTCTGTGTGATGCCACAATGGCAGAACAAGCCCGTGGTGAACCATGAACTATGGGTAATAATGATGTGTCAAAGTGGGTTCATCCATTGCGGCAGATGTGCCACACTAATGCAAGATAATAATGGAGGGAACAGGGACGGCAGGAGCATGGGAACTCACTGTACTTACTGCTCAATTTTTCTGTAAACCTAAAGTGCTCTAAAAGTAAAGACTATTAACAAACAGCAACAACAACAACAAAAAACCTTTTAAAAAATCTAGAACTCAGGGCCAGGTGTGATGGCTCACACTTGTAATCCTCCCACTTTGGAAGGCCGAGATGGGAGGATCACTGGAGCCTAGGAGTTCCAGACCAGCCTGGGCAACATAGTGAGATCCCATCTCTAGAAAATTATTTTAAAAAAATTAGCCGGACATGGTGGTATGTGCCTGTAGTCCCAGCCACTCAGGAGGCTGAGGTGGGAGGATCACTTGAGCGCAGGAAATCGAGGCTGCAGTGAGCTATGATTGTGCCACTGCAATCCAGCCTGGGCAACAGCATGAGATCCTGAAAATAAAGATTAAATAAATAAATAAGTAAAAATAAAAATAAATCTAGAACCCAGAGAAGATAATGGAATGCAGCCAGTGAGGAGCACAACCAGCTGGGAAAAAGCAGCCTCTCACGCTGCGAATCGCACCCTCGCCCCCCTCCCCACCCCACAGGGGCTGGCACCAGTAACCTCCAGGAACCTAGGGAACCCCAGGATTCCACAGCATCACCCACTCCATCTGGGATTCTGGCAGGTGTTGCCTCACAACGGCCCCCAAGTCTGGGCTCTGCCACCTCCATCCCCTTCCCTGGCCCAAGACCTATCATCTTTCCCCTGGGCCTCAGCACAGCCCCTACCCTCTTTCCCTATAGTCTATCTCACACCATGGCCAGAGAGGTCTCTCAACATGATAAACTGGACCCTGTCATCCAAGCTCAAATCTTCCCAATGCTTCCCCACAGCAGCCAGAAAAAAATCCCAACTGCCCCCACTGGGCCACACCGCTCCACCTCCACCACCCTCTGCCATGCAGGCCCTGGGACGGGACAGTTTCCACTGGAGCAGGACCTGGACAAGAGGAAGTGCTCTGTAAATAGTTGATGGGTGTTCTAATGAATGAAGAAGCCCACAATGCACTGCACAGATGTTATCATCTGTATTCTCTAAGTGCAGAAACCAAGGCACAGCCCGAGGTCACCAAGCCTGTGAGCAGCGTCAGGGGAACTGACTGCTGGCCTGCACTAAGCCCAGTGCCATATTCTCCCCTGCACCCCATCAAAACAGTGGCGGGTGAGATAGCACTGTCATCGCCGGCCACGTCCTCATTTCCAGAAGCCCAACCTCCGAATCAGGGAAATACAGCCGACTCCCCAAGGCCTTCGAGGCGGGCTGATGGATGCAGTGTTTAAGCCATAACTGTTTTCACTAAGTGTTCATTAACTTGATGATTGCAGAAGACCCACTAGGCTGTTCGTTGCCATTCAAAACCAGCAGCTCCACAACCATCTCCTTGGGTCCATGGGGTCTCCCACAAACCTCCTTTCTTCCTGCCCTCCCGTGGGAGCCTCCAATGCTTACCTCCACCTGCTTCCACCTCTGGTCATCCACAGATGCCACAAGGGGATGCAAGCCATGCAGCCAATGCCACCCAAGAAAAGGTCAACGGGGCTTGCTTGTTGTGGCGCTCAGCGGGAGAAGTTTCTACCATATACAGTTATTAATGACTTTATTTATATACCAATATTTAGTTCTGCTTGCAATTAAGCAGATCTGCTTTCAAAATATGACTAATTAGAACAGTCGTGCTGGCAGGCAGACTTCTGCAAGGAATCACATTGTTCTAGCAAAAGTTGTGCCTGCCAGAGGCAAAACCAGGAGCTGGATCTCAGGAAGCAGCCTTGGCTCACCACGCCTGGAGGACAGTGCCTTGCAGGGCTGGAGGAAGAGGGGGAAGGAGGATGAGAAAAGAGAGTGAGGGAGACAGAAAAGAGAGGTGAAAGCGTGGAGGAGGAAGGGAAGAGGGTGGAGGGAAGGAAAGTTGCAACCCTCAAGCCCAGAGGCTTAATTTGTATGATGCTAGTTAACGATGTTCTCTGGCCTGACATTTGCTGCTGCTTGGAAGCCAACCAGAAAGGTATGGGGTTGCCTAACTCCCAGGTTGACATTTTGAAGGAAGCCAGAGAAGGGGCACCTATGCAGTGATGCAGAAACGCAGATCAATACACGACGGGCTGATGTGCAACACCCCCATTAATCCCTGAATGGCTTCTGTCCTCACAATACTCTCATTTCTGTCCAGTAGGGGCATGATTTTCTCATCTTTCACTGAGTGACAATTTTTGATCAAAACAGGTGCATCTGGCAAAGACAGCCAAAGCCCACGTTCCTAAGGGAATCTGCAAAAGTCCTGGTGTCCCAGGCTGCCTGAGAAGCAGCACCCCTCACCGATGCCTGAGTCTACCATCAAGGCCTGACCCGCCGCTGCCTCTTCCAACTCCAGCTCTGTGCCAGACACTATGCAGGGACTGAGGACACAGAGACCACGATGGCCAAGAAGCTGACCTTGGTGCCGGCTCCACAGTCCTCCTGGCAGGGTGCACGGGGCGTGGAAGGAGAAAGCCACATTGTCCTGGGGCCCGGGAGACAGGCCCAGCCAAGGAGGCTGAAAGCTTTGAAGGAAGAGGAGAGTGGAGGGGGTCCTCTGTGCTGAGCAGGACACATGGTGCATATGAGGAGTCCCCAGTGCTGGGCAGTGCAGAGGCCACCCAGCCCCCACAGCAGAGACTGGTGGAAATGAAGGGTTGAGAGGTGTGGGGACTGGGGATGGCCAAGGTCTTCCCTGACCGACGGCCTCAAGCTGCCATCACTCTCTCCCTACCTCCCAAGAGTGAGGGACAGATTTTTCAGAGGCGAGGACATGGCACTTGATTTGTATATAGAAAGATCAGCCTGACCAGCTATAGCGGACACTGGGGAGGCCGCCCAGGCGCCCTCCAGGACCTGTTCCCTGTCCCCGCCTGCCAGGAGTGCTGGCTGCTGAGGGCTCCCAGCTGAGTACCACTTGAGGACTGTCCTTGGCCAAGGTCACGCCTCCCTCCCCCAGGGGCCACACACAATGTCCGGTCGATGTGGAGGGACAAAGGGCAGTGCCCTGGCCTTGATTAGGGACACCCCTTCAGAGCCTTCCCAGCTCCAGAGCTCTGGTGGCATTGGCTATGGGAGGCCTCTGCAGAGACCACGCCATGCCCCTCGATGCCCCCTCTACCCATCCAGCCCCTCGAATGAGTGCTGTGCCCGAGAGCTCCCAGTGTATCCCCTTTCACACAAATCCCATCTTAGAGCCTGTTCCCGGAGAACTCAACCCCAGACAGCGAGCAAAGCCCCAAGTCTCCAGAATCATGTCCTCTGCAGTCTGTTCCCATCTCCCCCATCCCCCACCCCCGTCATCACATGTGCTGCAAGGAGCTGGTGACCAAGCATCTGTCCCCTGAGCTCCCAGGGCAGAGCCAGGGATGCATGGTCCCTGAGAGCTTACAGAGTTGAAGCCTCACCCCAAAATCCCCAATAAATCTCCCCTTGACAACATACCCGTGAAATTCACCCATGAAATTCACACAGCTCAGTTCCTTCCATAATTTATGGCACTCAATGCTACAAGCCTTGTTAGGCAAGACCCTGGGTGGCTGCGTCCCTAGCAGGTGAGCCAGAAGCCAACGTAAAAATGCCGTGCTCTGGGATTTTATGGATTTGTAAAATATCTGCCCAGTTTTTCCTTGGGCAACTTTCATAAATCAGTACACTTGACATCTTGGGAAAATAGGCAGCTCCTGTAAGAGCGTGAAGCCATTTTTGCACTCACTGCTGTAAACTCAGGCAACAGGAACAAGCACCTTTTCCTGTGACCATAAAGCCAGGCCTGGAGCAGGCCAGCTCCCTGGTGTGCTGGATGCTCAAGAGTCATGAGCCGCTGGACCTGAGCCACACTTCCCCAGGTGAACGGGGTCAGTCCTGAGAGGACAATATGAGCCACGATAACAACTGACCACATACTATGCACCGGGGTCTGTGCGCTCAACACTTTCCTGTCTTCTTCCTCAGCAGGATGAAGACCTTGCCTCAAAAATAAATACATAAATACATAATGAAAATTGTTTTCAAAAAAAGGAGGTGAGGGAGCAAGCCTGTCCCCGTCCCTCTTAGGGTAGGAGCCAGCACACTGGAGGGGCCTGGGGCTATCCTGAAACCATTCCTGTCTTTACCCACCATTCCACTGCCACAGTTTCCTGGTCTATAAAATGCAGATAGTAACACCTGCCTTGAGGGTTACGCTAGGACGGAGTTCGTAGAGCTAGAAGGACCTGCCACATCACCCCAGCACCCAGCAACCCCATTTCCTGGTATGTTCCCCCAAAAGAACTGAAAGCAGGGTCTTGAAGAAGTGTTAGCACACCCAATGCACATGGCTTCATTCACAATAGCCAAAAGGTGGAAACACCCAACTGTGCAGCAACAGATGACCGGATAAACAAATGTGGTCTGTCCACACAATGGAAAGTTACTCAGCCTTAAAAAGGAAGGAAATTCTGATCCATGCTGGAACATGGGTGAACTTGGAGGACATTGTGCTGAGTGAATAAGCCACTCACAAAAGAACAAATATTGCAGGATTCTCCTTGTGTGCAGTCCCTAGAGCAATCCAGTTCACAGACACAGGAAGTGGCTGGGGGAGGGGAGGGGGAGTGAATGTTTAACAGGGGCAGAGTTTCAGTGTGGGAGGATGAAGAGTTCTGGAGCTCGGTGGTGAACACGGTTGCACAACAATGTGAATGTTCCCAGCACTTTGGGAGGCCAAGGTGGACAGATCACATGAGGCCAGGAGTTCGAGACCAGCCTGGTAAACATGGTGAAACCTTGTCTCTACTAAAAATATACAGAAATTAACTGGGTGCAGTGGTACATGCATGTATTCCCTGCTACTCAGGAGGCTGAGGCTTGAGAATCTCTTGAGCCTCGGAGGCAGAGGTTGCAGTGAGCCATATCACACCACCGCACTTCAGCCTAGGTGATAGATCGAGACCCTGTCTCAAACAAAACAAAACAAAACAAAACAAAAAACCAATGTGAATATACCTAATGCCATTAAACTACACACTTAAAAATGGTGAAAAGGTGAATTTTATATTTTGTGCATTTATCACTATTTTAAAAGATAAAATACACAACCCTCCTTTGGGGGGAAAAAAGTACCTGACACTTTTTTTTTTGGGGGGGGGGGGAAAGTACCTGACACTTTTTTTTTTTGAGAGTCATGCTCTGTCACCCAGGCTGAAGTGCAATGGCGTGATCTCCACTCACTGCAACCTCCACCTCCTGGGTTCAAGCGATTCTCTTGCCTCATCCTCCCAAGTAGCTGGGATTGCAGGCACGCGCCACCACGCCCGACTAATTTTTTGTATTTTTAGTAGAGATGGGATTTCACATGTTGGCCAGGCTGGTCTTGAACTCCTGACCTCGTGATTGGACCGCCTTGGCCTCTCAAAGTGCTGGGATTACAGGCTCTTTGTGCCCAATGTGCCCAGCCCCACTTTTTTTTTTAAAGTAGGTACTCACCCAGTGCCCCGTCCCTGCCAGCCTCCCCCTTGCCCTAAGGCTGGAGTGGATCCTGGAGCGCCGGGCTGGGCGCACGCTTGCTGGTGACCTCAGCCAAGCTCTCAGCCCCTCTGAGCCACAGTTCTCTGAGCTGAAGTCGTGGACAAGAAAGTCTGCTGGCCCAGCCGGTCTCTGGATTTGCGTCCTTGTCCCTGCGCCTGTCCGCCTGGGCTTCCAACGTGCACAAGCCAGCACCACACAGGCTTGGTACAGAATCATCAAGATCAAAAGATTTGCTGGAGTGGATATAAATAGCCTTAAAGCTCCTGGCCTGGGCTTTTGAGCCGGACGGCGCCGGCCAGGCCACTGACCCCAGCCAGCCTGGCTGGAAAGTCCCCTTCCCTGGAGTGGCTGCTCCACCAAGCACAGGCTCCTGTGTTCTCCCAGCCTCCAGTTCAGGCTTTGTGTCTCCCGCCTGCCACACTGTCTGTCACAACTTCCCTCCAAACTTAAACTGGTTTTCCAGTCCAGGCCGACTCACTAGGCCCTGACCTGCCCATGGAAACCATCTGGCTGCCGTGATGCCCACCGGAGGCCGAGGGCTCTAAGGACAGCAGGGGCAGAAGGGCGGACACGGTGAAAACACGCCCCGCTGCCTGCTCTCCTGGGTCTCGGTCTTGTGTTCGCCTGGGTTCCTGTTCTAGTTCTCATCTGTCTCCAAGTCAAACCGCATGGGACATCATCTACAAAATGTAGCATTTTCTGACAGGTGCCCGGCACCCCCTCCTCCCCTCCCTCCCTCCAGCTCCCTCTCACCACATGGCACCCCTGGGGGACTGGCTTGGCATCTCCGGGCTCTAGCATCACTCTGCAGGAAGGCTGGCACTGAGGGTAGGCCTGGCAGGCTCGCGAAGCAAGTGAATGGGTGAACGAATCAATCACTAATTCAACAAGCGGGAGGAGGACGGAGGAGAGGGCAGGAGGGTCAAAAGGGGTCAAACACATACAGTCTCTGCCTCTCTCGGGGGACTGTCACCCAGCCCACCCCTTCCCTCTCACTCTATCCCTCTGGTTCTCTCCCCCTCCTCTCCCTCTCTTTCTGTCTATCCCTATCTCTGTCCCTCTCTCTGTCTCTCTCTGTCTCTCTATCACTGTGTCTCTCCCTCTCTCTTTCTGTTTCTGTCTCTCTGTGTCTCTCTGTCTGTCTGTCTGCCTCTCTTTCTCTCAGCAGCATGGCTGAGGGCAGAAGGATAAGAAGGTGGGAGCTGCAGCCCTGATACCCCTTCTCCCCCTGGAAAGCAGAGGAGCACCATTTCCAGCCCCTGAGAAGTGACCCTGATCCAGAAGGTCTGGTCATGCGTCCCCTCAACCTGTCCAAGTGAATCAAGTCTTGCCTCCTCCTCGGCCCGTGCAGGGCAACCTCACTGGCCCAAAGGCTCTTTCCCTGCGAGATCCCTGCCGGCCCCACCACAGCTAGATGCTGCCCTAACTGTGACAAGACACCCAGCATCCCCTAGGATCAGGGCCCAGCCCTCGGCAGAGCCTCTGCCTGTGCACTGGCACTGCGTGAAGCACCCAGCCCTCATCTGCTAAGTGGCTCAATTCACCATCCCAACACTTGGGCCCCAGGGGGACCCACCTCCACCCCCACTCCCTCAAACTCTGAGGTCTCAGGCTCCCAGAGATGAAGCACAGCTGCAAAATCACTCTCGAGATAACCTTAGGGTCAGGATCAACAAAGAGAGACCAAAACCAAATACACGAACACAGACTGAAACCCATGGTTTCTTCTCTCATGCAGGAGTCTGGCAGTGGGCAGTCCAGGCTGGGTGGGACAGTTCCTCCAGGTTACCAGGTTACAGGCTTCTGCAAGCTCACAGCCCCCTCATCCCTCTGGTGCAGCCACTGTCCTCACAATCCAAAGTGGCTGCCTAAGCCCCAGCCATCACATCCTCATTCCAGCCAACAGAACGCAGAGCAAGGGTCAAAGGATACAACAATCCTTTTTCAAGGTACTTTCTGGAAGTTGCACAGCACACTATTGCTTACCTCCTACTGGCTACCACAGAGTCACACAGCCACATGTAACCACCAGAGAGGCTGAGAAGGGCAGGCTTTATTCTGCTCTACGGGCATTTAAAAAAAAAAAAAGATGCTTTATTGCAAAAAAAAAAAAAAAAAGGAAACCAGATAACGGGAAGCAGCTATCTCAGCCACACACCCCATGCCCATCTAGTGCAGGGCTCCCTTTCACCTCCGAGACTCCTGTTATTACTTTCCCCACACCTGAAATGATCATGACCGAGGTCCACTATGGAGCGAGTGCTCCCACACCCCCGGCACTGGCTAGGCCTTGTCTGAGGGAGGCACTGTTCTTGAACCCATTTTCCATATGAGGAAACACTCCCCCGGAGCTCAGAATGGAGCCAGTATCCAAACCCAGACTGCATGCACCCACCACCTCCACAATTTTGTCTTAGTCAAACTGCACTTGGCACATTGTGGCAGGAGAGATGACAGTGTTCCATCTCAATGCCATCGCCCTTGGACTCCATGTGGCATCAAGCAGCCTGAGACACAGCTTTCCCTGGAGGTCTCGAAAGTATTGAAGATGCCCAAGGAGC
The DNA here is from genome assembly GCF_000001405.40 of Homo sapiens. Taxonomy (NCBI): domain Eukaryota; kingdom Metazoa; phylum Chordata; class Mammalia; order Primates; family Hominidae; genus Homo; species Homo sapiens. The sequence goes on from NC_000003.12 coordinate 13,266,377, forward strand.
ATAGTTCTAACTAGCCCAAACGCCAGCCTCTTACAGGCTAAAAGTCAAGCTCAGCCTGCAGTGCAGCTGGGTGACGGGGAGCCCACAGGCCCCTGAGGCCCAGACCCTGCGCAGGGACTTTCTCATTAAACCAGGAGGCTCAGGGAAACCCACACAGCGTGCACAGAGCAGCAGTCAGCAGCTCCGATGATGGGGAGGAAGCAGCTTTTTTTTTTTTTCAATAAAATCAAGCAAAGGAGAACTATTCAGGGAGAAATACGGAAAACCGCTGAAGCCGTCACCTTAAGAAGAAACCAAAAGCCAACCCTCTCCAAGGTAGGCACAGGGAGACCCCACATGCTGAATCCCCAGGGTCCCTGAAGGATAGCACAAAAGTGGAGGCCAGGACAATTAGGGGCTCACCGTCCTCCCTAACAACGCTCGCTGCCTCCTCCAGCCAGGCGGTCCTTCTAGCAAGCTCTTATCTCAGCCCCCAAAACGGGGTGCTCCAGGGGCACATCTGCTCCCCCACCAGGCTATGAAGTGGACGGCAGGAACGCCCTGGGCCCCCGCTGCACCCCTGACCCCTGGCTGCACCCCTAACCCCCACACATAAGAGGCTCCATAACCGCTTACTCGATTGGACCTTGCTGTGGTCTGAATGTCTGTGTTCTCCCCACCAGGTTCATGTGTTGAACTCCTCATCCCCAGGGTGATGGTGTTGGGAGGTGGGGCCTCTGGGAGGTGGTGAGGTCATGAGGGCAGAGCCCTCCTGATTGGGATAAGTGCTTTATAAAAGAGGCCCAGAAAGCTCCTCGCCTCTCCAACCATGTGAGGACAGCAAGAAGACACCATCTATAAACTGGAAAGTAGGGCCCTTGAAAGACACTGAACCTGCTGGCACCTTGACCTTGGACTTCCCAGCCTCCAGAACCGTGAGAAATAAATGTCTATTGTTTATAAGCCACATAGTTTATGGCATTTGTTATGGCAGCCTGAACAGCCGAGGACAGACCTGGTACCAGTTCAGTGGAGATAAAAGAAACTACATTTTACAATAAAAACAATCCACACAAAGAAGAGAGGCTGACATTCTGATGAAATAAAAGCCGCGTTTTCCATCCCTCTGGTTGCCTCCAGCCAAAGAGGACTGGATTTTTGGCATCTGATGAATGAAAATCTGGAAAAACGGAGATTAAACAAGTCCCCCCAGCCCTGTGCCCTTCTGGGGCCAGAGTCAGCAAATTTCTTTTTTTTTTCTTTTTCTTTTTTTTTTTTTTTAGACAGAGTCTCGCTCTGTCGCCCAGGCTGGAGTGCAGGGGCACCATCTCCGCTCACTGCAAGCTCCGCCTCCCGGGTTCACGCCATTCTCCTGCCTCAGCCTCCCAAGTAGCTGGGACTACAGGTGCCCACCACCTCACCCGGCTAATTTTTTGTATTTTTAGTAGAGACGGGGTTTCACCGTGTTAGCCAGGATGGTCTCGATCTCCTGACCTCGTGATCCACCCGCCTCGGCCTCCCAAAGTGCTAGGATTACAGGTGTGAACCACCGCGCCTGGCCAGAGTCAGCAAATTTCTTAAACAAGAAGGCTGTGCCCCCCCTTAACCAGCTCTCCTCCAGATCCACCCACATCCTCAGTCTGGAGCTTTCACATTTGGGGGGATGGAAAAGAAGCAGCTTGGTGAGTCCTGTCCGTGAGGGACAAGCATCACACCACTGCTAGCAGGACCACCCTTTGCAGAAACCACAGAAACACAGAGGCCAGGTTCTGTCACGGCCAATGCACACCCCTGAGCAGAGCCCAAGAGCTCAGCCAGAGGAGGGCCACAGGGCCACCAGACACGAAGCAGGATGCCAAGAGCACTGGTTTGGGAGTCCCACAGACCAGGTCCATGTCTGGTCCTTGCCATTTACTAGCTGTACAACCCTAGACAAGAACTTCACCTCTTTGAGCCTCAGTTTTCTCATCTTCATAATGGGGCTGCACAGATAAAAAAGGATCAGCTAGCACACAACAGGTGCTTAATACATACTTACTTCAGCCCATCTCATAGAAGAGACCCTTATTGCCAGGGAAGCTGCTGTCTCCAGGAGAGAGCAGTGAAAACTCAGCTGTGGTCCAGGCCACTGCCACTAGACTTTCTGATGAGGCTCCCCTATCAGAAGGGTTGAGCAAGACTCCCACCATGAACCTGTGTCTTTATAAGTCATGTGCAGATGAGACTGCACTGATGTCACGAATATCCGTAAAAGGGCCCACCAAAAAGATGTTTCAGGAGGAAATTAAATAATAAGTGCAAATACAATCTTAATTGTACACGTTTTCCCTGCACCTCAAAGAATCAAGTCCTTTGCCCCTAGGGGTGTGTGCATTCCACTCTGGAGACCCTTGTCCATGTAACAATCGTCGATTCATTCAAAATATGTCATTTTAAATTTGGGCAGTTTGGTAGGAGGGCTTCCAAAGATGAGCAAGGTATGGCTGCTGCCTGCCCCAGAGAGGGAAGATGCAAGCCCCCAGGCCCCCAGTGGTAACAAGACAGGAAGCCTGCAGAGGGACCAGGGCTACAGGAATAAATATAATCAACATAAAGAGAAGACATTTATTCTAACACGTGTCAGCACCATGAAACGTTCTGAGATCAGAGTCAGTCCTCAGAGGACGTGCGGGGTTTCAAAAGGCAAGAACAGAGGTGTGGGCTGGGTATTCCAGGCAGCGGGAACAGCATGAAGTGTGAAAATGGCAGGCATCCGGAGTGAGCTGCAGTGCAGGGGGTTGGGGTAGGCAACCAGCAGGCACTTGGCCACCGGCTCAGGGCACTCTTGTGAGCAAGAGAGGAACTCAGGCCAACACTCCTGCCCTCAGGGCAGGACGACAGCCAGGCAGGAGCGAGGCTGCTTGGGTGTCCTTAGTGCTCAGGGAGAAGGTGGGACTGAGAAGGCAGCGCTCTCAGTGACTGCAGCCATCCACATCGCACTGCAGGGATGATTTTCTCCAGACCCCCTTTCCCTCTCTGGATGTTTTGGCTGCTTTGCCATATGGCAGGAGTTAAAAATACAGCTTGGAGTGAGGGGGATGCAGATGAGAACAGGCAAGCATTCCCTGAGTGACTGGGCTGGGAAGCCCAGCCCACTCCCATCCCCTACCCAGGGAACAGGTCAGGTCCCTGCCCAAGAAGCATCCTCAGTGCCCAAGCCAGGTTGTGGGGGGCAGGGTGCTGGCCTCCTGATGAGCTGCTCTGGAAGATGAGAATGCCACAGACACAGCCACCCCTAAAAGTGATCCTCCACAGACAGGCCAGCTCAGCAGGGGCAGGACAGCAGCCACATTCCAGGCAGAGAGAGGGGAGCGAGGCCCACCTGTGGGCAGGCCACTCTGAAACTTCCGCAGCCTTGACAGGGAGAAGTGACAGAGCCCAGTCTGAGCAAACCAAATGTGGGAGATTAAGGACCTCTGCAAATTGTCCCTCCTTCTCCCAGGGAGGGTGGAGGCCAATTCCTCTGCCCTTGAATTTGGGCTGGCCTTGTGATCTGCGTGACCAATAAGATGTGGCAGAAGTATGTCTGGGACTCCAGAGGTCCAATCACAAGAAGCCTCACATTTCCCACACAGGCCTTTTAGAACACTGGCTCTGGGGGCCCCTAGGCCACCAGATTGGAGAAGCCACATGTGGATATTCTGGTGGCAGTCTCAGCTGAGCCCACCTCCCAGACACCTCCACAAGGTGCCGGATGTGTGAGTGAAGTCGTTTTGGACCCTCCAGATCAGCCAATCATGCAGCTGAATACCACTGAGTATTCCATTAAAAACATAGGGAACAGAAGAACCACCCAGCCAAGCACTGCCCAACCTCTGATCTGCAAAATGAGATATAATAAAATGGTGGTTGTTTTAAAACTAAATGTTTAATTAATTTGTTACAGGCCAACAAATAAACCTTACGGTGACTGAATGATGGATTAATTGACTTGCTGATTCATTCATTCAATACATATTCATTAAAACCTACCCTGAGGCAGGACCCCTTAAAGAAATAGCAGAGACAAATAATTCACTCCCCTTGTCTTCAGGAAGCTTCTGGGCTGGTTCCTTGGTGCCTACCCAGTTTGTGATGGGTCTGCACCTGTGTTTGCCAGCTTTCTTCTCTGGGGCCTGCCACTTTCTGGGCTTCACTGTCAACATTCCCTGTCCAGATCCTGCCCCTGTCTTTATTCTCTCTGGGTGAGGATAAATTCATGTGGGAGGTTCTGCCTCTAGAACAAGTTTTATCATGCTCTGAAAGGTCCCCTATATACTAAAATAAACAAGGGGATTAAAATATTACACTAGAAAAATAGTTAACACAAAAGAAGGTAGTAATGGAGGAATATAGGAAGAAAATAGATATAAGATGCAGAAAATAAATGACAAAATTGTATATATAAATCTCACCTTATCAATAATTATATTAAATGTAGATTAAACACTCCAATCAAAAGGCAAAGACTGGTAGAATGGATAATAGAAAACATAATACAACTACATTCTGTCTACAAGAGATTCACTTTAGATTCAAAGACACAAATAGGCTGAAAATGAAAGGATGGAAAAAGATATACAAATGGTAACCAAAATGAGTTAAAGTAGCTATAACTAAAATCAGACAAAATAAACTTTAAGATATACATTGTTACTAGGGACTGAGAAGGACATTTCATAATGATAAAAGGGACAATCCATTAAGAAGACACAATAATAGGGCTGGGCGTGGTGGCTCATGCCTGTAATCCCAGCACTTTGGGAGGCTGAGGTGGGCTGATCACGAGGTCAGGGGATCGAAACCATCCTGGCTAACACGGTGAAACCCCATCTCTACTAAAAATACGAAAAATTAGCCAGACGTGGTGGCAGGAGCCTGTAGTCCCAGCTACTCGGGAGGCTGAGGCAGGAGAATGGCATGAACCCAGGAGGCGGAGCTTGCAGTGAGCCGAGATGGCACCACTGTACTCCAGCCTGGGTGACACAGCAAGACTCCGTCTCAAAAAAAATAAAAAAGAAAAAGAAGACACAACAATAATAACCTTTTGTGCACTCAACAACAGAACCCCAAAATACATGAAGTGTTTAAACTGACAGAAATTAAGGAAGAAAGAGACAATTAAAGAATAATAATTGGAGGCTGGGTACAGTAGCTCATGCCTGTAATTCCAGAACTTTGGGAGGCCAAGGTGGAAGTATAACTTTAAGTCAGGAGTTCAAGACCAGCCTGGGCAACAAAGCAAGACACCATCTCTACAAAAATTTTAAAAATCAGCTGGGCATGGTGGTGCACACCTGTAGTCCCAGCTACTCATGAGGCTGATAGGGAGGATTGCTTGAGCCCAGGAGTTTGAGGTTACAGTGAGCTCTGATTGCACCATTGCACTCCAACCTGGATGACAGAGCAAGACCCTTTCTCAAAAAAACTATAATTAAATCAAAATAAAAATTAACAAATAAGAATAACAATTGGAGACATCAATACCTCACTTTCAATAATAAACAGAGCAGGTAGGCAGACCAACAAGGAAATATAAGACACAAACAAGACTACAAACCAACTAGGCCTATCAAACATGTACAGAACAGTCCACCCAACAGCAGAAAACATTCTTCTTAAGTGTACACGGAACATTCTCCAGGATAGACTGCATCTCAGACCCTAAAATGGGTCTCAACAAATTTAAAAGGACTGAAATCACACAAAGTATGATCTCTGAACAAAACGGACTGAAACTAAGAGTCCCCTAAAAATGTCTAGATGACAGCTCTGATAGGGATATGCTTGGCTGATCCTTGCTCATACCACAACCTTCCCAACCACCCTTGCTTTGTTTTGCCTCAGTTCCCCCATATATACCATGGAGATAATAATGCTCCCCACTTCACAGAATCATGGCAAGTGCTTACAATAAATAGCCAGTCATCAAGGTTGCTATTATTGCTCATCAACAATGGAGGGGTGGCGGCAACCCCTCACATTCCATCCCTAGGTGAGAGACATTCATTCGTACAATATTACACTTTCAAGACACCTTTGTTCCCATTATTTGATGTGGTCCATCACAGCCCTGCAGGATCGTCTGGTGAAAGGGAAAGTTGGTGGTGGTGAAGCCCCAGTACGGGGGCATCTGTTGACTCCTTAGCCCAGAGACTGGCTCACAGTAGGTGCCAGGGAGGGCAAGCAGGCCAACCTAGGGGTGAGGGTCAAAGGGGATGGTCAGAGTCACCCCGCACACCCCTTTTAGGTGGCGGATTTTTACACATCTCGATGTCCGGCAACTGCTGAGCTGGGTAAGAGTAAAGCCTCACAGAAAGTAAAGACAGAGATGTGAGCATGTCATGGGCTGTGGGAGGGGGATGGAACTTTCCAGGCTCCTCCTTTTTTGTCGGGGAGGCCCTAATTCAATTTAATAAAATTAAGACTCCACAACTTTAAAACATGTGAAGAGGCTGCAGCGTTAAAGGGATTGAGATAACACATCGTACAAAGGGTTGGATTCAAAATCAGCAGCATTAACTATGCAGAGAAGTGGGTAGATAAGAGACATGTGCTGAAACCCAAGTCACCTGATTCTAAATTCCATGACTTTCTAAAATCACTTTCCTTCTCAACAGAGAAAGAAGAAACAATAATGATACAAGTGGCTCTGTGCACAGTTACATACATCAAGGATGTAATCCTTGCCACTCCTCTAGCAGGGAGGTTTTATAACCCCATTTTACAGGTGAGGAAGCTGAAGCACAGAGAGGCTCAGCCACAGGCCAGAGAAGACAAAGACAGGTGGTGCATGTGGAGGGAGCTGGGATTCAGGCTGCTGGCCTGGCCCCAGAGTCTGTGTCCTGGCTCCTGGCCACCGTGCTGCCCAAATACTCCACCGGGAGCCTCACCCAAGCCATCTAGAAGTCCTGGCCAGCCCAAGGGAAGTGAACATCTCTGCTTGGGCTGCTCCTCCCTCAAGGTGAAAGAGGGGAGTGGCCTGGGTGTGGGAAGCCAGAGGCAGAGTCCAGGGGTGTCGCCAACCACCTCACTCCCTGTTTCAAGAACTCCCCGTTTCAAGAACTCCCCATTCCAAGAACTGCTGCAGGCAGCCAAGATGGGCACGGCCCCTCCCATCTGGAGCCACTCCTTTGGTTCCACTCCTCTCTCTCCTTCCCATCTGAACTGGCGATTGTTGGGGGAAAAGAGAGGGTGGGGCCGTGTGCCTTCAGCCCCAGCCCACGTGCTCCTGCCCATCCCAGCAGCCTCTGCCCAGGATCCCAGCACCCAGCTCTGCAGCATCTCCTGAAGCCTCCCTCACCCTGGTACCCATGCCTGCCCCAGGGGCCAGAGATCCTGCCCAGACCTAAGTCCCATCACTTCCTCCTCTGCTCAACACCCTCCAGGGACTTCTGTCTCCCTTAGATCAAAGCCAAAGTCCCCAGTGGGCCCACATGGCCCTGCTGGCTCTGCCTCACCCCTCGCCCCTGCCCTGTTTGCCTCCACCCTCCTCTCTCATGCCCTCCCCCTCACTCTGCCCCATGCACACTGGTCCGCTCCCTGCACCTCAACCACGCCGCCAGGCACACTCCCCACTCAGGGCAACCCTAAGAGGGAGATCCAGTTGTCACTGTCCCCATAGCAGAGATGAAAAATCTGAGGCTCAGAGAGGTGCATTTCACATGCCGAGGGGGAGAAAGTACAAGCAAATCCCAAAGCCGGGACCCTCCCTCCAGTCCTGTCTTTGGGTTTTCCCAGGCTACCCCACCAGGTCCCATTCAGCCTCGGGCTGTTCATGGGCCCTGCAGCCCATCCGTGAATCTCATCCACAAACATGCCTGCCCCCGGAAGTGTCCCCAGAGGCTGTCCCCCAACACCACCAGACACGTGCTAAGGACTTCTCACCTGAGCGCTGAGGCCATCCAGGAAGCAGAGGATCCCACCCCGCACCTTGTCCTCGCAGGGCCAGCACTCCACAGGCAGCTACAAGTGACTTGCAAGGACCCTCCTGCCCTACCGGTCCCAGGACACCCTCTGGGCAGGCCCTGTCTTCTGCCCTTGGCAAGCTGTGCTCCTGCGGTTCCCACGGAGGGGGCGGGCTCAGGCCCCTTGGTTCTCCACGGGTGTGACGCTCTTCATGCAAGTGGTATGCAGAGCAAAGGACAGCTAAACCACCACAGGTGCTTCCAGCAAAAGCTGGGGCAAAGCCAGAAGAGGGGCCCCCATCCCAACCCTCCCCTGCGACCACATGTCCCAAGTGTGTCCTGCATGAATGAAGACGTGAACAGCAACTTTCTGGGAGCTCAGCAAGTGTTCATCTCAGCGGAGTGGGGAGGTCAGACCAACTCAGAGAGGAACACCCGGCACTGGCTGCTGGGTGTGCTGCATGGCTTAGAGGGCCCTCCCCAAGCACACTGGCACCCACTGCCCATAGCAGCCCTGCCAGCTGGGTGCAACCACTGTCAGCTGCTTTGCAGAGAAGGAACTTGGGCTGTCTCCAGGTGGGTGACAAAGCTACATTCATTCTGGCTCCTGAAGCCAAAAATCTGGGGAAGGGACCATGCCACATTTGGAAACGGCCCCCAATGTTTCCAAAACATCTACACAATGCAATGAACAGTTCTGAAGCAGCCCAGCGTGGTGGTGAACTGCACCAGCCCTGGAGGCAGACAGACCTGGGTGTGAATCCCGCCGCTGCCACTGGGTGACTGTGGGCAAACCACTTAACTTCTTTGAGCCTCAGGTTTCATATATGCGAAATGGGATGAGGACAGTTCACACTTGTCACAGGGTTAGAGCATCAACAGAGACATGGAGAAGAATGTGCCCAGCAGGCAGCACCTAGAACGGGCTCGGTTATTGCTGTGGCCTCACTACAATCAACACATTCTAAGTTCAGGTGCAGAACGACAGTCTCTAACCCGTTCCTTTGTGGATCTCGCCTCATCCAAGAGGGAAAGCTGAACACTTCAAAATCAGGATTCAAGCTAGGCCCAGCTTGGAGGGCAGGGGCCAGTCTTGTCCACCAGCTCCCTAAAACTGATACCTGGGTTCTAAGAAAGGCAAGTGCCCTAGGCTGGTCTGTGCCCATCTGGGCCTCACCTGGCCCAGTTGCACCGACCTGTTACAACCAATGACAGCACCGCCCAGCCCCTCACACACCCCGGGCACAGACACACCACACATGCTGCTTCCCCTGCCTTGACACCATCCTCCTCCTCTCTCCTGCTCTTCAAGTCCCAGCTCAAAGGTACGTCCTCCAGGAAGCCTCTGCTGACACCCGTGGGTGGTCACTCGCTTCGTGCTCTGGGGCTGCACACCACTTGGCCCCCTTCCTCCGTGGCCTGATCCCTCTGTAATCTTCCAGGTACAGGTCTCCATCTCCTATTTGCATGATGTTTCCAAGTGGAGGCAGTGGGGGAGCGGCCCTAACCAAGGACAAGCAGCCCAGGAAGGGGTGTGAGTAGAAGAGGTGGCAGTCGGGTGCAGGCAGTGCAGGGCCCGGCTCCTGGGCCACAGCAGGCGCTCTACCGATGTGAGCTCCCCATCCACAGAGTTCCAGAACTCCAAGGACGGAGGGGCATGGAACATAGTAAATATTCCAAAACCTTCATTGCAGAATCCAGGGGGACAGTGTTCTGCCCCATACAGCTCTTGCAACTTTTCTATATGTTTGAACATTTTTGTAATAAAACATTGAGGGAAAACAATCCTCAAAAGCATTCTTTTTTTTTTTTTTTTTTTTTTTTTTGAGACAGAGTCTTGCTCTGTCACTCAGGCTGGAGTGCAATGGCGTGATCTCGGCTCACTGCAAGCTCTGCCTCCCAGGTTCACACCATTCTCCTGCCTCAGCCTCCCAAGTAGCTGGGACTACAGGCGCCTGCCACTGCGCCAGGCTAATTTTTTGTATTTTTAGTAGAGACGGGGTTTCACCGTGTCAGCCAGGATGGTCTCAATCTCCTGACCTCGTGATCCGCCCGCCTCGGCCTCCCAAAGTGCTGGGATTATAGGTGTGAGCCACTGCACCTGGCCTCCTTCAAAGCATTCTTGATGCCCTGGCTATTCCTCCCCTGGAGCCACCACCTAATGCGGGGCCACAGGCAACTCCTGTATCTGCTCTCCCTGCACGGAAGTGGCCTTCTCCATTTTCATGGGGAGAGACAGCAACTCAGAGAGGCTGGGGCTGTTACTTGGAAAGTCCAAGCAGCAGGGAAGTGGCTGAGGCAGGGCTGGGATCCTGCCAGCCTGCTACGGGGACAGGGCTAACTGTCCAGGAGCCACAGATGGGGGCCTGCAGGGTCCCCAGAGCAAGGCCAAGGCTGATGGGCTGGAGAAAGGCATTGGCAACCTCAAGGCAGCAGCCGTTTCCCGATGAAAACAGAAGCACCCAACGTTTGCCATAACTGGCCCGGTGCATCCTGCTGGAATATCCACCCCTCGGAGGGCAGGATTCAAACTCCCAAGGCCTTGCTACCTCAGAGCTTCAAGTCATTTGGTTGCAGCCTGGCCCGGGTCTGCCCTGGGTGGGGGCAGCACACTGGAGGCCGCTGAACTCGGACTGCCTCCTGGCCCCACCGCAGCCTCTGCTCCATTTCAATTAGGTCAATTCCCTCTCCCCTATTCCAGTTCTTGCCAAATGCCTGGCTGGCCTGTGTTGTTTTTTCTGCTGCTCTGTGGCAATTATACGGCTGACACCCTGACAAGCTCAGAATGGTGCACTTCCCAAGTTAGGCAAAGCATTGCTCCTCCTTAAAAAAAAAAAAAAAAAAAAAAAAAAAAAAACAGAAAACAAGACACAAAAGACCGGATCAGCTGTCAAAACAATGTCATAGACAAAACAGCTGAGAAATAGCCACCCAGCTGGCAAAAAACGCTGATGTCCCCAAATGCCTGACTCCAGGCCCCTCCAACGTGACCGACCCCTCTCACTCCCCCCGGCACAGCAAAGCCTCCTGATCTCTGCCAGGTGCAGCGAGCCTGAATCCAGAAAGGGGAGGCAAAAACCAAACGTCGGAAACAAGTAGGTCCCGACTTTATTTCGCACACAGTGCCACTCGCTGTCTTCCTCAGCTCGAGCTGGATAAAGAAACATCTCATGGTTTATTTTCCAGGTTGTAAAATAATAATTTGCCCAGTCTGTCAGACAGCTGGGAGAGCTTCGGAGACACACTCCCTCGTCTTTCTGTGGACTCTACCATCTGCTGGAAAATGAGAATCACTCTCCCCACTCCCTTGGAGTTGAACACATTTTGTCCCATCAGACAAGTCTCCCAGAGCATGCTGCAGCTCGTTCCTGACTTGGGGACTTCCTCCCCAGCACTGGACACGGGCTTTATCTTGGCTGGGAGAACAAGAACATTATTGAACCAAAACATGACACAGTATCTCCCTCTGCCCTGCCACCCTTTCTGCCAAATCAGAGATCAGAAAAGAGCCCTCTCGGCCTCACTCAGTCTCTCTACAGCCCCCTCCTCTTTGCTAAGAGGGGACAGGAAATCCAACCTAAGTGCCCTCAGCCCCCCGCCCCTGGCCCAGCATTGGTGCTTCCCGGCCACTTTGAAGAACAACACACTTATCAGGGGCTCCCGGCAGGACCCTCCTGAGGGTGGCTTCCTCCTGCCCATTAGGACAATCCAGCCTCCGCTGCTGCCCCCTCATCAGTGGCCACCCCTGAGCTTGCCTCTGAACTGACGTGCCGCCGTACGGTTAATGTCACCATGAACCCGGCAAGAATACTGGTTTGGTAAATCAACAGAGTCTGAATGCCACTGAAAACCTCCCCCGGAGTGAGTCACCAACTCAGAGCTTCAGAAAAACGTCCTCTCCCAGTGATATGACAGCACTTAAGGGCTGGAGGGGACCAGAAAGCGAGGCAGGCCACTCCACTGGGCTTCCCCCCCCCACCCCCAGCCTCCTTAGGCGATGTTTCCTTTTGCCAAGGAACTTTGGAAGATCAAAGGCTGGAAGGAATCATCTCATTAAATCCTTGCCCCCTCTACACTGCCACCCCACGTGACACCGTGAGCCCTGCCTTGGTGACAAGATTGCACACGGCAGGGTGGAAACCTCCCATCTGGGCTTTCTCCAGCTTGAGAGGCCAGGAGTCACTGGGATCCTGGGAGATGGTCTGGCCATTCGACAGCATGAAGGGCAGGTGGTGGGTGGATAGGAGCTGGGGGGAGGCTGGGTGTGGTGGCTCACGCCTGTAATCCCAGCACTTTGGGAGGCCAAGGCAGGTGGATCACCTGAGGTCAGGAGTTTCAGAGCAGCCTGACCAACATGGTGAAACCCCGTCTCTACCAAAAATACAAAAATTAGCCAGGCGTGGTGGTGCACGCCTGTAATCCCAGCTACTCAGGAGGCTGAGGCAGGAGAATTGCTTGAACCTGGGAGGCGGAACTTTCAGTGAGCCGAGATCACATCATTGCACTCCAGCTCTGGATGACAGAGCAAGACTCCGTCTTGGTGAGGGGCAGGGTGGGGGGGGACAGGGAAGAGCAGGGAGGCCAAGCCAGACCATCTGAGTACAAATCCTGGCTCCACCCCGTAGCCAGATGGGAGAGCTTGGGCAAGGCCATGATTTCTGAGCCTCAGGTTCCACATCTATAAAATGGGAGCAGCAGCTGCACCTGCCTCGTAGGAGTGATGAGACAAGGAGATGACCTGACCAAGGCATAGACCGTAAGCAGGGCAGGCACACAGGAAGCCCCCGGTGGATGCAGCCATCGGCCCCACCCCTGCTCCCTGGGATTTGGGTCTGGGTGATTTTCAATCCCAGCTGGGCCTGCTGAAGTTCAACTGACTTTCTAAAGGAAAATGCAATGGCCTGAATCAATCCCTCTGGCTTCATCCACTCAACAAATCTTTACTGAGTGCCTATTATGCGTCTGAACCTCTAGTGAGCAGAGAGCAATTCTAGAAACAGATCACTAGCATGTAGCCAACCAGACATTGGATATGAATTCTGATGTCAGGGTAAAAGCATAGCCAAATAATCAAAGTAACCACAGGCATCCCATCACTGTATTTTTTCCTGTTATCATCCTGTTTTTCCCAGAGCTGAGAAACTCATGATGGTATTTTTCAGGGGGTGTCAAGGCATGAAAGAGCACTCTCTGAGAAAGGCTTAAAGGTTTCTGGACTTGTACACTTCCGGCACGCAAAGTCATCCTGCCCATGGACTGCATGGATGGGGCAGTGCCAGGCTAACTGTTGTCCCAGGACGAGGCTGCTCAGTGATCTCTCAATTGCATCCATCCAACCCCCCTCGAGTCACTGCACCTTCTGTCTGTGTGGCGGGCTGGGGGCTCCTGACTCACGCCAGAGAATCTGGAGGCTGAGTAGGAGGTCCACCAGGCCTGGCTTAGCCTGGCATGCTCGCCAGACCCTCCCTCACAGGGCCTCTGTGTGCAGGTAGGGGGAAAGGGGAGCAGAGTCCTCAGCAGGAAGTCAATCCTGATGCTGTGGCCTTGCATGGCCCTGTCACCTTGGGAAACCCATGCTCAACCCCCACCTAGCCTCTGGGCAGCCCTTCTCACGGTACCCCATTTCCCTCTCCATGCCTCCTGCCCCTGGCTCCAAAGGTCTCACCCCCTGCCTGTGCTCAGTTGGCCCAAAAGAAATGACAAACAGGTGGACAATGGAAGAATCTGACCTGCATTAAGCACTTACTGTATACCAGTTTCCTCCATGCCCATCTTTGCTTAATTCTCAAAAAAGTATGGGAGGCAGCTATGATCATTCCTGCTTTGCGTGCATTTCAGAAAACCTGAGGCTACGAGGGGTAGTATGACTTGTCCCATGGTCACCGGCTGGGAAGTGCAGGGCTGGGCCTAGGACCCTAGTTTGTCCACTCATGTTGCTCTCTCTACACAGAGTTGCTTATTCTCTTCCTCTCCATTCTTCCTCTTATGTTTCCAAGCACATTGATAATGAGTCTGCATACAGCAGGTGCTTAATAAAAGTCCTCAAGGGGATTGGTTATCCCATGTTCCTTAGGCATAAATCACCTTGCTCTGCAGATGGGCAGTGGGATACATCCAATCCATGGTTTGCTGAGCAGCCCCGGGGGGGCCCAGAACCCCACGCATGTGAGCAGGCCATGTGATGCCCCCGTCCCTGTGAGTCTCCTGTGAGGGGAGGAGACTCCAGCATTCTCCTTCCCAAAAGACTAGGGAGTGAATCAGATGCACAAAAATGGGTCCGGCTGCTCCATCTTGAAGGGAACCCACCCACAGCTCCTGCTCACACCAAGACTCCCCACAGCCTCACTGCTCACCCTGGGGTCCGGGCCCAGCAGCAGCGGGTGTCCTAGGAGCTGGCTAGAGATGCAGACTCCAGCCCACCCCAGACCCACTGGCTCAGCATCTGCATTGTAGCAAGATTCCCAGACTCCTGGTGTACACATTCAAGTTTGGAAGCTGTGCTTGACCTAGACCGTGGGCTGAGGACTGTGCTGCCACTCTGCTTTCCCTAAAGGCAATGCTCTCCCTCACAGGCCTTGGCTGTGTCTCCACTAAGGGGAAGCCAGGTGGACACAGAACCAGGGACTTCTGAAACAAAATCCCAGCCTTCCCATCCCGGCTTCCCGGCCAAGGCGGCTGCCTGGATGCAACCCAGGGGGATGCCCCACGGAAGGACGACGTGCTCCCTCTCAGCATCCTCCTGTCCCCTGCGTGGTCACCAGGGGTGACGCTGAAGGGAAAAAGGAAGCCATTCCCCAGGGTGGTGTTGTGAGGCATGTGCTGACCAACGTGTCACTGCTTCCCATGAAAGCAGGGACTTGGGACCTGCCCTGGTGCCGCCTCCCCAAGCTGCTGAGGACTTTCCTTGGGCAGCCCCAGCTTCTCTTTTGGTCCTGGTGTGGGAGAAAGGGCCCGGGCCCCTGTGAGACCAGCTCCGGGAGACCCACAGCTGCTGTGGCAGGACTGAAGAGTGAAGGGAGTCTCAGAGACTCCGGAGGGCCAGGAGTGGGGCCCAGACAGGCAGTGGGCGGGGTCTCTGCTTCCTCCCAGTGACACCAGTTAGGAGCTATACACACGTCCCGCTCCTCCTTCTCCATTCACAGAGAGCAAGAGCCTGACACCCACGCCTGCCACGCACAGAGCCATGTATGTGTTCACCCACAGCCCGACCCCATCCTCACAATGCTCCTCCTCCAAAGAGCCCCCCAGCCCCACCCGCACCGCCCAGAGCCAGCACACCCTCCAGGCAGGGCAGCAGACAGGGCCTGTCCCATGGCCACAGTCGCTGCAGCCCCCCTGGGGTGGGAAACTCGGGTTTCCATGACAGTACTGGGACTCCTGGGAATCAGGAACCACCCCACCTTCTGGGGCCACAGCTAACTCCTCCCCCATTTCCACCCTGGAAGGGCCGCCCAGCAGGAAGACTGTCCTGAAGCCCTGACCACGGCCACTCCCCCAACCACACAGTGATTTCTAGTCTTCCCCAGGCCAAGCCATAGTGGGCCCCGGGTGATCCCGAAGACAGAGAGGCAGAGGGGCAGGCAGAGGGCACAGAGCAGCAGAAACCCCGCCCCAGAGACACCGAAGCCTCCCAGCCCCCTTGTCCTGCCCCAGATGGGCGCCCGAAGGTCCACACGGTGAGGCTGCTCCGGGTTTCGACACCGACACTCATGGGAGGCAAACGGGAACCCGGCTGGCGGGCTGCGAGCCGGTAGGGACGCTGGGGTCCAGGGCTGCTGGACAGCCCCGCCCTGTACCTCTCCCCATCCCTCACTTAATCCTGGGTCCGAAATAGCCCCGGGTAATCCCAGGGCGAGGCAGTCGGGAATTAACCCCAGCCTTGAAGTAAGAGACAGAGGCGTCCACAGAAGAGGGCTCTGCGCGTCCCGGACTGGACACAGCGCAGAGTCCATTCCAGGGACACCGCAACCCGCAAGCGACCCAGGCCCGCTCCAGGGCGGGATCCGCGCGGCCCGCGACCCCTCCCTACCGGTCTCGGGATCTCTGGGTCGGAAGTTCTCGCCCTGCTGCTCCGAGACCTAGGTCCGCTCCCCGGACAGACCTCCGCCCGGCTCGTCCGAGCCCCGGGGGTCGCCAACCCTGAGTCCGCGCCGCAGCGCAGAGCCAGGCCGGCGGGAGCGCTGAGCAGCTCCCTGGAGCCCTTTTCCAGGGAACCCAGTCCCCACCCGAGATCGAGCTCCGGATCTGGGCGGCGACCCCGCCAGAGAATCCCAGGGAGCCCCTGGGGGTCTGGCGGCGGGTGTGGGCGCTCCCGGGCCGGCCACGCGCCCTCCCGCACCCGCCCACCTCCCCGCCAAGCCCCGAGGGAAGCCGCGGACCCCAAGAAGTTCCCACGTCCCCGACACGCCCGCCGCCCCGGGCCCCGCTTACTTGTCGCGGCGGCCGCCGAGCTCCGGGATGGCGCCGAGCGGCTGCGGGCCGGGGCCGGGGCCCGGGTCGGGGCGGCGGGCGCACGCGGCCAGGTGTCGCCGGTGTCGCTCCAGCAGGCCGGCGTTCTCCCGGCTCAGCCGCGCCACTTGGCGCTCCAGCTCCTCGATGCGCCGTCGCCGGCGCGCCAGCAGCTCCTGCTGCGCGGCGACGATCCGGGTCAGCTCCTGCAGGTACTCGGCCGCCTGGCCGGGGGGCTCGGCGGCGCTGGCCATGGCCCCCCGCCCGGAGGCCGGCCGCGCCTCAGGCGAGCGGGCGGCGGGGCGGCGGCGGCGCGGCCATGGCTGCGCGGCGGGGACGGCGGCTCGGCGCGGCGCGGGGCTGCCGCGGCCCCGCCTCGGCTCCCGCCTCCGCCGGCGCCGCCCCCGGGGCCCCCGCGCCTCCTGCTCCCCGCGCCGCCGCGCTCCGCCGCCCGCTGCCCCGCGGACGCGCCGGGGCGGCAGGGCGCGGAGCTGCGGCCGCAGCGGGCAGGCGAGGAGTTTTGCAAAGTGCCGGCCGCGGCGCGGGAAGAGGGCGGGGAGGGCGCCGCCTGCTGGGACCGCCCCTGGGTCCCGCGCCCCCGCACCAGGCGTCGGGGGACAGCTCCATCCTTCTCCGGCCGCCTCGGGCGCCTTAAATCGGAAGCGATTCCGTGAAATACATCTCGAATCCATCAGCGGACGATTTTAGGAAAAGTGTAAATAAAAAATCAACACACTCACGAGAACATTGGCATTTCTTATTGATCTGAGTCTACCAAAACACTGGGTATGGGCAGGGTGCGGAGGCTCACGCCTCTAATCCCAGCACTTTGGGAGGCCGAGGCAGGAGGATCGCTTGAGCCCAGGAGTTTGAAACCAGCCTGGGCAAAAGAGCGAGACCCTGGCTCTACAAAAATACCAATAAAATAATAAAATAAAACACTGGGAATGTTTTGTACTTGTAGAAGCAAGACGTTTCCCCGGCCGTCCCTTCCCAGTTGCAACCAGAAGGTGGCCCTGAAGCCTCCATGGTTCTATTTGCTGAGCTGCCAAGGCTCAGGGGCCCAACCCACCACTCACACTTGCGGTGGGGAACTGATAATCTGTGGAGGGAAGCCCCGCCTCTGCTCGGCGTTGAGATCTGCAGCAATTTGTTTTACCCCTTGGAGCCTACCTTTCCTCAGCCAAAATATTTTCCATTTGTTGATTATTTTCTTAATCTTTGTAATTTTCATACCCCAAGTTTCTTTGGGGCTAAACTCACTTTTCTATCTCCTTGACTTGAGCTGGCTTATTTCTACAGTTCCATTTTCTAGCAAATGCATTTAAGGCTATAAATTTACCTCTGGGTAAAGCTTTAGCTACATCTCATATATTTTTAAAGCTGTTATTTACATGCGGGTGGCATTGCCTTTGTTACACCAGCTTCACTGACACTTGGTGTTCCATATTTATGTTTGTTGCTATCCCTCCATCCCCAGGAGAGGAGGAGACTGCATAGAGAGACCTCAGACCCTCCAGGGTCCTCAGGCCTCCTTCGGTGTCCCACCTTGGCTGTCCCACGGGCAGGGCCCAGAATGGTAGTGGGGCCATGTAGTGGAAGCCTCAAGTTCCCCAAGGACTGTTATACGAGGATGAGATCATACACACACCACCCTAAATGAAAGCTCAACACAACTTTAAAATTGTCCCTCATTTCTAAGACACGTCCTGTTCTCAAGATTAATGTTATCTTTATAAATCTTATCATCACCTTTTGAAGAACACCATCAGATACCATCCTATTTGTACATGTACAAATCATTGATCATTTTGGTTTATAAATTGAAAATATACCAACATCTTTGCCACTCTAATCTAATATCTCCTCATTTGATAATACCTGAGGAGCTTCCCAAAAAGGGATCCGTGTAGCCCAGGCTTCTCATGACCTTATGGGAGGCCTGACCCTGCAGTTGCGCACGGGTCTCTGCCAGTGTTTGGGGCTGGAGGGAAGGTAACTCTAAACCCTGGTGCCTGTCAGTGAGGATCATGGCTGATGGACAGAGCTGCAGGGGTTGGGGAAGGAGCAGCCAGGCTCCCTTTCTATGCTCAATGCCCATGTGGAGCCCCCAGACACCCCTTCCAGCTGTTCCCGATTGAAGATGACCCCACATCTCCATCTCTGCACTACCTCCTTGCTCCCTGAGGCAGGTCACCTTGCCACTCAGCAGACAGAACACCCAATCTGTACCAGGCCCGGATGACACCAGACACCATAAGGGGAGGAGGCCTCAGCCCTGCCTTTCAGGAGCTTCCAGGCTTGGCCAGGGCAGAAGATGACAACAGGCCGACAAGGTGCTGTTCGAGCCTCCAGGCAGGAGCACTGCACCCGAGGCCTAGGCAGGGCCCTGTCCTCCTGGAATTGCCATTCCCCAGGCTCTGAGGCAAGCAGAGAGATCCTCAGGGCATAGGTGGTGAACAACAACAGTGGCCTTCCTGGCCCACTCCCTGCTCCTTCCGGCCAGGATCCCTGGACTCCTCTTTAGGCAGTAGGAGTGGGAGCAGGGAGCCCCTCGGGCCTGTCCTCTCCCTCTGCCTCACTCATCTGCCTTGCTTTCCATTCCTGGGACTCGGGGGTGTTCCAGCGACAGCCAGCTCCCCGGAGCTGGAGGTTATAGGGGAGTCTGCCACCAGCAATGGGGCCAAGTCCACCCTCCTTCCTGGCTCCCAAACGAGGGAGGAACAATGCCTGTCCCCACCAGAGAAGGGAGGCCTCTTCCTCAAAGAGCCTCAGCCAGCCACTCCTTTAGTAAATGTGGCCGAGCATCGACTGTGGCCAGGCTCTGGGCCCATGCTCTTTAAGAGTTCTCACATGGAGACAGAGAATGAGCAAGGGGGATGAGCAGGCACAGGCCAGGGCCATCCCACAGGGCCCCACATAAAAGCCCTGTGGCCTGGTCCTCCAGCCTCCCTGCTCTGACCCCCGCATGCAGTGAGTTAATTGGCTTCCCACCTGCTTCTGGACTGGACTCGGGGCTCTTGGGCACCCAGGGGTCTCTCCCAGTCTCACCACATGGCCCCGGACATAGGAACACTGATGAGCAGAGGGCAGATGAGACACAGAGGGACAGGGTGGATTGCTTTCACTCGGCTGGCAGCACCAAGACGTCAGAGCAGTTAAAGGCCGTCCAGTTCAGCTGCAGTCTCTCATCTAAATTCCCACGATGTGCAATAAAAGAATCAGAGCCTCTAGAGTCCTTGAAGCACCGTGTCATGGATGCTGTGGTTGCTGCCCAGATTCCCCCTTCAAGGTGAGGCCCTCGCCTCGCACCAGCTCAGCAAAGACCGTCTCAGGAAATTGCCCTGTGCTGATGGAATCTTCAAGGTTACATTCCCCTTCCCAGGGCAGCCCCCAACTAGTGACTGGTCCATGCAGGAGGACAACAGCCTGGCCCCCTTGCCTCAATTTGGGCAACTCTGCAGGGTCATCCTAGCTCCAGAGCTCCCGTGGGATTAGCCAAGCCTCTGTAGGATTCACACTGTGGCCCAGCCTCTCCCTCTGCCAATCCTGCCTCTTCTCTCCCTCGCTGGTGCTGGCCCCTGAGCTCTCCCCAAGAAACCTCCTGTGTGCAAACCTCCCTCTCAGAATGTTTCCCTGGGAGGTGACCCAGGACATTCTCCTTCCCTTCCCTTCCCTTCCTCTCCCATCTTGACACCAGTCCTTTGACCTCGTTAGGATTTATAGGATGTGCATGCTAGTCTGTAACTCTAGTTAAGGTCTCCCGGCTTTGTATACAGATACGTTCTGCCACCTGAAAAAACTGATAACCGGCATTTCCAATGTGATAAATTCGAGGCCAAGTAATTTAAATTCAATTGCAGAAAGGAAGATGTGAGTGTGCACTCC
Source organism: Homo sapiens (assembly GCF_000001405.40). Lineage (NCBI taxonomy): Eukaryota > Metazoa > Chordata > Mammalia > Primates > Hominidae > Homo > Homo sapiens. Next base: position 13,286,617 of record NC_000003.12, read on the forward strand.
AAAAAAATAAAGGTTACAAAAATATGGAGGAGGAAACAGAGAAAGGGGAAGTATACTATGTAAAATCATTTGTGAATTTTCCTATTATTATTCACATCCAGCTTCTTGGTAAGATCATCAATCTTTTTAATATTGTCCTTTTTATAAGAAATTCATTTTTTTCCTTAAAAACCTTCCCCTGAGCACTCTCTGACTCACTATTATAATTTGGGCTGGCTACTTCCTGGGCCTGCTACACAGCTATTATCAGGGATTTCTTGGCATTACACTTCTGGATTGAGTCCACTCTTTCTTGGATCCTGTGTATTGTCTTTCTTGGGTTCATTTTCTACTTTGCAGAGTATATCCTCAGGCAATTCTGCCAGACACAGCCTATGGGTAGGTCTCTGAGTCCTTGTGTGTCTGAAAGTATTTACTTTGCCCTCAGATTTGATTGGTAGTTTGGCTGGGTATAGAATTCCGGGTTACAAATCAGTTTCCTCAGACCATGGAAAGGTTTGCTCCATTTTCCTCCATTACCTAGTGCCGCTGATGTCATTCTGATTCTTGTTCCTTTAGAGAAGAAATTCTCTTAAGAGGGTATTGTCCCTGGTCAGAACATTTGAAAATCTGGTGGGGGATGTTTTTGGTCATGAGAATGACTGACAATGCTCTGACATTCAATGGGCAGGGCCCTGACATACAGCACACAGGGAGTGTCATCCAATACAAACTATCCCACTCACATCACCAAAAAGCAAAGCAAAGCGGAAGGACTTACTCTATTAGATTTCAACACTTATTATAAAGCAAGAGTAATCAAAACAATGGGTACCAGTGTCAAGAGAGACACATAAATTGACAAACTAGAAGAGAGTCTCAAAGTAGACCCACACATATGTGGGCAATCAATTTTTGACAAAGATGCCAAAGCCACTCAATGAGTGAAAGGATAGTCTTTCAACAAGTGTTGCCTGAGAAAGCTGCTGGGATAATATGCAAAAGAATGAACCTCTGCCTCCATTTCAGAGTATCTACAAAACTAACTGGGACTAGATCACAGAACCCATGTAAGAGCTAAATAGGTACAACTTCTAGAAAAGCTCTTAATGGCCTTGAATTTGGCAAATATTTCTTAAATGTGACGCCAAAAGCATGAACTCTAAGTGAAGAAAAAATCAGCAAATTGGACTTCACTGCAATAAAAAAAAAAAAGCTTGGTCTTCAAAAGAAACTGTTAAGAAATGAAAAGGTAAGTCACAGTCTGGGAGGAAATATTTGCAAACTCGATATCCAGCAGAGGACTTGTGTGTAGAATATATAAAGAACTTTTACAACTCAATAAAAACAAGAAAAAACACCCAATTAAAAATGGGCATACGTTTTAAACAGACATTTCACCAAAGATATATAAATGCCAAATAAGCAAATTAAAAGAAGCTCAATATCATCAGTCATTAGGGAAATGCAAATTAAAACCCCAGGGATTTAGAGATGACACCAACAGCAAAGCAACAAAGGAAAAGGAGATAAACTGGGAAACAGCAACGTTGAAAGCTTCTACGCTTTGAAGGACTTCAGTAAAGAAAGTGACAGAAGAGAAAAAACCCACAGAAGAGAAAATGTTTGCTGTTCACATGTCTGATCAAAGACATGTATCTAGCATACATAAATAAATTTTACAACTCAATAATAAAAAAGGCAAATAACTCAACTTAAAAATGGGAAAGGATCTGAATAGACATCACAACAAAGAGGATATCATAAGCACAAGGAAAGATACTCAACATTATTAGCCATCAGAAAAAAATGCAAATCAAAAGTTTGACACACCAGTTAACCGCTTATACCCACCAGGTGCAACCCACTAGGTTGGCTGGACTAAAAACTACTAGCACAAGGCCGGGCGCGGTGGCTCATGCCTATAATCCCACCACTTTTGGAGGCCGAGGCGGGTGGATCACGAGGTCAGGGGTTCAAGACCAGCCTGACCAACATGGTGAAACCCCGTCTCTACTAAAAATACAAAAAAATTAGCTGGGCGTGGTAGCGGGTGCCTGTAATCTCAGCTACTCAGGAGGCTGAGGCAGGAGAATTGCTCGAACCCCGGAGTTGGAGGTTGCAGTGAGCCAAAATTGCACCACTGCACTCTAGCCTGGGCGACAGAGCAAGACTCTGTCTCAAATAACAAAACAAAACAAAACCAAACAAAAACTACTAGCACTAACAGGTGTTGCTGAGGAGGGAGAAAGATTGGAGTCCTCATACACCACTGTTGGGAATGTAAAACGGTGCAGCTGCTTTGGAAAATTGCCTGGCAGTTCCTCAAACATGTAAACATTTAAACCACACGACCCAGCAATTCCACTCCTAGGTATATGCCCAAGAGAATAGAAAACATTATGACTCTTGGAAACATCATGCTGAGTACAAGAAGCCAGTCACAAAGGACCACACATTGTATGATTCCTTTCCAGTGAAATGTCCAGAACAGGCCAATATATAGAGGCAGAAAGTAGATTAGTGTTTGCCCACAACTTAGGGGCAGGAGTGGAGGGTGAAGATTTCCTTATGGGGTAATGAAAATGGTCTGAAATTGACTGTGGTCATGGTTGTACACATCTACGAATACTCTAAAGGTCATAGAGTGGCACACTTTAAAATGGTGAGTTATTTGACATATTTACTATATCTCAGTAGAACTGTTAGGAAAAAACCACACTGAGATACCACCGCATACCAACTAGAGTGGCTGAAAGTAAGAATACTGGTCATTCTTTTAGTGTTCCCGTGAGGGCTCAACCTGGAGTAGGGCGATGGGGTGCAGTGAGGGTAGGTAATTGGCTTCCCCACACTGAGCATGAAGCCCCCCGCCACAGGAGCCCTGTACTGGGTCAGAGCCTAGATGCACCTGTCCAGGGAAGCCTCGCCAGCCTCTCACCTAGGCTGTAACCTCCAGCCAAGGGCCTAGCCCAGAGAAGCCACAGATCACTGGGTCCTTGTTGAAGGAATAAATGTGTGAATCAGTGCCACAGTCATGGTAGAGACATGGCTCTCAGTCCCATAACTGAACTTGACCCCAGGACAAAGGTTGCAAATGGTGCAGCCGGCATCCCAGCCCAAGACAGGCAGCGTTTAACATAATGAGTATCCGCTGCCACCATTTTAAGGGCAGGAGATTTCATACAAAGAATCTAGCCTTGGGGTTCTCTGGGACAGGCCCTGTCTGGCTGCAGTTGTCTCCAGGTGAATGGTGGCCACCTTCCCTGAGTCCTTCCCTTCACCGGTCTCACAGGAGCATCAGTTTTCCCACCCCTAGTTCCCAGAGGCCTGCCACCCCTGATGCTGGGGGCTCGGGAACCGTCCTAGGACTCACGCAGTTCACCCTTCCTTGCCATTGCGAGAGTGGGGGCTGGAGGCTTTCTGAGGCACAGACCCAGCTCAGTGACTCTTCTGCCCTGCTCTGTTGGCCAAAGCAAGTCGAGAGTCTAGCCAGGCACACGACAGGGGCTCCGTAGGTGACACTGTCACCTCCTGCAGCTGTCCCCCACCCCCTAGCCTGGCTTGAAGCCAGGAAGATGGAGGGAGGGGGGAAGGGGTGCACCCTCAGGATACCCAGCCTGCTTAGCTCCTTGGAGGCGGCAGCAGGAACCCACCTCCCTGCTGTGGCTGTCCCACCTGGCCACCATCAGATGCCCTCTGCTATTGATCAAGTTGGGTGCTTATGTGGTCATGTTTACCAACCCCTGGAGGGCACTGGGCCATGGAACCCTTACCCTATATTGACTGAAGAAAAGATCAAGCTTTTAGAAAATCAAAGTCAATTTTTTTTTTTTGAGACGAAGTCTCACTCTTCTTGCCCAGGCTGGAGTGCAATGTCGTGATCTCGGCTCAATGCAACCTCTGCCTCCCGGGTTCAAGCGATTCTCCTGCCTCAGCCTCCTGAGTAGCTGGGACTACAGGCATACGCCACCACACCTGGCTAATTTTGCATTTTTAGCAGAGACGGAGTTTCTCCATGTTGGTCAGGCTGGTCTGGAACTCCTGACCTCCGGTGATCAGCCGGCCTAGGCCTCCCAAAGTGCTAGGATTACAGGCGTGAGCCACCGCGCCCGGCCGAAAGTCAGTTTTATGTAGAAGCTTGACTGAGGACTATAGACTGAGGCCTGTAGCCAGGAGCAGCCCTTTAGAGAGGCTCTATCAGGCCGTTCCTGCACAGCATTTCAGCCCATGGCTTATATACAGGTGGTGGAGGATTAATGTGTGCAAATCCACATTAAACTTGTTCAGAAGTTACATTACAGCAGAGTCACACCTAGGTTTGGGTGTGGAAGTGCATGTGCTTAGCAGAAGCACTAAACCCAGCAGACATTATCTTAATGTGTGGGAAAAGGCAAGGACTGGGGTTATTTCACTTCTAAAAAATAGTGACTCCGGTCAGAGATGTGGGAGCCTTGTGATCTAGCCTGCTTTGCCTTCAAAACATCTTTCTGGAGAGCTACACTTTATGCTGACAAGCCAAAATGAGCAAACATGGCTTCTTAGGTTTGTTACTTTGTCTCACAAGTTCCCTCTTTTGCTCATAATCAACTATTAGTTGCATTTACAAGACAAACACTGATTGTCTTATGTAGCCAGGAAGACTCTTGCGTAGGAAGGCAGGGAAGCTTCAGTGGTAGTTGTATCGGGCTCAGCATGCATACTTGGCTATTTTGCAAAAAACACACTTCAGATTGCATCTACTTTTAACTAGCATGATCTGGGGTTTTTTTGTTGTTGTTGTTCTTTGTGACATTGCCTTTTCCTGTACCTAACACAATACCTCAGCAGGAGGACTATTACAAGGATATTACAGATTATAGGTAGCAATACATATTTAATAGCATTAAAGTGAGTTACAGATTGTAAAACCCACGATAACCATTTAACAAAACTGGAACATACATTTGAATAGTTTTTTTTTAATCGATTGTAATATTTTTCCCCTTTTGGTACCCATATTTAGTATAGTCTTTTTATGAAAAACAATTTTGGACTAGAGCTGATTGCAAGTGTTTTTGTTTTTGTTTTTGAGACAGGATCTCACTCTGCCACCCAGGCTGGAGTACAGTGGCATCATCATCACGGCTCACTGCAGGCTCAACCTCCAGGGCTCAAGCGATCCTCCCACCTGAGCCCCCTGAGTAGCTAAGACTACAGGCTCACATCATCACACCTGGATAATTTTTTAATTTTTTTTAGACACCAGGTCTCACTATGTTGTCCAGGCTGGTCTTGAATTCCTGAACTCAAGCAATCCTCCCACCTCAGCCTCCCAAAGTGTTGGGATTATAGGCGTGAGACACTGCACTCACCCTGCAAATGTTTTTACAGAATAATTTATAACAATAACTGTGGATAATAAAACTTAGAATAGCCTTGGTTAAAATCTGATGAAAGTTTTTAATTGACAGGGAAATTTAGTTATTTCTATTTCACACAGCATTTTATGATAACAACCAGAATTATGACTGATGGTGTCACATCAGGGCCATTAGATGTTTATAAATTTTATATAATCTTTGGAACACTTATATTAACAACATATCCACACACATATAACTTACAAACAATTTAATATAACAATCAAAATTATTACTGATAACATTAGATTTTTATGAATTTATATTATTTTTGGAACATTTATATCAATAACATACCCATAAATGTAACTGAAAAAAGATCTAGTATCATTTATCATTTGACAATGCCTCCCATACAATTTACCAAACAATTTAAATCATTTAATATCTGCACAGGATGAGAGATATATTTTGCGGGAGTTTCCAGGGACACACTGGAAAATCCCATTTTTGGCCATTTTAATGTGAAATCTCCTTTGGTAAAGTCCTCCCATCCAAGGAGACACTTGCCAGTGTAAGCTCCATGTGTGTTATACACAAAGCCTGCTGGAGTGCTGACTGGAGGTTGGTTGTTCAATGACCCTGTTGTTTCAGTTTTGGATGATTTATTTTCCATTGTGAGAGCTCAGCAAAGCAGGACTGCTATTGAGAAACGTAGTGGGGAGATGAGCAGCTTTGGCTGGGCACAGTGGCTCACCGCTGTAATCCCAGCACTTTGGGAGGCTGAGGTAGGAATATCACTTGAGCCCAGGAGTTCAGGACCAGCCTGGGTAATATAGTGAGACACCGTCTCTACAAAAATAAATAAATAAATAAATAATAGCTGAGCATGACAGTGTGCACCTATAGTCCCAGCTACTCAGGAGGCTGAGGAGAGAGGATTGCTTGAGCCCAGGAGGTGGAGGCCACAGTAAGCTGAGACTGTGCCTCTGCACTCCAGCCTGGGATATAGTGTGAGACCCTTCTCAAAAGAAAATGTGCTGTCCTGGCTGAGCATGGTGGCTCATGCCTGTAATCCCAGCACTTTGGGAGGCTGAGGTGGGCGGATCGCTTGAAGTTAGGAGTTCAAGACCAGCCTGGCCAACACGGTGAAACCCCGTCTCTACTAAAAATACAAAAAAAAAAAAAAAATTAGCGGGACATGGTGGTGGGCGCCTGTAATCCCAGCTACTCAGGAGGCTGAGGCAGGAGAATTACATGAACCACTCACACCAGCATGGGCAACAGAGCGAGACTCTGTCTCAAAAAAAAAAAAGAAAGAAAAAAAGAAAAAGAAAAAGAAAAGAAAAGAAAATGTGCTGTTCTGAGCACAGCCAATGGCTGTCTTACGTGTCTCAGTTTCTCCCTCGGGTTGCCTAAAGCAATCGTGGAGGCTCAGCGTACTGGGTGACTAACCCTCCCGTGTGCATCTCCAGATGAGCCACTTGTTAATTACTTGTGACAAAGAATTTCCTGTGGGACTGATGCACATCATAAGGATTGTACCTCCAACACTTCCAGAGATCTCTGGTCACCTGGACATGCCAAGTCAGAATCTGTCTGAAGGAGCGGGTGTCCCTTGTCTTCAGAGCTGACGCAGGTCAAACCCTCAGAGATTTATAATAGTGTCTGTCATGCTGAAACCTTGTTTACAGAGGCAAACTGAAAGGGAAGCCCTGGCACAACCCAGCCAGTGAGACAGCCTCACCTATCTGTTTCTTCCTAATATGTTTTAACTAGGAGAATTCCCTTTCTGGAGAAATGAAAAGTCTCGAGGAAGAACTTACCCCACATCAATAAGCAAGGACAACAAGTTGGAAAAAAACGTCAGGACCATCAGCTAAATGGAAGGTCTGAGACTCAGGAGAGACTCATCCAGTTGTCTGCAACCATGGCGGAAGCAGAGACGCTCACAGGGCCTGTGCTGGTACCAGGGTGCTGCATGCCCACAGCGTTCCAGATGACCATGGGCAGTCTAGTCTGAGTCCCTTTGTGGTCACCATGATTGTCAACTAAAGAAAGAAAAAATCAGGCTTTCAAAGAATTAAAGTCAGTTTTCTGTGGGAGCCTTAGTGAGGACTGTAGACCGAGGCCTGTAGCCAGGAACAGCCCTTTAGAGAGGCTCCGCCGTCAGGCCGTTCCCGCACGGCATTTCAGCCCATGGCTCATATACAGAAGGTGGAGGGTTAATGTGCGCAAATCCACATTAAACTTGTTCAGAAGTTACAGCAGAATCACACCTAGGTTTGAGTGTGGGAGTGCATTTAGGGATCACAGAGGCATAAGCACCAACCCCATCAGACGTTATCTTATGTGTGGGAAAAGGCAAGGACTGGGGTCATTTCACTTACAAGGAATATAGCGGCTCAGGCGAGAGATGTGGAGAGCTGCATGCTCTGTCCTACTTTGTCTTCAAGGCATCTTTCTGGAGAGCTGCACACAGTCACAGGGTGAGGGATTCACACAGAAATGAGCAAACGTGGTCTCTTAGGTTTGCTGCTTTGCCTGACACCCACCAGTGGCAAGTAGCAGGCTGCCTGGCTAAGACAGATGCTGTGTGCTCGGTAAATCGAGTCTCGCTGTAGAACACAGAGCCACGATGCTGTGAGGGGCATGGGCTGAAGGGAAAAGCCCCAAAGGTGAGAGCCGGGGGCCTCTCATCCCGGAACAACGACTGCCTGCCAAATTCCTGGTAGGTGCCAGCCATCTCCCCCTAACCCAGTACAGGGGCCCCTCCCAACAAACAGGGGTGCGGGATGGTAGGGCGCACTCTGCAAATGAGGAAGTGGAGCCTGTGAGGGGAATCATTTGCCCAAGATCACTCAGTGCATTAGGGGCAGGACGCGGTTGTGACCTTGAGTTCTAAGCCCTGAGTGTGTGGCTTCCCTGGCCCTGCACCCCTTCCAATGGCTTATGGATTATTCCACTGTAATGGGCCGGCTGCTCTCATGCCCATCATAGAGGACAGCCGCAAGAAAGGGGCATGGCCCAGCCAGCAGTGCCCTTCATCACGGGGCATCCACGTTCTGTCCTCCACGCTTCCTGAATTTTTTTGCCTTGCTCACATCATGTGCCCCCACACCTTTGCATTTTTATACATGCTGTTCCCTCTTTCAGATACCCCTTCCCCACACTCCCCAGATTGGCAAACTCCTAATCATCCTACAAGACCCAGTTCAACTGGCACCTCCCTCCAGCAGCCCCAAGTCCTCCAGCCACTGGGGTTGGGAGGCTCCTTTTAGCTCTCAAAGCTCTTCACCCTGCAGGGCTTTTTTGGTTTTTTTGTTTGTTTGTTTGTTTGTTTGTTTTTGTTTTTGAGACGGAGTTTCACTCTTGTTGCCCAGGCTGGAGTGCAATGGTGTGATCTTGGCTCACTGCAAGCTCCGCCTCCTGGGTTCAAGCGATTCTCCTGCCTCAGCCTCCTGAGTAGCTGGGATTACAGGCATGTGCCACCACACCTGGCTAATTTTGTATTTTTAGTAGAGACGAGGTTTCTCCATGTTGGTCAAGCTGGTCTCAAACATCCAGCCTCAGGTGATCTGCCCACCTTCCAAAGTGCTAGGATTGCAGATGTAAGCCACCGCACCTGGCCCACCCTGCTGTTTTTAAAAGATGGTCTTCACCAGTTTGATGGGGATGTGGGAAAATAAAAACTAACTCTCAGACATTGCTGGGTGATAAATGGCACAACCTCCTCACAGAGCAACTGGAGAATCTTGAGGTGGATTTCAAATGCACACACCCTTTGACCCGACAGTTCCAATTTTAAGAACGTATTCCACAGATATGCTCACTCACATGCTCAGCAGAATCCAGGAAAGCCCCTTCTGCAGAGCCTCGGCAGCCCCACGTGAGGTTGGGGAGGCTCTCTGTGGACTGATGAGGGCGACCCTTCAGATAAAGTGACAAAAGCCCGGCACAGGACAGTGGCTGTGGGATGTCCCCAGGAGTGCAGAAGTCTGAAGCAATGTGCAGCATCATGAGCCTGAATATGTTCAGACTATTTCCAAGATACACCCTAGGTAATGTTAAATGGGTGCCTCTGGGCTTTTTATACCTCCTCATATATATTTCACGTTTTCACAAAATAATGGTAGCCTGAGGTAGGAAGGAGACTGAGTCTATAACCTTTCATAAAGTTCAGGTACTGTTTTCCATGCACAGGTATCACCTTTTCTTTTTCTTTTTTCTTTTTTTTTTTTTTTTGAGACGGAGTCTCGCTCTGTCACCCCGGCTGGAGTGCAGTGGCATGATCTTGGCTCACTGCAACCTCCGCCTCCTGGGTTCAAGCGATTCTCCTGCCTCAGCCTCGCAAGTAGCTGGGACTACAGGCGCGTGCCACCATGCCCAGCTAATTTTTCTATTTTTAGTAGAGATGGGGTTTCACCGTGTTGGCCAGGATTGTCTCCATCTCTTGACCTCGTGATCCGCCTGCCTCGGCCTCCCAAAATGCTGGGATTACAGGCGTGAGCCACCGCGCCCGGCCCCACATACCAGCTTTTCAAAATGTAACCATAATGATAAACTGAAAGGGAACGACGATCGTGGGGTGTGATACTCTCTATGCTTATCTCCCTCTCATTTCAACCTGGATTCTGAGAGCAGGGACCCTGTCTGATTAATCCCTGCACCCTCAGCTCCCATACCCTGTCACCAAGAAGAGCCCAGGAAACATCTGACGAATGGGGAATGCATGATTGAGAAGCCTGTAATATTACCAGGCTGGGGTGGTCCCTGCCTTCCTCATTCGGAACTGAATCAGTAAAGGTGTTCTTCCCACAAGCCTGAGGCAGGAAGGAAGCCCGTGCAGGGCTCCCCGAGGCTCCCAAGCACGCAGAACACACACTGGCAGGAAACAGAGGCCAGATGGCAATGGAGGACTCTCCCCTTCCCCCGCATGCTCTCATCTCCAACTTCCTTTCTTGTCTCCACTCTTTCTGCTTATCTGCCTCTTCATTGAGGAAGTGTCGGGCACAGGAGGGATGGGCTGCTGGAAAGAGTCAGAACTAGGAAAACTGCATGGCCACCACTGTGCTGATGAGCCCTGGGCAGCTCTCCTCATCCATTTGAGCTTCCCAATCCTCATCTGTGGACAGGCAGTTTAACCCCCCCTTGCCAGGTGGCTCTGAGGATGAAATAAGATCACCTGTGGAAACACATGGAAAGTAACTGGCACATGGCAGGTGCATGTATTGTCACTCCTGCCTGATCCCTGGCTCTGAGATTTATCAGAATCCACAAAGATCGAGTTGGAATGTAGACATGTTAAACAATAAATATGATTAGAAAACTGTACATCTGCATGTTAAAAATGTAAAAGTAACCACTAGAAAAATATAGATAGAAGGTATAATTTCCAAACCACTAGAGGAAAAACAAAATAGAACCAAGACAGTTTGATCAATTTAAGAGTGAAAGAAAACAAAATCATAATTAACTGAAAATACAAAGGAAGATGGCTGAATAAGTCCCAACAGATCAACAACTACAATAAATGTCAATGTTTTCAACTCACCTATTAAGAGGCAGAGAGTCTCAGATAGGCTTTTGATGAAGTCCAGCTTCTATGTGTTGATAAGTAAGGTGAAAGCATCACAAGAGCTCCCTGGGGTTGAAGTTCCTGCCTGCCAACTTCTCTGCACTCCTCCTTACCTCTCCCATCCTGATGCTCCTAGCCTTAAATCCTCAGAGCTAACGAGCTGGGTCCCTTGCTCTCTGGGTAGCTGAGGAGCACCCTGTGGTCACTCCAGATAGAGTGGGCTGGTTGTCGCAGTCACTTGTCCTTCACCTCCTTTCTGCAAATCAGGAAGGATGCTCATTCCTGAATTGAATCACATTGCAGGACGAGGTAACTGGCTACAAGTTGCTGGAGACCCTAGGACAGCTGCACACTGCCCTCTTGGAGGATTACAGATCCTTCAGTGTCTTTTGTCCCCAGGGCCAAGCCCCTGGAGCACATGTACACAGAGCACAGTATCAGGACTCAGCCCTATGTAAATATCTTTAGCCTACTCTCAGCTGGGCCTTTATGGGAGACTCTGAACCCCCCTTAAAAGAAAGGGAAGAGGCCGGGCGTGGTGGCTCACGCCTGGAATCCCAGCACTTTGTGAGGCCGAGGCAGGTGAATCACGAGGTCAGGAGATCGTGACCATCCTGACTAACACAGTGAAACCCCATCTCTACTAAAAATACAAAAAAATTAGCTAAGCGTGGTGGCGGGTGCCTGTAGTCCCAGCTACTCGGAAGGCTGAGTGGGGAGAATGGCATGAACCCGGGAGGCGGAGCTTGCAGTGAGCCAAGATTGCACCACTGCACTCTAGCCTGGGCGACAGAGCGAGACTCTGTCTCAAAAAAAAAAAAAAAAAAAAAAAAAAGAAAGGGAAGAGGACCAGAAAAAGGAGTCAACAGAGTTAGATCATTAGCTGAAGCTATCTGGGATATCCTTTATTACAAATGAGGAAACCGAGGTCCAAAGAGAAAGAATGGTTTGTCTAAAGACGCGCAGTGTGTTAATGGCAGACCTCTCCAATATAGTCCCAAATTTGGTTATTCAAATACTGATGTCATGAATTCTGCCACAGCCAGGGTACAATCTAAATACACGTTTGATTTTTTTCTTTATTTTCTTTCTCTTACAACTTTTTTTTTTTTTTTTTTAGAGACAGAGTCTTGCTCTGTTATCCAGGCTGGCAGGATGTGAACTCAAGGGCTCAAATCTATCCTCTCCTCTCAGCCTCCTGAGTAGCTAGGACTGCAGGCCCAAAGCACTGTGCCCAGCTGACAACAATATTTTTCATTTTAAAAGTTTCCTTACCAAAAGACACTTAGTCCATAAAGCAACTTTATGTCACTTGCCATAAACTGAAGGTAACTCATAAAATGAATGGGGTGAAGACATGTCTTTGGTTAGAAACTGTTGTCATTTCAAACCGTGAGTTCAAAGACTGCTCTTTTCCTGTTAAAAAGGGAGATTTGGCCCAGGTGCAGTGGCTTACGCCTGTAATCCCAGCACTTTGGGAGGCCGAGGTGGGCAGGTCACTTGAGGTCAGGAGTTCGAGATCAGCCTGGTCAACATGGTGAAACCCTGTCTCTACTAAAAATACAAAAATTAGCCAGGCATGGTGGCACACGCCTGTAATCCCAGCTACTCAGGAAGCTGAGGCAGGAGAATCGCTTGAACTAGGGAGGCAGAGGTTGCAGTGAGCCGAGATTGTGCCACTAAACTCCAGCCTGGGTGACAGAGTGAGACTCCATCCCCCCACCCCTCAAAAAAGGGAGATTTGCAAGCACTAGAGAGGTGTTAAACACTTATCAGCACCTACCTGAGACCTTCTACTTTTTTTTTTTTAGATAGAGTCTCCCTCTACTTTCTATAATAAGAAGGATTGCAAGAGAAATGAAAAAGGATGGACCTTTCTCTCCGTCACGCCGTGTTACTTCATGTGCTTCTGTGCACATCTCCTAATCTCAAGGACTTTGTCTCAGGAGTCCTGGGGCCCCAAAGGCTGGCCCTAACCTCCCCACCCCATGTCCCTGCCTATCCGTCTGTAAAATGGGGATCATAATCCCTACTGCTGAGGGATGTTGGAAGCCGAGAAACAGAGTAGGGTAACATGGAAATCCCCAGAGGGTGTCCTCCCGTGTGGCGTTAGAGGTGTTATCATCATCAAATTTTGAAGGAGGGGGCACCTCTGCAGCTCCCCCAGCCCCCACTGGGAGGGTTGCTCCCTCGGCAGCCATCAGGCTCTGGAGTGAAGTCCTCTATGAGATCGCTCACATCCCGCCACATGGGCAGGCTGGCAGATTGGCTTCCCTAGGTGGGACACCCCCTCCTCTGCCTGGCTCCCAGTTGAGGCCTCTGTCTCTGCAGGAAACCTGGGTGTCTTAGTCCATTCCTGCTGCTATTACAAAGCATCTCAGACTGGGTAATTTACAAAGAACAGAAATTTATTACTCACAGTCCTGGAGGCTGGCAGGTCTTAAGATGAAGGTGCTGGCAGGTTTGGGTGTCTGGTGAGGGTTGCTCCCTGCTTCCAAGATGATGTGTTGTTGCTCTGTCCTCACACGGAAGAAGAGATGAAAGGGCCAGGCAGCTCTCTGTTTTTTGTTAGGGTTTTGTTGTTGTTGTTGTTGTTTTGTTTGTTTGTTTGAGACAGGGTCTCTGTTGCTCAGGCTGGAATGCAGTGGCATACACACGACTCACTGCAACCTCCACCTCCTGGGCTCCAGTCATCCTCCCACCTCAGCTTCCCAAGCAGCTGGGACTACAGGCACACGTCACCATGTCCAGCTAGGTTTTCTATTTTTTTGAAGAGATGGAGTTTCACCACTTAGCCCAGGCTGGTCTCGAACTCCTGGGCTCAAGCAATCAGCCCGCATCCAAAAGTGCTGGGATTACAGGCGTGAGCCACCGCGCCTGGGCCAGGCGGCTCTCTGAAGCCTCTTTTAGATAAAGAAATTAATCCCATTCATGAAGGCAGAGCCTGCATGTCCCAACCACCTCCCAAAGACCCAACCTCTTAATACCATTGCCTCAGGCTTTCAGGTCCAACATGTAAATTTTGGAGGGATACATACATTCAAACCATAGCACTGGGCTTGTCACGATCCCCACTTTCCCACCCACTCCCTAGCAGGGGCTGTGCTCCCTGGAGCAGGCACTGAAGGTGCCATTTATAAAGCCGGAGCTGGAAGAGCCCTGCAGGGTCACCTCGTGCAACCTGACCCTTTTACAGATGGGAAGACTGAGGACAAAGGCAAGGCCTCTTCCCTTAGACCCTTGGGCACAGTATCTCAGCCAGGAGCTGATCAGAGGTCCGTGAATATATTTGGGTTTGGGAGTGGGGAAGGGAGGGAAAAAAATCACACTGACACGTCAAAATGAATAAATGTTTAATTAAATGCCCACAGAACATAACATTAGTCAACTAGTCAATTGCATCTCAACTCCACTCTTGTGTAGTTATACATAAATTTTATTTAATGAGGCATGTGGGTGCCTTGTAATATGTTGATATGATGGGGTATGGAAATGCCAAACTAGAACCTAGCAGAGGTCTTAAAATAGCTCTGCCCACAAAAGAGAAGGGGTTTGCCAAAGAGCCCTCATTCATTCAACAAGCACTAATGAGACTGTGAAGCCAGCAGAGCCCACATGAAGGGCCTCTGACCCTGCCTGGGGCAGCTCAGTCCTCCCTTGCCTCTGGCTCTCATCTCTGGGTATGCTGTCCTAGACATCTCTCTATCCATCTTCCCTAGAGCAGGGTCCCTGTTTGCACATATGGGGAAACTGAGGCCCAGAGAAGACAGGGCAGGCGTGAAGTCACATCGAGATTCACTCAGTGGCAGAGCTGGGATCAGCATCCAGACTCCCCTGCCACGCCCCTCCTGGAAGCCGGCAGGCCAACATCCCCAGGGACCCTTCCCCACCCCTCATGAATATTCCCACGGCTGACCCAGCCCTCCCGCTTCCAGAAGTCTGCAAGAAAACCCATTACAGATTCATGAGGCACCTACTGCATTTCTAATTAAGAGAACACAGTTATTCTAATTTTAACATCCCTCTCTACTACCTCCGTCCCCTCCCCTTCCCCTGCATTTATATAAGGGATGTTTCTGCCTCCTGAGAGTGTGATGCAGCCCGGATCTCTCGCCTGTTGCTTGGGATGAGTCATCTTTTGGAGGGCTCTTTGTAATGCGGGTGACGCTTGTTCTGAGGTCCCTGACAGACACTTCCCCATTAAGCAAAGAACACCAACCCAGGGGCACTGGACCAGGCTGGAGGTTGGAGGGCTCAGCTCCTGTTGACCAAGACCCTTAAAATAAAATCCAGCCACCACCCCAGGCCTTCGGGGCTCTGCCTGGGCTTGCCCTGTAACTGACTCGTCTACCCTAGTATAGGGTTGCCAGATAAAATACAGGGCGCTTAGTTACACTGGAATTTCAGATAAACAACAAATCATTTTTTTTAGTACAAGTATGTTCCATGCAACTTCAGGACACTTGCACTTGAAAAAAATCAGTCATTGCTTATCTGAAATTTCAGTTTACCTGGCCATCTGGCAACCTACTCCGGCCACACTGGCCCTTTGCTGTCCCATAATCCCGATAACTTTCCCACCACAGGGCCTTTTCATGTGCTGTTCCTTCAGCCTGGGACCCCTACCCCCACCCCAACTCCCTGACACTGAGGTCTCACTTCAGATGTCACTGCTGCAGAGCAGTCTTCCCTGAGCACCAGACAGAAGTGGGGGCCGCCACCATCCTCCCTCCTATGGCCTTGTCTTATCTTTCTCGTGGCACTTGGCACCGCCTTGGAAACAATCTTATTTACTGACTTTTCTGTCTCCCCCACTAGAACATCAGGTCTGTGAGAGAAGCTGAGCCCATCCAGCAGAGGGCAGGGTGCAGTCAGTGCCCAACGCATGTGTGTCCAATGATGTTTAGTATTTCTTTCTTTTTGGCCGGGTGTGGTGGCTCACGCCTGTAATCCCAGCACTTTGGGAGGCCGAGGCGGGTGGATCACAAGGTCAGGAGATCGAGACCATCCTGGCTAACATGGTGAAACCCCGTCTCTACTAAAAATACAAAAAATTAGCCAGGCATGGTGGCGTGTGCCTGTAATGCCAGCTACTTGGGAGGCTGAGGCAGGAGAATGGCGTGAACCCGGGAAGCGGAGCTTGCAGTGAGCCGAGAACATGCCACTGCACTCCAGCCTGGGCAACTGAGCAAGATTCTGTCTCAAAAAAAGAAAAAAAGAAATATATATAATATAAATATAAATAAATATAAATATAAATATATAATATATAAAATTATATAAATATATAAATGTATATACAAATATAAATAAATATATATATATTTCTTTTTTTCTTTTTTTGAGATGGAGTCTCACTCTTGTCGCCGAGGCTGGAGTGCAGAGGCACGGATGTTGGCTCACTGCAACCTCCGCCTCCCAGGTTCAAGTGATTCTCCTGCCTCAGCCTCCCCAGTAGCTGGGATTACAGGCACGTGCCACCACGCCTGGCTAATTTTTGTATTTTTAGTACAGACTGGGTTTCTCCGTGTTGGTCAGGCTGGTCTCGAACTCCTGACCTCAGGTAGTCTGCCCACCTCAGCCTCCCAAAGTGTTAGGATTACAGGCATGAGCCACCACACCCGGCCTTTCTTTTTTTTTTTTGAGATGGAATCTCACTCTCATCCAGGCTGGAATGCAGTGGCATGATCTCAGCTCACTGCAACCTCTGCCTCCAGGGTTCAAGTGATTCTCCTGCCTCAGCCTCCTGAGTAGCTGGGACTACAGGCATGCGCCACCATGCCCGGCTAATTTTTGTATTTTTAGTAGAGACGGGGTTTCACCATGTTGGCCAGGCTGGTCTCGATCTCTTGATGTGATCTGCCTGCCTCGGCCTCCCAAGGTGCTGGGATTACAGGTGTAAGCCACCGCCTGGCCACTTTCTTTAATTAACTCATTTGATCCTCAAATCAACCCAAACGATGGAGGTGCTGTTAGTGCCTCCATTTCCCAGGTGTGGAAGCAGAGGCACAGAGAGAGCAGGCAGCTTGCTCATAGTCACACAGCTGATAAGAAGTGGAGCCCGGATTGGAATGCAGGCCTTCTGGCTCCAGGCCCTGCAGATAAAGCCGTGGCCTGGTCCAGCCCGTCACTATACTAACTTCAGTGTTTACTCAGCTGACCTGCAGAAGGCCAGCCCTGGCCACACAGCCTTAGCCCTCTCTTGACCTCAGCCTTGCCCTTGATGCCACCACCACCACTGCCCAGCACAAAGCACAGCTCCTGACCCCGCTTGTCTTTGCAGATAAACAATGGGTGATTTTTTTAGTACAAGTACATCCCAAGCAGCTCCTTCCCTCTTTTGGGAACCGTTCCCTGTTTTCCTGTTACCACTCCTTCAAGATGCCTGAGGAAGCCTCAGGATGCCACTTCCAGGGAACCCATCCTGATCATCCCTATCCTCACCACTGGAGTGAGGAGAGGAGCTTCCTCAGCACTGGCCCCGCTCTGGCCCTGGTCTGAGCCTGCGCTTCACCACACTATGAACTCAGAAGCATAGGGGTGGGCTGAAGGCCTCCCAGAGTCCCAGCACCACAGAGATGAATGCGGAATTGCAAGGTCCATCCTCCCATCAGCAGGAAACCTCAGCTTCTGTCATCTTTTCTGTTCTCAGAATAACTTTGGTCCCTGTCCCAGCCTGTCCCTGACCAACCAGAGTTGACTCCTCTGGCGTGGACCGGAGCAGAGACAGAGAATTAGGGTGGCTGGTTCCTGGAGGGGCTTGCAGGAACAAAATCCATGTAGGAATTTTGGCTCAACGCCTCTCAAGACCCACCCAGAAGAAAGCGCATGCCACGTCTAGGTAGTTGTCCAAGGGAAATAACCAGACAAGGGCAGAGCTGTCTGCACCAGGACGTTCATTTCAGCATTGTTGATGACACTGACACATTGGAAGCAAGCTGGGTGCCCCTTAACTGGGGATGGGTGAGGCCACCAATGCCACATCTATGCCTCTGCTGCAGCCTCCCTCGCTCTCTGCTGATCAGTCATGATAGCCACACGCCCTCAGCCTGGAACCTTTGAATGGTTGTGCCTGTGCCTGGAACACTCTCCCCCACCCACCTGTCCTCACTTGGCTATCACTTACTCTTCAAATGCCAGCCCAGTCATCACTTCCCTGTGAGGTCCCTCCCTGACCAGGTCAAATCCCCCAATAACATGTGTCTTCTTCCAGGAACTTGTCACATCGGCCATGGTCTGTGTACAGAGTGAAGCTTGGTGTATCTTTTCCCCCTAGTTGGACTGTAAACTCTGTTAAGGTAGAAATGGATCTGCTCTATTTCCCAGTGTAAACTCAGAACCTAGGAAAGTGCCTGGAACACAATAGGCGCTTAATATTTGTTGAATGAATGATGAATGACTGATGGATAGAGGCCCGTACTTATTGGCAGGGCACACACAGGAAGAGTCCTGGAGGAAAGAGCAGCATGCTGAAGTGGAATCACAATCAGCAAAGGGGCTGCAGGTGATGCCTCTGTTCTTGCTTATCTGTATTTTCTACTTCAATTAACTCCCACTACTCTGTGATTAGAAAAGTGCACACCCAGGGGCTGGTTGAAATGCAGGTTCTGATTCAGCAGGTCTGGGGCCGGAGAGTCAGCCTTTCTAGTGAGCTCCCGGGGTGCCGCTGCTGTGATCTGAGGACCCAGTGTGAGCAGTGAGGTTGAAGAGTGTCGCATGGAGAAAGAGGAGAAGGTGGTTAGAGAGCCGGAGAAACGGGGAAGAGAGGGAAGGGGAAGGGGCAGAAGAGCAGTCCCACAGGTGGTGAGGCCTCTGCTCATCTGTCAGCCCCCAGTGCAGGTGCCAGGCAAGGGAGAGAAGACTGCCCGGACACTGCCCTGAAGCTTCCCAGGGCACAGTGGATGAGAGGATGGGAGGAGGCCCTGTGTCGTGGAGGGTGGATGGAGAGATGGTCAGCTAGGGGCAGCACTGCTGGGTGGGGTGACAGATGTAGTTCGGGGATTAGGAGCCCCACATTTGACTTTTTCTCGGGCATCTCCTAGTGACTTGCTCTCTACAGGCCTGGCTCCATGTCCCTCTCTCACATGTCCCCAATCAGGCAGGGAGAAGTGACAAGTTCATAGTGTCTTTCAGACCCCAGTGGCAGTATTTGTTGGTTACACTGGGCTGGGCTTTGAGGAAAGGATGGCCCCTGTCCCACTGGTGCAGCGGTGGCTCTGAGGCCCCACCTCCCTCCTGCTGAGGGCAGAGCAGCCCCTGGAGTTCAGCACATCTGCTCCCTGAGAGCTCGGCTGATGGGACAGGCTGGGGCCTGGGCGTTGGGTCCTCTCCTTGCCGGGACTCTCAGTAGGCAAGGGATGGGAACCAAGTGGGCAGAGCCTGGCAGGACAGTCAGAACTAGAAGCAGAAGCCTGGGCCTGCTCCTACTGCTCCTTGGGGTGGCAGGGGGAGCCAGGTTACAGGACAAACAGGCAGTGGCAAGGCAAGGATGCACATTTTCCCCAAATACAGGCCCGTCCACAGCCCCGGGCTGCAGTCATCCCCTCAGCTGCCACAGAGGGGAATGCATCCCCGCCCAACACACTTACCCCTCGAATAAACTTCCTAGCCCAGCTCCAAACACGCCACACCCCTGCTCAGGCACCATCCATGCCTCCCCACTGCCTACAGTAGAGGGCTGACTTCTTTTTTGTTCTCTTAAAGAATTTTAGCAAAACTATACCCCCCAACATTTTAAGTCGACATCTATAACTTCATCCTGTTTAATGTTATACTTTCATTAATAGGAACTAGAAAATATTAAACATTGTGGCTGGGCATGATGGCTCACGCCTGTAATCCCAGCACTTTGGGGGTCTGAGGCGGGAGGATCGCCCGAGGTCAGGAGTTCGAGACCAGTCTGGCTAACATGGTGAAATCCTGTCTCTACTAAAAATACAAAAATTAGCTGGCGTGGTGGCAGGCACCTGTAATCCCAGCTACTCAGGAGGCTGAGGCAGAGAATTGCTTGAACCTGGGAGGCGGAGGTTGCAGTGAGCCGAGATCTTGCCATTGCATGCTAGCTAGGGAGAAAACAGCGAGACTCCGTCTCAAAAAAAAAAAAAAAATACAATGAGGGCTAACTGTAATTGGAAAATGTTATGATACAACTTGATGAAATAGCTCTCAATTATCAAATTAACTCACTCAGAATCTGAAGTTATGTGAACCTTTATTGAGTGAGTTGTATCCATTTTGTATTTCCAAATGTGGGAATCCTAACAGAGGCCAGTCACACTGAGTCGATATCGCTGGCTTCTGCTCCCCAGCTGTTGTGAATTCAGAGCATCTCAGCTCAGCTGAGCTGCCCCCAGGTGATGCTCTAAGATGAAGAATGACCCAGGTATCCCACAGCAGGACCTCTGGCCTCTCTGGGGGCCCAGGAGCTTTGAATGCCCAGGGCAACAGGGCAATATGCCGTAACTCCATTGTAAATGGGTGAGAAGGTGAACCCAGGCTGCTGCCCGGAAATCCTCACCGCTTAAGACTGTGCCTGCAGGAGCCTAGAAGTTTCTGACCTTGCCTCCAATTGCCCCTCCCCCACCCCATGAGATGCCCCTTGTTCCAGCCCCATTCCGACTTCACCCCCTCCCAGAGCCTCCTCCACCCCATCAACTGGGCGCAGTCTCTTCTCCAAGGCTCCAGCACCTTCCATTCTGTGAAGGTCCTTTGAGCCTGGGCTGTCTCCCTCGCTGCCCCGCACGGAGGAGCCCCACCTGACTCATAGCTCTGCCCCTTCCCAGCCCGCCCCCAGGACGCTGCCAGCACATAACGTGAGCTAATGAATGGCAGTGGAATAAATACATGGGCAGGCAGGCATCAGGAGCAGACGCCTACGTCCCTAGGAGGCGATAATGGCAACTCAACTCTCTGGGCTTGGAGACAAAATTATCCACCTGGCAGCCAACAGGAATCGGCCTCCAGCTCAGGTGCCTAAGAAACAGCTCTTAATAATTTTCCTTTAATTTAGAACTTGAGCCTTAATTCCCCTCCCACATTCTGGCTAGAACTGCCATTTCAGTCGTTCCTTAAAACTTAACAAAGGGATTGCTGGGTGTGGTGGCTCACACCTGTAATCCCACCATATTGGGAGGCTGAGGCGGGCGGATCACGAGGTCAGGAGCTAAAACGGTGAAACCCCATCTGTACTAAAAATACAAAAAATTAGCCGGGCGTGGTGGTGGGCACCTGTAGTCCCAGCTACTCAGGAGGCTAAGGGAGGAGAATGGCTTGAACCTGGGAGGCGGAGCTTGCAGTGAGCCAAGATTGCGCCACTGCACTCCAGCCTGGGTGACAGAGCGAGACTCCGTCTCAAAACAAACAAACAAACAAAAACTTAACAAAGGGATTACATTGTCGCATTTAACTGCCCTCCCCTCAACACTCACACACAATCCGCTTGCCCACTGCACCCAGGGACCCTGTGGGAAGTGGACGCAGGTGGCCGAAACTGCAACTGTCACCTGCTCATTTGCCATTTTAAGATGCTTCAGTTCCAAACCCATGATATTGACGGGAAAAACAGAAACCTAATATGCACAGGCCAGGTGCGGTGGCTCACGCCTGTAATCCCAGCACTTTGGGAGGCTGAGGCGGGTAGATCAAGAGGTCAGGAGTTTGAGACCAGCCTGACCAACATGGCGAAACCCCGTCTCTACTGAAAACACAAACATCAGCCGGGTGTGGTGGCACACGCCTGTGATCCCAGCTACTCAGGAGACTGAGGCAGGAGAATTGCTTGAATCCAGGAGGCAGAGGTTGCAGTGAGCCGAGATTGCGCCACGGTACTCCAGCCTGGGTGACACAGTGAGACTCTGTCAAAAAAAGAAAGAAAGAAAGAAAAGAAACATGCACAGCCTCCTCTAGCCAGTCCCTTTTCTCTTCCTCTGTGTTCGTCCTGGGCAAGTTGCCAGGGAAAAGCTGAGACCATCTTTGAACATGGGTGAGCTAAAGCCAGTCCTTCCCCATCTCTGCAATGACGGTTTGGAGTAGACTGGGACAACGGTGGCCTCCTCTGCTCTAACTGCACACGCTGACTGGTGGTGACCACCTGGATGCTAGGTCGTAAGGAGCACTGAGGGAGTTCTGCTTCTGCAGGAAAGTGATGGGAGCGACAAGCAATATCTGCCAGGGCCAGAGGAGGCAGTGTGGAGACACATATGCCAGGCTTTTACCAAGTAGGAAGAAATTCAGACATTGAAAACTGGTGGCCAGGTGGGGCTTGGTGGCTCATGCCTGTAATCCCAGCAGTTTGGGAGGCTGAGGCGTGAGGATCACTTGAGCCCATGAGGTCGAGGCTGTAGCGGGCTGAGATTGTGATACTGCACTGGGTGACAGAGTGAGACTTTGTCTCAACAACAACAACACACACAACACAACAACAGCAAAACACATACAAAAAAACTGGTGGCCCAAGGACAGTTGTTTTGGCTCACTGTAGGTTGTTTTTTACAGTTTTTAAAAGTTGAATTTTATTGCCATTATTTATCTATTAGGTTTTATCCCAAGAAAGGTGGATGAGGGGAGTCTGGAAAACCAGAGGAATTGGCCCCAGTGGGGCTTTGTTCCCATCTGGCCACAGCAGCTGGAGCCAAGCAGGCAAGGCCATGCAGTCCAGGTCACCAGCATCTGACCCCCTGGCTCGGGTGTGTCTACCTGGCCTGGCAGCATCCATGTTTGTGACCCCTGGACTTGATTATTGATTTGTTTCTGTTGGTCCAGTGAGTGGCAGAGGGGACTACTGCTAAGAAACAACTCCTGGAGAGGTGTGTCACGGTCCCCAAGAGACTGGGGATGGCTTCCCTGGACCACCCAGGAAGACAAAGGAAGAAAAGTTCACGTTTATTGAGCATCAAATGTTTGCTCACCACTGTTGTGGGTTGTGGTGGGGGAAGGGGTGGTTCAACTCAGTAATTACGCCCACGTGGCAATGCTACGAAGGTCATATAATTACCATTTTGCAAACAGGGAAACTGAGGCTCAAACATGAAGGTTCCAAGGTCATCCAGCAGGTGAGTGGCAGAGGCAGGATTTGCTTTGCACCTGGGCCCCATCCACCAGGTTCGCTGGCCGCTGCTCTTGCCCCCCGACTCTCCCCCGTCCACTGAGAAAGACCCCAACAAGGAAGCTACTATGCTTGAAAGCAAGGAAGCAAGGGGTCTTTCAGATTCCACTTTCCAACTTTCCTGGTTCTTGTCAGTGGTCTTTATGGGCTTTCAGTGAAGCCTCTCCAAATGGAAGTGGTCGCCTGATGAGCTATGAAATCTTCCGCAGAGGTTCATTTGCTAATTACATACAACAGAAAACTTAACAACGTGATAGACGATCACCCAGCCTGTGACCTCGGGTTTTGCTTCTTTTTTTTTGAGATGGAGTCTCGCTCTGTCGCCCAGGCTGGAGTGCAGTGCCGCAATCTCGGCGCAATCTCGGCTCACTGCAAGCTCCGCCTCCCGGGTTCACACCATTCTCCTGCCTCAGCCTCCTGAGTAGCTGGGACTACAGGCGCCCACCACCACGCCTGGCTAATTTTTTTGTATTTTTAGTAGAGAAGGGGTTTCACTGTGTTAGCCAGGATGGTCTCGATCTCCTGACCTCATGATCCGCCTGCCTCGGCCTCCCAAAGTGCTGGGATTACAGATGTGAGCCACTGCACCCAGACTTACTGATGCTTTTTAACAATAAGAGTTGCTTTGGAAAGATTGTCTCCAACTTTATAAAAGTAGTAGCCTATGAAAAGAAAAACAAGAGCCGGGTGCAGTGGCTCACTCCTGTAATCCCAGCACTTTGGGATTCCGAGGCAGGTGGATCACCTGAGGTCGGGAGTTCAAGATCAGCCCGACCAACATGGAGAACACCGTCTCTACTAAAAAAATACAAAATTAGCCAGGCGTGGTCGCGGGCACCTGTAATCCCAATTACTCGAGAGGCTGAGGCAGGAGAATTGCTTGAATCTGGGAGGCGGAGGTTGCAGCGAGTTGAGATCGTGCCATTGCACTCCAGCCTGGGCAACAAGAGCAAAACTCCATCTCAAGAAAAAAAAAAAAAAGACGAAGGGCTAGAACGTAGAGGTTAAATGAGACAAGTTATAATAGTAGTTTTTTTCTGTCTATTTTTTGAAAAACAAAACAAAACAAAACACACCTTGGAAGCCTATGAGATCATGCTAACAAGAGCCTACATTGAGTAGTAGGCATGGGGGTTTGTTAAATTATTTGTTGTACTTTTCTGTTAAAAGTTTTTTCTTTTCCTTTTTTTTCTTTCTTTTTTTTTTAGATGGAGTCTCACTGGACTCACTGCAACCTCCACCTCCCGGGTTCAATCGATTCTCCTGTCTCAGCCTCCCAAGTAGCTGGGATTACAGGCGCATGCCAGCACGCCCAGCTAATTTTTGTGTTTAGTAGAGACAGGGTCTCACCAAGTTGGCCAAGCTGGTCTCGAACTCCTGACCACAGATGACCTGCCCACCTCAGCCTCCAAAAGTGCTGGGATTACGGTGTGAGCCACTGCGCCCGGCCAAAACTTTTTTTTTTTTTTTTTTTTTTTTTTTTTGAGATTGAGTCTCGCTCTGTCGCCCAGGCTGGAGCGTGGTGGCGCGATCTCGGCTCACTGCAAGCTCAGCCTCCTGGATTCATGCCATTCTCATGCCTCAGCCTCCCGCGTAGCTGGTACTACAGGCACCCACCACCATGCCTGGCTAAGTTTTTGTATTTTTAGTAAAGACAGGGTTTCACTGTGCTAGCCAGGATGGTCTTGCTCTCCTGACCTCGTGATCCACCCACCTCGGCCTCCCAGAGTGCTGGGATTACAGGCGTGAGCCACCGCACTGGGCCCAAAACTTTTTTCTTATAAAAAAAATTATGAGACATTTTTTCTATGTTAAACATTGTTTATCATTTTTTTATTAAAAATTATTTTTAATAAAAAATTATTAGTAGTGGTGGTAGCAGTAGTAGAGACTCTGTCACCCACCCTGGAGTACAGTGGCTCCATCACAGCTCACTGCAGCCTCAAACTCCTGGCCTCAAACAATCCTGTCTCAGCTTCCTGAGTACCTGGGACTACAGGCATGTGCCACCACACCTGCTAATTAAAAAAAATTTTTTTTGGCCAGGCACAGTGGCTCATGCCTGTAGTCCCAGCACTTTGGGAGGTTGAGGTGGGTGGATCATTTGAGGTCAAGAGTTTGATACCAGCCTGGCCAACATGGTGAAACCCTGTATCTACTAAAAATACAAAAATTTAGCCAGGCGTGGTGGCAGGTCCTGTAATCCCAGCTACTCGGGAGGCTGAGGCAGGAGAATCACTTGAGCCCAGGAGGGAGAGGATGCAGTGAGCCGAGATCGCACCACTGCACTCCAGCCTGGGTGACAAGAGACTCCGTCTCAAACACCACCACCACCACCACCACCACCACCAACAACAACAACGGCCGGGCGCGGTGGCTCACGCCTGCAATCCCACCACTTTGGGAGGCCAAGGCGGGCAGATCATGAGGTCAGGAGTTTGAGACCAGCGTGGCCAACATGGTGAAACCCCGTCACTACTAAAAGTACAAAAATTAGCCACGTGTGGTGGTAGGCACCTGTAATCCCAGTTACTCAGGAGGCTGAGGCAGGAGAATCACTTGAACCCGGGAGGTGGAAGTTGCAGTGAGCCAAGATTGTGCCACTGCACTCCAGCCTGGGAAACAGAGTGAGACTCCGTCTCAGAGGCTGAGGCAGGCGGATCACCTGAGGTCAAGAGTGAGACCAGCCTGGCTAACATGGTGAAAACCCATCTCAACTAAAAATACAACAATTAGCTGGGCGTGGTGGTGGGCGCCTATAATCCCAGCTATCGGGAGGCTGAACCAGGAGAATTGCTTGAACCCGGGAGGCAGAGGTTGCAGTGAGCTGAGATTGCACCATTGCACTCCAGCTTGGGCAACGAGAGTGAAACTCCGTCTCAAAAAAAAAAATTTTTTTTAGAGACAGGAGCTCCCTGTGTTGCCCAGGCTGGTCTTGAACCCCTGAGCTCAAGTGATTCTCCTGCCTCGGCCTCACAAAGTGCTGGGATTACGGACATGAACCACCACTCAGCCAAAAAATTATTATTATTATTATTATTTGTTTTTTGAGACAGAGTCTTGCTCTGTCGCCCAGGCTGGAGTGCAGTGGTGTGATCTTGGCTCACTGCAAGCTCCGCCTCCCGGGTTCACACCATTCTCCTGCCTCAGCCTCCCAAGCAGCTGGGACTACAGGCGCCCGCCACCACGCCTAGCTAATTTTTTTTTTTTGTATTTTTAGTAGAGACGGGGTTTCACTGTGTTAGCCAGGATGGTCTCGATCTCCTGACCTCATGATCTGCCGGCCTCGGCCTCCCAGAATGCTGGGATTACAGGCATGAGCCACCGCGCCTAGCCAAATTTTTTTTTATAAAAAGTTTTTGTTAATTTTTTTTCTTTTTTTTTTTTTTGAGATGGAGTCTCGCTCTGTCGCCCAGGCTGGAGTGCGGTGGTGCTATCTCGGCTCACCGCAAGCTCCGCCACCCAGGTTTACACCATTCTCCTGCCTCAGCCTCCTGAGTAACTGGGACTACAGGTCCCGTTACTCAGTCCCACCACCACGCTCAGCTATTTTTTTGTATTTTTAGTAGGGACGGGGTTTCACTGTTAGCCAGGATGGTCTCGATCTCCTGACCCTGTGATCCGCCGCCTTGGCCTCCCAAAGTGCTGGGATTAGAGACATGAGCCACCGCACCAGGCCTTTTAATTTTTTATGAAAAGCATTTTTCCTTATAAAAAATATTTTTCTATGTTAAAGTTTTTTTTTATGTTAAAAGTTCTTTTTTTTTTTTTTTTTTGAGATGGAGTCTTGCTCTGGTGTGATCTTCGCTCACTGCAACCTCCACCTCCCAGGTTCAAGTGATTCTCCTGCCTCAGCCTCCTGAGTAGCTGGGATTACAGGCACATGCCTGGCTGATTTTTTTAGTTTTAGTAGAGACCGGGTTTCACCATATTGGCCAGGCTGGTCTTGAACTCTTGACCTCAAGTGATCTGCCTGCCTCATCCTCCTAAAGTGCTGGGATTATAGGCGTGAGCCACCATGCCCAGCAAAAGTTCTTCTTTATGATTATAAAATAATTCATGAGACAGTCCACAGCTGAGCTGGTCTGAGGGAAGTGGGTGCAAGGCTCCCACAGTGGATGCCCCTACCCAGGAGGGCAGAAGAAGGTACACATCGGGGGAGCAAACTCTGGTGCCAGTCAACCAGGATTTGAATCCTGGTTCTGCCACTTGCCAGTGTGTGACCAGGCGAGTGGCTTCACCTTGTGGGCCTCGGTTTCACCATCTGTAGGTGGATGGGCCTGCCTCCTAGGGCTGTGGCGGGGATGAAGTGAGCTGGTGACTGGAAACGCTCAGCATGTGCTAGCAGGTGGCGTGCAGGAAACAGCGGCGGCTTTGAGCATTCACCCTGCCTCTCGGCTTCTTCCAGCCATCTACACGGATCTACAGACTGCTGGGAACCATGCTGGTGGCCAGAGGTGGTTCTGTCAAGTTGGCTTCATTTGGCGCTGGCCCAGGTGGCTTGGAGTTGGCTGAAAGGAGTGGTTTGGAAGAGACTGAGTCAGCCCTCTCTGTTTTCTGTCCTGTGGTCCCTCCCTTCAGCCAATTCTCCCCTGAGCTGTGTCTGGTGGGCACTCTCAGCCTGTTCTGAGTTTCAGCCTCCACCTGCCCCCCTGAACCCTGCTCCTCTCCACACTGACCTGAGGCTCAGGATGTTCCAGAAAGTAGAACCCAGAGTTGGGGAAACCCAGAATCACATTCCTTCATGGGGGTTCATTCATGCATTCATTCCACAAACCATCCTGAGAACATCCCTCCCACTGTGGCCCTGCCATAAGGCTGCAATGGAGAGTGAGGCTGGGCAGGATGGTTTCATGTGGGCACAGGACTCACAATGATGGAGCGATGTGTCCTGTGGAGCCACATTCCCATCCACCCCCATAGCAGCCTCTAGTGTGTGGCTGACCACACCCTTGCCCAAAGAAGGAGATGGGAGCGCAGGAGGGGGCAGGCCCAGCATCGCACAGCCTTGCTGTGCCCTGTCCTCAGAGGCTCCTGACTGGGTGCCTGGCTAGGCCTGAGGCCAGGGATGCCCAGGACACCCTGTCCCAGCAGGATGGGCTGAGAGGGCCCACCAGACAGCCCAGAGGGAATCCACAAAGGGAGGGAACATGAGAGACGGAAAACATCTGCCTTCACTGGATTCAGCCAGAAGGGAACCATAGCATGTTTCTTACCTGTCACAGGTTGCTGCAACACTGCTGCCTACCACGCTGTCCCCAGGAACCATCACTCTTTTCATAGCCGTGGGCTGCAGGCCAGGTGATCCGGGATTGGCAGGTCCCTTGCAGGTGTCCTTCCTCCTGCTTGGACCTGCAGCTACCTGGGCTTCCTGATTACTACATCAATGGCAGGGGCATGAGGAGGGTGAGGGATGCCCAGCACAGACCCATGGTCCTTCTCACCCATGCCAACCAAAGCAAGTCACATGACCACACCTAGCCTCAATGGGCAGAAGGAACTGCAAAGGCATGTGGGAGAGGGCGTGCACAGAGGGAGGCTGAGGGTCTGGGGACAGACCCTCAGGAAGCACCTGCTTCCTGCTGGGAGCCACTCTGGGCAGGTGGTGGGTAGGACACATGTCAGGAGGGCCCTTTTGCAGGTGAGGAAACTACTGTGGCCCAGAGAGATAAATTTCTCTCCAGCCCCAGAACAAAGTGGACCTAGACTCCTGGTCACCTGATTGCTAAGCTCTCACCAGCCTAGACCTGTGCTACCCACCCCTGACACCCCAGGTTCAGTGCTCCCTGCTACTGAGTGTTCGCAGACTTTGTGATGTAACATTTCCAGGATGCGGCCGGGCACCGTGGCTCACGCCTGTAATCCCAGCACTTTGGGAGGCCGAGGTGGGCGGATCACGAGCTCAGGAGATCGAGACCATCCTGGCTAACATGGTGAAACACTGTTTCTACTAAAAATACAAAAAATTATCCGGGCGTGGTGGCGGGCGCCTGTAGTCCCAGCTACTCAGGAGGCTGAGGCAGGAGAATGGTGTGAACCTGGGAGGCGGAGCTTGCAGTGAGCTGAGATCACGCCACTGCACTCCAGCCTGGGTGACAGAGCGAGACTCCATCTCAAAAACAAACGAAAAACAAAAACAAAACAAAACAAAACAAAAAAACATTTCCAGGATGCAGGAATGCACATGTAAGCATGCACAAAGACACACAGAGAAACAGAGAACGAGAGTTCACTTTTGGCCAGACTTAAGAATTCTAGAGAAAAAACAATCTATATGATGTACTATATTTTTAGTGCTAAATGGTGCTAAAAGCCTTTTCTGGCAACCATTAGAGACAGAGAGTTGCTTGGTTAGCTTGGGAGCAGAAAGCTGAACTGTGTGGCATCACCTGGTTTTGTCAATGTGCCTTCTTGGGCACACTCACTTGCTGGCAAGATCTGGCTGCGTCCAGATGCACTTGCATTTGCCAACCTGAATGTGCTTGAAAATGATGCTCACCCTTTGGGGAGAATAAAGCTCAGACCTCCAGCTCTGCCAGGCCCCAGAGTATCATAGATGGGTAAAGGGAAGAAATCATCACCATCAGACAGAAATCTCAGCAACGATCACACCCTCTTAAAAAATCACATAGAACTTTATTAAATAAACCAGTAGAAAGGCTCCTATTTACATCCAGGTTGTCAGTTTAAGCTCAAGTAATATGCAAGGCACAATTCTTCCTTTCTCCAGCTTTAGAAAAATCAACCACATGGCCCAGCCCTGAAGGACTGAAGGGAGCTTGTGCGGGATCCCGTCATCCTGGACTCTCCACACAGCGTCCACGCATGGATGGCCATGGGCATGAGTCTCTGGATCTCCCTGAGGGTAGCCCAGCCTCGGCCTGGAGCACAGGGGCCTGTGATCTGAGAATCTCAGATCCAGAATCAGGAGCTGGGAAGAGAGGACTTTTCCAAGGGTCTCCTCCCCCAGGCCCTGGGGAGTCCCTTCTGGATGGGCAGGCCCTGGGCTGGCGGCCGCCCTCCATCATTGGCCCAGGCCGGGCTCTAGGGCCTGCTGGGAAGCTGTCTGGGGCCCTGCGCCTGATGAGCTGCCATGAAAGTGGCCGCCTCTCACACTGGCAGGCGGTGGCTCAGATCTGCTGAGGTTCTGGAGTGGCACAGGAACAGGAGGAGCAAATGACACTGGGTCTTTGTGCTGAGGCAGGACACAGCGGCTTTCCGAAACACACACACAGAAAATATGACTCCTGCTGCCATCTCAAGGACATTTTCCTAAGGACAGTCCTGGTGTCCTGATGGAGTGAAAGGGATCACACGTGGGATGTCCCAGCAGGGCCTAAGCCAAGTCCATCAGATGTCTCAACGGCTTATGAAACAAAAACAGAGGACTGAAGTCTGTTCACAGTGGCCCATGGTTGGGCAGCAGCCCTGGGTGAGCTCCTGTGTTCTCCAGCCTCTCGCTCACCCAGGGCTTGGCTATCCTGGCCTCCAGGTGCTGGTTCCTGAGGCTTCCCTTGCGGCAGTGGCGCAGATACAGGGACACTCATGTCCCATTGCTCCTCAGAAGTCCTAGCAGCAGCCAGACTAGGGGCAAAGTAAGTTTTCACAGGGGGAAAAACCCCACCAAAAACCCCCTAAAGTAACTGGACAATCCTTTCCCTGAGACCACTACAGTAACATCACCCACAGACAACTTCTAAAGAGCACTTCTAACTGCTCAAAGTCTTGAGAAGGGAAAGATTTTAGCAAGGCTAGGAAAATAAAAATGCAACAGCACATTGTCCAGAAACCCTAGACAACCATGCAAAAAGGAATGAGCCAAAAAGTCTTAGCTTTGTAAGACTTGAAAGGAAAAAAACACACATTTAAAACTCCTACATAAAATGAGCTAATGGGCAGAGCCGAAACTACAGCTCTGTGTGAAGAGACGGCAGTGAAGCTGGCCTGGGGCCGGGGCACTCATCTGGAGGGGCTTGTTCCAGTGTGAATGCAGCAGGGATGTTCCATCTTGGGGGTGCACGAGGCTCGGCTGAGACCCATCCTCCGGGAACCTTCACGCGGCCTAGTGGGAGGCATAGGCTGGGCTCCACAGCCCTGAGGGAGGGCTGGCTTTGCGAGCAGGAGGCAATGCATTGGGAGATGTGGGTGATGAGGCAGCGAAATCTAGGGTGGGAAGAGAGACGATGTTAGCAGCAGAGCCAGGGAAAGCGGCGCACTCTTCAGTTACAGCCAGCATTCAGCAGGCGCCTGCCTCACCCAGGACACTCTCACAGTGATGCCCCGAGGCCTCCCCGGCCAGCAGAGGGAAGTCCACGGGCACCTGCTGAGCTGGCCTCATTCACACAGAGAGGCCTGGGATGCCACCCTAACACCCAGGAGCGCAGAGCCTTCCGGGGAGAACGTGTCTCAAGTTTCAGGACCACAGCAGCATCTGTCCAGGGGGCATGAGGCAGGGAGGCCCCGTGCATCTGAATGCAATGCAGCCTCGGGCAAGAGCGCCACAGGAACAAAGACCCCGAGGGGAGCAGCGATTCTGCAGTGCTCCGGAGACCTTGCAGAGATCCAGGTGTGGCTCCCAAAACCCAGGGAGGAGCACGCTGAGAGAGGCAGCTAGAAAGGGCAGGCACCTGCTGCCAGAGCAGCTGCAGAAGGCAGCAGAGCCGCGAGGAGGCCGAGCACCCGTGGCCTCCCCTGGGTGCCGCTTTGCAGGTAGAGAAGTCGTCAGGCAGAAGACAAGGGCGTGTGGGCTCTCCTTACCCAGGAAAGTGCTTCTACCCACACAACTGGGTCTTCTTTCAAAAAAATTCAGGGACCCCCCTGAAGCCGGTCCATGGGCCCCCATGTCAGCAGACACGAGCTCGAGGACTCTTTGTGTAGGGGAGAGAACCCTCAAATGGGAATCAGGAGACATTAAAGGGCCTTCACGTACAGCAGTACAGGCTGGGCACTGCATTGTTTGAGAGAGAAACTACATTCACACAGTGAGGTGCTCCCTGGAGCTGTGCAGGGTCACCAGGGCTTCGGGGTCACCAGAGAGACAGTTAGACCATTGAAATAAATGACTTTGCCCATTCTTCTGGGAAATTTCTCATCAGAACTACCCAGAATCCCCATCTGTGAGTCAGCTCGTCCAACCCCAGCTTAGAGCCTTCTGAGGCAGCCTCAGCAATTGGGCATCCAGTCCTAGCATGCACTCCTGCCTAGACAGAGCTCCTTGCTGCCCATACCTCCACCCAGCATGGCTCTACCTGGGGAAAGCTCTTGCTGAACCAGGACTGGCAGCCCCTCTGCCCCGACCCTCCTGGCTCCCACATCTGTCCTCTGGGCCTCAGGCTCCTTTGGCCCAGGCAAGGGCCTGTTGAGACTTAGGGTTCAGGAGCCTCGACCCCTCCCCCAGGGCTCTTCTCTTTCTCAGCAGCTCTGCCTGGTTGTGCCTGCAGGGGGGCTACTCACAGTGGGGGCTGTGTCCAGGGCTGGCTCGAGGCGTGAGGGCTGCAGGCACAGCAAGATCCCGGGGCGTGCAGACAGTGTGGTAGGCTGCAAGAGCACAGGGTTGGTTAGAGCAGGTCGGGGCAGGGGAACAGACCCAGAGATACAGGCAGCCTCCTCACCTATGATCATGACCGCTGTCCCAGCCAACAGGGCGAAGAGCGTGAAGAACATGACCTGGTAGGAATCCAGGAAGTGCTGGAAGAGGCTGGCTCCATCTGCCATCAATGGGAAGATGAGTTACCAAAACCACCAGGCCCACTGTGGCATCCCATCACGTTCCTGCCCTACTGTACGTCTACAGGGCAGTCCACAGGTCCCTCTTAGATGTAAGGATGGTGGTCTCAGAGGGCCAGGCCACCTGCTGGAGGCCCGGGCCCACAGCTGTTCTTGGTACCCTGGCACTTCTTCTCCTGGCGCAGGCTGCTGAGCAGAGGGGCACAGCCCCTGTGGCTGCCATGTTGAGAACAGATGGGAAAGCTGGGCAACTAAAGCCTGCATCATGGCCCCAATGAGCAGCGATCACTTTGAGGGACATTCTGCATTTCTGACTCCTCCATTTCTTACACCTCAGGTTTCTACTGATAGCCAGGACCACTCCTGCCTGTCCCTCCCCATCCTGGTCTGTCCCAGATGATGTCGTTCCGTGACTCACAAGGACCGGGCCCACGGCGATCCACCACAAAAGCCACTGTCACTGGGATGGCAATGGCTTGGTTGGTCACGGGGCTGGAGAAGGTCAGGGTAGTGGACAGAGGCCCTTGGCTGCCAGCCGCGGGGTCCAAGACGCCGACCGTGTATGTGATGAAGCTGGGCCACCCAAAAGACTTCTCCTTTGCGAATGCCAGCACGGCCGGGGACCCGGATTTCACCTGGAAGAGACATCAGAGCTGGGGGTGCACATTCTGCAGAGTGGGGGGACCACTGAGCGGGGCCTCAGGACCCCGAGGCGGGAGGGCTGCTCTGCATGGCCATCTCTGGAAGCACCCCCGCTTCAGCCTGACATGCTGGGCTTCCCTCCTGGGGCCCAAGGGTACAGGTGGGGACCCCTGCCCAGGTCACATCTCATGGGCAGGTAATGACACCTGGGCACTGCTCATGGACGGCGTGTACTCTGCAGAGTCGGGAAGCCCTGTCCATACTCAGGGTGTTTTTTGAGGGAAGGACAAATCAATATGAATGTCAGAATCAAATTCAAGCTCATTTAATTCTAATCAACTGCTGCTTACAAAAAGGCTAAACCAGGCTGGGCGCGGTTGCTCACGCCTGTAATCTCAACACTTTGGGAGGCTGAGGCGGGCAGATCATGAGGTCAGGAGATCGAGACCAGCCTGGCTAACACGGTGAGACCCTGTCTCTATTAAAAAAACAAAAAATTAGCCGGATGTGGTGGCAGGCGCCTGTAGTCCCAGCTACTCAGGAGGCAAGGGTGGGAGAATGGCATGAACCCGGGAGGTGGAGATTGCAGTGAGCCAAGATAGTGCCACTGCACTCCAACCTGGGCGACAGAGCGAGACTCCGTCTCAAAAAAAAAAAAAAAAAAACTTTGGGAGGCCAAAGTGGGCAGATCACAAGGTCAGGAGATCGAGACCATCCTGGCTAACATGGTGAAACCCCGTCTCTACTAAAAAAAAATTAGCCAGGTGTGGTGGCAGGCACCTATAGTCCCAGCTACTTGGGAGGCTGAGGTAGGAGAATGGCATGAACCTGGGAGGTAGAACTTGCAGTGAGCCCAGATTGCGCCACTGCACTCCAGCCTGGGCGACAGAGCAAGACTCCATCTCAAAAAAAAAAAAAAAGGCTAAACCAACATGAAGTATCACCAAGCACCAGCTCTCCAAGGTAGCAGCCCGAGCTCTGCTCACGCCGCCAGCGGGCTGGCCCTCCTCCCTCATCAGCGATGCTGAGCATTCCCTGCCTCTGCAGAACATGCGATCACGCTGGCTGCAGCAAGGCAGGAGGAGCAGGCGGAAATGCCGAGGAACTCCTTGGTTCTCTCACCCCCGAACTCTTCCCAGCCTGCCAGGCTCTGGGCCTGAGGGATCATTCACCCACCAATCCCACCCCGTGACTTAGTCATGGGGGAAGTGAGGCCTGGAGAGAGGGGACTTGTCCCAGCAGGGATTAGGGCTTTCCTCCCTGCTCTGTGGCAGATGCTCCTGCACTGAATTCTGCGATGCCACGCACCACACGCTCACTGGCACCTTTTCTGGGGTTCTCACTGCTGCCCCCACAAGCTTAACTTGTAGCTGGGGAAGACCAGCAGCGGTCAGAACAATTAATACAATCACGCAGCCTGAGAGACAGCAACAGTGCTATGGAAAAAGAAAAGAGTACTTCAATTTAAAAATTCTAATTGTAAAAATAAATTTTAAAGAGAGCTGGCCCAGGACATCCACACCACATTCCCTCTTCCTCCAGGGCCTTCCTGATGCCCCTGACTCCGGCCTGGCCTGAGGCATGCAGATGCCACTCACCTCCAAGTTCTCCAGAACCTCCGGGGCACCAAAGACCCTGATCTCGGAACTGGTGTAGTGGTTGCTCAAAAGGATTTCAGCCTGGTCGGCGAAGAGACCTGGGCTGAAGGGCACCTCGGCCCCCACCTGCTCTGTGGAGAAGTGGCTGCTGGAGAGGGAGGCACTGACCACCAGAGCTGTCTTCTTCATGCTCAGGTGCTTCCGCTGCTTGTCCGTCAGCCTGTGCATTGTGATTGAGCAGAAGTACTGGCCTGCGAAGACAAGGGTGTATTGTCTTGTCCCCTCTCCTGCCCGTGCACTGATGTCATTTCTTCTCCCTGCTTCTCTAACCAGGGGATTCCTATGCATCCTCCAAAGCCCAGGTGAGAAGTCACCTCCTCCAGGAGTCCTCCTGGGAATCCCCTATAAAGGCCTTGGCCAAGCTAGGATACCCTCTGTGACCAGCAGTCCTCCCAAGTCCCCCTGGCGTCAATCCCCAGGCTGGGCTCCTGACAATCTCTGCCCTCTGGACAGACGGCCATGGTGAGCTGGGCACGTGGAAGCCGCAAGATGCCCAGAAGACAGAGACTGTCTCCAAGTCCCTTTCACTTTCAAATCCTCGCAATTACCGAGAGCAGTGTCAAACTGTGGCTCCACGGTGAACACATCTTGAGATGGGAAATCAAAGACGGCCGGCTTGAACTGGGACTGGCAGCTGATGAGGGTCTCTGGGTGCAAGGCCTGGATGACTTCCCTCTGGGTGGGGGTGCACTCGCCTAGAGAGGGGAGAGACGAGAGGGTGTGGGCCAGGCCCGATGGCCACCACACCAAATTCCACCAGGCCTGCACAGGCTGGCTGGGCTGCAAATGCCACCTGCCCCTGCATGTCTTCCAGCAGGGCCCCAGGGCGGCTCAAAGCTTTGAGATGCAGCCAGGATTGGTAAAGCCAAGGACATATCATATGGAAGAGGATGCCATCGGCATCACAGGGAGCTTCAAGTCAGAATTTCAGCATTTGTTCCAGACCTTGCATCCAGGGGCACGGCAGACGGGCTAGGCCCACTAATGCCTGTCTTCTGTCCCTGTCAGCAGGGGAAACGGCAATTTACTTCTGCACATTCAGAGGGCACTAGTTCTCCACTAACATCTGAGCAGCATTTAGGCAACGGCACAGTGCTGTCCACTTGCGCTGAGGAAGGAGCAGAGGCTGCCATGATGGAACAGAGCTGCCTCGTTAATCAGGACGAGAAGGGCGGTGCTTCACTCTGCCAGTGAGGTGGTTTAAGAAAACAGCCCTGTTGACTTACTTATTTCTGGCAGCTGCTGTTCAGGGCTGTCATGGGCAGGGGATGGGGTTCAACATTCTATGCATGACCTGGGAGAGGTCATTACAAAAATTAAAACCAGTGACGAGTCCTGCTAATTCATTAGTTTCTGGGATTCACGGTGGGAAATTGTGGCTTTCTTTGCTAGGGTGCCCTCGGGCTGAAGTCACATTTCCAGTGCAGAACAGGCACCTTCTGGGAGCTGGGCTCCATTATGAAGATTCCTTTCACTGGCTCAGCTTTTGGAGGACTCCAATTTCAGAAACGCTGGAAGGA
This sequence comes from Homo sapiens, assembly GCF_000001405.40. Taxonomy (NCBI): domain Eukaryota; kingdom Metazoa; phylum Chordata; class Mammalia; order Primates; family Hominidae; genus Homo; species Homo sapiens. Next base: position 13,323,165 of record NC_000003.12, read on the forward strand.
GTGGATGAGTGGGGGCTAAATGCCCTCTCTGGAGTTGGTGTGAGTGTGAATAGGAGAAGCAGATAAACTCCATCCAGAGGACACAGGAAGCCACCTCCCCGCTCCCAGGTACTCTGAAGACAGCCCAAGCCCCTCATTAAGTACCTCTCAGGTTAGAGCTTCTGTCTCCCACGGCAACAATCACTTTGGAGGCTGTAGCCTCCTGGAAGCTGGTCTGGATGGGGTGGAGGTGACGGGCCATGATCCTCTGAGGGACGCTGACCACCACCTAGAGAGGGAGCCAAGGAAGCTTCATGGAGCGCCGCCTGTGTCCCGGTCCATGCTGGGCGTTTCCACAACCTCACCCTGCAGTCTGTGACATAGTGTCACCCGTTTCACAGGTGGCAACACTGAGGCTCAAAGCCTAAACGCCTTGCTAGAATGTGGCAGAGAGGGGGTTTGAGCCCAGTCTGGTCAGACTTCACAGCCCAGTTCTCCCATTGAACAAGCTGCTTCCCCCAGCAGCTGACTGGACGCTGAGCAGCGGGCCTGAATTCATTAATCGATCTGGGTGGGCTGAGGATTTTGGCTGTTCGGACAGCCATGATCACTTCTCTGTAGTACAGCACCACACCCCACCCAGAATCCAGTCTGCCCAGATTTTCCCAGCTGTTCCCCCTGTGCCCATCCTGTACCTGGCCACACCCAAACAGCCCCAGGCTGGAGACCTCCCTGCACTCCCTTGGCTAGGACACCCTCCCATCTTCTCTGCAGAGCCCAGCCTCATCCACCCTTCAGGCCCAAGGCCACTTCCTGCAGCTGAAGGCCCCCCTCCCTCTCTCAGCAGGCACCAGCGCTCCCTGCCTCCAGGAGATCTGATTTCTACCAGTAGGTGAACTTCAGAGCAGGGATGCGATTGAAGCCCCTGCAGCTCCCAGGGATGTGGCCCATGCAGAGCTGTAGGTGACCAGGCATCACTGTCAAACTCACGGTGCCTCCGCTCAGGGCTTACCACCATCCACCTCCAGGGACTGACAGAGGCTGTGTCCCACTCTCTAGCCTGGGACCCCCCAACGCTGGCCCTCCTCTCCCCTTCCTCCCTGTCCACCCTCAGAGAGTGCCCAAGGCTTCCTGGCCCCTCTCCTGCCTGCACTCCTGGAGTGCCCGTGCACTCCCACCCACTCCCAGGGCTTCAGAGGCCACTTCTGGGCTGAGGCCCCCACCCTGTCCAGCCTTCCTCACAGTGCTCCTGCCGCACCCACCCAGGTGTGCCTCCTGCCTCACCTGGGAGAGCTGTGACATCTCTAGCTCCCCGGCCCAGGCTCCTCACCTCCCTGCAGGCCTACCTACCTCTGTGTGCCCCTCTCAGCAAAGGACCAGTAGCAGCCTGGTCATCCCAAGCCCTTCCTCCCCTCCAGCCTCACTTCTGGATGCTCATGGAGCTCTGATGTGCCTCCCTCCCTCCCGTCTCTCCCAAACCTGCCTTTAGATTCTGCCACACCCAGTGATCCCAGCTGAGGGCCTGGCCTCAGTCTCTGGCCAGTTACCCTGTAGCGACTGCTCTCTCGAGCTCCTCCAGGTGCCAGGTAACCTCTGCAAACACAGCCTTGGTCTATAGCACTGTTTAAAAAACTCCACTGAGTGTGGCATAAGCTTCTACCCCTTCACCCTGGAACAGCAGCAGCAGCAGCAGCTAATTTCTGCTGAGCACTGGCTATGAGCTGAGCACCACCCTAGGGGCTTCTGACGTGCTAACTCACTAAATCCTCACAACGCTATCATCCCCATTATACAGGCAAGAAAATCGGGACATAGCGAGACTCAATGATTGCTCAGTCATAGCCTCGCAGTGGCCAAGCTGGGATTTGACCTAGACCGTCTAGCTGTAGATGCCCCACCCTCAACCTGCACCAAACTGCCTGGAATCTGGTGCATTTTCTGATCTGATCACAAAGCCAGACCATGCTTCTCCCACACCCTCTGTTCCAGCCCCCGAGGCTCTGCCCTTGAACCCTACACACCTTTGTCCATGCCACCCCATCCCCTGACCAGAGGCTCTTTCCAGGAGAGCACAGCTGTATTGTCACAGGATGCCTCTGTCTGCAACTGGCTCGCCCAAACTGCAGAGCCGCAGCACTAAATATGCAAACAATTAGGTTAAACTGCTAGGTTCCATAAAGCACATGCTGCCTCTAAAAATGAGATGCATTTGGATCTCAGCCAGACTTGCCCCACTGATTCATTCTCAACTGGAGATGAATGGAAGAGACAGCAGGTTTTGTCGCCTCCAGACTCAAAGGGTGACTTGCACAGGGAGTCTTAGCCTTGCAGGTGACAGGGAAGCACCGGCTCCCAGGAAGTGCCCACTCCGGGGTTGCCAGACCCAAGCCCATGGGAGCTGGAATCCACCCTACAAGGCTGCCTGTCCTCATCACACCCTCTTGAACATGGGGAGACTGAAGCCTGGAAAAAAAAGGGAGCTTGTCCCCATGTCAGAGTCAGCAAGTGGCCAGTCCCAGACTCATGACTCCCAGACCCAACCCCTCAGACGGCTTTTCCCTAAAAGGAAAAGTCTTCATAATCCTCCCAGAAGGTCAGGCCCGCCTCACAGGCCACTGAGCCACATGTGCCTCCGGCTGCTTAGAGCCCACCTCCTTGTAGGTCCTCAGGTGCCCAGCGACCTCATAGTAAACCGTCACGGATCCCACGGCCCGGGCCACAGCCACACCCGTCTTGGGGTCGATGTGGAGGATGCTGTTGGCCGAGGAGCTCCAGGTTCCTGAGAGGCCTGGAGAGGAAGCACAGGTGTCAGCCCCCTTTCCATAGCTGGACACTCCAGTCAAAGCCCAGCTCACCTGGATGACAGGCCAGCTTCCTCGCTGGCTGCCGCTACCCCCATGGGGGCTCACTCAGCAGCCTCAGGAGACAGCCACGCTGCCTGCCCCAGTGCCGGTCATGCTCCTGACTCCAGCCACCTGGAGCCATCAGCTCTCCTACCCTGCTGCACCCGCCCTCTACAGGGCTGTGGCCCCTAGCACCTGCTCTCCCTGACCCACAACTCCCTGCCTGGAATCTCCTGACCATCCTGGCATGAAGCTTTAGCTGACTCCTGCCCAGGAATGGTCTGGTGCTGCTGCCAGGCCCTGCCCTCTGTAGCTCCTTCCCCAAAGCACAGCCCCTCCCCATCCCTTCGTTGCCTTATCAATTCCTTTTTAGCAACAGACAGCAGGTGTGAGGCTCAGAGCTTTCACCACATACACATCTGAGTTAAAAGCCAATCACATTATATAATAAGTACAATTAAAGGACTCAACCATAATCTATTTATGGCAAATTATATTTGTTTTTCCTTAAAGGTAGTATTTCATCTCCTTTTAAAATGAATTTAGTAAGGTTAAAAAAAAAGGTGGAGACAATTTGAAAATAAAAGCTAAGTAAATAATTGTACACGTGTTCCACAGATGTACTACAGGTCACCTGGGCATGGCTGAAATTTGGAAGCCCCTGATTTAGCCCAGTGTCCTTCTTTGCTTAAGTCTCCCAGCCTGTGCTGTCCACTATGGCGGCCACTTCCCACAGAATTCACTAAAATGGTGAATTCAGTTCCTCAGCAGCAGCAGAGATCCGTGTGTCTCCTGGCTAGAGGAACTGAGTGAGACTATGCAGAGACAGGATGCCCCACAGGGGCAGGGGACCCCCCCACCGACTTGGCAGAGCTGTTCCAGAAAAGGGCTGGCAAATGCTTTCTGTGAAGGTCGGACATAAGCATTTGGGCTATGCAGCCCATACAATCTCTGCTATGACCACACAATCTGGCAGTGGTAGGGTGACAACAGCCACTGACCATACATAATGCATGGCACAGCTGAGTGCCAACAAAAATTTACTTGCAGAAAACAGGCACAGGCTGGATCTGGTCTCCGGGCAGCAGTTTTGGAGCACTGCTCCTGAGTATCCTGCAGGTCTGCCTGTAGGCCCCCGTGACTGGTGCCGAGCCCCTGCCCAGGTAGCCCCCACCCAGCTTTGCAAGCGTCCGTGACTCCACAGGTTCCCTTGCTCAGGATCTATCTTACCTTCCAGGCTGGTCAGAACAGTGGCCAGACAGAGCACGTCCCCCACCACCATGGCCCCAGACAGCTCTGGGGAGATGGCCTGTAGGACAGGCAGGGGCATGAAGTCCGAGAGGCCCGGGTGCTCTGCGTCCCACACACGGAGCAGTGTCAGGCCCACGCTGACTGTGCGGACAACGCAGGTGTTGTTGGTGGGGCCCTTCCCGATCTGCACAAAGTCGTCTCTAGGCACAGGAGAGAAAGGAGGGCTCTCAGTCTCGGGAAAGAAGCTTCCAACTCCCAAAGGGAGAAACGTAATCCATGTCCTCTGCTGAGCAAAGCATTCAACTGACTGAGGTCCCAGGTGTGGCCCCAACTCGAGGTTACCAAGCAGTGGCCCCAGATGAGGGACCACTGCAGGCAGGTGGCACAGGCTCGACCTCCTCACTTGTCATGCCAGAAAGCACATGCAGCTCGCAGCCAAACAGTGGCAGCAGCATCATTCCTGCATTTCAGAAAGGAAGCTGAGGCCCCGAGGGGAAAGAGATCCAGAGTGCTTCCTCACGCTCTTCCCACCAGGGAACTGGACATGCCAGAAAGGGAAGGCTGCCCTTACTATGCAACCTGACTGCAGAAGCAGCCTCTGCCCCTTTCCTCCTCTGAAAAATGGGGATCATCACGTGACCGTGACGCAGGCCTGGCATAAGCATTACATGAGGTCAGCAGTGGGGAGGCACCTGCCACAGGGCAGGTGCTCAGTCAATGTTGGCAATGGCAGCTTTGGTGCAGAAGTGTGGACTGCGTGGGGTGACAGTTTGGGTTAGGGATCATGGCTGCATCCTTGCCTCCACCACACCTTCTGACCCTGAGTGCTGACTAGGTCTCTATCAGGTGCTCCTGCTACAAGAAGGCCAGAATGACCTGCAGTGCAGCCAAAGGGCTGGGAGAACTGGGCTCCATTTCCTCCAGGACATGCCCTAAACTGATGGATGGCAATTATGTGCGCACACACGGAGTGCCATGGTTTGCCAGCGGTCCTCATGACCACTCCCTCAGCTGAAGGAAAGCCCTGGAACCTAGGCCATATTGCCCAACGTGAGAGGTGTGGAAACAGATTTTTGGATGGTGACCTACTCACAGGGCCCACGAAGGGCAGAGCTGGGGCTAGAACCAGGCCTGACTCTAAACCCCAGTTCTTTCCATAAGGCAACACCCCTGACACCTGTCTTTGAATGCATTCAGCAACAGGGAAACACAACTGTGGCAGGACCTGTGGGCAGCCGAAGCTGAAGGGCCAATTTCCTGTGCCTCGGGGAGCACTCCCTGGAGCTGCCCCATGCCCTGTTTCCTCCTTTGGGGGCTGATGCCTGTCTGTCTTCCTCTGAGCTGGTCTACATCCCCCAAGGGCAGTGGTGTTTCCTCGTGGCCCTGCATGGTGCAGCATGCCCACATCTCTTGGAAACTGAAGTAATACACATCTTCCTTCAACAGCAGCAGACTTTCTGTGTTATCCCCAGTTGTCTCTACCAGGTACCAGACAGGACTTCATAGGAGAAATGACCCTTGCCCACATCCTACCTGTTAGTGGCAAAGTTGAGGACCGAACTGTGAGCATGGAAGACATCTCCAGAGTTGTCGTGGAAGTGGACAGTGAAGGTCACGGTCATTCCCAAAGGCACGGCCACCAGGGCCTCCTTGTTCTGGGTGTGCAGGACAGGGCTCATGGAAACCCTCAGGTAGGAAACAGGGGATACCTAAGGGACAACATACAGGTATGATGAGGATTCAGTGCCAGGGACTGGCCTCCAGGAAAACCCACCTCCCAAGGAGGGGACACCTGCCCCCAGCAGGATCCACCTCAGGAACAATGCAGGGCTGGACTTAGGGGTCCTGAGAGGAGTAAAGGCCACACTCCCCAGAGTGTCCCAACCTAGTGACAAGGTTCTTACTTCCCAACACAGCAGACTGGCCTCTCTATGAGAAAACCCACCCAGGAGTGTCCCAATCCATGACTTGAATAAATGAGATCACTATTTACATTGCAAGAGGGCCCCCTGGGCTGCAAATGTCCAGTTTCTTCAGAGAACCTGGCTCTTGGGGCATTTAAAGAAACGAAATCCTCCTCGATCGCAGGGGCAGCGCTAAGCAGGCCACAGCATGCCCTGCAGGCCACCAGGGGAAGGAGGGAAATGGGGATTTCTGGAGCCCAAGAACCCGAGCTCCATAAACAGCAGCCCTTGTTTCTCTGAGTCCAGGTGAAAATCTATCCTCGCTCAAAAGCTAGTGCTCCAAAGGTCTGAATTTCTTTAACAAAGTTCAGTGGTGCAGTGTCTGGTATACAGCTAGTGCTCAGTACATATTTGTTGAAATAGGATGAGCAGTCAGTCACTTTCACTCACCAAAAACTAGAGCGGGGGATTTGCTGCCAGGCACCCATTTTGAAACAAAATGATGTGAATTAATGAAAGAGGTCTGTGACCCAGGCAGAGTCTAAAGATTTAAGTGAGTGTGTGTCTTCTGTCATCCAGGGTTCAGCAAGTGGTGATGATGAGACATGGAAAGAAAATTCCATTCAGCAAAACCCCAGGACCTGACCCAGGGATGCTGATGGAGAAGGTCCCATCCGTAAGGAACACAGAACGGCAGAGGGCAGTGCCATGATATGGCAGAAGGACACGGCCCAAACCAGACAGACCCCATCACTCAACCCCCATGCAAGCTTAAGCAAGTCACTCTCACTCTGAGCCTCAGTCTCCTTGTCTGGAAAATGGGCCACCTCATTCTCAAAACCACAGTGGATGTCACGTACTGGATGTCACGACTTGTATGGCAGGTACTGAGCACAACATTCAATGCTCTTAAGAACAGACCATGTTCCAGACACTGGGCTGGCCCAGAACAGGAGCTCCACCATGGGTGGTGATAACATCAGTGGCCAGGCACAGTGGGTGGAGCACCCGCACTCCAGTCAGGAAGCTGTGGTGCCAGTCCCAGCTCTGTAACCTTACGCCAATCATGGACCTTGCTGGGCCTCATCTATGAAATGAAGTTCTTGGAATCAATGATTTCCCAAGGATCTTCGGCTCTGATGACCAGAAGATGCTGTAGCTTTTTATCTACCTAGGACCTTTGCCCCTGAGTTACTCTAAATGCCTGTCTACAGTTTCTTAGCTGGAAGGTGAACGTATTCACTTTTACACCTGAGAGGCATATTACCTCAGTGCTATTGCTTTCATTACTCCAAAAAGGAGGAGAATGCAACCCTACCTTTACAGCAACAATGATGGTTTGGTTGGCCCCAAAGGGCTCTTGTGCAATCACTTCGATGGTGGATGTCCCGATCATAGACCCTGATGCTAGAAAGCCTTTCTCATCAACATGCACAACTGGAACCTTTTCGGGTCCATCCAGGACGCGGTAGCTCAGAGAGGCTGCACCATCCCTTTGGAAAACAAAACAGAGCTGTTTTTGTAGATGGCAGCAGTGGGAGTGGGCCTGGATACAATGCCAGGAGATCTAAGAGTCTGTGGCTCCTCATGCTCCTGGGAGGAAAAAAGGCCCAATCTTGGCCCCACGGACCTCAGGACCACGTGCCGTCAGTTGTCTGAGGCTTCATCAGTCACCCACGGAAAAGTAATTCAGAAATCCAATGGTTCCGAGCAAAGTGTGGCGTCTCACTCTTCCCAGAGCAGTGCCTGCCGTGGGTCAGCCAGCAGGGAGGGAGAGACTATGAGGGCAGTTTCTTTCATCAGCTCCATGGGACATCTACTGTAAAATATCATTTCTGCAGCAAATTGTTCTCAATTTACTGAAGCAAGGCATCCTGGCATAGTGGAGGATGGGGCTTTGAGTCCGACAGAATCCAAAGCCGGTCCCAACATGTCCTGCCACCAGCTGTGTGCACATTATGTCCCCTCTTCTCTCGGCGTTGACTTCTTACTTGGTAAAAGGTGTGTAATGATCCTGTCTTGTCCTATTTCTAAGGACTGTCAACAGGATAAAAACAGACTACCCGCTAAGAAAACTGTTAGCAAACTACTGATACTATGTACTGGGTAGGAAGCAAATTATGCCGTATCTGTTACCCTTTTACATATTTATTAATATAATAAAGAAACCCAGGAAGCAAAGGCCTCCAGCTCCCACGGCTAGTTTCCATCATCTCTGTCTCTTCCACAGCCCTATAGATGACTAGGAGCAAATGTTATTGCCTCTGCCTAAACATTCTTCCCCCACCAACCCCTTCCTCTTAACCTGGGGAACTCTTATTCATCCTTCAAGAACTGCAGCCCGAGCATCTCCATCTGGGACATGCCTCCCCTAAATCCCCATGGACAGCACCCTTCTTTGGGCTCTGGTTTGAATACTACACCTTGCTTTTTAATAGCCTTCTCCTGCTACCCTCCTCCGGGGCACCCTATGTCACCCATATCTGTGTTCCTGGAGCCCAGCATGGAGCCTGGCACTTTGTTACTTTTGGCTGAATGAAAACATGTATGTGTTTCATGCAACATGTAAGTGTCCTGTGGCCCGTGGAGTCTCCCGCTTGGCAACTGCCATTCAAATGCAAGCCACTGTTACGAAAGGCATCCCCTTGGAATCAAAGGTAGGAATTAGGTTTGCAGAAGAGCTTTAAACAGCTTTTCCCAAGCGTTACTGTGCGGCCCCCTCGCCTGGGGATCTCCCTAGGGTGCAGCTTCTCCCTGGGCAGGTCTGGGGTGGGGCTTGAGAGCTGCATCTTCTCTTCCCGGTGATGCTGATGCTTCTGGCTCATGGGCTACACTCTGAGTGGCAAGTCTTGAAACACAACATTTCTAAGCTGGTGTTTTTTTCCCTTTTAAAGACTGAATTTTAGTACCTCGCATAAAAATGTTTCTAGGCTACAAGGAGGAAAAAGAGACCCACAGTGAGAAGTGATTTCAAGAAGCAGAGGAGCACCACAGAGAAGAGAAGGAGCAGGCAGAGGCCTCACCCATTCCAAGCACAGCAGGAGAAAACCTCCCTGAAAGTACCCATGGCTCCTGACAGTGTTGACACATGAGGTGTCGGATGCAAGCACAGCCGCACAACTTTGCTGGAAACAAGAGCTGAGTCACGTACCTGTTTGTCTGCAGCTTTATATATGAGTTGGGCGACATTAATATTTGTTCTGCTTCTATTTCAGGGTTGAGCAGCTGCAGCTTCTCAAACACCTGCAAGAGAGGGCAAGTTTCACTTCCGATGGGGCACTGGAGTCACATTCAGGCCAGATGTCTGCTTCTCTCCTAGCAGCAAGAGCCGAGGAGGGGCCAGAGAGGAGAAAAGCGGCTTTCTCGTCTGTCAGGTCACTGATGACATGATGTGAAGGGCTGACCTTTAAGAGGCCAAAGGTGTGGCCGGGTAGAGTAGCTCAGCCAAGGCAACACAGCAAACCCTCAGTCTCTACAAAATAATTTTAAAAATTAGCCAGGCATGGAGTGTGCAACTGTAGTCCCAGCTACTTGGGAGGCTGAGGCTTGCACTCCAGTCTGAGCAACAGAGCAAGACCCTATCTCACACACACACACACACATGGCCAAAGATATGATGAGAAAAGACAGGCAGGCTCATGTTTGTGTAGTCTAATGGGAGCTCCTTCAAGGAGCCTGGAAACACAGGCCTCTCCCTCCGTGCCCAGTGAGGAAGAACTTTACCTGCCAGGATGTGAGCGCGGAGGGCAGCACACACAACTCCAGCACCAGGGTTTGCTCAGGATAACTGTGCCAGGACTGAGCCTGGGCAAGGTGCCACCGAACTGCTCCCTTCTCTCACAGAGACATCCTGCTCCTCACTGCCACCATCTCAGAACAACCCCCGTTCCACCTCCCAGGCTCCTCTGGCTGGCTCTGGCCATGTTCTTGCAGGATCCACATAGACACACACAGGGGCCTGGTGAGGAGCTCAGTCCGGCAAATGATCAGCCTCATGAGGTCGGCTCAGATCTGATCCTGGGACGCCCAAGTGCTCCAAGGCCCTGGTGGCTCCCCGAGCCCATGGCAACAGCACTTACCTGGGAACTCCAGGCCCCTTCTCTGCAAGACTTCAGATGTGTCCACCACCTGTGTAAGTCCCCTCTCTCAGGCCCCTCAGGGCTGCTGCCTCCTCGGCCTCCCAGCCTGGCTCAGGGGCAACCACTCGCTGGCAGGTAAAGCTGTGCCCTGAGCTCTCCACTGGCCTCTGATCAGACCAGGTGGACACCCCTCGGGCCTGAGCCCTGGGCCATGGCCAATATCATCGGATCTGACGAGTGATTCTCTGAGAGGAAGATGGCCTGATTCCACCCCTCCCAGCTCCTCTGTGCTCTGTCCACGTAAGCCTAGATTTCCTTGTGTGTAACATGGTCCACAACTAACGTCCTCTCCATGCCTGTCTTGAGAGTTGTGGGCTCCATATGAGGTGACAGGAGGAACAACACTTCCCAAACGGTGAGAAACAGCCTTTGGGAGCTGGGTGGGGTTTTGGCGTCAGGTGAGACGAGGCTGACTCGGATGCCCCCTTCCGGCATCCACACGGAAGCCACCTCACTGAGTCTGACTCGGACACACTTACTGCCTGGTAAATACATTCATAAATAGGATTCCTTCTATTTTTTTTTAAACCATGCATTCCTATTTTCTCTCTTTAGATGGAGGGGGAGTTGTAAGATATTTCCCACTTTCCTGTTAACTATAAGAAAAGCAACAGCATGAGCACCATGGTAAATGGCAACTGATACTTGATATCACTGTCAGGGAGAAAACAGGGAGTGGCGGGGCCTGTGGCAAACTGGAGAGTGCAGCTCTAATGGAGTCAAGGTTGCTTCTCATTGCCTGCTGATTTTGCTGTGGCAGACACCATATCTTTAGGACATGCTGCATCTTAGATTTTTACCTGGAATCTTCCTATCTTTACATGACAACAAGCTGTCTCAAAGGCCTGAGTGAGCCAAATAAAACACGTTTGTAGGCTGGATCCAGATTCTCTAGTTTCTGATTTACTCAAACTCTACCTGCTGTCAGATAGGGAAACAGAGGCACAGAGCTGCCAAGTGACCCAACTGAGGTTACAGAATTTGGAAGCTGCAAAACCCTGCCTTTAATTCCATGATAGGCTCCAGGACTTACTTCCTTTTAACAAAGAACATGCATTTGGTGAGTGTGGGGATGTGCATGTGTACCTCTGTGTTGTATGTATGTGTCTCTATGTATGTGTGTCTGTGTGTGCATGTGTGTCGTGTGTGTGTGCATGTGCAGGCAGGGGTGAGGGGTTGGCAGATCGGTGGGGGTTTTTTTGTGGGTGTTTCTTTCTTGAAAAGTTTGCTTCTTTGCCCCTGATCAGGGAGGTGCTTGGGTTAGACATAGTTTATTTCTTCTTGAGGCGGGGACTAGAAACTGTTTCTTTTCTTGGGACATATAAGGAACACTTTTTGTTTTTCTTTACAGCTTAGGAGCACCCAGGGGTTACTGAGGCCCAGAGGAGCAGAACGAGGCCCTTGAAGACAAAAATGCTCTTCAGAGCCAACTTGCCAACTCTCCACCTTGCAGAGGGGCCCAGAGGGGCAGGAACTCGCCCACAGCCCATCCTATAAGTAGCAGGGACAGGCTGGATACAGACACAGGGCTGCACCCCAGGCAGGAGAACCACTAGACGCAGTCCTGACCCCTGGCTCTGAACAAGGCGCCTCCCTCTCTGAGGCTGTTTTCCAAATGCAGACAGGGCACAGTCCCCAGGCCTCTTGAGGCCACCCCCAACTTACCCTGTGACCTTGACCCTCCCCGCCTCAGGGGCATCAGCAGGTGGCAGCCCCTGCAGCCCCTGCCCCGCAGGCTTCACCTGAGGACTGGAGGCAGCAATACTGAAAAACGTGCAAGGGCGCCCCAGCCTCTGTTGGGTGCTCTATGTGTGTTAAATAAACACAAACGATTAAATTATCAGCCACTCAGACACAGTGAGCCCCAAGCTCAGAATTCTTTGCTCTTTTGGCCACACATCAAGTGAGTTCCCACCTCCAGGCCTTTGCCAGCCCCTCCCATCCTGAAACATTACTCCTCTGTGAAGCCTTTGCTTGGCCCCACCTCTGGGCTCCCATAGCACCAATCACACCCGGATGTTTACCCCACTGCGATGGACCACTGTCATCCCCACGGACTGAGAGCTTCTCAGGTCTCTCAGCCCCTGCCCATGCAACATGTGGCCCCGAAGGAAGATTGGGCAGCTGGCACTTCCTCTCCCCCTTCCCTGTGGCCTTTCCACCTGCCTCCTACCTGGACTTGGATCTCATCCGAGAGTTCTCTGGCCAGGCCATACAGCTGCCCCGATGTGGGGTCCACAGCCTTGACCACCACCCTCAGCCCGGTCCGGCCTTTTACCCGGCCGAGCACGTTCATGGCAAAGTTGTACTGTGACGGGAGTCGGATCGACGCCTGGGAAGACATCAAACACGTTTTCAGGGGTAAGGCCCAGGCCCCTGTGTCCTCAAAAAGGCAGAGCCGGACAGTAGCCCCAGACCCCCCAGCCCCCCAGTCCTGGTAGCTGCTGGCCTGTTCTCAAGGGCTCTGCCTTCCTGCCTGGGTTGGGTCTGCTAACCCCAGAGCTGTGCAGACCCGGCTTCCCCAGCATGGGTGCCCGGGTCCTGCCCTGCCTGCATCGCACAACATGCACAGATGCATTTGGAAAACACTGGGCCCACCCACGTAAGCCAGGGGCCTTCATGACAGGATGTCCCTCAGACTTCAGTGCTTCTAGGTCACCCAGAGCGATGCTGGGTTTTGCAGTGTGTCCCTGCAGACTATTCTGTTTGGGGATATCTGCTAATAAGTCTCACTGTTTGTGTTCCATGGGAGCAATCTGGGGGAGCCCCCGGGCACCAGGGACAGGACTCTGTTCCCACTGGGTGGGGTCGGGGGGCATTCGTCCCACACTAGACAAGCTTCAGGCAGCCTTTAGGAAATCCTATCCCTGGGCTTTGGTCTCTTTCCAGGCCTCCATCCCCACTGTCCCTGAATCAGGCAGGGAGCGACCTTTCAAGCCACCCTCCACTTGGGTCCTGTGTGTCCAAGGCCCACCTGGGCTTGGGCCTAGAGTCACAGGGGCTGGTGCCCAGTACCATTTCCCCACTGGCTTGCTGGGCAACCCTGGGCAAGTCCCTTCCCGTTTCTGGCCTCAGTTAACACAGACAGACTTAGTAGTCTCCCTGGCACCTTCCAGCTCTGACATCTTAGGAGAAGCCAGGGCCCCTCGCTGGGCTAAGGGAAGGGGAATTTGGCCTCTGGGATGAACCAGGAGAAACCGAGGGCTGCCAGGCATCATCTCAGAAAATGGTCAGAAGCTGCAGACTCTGACCTCCCAGGACTTTTGTGACTTCCTCACACGGCTGCTTCTGTTGGGAGAGGCACCTACTCACCCCGTCTATGTGTTTAGCATTTGGGAGAAGGGAGTCCCGATGAGCCTCGGGAGAGGGAAGAAAGTGGGCGGGCCTCTCTAGGTGTGAGGGTGGGGACTTCCTGTGGGACAATGTGGCAGGAACCCTCCCTGCCACTCGGGGTGCTGGCCTGGGACAGGGGTGGGAGGTGAGCTCTGGAGGGGGTGGTTACCTACCTCGTGGTGCCGCCCTCGGAGGTCCAGGACGTCCCGCTTGGTGACAGACCAGTGGAAGGTCAGGCCTGGCACGGCATTGCCAAAGGAGAAAGGGTTCTGGTGGTTGGTGATGCCGGTGACATAGATGGGCATCTGCAGGGGAGAAGTCAGGCCCAGTGAGCAGTAGCTCCCAGCACTGGGAATGCCCCCAGAAGCTTTGCTGCCTCCTTCAAGCAGTGGGAGATGAACCCAATTCCTCCCCAACTAGAGAAGAGCATGGCACAGGTTTGGGAATTTTGATGAAATATCAAACGAGCAAACCAGAGGTGGGACTGTTTTCCCCATACTGTCCCTCCCCTGCAGCGGGCTGCACCTCTCCATGGCCAAGATACTCATTTCCGGAAGGAGTCCCTGGAGCTCTAGGAGGCCATGGGTCCCCCAGCAGCACAGCTCGTGCTGCCCCACAGTGCTGGTTCCTCCGGGCCCCTCTCTCCTAATCTAGCTGGGGTCCCTGCTCACAGGGCACGTGTGGGTGGGGTCCCTGGCTCCTTTAGTCTCTATTTGCTGTGTCGGCTTGAGGGCACAGGCGGAGGCAAGACGGCAAAAGGCCACAGCAGGTGTTGTGCCAGGCTGCCCAGTCCACTCCCACTGCTGCCACTTCCTAGCTGTGTGGCCCTGGGCACGGGTCTTAAGCTTTCTGTGTGTTCATTTGCTCATCTGCGACACGAAGATGGTTCTGACACCAGCCTCCCAGGGCTGCTATGAACACCAAATGGATTAATGTCCAAGACAGCACGGAGTTGAGTTAAGTGCCACAGTCACTGTGCTCCTGTTAGGCACCTGGTACTATTCCAGATGTGGGAAGGTGACAGGCCAGCAGGAAGCAGGCCTTCATCAGTGGCTACCAGAGAGCAATGGAGGGTGTCTCCCTGGGTGGGGACAGGTGGGAAGCAGGCCCTAGATACCCGGGCCAGGCAGATGGAGGAGGTGGAGAAGCACTCTAACTTGAGGACAGGGTCCCAGCAGTGGCTCTTCGGGAACCAGGATTCAGAGCCCAGGAGGTCCCCTCACCTGGGTGCCCGTCCTCATCCGCATGATGGGGGCGCGGATCCTCACGGCCCTTAGCAGCAGCACCTCCACCTGCACGAGGTCCTGGGGAAACAGGGTGGCACTTAGGTGTGGGGATGCAGTGCTGGCCAGGGATGTTTCAGGAAGGGACCCCTCAAGGGAAGCAGGCTGCGGCTCAGAGTCTGTGGCGAGAAGGCCCCTCAGGATGACCAGCACCATGCTCCTCTGCCGAGGGAGGCCTGGCTTTGTGAGTGGCTCTCCCCTCATGGGCCAGCCACTGCCTCTCCCAAGGCCCCGCAGGTCCCAACCCAGTCCCCTGAGGCTGCTGCCCTGTCTGATCCAGCTGTTCCAGGTCAGCACTGCAGACTTGGGGCCGGGGACTGGTGCCTGCTCTTCCTTAGGCCTGGCTGCCCTCAAGCAAAAGGTCTCCAGGCCCTCCCAACCCCAAATCCAGCCTGCCTGTCTCTGACTGAGCAGGGTACAGGGACGAATGCAGGAGCCCTGTAGAGTCTGATCAGAACTTATAACCTCCTTCATTCTGAACTCCACACTCCTATTAATCTGGCCAAAGACTAACTCTCCTGGCTTCTTCCTAGTGCTGCTGAGTCATGCTGAACTGAGGCTATTAAAACCCTTAGACTCTCTGACGTGCTCAGGCTGAGCCCATCTTGAGGCTCATGACTTGGGCTAATGCCTGGCACACAGTAAGTGCTTGAAAAGCACCCATTCCCCTCCTTTCACTCATCTTTCTGCTCAGTCTCTTCCTGCTAGTCCTGGCCCACCCCACGGCCTTGGGGTGCTGGTTGTGTGCTCTGGATTGGACAGATGGAACTGGAAGCATCTGACCAGAATCACATTCCAGGCATGGACAAGGCGCCGCAGGTGAAACCTCTGCCTGCCTGGGCTCAGAACATGCCTTTCAGATAGGGCTCGTGGTGCAGCCCCTCCACCTGCCAAGGACCACCAGGGCCTTTCCCCAGCACCTCCCCAACCTGCCAGATGGGGGACCTAGAAGGGAGGGTGCCCAGCAAGGTTAGACCACAAAGACAAGGAATACGCAGGGCCCTGTGCCCCTCTTGCTGAATTTCTAGCCAGCTGCCCTTTACCTACGCCCTCAGGAGAAAAATCAGCCAGCTCCTGAGGCTGCACTCCTTTTTAGAGAAAAAAAACCACAGAGTCTCCTGTGGTCTGGAATGTCACGCTCCAGGAAGCCCATCTGAACCCTACCCCATCCCCAGGACAGGTTTTTACATCCCCAAGTCTTTCTCTTTGTCTTCATAATTGACACACACTGGGAAAAGGAGTAAATCAATGAACTCAATGACGGATCACAGTCAGCCTCTGAGAACAAGCATTTCCCTGCACCCCCTCTAGGGCGGTGCACTTGCCAGCTTCTGGGGTGCTGTGTTTACAGGTTCTGAACTCAGGACTGCACGGACTGCTTCCAGGGGACCTAGTTCTCATGAGGAATGGTATGACTGACTCTGAAACAGGTTTCTGTCCACAGTTGCATTACACATCACAGAAGGCTCTTCTTACAGACCAGGTTTCTGGCGCAGCTGTGAGTGGAACCCCAAAGCAGCCTTCCGAGATGCTTCTGCAAGTCACTGCTGGCGAAGGAGGTCAGGGAGAATGCAAAGGCCCTGATTTTAGCCCTGAGCCTTGAGAGGATTCAAGGAGATGAAGGCAAAGTGCTCAGAGCAGCATCTGCCTTCACCATGATTGCCATCATCCTCCACTGGAAGGGCCCTTTGGGGCCGGGAGTTGCTGAACACCCTGTCCCATAAGGAGCAGCTGGAAGGACTGGGAGACTCAGCTTGGAGAAGAACAACCAATGGGGGTCTGGGTGCTCCCATATTGGCAGGGCTGTCCTGCACCAGGGCCCCTGCAGTGACTGCAGACCCAGGGGGCAGAAGCAGCACCCTTGGAGAGGGGTGGTCCTCAGAGGTAGAACTCAAACACAGTAAAGAGGCTTCTGTCCCAGGCACAGCTGCCCAGTCTCCAATAGCACGCCTGTTACCTGAGAGATGATGACCACCTTGCCGGTCTCTGCATCCACTGCCTGCACGAGCCCAGACACAGTGCCGTTCCCGATGGCGAGGCCCTGTACCAGCCCAGCAGCGCTCACCAGCGCAACGCTCTCATTGCTGATGGAGAAAAGGATGTTGGACTGAGGCTGGGGGCCGCCCTCGGAGGTGACCTGAGCGGGGAGGAAACAGCGGCGTGTCAGTGCCCGTCATGCCAGGCAGCCCGCACCTCCCACTCAGAGAGCCAGGGCCCCAGTGCAGGCAGCTTCTGCCTTCTTCTCCCAGTCACTGCACGCAGGGCCAGAGGCGGCGTGCCTGGAACCAGGTGGTGGCCTGCACTGGGGCTGGAGCAGGACGTGGCCTCTTGGCTCTCACCTGCATCGTGGCCCCGATAAGCAGTGTCACCTTCCTGGGCATCAGCCTGAACGGGGGAAAGACCTGTTGAGAGACACAGGAGAGAAAGGACTACTGTGCCCCAAGCCCATGGCGCCAAGCATAACTCACACACTACATGTTTCATGAGAGGAAAACCTGGGACATGGACATCACTTCTCTCTGAGCAGTGACCAGAGGGCCCAGGGTCCTGGGCCAATGCTGGGGGCTGTCTCCCAGCCACTGGCCGAGGCTCCCTGGTTCTCTGGGGTGTGTTCTTCTGTTTGTGACTGTGTTTCACTTTCCCTAGATGTTAAAACCCAAAAGCTGGGCCGTCCCCTTGGAGGGATGGCTTTTATGCAGTTGAGCCATCCCCTTAGAGCAGCGGTTCTCAGTGTGTGGTCACTAAGCAGCAATGTCAGCAGCGCCTGGGGACACATTAGCAATGTACAGCCCCAGCCACCTGGCCTGTGGAGCCAGGGGTGGCCCCACAGGACAGCCCTGCCGATATGGGAGCACCCAGACCCCCAGAGGTTGCTCTTCTAGCACACCCTCCGGATTAGCCTGGGAGGAGACCAGGGACGTTGGTGCCACTCTTTGCAGCAGGTGAAGCCCCCACCTGCTCCTCCTGAAACCCCTACAAGAGCCTGCCTGGCAAGAGTAGGTGAGTGGACGCAGGAGGTGGCCAGGGTGCTACTTGTGTGGGAGTATCGGTCTCTGTAGCTGTGCTATTGATGGGCAGAAACAAATTTCTCATCACCAGAAGAAAGGTGCACCTCCATCTAGAGACACAGATGGCACCCACCTGCTTCGGATCACAGATTAATGACGCTCACCAGCCCCCGAGTGGCCCGGATGCAGGGTGGATGCTGGCAGGGCTGGTTTAATGCCGCTGCTGTGAATAGACTTAAAACAATGCCTGGGCCACAACTGCCATGGCCTGTGGCTGCAGTGGGGCTCCTGTCATAACCTAATGCCCCGAGACAGCCCCATACCACACACTGAGCTGGTGTGGGGACCTCAAAGCTCCCTTCATCCAGGAATCACCTACTTCAGGAGTTCCCTTTATGATACCTCTGCTCACGCAGCCCCTGTGACAGGTGCCCACTGCCCTCGAAGTGCCTGTTCTAAGGCTCAGGACCAATGGTTAAGGAGTTCTTCTACACATGAGTCAGCATCTGTCTAAGCTTCCACCCAGTCAGTGCTTTCTGGGAATAGTCCTGGTGTGTCCCCTTGCCATGTGACCAGGCACACCCCTTCTCTGAGCCACACAATCCCCCAAGTCACAGAGGAAAGGTCAAGTCACTTGGCCCCCTCCCTCTGGTTCTGCCAGTCTAACTTTGCTGCCTCCCAGATCCCTAGAGCTCGTAACAGCTGCCTTTTGATGAGAGGACATTGTGGGACACAGATTTTTATATGGCTTCTCTACAGTAGCTTCCTGGACTGTACTATAAAGACACTCCCAACCCCCAGCACTGGGCTGATCCCACATGGTGTGGGAAGAACTCGTCTTACTTCAATCTGTTGTGGGGCTGAGTTGATTCTCTGTCCAGCTTTATTGGTCACACTTGCAGTTAGACTGGTCTGGCCGATGGCCACACCGCGGATGAGGAATGTGATGGTGTAGTTGTCAAGGGCTTCATCAAGGGCCCTGAAACAGAGGGAAGGGCTGGGACTTCTCCAAGACCACCCCGTGGGAAAGGCTGCAGCTGGGGTCAGCACTGTCTCTGAGGTGCCCTCCTCTGACCCCTAGGAGAACTCACACCAATGTAATGATCGGGGAGGCTGCTCGGAGCTTCAGGTCCATAAAGGGGAAGTATTTGGCAAGGAAGGGCTTCTTGTGCAAGTCCAGCACGCGGACGTATGCCTTCACTGTCTTCCCAATCTCCACCTGCATCATGGGGACAGAGGTTCAGGGGCAGCCTCCAAAAGACCAATCCTACCATCTATGGTGCTCCGTGACTTTCTGAGATAGCATCACTAACCTCAACCCACAGACCTGGGAATCAGGAGAGTCACCCAGGTTGACTTCTGGACTATCAGCCAGTCAGCAAATGAAAATCGATGAGGGGGAGCTTGGGGATACTTAGAGGCATAAATTCCACATTCTACTCTTAAGTAACTAATACACTAATTAGGGAGATGAGACACCACTTAGAACAGCAGCATCCAGTAGGAGCTCAATAAATGCTCACTGACTGAACAGCTCACACCTGGCAGTGTATAATACAGTAAGAACTTTAGGAAATAAGAATCAGAAATACACAGCGAAGAAACAGATGATTAGCAAACAGCAGTGGAAATGAGATTATACAAGGAGTATGTGAGGCTGGGTACAGCATATTAGCTTCTTAAGGAGCCTAAGCCACATGAACACTCCCCTTTTAATTACCAGCCCTTCTATCCACTGAGGAACCTGACCGCAACCCTCTGGAAGCCCAGCTTCAGTCACCTCAGATATCTGGAGTAATAAAAATTCTGTATCAGTGTGAAAGATAAACCGAGATCTATCCCTTGTCTCTTTTTGCAATGGCGCTTGGCATGGGTGAGTTGTACTCATTTGCCACTGACACCCCAGTGAACCCAAAACCTATATTCTGGGAAGAAAATACATGCTCAGCAGGGCATGTGCCTCGTTGGTTAATAACCTACACCAGCCAGAAGACATGAATTCCCAGGTCATGGCTAATTTAGAGACAGCAGGATTTACTGCCAAGCCTCATGGGTATGTCATCTGGGATGAAGAAGTCCCTTACTGAAGGGACTCTGGATCCTCCACATGGAGCGAAGGAGATGGGAGACAGCTCCGCAAGCTCACAGGGGAAGGGATGCAGACCACAGGAGCAAAAGCAAAGGCCATGCGGAACATTCCTCCCACAGTCCCCTCCCTCCCAGTTCCTGCAGGTCAGCCGAGGGTGCCCCGTCATGAAGCTTCCACTGACCTTGTCAACCACACGGATGTACAGCTCCTGAATGTCCGACACGTAAACGACAGCCTTGGCTGGGGCCGGGAAGACGAGGCACAAGTCATGGATCATGATGGTGGATGAGCCCGGGAGCAAAGGGTGCACCTGCAAGGTTGGGGCGGAGGTGGAGGGGTGGGTGGTGGGTTACGCAGCTGCAGGGCCCCCCTCTGCTCAGGTTTGTGAGCAGTGCCTCGCCCTCAGCACCAGCCTATCACCTCATGGGATGCCAGTGGCAGAGCCCGCCAGGCCAGCACTGGGAAGCAGTGGACAAGGGAAATCACCCCAAGTAGTGCCCTGCCCACCTCTCGTCATGAGCCCCACTGCTGGCCAGGAGATGGGCTTGGGATATAACACATTAGTGCCAGGCTGGATCTCACAGAGCATTGATCTCCACTTGCACATTTTACAAAGAGAAGAAAATGGAAGCTGCTCCAAGGGGGCCAGTCAGCAGCCTTGGGACGTGCACCAACTTGAGGGCAGAGTGAGGATGCAGTCCCAGGATGCCACATCCTGAGCTGGCCACCTGCTGCTGCAGCCCTGGTGCTAGAGAAGCACCCCATGGGGTCTTCTGTGAAACCGCAAGTCAGGGGCTGGCAGAAAACGAGGCAGATGCTTTCCCACGGCAGCTTGCACAGGAAGTCCCAATCAGACTGATGGAACCACAGAGCCTGGGAGTGACCCGCAAGGCCACCCCAGTGTGAGCTATGTGCATCTCGCTCATCTTTGTGTCTCATCACATCCCTAGCTCTGTGTGAAGCAGTGACTGCCAAGGTGTTGTGAGTGAATGAACAAATCAGAGCTAGTTTTTTCCAGCCTTTTCACTGCCAGAGACCCTTTTAACATTTGTTTATTTTATTTATTATTTTTAGAGACAGGGTCTCACTCTGTCCCCAAGGCTGGAGTGCAGTGACGGGATCACAGCTCACTACAACCTCAAACTCCTGGGCTCAAGGCAAGAGCCCACCTTTTAATCCTTTTCTCTCTACCCACTTTTAGGGATTCTACCTTTAAGACTCTCCCCTAAGAAAGTGCATCACAATCACCCTTTCATGCTGCAGAAGATGGGCATTCACACAAGTAACATGTCTGTTTATGATGGAATTCATACAGCTTGTCTTACTACTTAGGCGCATATTTCAGTCAGGTGGTCCTGGAGCTGGGCAAGTAGGGACAGGCCATGAGGCGAGTCCAGCAGGCTGCCCCACTCCTCTATCTGGGCCTGGCTTTGTTGCTTGCTCTTTGTGGTCTCATATTCATGGGGTGGGGAGCAAGAGGTTTTAAAGTAAGCACTTCAGGGTTTGCAAAGCTAGAGTTTCAATATCAAGAAGCTACAAAAAAATAAAAAATAAAAATAAATAAAATAAAAATAAAGTTTCTGACCCAAAGGTGACAACCAAATAGGATCACATCACTCCCAACATCAACCCCTCAACAGCTGCCCAGTGCTCTGAGAATGAGCTCAAAGCCTTACCACGCCCTGTAAAGCCTGGTATGGCCTGGCTCCTGCCTCCACTCCAGATTCCATGCACATCACCCTCCCCCACTACACTTACGCTCCAGCCACGCAGGCCTTCTCTCCCACTCATACAGACAGCTTGCTGCTGCCTGCCTCCGGGCCTCGCAGCCCACCTTAAAGACCTGGACTCTTTCCCCAGCCTCCACCTGCTGGCTCCAAGTCATCCTCCAGGCCCAGGTCCAGCGTCCTTCCTCAGAACAGTCTTCCTGCATCCACGTCAGCTCCTCCAGCACCTCTTCTCCCCTCTTCTGGGGGCTGGTCCTGCCGGGTGCCATCAGTGTTGATGGGACCCACAGTGCACTTGGCCTTCCCCTCCAGGCTGTCCCTAGCACTCACATGCCCTCGGGACTCAGCCCAGCATCTGGTACAGCCTAGCCTCCTACGAGCACATCTTGATTGGATGAAGATCCAGGGCCGCTGCTCTGAGTAATTCTGGATAAGGTCATGGAACCTGGTGCTCCAGCCTGCTCAGCTTTACAGAGTAAAACCAGCTTTGTTAAGACTTGGAAATTCTGAAAATCACCTGCAACCCTCATGGACCTTCACTTATTTGGAAAGTGCTGATTCTGGTCCAACCACTTCAATGTGCAAATGAGTTAACTGAGGCCCAGATGATGGGACAGGGATATGGCTTTGAAAAGGCAGAGCTGGGGATAGAACCAAATACCCTAACTCCCAGTTTAGGCTCCTCCTCCGACTCTCCACTTCCCAGGAGAATGGGGCTGGAGGCCTCCTGCAGCCAGAACGGAACTGCGGGGCTGGGGAGGAGGGAGAGTGGACAAAAGCAAAGGCCTAGCTGAGAAGAGCCCAAGCCCACAGCTGGCTGGGGGCACGGAGGATCAACGAGCTGGCCCGAGCTGCACACACCACCCGTGTAATGATGGGTACATCAATACAGACAAAGCATGCCTGGGTTATTCCACACAATGACTTACAGTAGATGAATAAAGATCCCGGAGTGGACATCACACTTACACTACAAAACAATAGCTTTGTGACTGGAGCCATTGCCACATGAGCCTGGTGTCAAGTATGGGCTGAGGAGCAGGGTCCAGGAGCCACCAGGTTTCTGGTTTTGCTGGGGCTGATTGACCCCAGGTTATTACATTTCTCTCAAAGAAAACTCATTGAAAAATTACAGAGAGTAATGACAGCTTTCTTTGAGAACCCAATTTAAGGCTCCAACCTGAAACTCCTACTGTAGTTACTGCTGTCAGGAGTGGGCAGGTCCTTCACAATGTGAAGAAATTCCATAGTGCACCGACTGCGGAGCCCCACGCAGGGCAACACAGGGCAATGCAGGGAAGGGCTTTTTCTCTTTTTTCCTCCTTTAAAAGAACCATCTTGCACATTTTAAACAGAGACATAAAATGGCAGTGGGGAAATCAATTGCTCTTCCACTCGATTTCCCAGGGGATGGGCATCCAGCTACCATCTCTGGAGCCCTCGAAGCGTGGCCTGCCCCTCAGGCTGGTGCACAGCAGCTAAATGCACCCCACAGCGATGCTGTAAGGGCGTGCCCACCAGGCCACTCTGGAGGCTTGGGTAATGGAGGGCACTTGGCCGCTAGCTGGTGGCAGAGTGAGACCCTGCACCCACTCCTAACTACACTGTGCATGCAGCTCACACCACACAGCTTCTCCATGCATTCTGGACACACCTGCTTCCTGATTGACACATGGGAGAATGTTTGCGAGGGGAAAGAGGTAGTGGTGACCCATGCCCAGGATGAATTTTAATTTCTGAGTGTTGAAGGTGCCACCTGAGAACATTGGGAAACACTGAGCCAAGAGGAAAGTTCTGTCAAGTCAGAGATGACAAATGTGTCATTGCTCATTAAGATGCTGAGTGCAGCCAGAGGCAGCTCTGTGCATGTGGGGGCTGAAACTGTCAAATACCTCGGAGCTTGCCAGGCCCCAAGGCTCTGCCCACATCATCTCGGTCCCCGCTTCCTGGAGCCCTGATCACATTTCAGATTTGTCCCGACAGGTGGCGACTGCAGGGGATAAGGGACCTTGCAGCTATTTTTGAATGTCACTGGAGTCATCGGCTTCCATTTCCTGCAGGCTGCTTGTCAACGTCACGTGATGGGCCAGGAAGTGCCAAGCGAGTGTGCCCCTGATTACCCGCCCTCAAGGCAAGCAGGGAAGGACCTAAGCTCACATGAAAATCACAGGCACTGAGTGGGGCCCTGGCCTGGGTGCTGGATGAAACTTCACACAGGGACCCGGCCAGCCCTGTGACCTTCCCAAGGGCGAGGACTGGGGACGTGCACCACTGTCCACAGATCAGTCTCAGGGAAAAGGTGGATGCACCTGACTTCAGGCCCTGCAATTGCCACCCACTCCCCACTCATCCTGGACACATGTCCTCACCTGAACAATGGCCCCATGACGGGCTGCGCCTCACAGGACCCAGGAGATGGAGAGAAGCAGCCGCAGCTCATAGGACCCAGGAGATGGAGAGACACAGCTGCGGCTCACAGGAGCTGGGCCCCCCGGCTTCATTCCCTCCTGAATCCGCAGTGCTTAACACAGCACCTGGCACACGATAAGCACTCCAGCGTCTCTGAGTGCACGAGTTAATGGGAAATGTAAAGTGCCCAGCAGGCTCCTTCCCCTGCTCTGGTCATCTCATGGGTTCCGCCTAGAGGACTTGATTGAAATGTAAAGAATCGTTGAAAAGAAGGAAAACTTAGGCTTAAATCGGATAAACACTCCTATGTGCAAACCAGCCGAAAACAAAATAAAGGCCCTTACAGAGCGTTCTGGGGCTGTGTGAGCAAAATTCATCACGGCCCTGCACAGTCCATGTCCACTGTGTGGGGATAAAAACCCCCACAGGACCCCTGCTGCGTGAGCCCCAGAGAGCCCCCCAGAGACACTCCAAAGCCACACATTCCCGCAAGCCATCCTTCCGTGCTGAATATGTATCAACAGGAAGGAAAGAAACCCTTTCTCTGAGCTAACTGGGGAGCGCTGGGGGCTTGTCTATCTCTGTGCTGCTGCTCTGCAGCTGGAAAAAGCCACAGCCACGAGTAGACATCCCTCGGAAACAGTCGCCTGCAACTGTTTCTGAAGCAACCAGGACTTGCTGCTGACGTCAATACTCCCTGGAAAATTCCTCCTGCAGGCTTCAGAAGAGACCAGAGGAACCAGGGCCTGATTGGAGTTGCGAGAGTCTTTGGCACAAGCCTGAAATGAAGGGAGGTGAAGACCCCAGTGGGCAGGGCGCCTCCATGGAAGGAAACTTCTGGACCAGAGCAGTTCGCAGGGCCTGTGGCACGGGCTGCTGCTTGCCATAGGGGAGACTCGTCCCGGGTCCTGCCTGCAATGGGCACTCTGTGCCACTCAACCAGGCCAGCGGCCATTCCACAATTCAGAAAGAGAGTGCCAGAGCTCCCCTGTGGCCACCTGTAAAACAGAACTGCAGAGGCACTCCTAGAATTGCAGCATTTTAGGATTCAAGAGGGGTTTAAAGGTCTCCTGGGGAAACTTGACTCCCATGCTGGAATCCCACCTTGAGTCTTTCAGACAAGTGTCCCAGCTTCTGCTCAAATGCCTCCAGAGACAGGGAGCTCACTACCTACAGCGGCAGCCTAGTCCATCACCGACCTCTAGGAACTCTTGTTCTTGGAGTAAAGGTCTCCCTCTGGTCACAAGTCCACCCTCAGAGCTTGCACAGAATGACAGGTGCAAGGTAAATGTGAATGAGAGTGTGCCTCGGTTTCACTGGCACTGTACACATTTTTCCCTAACTTGGAACTCCCCTCTTCTTGGTAATGGGGAAGTTTTTATTAATTTCCAAAAATAAACAAAACAAGGCATATGTCAAGCAGTCAGAATTAAGATGTAAGATTCTCTTCACTCGCATGGCTGGAGGAAGAGCTGGGGAATTGTTCTTTCTTCTATGAGGGGATAAGAATGCTTAGGAGACGCTGCTTGTGGTCTCAGGCTCCTCGCCTCCTCCAGTGTCCTCCAACCACAAGCATGTCCCCAGCTGCTGAGGGCGTCCTGCCATCCAAGGGTCTGCCTCTGAGAAGAACAGGAACAGTGGGACTCCCTCCCCCTCCTTGAGGCACGGCGCTGAGAAAACATCCTCTTTGCAAGACAGCTGGAGACCAACATCAAACGCTGAAGGAAGGTTTTCGAAAACACCCCAAACACCAAACAAAAAAACTGAATTAAAAAACTTATTAAACAGGGGGTGTTTCACACAAAAATAGAGATCTCTATTTTCTCTTGAAAATCAGAAGCTCTTGCCTCACAGGCCCACACCCCCACACATCAAAAAACAGCCGGAGGTGCCAGTTCTGCAGGACAGTGTAAGGAGGCCACAGACTTCCCCATGAAACATACACACAGCCGTTTAAAATCTCTGGGATGATTCCAAGGGCAACAGCAAATGAAGAAGCATTTATTGGAGAAAGCCTGCTGACATCTGGGAAGAACAAGGGCCTGTGGTGCGTGAAATAAGATGCCCATCCTCCCTGACCTCCCACCCCAGTGAGCGGGGCTCCGCTCCATACTGGTTCCTCCAAGATCACAGGACTCCCTCACCCCCAGCTCTCGGTCAGGTGATTCGTTTCCTAGGAGGGGCAGGATGTCAGCTTTTCTTTTCTTACCATGCCCCCAGCTACAGCTTGCTGAGACTGAGTCCCAGGAAAGTGGGCTCAGAGGTGGGGGCTCTCATCTTCCACCCAGAACCCATTCGTGGGATGGAGGCTCTGCCTTGGGTGCGGCACCCGTGAGAATACTGGGGCCCGGCTGCCCTTCCCTGGCTCATGGGGTGGGGTTCCCTGCTAAGAGAGGCCAGCCAAGGAACACTGGAGCTGCTGCCCCACTCACCAAGGACCCAGCTCCTAACGTGCAGGTGTCACCAGAGAGAGATGCACCACTGTGCCCAGCACCATAGCTCTGGCTCAGAGAGTTTGCCTGGGAAAGCAGCTGGTGCACAGCAACTAAATGCACCCAGAAAACAGGTGTGAGTTGCTCCTGAAGGAACTGACTTCATGCGCAACAGAGCTCGGAGAAGTCCAAGCCTAAGCACACTCTCCAAAACACTGCAAGTTGTGCTGAAAGGCAACTGGGAGGTGACGGAGAGCCTGGGAGGTGTGGGCTACACTGGAGGCCGGCAAGTTTGCCAGAGACAAACGGAAAAAGAGAGAGGTAGGAAGAGCTCTCCTGGGGTCAGAACAAACCTTAAACATCTTCTAGGGAAAGGGTCCCTTCAAAGGATCCTGAATAGGATTGGACTGAGTTGTGTAGGAATGTGTGCCCCAGGGAATTACTGAAGACAGTGGAGCAATCAGCCTCAATTAGTGCAGCTCAACAGTTGAGTGGTCAGTGAAAGACAGCCAAAAAAAGCCCTGCAAAGGCCACAGTCATCCCAGAGTGACAAAGGACATACCAAGGTGTTATCCCCTAAGAGCAGTATCAGAGACTTCTTACTGGGGAAAAGTGTGTGTGTGTGGGTGCGTGTGTGTTCAGCAAAATAACACAGCCTGTGTGTGTGTGTGTTCAGCAAAATAACACAGCCTGTGTGTTTGTGTGTGTGTGCGCGTGTGTTTTTGTGTCTTCAGCAAAATAACAAGGCCAGTCACTAAAGAAGTAAACAAGCAAATAATAATAACAAGCTCCAGCATGGGGATGGGGAATCAGTACCCAGAGTTTCTACAATACATTACCTAAAATGTCCAGTTTCCAACAATTATAGGACATGAAAAAACAAAACAAAACAAAACAAAACAAAACAAAACAAAACAAAAAACAAAACAAAACAGGAAAACATGACCCGTACTCCAGAAAAAAGGCAGATGACAGAAACTGTCTGTGAGGGCCACCAGAGATCAGATTCACCAGGCAAAGCCTTCCAACCAAACAACGATGAAGGGAGTAAAGGAAGATTTGATAACAATCTCATATCAAACAGCGAATATCAATAAAGGGGAAAAGTTACAGGAAAAAAAATAGAAATTCTTTTTTTTTTTTTTTTTTTGAGATGGAGTCTCGCCCCGTCGCCCAGGCTGGAGTGCAGTGGCGCAATCTTGGCTCACTGCAAGCTCCACCCGCTGGGTTCACGCCATCTCCTGCCTCAGCCTCCCGAGTAGCTGGGAATACAGGCGCCCGCCACTACGCCTGGCTAATTTTTTTTTTTTGTATATTTAGTAGAGACAGGGTTTCACCGTGTTAGCCAGGATGGTCTCAATCTCCTGACCTTGTGATCAGCCTGCCTCGGCCTCCCAAAGTGCTGGGATTACAGGCATGAGCCACCGCACCCGGCCAGAAATTCTTAAATTGAAAAGTATAACAGCTGAAATGAAAAATTCACTAGAAGCGCACAAGAGTAGATTTAAACTGGCAAAAGAAAGCATTAGCAAACTTGAAGATGGACTGCCAGCTTACATTAGCAACACGCAAAAACATAAAAACTTAAAATAACATAATAAAAGCAGAACATTAAATTCTTCCATGCCATGAGCACAGCTAAAGTCAATGCTTGCAAGAGTAGGGAGAGGGTCAAGAGAGAAACACAGGAAAAATAGAGAAAGGTGAGACATCTTTTAAAAGCAATTTTCTTTATGGCTGTTACAGTGCTCCTTATGGAATAATATTTTAATCTTAAAGGATTGATTGAAAGGAAACCATTAGGTAACTAACAGTTTGTGGACAGGGAATACAAATCACAAAGGTTTCATGAGAATGACTAAAGTTGTAGAATGAATCAGAGAATCTAAAGACCTTGCTAATTATAGCTAATGTGATTAAGTGCCAGCTTTTTTTTGGAGACAGGGTCTGGGTTTCTCACCCAGGTCTGTTGCCCAGGCTGGAGCATGACCACTGCTCAATGCACCCCTCAACCTCCGGGGCTCAAGCAATCCTCCTGCCTCAGGTTCCTGTGTAGCTGGGACCACAGGCCTGTGCTACCATGCCCAGCTAATTTTTGATTTTTCTTTTTTTTTTTGTAGAGATGGGGGTCTCACTATATTGTCCAGGCTGGTCTTGAACTCCTGGGCTCAAGTGATCTTCCTGCCTTGACCTCCCAAAGTTCTGGGATTCCGAGTGTGAGTCAAGTGCTAGCTTTCAAAATGATCAATCAATTAACCACACAACAGCCCAGATAAGGAATGAAAACCAACAGTGGGGACCGATGGCCCAAGCTTACCATGGCGACACCCCTGGCCTCCTGGTAGGCCACCTTGACAACATCTGCGGTGCTGGTGTTGAGGAAGAAGTAACCTGAGCCTTCCCTGATGCGGAGCTCTGCCTGCAGGAGGCAGATGCAGGGAGGGTTGGGCCGCATGTGGGAGGGCGAGGAGTCCCCCCGTGGGTCTTGCCCAGGAAGGTGGCAGGGCAAGGACTGTACCTGGATGCCAGGGTGGTTGTAGATGGTCACCTCTTCTGGGCTCACCCTCACGTCCTCCACCAGGATGAGCTCTATGGAGGCCGACAGAGGCACCAGAGGGTCATGCTGAAGGACAAGGGCAAGGCCATTAGATCCAGGAGGACATGATTAGGCTGCCCCTCGGGAAGAACAGGCCCAAAAGCCCTAGGGCCTGGCCTTGCTCCTGGCCACAAGCCCCTGGTGCTCCTGAGCCCAGCAGAATGGCCACAGACCCTTTGAGGTCTCCCTTCAGCCTCCTGAGGTGGAATGAGTTGCTGGCTCCTCCACTCCAGACTGAGGAGAGGGTTGGGAGCAATCCAGCTTAGAAGACGCCACCCCAACCCACCAGGCCCCAGTGGTGGGCAACTCACACACACGCCCTGCCTTGCAGGACCTCACAGCAAAGGGTCAGCTTCAGAGCATGTGGCCGCTGGCCAGGCCAGGCATCGGGGGAGGGTCCCCTGGAAGTGTGGCCAAGGCTGGCTCAGGAGAGGACAATGACAGCCCTCATCCCCTAGGGTGGCACATGACCCACTGAGCTCTGCTTCCCACCATGTGTCACACAAAGGAGCCACCCAGATCTGAGGCCCCCAGGAATCACGTGTTTGAGCACCTCCTCAGGGCCACAGGTGTGCCAGGCACTCGGGGTGCAGCAACTGCCGGCAGGGAGAGGCGACTCCAATGCACGGATGGAAGAGCAAGAGTGAGTCAATGACAGGAAGGTGTGCATTGTGGGTGACAAGGACAAGGAAGGTGTCTGCAAGGGAGAGCAGCTCTCAGGGGAACACAGACTGCAAGGGGAGGAAGCCTGAGTGACTCAGCTATGGGGGGTGGGGGGACATCAGGGCAGGGAGGAAGTGCAAAGTCATGGGGATAACATGTCAGGGTGCTCAGGCATCAGGCAGGAGGCCGTGACGCCCCCTCACTCCCAATCAAGGGAATCCTGGTGCCAGTGAGGACTGAGCCATCAGGTATAGGCACAGGTGTGCCCCTTCAGTGACCCCCTCCCTCCAGGCCAGCCTCCCCAGTGCTGCCCCCACGGGACCCCAGCCTCTTTCAAAGTTTGCTCCCAAGAGGACAATAGAAGTGCCTCATCCTGGCATTTAGGGACCATGGGAATACAGTTACAGTCCCACCTTCTCCTTCCAGCCTGTACCTGCTGCCTCCACCTTATTCAAGACCTAAGTTTCCTTGTGGCTGTACCCCCCATGAGGTGGCTGTCATCCAGGAAGGGCTATTCTTGAGAAGCCCTTCCCATTCCCACCTCCAATGTACCTATTGGTCCCCTACTATTAATAGCAGTGCCTCTCCTGGGGCCTCCAAGAGGCTGGGGTGGGGGAGTGGTGGTCAAGCAGACAGTGACTCAGGACACTGTGATACCCGGTGGAATTTAAGCAGAAGTAGGAGGCTTGCCCCGCTACCCATAGCCCACCCACCACTGGGCCCTGGGAGATACCGGCTGCTTTGTTCTGGCAGAGCTGAGGTGGGACTCCTGGTAGCCAGTGGCAGTGGCAGTGATGGCTGTGGTTCCTGATGCCTCGTGAACCAAAATGGCCTGCAAACCTGAGACCAGGAAGAAGGAAGCCACCGTTGGATGTCTGCCCATCACCACCCCTGAAGCAGCCCCTCCCTCCTTCTGATTTGCAGTTTCGAATCTGAAAACAGACAACTGTGTGTGTTGAAACTATGTGGATTGTAAGAGTTAACAGGATCTAAGCACAGATAACTAAGCTCCCACAGGCACTGGCCCACCTTGGCAGGCTTCCTGTCTGGTCTCTGTTCTCCTGCCTGGGCCATCAGGCTTGTGCCCAGCTCACCGTGCAGCTTCTTTTGGCCACTCTCATCGTCCTGGGACACCAGCTGCATGGGCAGCTCAGGCTCGATGCTGGCCAACACTGGCCTGGTGGACTCCCACTGGATGCTCAGAGAGCTGAAGTTGTCGAACCGGCGGCCCTCCTGGTCGTAAGCAGCCAGGTCCAGCCGGGGGTTGCGGTGGCTGGACACTGGGACCTGCAGGGAACACAGGTCAGATGTTGTGGTCACCCCCAGGACTGGACCTGGACACTGACCACGCAGTGCACTCTGAGGCCAGCAGCTGCCCTGTGGGCTCTTGGGGGTGCTGGTGAGGGAATGGGATATGCCAGAAAGCAATCCTCACTATTGCCACCCACCAGGTCCCCCCATGGCCCTGTCCAAGCTGGCCTCTGGCTCCAGACCACAGCTCTCAGTGGAATGAGAACCACTAGGGGGCCTTCAGCAACACTGGAGGCATTTCTGGCTGTCCCTACGCATGAGTCAGGGGGTTGCCACTGGCATCTACTCGGGAGAGGTCCATGATGCTGCTAAACACCCTACGATACACAGGACAGCCCCCCACAGGAACTATCTGGTCCCAAACGTCAACAGTGCTGAAGCTGGGAACCACCATCCTGACCTACTACTGTGGGCAGGCTGCTCTCCTTCCCCTCTGCCCTCACCTTCCCAAATGATTGCCATCCCCCACCCAGGCACATGTCGGTGCCTCTAGGATGGCCCCACTAGTGGTTTCACAGGAATGCAGATTTCAACGCCTAAGATGTCCCAGAGCTACTGGGTTTGTACAGCTCCTTTGAAAGTGGAATACTCGCCTAATCCTTAAATGTCCCAGGAAGGTGGAAGGGGTCATCCCCACGTGAAGGAAGCACAAGCCCAGTCAGGGAAAGGAGCTCATCCAAGGAGGTTCGCAATGGGAGCGCCAGGCTGCAGGTCCAAATCCTGGATTCCCACCACTCTGGGGTGATCTCTCGCTCCCCGAGCGGACTCTCCCCTTAGAAACCAGCTGAATCAAGCCTCTTTCCTGTGGGCTATCCCTCCCTTCTCTGGCCACATAGCATGGGGGCAGTGTGGGCTGGGCCATAAAGCAGAGGCCAAGTGTCTCTGACCCCACAACTTGGACTCAGCCCCAGCTCCACCTCTCAGTGCCCAGGCAAGTTATGAACTCCCTGAGCCTCAGTTTCTCCAGCTATGACACACAAAGCACAACTGAGGGATTTAAATATGGGGACTGCAAGGTCATTTTAGAGCCTTCCTACATTCGGGTAGGAAAGTGGGCAGCCATGAGCATCATTCACAAACAGGGCTAGTTTTCCATTCGGGGAGAGGGGGATCCTGCAGGAAGAACTACCCTTCTCTCATCCTCTGGTTAGAAGTGACTGAGGCACTTGTTCTGGCCAGTGAAATGGGACTAGGGGGAAGCTTCACTGCCAGATCCCGACCTGCCACATTCCCTTTCTCTCCACAGTGGCACCTGCCATGATCAACATGGTGGCTGCTCCACAGCCCATGTCTTGGAATGAAGATCACAATGACACAAAGCAGGTCTCCCAGCCAACTAGAGAGGCTCATGCAGCATGGGCAAGAGGTGAGCTTGTGCCATGTGAAGCTACGGGATGTGGGCTTGTTTGCCATGGCAGCCTGGCCAGGCCCCGCCTGCCTGACCGATACAGTCACAAAACACCCCACCTGCACCATGAGGGCTCCTCCCAACTCCTTCTAGCTCTCTTGCCCCAAGAGAACACTTGATTCAAGCAGGCTACAAATTCTTAATCCACACCCTGCTCTGAGTAGGCCAGCACCATCAGCAGGCATGCAAAGGTCTCATCATTATTCATAATATAGAAGCCGGGAGTTTGGGCAGGGGCTGTAGGGACCTATCCTAGGTGCTCCATGGCTCCCCCAGATGCAATCCTGGCTGGAAAACCAATGCTCCTCCAGGGAAGGAAATTGACACTGGCCAAGCACATGTGCAAGCTAACTGGCCCATTTGAGGCAACAACATAAGCCCCATATTACAAACAGGGAGGCTGAGGTCCAGGGACGTTAAATGTTGAATGACTTGTCCAAGGTCACACAGGTTTAGGGGTGGAACTCAGCTGGCCTGATTGTAGAGCCCAAGGACCTCCCCTGACTCAGTGTGGCCAATCTCTGGTGTCTCAATCTGGGGACAGCCCCATTCAAGCCCCTAATCAGTCCCATGCAACTGGTGCCCACCCACAGTGAGTGAGCCACACGCTAGAGGACCTGCTCAGAGGGCCAGGGTCAGGCTGAGCCTGGCTCTACCTTGTCATTCTGATCAGTCAATTCCATTCTGGTGTCTCTCCTCACCAATAATTTAATCTGCAAACACATCTTGGGTAGCCTCTGAAGTTGGAGAGTATAAAATTACCTTGATCCTGCATCCAGGCTGCATTGCAGGAATATATCTTTCTCAAAGTTCCCTAATGACTGGCCAGGCATGGTGGCTCACGCCTGTAATCCCAGCACTTTGGGAGGCCGAGGTGGGCGGATCACGAGGTCAGGAGTTTGAGACCAGCCTGACCAATATGGTGAAACCCTGTCTCTACTAAAAATACAAAAATTAGCTGGGTGTGGTGGCGCATGCCTGTAATCCCAGCTACTCAGGAGGCTGAGGCAGGAGAATCACTTGAACCTGGGAGGTGGAGGTTGCAGTGAGCCGAGATTGCGCCACTGCACTCCAGCCTGGGCAACAGAGCGAGACTGTGTCTCAAAAAAAAGAAAAACAAAAGTTCCCTAATGAGGCTGTAAATTGCCAGAGTCACACCTGAATGGCTGGCTGGTGGCTCAGGAACCTGAGCACTGATGGATCACACAGCTACTCCGTGTTTGAGGTCCATTATTTTCTGGCGACATCTATGATGTGCAAAGCCAAATCAGAGTCAAGCCCTGCAGCCATCATATTTAAGTCCAGAGAGACAACACTGGGCTAAAGCAGAGGTCCTGGCCAACAGACAGACCAGGACCAATCCAGCCCCAAGGTGGCCCGCTCAGCTCACAGACAACGCTAAGGACAGGGAAGATGCACATAGGTATGATTTGTTTTTCTTTGAAAATGAGAAAGCTGGGCCAGCCTGGGGTTGAATTGACTGTCCCTGAGCTGAGCAGGCTGCCTGTCCAGAGAGGACCTGCTCTCCAGTTCAGCTACTCCCTGGCCAGTTCTCCAGCAGTGTGGCTTCTCCACCCACGAGTCTGCAAGAGTCAAGGGTGAAGACAGGAGTGGCGCATGCACAGTGCATTCGCTGGTTCACTCATCCTTCGCTCCTAGTTACTGAGCTCCTCCTATGAGCCAGGGTCTGCTCTAGGACTCGCAAAGAATCAATGGAGTGAGTTCCACAGCGTTAGATAGCGGTGAGCTCGCACATGCCCTCCTCAGAGCCCCACTCCGCTCCTCCTGAGCAGCCTCCTCCTCACTCTGCTGCGTGCCCTATTTCACTTCCCTTGCAGCGCTTGCCACCTCTGATCCATCTTATTTGTGCATCTCCTGGTCTCCCTGTCATCTCTGGGAGGCAGGTTCCTTGCCTGTCCTGATTAGTGTGCAATCCAAAACTCAGACCTGTATCTGACACAGAGGACATGCTCCATAAGTACATGCTCAAGGAGTGAGGAGCTGCTCACCCACCTCCTCTGAAAAGGGGCTGGGGGCTGATGCTGGCCAGAGGATGTCCCATGTCCCTTACCCTGGACACACTCAGCACCTTGGGCTCTGAATGCCCTAGGGACTAAGGCATGGATGTGTCTCAAGTCCAAGGGGAGCAGACCTGTGGCTTCCCCTACCATCCCTGCTGTTAGACAAGACTCCCAAGGGACTTTCTTCCTCTCCCAACACTTACTTTTGAAACACAACCCCACGTCACCCACATCATGGGGATGCTGTAGCTGGTCACCTCTCCTCAGCAGCCCCCACGCCTACTCTGACCCTACATACCCTGTCCATAGACAGCAAGCCCCATTTTAACACCCTCAAGGCACAGAAGACAACAAGTTGTTTTTAAACTACCGAGTGCCAAACAAAGGCAGGCAGCAAATGTGGAAGAGGACTCTATCTTCACCTGGCACTGCCACTAGTAGCTGTGACTTTGGTATGTCTCTCACCTCTCCAAGCTGTGTGTCCCCTGCATATAAAACACAAATGAAACCAGCGTCCTCACAGGGCCAGTTGTTGAGACGAAGGAAGTGCAGCGTGGAGCTATGTCCGTTGCAATGCTCGGGACCATGGGCGAGGCCACCAATGTCCTCCTGCCCAAGCGGGTGGCACCCTCACCTCCTCCCGAGCATAGCCCACACTCACCACCTGCTTGTTCTGCTGCAGCAGCGGACAGGACATGTCCAGCTGGGGGCTGGTGTAGACAGGCGCGAGGGTGAGCCTGGACGGTGGGGCGCAGACGAACTTCACCACGGCAGGCTCCACCGCAGGAAAGGGGTTGGTGAGGCTGGGCTTGTTCCCCACCGACAGGGCGATGACCTGGTAGGGCACAGTGAACAGTCAGACCCCCAAGCTTGAGTTCTCACTCCTCTCTGAGCTATGCCACACCCCACCCCAGCTCCCTCTGACTCAGTTTTCTCCTCTATAGGATGGGAGTGATGACGATACCCATGCCACAGGGTCTTAACAAAGGCCCAGTGGCACACAGGTGGGAATGCACTTTCTCAACACCTAAGAGACTCTCAGATGGGAGCCCATGTGCCCTATGGGCTGCTCCTATCCCAGGGAAGAGGTAGACCCGGTGAGGCTTCATGGTTTCCCAGGACCCTGGGAAAACCCCACGGTTGCATTAGAAAATTCACAAGTTCAAGGATGCTTCAATGAGGAGTCCATATGGAGGTGAAAACACCCATGGAACGAGGAACAGACGTGGGAAGTGCATGCTGCAGAATGATGACAGGGCAAGCGAATCAGATAGGAGCTCTGCAGGACAACGCCCAGGAGGAGCTGCAGCCTGGAGGCAGGGCCTGCCCTCCGCCTGCTCATGCTCTGCAGCTCCAGGGGCTGCTGCAGAGAGGGAAATCCATGGTGCAAGAAAAGAGGGAAACCTGTCTGCCTGGAGAGCTGGGACCTCAGAAGTCATATCTGGCCTCCTCTTTTTTGGAGCACCATGGCTCAGGGCCCATCTTGAGGTAGCACCCTCAGCCTCCTCAGATAACATGCACTTGATGGAGGACACGAGCCCCTACCCCTCCTGACCATAAGGCAGGACCAAGGGCAGTGTCCTCCGTGACTCCACACAGGCTTTCTGTCTGCACCTGGTGCCGCATGTGAGGGAGCCACAGAGCAATGGATTGGGAGGGCCCTAGAGGTAACCCCAATTGGAGGTCACATTCTTACAGCCCTGAGAGGGGACAGGGATGGTGGGGTCATGCCAGGGATAAGAAATATATCCAACTTAATTCATGAGGAATTTTATTCTTCTTATTGTATTATTTATTATGATGCTGTTATTGTTCTTGTTGTTTTATTGTTTTTCTAAAACCACCCCACTGGTGAGTGGAACCTATCACCAGGCATCTTTTCTGGCCATACCAGGGCAGCTGTGGCATGGCTGATACCATAAGGGCACCGTGGGAGGCATGCATGTGCGTTTTATTGCCAACTGACATTCTTTGCCCTGCACACATGCAGGAAATACCCTTCACGTCCCAAAGAAATGGGCTCTCTCCCATCTTCCTGATTCCCGCCGAATACCCCTTTTGCTTTGGGCTTCCTGCCTTGGAAACAGAGCAGTAGATGCCCACCAGAAGCCCCACAAGCTCTCAGCTCACCCTCCCCGGGGAAGGAGTGTCAGGCCCCAAGGCGCCTGAACAGCAAGAAGCCCTCCAGCCAGCATGTGGGGATTCAGGTCACACATGTGTTTTGTCTGGTCCCCTCAGCCTCCTCAGCTTTTGGTTTTCAGCATTAAAAAACTTAAGAGATTACCTATACAAAAAAAAATATTGTGATTTCCAGGTTATCCTCAAGAACCAACAAGATGTGTCAAACCTGGGTCTACAGCCTCATTCATTTACGACCCTGGAGACATTGGACTTGTGACCCCCGAACTCAAAGCCTCCAGCTCTGGTTTGGTTAGTGGGGGATGCTGAAGCCCATGGAGGTGGCAAGCCACCCAACTGGCCTACTCTATGAAAGCTGGCATAGCGGGAGGTCCCTATTGCCACACCTGCCTGGCGTTCATTGAGTCACATTCCACCTCACCACGCCTCAGTTTGCCTGTCTGTAAAATGGGTACAATAGGAGTGGCTGTCTCTCAGCGTTACTCCAAGGAGTAAATAAAACAATACTGAGAGAGTCATTTTCCACCCCTGCCTTAGGGCAAGGAGGGTCTGGAGCAGCTGCCCACTCACCTGCTCACCCAAGGCCTGACAGGTCACAAGGATCCAGTGTTGCTGATAATTCCGGGAGGAATGGGGGGCAAAGAGAGCCAGGCCGATGCTGTCAGTGTCCTCAGCGGTGACGTTCTGGAAGAATTTGGACGGCTCGAGGATCCAAGGTCTGGGACCTCCTTCAAACAGCATCTCCTTTGAGGAGCCCAGGGTTACCAAGGCAACAGAGGAGGGATCCACAGCCTGGGGACAGAAGAGGCAGAAGACTTGGCATTCTTCTAAGGCAGCACGGGCAGGAGCCGGGCATCCCAGCCCCACATCCTCACCCCGCTTGTGGGGGCTGGTGGTCAGGCAAGCCCCATCTCCTGTTTGAAACTCATTCTCGTCATCTGCAGCACTCACAGGGATCATTGCAAAGATCCAGAGGAATGGGGTGTAGATAGAATTAAGCCCTCACTCTGACAGACTGCTGGAGGGTGTACATGGATTTGCCTCTTTCGTCAAACAATCTGGTAAAAGCCTTGAAAATACCCACAGCCCTGGAACCCAGGAATTCCCCATCTGGAACCTAACCTAACAACACAATGGAGAGAAACATGTCAATGTACAGACAGATGTTCATCACACTATTATTTCCCACAGCAAATAACCAACAATAATCTACAATCCAGCACAAGGGGCTCAGTACACATGGTGTTTCCCAGTGATGGAACCTTATGCGGGCCCCCAAAGCAGTCTTCGCAAAGATCTACAAGTGCAGGATACAAATCTGATGGTGCCGTTTGATCACAATCATGTTGCTGTAAAAAGCATAAAACCATCCTAAAGAGATATCCACCAGGTGACCAAAGGAGATGCAGCCTGTGGTGTCCTTGCTGGCATCATTGCCAGTGGTCCATTCCCTTCCTTCTGAGCCGCTGGGCTTCCCATACTTTGCACCACGTATGCACGAGCTTCGAGGGTGAGTTTTGTGGCACCTAGAACCATGCCTGGCACATAGCGGGTGCTCAGCAATTCTTTGTTGAATGAAAGTGAGTTGGCAAGTAAAACTATGGAGTCCTTAAAGTACCCAGTAAACAAAGGAAGAATTAAAGTAGTATTTCACACAAAGCTCTCATTTCCTCCATGGCCTAGGGCAACCAGTGGTGCCCAGGGCCCCATGGCCTCCTGGTGTGGGCAATGGCAGTGCTTAGATTCTATGTAACAGGGTGTCATTCCCAGCCAACCTCCAGGAAGACGTGGAGACTCCACAGGAGGACTCCTCCCTCCAGTGACACACAGCAGGGGTGCGGAGAGGAGGGATTCACTCTGAGGGGTCCCGCAGTCCTGCTCCTTGAATCCCTGCCCAGCTGGGCTAACCTCCCACTGCAGAGGGTCCCACTGCAGTGACTGCCAAGTCCTCACTTGTCAGTCTGCTCCCTGCTAGACCCATCTACTCTCCCTTCAAACAGCTGCCCATGTGTCCCTCACTAAGACACAGACCTGACCCTGTCCCTTGTGCATTAAACTATTCCACGCACCCACGGCCCTTGGAATACAGGCTCAGCTTCTGTCCTGGGACTTGGGCTCTCTCAACCTGGCTCCAGTCCCAGCTTCAGACTAGTGGCATCCTTCTAGAGAACCAGGCTCAGCTGTCCCCAGGCCTTCGAAGAGGCTACCCTCCTGTCCTTGTCTCACTTAGGCGACCCCTCCTCACACTGCAGGGCTCAGCACACTGGCCTCCAGAAAGCCCTGCTTCCTCCCCAACCCAGCCCCAACCTGCAGCCCAGGCGACTCTTCTCTGGCCCCCACTTCACCTGGTGCTCCTCACCCTGAAGGAGCTTCATGGCCTGAGAGGTCTCCCTGATCATGCTATAGGCTTGTGGAGGGTACGGTGTGTCTGTTTCCTTCTCTGTCTGTGGCATGATCTTAACCACATGAGGAAGGAAAAACCTTATAAGAAAAATATTCCCTCCCCACCCACAAAAAAACCTCTTCCACCCCTGCACGCGGTGGAAGGGTCATGCTAGCTCTCTGGGTTCTTTTATAAGGGCACTAATCCCAGCCGTGAAGCTTCTGCCCTCATGATCTAATCACCCCTCAAAGGCCTCAGCTCCATTGCTGTGGGGGTCAGCATTTCAACATATGTATTTTGTGGGGACACAAACATCCAAATTATGGCTATCTATGAGGAAGGAAGCCCTCACCAGTCACCAAAATCTGCTGGTGCCTTGACCTTGGACTTCCCAGCTCCTAAACTGCAAGAAAGAAATTTCTGTTGTTTATAAGCTACCCAGTCCAAGGTGTTTCGTTAAGGCGACCTGAACAGACTATGACTTCTCAAATGAGAATTCTGTCCTTTTGACTTTGTTTTTGAATATGAACATTTTTGGGATCTGATATAGGTTATCGACTGTCTCTGGGCATCCCTCCCTGCACATGTGTGCTCACACACAAACAATTCCAAGGAGCCCGCGGTGCCCCTGCTGTAACCCATCCCCGGACTCGACCTTCAACAGAGCCAGGCGTGGCCCCTGTTTCCTGCAGGAGAAGCACTAAGTATGCTCAGGGCCTTCATCTCTGCTCCTCTCAGAACTCCCAGTTCTGCATGCCACTCAGGCCTCTGCCTGAGCGTCACCTCCTCAGGCAGGCCTCTGCTGAGCCTGTCTGAAGCAGGGTCTCCCTTCCCCCGTCACCTCCTTTCCAGCTCAACTCTTCATCTCTGCCCCTCAGACATCACTGGATATACCATCATTTGCTTCTCTGTCCCCACTGGAGTGAAGCTAGTGTGGGACCTTAAACAAGTTAATGTCTACAAGGCTGTTTCCCCATCCTGTGAAATGGGTACAATGATAATGCCTACCTCGCGGTGCTACTGTTGTGATTCAGGGGCTGGAATGAAAGACCTGAATATGTGACTAGCACACGCTCAATCAATGGCCCCTGCTGTTAGAAACTGTTATGATTATTAACTGTCATCCCCACTTTATAGACAGCAAGGATAAATCCCAGCAGATGAAGACACTAAACCAAGCTAACCCAGCTGGTGGGCCCGGGTCTGTTCTGACTCTTGATCCCATGCTCTTACCCACATCTCATGGCCACAACCAATAAAACCCCACTATGGGCAAAGCAGGCCACTGTGTATCTTGCCAAAGACATTTTCATGACCAGCCCAAAGTGAAAGAACTGTGCGAAGGAGCTGTGTGTTCTACAATTAACAACTGGAGGATGAGGAATTATCACCTTCCTGTTTAATTCTCTCCCTTAGGCATGAAAGTATCATGGAACCCTGTGCCAAGGAGACAGGTTAACAACGCAGCTGATGAAGGATGCTCATGAATTGTGCAGGCTCCTCAGCGGATGTCAAAGCCCAAATATTCCAAATATTCCTCACGTGCAACAGAGACATCAATTCCTCTATTGGTTAAGTCCCTGTCACTTGGCTTTTGTTCCTTGTAAATAAACCTGATCTTACCTGCTAACTAGGAAGGAGACAGATGAAAGGAGAAGAGATCCATATCCACTTTTCTCTATAATCTGTCCAATCAGGAAGCCACCTCCCTGAGGGACATGTCTACCTTATCTTCATTGTTACATCCCAGCTCAGGACTGTGAGCTCAGCTTCTGGCTTCTGCTGCTCCAGCCAAACACCCTGATAATCCAGAGCCAGGAGGGGCCCTGAAGAACCCCTCTCCAGGTGCCTGGTGAAATGCTCTAGCTCCCAGAAGGTGCGCAGGGCAACCCCAGAATGCCTGCTGTGCTCGGGGATTTCAACTCTCTCCACTCTGCTCTCTGACACTCTCACCTGCTGCAGTGCTGTGCTTGAGTTGGGATGTGGGGGCAGGTCTTGATCTCCTCATTTTAAACTTCCACCCCCATCACCCCTTCATGCTCTACTTTTTTCATGGCAAGCAGAGGTAAAATACATTCTTTGCTTTGTTTATGGTCATCTCTACCTCTCTTTGCCAGAATGTCACTTCATGGGGACAAAGGTTCTGTGTTCTCTGCCCTGGTGCAACTCTAGGGCCTGCAGAAGGGATTGCACAAGTAGGTAGGTATTCATGCCTGTGTGCTAAAGGAACAAATGTGTGGAGGATGAGGAGCAGGGCTAGGCCTCTGATCACTAATGGACATCTGAGAAGTGTCTGTTATGTTTGCTCTGGAGGTCAGGAGGCCTTGGCTTCTGCCCTGGCTGGGTGACCTTGGATACATTTCCTCACACGTTCATTCTAAACAAAACCACCCTTGGTTGATGTCTGCTCTGTGCCAGGCACTGAACCCAGGGCTAGGGGTTCAGAGATAAAAGATCCTAACATCGCCAG
The DNA here is from genome assembly GCF_000001405.40 of Homo sapiens. Classification (NCBI taxonomy): domain Eukaryota; kingdom Metazoa; phylum Chordata; class Mammalia; order Primates; family Hominidae; genus Homo; species Homo sapiens. Next base: position 13,364,553 of record NC_000003.12, read on the forward strand.
GCACGGTGGCTCACGCCTGTAATCCCAGCACTTTGGGAGGCTGAGGTGGGAGGATCATCTGAGGTCGGGAGTTCGGGACCAGCCTCACTAACATGGAGAAACCCTGTCTCTACTAAAAATACAAAATTAGCCGGGGATGGTGGTGCATGCCTGTAATCCCAGCTACTCAGGAGGCCGAGGCAGGAGAATCGCTTAACCCTGGAAGGCAATGGTTGCGGTGAGCAGAGATGGCGCCATTGCACTCCAGCCTGGGCAACAAGAGTGAAACTCTGTCTCAAAAAAAATAAACAAATAAAAGAAAAAGAAAAAGAAATCCTAACATCACCAGGCTTGCTTCCAATGAATGCCTGAGAGGAAGAAAAAAATGGGACAAACCATGAGGACCGGAGCTGTCTTCAAGGCTGACACTGGGAGCAGAAAAATGCAAGGACTGCCTGACCAAGCCAGGGAGTCTGGGGCTCCCCTAGGACTGCTCTCCAGCCCTCCCTGGAAGGAGGAGCAGGAACTCCCCATCAACAAACCCTCTCTGCGCCTCCTGCAAGCTAGGCAGAGTTCAAAGAAAGGAATGATTAGTCAGCAGCCTCCTGCATGGCAGCCCTCGCACGGAGCCTTCACACCCACCCCAGAGGAAGGCCCAGTTCTTTTTTATCCGTGTATAATAACTAACCCTTCCTGAGCCTGCACTACCCCCTAGACTGTGTTCTGAGCTCATTCCATTTGTGAGCTCAGCAAATCCTCATCACGACCCCATGAGGCAAGAGCTGTCTCAGTCCCATTTTACAGGCAGGGAATGTAAGGCCCAAGAGTGGGTGGGGGTCAGGCTGGTCTCAGCTCAGGAGGGTGGTATGGACACTGAGGCTATGTGGTCTGCTCCGCACAGGCCGTGGCCACCACTGTCCTCAGATGGGGAGCAGGATGGATGCACACTAGGCCAGGGCAGATCCTCTCTGACCCCAGTCTTGGAGGCCTCAGCATCTGCCATACCACACGGCCGCTGTCCTAATTCTAGGGCTCTGTGGGGACCCTGAAGGTTAGCTCTGGAGTGGAGCAGAAGCACTCCCCTGTTCTGACCCTTGCTGAACACACTTCTGAAGCCCTTGCAGCCCACACTCCTACCTTCGTTGGGAGAGGCTGGCAGGTCGGTGTCCTGCCAAGCCTGCCAAGCGCTGTCTCGCGTAACCACAGAGATGCCCACAACCACTGCCCCATCAGGGAGGCTCTGCTCCTTCCACATGAATCCTGCTTTCAGCCAGAAATCATGGGAGAGGAAGCTGTGCCAAAAGCTATTTTGAAGGAATCGGGTTTATCATGCAAATTCGTCAGAGCAAATGGGTAATTTGCATCTGGGAAGGAGTGGGCAGGGGGGTGGTAAAGGGCAGGGCCCCTGGCTCACCTTGAGGGGCAGGTAGGCAGCAATGGTGATCTTGGCACTCAGGTGGACGTGGCCGTGTCTGTAGCTCACAAGAAGCGTGGTAGAGCCCTGGGCCTCGGCCTTTACCCGGATGCCGCTGCAGTGCTCAGAGCCTGGCGGCAGCCTCCCTACAGAAAGGAGAGAACTAGATGGTCACCCTGAAATCACTTTTTTCTTTTTTTTGAGATGGAGTCTCGCTGTGTTGCCCAGGCTGGAGTACAGTGGCATGATCTTGGCTCACTGCGACCTCCGCCTCCGGGGTTCAAGTGATTCTCCTGCCTCAGCCTCCCAGATAGCTGGGACTACAGGCATGGACCACTACACCCGGCTAATTTTTGTATTTTTTTTAATAGAGACGGGGTTTCATCATGTTGGCCAGGCTGGTCTTGAACTCCTGACCTCAAGTGATCAATCTGCCTCAGCCTCCCAAAGTGCTGGGATCACAGGTGTGAGCCACTGTGCCCAGCCCTGAAATCACCTTTGGTGGGGAAGGCACAACAGGCTGGGGGCCCCCTCTTTCATCCCAGGCTTGATCCTTGATCTGATTTCTTTCTTTTTTTTTTTTTTTTTTTGAGATAGAGTCTCACTCTGTCTCCCAGGCTGGAGTGCAGTGGTGCTATCTCAGCTCACTGCAAGCTCCACCTCCCGGCTTCAAGCGATTCTCCTGCCTCAGCCTCCCGAGTAGCTGGGATTAGAGGCATGCGCCACCACGCCCAGCTAATTCTTTGTATTTTTAGTAGAGATGGGGTTTCACCATATTAGCCAGGATGATCTCAATCTCCTGACCTCATTATCCACCCCCCTCAGCCTCCCAAAGTGCTGGAATTACAGGCATGAGCCACCGCACCCGGCCCTGATTTTTAAAAAAATATTTAATTCAGCCAGGCACGGTGGCTCACGCCTGTAATCCCAGCACTTTGGGAGGCTGAGATGGGCGGATCACCTGAGGTCAGGAGTTTAAGACCAGCCTGACCAACATGGAGAAACCCTGTCTCTACTAAAAATACAAAAAATTAGCCAGGTGTGGTGGCGCATGCCTGTAATTCCAGCTACTCCGGAGGCTGAGACGGGAGAATCACTTGAACCCAGGAGGCAGAGGTTGCAGTGAGCCGAAATCGCACCATTGCACTCCAGCCTGGGCAATAAGAGTGAAACTCTGTCTCAAAAGAAAAATAAAAATGTTTAATTCACGGCCGGGCATGGTGGCTCACACCTGCAATCCCAGCACTTTGGGAGGCTGAGGTGGGAGGATCACCTGAGGTCGGGAGTTTGAGACTAGCCTGACCAACATGGAGAAATCCCGTCTCTATTAAAATACAGAATTAGCCGCGTGTGGTGGCGCCTGTCTGTAATCCCAGCTACTTGGGAGGCTGAGGCAGGAGAATTGCTGGAACCTGGGAGGCGGAGGTTGCAGTGAGCCGAGAACGCACCATTGCACTCCCACGTAGGCAACGAGGGAGCAAAACTCAGTTAAAGAAAAATAAATAATATTTAATTCACATGAGTATATAATTCACAATGATTTTTCCACATACTGGACCCACCCTATATGCAGCACCCACATCAACAAATAGAATATTATCTGTACCCCCAGAATCTCCTGGAAACCCTTCTGGTATTTGGCCTTTCCCTAAAGGAAAACCGCCCCCCTGGCGCCTACCAGCACAACTGAATCATGCTTGGTATTGTTCCCATAAAGGGAACCATGGGCATAACTCTTTTGTGCCTGGCTTCCTCAACTCAGCAGTGTTCATGGGATTTCTCATTGGTCACACCGTGAAGATCCTTTGTCCACATTCTCCATATGATTCTGCTGCATGAATATAGAGCAATAGACTGACCCATGCTATGGTGCACATCTGGGTTTCTTCCAGTTTGGGGCTGTGCTACACGGTATTGCTGTAAACATCTGGGTGCCTTCCTCTTGGGGGACACACCTGGGCATTTCTGTTGCGTGCGTCCCTAAGAGAGGAAGTGCTAGGCTGCAGGGCGTGCATGTGTTTAGCTGTAGAAATTGTTGGTTGCTGTTGTTAAATATCTTCCCAAAGTGGTTGTGTCAATTTACACTGCTGCCAACGGCTGCCCTACATCCCTGCCATTATTAAATTTTAAAATTTTTATTTTTTTTTTGAGACAGGGTCTTGCTCTGTCGCCCAGGCTGGAGTGCAGTGGCACAATCTTGGCTCACTGCAACCTCCACCTCCCAGGCTCAAGTGAGTCTCCTACCTCAGCCTCCTGATTAGTTGGGACTACAGGAGTGAGCCACCACACCAGGATAGTTTTTTCATTTTTTTGTAGAGGCAAGGTCCCATTATGCTGCTGAGGCTGGTCTCAAACTCCTGGGCTCAAGCAATCCTCCCATCTCGGACTCCCAAAATGCTGGGATTAAGGGCATGGGCCACCGTGCCCAGCCTAAAATTTTATCTTAAAAAAAAGTTTTAAAAAAATTCTGATAAAATACAACTAAGATAAAATTTCCCACCATAACACCTTTTGTGTGTATAGTTCAGTGGCATTAAGTACATTTATGCAGCCTGTGAATGGATGTCGCCACCATCCATCCACACAACTCTTCAACTTACAAAACTGAAACTCTGCACCCAATATACAGTAACTTCCCAATTCCCCTCACTCCAGTCCCTGGCCACTACCATTATACTTCCTATCTTCATGAATTTTATTACTCTAGGTATCTCATACAAGTGGGATCATAGAGTATTTGTCCTTTCGTGACTGGCTTACTTCACTGAGCATGATGTCTTCAAGGTTCTTCCATGTTGCAGCATGGGTCGGAATTTCCTTCCTTCTTAAGGCTGAATAATATTCCACTGTATGGATAGACCTCATTGTGTTCATCCATTCTTCCAACGGTGGACACCTGGGTTATTTCCACCTTTTGGCTATTGTGAATAACACTGCCATGAACATGGGTGCACAAATACCTCTTTCGGATCGTACTTTCAACACCTTTGGATGTGCACCCAGATGCAGGATTGCCTGCTGGATCATACGGTAACTCCATGTTTACTTTCTTGAGGAACCACCATACTGCTTTCCACAGCAGCAGCACCTTTCACATACACACCAGCAGCACATAAGAGTTCCAGTGTCTTCACATCCTTGTCAACATTTGCTGTTTTCTGTTGTTTTGATCGCAGCCATCCTAAGGAGTGTAGTGCTTTTCATTGTGGGTTTGATTTGCACCACTCTGATGATGAGTGATGTTGAGCATCTTCCCGTGTGCTTATTGTCCGTGTATCAGCTTTGGACAAATATCTATTCAAGTCCTCTGCCTACTGTTTGATTGGGTTATTGGTGTTATTGCTGCTGACACGTAGGAGTTCTTTACATATCCTAGATATTAACCCCTTATACAATTTGCAGATGTTTTCTCCCATTCTGTAGGTTGCCTTTGTACTCTGTGGTGTCCTTTGATATATAGAACTTTTTTATTTTGTTGTAGTCCAGTTTGTCTATTTTTAATTTGTAGCCTGTGCATCTGGTGTTATACCTAAAAAAAAATGCCAAATTCCAATGTCCTGAAGCTTTCCTCCAGTTTTCTTTTAGAAGTTTTATAGTTTTCAATTTTATATTAGGTCTTTGATCCACTGTGACTTAATTTTTGTGTTTGGAGTTATGGAAGGGTCTAACTTCATTCTTATGCATGTCGATACGTGGTTGTCCCAGCACCATTTGGTAAATAGACTGTCCTTTCCCCATTGGACAGTCTTGGCACCCTTACCAAAAATCATTTCACCATGTACGAGCAGGTTTTTATCTGGGCTCAGTATTCTATTCTGTAAGTCTGTCTATGCCAGCACCGTGTTGAGAGAGTTACAGTAGTGCCCACAGCCCAGGGGCTTTCAAGAAGATGCCACCCAAGAGGGCAAGGCAGAAATGGGACCGCCAAGTCCAACTGCAGTAAGCAGAGGGAGCCACAGAGGGGAGGCCAGCCTGGGCCAGGGCTACCAGGGCTCCTCCTCAGAGCCATGATCAGAGTCTGGCTACCTGTGCTCTGAGCCTGGGAGGTGGCAGAGGGAGTTTACCTAACATGGGACCAAATTTGTTTCTTTAGCTGAGTAAGCTCCAGGGTGGGTATTATAGGGACAGGTCAACCTGCTGATCCAACCTGCTCTTGAGCCCCATGGGTTTCTGTGGGGTGAGCATCTCTGTCCTGACAGAGCCCAGGTTTCTAAGATACATATTTTCATACAGCCTGGGCCCTACACACCTCCCTACACATTACCATGCACACTCCACACCAGGGGCGGTACAAGGCACTTCCTAAGAGAAATTTGACACCACAGGATTCCCATCTTGACTGCTGTTTTCAGAAGTCAAACTCCTGGAGAAACGCCCTGCATCGTGCTGAGGGATATTCACTTGTAACCATCACAATAAGCAAGAGCTGTCATCCCATTTTACAGTTAAAGAACCCAAGGCTCAGAGAGGCTAGGCAGCACACCAGCATCATACAGCCAGCAAGGGAGTGGAGTGGCTCAGACCCAGGCCTGTGGAACTCCAAGCCCTGAACTTTCCTCCCGGGGACCTGAGCCCATGCCTGAGCAGCACCCTGCAGACTCCCTCCAGGACGGTTGTGGCAGGCAGTGCAGGGGAGTGGTTCGTGTCCTGCTGTCAGCGGGCCTCTCCCACGTGCAAGACTTTTCCTCCATCCTAAATGATTACCTGGCAATGACACTGTAGACTTCATGAGCTTAGTTTCTCCTGGATGCAGTATGCTCAGGGATTTTTCAGAGATACTGGCCTCCTTCTGTGCAGCTTCAAACTGCAAAAGCTCTGCACGTAATTACAGCTACAGTTGCACGCACAGCCACTTGGCACCACAGGCGATCCTACAAACACCTCTGCCAATAAAGCTTCCTAAACGCTGCCAGGATCACATCGCTCTTCTGTTCAAAAACCTTCAGTGGCTCCCCACTGCCTGGACACTAGGTCCAAGCCCTCCAAAACACGCTGTGATTCAACGGGTCCTCTGTTCCCAGTCCTCCACGTGCACAGGCACCACGGACTGCCCACCTCTGGGCCCTGGTACAGGCGCCCCTGCTCACCAAATGGTGTCCCTGTTAACCTCCAAAGCTCTGCCCAAATCTTACTCCTATTCAATAGTTCACCTGTCCTTTGGTCTTCTTCTTCGGCAAATCAGAGAGGAAGCCCTTCCTTTCCTTATCTTTAAGGCCCGTTTCACAGGTGAGTAAAGCCACAGGGTCAGTGTCAGCCACGCCCAGATCTGCACCCCATCCCTGTCCCAGGCCATGTGTGACCTTAGGCAGCTACAGCTACACAGCCTCAGTTTCTTCATCTGTCACATGGGCCAATAACAGATCCTTCTCCTAGGGTGGTTGTAAAGTCCTAAGGAGGTCAGGCATGCAAAGTGCCTGTCCTGTCCTGACAGGACTGACACTGGATAAACTATCACAGTCAGACTCCACCAATGTCACCATCAAAATCCCACAGCAGATGCGGCAGAGAACAGATGGGTGGGCCTTGCCTGTCACAGGTGAGAGGACCCTAGAATTAACCAAACCCCTATTGACAACGCATTCTGAATACCAACTGCATTCCAGGGACTAAAATAGGCACTTTGATGTGATTCTATGTAGATGACACACAGCTTAGAGATGTGAAAACTGAGGCTGAGCGAGGCCACTGATTTCCCGAAGTCACACGGTGGGCAAGATCCAGGCCAGACAGGAACAGACTGTGGATCAGGAGACAACTGCCATTCCTTATGTTGCAGCCCCTCTGCTGCCTCAAGCCCTCTCTTTGGGAATCTGGCGGTCCATGCTGAGAACCCAGACAATCTGGCCCCAATCCCAGTATCTGGCACCTGCTCAGCAGCGCTGGTTTACCTGGGAGTGGCTGGAACACACCCTGGTTCTCCACCTCGACAGCCAAGTCAAAGTGGGAGCAGTCGCTCAAGGTGACCACCTCACTGGCCCCGCCGGGCATGAGGCCACTGATCCTCAGGGGCAGCTCCAGGGCCTGGCCCACACGTGCCTCCACCTGGCACGGGGCAAACTCCATGCTGTGGGGCTCGATCACATACACCTGGAAGACAGGGGCATGGCCTGGGCTCAGCTGCCTCCACAGGAGAGGCAGGGCCTGTTGCTCGGATATCCTAAGTGCTGCTGTGTGCTGAGCACTGAGGATACATCTGTGAGAAGCCTGTCACGGGCAGTGGGGTGATTCAGGGACAGAGAGCAGGGGAGGCCTCTCTGAGGAGTGGCCTAGGAGCTCAGATCTGAGAGCCACAGCCAAGGCAGCCAGGCAAAGCCTGGGGGAAGAACACTCTGGGTGAAGGGATGGTGCGTGCAAAGGCCCTGCAGCACCTACCAGGCCAGCACCTTGGAGGAACATGGAGTCCAGTGTGCTGAAGTGCACTGTGCAGGGGCAGTGGAAAGAGACGGGGCTGGCAACCATGGTGAGGAATCAGTGTTTACTGTGGCTGAGCTGGGGGACCTCAGAGGTCCCCACCACCCTGGCTTCTGTGTACCGATCAGCAGCCAGGTGAGCAGTGTGGTGAGGAGGCTGTTGGAAAGCCCCAGAGAGAGATGCGACAGCTTGAGCCAGGGCAGGCGTGTTAGGACCAGTGAGATGTGGGATGTGTTCTGAATGTCTGGCTCATCAGATGGACTGGTAGAGCGGCTGGAGCCAGGAGAGAGGTAAGCACAGCCATGATTGCATAAAACTAGAATCCCACCTCCTGGTTAAGGAGGGGCTCTCCTCAACCCCACTCACCTGGCGAAGCACTGGCCTGAAGGGAAAGGGCAGGCTCCCTTACAGCATGCTGGGTCTGAGTGCAAGCCCCGCCAGCTGGCCCCGGAAGCCAGGTTCTACCCAGAACGCACGCTGCCTCCTGAGGAACTGTCCTCAGGATCTGGCTGGGCTGCTGGGCGAACAGTGGCACAAGGGGAAACTGGGGTGAGAGGACAGGGGTCCCAGTTTATCCCAACGCTGGACCTCATGCTTCATCTCAAGGGCCTGTGTGAAGCCCCCTCTCCATGAGAATCAGGCCTCACTTTAGATAGAGGTGGCTCTGGGTCTCAAGCGGAAGACTGGCCAGCCTATCCATCCCTGTCCCCAATACTGTAAGAGCAGGCTGCAGCTGGACTCCATGGGACACCCCTTCCTGCCCCAAATGAAGGAATAAAGGGGCTGAGGTCAGAGCACTAGGCAAGTATGGCCTGGGGTCAGTGGCCACAGGTGGGGCTGGCAGAGGCTCAGCTGTGACCACCACCACCTGCCACCATTGTGAAGTGAGATGGCCCCATGTCACTTAGGGCCAAAAGCCAGGTGTGGGGACCTGTGCAGGGAACACCTGCCTTTGTACCCAAAGGTGAGTGAAGAGAGAGGAGTCTGGCCTGGTCTCTCGGAGCCTGGTGGTGCCCTTTCACTGTGAGTTTACAACCCAGTGCTTGGTGGACCTTCCAAATGGAGATTACTATCTTTCAGGTCTGGGGAATTTTCTAGAATGGCTCTTAGATTATCTCCCCTCCAGAAACCCAGCTCTGTGGACACTGGCCTTTCTGGGCCCATTGTTGGCTGGTGTGAGACATCCTGTCCATCTTCCTGACATGGCCGTGAGCTCCTAAGGGAAGGGCTGGGGCTTGAGCTCCTAAGTACAGGACCCAAGGTTGGGGGTGTTTCTGAGTGAAGTCGAGGCTTGCTCAGAGGGGGCGGCTGGAGACCACCATCCGAGCCTCCCAGGGGGTGTCTTGGCCCTGAGATCTCACCTTCATCTCACCGAAATGGAGTGGGTTCTGCACATCATGTGCCTGGATCACACTGAACCCGATGTCACTGCCTGTGGTCATCACGCCCTTGACAGTAACTGTGGCAACCAGGTGGCTTGACGAAGACCAGCTGAAGTTCCCACTGCCACCGTGGGCCTGCGGAGGAAAAGCCATCACAGGACCAGCCACCCACCCTTAGCCTGCTGGGGAAGTCAGAGGGTCAGAGACACGTGCGTGTGCATGCACGTACTCACACTCATACACATTTATCCTCACACTCATGGGTTCACCCATGCACACACTCACCATTCACACTCACATGTACAGCTACTTGCCCATTCACTCACACACTCACCCTCACACTCATGCTCACTTACCACTCACATCCACAGTGCACACCACGTACACCTACTCACCTGCTCACACTCATTTACTCTCATGCTCACATGCTCACCACTCACACCCACAGTGCACACTCATACACCTACTCATTCGTACACATGCTCACTTACATTTACCTTCACACTCACGCTTTCACCCACTCACCATTCGCACCCACGGTACACTCACATACATTCACCTACTCCCACCAGCTTATCCTCACACGCACACAAACTTTCTCACACATACATACGTTCACACATATATACTCGCACCAATACACTCAAACACATACACACTCTCACAGGCTCTAAAACACCTGTGGCCACTTCCTCACTGACACACAAGGTCGATGCCCACAGCAGGGAAAAATGTGGTATCAGCTAGGGTCTGGCTAGAGGCTCCCCCTGCCCTCACCCTCTTTGTCCTGTCTCGTTTCTGTCCTCATATTCTGGGGACCTCGAGACCGATGCACACAAACACACACGCCCATGACAGAGGCCCCAGAACCTGGTGGCACCTCCCAGAGCTCAGGCTGGAGTGGGACGAACCCTTGGTCACCGAGCCAGTTGCAGGATGCTGCCTCCCTGACCAGACACAAGCTCCCAGCACACACCCCTGCCCATTCCTCATTGTCTGCTGGGAGGTCAGCGACTGCACCTCTGCTCCCAGACCAGAGGAAACAACCCCAAAACCCAAGGGGCCAGGATGGTGACGCACCTGAGCAGAGAGCCGGTGCCAGTGCACAGACAGGACACCTGTCACCACTCCATGGGACAGCAGGACTGATGTGCCCTGCACTGACCACGAGGACTCGAGCCCTGTCTAAGGCGAGTCCTGCTGGCTAATGCCAGGTGGAAGTATTAAGGTCAGAGCAGTGATCCATCCCATGTGATGAGGTTGGAGATACTTATCCCTTAAATTTTAATGTTTTCTCTAAGGGTGTGTGTATATATATAATGCTTTCAAAAAAGATTTTTAGAAAAATAAACATTAATGAAATTCAAAACTGTATTCCAGGTTTTCTTTATTCTATTTTTTCTCTTTTTTTTTTTTTTTCCTTTTTTTGAGTAGAGATGGAGGTCTCCCTATGTTGCTCAGCCTGGTATCAAACTCCTGGGTTTAAGCAATCCTCTCACTTCAGCCTCCGAAAGTGCTGGGACTGCAGGTGTTAGCCACCGCACCCTGCCTTATTCTCAATTTTTTCATTGTTGGTTTTTGTTGTTTTTTTTCCTAATTACCAGAATGCATTGCTATGATGGAAACCTCAGGAAACATAAAGACTGTGATTTAAAATTCTCCACAACCACTAGAGAGTAATACTAAAAGTAATAGAATGGACAAAAAGCCACAATCCCATGAAAACACCAAAGGAATGCACGCAGAGGTGAGGGGTCTCACGTACCCTTATTGTGTACTGATAGGCGCCCGTCTTTGGTTGCCACGGAAATGTCAAGATGCTGGGATACAGGGTGATCGGGATGTGAATTTCCACCTCCTGCTGGTTCCACACAGGCACCTGTAGTATGTGGACCCCTCCATCCTACAAGGGGTGAGGGTGCCACACGTAACCATGACAACCATGTCATCATCAGTCTTTCCCAGTCACCGGACCCCCACCCCTCCCTGGGGATCGGGTCACAAAGGTGGATTTGGGGGAAGAGTGGAGAGGAAGGTGCCAGACACCCTGCTGCCCTCTCTTTCTCCACGGGGATGGCTTTGTGAAGTGCTTTCTGGAAATGCTGCCTGACTGAATCCTCAGGGCACCCCAGCAGGATGGATGTGGTGTCCCCCCCAACTTTACAGATGGGGAAACTGAGGCTTGAGAGCTAAAGCAGCCCGCCCAGCCCCCAGAGCTGAGGAGGCCGACTCTGGCAGGAGTCACTGTCGGTGCATGGGCATTTCTTCCTGTTACAGCCTGCTGCCCCTTCCAGGCCAGGAGGCCTTCTGTGCGGGGTAGGAAAATGGGAACACCCAGGCCGATTTTCCAATCAGCAAAGCTCTGCTCCCTAAGGCTGATGGGCTTCTTAAAGACTAAGGAAAATAGAACCCAGGATGCAAGTAGCCCAAACAGGAAAAGGGATGCAGGTGGCCCAACTCCCTGGGACTCATGGCCCTCCTGGGCTGACATTTCTGCCTACAGAGGGTGGCTTCATAGGACAAGGCACGACGCAGGGGAGACACCAACTTGCCTGGTCCACCACAGAGGTGAGGGCCGCGTCAATGGCCGTCTGTCCCCTCTTTAGTGCCCTGATGCGATGGTATGACCCATTCTGGGAGGACGAGAGCACCTCGAAGAACTCAGCAGGAAGCACAGTTTCAATTCGGATGTTCTGGAAGGTGAGGCAGGACAGGAGAGAGGTGCTTCTGGGGTGACTCCAGAAAGTCAGAATTTGGGCACGAAGCTACAGGACTGAAACCAGCAGCCAGGCCAGGCCAAGGGGCCCCCTGGGGCTCAGCAGCCTCCACTAGCAGCAGACGGGTGGGCTGGGCCCTGGAACAGAGGTCTGATCACTATGGCCTTTGTCCCCACCGAGGCCACCCTCCCTGCATGGCCTGATGACCTGCGCTTCGATTTCATCCCCCCGTGTGGCACCTGGGGCAGCTTGGAGCCTACCGAGGTCTCAAGAAGGAACCAGTAAATACAAAAAAAAGGACATCACGTCCCCTACAGCTAACTGCAAATGGTGACCATCCCAGCCCTTGTTTGATAACATGAGCAAAGCAACGACATCTTCAAGGACACCGAGAGGAACCTCGCCTTTTTCTTCTAAAACCTCCAACGCCACCTGAAGGGCCTGGGGGTGCTCACTGACGAGCCTGGAATTTCTCACAGGGGACAGAGAGGCAGCCAAGACTCCTGCACATTTCCTCATCTGTCTGACACCCCCTTCCAGAACCAGAAAGTGTGCTGAGCTCGGCCTCTGTCATGCAGGGTTCCAGGTATTTCTGGAACCCAGTACGGAGAAAGCCAGGACGTGCTCCGTGACTCTCTGCAGGGCAGGAGGAGAATGGATTCTCTGAGGTCCCCAGCTTGGGGAAAAGGGGGCGGGAGAGTGGCGGGCAGAGACCTCCTCCCTATCCTCCTATCCTGGAGCCCTGCCGCTGTGGCAACCTCTGCCCTCCAGCCCAACAGGGGCTCTGCAGCTAGGCCGGTGTGCAGGCTCACAGGCTCTGGAGATGCCCCGGGATGCCTCAGCACTGTTTCCCACAGACCCGGGAGCGCCACTAGAAACAGGACCCCTCCTCGGTCAGCCTGCATGGGGGCTCCTGTTGCTTTGGGGGCTGCTCTTCAGCAGCCGCGTCAGACAACGACCCCACCTCATCCCCCCAGCCAGGACCTGAACAGGCACTCACGTCAGATACATAGACCTTGTTGCTGAACTTGTCAAAAACTTCGATGGTGATTTCATACAGGCGGCCGGTCTCCAGCACCCACCTGTCACCAGGGTGAACAGTGAACCCTAAAACAGGCAGAGGGAGCCTGAGCACTCAGGCCTCAGGGGCAGCAGGGTGGAGGAGGATGGGACCACCACCCTCAGCACAGGGGCCCTCAGCATCCACACGAGAAGCCCCACTCCACCCACCTGCAGGCCCCACACCACCCACCTGCAGGCCCCACACCACTTACCTGGAGGCCCCACTCCACCCACCTGCAGGCCCCACACCACTTACCTGGAGGCCCCACTCCACCCACCTGCAGGCCCCACACCACTTACCTGGAGGCCCCACACCACCCACCTGCAGGCCCCACACCACCCACCTGCAGGCCCCACACCACTTACCTGGAGGCCCCACACCACCCACCTGCAGGCCCCACACCACCCACCTGCAGGCCCTACACCACCCACCTGGAGGCCCCACAACTATGGCCCTGGCCTCCTCCTTCTGCTGAGGAGCAGAAGTCTAATGCCACCTTCAGCCCTAAGTCCTGAGCTGACCTCGCCAGGACCAACCCTGGACTCATCCCACTCTGTCTGATCAAGGCTCTTTCAAACTCATTCCCGTCCTCAGTGGGTCTACACTCAGAATCCAGCAACTCTGTCCTCAACACACAGCAGGCCTACGCTCTGAACCCTCGGCAGGTCTACGCTCTGAATCCACAACAGTTCTCTGCTTTGAACTCTCAGTCCTGAGCTGACCTCGCCAGGACCAACCCTGGACTCATCTCAGCAGGTCTACACTCTGAAGCCTGTCACTGAGCACTCTTGCCATATGAGTCATCCCTGCCCTCCCAGGTTCTCAGTCCCCTGCAACACAGGATACCACAGCACTCTTGCTGTCCCCTGGGATGCCCAGTGTACTTTTTCACTTCCACACCATTGCCTAAGCAATTCCCTCTGCCAGGACACCTTCCCGCAAAAGAAGCTCTGTCTGAGAAAATGCCTGCCTTCAATATCATCATCATGTTCCTCCCCTCCCTGCTAAGGTACCTGCCTACTGTCATGTCACCTTAGGGTCCCTCTATAATTGAGCTGACACTGGGCCCCAACCTCTAAATGTCCATAGCAATGGTCAGGTCTGGGCAAAGCCGTGGTATGAAAACCAGGAGGGTGCAAGCCCCTCACCACTCTACCCGGTTCTGTTTCTCTCCTTGCTGAGCCTGCCGCCTGCCTGGCTTGGCTCATTCTACCTATTTCTACACCAAACAGGGAAGGGCTGGTGAGTGCCCTGGGCAATGATGGTCATAGCAAGTGGCAGAGCTGGCCAGAGGGAAGCATTTTCTGTGGAGCTATTGCTTCTTTTCTATTTTTTAAACTCATATAGTCACAACTGAGCAGCATCCATGAGGGCCCAGGAGGCCCACACTCACCTAGGTATCCAGGTTCGACCACGTAGATAGTGCTGTTGGGTAACCTAGAAGCACCTTGCATGCGAATACCTGAATTTTGAATTAAGGGGCAAGACATATGACAGCAAATAAACCAGCTGGCTGGCCAGTTTCAGCTTGGCTCAGAATCCTGATCATCAAGACATCACATGGAGAGAAGAAGAGGGGATGAAAACTCCCCTGGCTTAGGCCACGTAGAGCAAAGGCACTTTTCAGAATCAAAGGCCACACTGCGCTTGCCACACTAGCAAAGGGGAATCTCTGTGAGGGACACTGGAGACCGCACAGGACACAACAACAAGTCTGGGGCATCAACACTCCATTATGCTAGTATGGAAACAGCCCCCGCCAGGCCCCCTCTGAGAAGGCTGCAGGTACTGGAGAAGTTTCTGGAGACGAGGAACGACACTCAGCTCCTGCCATCACCTCCCACCGCTGGGAGCCTCTGGGGTGAGTCACCCACAGCCGTGAGCAATTCCACTCAGCAGTGCTATTTCAGTTCTTTCTGATTTTCAGACCGTTGAGGGGAAACGGCTATTTTTAGCCCTGCCGAGCTTTCAGGGAAAAAAAGACTTGACTTCCAAACAGCAGCTCCGCCATGCCTAAGAACACACAAGCCCAAGAAAAGGATATTCCTGTGGCCAAGGACGAGGCTGCTCTGTCCCAGCTGCAGTGCAGTGACCATCGACGTGTCCTGGGCCAAGACAGCCACCGGCCGGGCTGGGTCTCCTTCGGGGCCCGGGATGCTGTTCTGAAGCTGCAACTCGTACTGATCGGAAGGCATGGAGAGTTCTGGCCACCAAGAAACAAAAAATAACAGGGAAAGAGAGAGCAAAGACAGGAAATGTTAGAAGCCAATACACTCCCACTGCCACCCCGAATCTCTGCACTCTGCTCTCAGTACAGCTGACGCATTTTCTTAATTGTTTTCAGTGCTTTAAATGTTAATATTGTTCTGCATGCTGGTGGACAAAACTGACACTCCATGAATTTTCAGAGGCAATCAGTTTTTCTGTGTAAGCTGTTTAAAAAAAAAATTAACCACAATCTATTTGCCAACTGCTTGGAGAATATTAACATTATGCCATTTCTGAACATTGCAAAGTGAACTCTTTGCTTCTACGTAGAGGGGGCACTGGGGTTCTTGCTGGTTCCGTCCAGCCTCTAGGGGTTTCCCAAGAAGCTCTGGTCACTGGTCTCCCATGGGGTCTATAATTGCCAACAATGAACCCTGCTGCCATCCTCACCAGCTTCAGTGTTCCCCTGCCCTTCACACCCACTTGGCAGAAAAATAACTTGCCCAACGTGGGCTAGGATGGAGAAGAGTTTCCCCGAGAAGTAAGAGTTCTATAAAGTGAGCAACATCGATGTACATCTTCCTTGCTCTGTGGGCAGAGACCACAAGCACTTTTGACAGCAATGGTGACTGCTGAGCAGGGATCAAGATGCCTCAGAGCAATGAGGTGTCTCATGATCACGTTCCCTCATATCCCTCAATAGCCCTGGGAACACGCTACTGAGAGCCACATTTTGGGGATAGGGGACTGAGGATATCAAGATGAGCAGCCTGCTCACCATTGCGCAGCTAGTGGAAAACAGAGCTGGCGTTCTGATCCAGAGAGCCTGACCACTTTCACATTCACTCTCCTAAGCCCGCGGAGCTTCCTAACCAGTCACCCATTCACTGTCCCCACAAGTGGGACATTCTAGCCCTCCAGCAAGAGAAGAGAGAAGAGGACACAGGAAACAGCAGACAACATCTCTGCTTGGCCCTCCTCTCAGGCCAGCTCAGGGCTTCAACACCCCATAGAGGGTGCCAGGTCAGGACTCCCAGAGGAATTCCAGCTAAAGCATGTTTCAGAATCTCCAGGGATTCTGATGAGAATTCTAAAAGAGAGGAAACTTGCCTGGCCCTTGTCCTGGGTTATTTTTCATGTGATCTAATAAGTATCAAATAATTTTCACTAGAACATTGGGTCCCCAAAGTGTGGTCCCTGAACCATCAACATCACCTGGAACTGCAAATGATGGGCCCCATCCCAGACCTGCTGAATCAAACTCCAGGGCTGGGCTCCAGCAAGCTTTGTTTTCACAAGCCCTGTAGGTGATTCTGATGTAGGCTAGAATTGAGAATCCCAAAGGGAATGCACAGCCCACATCCTCATCTCTAATCAAGTGATTCTTGCAGATTATGTGTCTAGTGTTCAGAATATGGAGCAGTGCATCAAAGATAAATGTCAGAATAAAATAACATAGTTGCTCAATGAAGCAACATTACTTTATACTGATTAATGAAGCACTAGCTTCCTCCCTTGTTTACTTTAAAGTTTTCTAAATGAGTAAGGCCCTTTTGGGAAATGAACATGCTTACATTGAAGGGGACTTACATAGCACAGATGTAACCCTCCTTGCAAATTCTAAGACTGAAAATAAGGAGGATTTTGTGACAGACTCCTTAGATACCTCTTTTTCTTTCTTTTCTTTTCTTTTCTTTTTTTTTTTTTTTAGAGATAGGTTCTTACTATGCTGCCCTGGCTGGAGTGCAGTGGCTTTCTTAGGTGCAATCACAGCTCACTGCAGCCTGGAACTCCTGGGCTCAGCCTCCTAAGTAGTTGAGACTACCAATGCACGCCACCATACCTGGCCTTAGATACCCCCTGTATCCTGGAACTCACTCCTTGTAAGAGACACTGAATGTGGAAGTCTTCGCAGATATTAAGGGCACTGCCCAGTTCCTGTCTTTGAATTATTGGGCCAACAACAGAAAGGCGCTCCTGAGGCCCCAGATCATCCCTGCTATCATCTGCAGGGGGTGAACAGCTGCCCTTCTATAGGTCAGGAAGCCCACATTCTTCTAAAAGACATGATCTCTGTCCCCTGCTGACCCTGGCTGATCCCCCCAGATTTGTTTCTGTCAGCGCCCCCACTCCCGGACCTTGCACTCCACATGAGCTCCAGGGATGACCATGGAGCTCCTGCGGAGCTGGGTCTGAGTCAAGGATGATGGAGAGCTCACTCCCTGCCTCTGACCTCAGCCCCTGCTCAAGCAGCCCCAGATACATTAGTTCTGAGCAGCCACAGTTAAGTGCCTGCCAGATTCAAAGTTCCTTCTACAACTGAGTCTCTGACACATGAACCTCAGCCCAACACATGTGCATGCTATTGGTTTTGCAAACCTAGTACATTTTATTTCAGTAATTCCAGCATTCTATCCACTCAAGTTCTCTTCAGATACTGATTCGATCAGCCAGCATGCCCTTCCCACATTTTTATTACATCTAACAACTTGATCACAGTGGCAGTCATGTCTGCAACCAATCCAAACACCAACAGGACTTAGCACTAAGGACTGGAGATGGAGACCACGGCTCCCACTGGAAGCCCATCCTATAAGCAATACAGATGCCCTGCTATAAGCCTCAGGAGCCTGTCTCCTCCACTCACAGGCCTCACTTGCAGACATGATGTGACTGACTGTGCTCCACCTCTGCTAGGCTGTGAGCTCCAGGAGGGCAGGAACCGGGCAGTCCTGCTGACCACTGTGCACCCAGCACTTAGCAAAGGGCTGGCACAGAGCAGATGCTCAGGAAATGTATTTGCAAGAAAGGGAGGAGCCAAAAAAAAGAAGAGAGGCAGACATAAAGGAAATAAAAATACCAAAGAAGAAAAAATTACTGTAAGGAAGGAAACCCAACAGAAAAGAAAATATAAAGAGTTAATCTGCAGTTATAATTATCGCATGTTAATGAGCCCATGTAACTGTCATCCAACGCAGAATGCTCTGAGGCTTCCACAGGATGCCGGGCAAGACAGGGATTTGCTGAAATTCAGGTCCCCTATGAAGACACCATTCCCTGACTTTTCTGTCTAGCAAACCTGCAAAAACCAATATAGTCATGTGAATTATACCTCAATGAAAAAACAATCCAGCTAGGCTGAGCATGGCAACTCATGCCTATTATTCCAGCACTTTGGGAAGCTGAGGTAGGAGGGATAACTTGAGCCCAGGAGTCTGAGACCAGCCTGGACAACACAGAGAGACCGCATCTCTATTAAAAAAAAAAAATTAGCCAGGCATGTGGTGTGTGCCTGTGGTCCCAGCTACTCAGGGGTGTGAGGTGAGAGGATCACTTGAGCCTGGGAGGTCAAAGCTGCTGTGAGCCATGATCATGATACTGCACTCCCAACATGGGTGACAAAGCAAGACTCTCTCTCAAAAAAACCCCAAAATAATTCATCTAAAAGACTTAGGAGTTTCCATTGGTGTGTCTTGTTCACAGTGAAGTTTTGCTAGCTCGGCCCCTCTCAGTTTTGCCAAAACATCCATCTGGAATCTACTGCAGTAGCATCCAGTGCCATCAATCGCACAGGAGTGTGTATTTTTGGAGTACTTTCACATCTCATGACATGATGAAAGGGAGGTGGGCCCTGCCTCTTTCCTTTCCTGTCCCAGGGCATCTTTCATGTGCTCCAATTCCTTGATGTCTGTGGCAGGAAGGTCAGTGACCAAGCTCGTAAGTTTTCTAGGTACCTTGGGAGGTGCAGTTCCTCTGGGCTGTGATACCTGAGCTAATTTAGAGTGAGCTCTTTTTTTTTTTTTTTTTTTTTTTTGAGACAGAGTCTCACTCTGTCGCCCAGGCTGGAGTGCAGTGGTGCGATCTCAGCTACTGCAACATCCTCTGCCTCCCGGGTTCAAGCAATTCTCCTGCCTCAGCCTCCTGAGTAGCTGGGACTACAGGTGTGTGCCACCATGCCCAGCTAATTTTTTTCTGTATTTTTAGTAGAGACAGGGTTTCACCATGTTAGCCAGGATGGTCTCGATTTCCTGACCTCATGATCCGCCCGCCTCGGCCTCCCAAAATGCTGGGATTACAGGTGTGAGCCACCGTGCCTGGCCGAGTGAGCTCTTTCTAAAGTCAGCCCATCCCCTCTTAACTACATGGGCTCTGCTTGCCCAGCTGGGGCAGTTTCATGCCCCATGAGTCCCATGCAAATGGACCACCTCACCGCTGCCCTGGGAGACTGTAAGGCCCTGTTTTTGTTTGTTTGTTTTGAGACAGTCTCGCTCTGTCACCCAGGCTGGAGTGCAATGGCGCAATCTCGGCTCACTGCAACCTCCACCTCCTGGGTTCAAGTGATTCTCCTGTCTCAGCCTCTTGAGTAGCTGGGATTACAGGCGTGCGCCACCACACCTGGCCAATTTTTGTATTTTTAGTAGAGGCGGGGTTTCACCATGTTGGTCAGGCTGGTCTCGAACCCCTGACCTCGTGATCCGCCCGCCTCAGCCTCCCAAAGTGCTGGGATTATGGGCGTGAGCCACCACGCCCGGCCGGCCCTGTTGTTATAATTAGCTTTTTTCTGGGTTTCCTTTGGGGAGAAGCGGCAGAGGGAAATTCCAATTGATCCTACAGGGGTGATTAAGGCCAAGGAGTCCAACAGTTTTGTGAGCTTCAGGTCTTCTATGCCTCAGTTTTCCTCATGTATGAAACAGGGTATTAATGAAATCTACCTCATAGAGCTGTTGGGTTATATCCAGGTACACAACTGTAGTCCCAGCTACTCAGAAGAAATGAGGCAGGAGGATGGCTTGAGGCCAGCAGTTTGAGATCAGACTGGTCAACATAGCAAGACCAAGTCTCTAAAAAATAAAATAAAGTAACTTTAAAAAGAAAAGCACTTACAACTGCCCAACACTGAGGAAATGTTCAGTCATGGTTAGGTGCTGTCAGCAGTGACTAGGCTCTCCAAGCGTCTTCCTTCAGGCCGCAGTGCCATTTCTTGATCAGTGTTCATGGATAATTTTATATTTCTGAGACCTCCTGTTTGTGCCCTCTGGCCTTTCAACACGCTTCCCCTTTGCATTCTTCCTTAGGCTGCTGTCCTCAGAACTCTATCTTGGAGCCTCCTCCCCTTTCAGAGTCTCAGAAAGCCACATCTTGGACTGTCCCTGTCCTAGAATCTGCCTCCCTGAAGTCAGGTAAACATCGGGCTCTGACCAGGACACCCACGCTTGGCTTCCTACAAATCCTACTGCAGGCCATCCTCCTGTTGACTTGACATCCTGCTGAAGGGCAGATGCTGCTTGCCCAGAATCAAGAAACATGAGTTTGCTTCTCTTCAACTAGGACCCCCTTGCCAGAAAGAACTGGGCCCAAAGGCAGGAGCGCCTGTCTTCAGTTTTTTTGTCCTCCTGAGAGAAAGCGTTCTGCCACACAGGAATGACCAACCAGGTGACTGCTCTCAGTTGAGCAGGACTTTAAACAATGCAGCACCTCCCATCAACTGGAGACACCACTCAAGTTGCTCTTATGCTGAAGTGTGTATCTGCCTGCCTCTTAAGTGACACCCTGTATCACAGGTGGAACCAACCTACCAACCTGGCAAACTCACCTGACTGAGGCCCTCGGATGGACTGGACCTGAGAGCTCTTATGCCCATGACCCTTCAGGTCCTATGCTCTGGATGTTAAACATACACAGCTTTGAACAAAATGATAATGATCCTTAGGAGGACTGGCGCTCCATTGAGAACCGTCACTATCTAAACACAAGTACACAGTACAACTACACTCCTATTGATTCATTTTGTCCTCACAGCCCAGGCAGAAAGGCCTCAAAGCCTCCAATGAGAAACAGCCCTGGAGAAGGGCAGTGGCTTGTCCAAGTTTGTTCAGTTGTCAGTTGCAGACCGGGGCAAAGCCCAGCTAAACACAAAGCCCACAGCTCTGGACTTGCTGCCACTGAAAGGGCATATACCCCAAAGAATTTGAAAGCAGGGACTCAGATATTTGCTCACTATGTTCACAGCAGCATTACTCACAATGGCCAAAAAGTGGAAGCAACCCAAGTGTCTGCTGATGGATGAATGGGTAGATGAATGGGTAAACAGAATGTGGTCTATCCATCCACACAATGGAGCACTATTCAGCCTTAAAAGGGAAGGGAATTCCAACCCTTGCTACAACATGGATGAAACTTGAAGACATCAGGCTAGGAAAAAAGTGATATAAGCCAGTTACAAAAAAATAAATACTATATGATTCCACGTACATGAGGTAACCAGAGTAGTCACATTCACAGAGACAGGAAATAGAGTGATGAGTGCCAAGGGCTGGGAGAGGGTGAAGGGGAGTTAGTGTTTAACAATGCAGAGCTTCAGTTTGGGAAGATGAACGAGTTCTGTGGATGGATGATGGTGATGGCTGCAGAAGAGTGTGAATGTACTTGATGCTACCTGATGGAGCACTTAAAAATGGTTAAGATGGTAAATTTTGTTACATGTATGTAACCACAATAAAAAAAGGAGGAAGGAAGCATCTGTCATGATGGCAGAGCCAATGACACACCTGTAATTTTCCCTTGCCTGATCTTCTGCACCTTGTAGTGAATGGAGGTTCCCACCATCAGGTAGACGTCATAGGCCGGGTTCAGAAGGATGTTTTCCAAAATCAGCAGCCTGACTTCTGCAGGGCGTACATTCTTGGCATAAAGAAAAGGCAGACAAAGTGAGGTGCGGACAGGGAATGGGGAAGTGGTGGTGTGAGCAAGAGAAAGAGATGTTTTAAACATGGGAATAGGGAAGTTAAGAGGAAAGAAACAAGATATCATTCCCAAATCCTCACTTTCAGAACCCAGAGGTCCCAGGGGAGCTCCATAAGTATAGCAGGCACCCAGAAAAAGGGCATTACCCAGACTGAGCCCTCACACTGACTGCCCATTGTGCATGGTTTATCTCTATGTGAAACCATGATTAAACTGGAGTAAAAGAGGAGAGCCAGGGTGAACTCTAGGGATGCTATGGCCACCGGGAGCTCAAGTTCTCTCCACACAAAAGCCCAAGGTCCAGGGAACTTGAGAAGCCCCAGGCCAACATAAAAAGCAGGAGAGGCATATGCTGTGATGAGCCTTGGCTGCTATTCCTTGACCCCTTCCCCTGCCCGCCTTTCACCCCCGACCTGTGACCTCCTGCCTCCTCAGGAAAACCCGTGGGCAACTTCGCAATGGGAGAAAGATCACTAGGTGCCCTGTCTAGTGCACCCTTAGGTACTGGATTCTCCAGAGGCCTGCACCTTTCATTGTCTTTGGCCTGTTTGATGGCAGTGTACATTGTAGAAAAGCGACAACACAGCAAATGATTCTTGTCCACAGAAACACAAAAACATTTCCTCAGGTGAAGGCGCAGCTGACTGCCCTCCTGTGGGTGTGGGCATTCTACATTTTTCTGAGTTCAGTTCAGCATGCCTGGTGTCCTGTGGCAACTCTTTGGATTCTCCTTTAAGCCTGCTGTCACAACTGACAGCTTTCCTCACTTAACAACTAGTTAATATCTTCAGTGTGTCCAAAACAGACAAGTGTATTGGGCACCACCATGGGCAGGGCTCTGTGGCGGCTGCTTTCCAGCACGCAGGCAGGGAGGGCCACTGAATGTCTATGGGCAGGACAGCAAGTCTGCCTTTCCAGCTTAGCAGTGTGGCTGTACCCCATCCCAGCCTGGGCCCTACACAGGAGCAAACTGTCTCTAAGTACTACCTGCAGAGTCCTACGGGATTAGCCCCTATAACAGGGCATGTCCCCATGTTTCCATAACTTTCCAGGACTCCCAGATGCAGCAAACCCACTACAGAGAGTGAATCAGAAGAGGATTTCTCCGTCTGCCACTTTACAAAATTAAATGGCAGGCCAAGTACCACAGTGTTCCTGCCTGTGCTCCAGACACTAGGCAAACAAAAATATCTCAGGGTTGCAGCTCAAAACGAGGCACTGGTTGGGTGGACATTAGTCCACAGGGACAGAGAAGGAACCAGGACGTTGGATAGACCCACTCCTCACTCTCCTTTCCTCTGGCATACCCCCACTACCCTAAGAATGGGATGCTGGTGAGGCCAGGAAGACATGGGATCGGCTGGGGCAGGGGGTTGAGGTGATCTACACATAGGATCCCTGGGCCACCAGTCTCAGGGCTCCAATGGGGGCCCAAGGAGAGACAGCATAGAAGACACCCAGGAGCCCCAGGTTTTGTCAAAGCCCCAAGTGCTTGGGAGTGTCCCTATACCAGCACGGTGGGGGCACCAGTTGGAAACAGGTGAGTTACTGGAAACCTCCTGCTCTTGGACCTCCCTAGAAACTAAGAATGAGCAAATGCTATGCACCCCTAGAGATGCTTTCTGGGGCCTCAACCACCTTTCTTTGTAAGCTGAGGCTCAAACAAACCAAACCAAACACATAAAAATATGAACCCACATCCTGAAATCACGGGACAGCATCTCACTTCCACTATTCAACGTGCCTATAGGTGTGATGGTACCTATAAGCAGGTACCGTCAGCCTGATTCCACCCCAGGAAGCCCACTGACACCCCAGCGCCCCAGGCCCACCTTGTAGACAGCCTCCTGGATGCGAGCCTTGAGCTTGGAGCTCCCGGTCTTCATCCCAGACACCAGGATGGTGTCCCCTTGCTTGGCAGCCTTCTCCATCTCTGAGATGTAAGAAGGAGGGATGTACGTAGACTCCAAGAAAGTGAGGATTCTGGAAAAGGAGCACGTTGTCAAAGTTTGTTGATCAAACCCCAACACAAGATTTGTCAGAATCTACCACAGCATTCCCTATCAGTACCTCCCACTGGGGCTGATGCTGAAATAAGGGGTGTCCCCCTAGTCAGGGCTGGGGCTGCCTAGAGACACGGCCCTGCAGCTTCCTACATCAGAACTGCCAAAGTCCTTGTGAAAAATGCAGATACTTGGCCCCTGGCCCAGGCTTTGTCTCCAAGATGCCTGGGAATCTGCATTTTATCCACACGCACACGTGACGTAAATACTAACATGCGAGACCAGCTGCTGAGTCCACATGGGAACAGTGAGGCCCGGGAGATGAGGCAGCAGGCCCAAGAGCACAGCCCAGTCACAGCAGGGCCAGCAGCACCCTCACCTCCCCGAGGCTGCCTGCTCCTGTCCAACCTCCCCGGCCTAGCGCCCAGCTCTGGGGAACGATTCTCCATGACTGGTCCCCTAGCCCTGGGCACCAGACGGCACCATGTCTCACTCTCCCTGGATCCCAGCTTGGGGAGATGTCGGGGACGTGGTGTAGCCTGGAGTGTGGGCTGCTGGGCAGGCGGACTTCAGGGATCCTTCCCACGCAGCCTCCCACTTCAGCCTGCATTTACAAACGAGCCCACTGTTCCCCTGCACAAGAGCAATCTGCCAATGCTGGGCCGCACTGTGATTTATTTCCTCGCCTGGTTACTCTAGGTGTCACACGCCAAATTACAAATCCAGGACAATCCAGCTCCAACCCGCCTTGGCATCTGGGATTTCTGTTAGCATTTGGCTCAGGTGCAGAGCTAGCTGCCTGGAAGCTCAAGGGGTGGGGAATGGGGTATTGTCAGAAGGGGACAGGGATTCAGCATCCCCTCAACATCCAGCGTGTGCCAGGCCCAGAGAGGGGCCCTGAGTGGATCAACCCACTGAGCTGTACAGTGGCCCTCAGAGGCAGGCACGGGATTCCCTCCAGCTCTGTTTCCCAGGGCAGGAGGCTGAGGCTCAGGTGGGTAACGTTCCCTGGCTAAGGACACAGGCAGGAAGCGACAAAGCCAGGACTGGAATCCAGGTCTCTGACTCTCTGGCCCATGGTCATTGTTTTACAAAACACCAGAACCCACAGAGCTGGTCCAGCAGGCTGTCTCCACAAGGGCAACTCGGCTCACAAAGGCGTCAGGACATGAGGACGTCGGCCTGGAGTTGCTGTAAGCTGAGCCCTGGAGAAGGCTGTGACAGAGGAACCACCACATCCCCAACATCCCCTACAGCCCAGAGCAGGACTTTAATGGCATAATGAAAGACCAGACAGTAAACTCCCTGACAAAGGACTTATAATTATATAGGGGTGAGAAAGCGCAGAGGCAAGTGGAAGAGCGGAGTCTCACTTCTGTGATGTTCCTGCCAAAGACACAACGTTCGGACCCTGGCCGTGAGGGAACAGCAGACAAACCCAAAACAAGGGCCACTCTACAGATAACTAGACTGTCCTCTTCACAAGCGTTGTGGTGTCCAAAGTCAAAGCCCGGGAGACAGTCCCAGGCTGACAGAGACTAAGAGAAACAGGACACATGCGGCAGGTGACTTGGGGCTGGGATCCTTCTTTTTACTGAAAAGGATAAAGCTGGGACAAATGACCAAACTCGAGTAAGGTCTGAAGACGGCCGGCAACAGTGTTCGTTTCCTAGTGCCATGACTGCATGGTGGCCGTGCAGGACAATGCCCCGATGGTCGTAAAGCACATGAAAATCATCAGGGTGACGGGACATGAGGCTGGCAGCCGGCTCTCAGGTGAATGAGGGAGACCACTTTTTGGACTAAACTGGCAGATTTTCTACAGGCCTAAAATTGCTGCAAAAGGAGACTCAAAAGATTCAAAAACAACTTTAAAAAAGGGACCATGCTTTTTAAAAATCACATGGCAAATCAGGAGGAAGGCGGCACAGTCGGGAATACAAGCTCAGACCTGGGACCTGCACCAGCACCGGCAGAGGACCCGCGTGGCTCTGCTCCTGCCCTGTCCCACATGTGGCAGTGCAGTGAGCCATTGACAGGAGGCTTATGCATCTTAGGAACTGAACTGCTCATTTTCTAACTACAAGTAAATAGCTCTGGGGCCCGTGGCTCCCACGAGACAGTGCAGATCCACGGATCTGAGTTCAGACTCCAGCTCTGTCCTCCCGGAGCTCAGACAAGCGGCTCGGCCTCTCCAAGTCTCAGCCTCCACAACTACTCGATGGAGAGCACAGTGGTGCGCAAGCTCATGTGGCTGCCAGGAGGATGACACAGGTCAAGATGCTTAAGGTGTCCGCCTCACAACTGGTCTTACTATACCGCCATATGGGCGACTCAGCCTGTTCCACCTGAGACCCACCGGCACAGCTGGCCTGTGCCCCAGCCGAAACCTGGCTGCCCTTTAACTGGCCCCCCAGAAGTGCAGCCTGGGGCCACCCACACTTTCCCTGTGCCCTGAGACAGCCATGCATGTCTCATTTCTCCAGCTGGACATCCCAAGCCTCTGACAGCTTCTCACAGGACACTCTCTGGGGGCTGCAGAAGCAGCCAGGCTCCCGCACAATGGTGTGAGTGGATCCCATTCCTCAATCAGACACTCGGAATGTTACGGGCATCCTAGGAGTCTCCCAGACTCCTCAATGACCCAGATGAAAGCCCCCCGCTGGTGAGGAGCTCACAGGTGTCCCCCTTTCCCCTTCCCTTCAAAGGGGCCAGGCCTAGCAGAGGCACCCCTTACCGCAGCGCATTGTGGGAGTCTGAGAACCTGTCCGCCTCGGAGTCCTTCACAATCGTCCACTCGAAGACCAGTCCAGCCAGAGTGCTGAAGGTGTTCCCTATAAGAGCAGATGGGAGAGGCAGACAGATATGGAGTTAATTTCCCAGGGTGGAGGGAGGCGTGATGGGAGCTTCTGCCCCATGCAGGAACCACACTCCACATCACCACCCACCAGGCAGGTGTCATAAACTGTATGTCAGGAGAGGAAACTGAGGCTGAAAGGAATGAAGACACTTACTCATGGTCATGTGACCACCAGGGGGCGAGGCCAGAATTTGAACCTAGGGCTGTCCGATGAAAGCTTGTGCTCTTCCTGCTGTGACTCCCTGCCCTTGACTGCAGGACCAGCTCAGTGCAGTGCATAACACTGCTGCCCCGCACGTCTGTGAGCGGTTTACAATTTAGGAGTCTGCTCGGAAACCTGGGCCATTCATTCCTGCTCACCACTTCCTGGGAGTAAACTCCTCTCCCTCCCTGTGCAGGGGAGGGGACCCAGGGTGGAGGGGCATTACCCAAACTGTCTAGTGTCACATGACTCTTGTCTCTTCACCTTGACTGTGAGACTCCTGAGGTCGTGGGGTAGGTAGGGGGCAAGGAGAGCCAGGCCCAGCCAGCCTTGGCTCTTATGTCCTGGCTTGCTGCCTGGGAGCCTTCTGATCTGTCCTTTCCAATCAAGAAACAGATGCCACATGCAAGTCTAGTTCTCACCTCCTCTTGAAAGGATGAAGATCCACCCACCTGGGCCTCATTCCCTCTGAGAGCCAGAAGCTGCTCGCCCTCTCTAGAAGGGGCCATGCCACACTCCTCACCAGCCCCTGATGTTCCACGCCTGTTCCACATCCCTCATCCACACTCCCCTTCTGACCAGCTCCCAGTACAAGGGATCTGGGGGCCAAGAAAAGCTGTTTTCTACAGTGCAAAGGGCAAGGTATTTAGAGTCTGACGGGCCTGGGGTCCTGCTTCTCTTCACCCCGATCCCTGGCCCTGCAAGGTCTCAAAGACTGCATGAAATAGTGCCTAGCAGAAGCTCCAGAAAACTCTGCTCCTTCGCCTTACTTCTCAGGGCATCTTTAATGAAGAGAGGCATCTTCTTACAGTTCCCTGGGTGTCTTTCCGTCAATGTGAGCAACTGATCAGAGGAAGACAACCCCCATCTATGATGTACATATATGCGGGAAGATTTTTTCTTAGAGGTCCAGAGCAGGATTTTGAGCAAATGAAAACTCTATGGTTTCCTGAAAATTAATCTGTCTTCCTAACATCCAGGGCATTAGGTGAGGATGGTGGATATGAAAATCCACACCAGCGAAGCACATCGGCTGCAAGACAGGAGTCCTCTAGTCCAACCCTTGGATGCTGCGTCCCCATCAGATGGGGGCTTGAGACCCTTCCCGCATACCCCAGGGATGAGGAGCTCATCGCCCAGCACAGCCTATTCCTCTGTTCAACAGCTCTGACTGTGAGAACCTTCTTCTGCACACTGAGCTGAAACAGGGTGCATATGGAGTACTGCTGGCCCCAGTTCCACTGTCCGGGGGCAGAGCCAGCAGGTTGGCTTAGCAGTGTGCTCAGTGAGGGGAGCCTGGGCTCCAATTCCACCTTCTCGGGGAAGAGCCCAGCAGGCCGGCTTTGCAGTATGCTCGGTGAGGGGAGCCTGGGCCCAAATTCCTGCCTTCCAGAGTCAGAGCCCAGCAGGCCAGCTTTACAGTGTGCTCAGTGAGGGGAGCATGGAGTCCCTATAATAGTGTGACCCAGTAACCAGAAACGCAAGACTGCAGACCACTAGGCAGGCCACTCCCTTAACACAAATACATGCCAACACCACAAGAGTCCTGAATAGCTACCCTGGGGCTTCCACCCAGCTCAGCTCCAAGCATGGCTTTTCTCTTCTGTAAAATGGGGATGAAAATACCAACGCATGGGGTTGGTGGGAAGATCAAATTGAGAAAGCACCCCCATGACATGTCCAGTGTTCACAACGGTCCGCTTATGGACAAGGGGATGGAGGTGGGGGAGGCCCTGCTAAGGGGCTCTTAGCAAGGAAAACGGTGGGAGAGAATCATGCCTGCAGACACTTCAGGGGCTGCACGTGGAGCTCTGTTTTTCATCATCTTTGCTCCCCACAGTCTCTCCTGGAAGTCCACCACGTTCAAATGTGGAAGAAGAGTTGAATGTGTGGTAATTTCAAGGGCAGAAAGT
The DNA here is from genome assembly GCF_000001405.40 of Homo sapiens. Lineage (NCBI taxonomy): Eukaryota > Metazoa > Chordata > Mammalia > Primates > Hominidae > Homo > Homo sapiens. Next base: position 13,393,449 of record NC_000003.12, read on the forward strand.
GTCCTTAGGCTTCTGTAAGTTACCTGCTCGGGCAGGTGCACACACAGGACCGAGTGCAGGATTTGCAGGGCTCCGTGCAGATGAGAACACAGGGACCCTCGTTCATGCATGGGCCTGCCAGCTGCTGGCCACTGGCTTTCTCTCCCGCCAGCTGCTGGCAACATGGCCAGACCCAGCTGCGTGGGCCCTGGGGATGTCAAGGCAGGTGTCTGCCTTTCCAGGGCCTGCTGCAGGTGGGCATCCCTAAGGGTGGCAAGGGGGAAGGGAAAGCTCTCAATAAATCTGTGCCCAAAGTTTTGCTTTTTCCACTCTAAAAGAAGCTATCAGTACCTACTATGTGCAACGGAGCCCTTGACCTTGAAGCCTCACAGCCAAGTTTAGATATTAACCAGGAAAGCCAGGGATCCAGTCTCCAGAGGATCTACCTCCCCTGTCCTGCAGGACAGCTGAAGGAAAATGTTAGGCAATTCAACCTAGCAAACATTTACCCAATGCCGGCTGGCCCCAAAGTCCAGTGTCAGGCACAGAAAAGTCCAGAAGAATGAACTGATTTCAGTTATGTCTTCCTAGTGCTGACCTTGACAAGCCACAGTAGAAAATGTCTTGTATCCCAGGGCAGGGGGCACTGCAGAACTGAGGGACATCGAAGGGAAGAACAAGTCCCACCTTGGGCAGCCAAGGAGGGCTCCCTGGAGGAGGGGACACCTGAGAGGCAATGCCAGAGGAAGCATGGCTTCTGAAAGCAGAGTTCAGGAGGGGAAGGTGCTCCAGGCAGAAGAGATGGGATAAGGAAAGGTGAGGAGGGGGCATCTTTGGATACCCTGAGCTAGTCCAGTTCTGCTGATGCAAGAGGCACGGGTGGGCCAGGAAATAGCTGTGAAAACCTCTGCTCAAAGTTTTGCTTTTTCCACGCAAAAAGAAGCTATTAGTACCTACTATGTGCAACAGACAGAGCCCTGTCTGGAGGCGGGCACTCTGCAGGTGGCTTCTGGCCAAAAGGGCAGATCCCAGCCATGTGGGGAGGGCCCCCAATGCCCAGGAAAATGCAGCAGTAGGAGACAGGCAGTGCATCCAGCGGGAAACAGCTCAGGCGACAGAGTCAGACATCCTGGATCCCAGGCCCTGCTCAGCCACCCATGAGCTGTGTGACCATGGGCAAGTTACTGAAGCTCTCTGAGCCTCAGCTTCCTCATCTATATAGTGGGCATGAGACCATTTATAAGCACAATAAGACATTGTACTTACTAAGGGGACAACCTACTGCCTGGCATCCATGGGCAGCCAGGGTGCCACTGTTCGTTGAGCAATTCTCTTTCTTGACATTCATCAATACAGATAAGGCACATCATTTCTGGGACTGCCCTCAAAGGTTCTAAGGATCAAGTTCATCTTCACAGAGGAGACTCTGATCAGAAAAGAGGTCACAGGCTCAGAAAAAAAGGCAAAAGAAATGATGAAGGTACTCATCAAAGTATTTCGGGGCGAGGAGGACCAAGTAGAAAGCATGATGCCCTCACAGTGGGCGAGGAGGGAAGTTATCCATTTCCTTGCTGCAAAGGTGGGGCCTTGACATGGGCTACTGGTGAATGACCCAGTCTGTGGAGACCAGGTGACGTCCTACTCTGGAACTGGCTGCAGGGGCCATCAACCCTCCAGGAGAGGGGGGAGTGTGAGAGGAAACCATCCAGGGCTGCTGGGCACCATCCTGGCATAACAGTGGCCTGGGAAGGCTGAGGCAGGCACCTCCCCAATCCCGACATCCCCACCACCTACCTGGGGAGAATGGATACACATTCAAGAAAAAGTGACTTAAAGGGGGTTTAACTAGAACCACAAGGATGAGCAATAGCAAGTGCTGGCCAGGACGTGGAGATCATGGCACCTTCACACACTGCACCCAGGAATCTGAAACAGGCTGGAGTGCAATGGTGCCATCTCGGCTCACTGCAGCCTCCGCCTCCTGGGCTCAAGCGATTCTCTTGCCTCAGCCTCCTGAGTAACTGGGACTACAGGTGTGCGCCACCACGCCTGGCTTATTTTTATATTTTTAGTAGAGACAGGGTTTCACCATGTTGGCCAAGCTGGTCTCGAATTCCTGACCTCGAGTGATCTGCCCGCCTCGGCCTCCCAAAGTGCTGGAATTGCAGGCATGAGCCACTGCGCCCAGCCTGTATTTCCTTCTTTTTGTGGCTAAATAATATTCCATTGCAGGGGTCGACCGTGTTTTGTTTTTCCACTCATCCGTTGATGGACTCTTGGGTTGTCTTCACACTTGGCGGTTATGAATAATGCTGTTATGAGCATTCACATGTGAACATGTGTTTTCTGGTCTCTTGGGCAGGAGTGGAATTGCCGGGGCACAGGATAACTCTGTGTTTAACTGTTTGGGAGCTGCCAGGTACTTCTTTCCCTATAGCAACACTGGTGCCTGGACAATGCCCAGTTTGTACAAAGTGCTCAGAGAAACACCCCCTGGCTTACTGAGTACTCACGCAAGACCGAACACTGTACATATTTCTCACTAAGTCCTTATGGTCCCCAGGACAAGCATCACTATCTCAATCTCACAGGTCAGAAGGCAGTGTCAGAGGTTAAGGGCCTCATCTGATGAATGGGTAAGCGGGGAAGAAAGGGTCTGCTAGTGCTCTAAACAGTGGTTTGGCCCCCCAGGGACATTTGGCCATGTCTGGGCCATTTTTGATTGTCATGGCTTGGGAGACACTACTAACATCTAGTACGTAGAGGCCTGGGATGCTGCTGAACATCCTATAATGCACTGACAGCCCTCATCACAAAGAATTACTCAACCCCAAATGTCAATCAATACTATCTAGGCTAAGAAATCCTGATCCAGAAATTTTTTTTCAAAAACAGGAGCTAGAGTTGTCAGAAAAGGTTTCAAAGACAAAGTGAGCCTTGGTTTGGACTTGGTTTGGGGGCAGATCATCTGAAAGGCATCTTTTGCCTGACTTTTATTTTCTCTGACAAGAATTTTAACCTACAAAGTTTCCCTTACTGGCCAGGTGCGGTGGCTCATGTGTGTAATCCCAGCACTTTGGGAGGCTAAGCCGGGTGGATCATCTGAGGTCAGGAGTCCAAGACCAGCCTGGCCAACTTGGTGAAAACCCGTTTCCACTAAAAATACAAAAAAAAAAAAAAAAATTAGCTGGGCTTGGTGGCAGGCACCTCTAATCCTAGCTACTTGGGAGGCTGAGGTAGGAGAATCGCTTGAACTCAGGAGGCAGAGGTTGCAGTAAGCCAAGATCGCACCACTGCACTCCAGCCTGAGCAACAAGAGCAAGACTCTGTCTCAAAAAAAAAAAAAAAAAAAAAAGTTTCCCTTACTTCCTTTAAGAGATCACCTAGAAGAGTTCCAGCCTGGAAACAAGCCCATATTTGACTCTGGCAAGGTGAAGATGTGAGGGCAGTGCCCTGGGCCGGCAGCATAAATGTGACCTGACCCACAAACATGCTCTGAGGTCTGGAACAGGAAGCCACCACTGGCCCTAAGAGCCAGAGCAGGGAGCCTCTCCCTGCCTCCCATCGCTGCCAAGAATGCTAGCTTCCCCAAGATGTGCTGCACCAAGGACCAGCACTATGCAGGCAGGGTCTGGCTCCAGGGTCACAGAGCCACAGCTCTGAGCACACAGGCCCCACTGCAGGGGTTCCTGAGGGCCAGGAGTGACCATGATTCGACACCACCGAGGGCTTGAGGCCCACCTCAGAGGTGGTTTCTGCCTCTTCAGCATCTCCCCCAGCACCAACTTCACCTGCCTGACCAGAGCTGCCCTCTAGGGACCTGCAGGGTTGGATGCCAGAGGAGTGGGGAATGCAGAGAGGCCAGAGTCATGGTGGGGGGATGATCTAGCATGGGCTGCAGAAGACAAACAGGCAGGGGACGTTCTCACCTTCGGAGTCCAGGGCCTGGATCTTCAGCTCCAGGGGGGAGTCCTCCAGGTAGAGCTCGCGGGTGGTGGAGACGATCTGGATGTCATGGATGAGGTCCACAATGGCATCACAGCGCAGGACCTGGCCTGTGGCTGGAGGAACCCCAGGAAGGGGTCAGCACCAAAGACAGTCCCCGCCCCTGGCTCCACTTCCAAGCCTTGCAGGCTTACACTCTGGCAAAGACCACGGCAACCACCAGCTTCACCCTCAGAAGCCAAGCAGCTGCCTCACACATGGCCCCACTGACAGTTAACAGGGACTACCAGAAAGAAAGGGCTGTGGGGGCCTTGTCACCACCCATTCTGGCTTTTCCAGCAGGGCACCAGCATTTAAAGCTGTGGGCAAAAAAAACTCCAGGAAAACTTAGTTTCGTTCAGGGTGTAAGCATTCCGTGAAGTGACAAGGGTTATAGTATGATGAGTTCCCATCCCAAAGACGAGAACCCTGTCCCTTCACTGAGATTAGGGATTACGCTGGTGGTTTTTGGTTTTCACATATGCTGGTGTTTTTATAAAAGACTATCAAGTATAGTACAGAAGGGGCTGGTGGGCACACCCAGAGATTTTTTTACTTGCTCCATAAATAAGGTATGTAAATGGCATTACCTGGGGAACCCTCAAGTGTAAGGATAGCAGCAAGAGATACAAAATTGTTCTGACCATTCTCCAGGTACCATATAAAAATGCTTGTGCACTTTAGTGTGGTTTTCTTGCACAGCAATACGGTCCCATGTATCAAAAGCCTTAAAAGTATTCAAGGTTGGCCAGGTGTGGTGGCTCACGTCTGTAATCCCAGCACTTTGGGAAGCCAAGGCAGGTGGATCACTTGAGGTCAGGAGTTCAAGACCAGCCTGGCCAACATGATGAAACCCCATCTTTATTAAAAATACAAGAAAAATTAGTCAGGCATGGTGGCACATGCCTACAATCCCAGCTACTTGGGAGGCTGAGGCAGAAGAATTGCTTAAACCCGGGAGGCAAAGGTTGCAGTGAGCCAAGAACACACCACTGCACTCCAGCTGGGTAACTCCATCTCAAAAAATAAAAATAAAAATATTCAAAGCTGTGGCCCAGAAAAACTGGGAATTTATCTTAAGAAATAATGTAAAAGAATTCTAATTTGTTCTCTATATAAAAACATTTATTTTTATATGTAACACTGAAACAAACATCTGAAAACACTCTAAATGCCCAATACAAGGGAATGCTTATAGGACAACCTCCTGTTAAGAATATTATTTGGGCCGGGTGTGGTAGCTCACACATGTAATTCCGCCACTGTGGGAGGCCAAGGCAGAAGGGTTGCCTGAGCCCAGGAGTTTGAAACCAGCCTGGACAACACAGGGAGACGCCCAACTCGCCACAAAAAATTTTACAAATTAGCTGGGCATGGTGGCATGCACCTGTGGTGGTCCCAGCTATTAAATACTTGAGAGGCTGAGGCAGGAGGATTGCTTGAGTCCAGGAGGTTGAGGCTGCAGTCAGCAGTGTTGGAGTCACTGCATTTCAGCCTGGGTGACAGAGTAAGTCACTGTCTCAAAACAGCAACATAAAAAAGAGAATATTATTCAGCATTAAAAATCACTGTATGGGCCAGGTGCGGTAGCTCCCGCCTGTAATCCCAACACTTTGGGAGGCTGAGGTGGGTGGATCATGAGGTCAGGAGTTCGAGACCAGCCTGGCCAACTTGGTGAAACCCGTCTCTATTGAAAATACAAAAATTAGCCGGGTGTGGTGGCGCATGCCTGTAGTCTCAACTACTCGGGAGGCTGAGGCAGGAGAATCACTTGAACCCAGGAGGCGGAGGTTGCAGTGAGCCAAGATCGCGCCACTGCACTCCAGCCTGGGCGACAGAGCAAGACTCTGTCTCAAAAAAAAAAAAAAAAAAAAAAATCATTGTATGGTAAAATGGAACATGTCCTATAATCTAAGTAGGGAAAAGCATGATAGAAAATTATATTGTTGTTGTCAAACTATTTTACAACTAATATAATAAATTAGATATGGGGAAGGAAAAGGAGTGATCTCACAGATTAGGACAACTGTCATAGTAATGAGTTGCTACCCATTAAGAGTTATTTAGGTAACAAATAATAATTTAGAAATTTAGCAAGCCAGCCTCCACAAAAGGGAACACGGTACGAAGTGCTGGCACAAGGCTTGGGATGGGTGTTGCCTGCTGGGTGCCTGTCTCCTGCCTGGGTGTCCTGCCACTCAACAAGAGAAAGCCCTGCCATGGGCTCAGGTAGCCTCTAGGACCCTGGGTCTTAGTGGGCGTTTCCCTGTCTCTGGCTCCCACCGGGGATCACACACAGCACTCAGCCCTTACTGATGTCCTCTGCGAAGATGATGCTGGTGAGGCGGGCAGGCTGGGTCAGGCGGGCCTGCACCACTGCCTTCTGGGAGCACTGCTGCTCGTCCAGGCCCAGCGGCTCGATGCTGGCCACCTCCGGCCGGGTGGACAACCTGCAGTGGAAGAAGACAGCATTTACTCTCTGGAGCTGCACTGCAAGGCACAGTGGGGTCCAGACACCAGGCTGTGGCACCCGTCTAGGGCGCAGTCCTGGACCCAAAGACAGAAGTGAGGTGGGCCACCTAACACCAGCTTCAAACCCAGAGGAGACGTGGGGCCCTGCCAAGGCCTCTCCAGTTAAGACCTCCACAAGCTGAGGGCTCCAGGCCTGTGCACACAGTTCCCATGGAGCAAATCAAACAGGAGACCTCACACCTGGAAATGACCTCAAGGCTCAACAGATGGCCACCGTCCAAGACTCCTGCAGATGTGGGAGTCGTTCAGTACCAGCAGGAAAGCTGCTCAAGGGATCCCATGAGGGACACGTTGCACAGGGAGGGGGCACAGGCATCTCGACCGACCTCTAGCCCAGGCCTGGCGCACAGCAGGCTCCAGGCATCAGCTTCCAACCCCAACGGGTTCCACTAACCCTGGGGATCACTACCTGTAATGATAAACACAACCATGAGCTCCCAGTGCCTGCGGAGCGGATATTATAGCCACAGTGGGGAGACAGACAGATAAACACATCCACAAATGAGCCCAGACGTCTGTGAGCCAATTTCCCCAGGGAGGATAACAGGAGGAAGGATAACAGGAATGTGTGGGGAAAGCTATCTGCTGTCAGCGCCTCAGTTTCTCATCCATGGCCCAGGATAACTGCCCCAGGCCCAGGTGAGAAGGTGACGAGAGGCAGAGGACAGCAGACTCCACACTGAGCGTGCCCAGCTAGCATGTGCTGTCTACAGACAGGCTCTCAGGCCTAGTGTACAGGGCCTCCAAAAGAATGCCACCAGGATCTGGGGTGAAGCAGGGCCATGGAAAGCGGCTGGCCATGCTGCCCTCAGAGAGTTTATAGTGTGACCAAGGCCCCAGGAGGGGCCACTAAGCCGTGCCTGGCGCTTGTCTCTCGGGGCCGCACCCGGCACAGCACCCGACACAGAGCAGACACTCCGGGGTCTCTGCATCCTCCCTAACTTTGCCTAAACTCACTGGAACATCCACAGCCACGAGTATTCTGAAGGAGACTTGTCAGAAACTGCCTGGTGTCAAAAAGCAATGGTGCGTGGCCAGGCGCAGTGGCTCATGCCTGTAATCCCAGAACTTTGGGAGGCCGAGGTGGGCAGATCACCAGAGGTCAGGAGTTCGAGACCAGCCTGACCAAGTTGGTGAAACCCTGTATCTACTAAAAATACAAAAAATTAACCAGGCTTGGTGGCAGGTACCTGTAATCCCAGCTACTCGGTAGGCTGAGGCAGGAGAATCGCTTGAACCCGGCAGGCGGAGGCCTGCAGTGAGCCAAGATCAAGCCATTGCATTCCAGCCTGGGCAACAGAGTGAGACTCTGGCTCAAAAAAAAAAAAAAAAAAAAAGGCAATGGTGCGGAACACACCTAGGCAGATGTCCCGCCTTCTGGCTGGATGCCAAGTGTCTTCCCTGGGCCAAGCCAGCACAAGGCCCCTTCCAACACACCTGAGCATGCCGACCACTCCGACACCACCTGGCCACAATGGGCTGCGGCAGGAGGCCTCCAGATGGACCTTGGAAGTTCACGGAAAATGAGCTGCATCCATCAGTGAAGGAAAGCAATCTACACCCCGGAGGAAGTGTGTCTGTGGCCCCTTGTGGATTTCTTCCAGGAAAATAGCATGGCACAGAGTCGAGGAACACAGCAAAGCAGGCACAAGCCCACACAGGAGACAAGAAGCAGGTGCCTATGAACCCGGCCCATACCCACTGGAAACACTCCGTCCAACCATCCAAATGCTGACAGCACTAGTGCCCTACGGTGTTTTTCGAGGGGCTTTAAACTTCCCATACACAAGCACACACAAGAGTGTGGAAACAAGGACAAATTAGAAAATTCACACAGGGCAGTAGAGGCTAAGGAAACTCAACAAATCCTGGGTCCTAGATTCGATCTGGGGGCAGAAAAAGGAGCCTGTACTTACTACTGAATTTTGCCATAAACCTAAAACTGCTTTAAAAAAAAAAAAGTCTACTCTGCCAGGTGCAGTGGCTCATGCCTCTAATCCTAACACTTTGGGAGGCTGAGGTGGGAGGATCATTTGAGCCCAAAAGTTCAAGACCAGGCTGGGCAACAAAGTGAGACGCCATCTCTACAAAAAAAAATTTTTTTAATTAGCCAGTTATGGTGGTGTGCACCTGTGGTCCCAGCTACATGGGAGGCTGTGGGAGGGAGGATCCCTTGAGCCCAGGAGTTCAAGGCTGCAGTGAGTTGTGATTGTGTCAATGCACTCTGCCTGAGTGAGAGAATGAGGTCCCGTCTCAAGCAAACAAACAAGTAGAATAAATGAATAAATATAAAGAATAAAGAAAATAAAGTCTATGGGGGGAAAAGAGAATTCATCATTTCCCACTCCTGCCTTTAAAAACACTGTGGTATGTATCATTCGATGGCCCCTGGGAACTGGGATCTGGGGTCCTGGTCTGGCCTGTAAATCCCACACCCTCTCCTAGCCTCTGTCTCCTCAACAAAATAGAGATAACCACTCTTTTCTTGCTTCATAACAGCAGTGTATTAATCTCAGACACAGGCCCAATAAATGCAAACAGAGCTCTTCCTATCCAAGTAAAAGAAGCCTGAAATTCTCCTTGCAAAACTCCCCAAGCTCTTCCCTGGGCTGCCACACTGAGATGCCTGGACAGCCTGCAGAACCCGACTGCAGTGACCACACCTTTCATGTCCATGTAGCAGGGCTACATTAAGGACTCATACAAGCCTGAGATAGCCCTGCACAACAGACGTGTAACACAGGCCACGTTTTCATTTTCCGTCAAAAAAAAAAGTAACAGGTGAGATTAATTTTTAATAAACCTTGTTTTTTAAAGCAGTTTGAGGTGCACAGCAAAACTGAATAGAAAGTATAGATTTCCCATACATGCCCTGCCCCATGCATACACAACACTTCCCTCAACATCCCCACCAGAGTGGTGAATTGGTTACAATGGAGGAGGCTGTGGTGACCTCACAATCACTCAGAACACTCGCAGCTGACATGAGGGTGCACAGTCGGCATCCCATGTCCTGTAAGTTTGGACAGATGGATAACAGCCCACACCTGCCATGGCAGTATCCTTCGGAACAGCACCACTGCCCTAAAAGTCCCCTGCACTCTGCCTATTCCTCCATTTTTAAATCCCTATTAAAAAGTCATATTTTTAAGAAAATACGTGATTTACCCCAACATATCCTAAATATCATGCTTCTGACATGTAGTACTGGCTGCATTTTCAGAGCTCACAGTCACACGTCTTAGTCTTTTGGGGCTGCCATGACAAAACATCACAAACAGGGTTTTTCCAACAACAGAAATGTATTGCTCACAGTTCTGGAGGCTGGCAGTCCAAGATCAGCTGGCATACTAGGTGTCTAGTGAGGGCCCACTTTCTGGGTCATGCCTGCTGTCTTCCCACTGTTGTCACATGGCAGAAGGGGCGAGGGAGCTCTCTGGGGCCTTTTGTATAAGGGCACTAATCCCAACCATGAGGGCCCCACCCTCATGACCCCATCACCTCCCAAAGGTGCTACCTCAAATGCCATCGCCTTGGGGATCCTCAAATGCCATCGCCTTGGGGATGAGGTGTCAACACATGAGTCTGAGGGGACACAGACATTCGTTCACGTGGTGAGTGGTTCCAATGCTGGCCTGGCTCTGAGGCCTGGCCTCCTGGTGGAGGGCCGTGCAGGCGCAGGGCTCTCATGTCCTGGGGTCTCTGTGGACACCTCTGACCCCTGCCCAGGCTCTACTTGGGAGGCAGCGGGTGCTAAATGCTCTTGTGACCTTCTTAAGAAAGTCCCTCCTCTCAGCACTGACGACAGAGCCTGGGGGAGAGAGAAAGCAGCCTGGCCTGGCCTGGGAAGGCTTGCCTCAGCCATCTAAGGTGGCTCCCACCCTTCAGGCCCCAGGGCCTGGGGCTTGATCCCTGCATCCCCTCTTCAGCTGGCTGAGCTCTGTGCAACAGGAGTAAGATTCCATCCACCCAGGGCTTCCTCACAAGCAGACCGGGCCACGTCTGGCCTCTGCAGATCCCCGCTCCCCTGGGGCCTGCTCTCTCTGGGTCAGGACCTGCATGGGAATCAGGGGCAGCCCATCCCAACACCTCCTGGAGGCTGCAGGCAGCTCACGCTGGTTTTCCTGTGACCAGTGTGAGTGTTCCTTTCAGTTATCTGACTTCCTTCCCGGGCATTTTGAGCCCACCCATAGCTTTGGGCATGTCTTTAAGGGACACAAAAGAACTGCAACAGCCACCAATTCCGTCCTCATCTGTAAGGCAGGCCCCCCACCCACCCTGCCTTCCTCACAGGGGTGTGTAATGCTGGATGAAAAAGCACAACAGAAAGTGTCTGCCAGAGAATTACAGAGGGAAAGGTTTGCACCAAACTCAAAATAGAGAAGGTGGAAGTGGAAATGGTGGGGGTAGTAAGGAGGAATTCACTTTTATTCAGAAGGCTTTATTTCTTTAAAAAAAGAATGGAAACCAATATAGGTTGTTACACAATGGCTAATTCTGATGGTAGGAATATGGGTATTCATTACATTATTATTTCTTTTCTGTGTTATTCTAACTTCTAAATGAAAATATCTTCCCCCTAATGTTAGTTGTAACTTAAAGAACTACTGCTATGTCCTCATCTTACAGATCGGTAAACTGAGGCTTAGGAAAACGGGACTGGTTTAAGGCCACAGAGGCCAGGCTAGGACACAGGGGTTCTAAGCCCAAAAGCAGGATACTTTCTGCTATCAGGGCCACGCAGAAGCGCCCTCCCTCCGAAGGGCTGTCTCTGCCCCTCACAGCTTTCCAGGATGGGCCTTAGAAAAACCCTATAGGTGTCCCTGGAGATTCAGGCTGGCTCTTTCCCAGGCTGGGAATGAAAGAGCTGGCCAGTCATGTGCAAGTCGGGAATGTTTCTGTTTCCAGGATCTGGGGAGAGAAGAATTACATCTACATGGAGGGAGGGTGGGTAATTCTTCACAGACATGGTAGTTGATCAAACCAACCCAGGCAAAGAGAGACAGGGAGTGCAGGAGGAGATAAGAGAGGTGAGGGCAGGCAGGAACAGTTCGTTTCTGGAGACCACTGAGATATCCAAGGACTGTTTTTTATTAAAATAAAAGTGTGCTGGTGGAGTGTGAGGATTAACTTTACATGTTAACTTGACTGAGCCACAGTGACCAGATATTTGGTCAAACACTAATCTGGCCATTTCTCTGAGGGTGTTTTTGGATGAGATTAGCATTTGAATCTGTGGCCTGGGTAAAGTAGATGCCACCTAATGTGGGTGGGCCTCATCCAATCAGGTAACGGCCTGAACAGAACAAAAGCCTGAGCAAGGAGAATTCCCGCTCTGGGCCTCGCAGTCATTGAGTGGGGATGTCAGCATCCCTGCCTTCAGACTCGAGCTGAAACATAGGCTCTTCTGGGTCTTGAGCCTGCTGGCCTTCAGACTAAAACTAAACCATCAGCTCTCCTGAGATTCCAGCTGAATGCAGCTCTTAGGACTTGTCAGCCTCTATAATCATATAAGCTAATCCCTTATACTAAACCTCTCATATACATATGAGGGGGTGTGTGTATAAGATATATATATATAGGCTATATATATAGCCTATTGAATATATGCATATGAGCTATATATATATGACATATATGTCCTATTGGTTCTGTTTCTTCAGAAAACCCTGACTAATCAGGGAGGGTATAAGAAATGAGAAGGGCAACTGAGGAAAGGAAAGGGCACCATGTATCAGGCCCAGAGCTAAACACTTCTATTTATCACTGAATCCTCCACCAGCCCTGTATGGGAAAACCAAACTGAGGCTCAGAGTGGTTAAGTAATTTGCCCAAAGCCACACAGCTGTCAGCAGCAGGGCCAACTATCGCAGCTAGGCCTGGGTGACTCCAGATCAGATACCTCTCCCATTCCAGGAGCATTTTCCTCAGGATATGACACACCCACCAGTTTAGATGATGCACAGATGAGCTATTTTTTAACAGACTCATTATGCATTTTAACTATTACATATTCATTTAAGTGTTTTAGGAAAAACAAATGTACCAAACTCATGAGCTCATAAATGTTAATACGAAAGATAATGTCAATGTTTTTTAAAAAGTGAGTCATTTTGAAGGAAATGTTCAGTAAATTCTAGTATAGGTAGTACATAAAAGCAGCAGCATTTTAATGGTGGCAGTGAAGTGACTGCAGTCCCCACTACCCACTACTGAGGCACACCTCGGGGAAGTGTGGGTCCAGGGAAGAGGGGAACCGAGCCCTGCAACGCCAGCCATGCCTTCCCTCTGGTACAGAGTCTGATATAAGCTGCCATTCTCCAATTTCTGGGAGCACAGGGGCAGGGTAATGTCCTACACTGATATCAGGAACTCTAAACACCAGATGGGCCTCTCCCTGGTTGGCTGGGACCCACCGTGAGGAACAGAGGAACCACTGGAAGAGGCACGTGGCTACAACAGCTAACACAGTCCCTGACCAGTACAGGCTCTGGGCCATAGGTGGCCCATGTAGCCACTCAGCCCATACTCAAAACCGGGTCTGGAGACACAGCACTCAAGGACACACAGGGGCTCACTAAGCAGAAAAGGCAGGGTCTGCACATAGGGCTCACTGGCTGAGATGCCAACACTTTCATCTGCCACCCACCGAAGCCAGGTCAGCCAGCTCATAGCCCAGTTCACTTGGATTCCACATCAAGTTTGGCCAAAGAAACAGAGTCCGGCGACTTTTCTGAGGAAAAGCCCTCCCCTGCCCATCCAGTCTAAATGAATAGCCACTCCTCTAAAAGGACACTTGGTCCTCTTACCTGCACACCTGTCCTTCTTCTCTGCACCTCAGCAGGTGGGCGGCATGTCTGCCCTACCCTCCCACTCACCAACACCTCTGCCCCAACCCCCCCCACCCCCCACACGGCACACATGGCAGGTTTCATAGTCGGGAGTGGTGCGTGTGGCTTTCCCAGGGACCCCTCATGTAGTGCAGCAAGTAGCCCTCGGGGATGGGGACGTGGCTCACTCGGTTCTCTCATCTGTTGGTATCTGTGGAATGGGAGGTCGTAAGACAGACAGGTGCTGCCACTCACCAGCTGCGTGATCTTGACCAAATGAGCTAACCTCCCTGGGCTGCCACATCCTCATCTGCACAATAGGAATGAAAATAGCACCTATACAAAGCACTGGGCTGGGATAATATATATCAAGCTCTTCTCACAGCTCTCAGATCTAGGAAAAAGGAGGGGGCTCCCAAATGAAGGAGTTGTGGTCCTGCAATGTTTGGGATGATTCTGACCACAAGAACTTTGCTTTTTAAAGAAAGGAGAAAAGCTGGGCGCAGTGGCTTGTGCCTATAGTTCCAATTATGCAGGAGGATGGCTTGAGCCCAGGAGTTCAAGGCATTGTGATTACTCCTGCTTGAACCTGTCCTTCCTCTTCCCTGAAGCCTGACCCTAAAGCCCTAGGGTCAGGGCCCTCCTCACAGGCCTCCCAATGATACCACCAAGGCATCCTTAAAGCCTGAATCAAAGATTCAGGCCCAAAACAGAGTTATTGGCCCAAGGTGGCACTGCTGGAAAGAGCCTGAACCACCTGCCATCAAATCTAACCTCTTTTCCAAAGCCCCTGCCTCCCACTCCTCCCTCCCTCCCAGCTTCTCCACCTCTATTCCTCTGCTGATGCTGGTCCCTCCACCTCACATGACCTCTTGACCCACAGGTATGCTGTCCAACCTTCTTAGCTCACCAAACACAGCAACTCTTCCATGGACTGTCCCTATCTGCAACACCCATGCCCCTCCTATCAGCTCCCATGGCACCGCTGGTCCTCCTTGAGGTCTTTAAGGCATTCATCCACTTATTGAAACCATAAATACTGGGCTATTAGTGATATTTAAGGTAGTGTTCTAGGTGCCAAGGACACAACTAAGTACAGACTACACATTAACCTCTATCTTCACGGAGCTTTCACTTTAGTGGAAGGAGAACAAAAACAGACAAAATGAGTGAATGAAGATGGGATCTTAGTAATGGCTAAGGACAGATAAAATGCTGGGAGGGCCAGGGCTGCCATCTTCCATGGACACTCAGAGGAGGCATCACTGAGGGGGCACTGTGCAAGCAGAGACTTTAAGGACAGGCAGGCATGGACTCTATCAGGTGTGGGTGGTGAATGTTCATCCATGGAGACAAATACATGGCTTTTCTTCTTTATTCTGTTAATATGGTCATTACACTGATTTTTTAAAAATATTGAACCAACCTTGCATTCCTGGGATATGCCCTACCAGATCATGATATATTAGTCTTGTTTATTTTTCTGGATTTGATTAGCTAGTATTTTAAAAAATTGTGCTTTTGGTCTGTGGGATTTTTTTTTTCTTATAATGCTTTCATCTGGTTTGCAATGGGTGTAATGTTGGCCTCATAAAAGTGAATTAGGAAACAATTGCTCCTTCTCTCTCTCCTGAGAGTCTGTAAAGAACCTGTATCATTTCTTCCTTAAATCTTTCACAGAATTTACAGACAAGGCCATCTGGGCTTACAGTTTTCTTTATGAAAAGGTTTTTAGGCCAGGTGCCATGGCTCATGCCTATAATCCCAGCACTTTGGGATGCCAAGGCATGTGGATCATGAGATCAGGAGTTCAAGACTAGCCTGACCAACATGGTGAAGCCCTGTCTCTACTAACAATACAAAAATTAGCCAGGCATCATGGCGTGCACCTGTAATTCCAGCTACTAAGGAGGCTGAGGCAGGAGAATCGCTTGAACTCAGGAGGCAGAGGTTGCTGTGAGCTGAGGTCGCACCACTGCACTCCAGCCTGAGTGACAGGGAGAGACTCTGTCTCAAAAAAAAAAAAAAAAAAGGTTTTTAATTACAAACTTAATTTTATCAAATGTACCAAGTGGAACAGAAGGCATCTAGGGCTGCATACTCTGCAAGTGTTTTCAGGGCATCCCAAAAGCTCCGTGCAGCAGCAGGTCTCATGTGACCACCTGACGGCTGCTGAGACTGAGCTCTGGTGCTGTCACATGGCCAGGCTGCCTCCTCAAAGGCACCTGACTCTGTTCTGCTCAATGTCCTCCCTCATCACACCAGCTCCCCTGTAAGTCCAGGGTCTGTAGGCCTCCCCTGCCCTTCCCACAAACAGCTGTCAACAGGCAAGCAGCTGACCTGTGAGTGCCATTTCTGTGGGGGACATGTGCTGGGTTTGGGCTGCCCAGCCTCCACATACCTTCCAGTAACAGCACTCAATTTTTCTGTAGGTGCCTGTCTGCTATGGTCTGAATGTCTGTGTCCTCCTGAAATCCAGATGTTGAAATCCTCACCTCTGAGGTGATGACATGTGTTAACAGGTGGGGCTTTTGGTGCGTGATTAGGTCATGATGTCTGAGCCCTCATGGATGGACTAAGCGCCTTTATAAAAGAGGTCCCACAGAGCTGCTCATCCCTTCCCACCATGAGAGGATGTCACAAGGAGTGAGCAGTCTAAAACCTGGAAGACAGCCTTCACCAGAACCTGACCATGCTGGTACCATCTTGAAACTTTCATTTATTCTATGCTTTCTTATGTGTCAATCACAGAGTGAAACATATCATGAACATTTCATTTGCTTCCAAACAATCCTATTAAAACCCCCATTTGATACATGAGGAATCCTTTGCATGGATGTTAAGTGACCTTCATGAAGCCACGTCCCTAGACATGGGCCTTAGTGTAGTCTAGCTCAGAACCCCTGGTCTGGACACTCTCCTGCTCCCTTGTGCTAGGGTACACGGAGTTCAAAACAAGGCCACAGGCCTCCCACCTTTACCTGGTGCTGCCTCCAGACCAAGCAGAAGGATGGCTTTAACATCCACCTGAATCAGCCCCCACCTCCAAATGTATCCTGAATACTAATTTTTTTTTTTTTGGAGACGGAGTCTCGTTCTGTCACCCAGGCTGGAGTGCAGTGGTACGATCTAGGCTCGCTGCAACCTCTGCCTCTTGGATTCAAGCAATTCTCCTGCCTCAGCCTCCCGAGCAGCTGGGACTACAGGTGCACGCCACCTGTAATTTTTAGCACGTCACCCAGCTAATTTTTTTTTTTTTTTTTGTATTTTAGTAGAAACGGTTTCACCGTGTTGCCCAGGCTGGTCTCTAAATCCTGAGCTCAGGCATTCTGCCTGCCTTGGCCTCCCAAAGTGCTAGGATTACAGGTGTGAGCCACTGTGCCCAGCTATTACTGATTTTTTTTTCCTTTTTCTTTTTCTTTTTGAGACAGAGTTTCACTCTTGTTGCCCAGGCTGGAGTGCAATGAGACAATCTCGGCTCACCGCAGCCTCCACCTCCCAGGTTCAAGTGATTCTCCTGCCTCAGCCTCCCGAGGAGCTAGGAAAAGGCATGTAGCACCATACCCAGCTAATTTTGTATTTTTAGCAGAAATGAGGTTTCTCCATATTGGTCAGGCTGGTCTCAAACTCCTGACCTCAGGTGATCCGCCCACCTTGGCCTCCCAAAGTGCTGGGATTACAGGCGTGAGCCACTGTGCCTGGCCAATACTGATTTTTAAAAGCACCACTGGGCCAGGCATGGTGGCTTATGCCTGTAACCCTAACACTTTGGGAGGCCAAGGTAGGAGGATCACTTGAGACCAGGAGTTTGAGACCAGACTAAGCAACAGTGAGACCCCATTTCTAAAAAAAAAAACAAAAAGGCCGGGCACGGTGGCTCACACCTGTAATCCCAGCACTTTGGGAGGCCGAGGCGGGTGGATCACGAGGTCAGGAGATCGAGACCATCCCGGCTAACATGGTGAAACCCCGTCTCCATTAAAAAATACAAAAAATTAGCCGGGCGTGGTGGCAGACGCCTGTAGTCCCAGCTACTTGGGAGGCTGAGGCAGGAGAATGGTGTGAACCCAGGAGGCGGAGCTGGCAGTGAGCTGAAATGGCACCACTGCACTCCAGCCTGGGTGACAGAGCAAGACTCTGTCTCAAAAAAAAAAAAAAAAAAAATTAGCCAGGTGTGGTGGCATGCACCTTTAGTCCCAGCACTTTGGGAGGCCAAGGTAGGAGGATTGCTTGAGGCCAGTAGTTTGAAACTAACCTGTGCAATAGTGAGTCTCTAAAAAATAATAATAATAAATAAAAATTTTAAAAATTAGCTGGGCGTGGTGGCTCACATCTATAGTCCCAACTACTCTAAAGGCTGAGGAGGGAGGATCACTTGAGCCCAGGAGTTTGAGGTTATAGTGAGCTATAATTGTGCCACTGCACTGCAGCCTGGGTGATAGAGCAAGAATCTGTCTCAGAAAAATAAAAGTACTACTGAAGTTTTAAAATCCAGCTGAAGGAAACTGGGTAAACCAACAATCATCTGAGAAGGGTGGCGCATTTCCCCAGGCATCTGAGAGTGAGTGTGGTTCTGGATCTGAGGCTGGTTTTGGACACAGCTCTGCCACTAACCAGCTGTGAGGCTCTTGGACCCAGGCTCCTCATTTGTACAGTGCAGTCATTCTTACCAAAGGAGTTTTGTTTATTGTTCATTTTTAGGATTAAGTGGGGGCATAGTATGCAAAGGGATTAACAGAAAAATTGGTTCTTTCATTTTGGCTCCCTCTGTCCATCCCCCCTGTCACCACCCCCACATCTCCTCTGCAACACTGGAAGCCCCTGCCTCTGGACCTGCAGGCTGTGGCCAGGAAGGGCAGTTGCCTAGACACCTGCACCTGCCGACGGCCCCTCCCCACCATCAGGCTCCTCTTGGTTGGACACCTGCCCTAGCCCAGTCACATACAGGTATGACTTGTATTCGTTTATTTACTTATTTATTTATTTGAGACAGTTTCACTCTTATCACCCAGGCTGGAGTGCAGTGATGCAATCTCAGCTCACTGCCACCTCCGCCTCCCGGGTTCAAGCAATTCTCCTGCCTCAGCCTCCCAGGTAGCTGGCATTATAAGCGCCCAGCACCACGCCCAGCTATTTTTTTTGTATTTTTAGTAGAGATGGGGTTTCACCATATTGGCCAGGCTGGGCTCGAACTCCTGACCTCAGGTGATCCGCCCTCCTCGGCCTCCCAAAGTGCTGGGATTACAGGCATGAGCCACTGCATCTGGCCAGCCACTGCACCCGGCCTAGTTTTTTTAATAGACAGGCTCTCACTCTGTTGCCCAGGCTGGAGTAGAGTGGTACAATCATGGATCACTGCAGCCTTGACCTTCTGGGTTTAAGCAATCCTCCTGCCTCAGCCTCAGGAGTAGCTGGGACCACAGGTGCCTGTGCCACACCCAGCTTTATTTTCCTTTTCTTTTTTTTTTTTTTTTAGTAGAGACAGGGTTTCGCTATGTTGCCCAGGCTGGTCTTAAACTCCTGAGCTTAAGCGATCCTCCTGCCTCAACCTCCCAAAGTGCTGGGATTATAGGCATGAGCCACCATGCTCGGCCCTTTTCTTATTATTGTATTAAATGGATTCTTCTTTACTAAAAAATTACTTTAAAAGGAAACCTTGGCCAGGTGTGGTGGCTCACACCTGTAATCCCAGCACTTTGGGAGGCAGAGGAGGGCTGATCACCTGAGGTCGGGAGTTCGAGACCAGCCTGGCCAACATGGCGAAATCCCGTTTCTACTAAAAACACAAAAATTAGCCGGGCATGGTGGTGGATGCCTGTAATCTCAGCTACTCAGGAGGCTGAGGCAGGAGAATCGCTTGAACCTGGGCAGCAGAGGTTGCTGTGAGCCAAGATCTTGCCACTGTACTCCAGCCCAGGCAATACAGCAAGACTCCATCTCAATTAAAAAAAAAAAAGGGAGGCTGAGGCAGGTGGATCATGAGGTCAGGAGAGCAAGACCATCCTGGCTAACATGGTGAAACCCCGTCTCTACTAAAAATACAAAAAATTAGCTGGGCATGGTGGCGGGCACCTGTAGTCCCAGCTACTTAGGAGGCTGAGGCAGGAGAATGGCGTGAACCCAGGAGGCGGAGCTTGCAGTGAGCCGAGATCAGGCCACTGCACTCCAACCTGATCAACAGAGCAAGACTCTGTCTCAAAAAAAGAAAAAAAGCCAGGCACAGTAGCTCACGCCTGTAATCCCAGCACTTTGGGAGGCCGAGGCAGGCAGATCACGAGGTCAGGAGTTCGAGACTAGCCTGGCCAATATGGTGAAACCCCGTCTCTACTAAAAATACTAAAATTAGCCAGGCGTGTTGGCACATGCCGGTAGCCCCAGCTACTCAGGAGGATGAGGCAGAAGAATTGCTTGAGGCCGGGCGCGGTGGCTCACACCTGTAATCCCAGCACTTTGGGAGGCCGAGACGGGCGGATCACGAGGTCAGGAGATCGAGACCATCCTGGCTAACATGGTGAAACCCCATCTCTACTAAAAATACAAAAAAAAGTTAGCCGGGCGTGGTGGCAGGCGCCTGTAGTCCCAGGTACATGGGAGGCTGAGGCAGGAGAATGGCATGAACCCGGGAGGCGGAGCTTGCAGTGAGCCAAGATCGCACCACTGCACTCCAGCCTGGGCGACAGAGCAAGACTCTGTCTCAAAAAAAAAAACAAACAAACAAAAAAGGAAACCTTACACACTAGTGTAAATAAGAATATCACAGCATTTGTCATCCATCCAGATGACTCAAAGCAGTGTCAGTAAGTCCTGGGGGGAAGCTGCTACCTGCAAAGACTCTAGGCGTCTGCCTGTTCTCTTGGGAGACAGGCAAACATCAAAGAGTACAATGAAAAGATGGTGTTGGCCAAGGCCCGAGCAGGAGAAAATAGGGAGTTGCTATTTAATGGGTACAGAGTGTCCATTTGGGAAGATGAAAGAGTTCTGAAGGTGGATGGTGGAGGTGGCTGCACAACAATTGTGAACGTACTTCATGCCACAGAACTCTACACCTAAAAATGGTTAAGGAGGTCGATTATATGTTATATATATTTTACCACAATTTAAAATAAAAAAATATGTAAACCACATACAGACACCAGAAGAAAACTTTTATTTTGAGGAAAATTAAAGGACTGACAGTGAGTTTTGAAAGAGTGAATTTTTCTCATTCCCACTGTCGCATGAGGCCCCACTGGCACACAGAATGTGCTGGCGTCTGGCAGGCACTGCTTTTGAGGGGGTGCTCCCCACTCTTCACAACACAGGAACAGGAGGCAGGCAGGCCATAGGGGAACTCAGGGACCTGGGTCAGGCCAGAAAGCAACAGTGAAAAGAAAAGAGAAGTGAGAGTTGCACAAAGAACAAGGATGGGTGAGGGTGGTGGATGACACACGCCACCTCCCATCCACCCGCGGGGTCCAGCCCCTAACGGTGCCCAAAGGCAGTGTCTACAGAGCGGAAGCCACCTCGTGGGGCTGACAGAGCTCAGGCAGAGTGGGGGACCCACAAAGGAAGCAGGAAGAAAATCACCCAAGGCCCAAGTCAACCCAGGTCCACAGACACTTCCTGGCACTTCCCTGCTGCGGGCCTGGTGAAGGGAGTTGAGCAAGGCCCGGTCCAGCCCTGCAGGGGCCACAGCTACAGACAGCCCTCAGGGGCCAGGGAGAACGAGGCCCAAAAACCAGGCCCAGTCTAACCCTGCCCACATCTGACCTGGCATTCTCCTTCCTGTCTCCTAACCACAGCCCACAAGGTCCCACATGGCCCCGCCCTGCCAACCTCTCCACCCTCCCTCCCAGCCCTGCTGCCCTGGCCAAACGTGCTGCCTTTGCGCACTTCTGACAAGCTCTATCTCTCCTCCGGCCCTTTGCACTTGCTGTCCCCTCCAACTCAACCCCACTCCACTCCTAGTTCGACTCCCAGGAGGCTTATGCTGAGCGCCCTCCCCAAAACACATTCCATGCCTTGCAGTTCTGTTTCCTTCAGGACTTACTCCTGCCTCACATGCATCCACAGATCTCATCTTAATTAACCGTTTAACTCCGGCAATCAACTGTGAGTCCCTGAGAGCAGGGCATCTCCTGCTGCTTCACTGTCACATCCCAGGACCTCAAGTAGTGCCTGGCTCATAGTAAGAGTCACAGACAGGTGGGTGTGGTGGCTCATGCCTGTAATCCCAGCACTTTGGGAGGCTGAGGCGGGTAGATCACAAGGTCAAGAGATCTAGACCATCCTGGCCAACATGGTGAAACCCTGTCTCTACTAAAAATACAAAAATTAGCTGGGTATGTGCCTGTAGTCCCAGCTACTTGAGAGGCTGAGGCAGGAGAATAGCTTGAACCTGGGAGGTGGAGGTTGCAGTGTGCCGAGATCGTGCCACTGCACTCCAGCCTGGCAACACAGCGAGACTCCATCTCAAAAAATAAAAAGAGTCACAGACATTTGTCACCTCTTATTCAGTGACTCTCCAGCCCTCCTCGGTGAAATATGTGTCGTCCATCAGTGCTTGTCCCCTGGTGCTCAGGCAGGACGGGTCTTCACCGTGTGCCCTCTCCCAGGCCCTGCGGGAGCTCTGGTTTCTCCACCCCACTTTCTAACTGCCAGAAATGCCATCAAATAGGCCCAGATGATAACGCAATCGACCAAAGCCTGTGACTCTAAGGCCAGGCATAAGGAAGGAGACAGAGATTTGGCCTAGGTGTGTGGGGATGCAGCATGCACACAAATTGAGTGGTACAGGGGAAAACACTCTCAACGAAAAGAGCAGAAGTACAGGTGTGGGCTCAGGGAAGGCCAAGTGAAGGAGGTACAGAAGAGCAAACTGGGGGCCTCCCGTCGAATTCAACTCCCTCTTTTGGGTTGTTTCCACTTTGTGAATTTTTTATTTTGACTATGGGGCAACTTCTTACAGGCCCTGTTGCCTCACCTGTGCAAGTTTCCAGCATGTGACCTGCTGACGTGCCCGTCCCAGAGGCTCAGGGTCCCTGAGCCCAGCAGAAGCCAGCTAGGCCAGATGACACTCTGACTTGGCTCAGCGTGCATCCCTCACCCTTAGTGCCCAACTTCACCCACGAAGGCCTGTGAGGGGATTTGCTGCAGCTTCCCCTGCTGGGGCAGGGAGAGGGACCCAGGACATCCACACGCAAGGGTAGTGCTGGCCTCTGGCCTCCCACAGTCACCCCTCAGCAAAGAGGGACTCCCCAGGGGTCATCTGAACTGCCTGGGGTACAGCATGCCCCAAGGCCAAGCTCCACGGCATAGGGACCAGTGCCCTCCCTGGCCCTGAAAGGACTCCCATCTACCTGTTTGAGAATCCTTACACCTGTGACTGAGAAGTGCCCCAGACCACATAAGAGAGGGTGTACCCTGGTGCAGGACCAGGCCTGGCACACGTGTTAGATGGCTCCAAGGTGCCCAGGAGAGACTGTCAGGGGCAGGAAAGGAGAAGTCTGTGAACAGCTTGGTATGGCAGTCACTGTGCATGCTGTGTCTGGATGTTGTTCACCAGGCAGGTCCACATCCCCTCCCCACCTCAGCCAGGGGAGCTGCAGGTCGTAATTCAAAACAGAGTGTCTCCGCCAGAGGCCCGGGAGGTCGCACAACATCCCCTTCCCCAGGGGAACCAATGGCTGCCTGACAGTGGGTACAAAAGCTCAAAGCTTGGTCTCTTCGCCTGAAGGCAGGACAACCTGCAGGCAGCCTCCCTTCCCTATCCAGCTGCCCAACAGAGCACTTTCTCTGTAAACTAGGGCAGCAGAATCCTGCCTCAGGCTCCACCCCTGGGAAACCAATCTGAGCCACTCACTTTCTCCAAGACAGCGCCCCCTTGCTGGAGCACCCAGAATACCCTGGGACTCCATGACAGGGAAAGAATCAATGAGGAGGCAACTTCAACCCAGCAGAAAGGTGCTCAGACACGGAGCCCTCAGGAAGAAGCAACAGAGCAGTGCTTGGGCTTCAGTGCTAGCCAGTGTTGGCAGGGGAGGAGGTTCCCGAGGTGCCCAAATAACCAGGTTCAAGGCAATGTAAGAAAGGAGCTAGGAGAGGAAACATAAGTGACCGAAAAGAAACCAAAATGCTGCCTGTGATTGTATTACAGCTGGAAGATTATGGCATGATTTCTTTTTCGTCTGTTCTCCCAGTTTTTGATATGAGGTCGTTTTGTATATACCTTTAAAAGGAGCAAATGTAATATACTTTATGGAACACTTTCAATAATGCAAAATATCTAGAAGGAATCAGGAACTTGTCACAAAACCAGTGCTGGCTGGGTGCAGTTGGAGAGAATTAGAGCCTGGCAAATTAGCCAGAGGCTGCCAGTCCCCAGGTCTAATGGCGTGGGACAGGGAGGGGTCCCAGCAGCTCCTGCTCCAACTCAGTGTCCATCGCTACAAGACTTCCCAGAGATCACTTCCCCTTCTGGAGCTCAGGTTTTCCTATATGAAACACAGGCTGTTTAAACTAGGTGACCTCTAAGGTTCCCCTGGCCCGAAAACTGTCCAATTTTGATGTTATAAAATAAAAAAAATAGGAAAAGTAAACATGAAGCTGTTGGCTCAGGCACACACAGTGATTTCTGTAAACTTAGAGCTCAGCTGCAAATTCAATGGATGTGCAAATGTTCCCACAGGGTCTGGCAGAATTCTCATTTTCTTTTTCGTCTGAGAGACTTAACAATGAACTTTCTGGATGAAGAGGTAATGTTCCTCCCAGGTTTAGAGGACTGTGGATATATGTCTATAGGCCAGCTCTTAAAATCTCCAGAGCAGATTCTTCAAAACTGCAGCAATAGACGACTACACTAGGAACAGCAATACTAAAAATAAAGAAAATATTCTCAATGCTTGATTGACAGAATGTCTTCCTGTCAAGTTAAGGGGGAATCACAATTTCCAAACACCTCTGAGAAGACACTTTGAATAGCAGTCACACATCTGCAGTCACACATCTGCAATACAAACTACAGATCAACGCCAAACACGTTATAAGGTACTTAGCACTTCTCTGATGCATCAGAGATTAAGAATGTTTTTTCCCTTTTTCCTACCAAGTAAATTAAAATCCACCAACACCCTTCAGCTCCTCTCAGAAAAGAAAATGATGTTGGGGGGGAAAAAAGTGTTGTTAGTTTAGAAAAAGAAAAAAGTACAGCTATAGAATCTCAGAGAAAGTAACACACAAATATATCCAAAGGGATTCACTTGAAGCCAGCTGTTTTTAATAACCAGTTTCCTCTTTCTTGCCCACATACTGAGAGGACAGACAGCTTCAACAAGAGAATGAGCATGTATCCCCGCCACAGTATTGACTAACAGCTGATTTTCCCACACAAGACTAGGCCTTAGACTGGGATACAGAAAACCTAATGCCCAAGTTCAGCCTCTGGCATCAGGCCAGAAATAGGAGCCTCCAGGTGCATAAAGCACTAAAACCAAAATGCAATGGGCTGACCTAGTACGTCTTGATTTCAGGAAGGAGACCTTCAAAAAAGAAATAGGGCAGGCCGGGTGCAGTGGCTCACGCCTGTAATCCCAGCACTTTGGGAGGCAGAGGCGGCGGGATCACTTGAGGTCAGGAGTTCGAGACCAGCCTGACCAACATAGTGAAACCCCATCTTTACTAAAAATACAAAAATTGGCCAGACAAGCCAGGCATGGTGGCTCACGCCTGTAATCTCAGCATTTTGGGAAGCTGAGGCAGGTGGATCGCTTGAGGAGTTCTCCTTGGTCTTGAGGAGTTCAAGACCAGCCTGGCCAACACAGTGAATCCAGAGTTTGAGACCAGCCTGGCCAACATAGTGAAACCCCGTCTCTACTAAAATGCAAAAAACTAGCTGGGTGTTGTGGCGGGCGCCTGTAATCCCAGCTACTCGGGAGGCTGAGGCAGGAGAATCGCTTGAACCGGGGAGGCGGAAGTTGCAGTGGACAGAGATCGCGCCATTGCACTCCAGCCTGGGCAACAAGGGCTGGAGTGCACTCTAAAAACAAACAAACAAACAAACAAAATTAGCCAGGTGGCCTGCACCTGTAATCCCAGCTACGAGGCGGGAGAATCGCTTGAACCCGGGAGGTGGAGGTTGCAGTGAGCCGAAATCGCACCACTGCACGTCAGCATGGACGACAAAGCAAAACTCCGTCTCAAAAAAAAAAAAAAAAAAAAAAAAAGAAAGAAAGAAATAGGGCAAATAGTGCAAGCAACAGAGAAAGCTGGCTGGTCTGAGCTTCGGGCATCACACTTACATACACGCACAGACTAATACTCAAACAGGCTTGACACACACATGTCCAGGCTTACACACATGGCTGTCACGTGGTCACACCCCGTTCTGCCTCAACCTTGACCCAGTCTTGAAACAGAAATAAAGGGAGCAACTACTGAGCATCCTGGGGGTGGGAAGGGCGGAAGCCCATCTTTTCACCCCTAGGACGGCTGGGCTGGGAAGCTAAGGGCGCTCAGTCGTGCCCACGCAGCCTTGCCAGGGGCAGGAGCTCCATTTCCCCTGGTCTGCAAAATGGAAGGGCTGGACTGCACCGCCCTGTCAGTGTCGGTCTCTGGTTTCATGGGTCCCTGTGGTTCCACAGGGTCACACTCCGCATCCGACCCCTTGGAGAACTCCCAACCCGAGAGGGAGGGTGATGGAAATGCCCTGAGCATCAGGACCCGCGCCGAGGCAGCCTGAGGGGAAGCGCCGGCCTGCCTCGTCTCACTTCGCCTCTGTAAAGCGGCCCCTGGGCTTCCCTCCAAAACTCCTTTCCTCCAGGGTCTCCGTTCCTCCCCGCGACGCTAGGCGCTGCGCTTCGTTTCACAGACTCACTTCCCACGCCAGGGCGAGGGCGGTCACAGACAAACCCGAGCTGGGGTCCCAGACTCAAGGGAAGTGCGGCCCAGCTGCCCCGGCGCCCCCTCCCGGGTCAGGCCGGCTCGGGCCCGGCCGGCTTGGGCCCTGCGGTCCCAGACGCCGCTCCCCAGGCCACCCCTCCTCCCGCACAACCCAGAACACGCGGGTCACGGCCGCCAGGCTGCGCCCGCTCTGCTCGCGCCTCAGCGGCGCGGAGGCCCGGACGGCGCCATGACATGAGCAGTGGTGGCGACCCACGCGCACCCGCCGCTCCGAGTGCTGCAGCCTAGCGCCCAGCGAGAGCGCGCCGCGCACCTGCCGGCTCTGCCGGCCTCCCGGCGCCCGCCCAGCCTCTCAGCGCGAAGGCCCAGCCCGGCCCACGGCGCCCGCCCGGCCCGGCCGCGCGCCTCACCAGCGGTAGCAGCCCTCCGAGGCCTCCAGCGTGAAGTTAACGCGCGTGGCCCGCGTGAAGGGCAGCAGCACTTTGGGGATGTTGAGCTTGGCCGCAGCGGCGGAGGGGCCCGCCGCCAACAGCACCGACAGCGTCAGCAGCAGCAGCCCCCGGCCCCGCGCCGCCATCCTCGCCGCGCGTCACCTCCCGCGACCCTGCGCCCGGCCGCCCGCGCCGCCCCGTTGCCCTCCGCTCCCGCCCGCGCGCGCGCCAGGCCAGCAGGTGATGAGCGCGGGGGCGGGGCGAGGGCCGTCGGCGGCCGCCGCTTCCTGGGCCTGAGCGCGGGAACTCTGGGGGCCGAGCTCGCGGCGACCCCACCCCCAGCCCGGCCCTCGCGCAGGGACGCGGGGCTGGGGGATGGGCGCGCGCCCGGGCCCCCGGAGCTGAGGGAGAAGGCTTGGGGCGCGCCCGCGGGGACCCCTGGACCCTAGAAGTCCCAAGGGGGAGCCCCCGGGGCGCCCCGCAGCACGCATCCCGCCCTGGTATTTGCCCCTGGCGGTGGAGCCAAGCCGCCGGCTTTGGACCTTGCGCTCTGGCCCGGACCCACGGTCAGCAAGGAAGGGACACATGCCCCAGGACATTTGGGATGCAGAAAACCGGCGCCTGCCTTGTCCCAGCCCATGCTTCCCAGAAGAGGGACCCCGGGCTCGCAAAGGGAAGCCACCTGCTGAAGCGCTGAAGGCCCGGGGCCCGCTCCCCCTCGACCCCCTCACACCCTTTCCAGAGAGGCCTTAAGATTCCCATTTCTCCAGGAAAAAACCGGTTGAATGGCCCCCAGATCACTCAGCCAGAGAGCCCCAAGCTCTTGTCCTCCGCACTGCACCCCCTGCGGAAGCCATTAGAGGTTACCTATAGGTCATTTAGGGCGCCAACGCTGCCAGAGCACAACCCCCTCCACGGCCCCCACACCCACAAAAGAAAGTTTAGCACCGCGGAATCCACCTGCACACCAATGGAAGGCCTTAGATTCCGCGCTGTGCTCTGTGGCTTTTAGCTGTCTGTCGTGAATTGCATGAAGGCATGCGTCAGCAGGCACCTGACTGCTTGGTGCCGCTAAAATATGAATCTAGCCTTGCAGAGAAGGCCCAGCCTAGCGGGAGGTCAGGAAAGGGTGGGGTGAGGGTGCACTGGCCGGCTGTCTGAGGAGTGCAGGAAGTGGATGCTGACTGTAACCAGGAAGACACACAACGATGCCACTGGGTGACCAGGAAGGAGAGGATAAATGTCAGTAAGGCTAGGAAGGCTTTTTGGAGGCGGCGGCCCCTGGGTTGGGCATAGACACCGCACTGGGCTTCAGCGAGGCCCGCATAGGCTGAGCCTGCCCCTCAGGGATCATGGGGCTTTTGGATGGTGATGCGGGGTGTTTGGGGTCACCCTCGAAGCCTGAGGGCCCTAGACCAGGGAATGTGTGTGTTGGGGGAAATCTCTGGAGATAACCAGAACTAAGGGGGTGAGGGTCGGCCCTGTGTGGAACCAGGTGCTCTGGGAGGGGAATTCCAACGGGCTCCCTTTGAAGAAACAAAAAACAGACTTGCGCGGAAAAGGCAGCCTCAGAGGGTATTTGTGAGGAAGTCTGTGGGTGTCTTCTGGGTTGCACAAGATTGATTTGTTTTCCAACAGGTAATCCAGACAGATGGTTGAAACTTAGGCTCAAAAGGGTTCCAAGTGAAAGTGATTCCTCTCCCTCCCCATCACCCAATACCCTTCCCTACAGGCAATGAGTGTTTCCCACTTGAGTATACATCCAGAGAAATTTTATGCATAAACAAGCATATATATATATAAAACATGGCACACATGCACACACATACACATACATGCACACACATATGTATATATGAAATATGGCACATATACATACATATACATATGTCTTGCGAGGCAGGTAAATCTCACTCTTGGACATATATCCTAGAGAAATGAAAAGTGATGTTCCCACAATCACCTGTACATAAAACATTCATAGCAGCTTTATCAAATAGGCCCAAACTGGAAACAGCACAGAGGTCCTTCATGGGTGATGATTAAATACTGTGGCACATCTATGCCATGGAATATTATTCAGCAAAAAAAGAAATGAACTGCTAATACATCCATCTTGGATGAAGCTCCAGGGAATTATACGGACTGGAAAACAAACACTACAAAAGCACAAAAGGTTACATACTGTAAACTTGCTTTTATACAAGATTATTGAGTTGGCAAAATTATAGAAGTATAGAGCAGGTGAGTGATTGTGGGGTCAGGGGCGGCGTGGCATAGGAAGTGATGTGGCTATAAAAGGTCAACATGAGGAGTCCCTGGGATGGAAGTGCTTGGTGGCTTGACTGTATCAATGTCCATTTCCTGGTTGTGATATTATCCCATAGTTTTGCAAGATGTCTACTAGTGGAAACGGGGTAAAGGGCACATATTATAGCATCTCTCTTGTTATTTGTTACAACTGCATGTAATCTACAATTATCTCAAAAAAAGAATCATACAAACAGGCCCAGCAAAACACATCTGAGTGGACACAGCTTGCTAAACAACTACGTTTCAGGTGATTTAAGGCAATCAGGAAATTTTCCCAGCAGAAAACAATCCATGGAAGACAACAAAATGGGCCGGGTGCGGTGGCTGTCACCTGTAATCCCAGCACTTTGGGAGGCCAAGGTGGGCAGATCACCTGAGGTCAGGAGTTTGAGACCAGCCTGGCCAACATGGCAAAACCCTATCTCTACTAAAAATACAAAAAGTCGCCAGACATGGTGGCATGCATCTGTAATCCCAGCTACTGGGGAGGCTGAGGCAGGAGAATCACTTGAACCTGGGAGGTGGAGGTTGCAGTGAGCTGGGATCAAGCCACTGCACTACAGCATGTGCAACAAGAAACTCCATCTCAAAAAAAAAAAGGCAACAAAATGATGGGTAAAACATTTTCCATCTGAGATTTTATCCCTTTACGTTGTCCTTAAACTTGCCCCCAGACCCCATTTCACTTGCCTACAAACCTGGTATGAGATGGTATTTGGGGCCAAGCCAGGGGTCCATGTGTAGGGGCCACCCCCACCTTCTCTGTGGGCTGTTTCCACTCCCTGGCATTGGGCCCCTTCTTTGGGTGTCAGTGTTTATCTGAGATGCAGGGAGCCAGCCATGGACAATGGCCTGAGCACAGCCTTCTGTCCTGGCACAGAGACCCTCTGGGCTGGAAGAGACCACAGATTTGAGTGAGCCGGTTACCCACCTGATAACTAAAACCAGATAGGAAAATGTCTCCTGACCCACATCAGGGTCTCCCAAACTTCTGTTACTTTCTACCACCCTAAAACATTTTAAAAAATAATATCTATCTGAGTGCCACTTGTGCTGTTATTTCCTGTCTTTAAATCAAAGTGTTTACATATATTTACTTAAGAAGCAAACTTTGTCTCTTCTGTTAATAAAAAGCCATTATCAGTTTGCAAAATATAATAGAAGTAGCCATAAAATAAATACAGCGAAACAAAAGAATGCCTTCAAATTACCGCAGGATACTATTTCTTGCTAAAGGCTGAGAGCCCAAGGCCTGCTCTCAGGGCCTTCAGTGGGAAGATAACCAAACACAAGACAGTGTGAAGGACAAACCACACTAATCTTGACCTTTCTCCTTGGGCATACAAGTATGGAGAGATTTTTCAAGGCAATTAACTTTTTCCTAGGGGGACGTTGTCCTTTTAGAGCCTACCCACCATCTTTTTGTGACAACAGTAATTTTTATTTGTATTTCATTTATTTATTTATTTTTGAGACAGGGTCTCTCACTCTGTCACCCAGGCTGGAGTGCAGTGGTGCAATCTCAGCTCACCACAGCCTCTACCTCCTGGGCTCCAGCCATCCTCCCATCTCAACCTCCTGAGTAACTGGGATTATAGGTGTGTGCCACCACATCCAGCTAATTTTTGCTTTTTGTTTTGTTTTGTTTTGTTTGTAGAGACAGGGTTTCGCCATGTTGCCCTGGCTGGTCTCGAACTCCTGGACTCAAAGGATCTGTGCCCCTTGGCCTCCCAAAGTGCTGGGATTACAGCCATGAGCCACTGTGCCCAGCCCAAACAGTAATTTTAAAGAATCATTCTGCAGTGGGGAAACTTAAAGAGTCATAGAGTAGACAGTGGTATAATGAAGCCCCATGACTGTCCAGTTCTGTGGCCACAATCCACAGCCAATTCTGCTGCTTCTGCAGTCACCACAGGCCCCACCCTATCTCATTTTGAAACAAATCCAAGATATCCTGTCATTTCGTCTGTATTTCAGTTTGTATCGCTAAGAGATAAGGACCCTTTTATAGACATAACCACAATACTATTATCACACATAAAAAAGTTAACAGTAATCTTATGGTCATAAAATATTATTAGAGTTCAAATTTCCAACTGTCTCATACATTCATAATACCTTTTTACAGTTTATACTTTCAGAATCAGGATATAAGTAAAGTTCACACATTGCAATTGATTGAAATGTCTTTTAAGGCTCTTTCAATCTATAGGCTTCCTTCCCCATTTCTCCTTTTCTCCCTGAATTTAAATGTTGCCCTTT
This sequence comes from Homo sapiens, assembly GCF_000001405.40. NCBI lineage: Eukaryota > Metazoa > Chordata > Mammalia > Primates > Hominidae > Homo > Homo sapiens. Next base: position 13,424,656 of record NC_000003.12, read on the forward strand.
GACCTCTGGAGTAGACATTTGTGTTTTCAGACACCCCCAAGCTGAGTCCCCACTAGCCTGGGCCCTACTGCAGCAGCAATGGGGGTTTCCGCCTCTCACAAGTCTGCCCCCAGGCTTTGGTCATGGACTCTGGAAATGGAGGAAAGGGACACCCACTGTGGACCTTCAGCACCACCTCTGAGCTGGAAACCTTGGCTTTGGGCAAAACAAAAAAGAAGTAAAACACCAGGAGCACTGGAATGGCTTCCACCTTTGCAAAGTGCTTTCCAAAACCCCATCATACTTAAGAGAATGGCAACACTTAATTACAGAAATTGCTGCTCAAGTCAATGCCCAGACATGCCTCCTGCTCATGGGGCCCATTTTCTGGATGCGTTTACTCTTCCTCAGAATGTGTTCCTCACACTTGCCACCTTCAGCCTCTGCCAGGATTGGCAATTGTTTGCTTCCTGTGGGCCCCTGGGTCCTTCCCCACAGGCATCACTAGAGGATGATGGCTGCAGAATAAGTGATGGCAGCCAGCTTGTCACACCTTCAGCCTGCCTTGGAAGTCCAAGCGCACGTGTGTTATCCCAGCCACCTCAATCTGATTCCAGCAAACCTAGCTGGATACACAAGGGAGTCCTCAGACATCACCAGGCCACCAACTCTGCAAGAGTACAGGCTCTCTACTCCTTGCTTTCTAGAACTACCAACAGCATGATCCCTTTTCATGATGGTTAATTTGTGTGTGAACTTGACTGGGCTAAGGGATGCCCAGATAGCTGGCAACACATGGTTTCTGGGTGTGTCTGTGAGGGTGTTTCTGGATGAGATTAGCATTTGAATCAGACTGAGTAAAGATCTGCCCTCACCCATGTGAGTGGACACATCCAATCCCTCAAGGGCCCGACTAGAACACAAAGGTGTAGGAAAGGCAAATTCACTGTCCACTTGGGCTGGGACATCTGTCTTCTCCTGCCATTAGATATTGGAGCTCCTGATTCTCAGGGCTTTGGACTATGGAACTTACAACCGCACCCCCCACCCCGACCCTGGGCTCTCAGGTCTTTGGACTGACAGGCTCTAAAGCCTTCAGGCTTGGACCAAATTATATCACCAGCTTCCTTGGGCCTCCAACTTGTAGACAGAAGGCTCTGGGACTTCTTAGCCTTCATAATTATGTGAATCAATTCTCATAATCTCTCCATCTCTACAACCACCCCTCCCCGCCACACACATACACACACACCCATACCCACACACCCACACTCTTATTCTGTTTCTGTGGTGAGCCTAATACATTCTTCTTGCTTCTGAGCTCCCCTTGGTGCCAGAGTGGTCAACACAGATCATGGCATACCCCTCAGGGGGCCAGCCCTCCACAGCCTCCCAGGTGGCCTTGACAGAGAATTCAAACTCCTGCTTGTGGTCCCCAGGCCCTCCGAGGCATCCTCTCTGACCTTTGCCTCCCAGACTCACTCCTCTGGCCTGGCCCCACCTGGGTAGTTCAGACCTCCTTAGCATACCTAGCAAATTGGACCCCCTAGGGAAGATAGTTTTTGAACCACTCCTCCTTTATAAGACAAAATTATTTTCAGTAATAAACATGAAATGAAATATAATAATTTCTAGGAAAAAAATAACATTTTATTAAACTTTTTATAGATAAGCAAGCCAGCAACATTTTTAAATAAAAATAAAATACTACAACCAAAAAAGGAAAAGCTAGTGGCTTAATATTTTTAAAATTATATTAATGTATTTTTAGTTACATTCAGCATGGAATAGCTGAATAGCAGTAACTCAAATTTGTCTTTATAATCACTATGCCATCACTGGTTATCTGAAATCTACAGTTTAAACACAACAATGTATAGTACCATAAGGGTTGGAGAAAACAACTCTCCCCAAAGCAAGCTCAAAGGATTCCAAAAAGTTATAAGCTTACTCTGGGAACAAACACATGAGCTGAATTGATGTATATGGGGGGCAGATGTTCTAGGAGTTCTGTAAATTAACATCCATGTAGAATGCATTGCTAATAAAGGATCAATTTCAAAAAAATGTTTTATTTTAGGCCAGGTGCAGTGACTCATGCTTGTAATCCCAGTGATTTTAGAGGCCAAGGCAGGAGGATTGCTTGAGGCCAGGAGGATGAGAATAGCCTGGACAACATAGTGAGACTCTCTCTCTACCAAAAAAACTTCAACATTTAGCTGGGCATGGTGGCACACAACTGTAGTCCTAGCTGCTCAGGAGGCTGAGGTGGGAGAATCACTTGACCTCAGGAGTTCTAGGCTGCGGGGAGCTATGATCTCCCCAGTGCACTCCAGCCTGGGCAACAGAGACCCTGTCTCAAAAAAAAAAAAGAAAAATAAAGAAAAGTTTTATTTTAAAGTTTTTATGTTATTAAAATTCAACCATGCAACAAAAGTTAAAAAAAATAAATTGAACTACATAAAGACTAAAAACAGGCTGGGCGTGGTGGTTCATGCCTGTAATCCCAGCACTTTGGGAGGCTGAGGCGGGTGGCTCACCTGAGGTCGGGAGTTCAAGACCAGCCTGACCAACATGGAGAAACCCCCGTCTCTACTAAAAATACAAAATTAGCCGATTAGCCGGGTGTCGTGGTGCATGCCTGTAATCTCAGCTACTCAGGAGACTGAGGCAGGAGAATCGCTCAGTTGCTCAGGAGGGAGTGGAGGTTGCAGTGAGCCGAGATCGTGCCATTGCACTCCAGCCTGGGCAACAAGAGCGAAACTCCATCTCAAAAAAAAAAAAAAAAAAAAAAGGATGCAGCTACAATAAAAAACAGTATATTTCCTCAAAACATTAAATGTAGAATTACCATATGATTCAGCAATCCCACTTCTGGGTATACGCAACACAACTGAAAGCCCTATAACCGTATACCCATGTTCATAACAGCATTATTCACAATAGCCAAAAAGTGAAAGCCATGCAATTCATCCATTGATGGATAAATAAACAAAATGTGACCTATCCATTCAATGGAATAATATTTAGTCTTAAAAAGGAAGACCGGGTGCAGTGGCTCACACCTGTAATCCCAGCATTTTGGGAGGCCGAAGCGGGCAGATCACCTGAGGTCAGAAGTTCAAGACCATCCTGACAACATGGTGAAACCTTGTCTCTACTAAAAATACAAAAATTAGCCAGCTGTGGTGGCAGGCACCTGTAGTCCCAGCTACTCCGGAAGCTGAGGCAAGAGATCGCTTGAACCCAGGAGGTGGAGGTTGTAGTGAGCCGAGTTCGTACCACTGAACTCCAGGCTGTGCGACAGAGCAAGACTCCGTCTTTAAATAAATAAATAAATAAATAAATAAATGATACAGTTAATATAAAAAAAGTTATTAACAGTAAAGGATTCTTCTAATAAAAATAATCACTTATTCTGATTGAGACCAGAATATTCTACTCATTTCATTCTTCTGAGTGTAGTCCTTTCATCCCGAATGAGTATGTATACAAGAGTGTATGTGACACATAAATAAAAATTCATGCCCAGACAACAAAAGACATGTTAGGAAACTTTCATTTCACCCACAGCCTCGCCAACACAATGATCAAATAGGAATTTAGGTTTTCCATAATTTTCCATTATATTCACCCAGGAGGAAGCAACAATTTTTCTTTTGTTGATCTTGCAGCTTTCAGATTGTTTGCCCTGCACCTGAGACTTCTTCTTAGTGGGCAGGTGTCTTCCTGTCTTGTCAGAGGGAGGGTGACTTCCTGTAAGATGCCCCAGTCTTCCTCTCAGCTCGAGGAGCAGGCTTACTTCAAGTAGGCTTACTTAAGTAGGCTTAAGTTAATCATTTGAGTGATTAGCCAGGGAAATTCAGCTAAATGGTTGACAATATCTCAATGCTTACACATTAGACTGTGTTAAACTGTAATGTGTTTTTTTTTGTTTTTTCTTTTTTGAGACAGAGTCTCACTGTGTCACCCAGGCTGGAGTGCAGTGGTGCCATTTTGGCTCACTGCAACCTCTGCCTCCTGGGTTCAAGCGATTCTCCAGCCTCAGCCTCCTGAGTAGCTGGGACTACAGGCATCTGCCACATGCCCAGCTAATTTTTTGTATTTTAGTAGAGACAGGGTTTCACCATGTTGGTTAGGCTAGTCTCGAACTCTGATCCACCTGCTTCAGCCACCCAAAGTCCTGAGATTACAGGCGTGAGCCACCGCACCTGGTCTGTAATATCTTTTAAGTCATAACCTGTCTTGGCTGAGTAATTTAGGTTTGGGGGTTTTGCATTCTTTAGAAATTGTATGAGCTTAACTTTTTTTTTTTTTTTTTTGAGACAGGATCTCACTCTGTCACCCAGACTGGAGTGTAGTGGTGAAATCTCAGCTCACTGCAACCTCCACCTCCCGGGTTGAAGCAATTCTCCTGCCTCAGCCTCCTGAGTAACTGGGATTACAGGCATGCGCCACCACGTCTGGCTAATTTTTGTATTTTAGCAGAGACGGGGTTTCACCATGTTGGCCAGGCTGGTCTCAAACTCCTCACCTCAGGGATCCATCCACCTCGGCCTCCCAAAGTGCTGGGATTACAGGCATGAGCCACGGCACCCAGCCGTGAGCTTAAATTTTAATTAGTTGGGGAGAGGAGAGAAACCTTTTCTTGCCATTTTTACACTGTGGGCCCTGAGTACTTCTCTGTGTATTGAGAAAGGGAGAAATAAGAATGAAAAGATGGGTAGACATACATACAGACAATTCCCAGAAGAGGACATTCGGATGGTCAACACACATGTGAAAACCTGCTCATCCTTCTCAGTAACCAGGGAAATGCAAATTAAAACAGCAACAAGCTGTCTTTTCTCACTCATCAGATTGGCAAAACTTTTCTTTCAAGTCTTACAACATCAAGTCTGGGCAAAGATGGAGGAAAATGAACTCTCTCATGTCGCTGGTAGAAGCATAAATTAGTCCAGCCAATTTGTTTGTGTGTGTGTGGTTTTTTTTTGTTGTTGTTGTTTTGTTTTGGAAACAGAGTTTCACTCTTGTCACCCAGGCTGGACTGCAATGGCAGGATCTCGGCTCCCTGCAACCTCTGCCTCCTGGGTTCAAGTGATTCTCCTGTCTCAGCCTCTGGAGTAGCTAGGATTACAGGCACCTGCCATTACGGCCGGCTAATTTTTGTATTTTTAGCAGAGATAGTGTTTTACCATGTTGGCCTGGCTGGTCTTGAACTCCTGACCTCAGGTGATCCACCCATCTCAGCCTCCCAAAATGCTGGGATTACAGGCAAGAGCCACCACACCCGGCTGAGTCCAGCCAATCTGGACAGCCTTTTGCTACATACGTCTGCAAGCCTTGACTGAAAATCTTTGAGAGCAGATGTTTGTTGGGACTCAGCAACCGATACCCCAAAATATGGAGCTTTGAAGTACTCAGCTGAAGAAGCAGCCTCAAGGTCTCGCTGACCTTTCTCCCACTCCTGTCTGTCCCAAAGCACAGCATGAAGTTGTTCTCTGAAGTTCCCTTATCTGTCTAAAGTCTGGACCTGCCAAAGAAGAAAACAATTATCTCCAGTCCCTTGCCATTTTTTCATTAACTGAACCCATATTGCAGGAAGAAAAACCAAAGTCTGTCAACATGTTACAGGAAAGGGGTCCCGATCCAGACCCCAAGATAGGGTTACTGGATCTCACACAAGAAAGAATTCAGGGCAAATCCATAAAGTGAAAGCAAGTTTATTAGGAAAGTAAAGAAATAAAAGAATGGCTACTCCATGGACAGAGCAGCCCTGAGGGCTGCTGGTTGCCCATTTTTATGATTATTTCTTGATGACAGGCTAAACAATGGGTGGATTACTCATGTCTCCCCTTCTTAGACCATATAGGGTAAATTCCTGACATTGCCATGGCATTTGTAAACTGTCATGGTGCTGATGGGAGTGTAGCAGTGAGGATGACCAGAGGTCACTCTCATCACCATCTTGGTTTGGGTGGATTTTAGCCGGTTTCTTTACTGCAAACTGTTTCATCAGCAAGGTCTTTATGACCTGTGTCTTGTGCCGACCTCCTATCTCATCCTGTGATTTAGAATGCCTTAACTATCTGGGAATGCAACCCAGTAAGTCTCAGCCTCATTTTACCCAGGTCATATTCAAGAAGGAGTTGCTCTGGTTCACATGCCTCTGACAAACACACCTGTTATGGAAAGGAGTCTGGATCCAGACCCCAAGAGAGGGTTCTTGGATTTCATGCAAGAAAAGAACTTGGGGCAAGTCCATAAAGTGAAAGCAAGTTTATTAAGAAAGTAAAGGAGGCCAGGAGTGGTGGCTCACACCTGTAATCCCAGCATTTTGGAAGCCCGAGGTGGGTGGATCACGAGGTCAGGAGTTCAAGACCAGCCTGACCAACATGGTGAAACTCTGTCTCTGCTAAAAATACAAAAATTAGCCAGGCATGGTGGTGCATGCCTGTAATCCCAGTTACTCAGGAGGCTGAGGCTGGAGAATCACTTGAACCTGGGAGGTGGAGGTTGCAGTGAGCTAAGACGACACCACTACACTCCAGCCTGGGCAACAGAGTGAGATTTCGTCTCAAAAAAAAAAAAAAAAAAAAAAGAAAGTAAGGGAATAAAGAACAGCTATTCCATAGGCAGAGCAGCCCAGAGGGCTATGGTTGCCCTTTTTTTTTTTTTCAAGACGGAGTCTTGCTGTGTCACCCAGGCTGGAGTGCAGTGGTGTGATCTTGGCTCACTTCAAACTCCGCCTCCCGGGTTCCAGCAATTCTTCTGCCTCAGGCTGCCGAGTAGCTAGGATTACAGGCACCTGCCACCGCATCTGGCTAATTTTTGTATTTTTAGTAGAGACGGGGTTTCACCATGTTGGCCAGGCTGGTCGCCAACTCCTGACCTCGTGATCCACCCACCTTGGCCTCCCAAAGTGCTGGGATTATAGTTTTCTGGGAAAGGGATGGGCAATTCCCAGAACTGAGGATTCCTCCCCTTTTTAGACCATATAGGGTAACTTCCTGATGTGCCATGGCATCTGTAAACTGTCATGGTGCTTGTGGGAGTGTAGCAGGGTGTGGTGGCACTGTAATCCCAGCTACTCAGGAGGCTGAAGCAGGAGAATCGCTTGAACCTGGGAGGCAGAGGTTGCAGTGAGCCGAGATTGCACCACTGCATTCCGGCCTGGGGGACACAGCAAGACTCTCTCCCAAAAAAAAAAAAAAAAAAAAAAAAAAAATATATATATATATATATATATATATATGTGTGTGTGTGTATGTATATATATATATGTATGTGTATATATATGTATGTGTATATATATATGTATGTGTGTATATATATATGTATGTGTATATATATATACTCCTGTGAACAAAATTTGGAGCATATTTGTTCCTCTCTACTTGATTTCTTCAGAATTTGGGAACTATTTGTGAATATACTCAATTTATGGCAGTATAGTTAATTACACAAGTGCAATAAGAATTTGCTTTCTTTTGTAACAGGACACAATTGGAAAAATTGGTTATTTTACCAAGGCTTTGAATGGAATGGTATACTTCCTTTAAAGAATCAAAGTTGACTTATAGAGCCAGTTAAAGCCCATTAGGGAATGTGGCCTCATACCTTGTCCACGCAGAGTCCCTGTACAAAGTTCCTGACCTGTGGTAAATAAACAATGTCACTTTCTAACAGACCCAGGAATCCCAAGTTATCTTGGGACCTCAAGAGGAGAGGAGTTTGCCCAACTCATAGGTATTTGAGGGTAAAAACCCATGGCTGGGCTCAGCTTTTAAAAGTCTTATTTGAGATTCTTCATGGAACAGAGTTCTATCAAAGCCAATTAAAATATCCTAAGTGAAAAATAATTATTCTTGCTGTACTTTATGCAAATAATCAGGCCAAGTACAGTAAGACTAAAGTTTATTTTGTAAACAAATCAGTTCTATCATGATTTGTTTTTAATAAAAATGGGGACTGGAGAGAGAAAAATTATGCTTCGAAAGAAAACTAGGTCAGGCACAGTGGCTCACGCCTGTAATCCCAGCACTCTGGGAGGGTGAGGCAGGCAGATCATCTGAGGTCAGGAGTTTGAGACCAGCCCAGCCAACATGGCCAAACCCCATCTCTACTAAAAATACAAAAATTAGCCAGGCGTAGTGGCATGCACCTGTAATCCCAGCTACTTGGGAGGCTGAGGCAAGAAAATTGCTTGAATCTGGATGTGGAGTTTGCAGTGAGCCAAGATCATGCCACTGCACTCCAGCCTGGGCAACAGAGTGAGACTCTGTCTCAAAACAAACAAACAAACAAACAAACAAACAAAAAAGAAAAACTGTAGTATACTGTTGTTAGCTGTTCTTGAGGTTTTTTTCCGCAGTTTAGACTAAATTCTAAATTCCTTGTGGGTTAGAAGTCCCCAAACTAATGCTTTCAAATCTTTGCTTTTAAAATTGGGAATTGTACTCCTTATCCTAGGACTCACTATTTTACCTTATAGTAGGCTGTTCACTTAAACACTGTAGTAAAACTATAGCTGAGAGTACTAATGTTTTTGCCACGCGAGCCTCAGAAGCCCAGCCAGGCCTGCATGAGTACGCTCAAGACAGTTGCAAAACAGTTCCATTCTTCTCACCTTGGGGTTCCATTCTTCTCACCTTGGGGTTCACTCCCATTCCCACTACATCCCGTCAGCAGGAAGAAGCCAGAGCCATCGACGGTCTTTTCCCATCTTCATAGCCTACACCTTAAGATTAAGGTGCTATAAAACCCAAAGGGAGGGATTGAAACTGCCTTTGCAAAATTATGACTGAGACAGTGAAAGAATTGACTCCATCTTGCTTCTAATTTCCAAGCTGTCCTTGTTCATTCCTGGGCGTAGGCTGAAGTAACTTTGGGAGAAACTTAGTTTATAGTTTAAACAAAGACAGTAACAGCCCTTTCCCAAAGCAGACCTCCTTGCTTGGGGACTAGATTGCCTTTGTAGGACTAACATTAGCCACAAGATTAGAAATTACGGTTTAGGAGTCATGCAGCTGGAGGCTACAAGATTCTGACCCTTCCTAAACTGCTCCTAAGGTCAGTGCTTGATATGTTTTGCAGACCCTGCACTTAATGGATCAGCTGTCCCCACCCAGATCAATAAACTGGCTCATCTGATCTTCTGGCCCCCACCCAGGAACAGACTGAGCGCAAGAAGACAGCTCGGACTCCCTATGATTTGATTTCTGACCAATCAGCACTCCTGGCTCACTGGCTTCTCCCCACCCACCAAGTTCTCCTTAAAAACTCTGCTCCCCAAATGCTCAGGGAGACTGATTTGAGTAATAATAGAACGCCGGTCCCGCACAGCCAGCTTTGCGTGAATTACCCTTTCTCAATTGCAATTCCCCTGTCTTGATAAATCGGCTCTGTCTAGCCTAGGCAGCAGGCAAGATGAACCCCTTGGGCCATTACATTTATGACCTGTATCTTGTGCTGACCTGCTATCTCATCCTGTGACAGAGAATGCCTAACCATCTGGGAATGCAGCCTAGTGGGTCTCAGCCTCATTTTAACCAGCCCCTATTCAAGATGGAGTTGCTCTGTTTCAAACACCTCTGACACAGCTAGACAGACTCTTGTCACAAACCATTGTCTGCACTGCAGGCCCAACAGACTTTGTCCCAGGCCTCTGTATACTCTTCAAGCCCACTGAATTCCCCTTAAAAATCATATACTAACCCCCTAACCTTATCCACACTTTGCCATCTCCCTTTCCCCTAAGAAGAAGGGTATATAAGCATCTGTACCCCATGGTGCAGTGGAGCAATCAGTCTGTGATTTCCCCCCATGCATGTTAATAAACGTGCATGCCATTTCTCCTACGAGTCTGCCTTTTATCAGTTTATTTTTCAGCAAAACTTCAGAGGATGAAAGGGAAGTTTTCCCTTAGCTCCTACATGTGTTTCAGATTTTTTTTTTGAGCTTGATAGGTAAAAGGTGCCTGTGCTATTTTTACATTACCACTCCTAGTGGGTTCAGGAGCAGCATCTTATTGTCAATACATTGATTTTTCTGCAATGAGACATGAATATTCACACTAATGGGATAGAGACTTTAAATAGCCTCAGCTCATTTTAGGTCAGTTTTCACTGCCAGAGGACTTGGTTGCAACCTAATGGGAAAAGCGGGTTTAGAGTTTTTTTGGCTTTTTGAATTATGGAGAGAGATCTTGGATCTGTACATAGTAAACTTGAACATGAGCATATTCTATGACCTAGAAATACACCTAAATTCATTTCTTAGAATAATGGGATTTGAACTTTTCTATGCACAATCCAGAGTAAGAAATACAATTCATGTGTAATCCAATTCACACATGTATTTATGTAACTTGCAACAAAAGTTGCAAGAAACGCTACCCTTCCTACACGTGATCACTCTGTCTTTTATATTTCATGTTTTGAGTGTTTACCATACGCCAGGCACAGTTCTAAGCATTTTTTCTATATTTCATTTTTTTAAAGTTGTTGGGTTACAACTCGGCAATAAAAATACCAATAACCCAATTAAAAAATAGGCAAAGAGGCCGGGCGCAGTGGCTCACACCTGTAGTCCCAGCACTTTGGGAGGCCAAGGCGGGCGGATCACCTGAGGTCGGGAGTTCGAGACCAGCCTGACCAACATGGAGAAACCCTGTCTCTACTAAAAATACAAAATTAGCCGGGCATGGTGGCGCATGCCTGTAATCCCAGCTACTTGGGAGGCTGAGGCAGGAGAATTGCTTCAACCTGGGAAGGAGAGGTTGCAGTGAGCCGAGATCATGCCATTGCACTCCAGACTGGGCAACAAGAGCAAAACTCCATCTCAAAAAAAAAAAAAAAAAAAAAATAGGCAAATAAGGCTGGGCATGGTGGCTCACGCCTATAATCCCAGCACTTTGGGAGGCCAAGGCAGGCAGATCACCTGAAGTCAGGAGTTCAAGGCCAACCTGGCCAACATGGCAAAACCCCGCCTCTACTAAAAATACAAAAATTAGCCAGCTACAAATACAAAATACAAATACAAAAATCCCAGCTACTCGGGAGGCTGAGGCAGGAGAATCACTTAAAGCCAAGAGGCAGAGGTTGCAGTGAGCTGAGATCGCACCACTGCACTCCAGCCTAGGCGACAGAGTGAGATTCCATCTCAAAAAAAAAAAAAAAAAGCCAAAGGATCTGAATGGATGTTTTTCTGAAAAAGACATACTAATGGTCAATAAGCACATGGAAAGTGTCCAACATCATCAGCCATCAGGGAAATGCAAACCAAAACCACAATAAATACCACTTCACACCCATTACGGTGGCTATAATTTTTAGAAAGACAGACAATAACAAGTGTTCAAGTGTTCACAAGGATCCATATCCTATTTTTGAACTCTCATACACTCTTGGTGGACATGTGAAATGGTGCAGCTACTTTGAAAAGCAGTTTTGTAGTTCCTCAGAAAGTTAGACATTGAGTTACTATATAATGCAACAATTCTACTCCTAGGCATATACCAAAAAGAAATAAAAACATACATCCACACAAAAACTTGTACATGAATGTTCATAGCAGCAGCATTCATAATAGCCAAAAAGCAGAAACAACCCAGTTGTCCATCAACTAATGAATGGATAAACAAAATGTGGTATAGTTATACAATGGACTATTATTTGACAACAAAAAGGAAGAGGCCAGGCGTGATAGCTCATGCTTGTAATCTCAATACTTTGAGAGGCTGAGGCAGGAGAATCGCTTGAGCCCAGGAGTTTGAGACCAGCCTGGGCAACACAGTGAGATCCCATATTTACAGGTGTGGTGGTGCACACCTGTAGTCCCAGCTACTAGAGAGGCTGAAGCAGGAGGATCGCTTGAGCCCAGGAGGTGGAGGCTACAGTGAGCTGAGATCGTGCCACTGCACTCCAGCCAAGGGGACAGATTTTATCAGAAAATCATAGTGTTGCATGAAAAAGCACATTGTAAGGAGATACTGGGATTTCTGGTGTCATTAATATTCTGGTTCTTAACCTGAGTTGTAATTTCATGAGTGTTCACTGAACCTTTTGTAAAACTGAACACTTTTCTGTATCTTTGTAATTTATAATTAACTTTATTTTAAAAAACAAAAGGAAATGTGCAATATGATATATAGCATCATGCTGTTTATATAAACTTTAGGAGCATGCCAATCAATGGTACTGCATCCATCTGTGTCTGGTCAGGAAAATAGAAGTCATTCTAGCTATTTCAAGCAGAAAAGTATGTAACGAAGGAAGCAAAGGCAAGAAGAACTATTATGCAGACATCAAGAGGCTTCTTCTACCCCTAGACTGAAGCCAGGAGCTCACACTCCCTACTGATCTGACCCCGACCATGAACGCAGGAGGCTACACTTCTGCTGTTGCTGCTGCTGCTGCAAAAAGGACCACCAATCTGCTGGAGATGATGCCATGATGAAAAGATAGTTTCTCTCTTTCTCCTGCCTTAAAATTTCCCACTAGTGCCTCCTGGAAACTAGCAGGAAAGGGAGTCAGTAGTTTGGAGACTTCCAGCCCCATAGATGCTGCGGTAAGCAGGGAAGGCTGGGAATAGAGCCGAGAGCTGACAGGCAGAACCTATATATTATCTATATAGGAAGGGTTCCCACCAAGGCATATTAGTAATTACAGCCAACTTTGTAATCAATTGATTTATTTAAAAAGTCAAAGCAAGCATAATAATAGTGGTCGCTGAATTTGAGTTTGGGGACTACAGATGTTTAATTTATTATTGCGTGTATTTTTCCGTATCTTTTTTTTTTTTGAGACGGAGTATTGCTCTGTCACCCAGGCTTGAGTGCAGTGGCCTCATCTCGGCTCACTGCAACCTCTGCCTTCCAGGTTTAAGCAATTCTCTGCCTCAGCCTCCTCAGTAGCTGGTATTACAGGTGCCCGTCACCATGCCCAGCTAATATTTTGTATTTTTAGTAGAGACAGGGTTTCACCATCTTGGCCAGGCTGGTCTTGATCTCCTGACCTCTTGATTCACCCACCTCCGCCTCCCAAAGTGATGGGATTACAGGCGTGAGCCACCGCACCTGGCCCATATCTTTTTAAGTTCCAAAAATCTAATAATTTAAAAAAATCTAAAGGTAAATTCTAAAAATGTAATAAAAAAGGAACTTACTGAAAAGAGAATAAACCAACTTGCTAATGGTTGTTGTGTTAGGGTGGTAAACCTAGGGATTTTTTTTCCTTTTGTTTTTGTCAGAGAAATTTTCCAAATTTTCTTTGACACCCATATTAAATTCATAGTAAAACTTTGTAATAGGATGCTCTTGCTTTTCGCCTAACTTTACATGAATGCTATAGCTTTAGGAAAAATACCTTGTGGCTGGGCAGAGTGGCTCACACCTGTAATCCCAGCACTTTGGGAGGCCGAGGCAGGCAGATCACCTGAGGTCAGGAGTTCAAGACCAGCCTGACCAACATGGAGAAACCCCGTCTCTACTAAAAATACAAAATTAGCCGGGCATGGTGGCACATGCCTATAATCCCGGATACTCGGGAGGCTGAGGCAGGAGAATCGCTTGAACCCGAGAGGTAGAGGTTGCAGTGAGCAGAGATTGCGCCATTGCATTCCAGCCAGGGCAACAAGAGCGAAAATCTGTCTCAAAAAAATAAAATAAAATAAAAATAAAAAGCTTGTCCCGGGAACTGCCGTGAAGGGTTTGATGTTCTCAAATTCCAATCTGATCTCTGGGGTGGGATGAGAAGTTTGCCTGTCACAGACTGAGTGTGTTTTTCGGCAAAAGTGGGCTACGTTTGGATGCAAAAGAGCTGATATCCTGAAAAGCTTTGAAATTAAAGATATGGCTCTTTTCCTCCCAGGCAGAAGAAAATTACACCCTCCATATGCGTTCAGCATTTGACTGTTCAGATGCTGTTTGCATCTGTGATCTTTTATCCTCACCAAGAACCAGAGCACAAGATACAGCATTTGGGAAAGTGTTTTGAAGAGACCTGGCAAGTGCAGGGTTTTTTGTTGTTGTTGTTGTTTGAGACGGAGTCTCACTCTCTGTCGCCCAGGCTGGAGTGCAGTGGCGCGATCTTGGCTCACTGCAACCTCTGCCTCCTGAGTTCAAGCGATTCTCCTACCTCAGCCTCCCGAGAAGCTGGGATTACAGGCGTACACCACCACACCCGGCTAATTTTTTGTATTTTTTTTGGTAGAGATGGGGTTTTACCATGTTGGCCAGGCTGGTCTCGAACTCCTGACCTCAGGTGATCCACCCGCCTTGGCCTCCCAAAGTGCTGGGGTTACAGGTGTGAGCCACTGTGCCCGGTTTAAGTGCACACTTTTATTAACACAATGCCCATCTTCCAGAGGAGGATACTGAGGCCTGGAAAGGTGGAGTAACACTGCCCATGATCCCATAGAGCCTGACCCAGAACTTGGGCACAATGTATTTTCCTGTATTGCGGGGCTGAGATTGGGTTAAAATCCCCTCTCCGGCCAGGTGCGGTGGCTCATGTCTGTGATCCCAGTACTTTGGGAGGCTGAGGCGGGTGGATCACCTGAGGTCAGGAGTTTGAGACCAGCCTGACCAACATGGTGAAACCCTGTCTACTAAAAAATGCAAAATTAGCCAGGCATGGTGGCACATCCCTGTAATCCCAGCTACTTGGTAGGCTGAGGCAGGAGAATCGCTTGAACCCGGGAGGTGGAGGTTGCATTGAGCCAAGATTGCACCATTGCACTCCAGCCTGGGCAATAACAGTGAAACTCCATCTCAAAAAAAAAAAAAAAAGAATCCCTTCTCCCGACTCCTGAGGACAAGAAGGTTCTGTTTTTTTCATTTAATTTTTCCTTTGCAAATAGGGAAATGAATCATGTTCCTATTTAAAATATCTTCATCGTTTCATGACCAGAAAAGTATGGTTTATGAAAAAATGACCGTAAAAAAAAAACAAAAACAAAAACAAAACCATGACCGATTAGGATGACCATGATAGCTTGATAGCTTTTTTTTTTTTTAAGACAGAGTTTTTGCTCTGTTGCCCAGGCTGGAGTGCAATGGCAACATCTCAGCTCACTGCAACCTCTGCCTCCCAGGTTCTAGTGATTCTCCTGCCTCAACTTCTCAAGTAGCTGGGATTACAGGCACCCACCACCATGCCCAGCTAATTTTTGTATTTTTAGTAGAGACGAGGTTTCACTATGTTGGCCAGGCTGGTCTCGAACTCTAGACCTCAAGTGATCCACCCAACTCGGCCTCCCAAAGTGCTAGGGTTACAGGCAGGAGCCACCGTGCCCAGCCAAGATAGCTTCTTGAAGGGTGTTCATTAATTAGCTGGTCTGAACATAAAATTAGTTATAGGTTTTGACTGGGAGTAGAGAAAAGTTATCGTCTGACTTCATTGTTGAACACCTCCAGGGACAAGATTCATTAGCAGCTCAGCAAGCCTGTCCACTCATTTCGCCCTATGTCAGTCCAAAATCTCCCTTCCTATAGCTCCTCTTCATCCATTGGTTTAAGTTCTACCCTCAAGAGCACCACACAGAGTCAGCCTGGTCACTGTCCTCCCGAGTGCTGGTCCTTTGCAAGCCTGAGGTAGCCATATGGTGGTGGCAGCACACAAGTCCTGGCACCTTCCCTCACTCACCATGAGACCTTGACCAAGCAATCCCAACTTCCTTCCTGTGCTTAGAGAGTTGATTATGCGCCTTGAATCTTTTCTGAGGTAAATGTTTAGGGCTGTATTAGTCACGGTTCTCCAGAGAAACAGAATCCATATGTATGTGTAGATGTGTGTAGTCATGCATTGCATAATGACATTTCAGTCAACAATGGACCGCATATACAATGGTGGTCCCGTTAAGATGATGCCATATTTTTACTGTACATTTTCTATGTTTAGACACATAAATACTTAGCATTGTGTTACAGCTGCCTCCAGTATTCAGCACAGCCACATGCACTACAGGTTTATAGCCTAGGAGCAAAAGGGCATAGCACATAGCCTCATATGGTAGGCTCTGCCATCCAGGTTTGGGTAAGTACACTCTATGAGGTTCCCATAGCAACAAAATTGCTGAACAATGTGTGAAGCATTGCATTAAGTCACATGTGACTGTATAAAAAGAGAGACTGAGATTTAGTAAATTGGTTCACCTGATTATGGAGGCTGAAAAGTCTCAAAATCTGCAGTCAGCAAGCTGGAGACCCAGAAGAGCCAGTCTCAGTGCTCAGACTCCAATCTGAGTGTGAAGGTCTGAGAACCAGGAGACCCAAGTTCCAGTCTGAAGACAGGAGAAGACCAAGGTCCCAGCTGAAACAGGCAGGAGGAGTCGCTCTTGCTCAGCCTTTCATTCTATCCAGGTCTTCAGGTGATTGGATGCGGCCCACTTACATTAGTGAGGGCAATCTGTTTTATGTATTCGATAGGCTGAAATACTAATCTCATCCAGAAACACCCTCACAGACACATCAAGAATGATGTTTGACCAAATGTCTGTGTACCCGTGGCCCAGTCAAGTTGACACATACAATCCACCATGAGCAGAGCCATCCATTTCCTCTAAGGACTGCTTTCTTGACTTCCCACACATTCTGAAACACTGTGTTTACACTACCATTCAGTTCAAAATATTTTCAAATTTCCCTTGTGACTTTGTTTGTTATTCATTTTTTATGTATAAGTGGGTTTTCAAATGTTTTGGGGATTTTGTGAATAGCTTTTTAATTGTGGTAAAATACAGATAACACAAAATTTACCATATTAACCATTTATTTTTTTTAAGAGATAGAGTCTCACTGTGTTGCCCAGGCTGAAGTGCAATAGCTAGTCACAAGTGTGATCATAGTGTCCTAAATCCCTGAATTCCTGGGCTCAAGAGATCCTCCAGCTTCTGCCTCCTGAATAGCTGGGACTATAGGGGCACACCACCACGCCCAGCCCATCTTAATTTTTTTTTTTTTTTCTGAGACAGAGTTTTTGCTCTTGTCACCCAGGCTGGAGTGCAATGGTGCGATCTCGACTCACTGCAACCTCAACCTCCCAGTTTCAAGAGATTCTCCTGCCTCAGCCTCCCGAGTAGCTGGGATTACAGGCATGTGCCACCACGCTCGGCTAATTTTGTATTTTTAGTATCTGGTTTGATTTTTAGTAGAGATAGGCTTTCACCACGTTGGTCAGGCTGGTCTCGAACTCCTGACCTCAAGTGATCCACCCATCACGGCCTCCCAAAGTGCTGGGATTACATACGTGAGCCACTGCGCCCAGCCTTAAACATTTTTAAGAGTGCATTCACATTAAGAGGGCATTAAGTGCATTCACATTCTTATGTAACCATCACCGCCATCCATTTCCAGAACTTTGCATCTTCTCAAACTGAAACTCTGTACCCATTAAAACAAACCCCCAACCCCCAGCCTCCCAGCCCCTGGTATTCTTTTTTCTGTCTCTATGGATGTGACTACTCTATGTACCTCATGTAAGTGGAATCATCCAGTATTGATCCTTTTGTGACAGGCTTATTTCACTTAGCACAATGTTCTTAAGTTTCATCCATGTTGTAGCATGTGACAGAATTTTTTTCCTTTTGAAGGCTAAATAATATCCCATTGTATGGATAGACCACATTTGGTTTATCCATTCATTTGTTGATGGACACTGGGGTTGCTTACATATTTTGGCTCTTGTGAATAATACTGCTATGAACATGGGTATACAGATATCTCTTAGGGACCCTGCTTTCCATTCTTTTGAGTATATACCCAGAAGTGAGATTGCTATGGTAATTCTATCTTTAACTTTTTCAGGAACCACTATACTGCTTTCCACAGCAGCTGTGCCATTTTACATTCCCACCAACAATGAAAAGTGTTCCAATTTCTCCTCATCCTCATCATTACTTGTTATTTTCTTTTTGTTCTTTTACTTGTTTGTTCTTTAAAAAAAAAAAATAGTAGTTGGGCCGAGCATGGTGGTTCATGCCTGTAATCCCAGCACTTTGGGAGGCCAAGGCAGGTGCATCATTTGAGGTCAGGAGTTCAAGACCAGCCAGACCAACATAGTGAAACCCTGTCTCCACCAAAAATACAAAAAATAAGCTGGGCGTGGTGGTGTGTGCCTGTAATCCCAGCTACTTGAGAGGCTGAGGCAGGAAATTTGCTTGAACCTGGGAGGTGGAGGTCGCAGTAAGCTGAGATCGTGCCACTGCACTCCAGCCTGGGTGACAGAGTGAGACTCTGTCTCAAAAAATAAAAATAAATAAATAAATAAATAAATACATAAATACAAATTAAAAAATAGTAGCCATCCTAATGGGTGTGAAGGATAGTGTGTATTAGTCAGTGTTCTCTAGAGGGACAGAACTAATAGGATAGACATATACATAAACGGGAGTTTATTAAGTTTTAACTCACACAATCATAAGGTCCCACAGTGGGCTGTCTGCAAGCTGATAAGCAAGGAGAGCCAGTCTGAGTCCCAAAACTGAAGAACTTGGAGTCTGATGTTCGAGGGCAGGAAGGATCCAGCATGGGAGAAAGATGTAGCCTGGGAGGCTAGGCCAGTCTAGTCTTTTCACATTTTTCTGCCTGCCTTATATTCTAGCTGTGCTGGCAGCTGATTAGATGGTGTCCACCCAGATTAAGGGTGGGTCTGCCTTTCCCAGCCCCCTGACTCAAATGGTTAATCTCCTTTGGCAACACCCTCACAGACACACCCAGGAGCAATACTTTGCATTCTTCAATCAAGTTGACACTCAGTATTAACCATCACAGAGTGTATTTTTTATTATTGTCTAATTTAATGCAATTTTTGAGATGTGTTTTATAATCCAGCATGTGCTCTTCTGTGTAGTAAATATTTTATGATCAACTGAAAATAATGTGTATTCTACAACTGTTCAGTGTAATAGTCTACAAATATCAATTAGGACAAGATTCTTGATAGCGTTTTTTAAATAGTCTATTAATATATGCTTCCTAATGTTTCATGTACTTTTTTATCTATTGAAGGGAGGTATTAAAATCTTCAGTATTGTGAACAACTAACTTTATGCTAACAATTTGGCTACCTAGATGAAATTAACACATACTTTTAAAAATATAACAGGCCGGGCGCCGGTGGCTCATGCCTGTATTCCCAGCACTTTGGGAGGCCGAGGTGGGTGTATCACAAGGTCAGGAGATCGAGACCATCCTGGCTAACATGGTGAAACCCCCTCTCTACTAAAAATACAAAAAAAATTAGCCGGGAGTGGTGGCGGGCACCTGTAGTCCCAGCTACTCGGGAGGCTGAGACAGGAGAATGGTGTGAACCTGGGAGGCAGAGCTTGCAGTGAGCCGAGATTGTGCCACTGCACTCTAGTCTGGGTGACAGAGCCAGACTCCATCTCAAAAAAAAAACAAAAAACATAACTTAACAAAATAGACACAAAAAGGAATTTAAAATATCAATAGTTCTTTATTTGTAAAAAATAAATTTATGATAAAATATTTTGCCACAAAGAAAACTCCAGGTCAAGATAGCATCTCTGGGGAGTTCTATCACACATTTATGGAAGAAATAATACAAACTTACACAATCCTTTTCAGAGCATAGAGGAGGTGGACATGTTCCTCTATTCTTTTTTTTTTTTTTTTTTTTTTAAGAGACAGGATCTCACTATGTTGCCCAGCCTGGCCTCTAACTCCTGAGCTCAAGCACTCCTCTTGCCTCAGCCTCCCTAGTAGATGAGACTACAGGCATATGCCACCATGCCTGGCTTTCTCTACTTTTTAATGGACCAGCAGAACCCTGATACCAAATGTTGACAAAGACATTACAAGAATGGAAAAATACAAATCAATATCCCTCTTGAACATAACAATGTTTAACAAAATATTAGGAGACAGAATCCAGTAATATAAGAATATAATACATCATGGGCCTGGTGTGGTGGCTCGCGCCTGTAATCCCAGCACTTTGGGAGGCCGAGGCAGGCAGATCACTTGAGGTTAGGAGTTCGAGACCAGCCTGGCCAACATGGTGAAACCCTGTCTCTACTAAAAATACAAAAATTAGCTGAGCATGTTGGTGGGTACCTGTAATCCCAGCTACTCAGGAGGCGGAAGCACGAGAATTGCTTGAACCCGAGAGGCAGAGGTTGCAGTGAGCCGAGATCGTGCTACTGAACTCCAGCCTGAGTGACAGAGTGCGAGTCTGTCTCAAAAAAAAAAAAAAAAAAAAAAAAAAGAATATATTATGACCAAGTAGGGCTTATCCCAGGAATGCAAAATGGTTTATCATTTAAAACTCAATCAATATAGCTGGGCACAGTGGCTCATGCCTGTAATCTCAGCATTTTGGGAGGCCGAGGCAGGTGGATCACCTGAGGTCAGGAGTTCAAGACTAGCCTGACCAATATAGCAAAACACCATCTCTACTAAAAATACAAAAATTAGCCAGGTGAGGTGGCATGTGCCTGTAGTCCCAGCTACTTGGAAGTGAGACAGGAGAATTGCTTGAATCCAGGAGGTGGAGGTTGCAGTGAGCTGAGATCGGGCCACTGCCCTCCAGCCTGGGTGACAGAGCGAGACTCCATCTCAAAAAAAAAAAACAAAAAAAACCTCAATCAATATATATCATCACATTAACAAGATAAAAGGAGAAATCATATGACCATCTCATTGAGAGAGACAAACATTTGAGGCCATCAACACCCACTCATACTAACAACTTTCAAGGCAATGAGAATCTCCACAATCTAATAAAGTGCATCCATGAGATATAATTAACTGCATGCCTACTAGTGAAACATTGAAATCTTTCCCTTGCATCAGCAATAAAGCAAGGAAATCTAATCTTACTACTTCTGTTCAACATTGTACTGAAAGTTTCAGCCAGTGGTACAAGGTAAGAAAAAAAAAACACACATTGGAAAGGAAGCAATAAAAATGTTTCTATCTGCAGGCAAGATGATACTATGTATAGAAAACCTCAGAGAATTTTATTTTAAAAAAAGACAAAACATACAAGAACTAATAAGTGAACTTAGCAAGGCTGCAGGCTACAAGATCAATATAACAAAAAATCATATTTATATATACTAGCAACATGCAACTGGAAAAATATAAGACACCATTGGTAATGGCATAAAAAAATCAGCTTTTAATGAATAAATGCATAATTTCTACACTGAAAACTACAAAACAGTGCTGACAGAAATTAAAGAATATTTATTTTGTTTTTTGGTTTTGTTTTTTGTTGTTTTTGAGACAGAGTCTCACTCTGCCACCCAGGCTGTAGTGCAGTGGCACAATCTCGGCTCACTGCAAGCTCCGCCTCCCAGGTTCACGCCATTCTCCTGCCTCAGCCTCCCGAGTAGCTGGGACCACAGGTGCCCGCCTCCATGCCCAGCTAATTTTTTTTTGTATTTTTAGTAGAGACGGGGTTTCACCATGTTAGCCAGGATGGTCTCAATCTCCTGACCTCATGACCTGCCTACCTCGGCCTCCCAAAGTGCTGGGATTACAGGTTTGAGCCACCGCACCCGACCTAAAGAATATTTAAATAAATGTGGAGATACACTACGTTCATGGATGAGAGTGTGTCCGGAATTGGTAGGTTCTTGGTCTCACTGACTTCAAGAATGAAGCCGCGGACCCTCGCGGTGAGTGTTACAGCTCTTAAGGTGGCGCGTCTGGAGTCTGTCCCTTCTGATGTTCAGATGTGTTTGGAGTTTCTTCCTTCTGGTGGGTTCGTGGTCTCGCTGGCTCAGGAGTGAAGCTGCAGACCTTCGCAGTGAGTGTTACAGTTCTTAAGGCAGCGCGTCTGGAGTTGTTCGTTCCTCCTGGTAGGCTCATGGTCTTGCTGGACGCAGGAGTGAAGCTGCAGATCTTCGCGGTGAGTGTTACAGCTCATAAAAGCAGGGTGGACCCAAAGAGTGAGCAGTAGCAAGATTTATTGCAAAGAGTGAAAGAACAAAGCTTCCACAGTGTGGAAGGGGACCCAAGCGGGTTGCCAATGCTAGCTCGGGCAGCCTGCTTTTATTCTCTTATCTGGCCCCACCCACATCCTGCTGATTGGTAGAGCCGAGTGGCCTGTTTTGTCAGGGCGCTGATTGGTGCGTTTACAATCCCTGAGCTAGATACAAAGGTTTTCCACGTCCCCATCAGATTAGTTAGATACAGAGTTTCCACACACAGGTTCTCCAAGGCCCCACCAGAGCAGCTAGATACAGAGTGTCAATTGGTGCATTCACAACCCTTGAGCTAGACACAGGGTGCTGATTGGTGTGTTTACAAACCTTGAGCTAGATACAGAGTGCCAACTGGTGTATTTACAATTCTTGAGCTAGACATAAAGGTTCTCCACGTCCTCACCAGAGCAGCTAGATACAGAGTGTCGATTGGTGCATTCACAAACGAGCTAAACACAGGGTGCTGATTGGTGTATTTACAATCCCTGAGCTAGACATAAAGGTTCTCCATGGCCCCACCAGACTCAGGAGCCCAGCTGGCTTCACCTAGTGGATCCCGCACTGGGGCTGCAGGTGGAGCTGCCTGCCAGTCCTGCGCCGTGCGCTCGCATTCCTCAGCCCTTGGGTGGTCGATGGGACTGGGCGCTGTGGAGCAGGGGGTGGTGCTCGTCGGGGAGGCTCGGGCCACACAGGAGCCCATGGAGTGGGTGGGAGGCTCAGGCATGGCGGGCTGCAGGTCCCGAACCCTGCCCTGCGGGAAGGCAGCTAAGGCTCAGTGAGAAATCGAGCGCAGTGCCGGTGGGCCGGCACTGCTGGGGGACCCAGTACACCCTCCGCAGCCACTGGCCCGGGTGCTAAGTCCCTCATTACCCGGGGCCAGCAGGGCTGGCTGGCTGCTCCAAGTGCGGGGCCCACCAAGCCCACACCCACCCGGAACTCCAGCTGGCCCGCAAGCGCCGCACGCAGCCCCGGTTCCCGCTCGTGCCTCTCCCTCCACACCTCCCTGCAAGCTGAGGGAGTGGGCTCCAGCCTTGGCCAGCCCAGAAAGGGGCTCCCACAGGGCAGTGGGGGGCTGAAGGGCTCCTCAAATGCCACCAAAGTGGGAGCCCAGGCAGGGGAGGCGCCGAGAGCGAGCGAGGGCTGTGAGGACTGCCAGCACGCTGTCACCTCTCAAGAGGACTAAATTTTTTTTTTTTTTTGAGATAGAGTTTCACTCTTGTTGCCCAGGCTGGAATGCAATGGCGCGATCTCAGCTCACCGCAATCTCTACCTCCCGGGTTCAAGCGATTCTCCTGCCTCAGCCTCCCGGATAGCTGGGATTACAGGCAGGCACCACCACACCCAGCTAATTTTGTATTTTTTTTTTAGCAGAGACAGGGTTTCTCCATGTTGGTGAGGCTAGTCTTGAACTTCCAACCTCAGGTGATCCACCTACCTTGGCCTCCCAAAGTGCTGGGATTACAGGCATGAGCCATGACGCCCGGACTGGACTAAATATTTTTAAGATGTTCATTTTCCCCAAATTCACCTATAGTTTCAGCAGAAATTCAATTTAAAACCCCAGCAGGCTATTTAGCAGAAATTGGCAAGCTGATCCTAAATTTTTGTTTGTTTGTTGGAGACAAGGTCTCACTGTTGCTGAGGCTGGAGTGCAGTGGCATGATCATGGGTCACTGCAGCCTTGACCTTCTAGGCTCAAATGATCCTCCCGCCTCAGCCTCCCAAGTAGCTGGGACTATAGATGCACACCACTACTGCCTGGCTAATTTTTTTCTATTTTGGGTAGAAACGGGGCTTCACCATGTTGCCCAGGCTGGTCTCAACTCCTGGGCTCAAGCAATCCCCTGCCTTGGCCTCCCAAAGTGCTGAAATTACTGGCATAAACCACCGTGCCTGGCCCTAAAATTTATTTGAAAATGCAGAGTCTAGAATAGCCAGAACAATTTTGAAAAACAATAAATTTGGAGGACTTACTTTCCTGAGGTCAAGAGTTCGAGACCAGCCTGGCCAACATGGTGAAACCCTGTCTCTACCAAATACAAAAAAATTAGCTGGGCATAGCGGTAGGCGCCTGTAATCCCAGCTACTTGAGAGGTTGCAGCAGAAGAATCGCCTGAACTCGGCAGGTGGAGGTTTCAGTGAGCAGAGATCACACCATTGCACTCCAGCCTGGGCAACAAGAGCAAAACTCTGTCTTGGAAAAAAAAAAAAAACAAAAAACAGACAAATAGATCTACAGAACAAATTAGAGTCAGACAATAGACCCTTACATACAGTCAAATGATTTTTGATAAGGATGACAAGATGATTCAATTGGGAAATAAAGGCTTTTCAATGAGTGTCCTACAACAACTGGATAACCAGATCCACACATAAA
This sequence comes from Homo sapiens, assembly GCF_000001405.40. Lineage (NCBI taxonomy): Eukaryota > Metazoa > Chordata > Mammalia > Primates > Hominidae > Homo > Homo sapiens. The sequence continues at coordinate 13,448,966 of NC_000003.12, forward strand.
AAATAATTTGAGATATATAATAGCTGAGACCATGAATCTTCCATAAGAAAGCAAGGAAAATACCTTTGTGAGCTTGCAGTAGGCAGAGATTTCTTCCTTTTTAAAAATTTTATTTTATTTATTTATTTATTTAGAGATGGAGTCTCACTCTGTCGCCCAGGCCAGAGTGCAGTTGTGTGATCTTGGCTCACTGCAACCTCCGCCTCTCAGGTTCAAGCAATTCTCCTGCCTCAGCCTCCTGAGTAGCTGCGATTACAGGCGCACACCACCATGCCCGGCTAATTTTTGTAGTTTTAGTAGAGACGGGGTTTCTGCCACGTTGGCCAGGCCGGTCTCAAACTCCTGACCTCAGGGTGGTCCTCCCGCCTCCGCCTCCACCTCCCAAAGTGCTGGAATTACAGGCCTGAGCCACCGTGCCTGGCCTTCTAAGTCACAAAACCACGCAAGAAAAATGGGATAAAATGAACTTTACCAATATTTAACATTTCTGCTCTTTTGAAAACACTGATAAAAGAATAAAAAGACAAATAGACTGGAGAAAATACTTGCAAATAATACACCTGATAAAGAACTTATATCCAGAATATATAAAGAACTCTCAAAACTCAATTTTAAAAATCGAATTTAAAAATGCACAACACGCTAGGTGTATGGCTAATGCTGTAATCCCAGCACTTTGGGAGGCCAAGGCAGGAGGACTGCTTGAGCCCAGGACTAGGAGGCCAGTCTGGGCAACATGATGAGACTCTTGTCTCTACCAAAAACAAACAAACAAAAAAATTAGCCAGGTGTAATGGTGCATGTCTGTATTCCTAGCTACTTCTGAGGCTTAGGCGGGAGGATCACCTGAGCCCAGGAAGTCGAGGTTACAGTAAGCCACGATCACACCACTGCACTCTAGACTGGGTGATAGAGGGAGACTCTGTCTCTAAAAAATAAAAATAAAAAAGTAAAAAATGAAAAATGCACAACAGATTTGAGCAGATATTCACTATGAAAATTACATGGGTGACATCCTGGCTAACACGGTGAAACCTTGTCTCTACTAAAAATAAAATAAAATAAAATAAAATAAAATAAAATAAATTAGCCAGGTGTGGCGGGCACCTGTAGTTCCAGCTACTTAGGAGGCTGAGGAAGGAGAATGGCGTGAACCCGGGAGGTGGAGATTGCAGTGAACCTAGATCGCGCCACTGCACTCCAGCCTGGGCGACAGAGCGAGGCTCCGTCTCAAAAAAAAGAAAATCACATGGGTGACATGAAAAGATACTCAACATCATTAGTCATCAAAGAAATGCAAATTAGGGCCGGGTGTGGTGGCTCACACCTGTAATCCCAGCACTTTGGGAGGCCAAGGCAGGCGGATCACCTGAGGTCAGGAGTTCGAGACCAGCCTGACCAACATGGTGAAACCCCGTCTCTACTAAAAATACAAAATTAGCTGGGCGTGGGGGCGCATGCCTGTAATCCAGCTACTTGGGAGGCTGAAGCAGGAGAATCACTTGAACTCAGGAGGCAGAGGTTGCTATGAGCCAAGACTGCGTCACTGCACTCCAGCCTGGGCAACAAGAATGAATGTCTGTCTCACAAAAAAAAAAAAAGAAAAGAAAAGAAAAGAAAATTAAACTCACTATGTGCTACTACTACATAGCAATTAAGATGGCTAAAATGGAAAAACGCAGGGCACAGTGGCTTATGCCTGAAATCCTAACACTTTGGGAGGTGGAAGCAGGAGGACTGCTTGAGCCCAGGAGTTCAAGACCAGCCTAGGCAACATGGGGAGACCCTGTCTCTACAAAAAATAAAAAAAATCGGTTGGGCGAGGTAGCTCACGCCTGTAATCCCAGCACTTTGTGAGGCTGAGGCAGGTGGATCACTTGAGGTCAGGAGTTCGAGACCAGCCTGGCTAACATGGTGAAACCCTGTCTCTACTAAAAAAATACACAATTAGCTGGGCGCGGTGGCATATGGTTATCCCAGCTTCTTGGGAGGCTGAGGCAGGGGAATTGCTTGAACCCGGGACATGGAGGTTGCAGTGAGCCGAGATCGTGCCATTGCACTCCAGCTGAGCAATAAGAGCAAAATTCTGTCTCAAAAAAAAAAAATTCTTTTTAAATTTAAAAAATTTAAATTAAAATAATTAGCCGGGCAGTCGAGGTATGGGCCTGTGGTCCCAGCTACTTGGGAGGCTGAAGTGGGAGGAATGCTTGAGCCAGGGAGGTTGGGCCTGCAGTGAGCCATGATCAGGCCACTGTACTCCAGCCTGGGTGACAGAGCAAGACCCTGTCTCAAAAAAAACAAAAGAAAACAAAAAAAAGGGTTAAAAAAGAACAGACACTTCATAAAAGATCTACGAATGGCCATTAAGTACATGAAACTCACAGTCATTAGTCATCAAATAAATGCAAAGTAATACCACCATGAGACACCATTTCCTACCTATCAGCACCATCTCAAATGAAGTGTGGCATCAAATGCTGCCAAGGTTGTGGAACAACTGGAACTCCCATACACGGCAGGCGTGAGTTTGATCTCAAGTGAGTCCTGACCTCAAGTGATCCTCCCACCTCGGCTTCCCAAAGTGCTGGGATTACAGGCGTGAGCCACTGAGCCCAGCCCGCAGGCGTGAGTTTGAAACTGTACAACTGCTTTGGAGATTGGTTGGGCAGTTTCTTATAAAGTTAAACAAATTCTATGACTTAAGCAACTCTAGCTACTCACCCACGTAAAATGATACGTTACCAAAAAATACTGAGCACAAATAAATATTCACTGTAAGGCAGGAGGCAGCCGGGACCAGACTCCAGATCAGATCGAAGACTGGCGGAAACTGAGGAGAGGCGCTTAAAGCCCCTCTCCATAAGACACGCCCACCACCTCCATGACAGTTTACCATTGCCGTGGCAACACCCGGAAGTTACTGCCCCTTGCCGCGGCAACACCGGAAGTTCCCGCCCACTTTCTAGCTAATTCTGAATGACCCGCCTCTTAATTAGCATGTCTTTTAAAGTGGACCTAAATACGCCTACGAAACTGCCCCTACGCTGCTACCCTCTGCACAGTTCCTGTGGGGGTAGTCTTGCCGTGCCAGAGCAGTCGTCATTGGAGCTGTAATAGTGCCGCGCCGCCTCAGCAAAGCTGTTTTCTTCTACCTCCGGCTGGCTCTTCAGGTCTTCCTGGGGAAGCCAAGAACCTGCCCTGCATCAGTAGGGCAGGTTCACAATAGCCTAACTGGAAGTACCCAAATCTCCGTCAACAGGAGAATGCGGCCGGGCGCCGTGGCTCACGCCTGTAATCCCAGCACTTTGGGAGCCCGAGGCGGGCGGATCACTAGGTCAGGAGTTCAAGACCAGAGTGGCCAACATGTTGAAACCCCGTCTCTGCTAAAGATACAAAAATTAGTCGGGCGTGGTGGCATACGCCTGTAGTCCCAGCTACTTGGGAGGCTGAGGCAGGAGAATTGCTTGAACCCGGCTGGCGGAGGTTGCAGTGAACCGAGATTGCACCACTGCACTCCAGCCTGGGCAACAGAGCAAGATGCTGTCTCAAACAACAACAACAACAACAAAAAAACAAAAACAGGAGAATGCATAAGTTGTGGTATATTCATAAAATGAATACTAGTTAGTCAGCAATAAGAAGGATTATGGAGTTTCAGTAGTTACTAATAAACTTGAAGGCATGAACAAATCCCATAGGCATAATAGCTGTTTTGTTTTTCAGAGGCGGTCTTGCTCTGTCGCCCAGGCTGGAGTATGCAGTGGTGAGATTATAGCTCACTGCAGCCTCAGACTTCTGGGCTCAAGCGATGGTCCCAGGAGCCTCGGCCTCCCAAAGCACTGGGATTACAGGTTCACACCACCATCGCCGGCCACTGTTGAAGGAAAAATGCCAGACGCAAAGAGAATGTGGACTCTAAGATTCCATTATTTTAAGTTCAGTAACAGGCGAAACTAGCCGATCACATTAGAAATAAGAGCAGTGGTGGCCTCTAGTGGGGAGGGAAATTCATTAAAAAGAGACAATTTCTGCAGCGAAGGAAAGGTTCTATATCTTGATTTGGAGATTGAGCCCATACATACATACTTAAGACCAGCGTATTTTACCTTCACTAAAATATAATTCTTTTGGATTTGAAAATTTAATAATCAACTAAACACATTTGGACATGGACACGTCCATTCTGTCCCAATTTATTGAGCTCATCCTGTGTGTGGCTATCATTGAATCCTCCCAACACCTCCTTAAGTGGGTACTATTACTATTCCCATTGTTTAGATGAGAAAACACAAATGCAAAATACCTGAGCTACACTTGCCCAAGGTTTGCAGGATGGGAAGGTGAATAAGAGACTTATTCACCTTCAGGGGTTTGTGCTCCTGATCCCAGCGCTACCTGTTCTGGGCCCTGGGCTGACTGCTGGGAGCCTTCATAGACCCCACAGGCCAGAGGAGGAGACAGTGTGTGGGGTGGTGATGACCACAGGGCATGTCTAGTCCCTGGGGGATGGATGGGGCAAGGTCCTAACTCCACCTGGGAGGATGGGAGTGGGTATGGGAGAAACTCTGTTATGAGAGTGAGCTCAGGGCCACTGGGGGCAGGGGTAGGGGTCACCCTACAACATGATCTCATAACTGATCAGCTTAGCTTCAAAATGCATTTTAAAACCTTTTTTCTCCCTTTCTCCAGTCTTAGCCTTGAAACAGTCACACTTTGTTTCTCTCCCTTCCCACTAGACACTCCCTGCACTGCACTGGGCTAGTTTATCTAATTATGGGCTTGCTTAGAAATTCCAGAGAATAGGCCAGGCGCCTCACCTGCTTGAACTTTTCACAACTCCCCCTGGCCTTCTACCACAGTGCCCAGACTTGACTGCAGCTTGGATCCACCTGGGGAGCATACTGAAAGTAAAGATTCTGGCTGGGCACGGTGGCTAACGCCTGTAATCCCAGAACTTTGGGAGGCTGGGGTGGGTGGATCTCTAGGTCAGGAGTTCAAGACCAGCCTGGCCAACATGGTGAAACCCTGTCTCAAACCGCAAAAATTAGCTGGGTGCGGTGGCAGTCACCTGTAATCCCAGCTACTTGGGAGGCTGAGGCAGGAGAATCTCTTGAATCTTGGTGGCAGAGGTTGCAGTGAGCCGAGATCGCGCCACTGCACTCCAGCCTGGGCGACAGAGTGAGACTCTGTCTCAAAAAAAAAAAAAAAAGGCCGGGCGCGGTGGCTCACACCTGTAATCCCAGCACTTTGGGAAGCTGAGGCGGGCAGATCACGAGGTCAGGAGATCGAGACCATCCTGGCTAACACGGTGAAACCCCGTCTCTACTAAAAATACAAAAAATTAGCTGGGCATGATGGTGGGCGCCTGTAGTCCCAGCTAGTCGGGAGGTTGAGGCAGGAGAATGGCGTGAACCTGGGAGGCGGAGCTTGCAGTGAGCTGAGATCGTGCCACTGCACTCCAGCCTGGGTGACAGAGAGAGACTCCATCTCAAAAAAAAAAAAAAAGAAAAAAGTAAAGATTCCCAGATCCCCGTGTGGAGAGTCTCAAAAATGGAAAGCAGAGGCTTCTGAGGGGAATGTGTCAGCCTTTTCTCCTTCCTCACTTTCATTCATCTTCTGGAAAGGGGCACACATGAACTGCATGGACTTTAGTCACCTTGGTTAATTTCTACCTGCCTCCTAAGGAGGAAGGGGAGGTTGGGGGGTGATGGGGGTTGGAGGGTCTACAGGCCCACAGGAGGATTGGACTAAAGGTGTCCCATGAAGAGCAGTATTTAAGATTAGATTCAGGCTGGGTGTGGTGGCCCACACCTGTAATCCCAGCATTTTGGGAGGCCAAGGAGGGCGGATCACGAGGTCAGGAGATCGAGACCATCCCGGCTAACATAGTGAAACCCCGTTTCTACTAAAAATTCAAAAAAAATTAGCTGGGCATGGTGGCGGGTGCCTGTAGTCCCAGCTACTCAGGAGGCTGAGGCAGCAGAATGGCTTGAATCTGGGAGGTGGAGCTTGCAGTGAGCCAAGATTGCGCCACTGCACTCCAGCCTGGGTGATAGAGCAAGACTCCGTCTCAAAAAAAAAAAAAAAAAAAAAAAAAAGATTAGATTCTGAGAGAGTCATTCCACCTGTGTCCCACACACCAGGTAAGGGGTTGCTCTGATGTCTTCCTGGAGTTAGGTGAGAGCTTTGCCTGCTTTGTCTCAGTTCAGGAGAGTCTGTCCATGGGATGTGGAAAAAAAAACCTTGAGCAGGAGCTGGACACTGATGTATCATTTAGCAACTGTTGCATAACAAGGCACCAAACTTTGTTGCTTTAAGAAAACAGTGACTTAGTATTGTTTAGGACTCTACCGGTCCGCTGAGCGGTTCTGCCCTGGGCCAGGTTTGGCTGACCCTGGCTGGGCTCCCCACTGCAGTCATCCAGAAGCTCAGCTGGACTGGCAGGTCTAGCACAGCCTCACACACCTCTGCCAGTTGGTTAGCTGATGTTTGGGGTGGTGCCGTGTCTCCCTCCCTCCAGCAGGCTAGCCTGGGCTTGATCCTAGGGCAGTGGATGACACTCTATTTCCCGTGAGAGTAGAGCATGCAGGGCCTCCCAAAGCCTAGGTTTGTAATGGGTACCATAAACCAAAATGTATCTGTGACAGGTCTCAACCAATTTAGAAAGTTTATTTTGCCAAGGTTAAGGACATGCCTGCGACACAGCCTCAGGAGGTCCTGACGACATGTGTCTAAGGTAGTCAGGGTACAGCTTGGTTTCATACAGTTTAGGGAGACACGAGACATCAATCAAAACATGTAACATGTACATTGGTTTGGCCCAGAAAGGTGGGACAACTTGAAACATTCTTTTGAGTTTCTGATTAGCCTTTCACTGAATGCACAATTTACAGGAATAGTCACGTGCCTTAGTCTGGCTTAGTGAACCAATAGGGCAGAGGAAGCAATCAGATATGCATTTGTCTCACATGAGCAGAGGGATGACTTTGAGTATTGCCTGTTCTTTGTCCTCAAGGAATTTCTTTGTGGGTAAATTGCAAGCGTGGTATGTAGCTTTTTAAAATCTTGACCGGGTGCAGTAGCTCATGCCTGTAATCCCAGCACTTTGGGAGGCTGAGGCAAGTGGATCACTTGGGGACAAGAGTTTGAGACCAGCCTCACCAACATGGTGAAAGCCCGTCTCTACTAAAAATACAAAAACTAGCTGGGTGTGGTGGCGGGCACCTGTAATCCCAGCTACCTCGGAGGCTGAGGCAGGAGACTTGCATGAACCCAGGAGGCGGAGGTTGCAGTGAGCTGAGATCACGCCACTGCACTCCAGCCTGGGTGACAGAGCGAGACTCTGTCTCAAAATAAATAAATAAATAAAATAAAATAAAATAAAACATCTGTAGCTGTGTTATTTAGGAATAGAATGGGAGGCAGGTTTGCCCTATGCAGTTCCCAGCTTGACTTTTCCCTCTGGCTTAGTGATTTTCGGGAGACTTATTTTCCTTTCACAGTACAACCTCACTCCATCACATTCTAAAGACCAAAACAAGGCATGAAGCCACCACAGATGTCACTGCTTGATGGGAGGAGCTGCCATGTCACACTGGGAAAGGCATGGACATTAGGCAAAGGCAAATTAAAACCACAATGAGATGCCATCTCACACTCACTAGCCTGGATATTATCAAAAACACAGAACCCAACCAGTCTGTTGGCGAAGATGTGGAGAAATTGGAACACTTGCACACTATTGGTGTGAATGTAAATGGTGCAGTGCTGTGGAAACAGTATAGCGCTTCCTCAAAGAAACCTAGAATTACTGGCCAGGCGTGGTGGCTCACACCTATAATCCCAGCACTTTGGGAGGCCGAGGTGGGCAGATCATCTGAGGTCAGGAGGCCAGCCTTGCCAACATGGTGAAACCTCATCTATACTAAAAATACAAAATTAGCCGGGCATGGTGGTGGGAGCCTGCAATCCCAGCTACTCAGGAGGCTGAGGCAGGAGAATCACTTGAACCTAGGAGGCGGAGGTTGCAGTGAGCCGAGGTCGTGCCACTGGACTCCAGCCTGGGTGACAAGAGTGAAATTTGGTCTCAAAAAAAAAAAGAAAAAATTACCATGCAATTAAGCACTTCAACTTCTGGGTATATACTCAAAAGAATGAAAAGCAAGGCCTCAGATATTCGAACCCCCATGTTTATAGCAGCATTATTCATGACAGCCAAGAGGTGCCTGCTACGTCTATTGACAGATGAATGGATAAACTAAATGTGGTGTGTACATACACTGGAATGTTATTCAACCTTAGAAAGGAAATTCTGACCCATGTGACCACATGGATGAAACTTAAATACAAGCTCAGTGAAATAAACCAGTCATAAAAAGCATAAAAAGACAAATACTGCATGATTCCACTTTTTTTTTTTTTTTTTTTTTTTTTTTGAGACGGAATCTTGCTCCATTGCCCAGGCTGGAGTGCAGTGGCATGATCTCGGCTCACTGCAACCTCCGCCTCCTGGGTTCAGGCGATTCTCCTGCCTCAGCCTCCCAAGTAGCTGGGATTACAGGTGCGTGCCACCATGTCCGGCTAATTTTTGTATTTTCAGTAGAGACGGGGTTTCACCATATTGGCCAGGCTGGTCTTGAACTCCTGACCTCATGATCCACCCATCTTGGCCTCCCAAAGTGCTGGGACTACAGGCGTGAGCCACTGTGCCCGGCCAATTCCACTTTTATGAGGTCCCTAGAATAGTGAAACTCAGAGACAGAAAGTGGAATGGTAGGTTCCAGGGGCTGGAGGAGTGAGGATGGGAGTTAGTGTTTTCATGGGAACAGTTTCAGTTTGGGAAGATAAACACATTCTGAGATGGATGGTGGTGATGATTGCACAACAATGTGAATGTATTTCACGCCGCTGAAGTGGACACAAAAATGCCTCAGAGAGGAAAATGGGGACATGTTGGTTAAAGGGTACAAAGTTTCAGTTCAGTTAGACAGGATTACTTTTAAAATGTTTAAGATGCTAAACTGATGTTATGTATATTTTACCAAAATGAAAAGAAAATTTAAAAACAGGCATGGATATCACCGGCGGAAGAGTGGGACCATTTTTGCAAGTGATCCACCACAACTGGATCCTAAACTGTGGGACATTCCCAGTTTGCATTAACCTCTTCAAGCATCAGTGACCTCAACTTTATTTTCATTTACTTATTTATTAGAGACAGGGTCTCCTCCTGTCACCCAGGCTAAAGTGCAGTAGCGTGATTGTGGCTCACTGTAGTCTTGACCTCCTGGGCTCAAGCGATCCTCCCACCTTGGTCTCCTGAGTAGCTGGGATTATGGCAAGCGCCACCACACCTGGCATCACCTTTAAATTGAGGATGAATTCATGCTCCTGTCTGCATGTTGAGGCTGGAAAAAAAATTGGAATTAATTATCTAAGATGTGTACCTGGCCAAGTCTACTCTTTTCATTTTAAATGGGAGACAATTAAACCTTATCCCGATAATCAGGCCCATGGCTTTGCAGTCACAGCCACAGGCTTGGGAGTAAACATGAAAAGGAAAAGAGAAGCCCCAGGTAGGTGCTGAGTCTAAAGGATGGGGCCTTCACTGACAATAATGACAAAATGAAGGGAAACTTGCTTGTGATTTATTTAGCAGCTTGGGGGGATAGTTGAGCTCACCTCGAATTTTGCAAATTACAACAGGCCTGAAACTGCACATACTAGACAAGTATTGTTTCTCTTCCCAAATTTTGGGACAGCTTTGGGGAATTACTCACTCCAGCAATTGAAAGGAACTCCTTTTTATTTTTTAAAAGTTTTTACTAGAGACTGGATCTCGCTCGGTCACCCAGGCTGGAGTGCAGTATGGAACTCCTGGGCTCAAATGTCCTCCCACCTCAGCCTCCTGAGTAGCTGGGACTACAGGCGTGCACCATCATGCCCAGCTAACTTTTTTCTTATTTTATTTTATTGCAGAAAAGGGGTCTTGCTATTTTTGCCCAGGCTGGTCTTAAACTCCTGGCTTCAAGCAATCCTCCTGCGTCAGCCTCCCAAAGTGCTGGAATTATAGGAGGGAGCCACTGTGCTCAGACCCAGAACTCTTTTTTCTGTTTGTTTGTTTTCACTGCATTTATTACTAATATATAAAAAAAGTTACACACACACAAAAACTCATTCTCATTTCTCCAACAGCTCTCATCCCTCCCTCTTGCCCATTCAACTCCTGACCCATTTCCTGAGGGCCAGTTCGAAACTTAACCTGTTCTCTGCCATTTTCACAGAAAACAATCAGTGCCAGGGATGTAGGGAAAGAGGGTTGGAAGAGGGTGACAGTACTTTCCACGTTCCACCCAAAGATAAGCAAGGTGGAGATTCACAGAATTCAAATGAAAGGACTGGGGGCCTCCCAATGACATAGTCTAACTAAAATGAGCTGGAAAGGATCTAGGTAGGGTAAAGCCACCCGAGGCTTTTTAAGACGTCTCATGGGCATGTGTCAGACCCAGAATGACCAACACCAAGAGAAGAATGGGAAGAATGGGGAGGACCAAGGAGGCAGTCTGATGGAGAGGTCACAATTCCCCCATGTTGGGAGGTGGAAAGTCTAGAGGGCACCAAGAGCCTTACTCATTTTGGCAGAAAAACTTACTCTATTGTTGGGAAGTCACAGACATGCTACAGACACTGAGAAAGGCTGTGAGGGGATGCAGAGTTTCACAAAGCACAGTGATCAAAGGCCGTAGCGGTGGGGATCGTGCTACCGACAGAGAAACTACGAAATCCAAATGCAGGGAGAGTGGCCTTTTAGGAAGTAAGTCTATATCAGTCACTCAAACTTGACCCCAGATTAAACAACCTGGCTGAGTTCCATGAGCAGCTGACAACACTGGGAGTAAGGGGTGTCACATGAAAAGGACTTAAAACAAGCAGCTAGAAGAAAGGAAGGGTAGAAACTGCTCCAGGGCTCTCAGGAATGGAGGGCAATACTGGGAACAGGTGGACAGATGCACAAAAAACAGCCCCAAAGAGGTTTCCTGTTCAGCAGTCATTTGACAAGGGGAAGATCCAGGAGGCAGCTGAAGGGAGCAAGGATTGGTCCCAAAGGCAAGTCTCTAGAGGCTGTGTCAGAAGAAAGTGTGTGCACCTCGCCCCAGTGATGCAGCACAACTCTGGACCCCACACGGGGGAAGGGGCGGATAGGGTGGGTGTGTCACTGGCTGGGAGTGCTGGAAGAGCCTCATAGTAGCCATCACAGGGCCACAGGGAAATACATGGCCGCTGGTTACAGATGGCTCCTTCCACCCTGGATGGGAGGACACAGTCTCACAGAGGAGGGCTATTGATGCCTGGGTGGTGGAAGGCACAGAGGTCCTCATATTGACAGTGGTCCTTTTTGGCAAAATGTCCACAGACTGGGTGGTGGGATTTGTCTTCCATAACCTGGGGGTCATCCTAGTGGGCTGGTATTCTTGATAAGAGACCGGCTTTCGAGCCTTTGAGGGTTTCTCTGTTCTTTGTGAAGGCTTTGCCAGGCGGGACCCCCATGGCCTGGCGCCGGAAAAGGAGGTTCAGCATTGACTCCCCACCAACTACAATCATATGGGCTAGGCCTGGGGCCAAGGCCTCCTGGCATTGGGCCTCTACCCTGAGGAGGAGGTGGGAGGCTCAGCAGCGGTAGAATCAGCGGTCCCCTTGCTCCTGGAGGACCTCTGTGAGGAGCTGACTTAGGGTCATCAGGTTTTCCAATGGCCATGGTGGGAGGCTCAAGAAGGCTGGGTGATCCGATGGGACTCCCATCCTCGTCAGCTCCAGTCTTTTCCCTCTCGGGCAGTGGGGGCTGCTGCTGTGGCGGGGGCTGGTGCTGATTCTGCTTCTTTCATTTCGGCATTGTGGCGGCAGCAAAGGCTGCAGTGGGATTTGGCCAGAGGAATTCTTAATGAAGGAACTGGACCAAGCCTCCAGCAGGGCACAGTTTCTGGCTGCAATGACTTATGTCCAGTCCCATGCAACCTGGGGCTGTGCTAATGCTCTCACTGGTTTGGACCCTGAGGCTGGCCACAGTGCTGCCCACACGGCTTCTGGCTTTGGTTTATAATCTCATGTTCAGCCATTGCCCCCAGATGGTGCACACCGTGTCAGGGTTACTAGTTTGAGCACAATGTATAGCTCCCCTTTCCACATACAAAGAGCTGGCATTGAGCATGAGTCTCTATGTCCCAAGGTGATTTCTCTCTTGGTGGCTTTAGAAGTCCATTCTCGCAAACACCCCAATCGGTCAGACAGGCTTACTATAGTGGAATCTCAAAGGAGAATGGGCTGAGATCTTGATTACTTTGTGTCCAAGAGGTAATTTGACCCCAGTGCAAAACTGCCAACTTTTCCCCAGCCACTAGCTCTGAGTAGCTGGCAGGTCCCATTACAATCTCCTTTTCCCAAGGCCATGGGTGCCCCTCCACACTTGCTTGTATTTACCTCGGAGGAGCCAGTTAATGACTCTTCTCAAAATCACAATTTGCTCTACAGTGACTTTTTTAGTTCACCTAGACAAAGAAGTAAAATACCACTTGTTTTACTTAAAACCAAACCCTCAAGTCTCTCTAATTGTACACTTGCAACACCCAATAAATGATTACCCATCATCACAGCAGCCGTCACGGTAAACAATGAGGTTTGTCCCCCATGGGCCTTGACCACCACGTGCACACTTACCTTCCTAGAGCTGTTCGGGCCTCCCGCCAGGGGGAGTCACCTTGGCAGAGGAGGAAGGTCCCCCAGACTTCCCAGCGCCGGTGTTCTGCAGCGCCCTCTTGTGGCAGCAGCAAGGCTGTAGACTTTGAGGGTGGGCCCCTCCGCCTGACGTTAGCAACCTGGACTGGCTGGCCCCTTTGCACTGAGTGAGCCCCCAGGGTCCTAAATCCAGTGTTTTGGAGGAGGAGGCTCAAGGAGATGTAAAGGGACTTCTGCCTTATGTGAAGTTTAGGTGCTAAAGCCTAAACCCAATTTACATTATAGTCAATTTGCCTGTGAAAATTCCTTAAACGGCCCTGAATTAATGGAATTTAGGGTCCTTGGGAGTTCAAAAGCTAAAAATAACTTTTTCTTCTTTTCAGCTTGGCTATGGTCTAGTTGCCCTGGGACAGTGAAGACCAAGGTCTAGTCTGAATGGAGGGAACAAGGGGAAGGCTAAGGGGTTCATAATAGTCGTACCTGCACGGGGTGCGGTGGCTCACACCTGTAATCCCAGCAGTTTGGAAGGCCAAGGAGGGAGGATCGCTTGAGGCCAGGAGTTTGAGAACAGTCTCAAAAATGTAGCAAGACCTGTTTCTATGAAAAATAAAAAAATTTAGCTGGGCATGGTGGTGAACACTTGTAGTCCTAACTACTTGGGAGGCTGGTGTGGGAGGATCACTTGAGCCCAGGAGATTGAGCCTGCAATGAGCCATGATTGCACCACTACTGCACTCCAGCATGTGCAACAGAGTGAGACTCTGTCTCAAAAGAAAAAAAAAAAAAAAGGGCGGACGTGGTGACTCATGGCTGTAATCCCAGAACTTTGGGAGGCTGAGGCAGGCGGATCACCTGAGTTTGGGAGTTCGAGACCAGCCTGACCAACACAGAGAAACCCCATCTCTACTAAAGTTGCAAAATTAGTCAGGCATGGTGGCGCATGCCTGTAATCCCAGCTACACAGGAGGCTGAGGCAGGAGAATTGCTTGAACTCGGGAGGCGGAGGTTGCAGTGAGCCGAGATCACACCATTGGACTCCTTCTGGGCAACGAGAGCAAAACTCTGTCTCAAAAAAAAAAAAGCCAATCCCCCTCCACCTTCAATGTCTGATTTGCTGCAAGTTAAATGACCATATAATTCCAGCAAGTAACTGGTAATGTGGGACATAGTAGTCATGGATTTGTTATGCCATTTAATCTCATAATAACTACACACGGCAGGTAGTATTCTTTCCTGCCTGCTATTTATAAATGTGGAAACTGAAGCTCAGAGAGAGCCTATATTTAGCTTTGAGTAGAGAATGGCCACGTAGTGACCTCTTCCCAGCCCTGTTGGCTCATCAGATGCTCTGCTCCCCAGGGGCAAACTCAGCTTAGACTCAGGCTGGGGCCCTCCCACCCAAGACATGGCAGAATACCCTCCATTTGAGATTCAGACCAAGGGCTCTTGGAGGCTGTCGGAGTGGGATAAGCGCCAATCAGGGGAGGGCAAACAGGGACATGGTTCTGAGGGGCGACCAGGAGCTTTGTTCCTGTAGATATTTAACAAATTCAAGATGGGGGTGAACAGCACAGAGAGGATGTCAGGCAGAGGTAATAGGAGGAGGCCAGGTGGGGAGGCTGGAAGCACAGCCTGTTTCTTGGGGATTAGAGAGTGTGGCTGATGTATATAGTGGTGGGGATGCTCTGGACTAGAGAGCTGGGTTGGGGGGTGCTAACTTAGGATGAGCCTCTAGTGCTATCATGAGGGGTGAGCTTGGTGAGGAGGGGAGGACATGGAAGACAGCACATCCACTAAAGCCCCACTCAAGTTGCCCAAAAAAGTGTGGCTTTTGGGTCCTAAACATAGGTGGAGACTGCCCGTCATCACCAAGAGTAGGTGCTGATTGTGTGAAAATCGTGCATGAATCCCTCGCAAACGTTGGGCTGAGCCCCTGGGTGGCTTTTCTCTCTGTTTGAAGCTTTCCCTGCATACTTTAACTCATGCGGTTTTCTCTCTTTGGGGCTAGCCAAGCAGGGAGCATATTGAAGTAATGTGTCCATCAGTGGCAAGTGACAGAAAATCCAGCTCAAACTGGTACAGAGTTTACTGACTCGGAGAACTGGCTTCAGGCCCAGCTCAAACAATGCTGGGACCCTGTCTTCCTCACATGCCTGTCTCTGACTCTCTGTGGTGGCCACGTGTGGATTAAATGCCCACCCCTGGAGAACCTCCTGGATTGAGGGGAACAGCTGGTTCCCTGAGGACAGGTGCTGGGCTGGCAATTCCACCGACTCCCACCATTCTAGGGTTCTGGATGGTGGGAACCAAATGAAGTCTGCTCATCCCTGACCGCAGAGGCATCTCCAAGGCCCAAGTCAAGGTGAGAAAGATTCCACCTAAGCTGATGACTTTGATCACCCTAGATCAGCCAGGTCTCCTCCCAAATGGGATACCTGTCGGTGGGAACGTGAAAGTCCAGTCGGTCTAAGGGAATCGCTCCAGCTCTTTCTGACGTCAAGCCCAGGCATGACTGTTTCCCAAGACTGCACAAATTTTTTTCCTGAAGCATCAAATTCCTTATCAGTTCGTAGCAGTCCAAATTCAGATTCTTGATGGGATTTCACTTTATGGAAGGATTCTGTGAAAAATAGATAGCCTTGGGCTTTTCTTACAAATGTCTTTCCAATTGCACTGTTATCTCTATTTCCCATAATATTTGGTAGAATGTGTTGTATAACCTGCTTATAGCAGGTTCTTAATAAATGTTCGAGTTTATTGCAAACTTTGCAGTCTATAAAGGGATTTAAATTATGTCCTTTCACTAATCTTTTTTTTGAGACAGGGTCTGGAGTGCAATGGCATGATCACGGCTCACTGCAGCCTTGCCCTCCTGGGCTCAAGGGATCCTTCCACCTCGGCCTCCTGAATATAGCTGGGACTACAGGCCTGTGCCACCATGCCTGGCTAATTTTTGTATTTTTTGGTAGAGACGGGGTATCCCCATGCTGTCCAGGCTGGCCTCAAACTCCTAGGCTCAAGCAATCCTCCTGCCTCTGCCTCCCAAAGTATTGGGATTACAGGGTGAGCCACTGCCTCCGGTCTCTTTCGCTAGTCTTGAGAGAGAACTAATTAGTCCTGAGAGATGACCAGTCAGTGATTAATATATCCATTTTCTACTCTGGGCAACTGAGGTTCAGAGAGGTGAACTGACTTGCCCAAGATCACACAGGCTGGGTGGCAGTTCTGGGATTCACACTCAGGACTGCCTCACCCTCAAGCTGTGCTGTGTATGCTTCATCAGGCTGCCTCCGCACAGCAGATGGAACAGAATTTTTCCATGTGGGGTAGGATTGTCAGATAAAATACAGGATGCCTAGTTAAATTTGAATTTCAGATACCAAAAAAAATTTTTGGTATAAGTATATCTCAAATACACTTACTGCATGGGACACACTTATACTAAAAAATGGTGTTGCTTACTGAAATTCAAATGTAACTCAGTATCTTGCATTTTTATTTGCTAAGCCTAGTGACCCTAATTTAGAGGAGAAACCGTAATTTAATGGTCACTGAAGCCCCTAGAGTGACAGAGGTTTCCCAAGATCACACGGGGAGTTAGTGGCAAATCCAGGATTGGACCCAGTCTTCCTGTTCCCCAGTCCCAACCCTCTTGGGGTGGTTGTGAAGCCCTCTGAAGTCCCTGGAGCAGGCATGGTGGTAAGAACAGCTGCTTTCTCTCTGCAGAGGCTGTCCACATGGCCCATCCTCTCCCCAGCTGTCCCACTGGGCAAAACCAAGAAGTGAATCCCTGCATGGAAGAGATGAGAAGAGCGAGGTCACAGCAATTTAGAGAAGATGGTGTTGATTGAGATTTCCAGACAGGGAGCACGGGCTGCTCAGGAAGCAGCTAATTAAGCAGGAGACTCCAATTAAGAAGCAATTTGGGTCTTTGCAGCAAGACCCAGCAGCCACCCAAGTGTAGCAGAGAAAACCACAGGCTCGGGTTCTTGCTCCCCACATTAGCTGACTGTGAGATCTCAGGCCAGCTATTGAGCCTCCCTGGACATCTGTTTTTTTTGACTATGAAATGAGGGGTCATGCTGCTTAATATTGAAGGACCCTGCTGACTTCAAAGTGGGCAATTCCAGGGAGTGGGAGGATTCTTTCCCTCCAATGCTGGAACATTTTCCACTGCATTCTAGTGTCTTTATCACCCTCTTTGCATTCCACTGAAGGCCAATTATTCTCTCAGTTGTAGTGGATTTGAATTCTAGTCTATAAACTAATTTGCGCACAAATCGTACCTTTCTTTATTTTTTATATCCTATCTTAATTTCTCTTTCCAGATCTTATTCCTGTAGGGTGGCAACTCAATATTTCCCTTCTTCCTATTTCTAGGATGCGCCTACACTCTCCAGGGATTAAATGTGGTGCTAAGTCATGGGTGGGAGGGGTCAGTAGCCTCCACTGAGGTATCCTCGGTACCATCTGGGCCTCAGGAGTGGTCTTTGCTGGTTGTCACGGAGATCACATTCCCATCTGCCGAGGATGCAGCCTGGCACAGTGGCTCATTCCAGCACTTTGGGAGGCTGAGGTGGGCAGATCACCTGAGGTCAGGAGTTCAAGTCCAGCCTGGCCAACATGGCAAAACTCCATCTCTACTAAAAATACAAAAATTAGCTGGGCATGGTGGCACGCACCTGTAGTCCCTGCTACTCAGGAGGTGGAGACAGGAGAATTGCTTAAACCCGGGAGGCGGAGGTTGCAGTAAGCCACTGCACTCCAGCCTGGGAAACAGAGCAAGACTCTGTCTCAAAACAAACAAACAAACACACTTCTTATTTTTATCCCTTAGTGCAAGTATCAGCCTGGAGCCAGCCAGGAAAACACAAAGCTCTCTCATGGAATTTAATACAGGGAATTGGTTGCTCTGGTGGTGGAGGCAGTGGCAGTGAGGTTAGAGGGATTAGTTCAGCAGGAGGCCACTCCCATTCCTAGGAATAAAGAGAAGGT
Source organism: Homo sapiens (assembly GCF_000001405.40). Taxonomy (NCBI): domain Eukaryota; kingdom Metazoa; phylum Chordata; class Mammalia; order Primates; family Hominidae; genus Homo; species Homo sapiens. Next base: position 13,466,690 of record NC_000003.12, read on the forward strand.
AATAGGTGTGACCCAGGAGTTGGGGTGCCCCGTAGGAGCTAGAGCCGTAGGAAGGGTCTTTCTGGTAGGCGATGGGACCACCGAAGTTCCCAGGGGGACAAGGCAGAGCTGAAGCCACAGAGGAGAAGACCCTCCCTCTGCTGGAGATGTCAAAGGGCACCCAGGGGAGAAATGCCCTGCTTTATCCTCTCTTCTCACCCTCTAGCGTTCCAGCACCAGTGGCCACTGACTGAATAAGAAGCCAGAGGACAAGGGCAGGGCAGAAGTGGACCCGAGTGCCTGTGGGCAGTTGACCAGCATGCTATGTGTGGCTTTTATAAGTAACAAGGGTCAGTGTTTACTTATAAACCTGGGCTCCACTTAGTTTTCTTGGTTAAGATACACATTTCTCCTTTTCCTCGGAGGCATCCGGGAATTAACTTCTCTTAACTGCAAAGTACTCTACTTGTTGGCTTAACTATTTCCCTATCCTTTGGCATTTGGGTCCATTCCAGTTTTGTTGCTTCTACAAACAAAATAGATAGGAAGACCTTTTATATGCAATGATTTAAGCTTTCTCTTACATTCTTCCTTTCAGCTCAATTTTCCCAGGATGGGTCCTTACATGTCATCCATTAAAAATTTTTTTTTCTGAGAGAAATAACTTCAGTGTAGTGGAAATGGTTCTGCATTTAGAGCCATGCTTGCTACGTGAGAATGCCTGGAAGCTTTATTTTTCTCAGCTTAAAAAAGAGCATCACTCCTGGCCCATCTTCCCGGCAGCATTTGAGCAGATGGGCCTCATCACTGATATCAATATGATGCAAACCTGTGTGATGAGAGGCTGGTGACATCAAAGATGATAAGGACAATGAATGTTGTAAGATGGGGACCAGTGGGCATGTCCTCGAGTGCTGGGAAGGAGCCCAGAGCCCACTAAAGCTTCATGAGCCCCATCATCCAATAACCTGAAGAGAACCATGTCTAGGCCTAACCTTGGCCGAGTTTGAGTCTCAATGATTTCCCTGCAGACTACAGACTGCTTGACCATGCAGAGTGTATTTAAATAATGAAAGCACACGCTAACACGGATGAAACACCTAAATGTAAGAGCTAAAACTATAAAACCCTTAGAAGAAAACACAGGGGAAAATCTTCATGACATTGGGTTTGGCAATAATTTCTTGGATAGGATACCAAAAGGATAGACAGCAAAAGCAATAATAGACAAATGGAATTACATCAAACTTAAACATTTCTTCACCTCAAAAAAACCAACAGAGTGAAAAGGCGACCTACAGAATAGGAGAAAATATTTACAAATCATATATATGACAAGAGGCCAAAAACCAGAATATATAAAGAAGTCCTAAAACTTAACAACAACACAATAAAAAATGAATAAGGGTCTTGAATAGACATTTCTCCAGAGAAGATATACAAATACCAACAAGCACACGAAAAGGTGCTCAGCACCACTAACTAGTAGGGAAGTGCAAATCAAAACCACAATGAAGGCTGGGCGTGGTGGCTCATGCCTGTAATCCCAATACTTTGGGAGGCTGAGGCGGGCTGATCCCCTGAGGTCAGGAGTTAGAGATCAGCTGGGCCAATATGGTGAAACCCCGTCTCTACCAAAAAATACAAAAATTAGCCGGAAGTGGTGGCACACGCCTGTAATCCCAGCTACTGGGGAGGCTGAGGTGGGACAATCACTTGAACCCGAGAGGTGGAGGTTGCAGTTAGCTGGGATAGAGACACTGCATTGCACTCCAGCCTGGGTGACACAGTGAGACCCTGTCTCAAAAATATATTTATAATAATAAAAAATTAAAAAAAACCCACAGTGAAATGTCACTTCTATTAGGAAGTGAAATGTCACACTATTAGGATTGCCACTATTGAAAAAAAAAAAAAGAAAATAACAGCTCTTGGCAAGAATGCGAAGAAATAGAACCCTTGTTCTGATGTGGGAACGCAAAATGGTATAATTGCTGTGGAAAACAGTATGATGGTTCCTAAAAAAATTAAAGATAGAATTGCCATATGATCCAGCAATCCCACTTCTGGGTACATGTCCAAAAGAAGTGAAAGCAGAGACTCCAATGGATATTTGCACGTACATGTTCATAGCAGCATTATTCACAATAGCCAAGAGGTGGAAAGAACTTAAATGTCTATTGACAGATGAATGAATACAGAAAATGTACTCTGTTCATATGATGGAATATTACTTAGCCTTAAAAGGGAAAGGAATTCTGAGCTAAGCTACGACATGGATGAATCTTGAGGACATTATGCTAAGTGAATAAGCCAGTCACAAAAGGAAAAATACTGTGTGATTCCACTTACATGAAGTACCTAGGGCAGTCAATTTCATAGACAGAAAATGGAATGGGGGGTGCCGGGGCAAAGGGGAGGGGAAAGAGCGAGTTAGTGTATAAGGAGAAGACAGTTTCAGTTTTGCAAGATAAAAAAGTCCCAGAGGGCCAGGCGTGGTGGCTCAAGCCTGTAATCCCAGCACTTCGGGAGGCTGAGGTGGGCAGATCACCTCAGGTCAGAAGTTCAAGACCATCCTGACCAACATGGTGAAACCCCATCTCTACTAAAAATACAAGAATTAGCAGGGGGTGGTGGCGGGTGCCTGTAATCCCAGCTATTCAGGAGGTTGAGGCAGGAGAATCACTTGAACTCAGGAGGTGGAGGTTGCGGTAAGCAGAGATTGTGCCATCGCACTCCAGCCTGGGCAAGAGAGTGAGACTCCATCTCAAAAAAAAAAAAAAAAAAAAAAAAAAAAGAAAAAAGAAAAAGGAAAAGAAAAAGAAAAAGAAAAAATAGTTCTAGAGACCTGTTGCACAAGGATATTTAACACTACTGAACTGTATACTTACCCATGGTTAATATGGTAAAGTTCATGATTTTTGTGTTTTTTTTTTTCGAGATGGAGTTTCGCTCTTTTTTTACCCAGGCTGGAGTGCACTGGTGTGATCTTGGCTCACTGCCCCCTGGGTTCAAGCAATTCTCCTGCCTCAGCCTCCCGAGCAGCTGGGATTGCAGGTGCCCGCCACCATGCCTGGCTAATTTTGTGTTTTTAGTAGAGATGAGGTTTCACCATGCTGTCCAGGCTGGTGTTGAACTCCTGACCTCAGGTGATCGGCCAACCTCGGCCTCCCAAAGTGCTGGGATTACAGGCATGAGCCACCGTGCCTGGCTGGTGTTTGTGTGTGTGTGTGTGTGTGTGTGTGTGTGTGTGTATGTGTGAGAGAAGTCTTGCTCTTGTGCCCCAGGCTTGAGTGCAATGGCTCGATCTCACCTCACTGCAACCTCTGCCTCCCAGGTTCAAATGATTCTCCTGCCTCTGCCTCCCAAGTAGCTGGGATTAAGGCTCCTGCCACCACGCCTGGCTAATTTTTGTATTTTTTAGCAGAGACGGAGTTTCACCATGTTGGCCAGGCTGGTCTCGAACTCCTGACGTCAGGTGATCTGCCTGCCTCGGCCTCCCAAAGTGCTGGGATTACAGACGTGAGCCACTGCGCCCGGCCTGGCTGGTTTTTACTACAGTTAAAACTCAGACACTGGTGGCCAAATCTTGTTAAATTTTCAAATGCTTCCCTTACCCTCCCATGTTGCCAAATTCATTCCTACTTGTCACTGAAGCTGCAATGTCCAGTCCATGGATGGCTTATTTCACACAGCTTCTGGTGTAGGTTCCATTAGCTGGGAAAACTTTTCAGGTGGGAGTAACATGAAGCACATTTCTTTCTGTTTGTGTGTGTGTTTTTTGTTTTTTTATTTTTTTTGTTTTTTTGAGATGTAGTCTTGCTCTGTCGCCCAGGCTGGAGTGCAGTGGCACAATCTCAGTTCACTGCAAACTCCACCTCCCGGATTTAAATGATTCTCCTTCCTCAGCCTCCCCAGTAGCTGGGATTACAGGTACCTGCCACCACGCCTGGCTAATTTTTGTATTTTTAGTAGAGATGGGGTTTCACCATGTTGCCCAGGCTGGTCACGAACTCTTGACGTCAAGTGATCCACCCTCCTCAGGCTCCCAAAGTGCTGGGATTACAGGCGTGAGCCACCTCACCCGGCCAGTCTTTAAGGTCTTGAGCTAGGTCTGGACCCATAGGCAGGTTGGATCTGGATGCTGGGCTCTGAAAGGTCACACTTAGTGGTGGAGACAGACATAAGAACAAATAATGAAGATGAAGCCCATGCAGGCTGTGTTCATCCAGGCACAAATGTTTAGTGGATGCAGATTGGTGCCAGGCACTGTGCTGGGTACATGCAGTAAACAGAGATGTCACCTCTGCCCTCTTCGAGCTTGCAACCTAGTGGAGGAAGTGAGTTAACAGGTGAGTAAACAAATATGTCTGTGTACGCATGGGTAATGGTACAAAGTCTGGTGAATACTCTGAAGGGCAAGAACAGGATGCAGCGATGGAGAACACCAGGCGTGGAGGGGTGCTGCTTACATTTGGTGGCCAGGGAAGACCTCTCCCGTCACGTAGCACAGTTATTGGCATGCAGTCCCCACCCTTCAGCGTTCACTGTTGGTGGCTTCCGACTGCATGTCCCTGTGATTCAGCCTGTGGGCTTCCTCTGGCTTCAGGGGCGTGCCTGGCCAGTGTGAGGCAAATCAGAATTGTGGGGGTTTAACATCCCTGGCAGTAGCCCTCAGCAAATGATGGACAGGAGTTAGAGGATGAATATTCCAGCCACCGGAGCCCTGCGCACCCACAGCTGTCTTCTGCTCGTTGACATACCTTGTACTGGCTCCCTTCTGTCCCTTTCTTACCCCCTCTCACTCGCTCACCAGTACTTCTGGAATCACCTTCCAAATGAACCATTTGCATCAAATCTGTGTCTCAGGGCCTCATTGTTGGGGAGCTCACACTAAGACAGAGGTGACATTTACCCCAAGGCCTGAAGGATAAGAAGGAGCTGGTTAGCTAGAGTGTTGCAGGGACAGCTGTGGTGGCTGGAAGAGCATATGTGAAGACCCCATTTGAATCTACCATTTCCCAGAAACTGAGAAAGCTATTAAAACCTCCCCCAAAAAGTTCCAGGCCCACATAGTTTTGTGGGAGAATTGTTTCTAACTTCAAAGAGCAAAAAATGCAGATGTTATTTAAGCTTTTCCAGAACACTAAATGATTTAATTTATTTTTATAAATCCAATATTAACACTGATACCAAAATTCTACCAACATAGGATACAAATTAAAGGTAGAGACCTATCTCATATACATTGCCAAAATCCAAAATAAAATATTGGCAAATTGAATTCGGTAGTTCTTTAAATGGCCTCACGGAGTTCACCTTAAGAAGGTAAAAAGAGCTCACTAGATGACATCTATTACTATAATATGTCATATTAAATAATCAAAGGGAGAAAACTATTATCTCAACAGATTAAAACAAAGTTATTTGACAAAATCCAACATCCTTTCCTTGATTAAAGAAAGTCCTTAGTAGAACCAGAATAGACACATATTTCCTTAACATGAAGAAATGTATGTGTATCAATATACACATATAAACATATTCACGTATCTTTTTTGTCTCTTTTTGTTTTTTTTTTTTCCTTTTTGTGCAGTACAAGATCTCGCTGTGTTTCCTGGGTAGATCTTGAACTTCTGGGCTTAAGCGATCTTCATACCTCTGCCTCCCTAAGTGCTGGGATTACAAGCGTGAACCATTGCGGCTGGCAAACATACTCATATTTATCTCAACTTGTGGGACTAGAAAGGTCTGTATGTGAATGAATTCCTGCTTTGAGAAGTGTGTGTCCACAGGTCATAAACTGCAGGCTCTAGGGTGCTCATTATCTTAAATGGCTACATGTCATCTTTTCACAAACGTCCTCTGGTATGGAAAAAGTAGTGATTAAAGATGAATTTCAGGATAGGTTACCTGAGATATGCTTCACCATAGGGGCCAGAGGTGGGAATGGAAGAAGATACAGATCAAACAGTTTTGCTGTGAGTTCATCATTATTTTTTTACATTTTTTTTTTTTATTGATACGGAGTCTCGCTCTGTCGCCAGGCTGGAGTGCAGTGGCACGATCTCGGCTCACTGCAACCTCCCCCTCCCAGGTTCAAGTGATTCTCCTGCCTCAGCCTCCCAAGTAGCTGGCATTACAGGTGCGCACCACCACGCCCAGCTAATTTTTTGTGTTTTTAATAGAGACGGGGCCTCACCATTTTGGCCAAGCTGGTTGCGATCTCCTGACCTCAAATGATCCACCTGCCTTGGCCCCCCAAAGTGCTGGGATTACAGGTGTGAGCCACCACGCCCAGCCAAGCTGATCATTATTGAGCTGATCAATACTGAGGCCAGATGATGGGTACACAAGGCTCACTTATACTCTTCCCTCTACATTTGCATATGTTTGGAATTTTCCATAATAAAAAGAAGGGGGAAAAAACCCCTTAAAGTCATGCTAACCCTGCAGGACCAGGAAGCAGTGCCCAGTCACCCTGCTGGGACCCAGCTGAGGTTAGGGAAGATGACACAGGACATAAAGTCAGCCCCATTCCTCCCTCACAGCAGGCAAGCTTGGGCAGGCATTTGACCAGGAAGGTTGAATGGGGGTGGAGAGCTAGACATCAAGTTCTGCTCTGTGGGCCTTCTGTGCCCAATCGCATAGCAGTGTGTGAACCACCAAGGCTCCAGGCACCGGGCGCTCCAACCACAGCAGCTCCTGTGCCCCTTTGCTCCCAGAAAAGGCCACATATTATACAATTGCATTTATGCGAAACGTCCAGAATAGGCACATCTATAGATCCAAAATGTGGATTAATGGCTTCCAGTGGATGCCGGGAGGGAGGAAATGGGTAATGACTGCTAAAAGGTATAGGGTTTCCTTTGGGGGCAATCGAAATGTTCTAAAATTGATGGTGATAGTTGCACAACTCTATACTAAAAACCATTGAATGGTGAATTGTATAGTATGTGAATCATATCACAATAAACCTGTTAAAAACACTGAGATGGGACTTTTCACACCTTAGATTGGCAAAATTGATTAAAAGTCTAGGGACACAAATTCATAATTGTTGCTAAAAGTGTGAATGAATGCCATCTTTTTGAAGAGCATTTTGGCAATCTCTACTAGAATTTTTATTTATTTATTTATTTTAGACGGAGTTTTGCTCTTGTCGCCCAGGCTGGAGTGCAATGGCGCGATCTTGGCTCACTGCAACCTCCGCCTCCTGGGTTCAAGCAATTCTCCTGCCTCAGCCTCCCAAGTAGCTGGGACTACAGGCGCAGGCCATCATGCCTGGCTAATTTTTGCATTTTTAGTAGAGGTGGGGTTTCACCGTGTTGGCCAGACTGGTTTTGAACTCCTGATCTCATGTGATCTACCTGCCTCTGCCTCCTAAAGTGCTGGGGTTACAGACGTGAGCCAAGAGCCCCTCCAAGAATTAAAAATGCACATACTCTTTGACCCGGCGCCTCTGCTCGTGCCTAGCCCTGTGGAAATATTTGCAGTATATTCAGGTACCTCGGGGATCTGCTGGCACATTGTAAGAGCAAAGAAACTGGAAATACGGTAAATACACACCCACGGAAAACACAATCGTACAACAGGGTACAGCACAGCCGTTAGAAAGAAGGAGGCGGATTAGCAGCGTGGATGTGAAAAGATCTGCCGAGATGTGTTTTAGGTGAAAAAAATGGCAAGGTCCAAAACAGTGGGCAGAGTGATTTTCTTTTTATAGGTAAAAAATGCTGGCATGCCAATGTCTTCAGGAAGGAAACAAAGAGACATCGTTTCTGGGGAGAGCGACTGTGATGGAAAAAGTTTTAGTTTTCATTTTATAATCCTTTGGTATGGTTTGAATTTTGCAAACGTGGGCATTCGTTAACTTTATTTTAAAAATACCACTGGGATTATCTGTGTGGCAGCATTACGGGCCATTTTCATCTTTATGCTTTTCTGTATTAAAAAAGAAAACCTTTTAAAATATCCTGCGGTCCAGAAAAATGTGTGTTGGTTCTCTGTGTGCATGTGATGAGGTACTGCTGTCGTCCCAGAGGACTCAAATTAAAGCTCATGCCCTCCCTCTCTGGGCCTCAGTTTCCCCTCCTCAGGAGAAGGCAGCAGGATGAGGTAGGGGTGTGAGTGCAGGGGGGTGTTGCTGGCTCTGAGGTCCAGAGGCTGACTCCTTAGTGAGTGTTGGGCAGCTCCCCCTCCTCCTGCTCATCTTGTCCTGGGGCCGGAGGTGAAGGGTGAGAAAGCTGGAGTGGGGAGCAGGGTTGGCTCCTCTGTAACAACAAAATGCAGGGTCTCAGAAGATGCCTGTGGCTGTAGAAGCAGCTGGGGGAAGCCTAAGATCTAAGCCAGGGCTGCAGGGGCCTCTCTGAAGGTTGGTGCACAGAGGCCTCCCTAGACTGCCCTGAGAGCGCCTGAGGCGCGGAGCATGTGTGCGCATGCATGCCGGTGTCTGTGCGTGTTAGTGTGTGGCTTGAAGAGCCTGGGGTGCCTGTGTTTGTGCTCCCACGTGTATTTGTAGGGTTATCTCTCTGTTTCCTGCGTGCGACAGAAGCTGATTTCTTGTTAAGCTCTGGGGCTCCTCTCTTAGTTGGGCTCCTTCCCAGGTCTCTAGTTTTGTATTCACAGTTTTAATCTTTTTTTTTGAGACAGAGTTTCGCTCTTGTCACCCAGGCTGGAGTGCAATGGCGCGATCTCAGCTCACTGCAACCTCCGCCTCCCAGGTTCAAGCGATTCTCCTGCCTCAGCCTCCTGAGTAGCTGGGATTACAGGCAGCTGCCACCAAACACAGCTAAAATTTTTTTTGTATTTTTAGTAGAGACGGTGTTTCACCATGTTGGCCAGGCTGGTCTTGAACTCCTGACCTCGGGTGATCCACCCACCTTGGCCTCCCAAAGTGCTGGGATTACAGGCATGTGCCACCACACCTGGCCTTTGTTTAAAAAGAACTGTCCCTCCCTCATTGTATGAACATCAGGCCTGACAAACCCTGACTCTGTCCTTGGCATATGTATATCTAGATTCACATCTATATCTGTGCCTTCCTTTCATATCTGTGCTCCAGGAACGTCCCTTTCTGGGGAGGGGACACGGCAGTGAAGACACTCAGTGTTTTGGGGTGTCCCAACTTTATCCTGGGACAATCAGGAAGACGGAGACTAGGAGATTGGCAGGGGTAGCCAGGCATGGGGCTGGGTGTGGCAGCACTCACTATAAGGGTGCATCTCTGTCTGTGCCTGTGTGTGCATCTGAATCTGGCACCGTGGGTGTGTGCCTGTAGCTGTGGGCTGTGTCTCCCTTCATCTGTGCAGCTGAGGTAACACCCCAGAGTGTGTGTGCTGGGTTTGTCATTGGCAATGGTGTGGACTAATGAGTTCCCTTGGGGCCAGTCCTGGTAGTTGGAGCAAATGACTTGTTGCCAGGAGCCTAGAGCAGGGAGTGATGATTTCACCCACCCAGGGTGTCCAGATATCCCAGCTGGTCTCCAGAGGCCCTGCTCAACTCATCTGGTTGAGACCAAGACTGGGGCCTCTCACAGGGGCTCTAGCAGTGCAGTGATTTCTCATCCCCTTGGCCATCACCCGGTCACCAGTTTGGTATAGATGGTAGGCAGAGATAGCCAAGAGTGAGTATCAGGTTTCCATGTTGACAGGATATGTGAGTGTCCCAGGTCAACAAGACCTTTGCAGGCAGTACTGGGGACAGGAGGCAGGGTTATTTTTCAAGCCCGCTCACTCCTGTTACAGAGCTGGCTCACGAGGCTGGAGGAATCTCCAAGGTTGCTCAGAACATCAGTGGTCATTCTCTGCTTACCCCCAACCTGCAGACCCACTCACCAGGGTTTCCCACCCTGCTCGGTGCTCCCCGACGAAGTGGACCCTCATGGATGCCATCACAGAGGATTCCTTGATCTTGGGGTTCCAGTTCGATCCAGCCAATGGGAAGTGCCAGCAGGGCATCAGAGGCTGGGAGAAGAGCTAATTTGGGGTATTTTCCCCATGTACCCCTAGTTTTGGCAGTGACTGTGTGGCCTCAAACCTCCTCTCAGGCTTCCCCGTGGCCCATAACTAGCTATTCTCACTGGTTCCAGGAAACCACTCCCTCTCCTGGACCCTTCAGGTTTAGGGGTGAGAGCTCCCTCCCCTCTGTTGCCAACCCCAGGTGCTGCACCATCTCCTGTTGGTCCCCTCAACCTCACCCACATCTCAGGTAAATGGCCTGTTCATTAAACTTTTTTCAGAAATCCCTGTGGAGTGAGACCTCTCTTTCTTGCTGGGGCCCTCCTGGTGCATAGAGTTACATAGAAATACAACTTATATTTCCTTGAGAAAATATATTTTCTTATTTGAATGCAAGCTCCTTCTGGCCTCCGGGACTTTGAACCTGCAGTATCTTCTGGTTGTTTAAGAACTCATCTCTTCACCAATAAAACAAACAAAACATGTTTTACATATTTAGCTGAGCTTGGCACTCATTAAGGGCATAACAAATACTAGCTAGCATTACTGTTATTGTTACCGTTGTGTTAAATGTGTATGAAATCACAGGGTCTTGGAATGGAAATAGAGGTGCTCACTTGAATTGAAAGGGGCATGGTTTTAATGTTGTAATAGGATGTCTCAATCTAATATTAGTTAGTGTTTTGAAATATTGTATCTGTGCCAATAATTCATGTTTGGTGCATTTCTGTAATATCCTTTGCGTGCCTGTATTTTTCTTTTTTTGTGTGACAGTCTTGCTCTTGTTGCCCAGGCTGGAGCGCAGTAGCGTGATCTCAGCTCACTGCAACTTCCGCCCCTGGATTCAAGCTCCTCCTGCCTTGGCCTCCTGAGTAGCTGGGATTACAGGCACCTGCCACCACACCTGGCTAATTTTTGTACTTTTTAGTAGAGATGGGATTTCGCCATGTTGGCCAGGCTGGTCTTGACCTCCTGACCTCAGGTGATCCGCCCATCTTGGCCTCCCAAAGTGCTGGGATTACAGGCGTGAGCCACCGCGCCCAGCCGTGCCTGTATTTTTCAAAAGAAGTGTTATATTTGGGACTTTCTTATTTGTTTTAAGTTGAAATATATTTCAATATTGCATGAAAGGGGAAAAACAGTTAAGTATACAATGTTCAATAAGTCAGTGTCTTGTTTCATTAAATGCCATTTAAAAATAAAATACATATGGTTAAAAAGTGAAAAAATGTATTTCTTCAAAGGGGCCTTCCCTGACCACTGTCCAAATCAGGGACCCCATTATTCTCTCTCTCACAGTCTCAGCCTATGCCTTTCACAGCAGTTACCACATTTTGTAATCACAATTTTCCTTCCTAGGTTAAGGCTTGTCTCTCCCACTAAACTATTAGCTTGACAAAGGCTTTCTGAACTCATCTGCTCTGTGCAGCTGTGTCCCCAGTGCTGTGTCTTAGTGAGCAGACACACTAGGATACTGCAACAAAGAGGCCCCCAAACACAGCAGCGTGCATAACACTTATTTCTTCCCCACGTGATAATGCGGCCGGTTGGCCCAGGCTTTCATGGTGGTTTGAAGGTGTTCACAAGCTCCAGGGCCTCCGCAGACCACTTAACTCTTTAGCTACCAGGACACAATTTTAAAAACCCTTGGCCAGGCATTGTGACTCATGCCTGTAATCCCAACACTTTGGAAGGCCAAGGTGGGAGGATCGCTTGAGCCCAGGAGTTAGACACCAGCCTTAGCAATATAGTGAGGCTGTGTCTCTTAAAAAATAATTTAAAAATTAAAAAAATTTAAAAACCCACTTATTCAGACCAATCCCACTCTCTTTGGCCTCAGCTTCAGGTCCAGGCTGCCCAGATCCTCATTCTCCCAACCAGAGGATCATCTGTGTGGCTTCCCAAACTACAGAGCAAGTTCCCTGAGGGGAAGTCGGTCTCTCACAAATGCCACAGGGCCACTGCATGCACTCTGTCACTTTATAAAATAGTACTTATTCCTTCTGTGGTTTACATCTGCCCACATCCCTGACCTTTGAGTGAGTTACTTCACCATTCTGTGCCTCAATTTCTTTATCTATAAAATGGGGATGACAATAGTTTGCCTCCTAGGACTGTCAGAAGAGTTCGACAAGCAAAAAGCATTTGGACTTCAACTTAGCACATGACAGATGGTCTCTGAATAATAATCAACATTATTGTCTCTTGATTCCCTGGACTTGCCCATGAAATCCAGAGAATGAAGTGCAACCAGAACTTCATTTTCTTCCTTTTTTTTTTTTTTGAGATGGAGTCTCACTCTTGTCGCCCAGGCTGGATTGCAATGGCGCGGCCTCACCGCAACCTCCCCTCCCCGGTTCAAGCGATTCTCCTGCCCCAGCCTCCCGAGTAGCTGGGATTACAGGCGCCCTTCATCACGCCCAGCTAATTTTTTGTATTTTTAGTAGAGACGGGGTTTCACCATGTTGGTCAGGATGGTCTCGAACTCCTGACCTCAGGTGATTCACCCGCCTCGGCCTCCCAAAGTGCTGGGATTACAGGCGTGAGCCACCGCACCCGGCCCAGTACTTCATTTTCAGATGCAGACATGAAGGACCAGAAGGCTGAAGCAACCTGCCCAAAGCCACTATGCTGGCGGGTGGCCGAGTTTGGGTTTAATCCAGGCCCGAACCTCAGTTCCCTCAAGATAAAGTTGGGGTGATTATGGCACCTTTCTCAGGATTAGGTTGTGAGGCTCAGATGCCATCATGCAATCATGGCAGGCACACGGGGGCCCCTCTTCAAACGTCTGTGCGCTTCCCTTGTGCCCCGCCCTGGCACACAGCCGCCCCCGCGGAGCCCAGGGATCCCAGCCCGGCAGTCCTCCGTCAGCTGCTTCTGTTTGGATGGCGGGGACGGCTGGGCCGACAGAGAGGCCCATTGTCTCCGTCCTCTGGGGCTCTATTGTTGGGGCCTCCTCCTGGGTTGCAGCCCCACGGACAACCCCAGCTGTCGCTTGGGCCTGGCTCAGCTTACCCCGGCGGTGAGGGTGCGGGTCGGGGACGGAGACGCGTGCACCCTGAAGACAGTAACTAGGCCTGCTCTACAGAGGGAAACGCAGGCTCTGAGAGCCTACATGTCTTCGCCGGGAGTGCTTGTCCCGGAGCTGCTCGCAGACTGGGCCGGGGGTGGGCTCGGGTCGGAGAGGTCACGGGGCTCCTTAGGTCACAGGCGGCAGGGCCAGAGAAACTCCCCCGCCCCTACGTTTAACTCGCGGAAACAAGGGCCCAGAGAGCCCAGACGCCAGCCCAAGGTCACACAGCGAAGCCCCGGCACAGCCCGCCGGGAACCTGTCGTTTCTAACCCCCAGCCTCTCGCCGTTTCTACCCAGCTTGGGAAGCGCAGGAACAGGACATACGGTGGTCGCGCCCCTTCCGCGAGGCCGGGGTGAAACCCGCTTGGCCCTCCCGCCAGGGGGCGGAGCTTCCGAACCAGGCGGGATTCCACCGGGTATTTGCCTGCGGAGGCGGGACTTCGGGCTTGATGGGCGTTGGGGGTGGCCTTCCTGCGGGCAGGCTCTCTGTGTCGCAACACTGGCGGGGCGGGCCAAATCGGCCAGAGCTCTGCCCCCAGAGGACGCGGCTAAGCCCGGGGGCGTGTCCTGGGCTGGCCCCACCCGCGCCCCGCCCCGCCCCGCCCGGTCGCGGAGCTGCGGCCAGCTTTGGGAGGGCCGGCCCCGGGATGTGAGTGCCGCGGGGCGAGGGCGGGGGTGGGCTCCCAGGGGTCCCGGTGGGCGGGCGCGCTAGGGCGAGGGCGGGGACGGCCGGGCGGGCGCGCCAGGTAAGGGCCCAGATTTGCTGGTGAGGGGTGAGGGACGCTCGGGACGGGTGTTTCCAGGCCCTCCCGGCGCGCCAGGCCAGCCCCGCGCCCCTGCTCGGTGGCCCGAGGGACGCGCGCCGGCCGCGGGCCTGGGCCCGGACCCGGAGCGGTCGGGCGATGTGCGCGGGTCTGACGTCTGCGCTGCCCAGCCCCCTGGCTACGCGGACGCCCCCACGGAGGCAGCCACTGGGGCGGATTTCTGTCTCTGGGTGACGACTGCCAGGGTGTGATGGGAAGGGTTAGCAGCGCAGCGGGGTCAGGGGATCCCCGCCCCCCGCCCTGGCTCAGGTTGGGTCCCGACTTGGGTTTCTGAGTGCTTACTGTGCTCAGCTCCTCAGTTGCATTCTCTGAGTCCTCACAACAGCCACACATTTTGCAGCCGAAGCCTTGTGCCACACAGCTGTGGGGGCATTTATTACGGTGCAGAGGTGATGCGCGGAGGCCTTGCAGCCAGACACACCTGAGTGCACGCCTGCTTCTCCACAGACCTGCACTGTGACCTTGGGCACACCTGGTCTGCTCTCTGAGCCTCTGGTGCGATTGTGGTGCCTACCCCCAGGGCTGCTGTGAGGACTGGATTGGAATTGGGTTCCGGGAAAGGCAGCCAGTTTAAGCAGCTGTTGTTGAGGGGCCCTTGTCTGCGGCTGAGGGGCTAGTGGTGCTGGGCAATGGCTGGTGGGTCAGTCCAGGCGGGCTCGGGAGGGAGCTGCTTTCTGCCGAGGCTGCCCCAGCTGTGCGTCTGTCTTTTTCCACACGGTAGGCTACACACAACCCAGCTGTACCAGCATGTGCCAGAGACACGCTGGCCAATCGTGTACTCGCCGCGCTACAACATCACCTTCATGGGCCTGGAGAAGCTGCATCCCTTTGATGCCGGAAAATGGGGCAAAGTGATCAATTTCCTAAAAGGTATGGAAGGTCCCCCTTGGACTCTCATCTGCTTCCTCCAACCCACCTGTCCTCTCCGTCCTCATCCCCAACATAAGCCTCAGGCTCTCTCCCATCTTCAGTTTCAGCCCTCGGATGGCCTTCCACCCATGCTTCCGCCCAAAATGATTTTTCCAACACAGACTCCTAATCACGATATGATGTCCCTGACTCAGACTCTCCCTGGCTCCCCATCCTGTGGGCCTAAGTCCTGCCTCTGCCCAAGAGGCCTAGTGGAAAGGTAGCTGATTACTGATGGGCACAGGGAAGGTGAAGCTTGGAGGAGTCCATTTCCTAAGGTTCAGAGAGTCAGGAGGTAGAGCACCTCCACCGCACCTCTCTTGATTACAGATGGGGGAAATTGTGTCCTAGAATGATTAGGAAACATGTGCACCCAATTCCAGTCCAGTCCTCACAGCAGCCCTCGGGGTAGGCACCACAATCGCAGCAGAGGCTCAGGAGCTCACTGTAACCTCCGCCTTTCAGGTTCAAACAATTTTTCTGCCTCAGCCTCCCAAGTAGCTGGAATTACAGGCGTGAGCCACCACACCCGGCCCTGATTTCTTAATATGGCACTCATTATAAGATTGTAAAAGCCCACCTGTAGACCGAACTGGGCACACTGGCTGCCTGCTTGTGACCTCTTTCCAGGGAAGGACACAGCTCCCATTAGTGGCTGAAGTAACACAGTTACAAGAGGCGGAGTTGGGTTTGGAACTCAGAGCTCCAGGCGCCCTACCTTTAGGGCTCATCCCCTTGAGCAAAATGATGCTTCGAAGAGCATATCGTTTTAACTGTGGTTTGTAATCAAGGGGCCTGATTTAGGTGGGAAATTCACTTAAACTTGTTTTAAAAGGAAACATTATGTCATCAAAATGGGAAAAGGCAGTTTCACTTGCCATAAATAGGTCATGGTAAAAAAGTAAATGCAATGAAAACAACAGTATAATTCAATCCAGGCTGGTTACTATTGCCTGCAGGCTGTGAGACTGATTAGTGGTTTGAACGGAAGATGAGCAAAGCACAGGCAGGTGTTGCGAGGCCATGCCACACTGAGCCTCCTGTAATATCATCAGAAGGTGGAGGGAGGCCGGGCGCAGTGGCTCGTGCCTGTAATCCCAGCACTCTGGGAGGCCAAGGCTAGGAGAACACTTGAGGCCGGGAGTTTGAGACCAGCTTGGGCAACATAGCAAGATCCTGTCTCTACAAAATAAAAATAAAAAACTTAGCTGGGGGTGGTGGTATGCACCTATAGTCCTAGCTACTTGAAATGCTGAGGCAGGAGGATCACTTGAGCCCAGAAGTTCGAGGGTGCAGTGAGCTATGGTTGTGCCACTGCACTCCAGCCTGGGCTACAGAGCAAGACCTTGTCTTGCATTTATTTATTTGTTTATTTATTTATTGAGACAGGGTCTCACTCCCATCACCCAGGCTAGAGTGCAGTGGCGGAATCAAGGCTCATTGCCACCTCAACCTCCCTGGCTTAAGTGATCCTCCCACCTCATGTTTTTGATATTTTGTAGAGATGCGGTCTCACTATGTTGTCTAGGCTGGTCTTGAACTCCTGGGCTCAAGCAATCCACCTGCCTCAACCTCCCAAAGTGCTGGGATTACAGGCGTGAACCACCACACCTGGCCAAGACCCTGTCTCTTTAAATGAATTAAAAAAAAAAAAAGGGCGGGGGGAAGGTGGAGGGGGAATTCCTAAGAAGAGTTTTTCTCACTCTGAGGGTCAACATCCCTGACCCTTGTGCCACCTGCTCCTGAAGGTTGTCTAGCACACCTGAGCTCTCCTTGTGACTATCAGTGGCTTGGGAAACATGGGGATTGCTGTGTGTACGATGTTCATTGCTCCCTGGCCAGAGGGACTGGCCACTGTCCACAGTGGCTGGGGAGGCTACCCCTTCTCAGAAGGCCCACAAGCCAGCAGTGCCTACCTACCCCTGGGGCAGGGGCTGCCACAGGCCAAGTCTGCAGCCTGTGGGAGGGTCTGGGGCTGGCCCTGGCCTTGAGGTCAGTGGGGAAGCAGGATGCTCCCTCTGTGGTTTCAGAAGAGAAGCTTCTGTCTGACAGCATGCTGGTGGAGGCGCGGGAGGCCTCGGAGGAGGACCTGCTGGTGGTGCACACGAGGCGCTATCTTAATGAGCTCAAGGTACAGGATGTCGGGCCTGGGGGGCTGCGGGCCTGGGGCAGGGGGCTGCTGGCCAGGAGTGGCCAGAGGCAGGAGGTGACTCAGCCTGGGGAAGCCAAGTCTCACAGGGCACCCATTCATGTCCCTAGTGTTGGAGGAACATGGGAGTCTGTGGTCCCCAAGAGAAGGAGAGAGGTCATAAAAAGGCAGACCTCAGTTTGGGCCAGGCCACTCTGAGGGTGGTGTCCTCCCCTTCTCCAGGGCGTATGAAAGCCTTCATAGAATTTTAGGCTTCTACATTATGACTTTCAAGCTGTGCTCTGTCGACACGCCTCCGAGACCCCAGCCCCTGTCCTCCAACCATACATAGCTCTTTCACTTTGGTCTATTTTGTTTGTTTGTTTGTTCATTTTTTTGTTGGTTTTTGTTCTTGAAATGGAGTCTCACTCTGTCGCCCAGGCTGGAGTGCAGTGATGTGATCTCGGCTCATTGCAACCTCCGCCTTCCGGGTTCAAGCAATTATCCTGTCTCACCCTCCTGAGTGAGTAGCTAGGATTACAGGCGCGTGCCACCATGCCTGGCTAATTTTTTTTGTATTTTAGTAGAGATGTGGTTTCGCCGTGTTGGCCAAGCTGGTCTCGAACTCCTGAACTCAGGTCATCTGCCCACCTCGGCCTCCCAAAGTGCTGGGGTTACAGGCGTGAGCCACCGCACCCACCCTATTTTTTATATTGGGCTGAAGTTTAAGACTCTGGTCTAAGTACTTCTGCTGAAGTTTTGTTGAAAATTGTTGGTCTAAAAACTAATTTGAAACCCTCAGGGCTCAGCAGAGAAGAGAAACAAGTGGGAGGGCCGGTGGTAGAGTCTGAGGTGAACTCCTGCCCCTTCCCAAGGGGCGGCTCCTCAGCTCCACTGTGGGCCCGGCATGGCCAGAGCACCTGGTCTTCAAAGAGAAGCCAGGAATCCAGATTATTAAGTGACATTTCCTGATTTTTTTTTTGAGACTGAGTCTCGCTCTTGTTGAGCAGGCTGAAGTGCAGTGGCACGATCTCAGCTCACTGTAACCTCCGCCTCCCGGGTTCAAACAATTTTTCTGCCTCAGCCTCCGAAGTAGCTGGAATTATAGGGGTGAGCCACCACACCCGGCCCTGATTTCTTAATGTGGCACTCATTATAAGATTGTAAAAGCCCACCTGTAGACCAAACTGGGCACACTGGCTGCCTGCTTGTGACCTCTTTCCAGAGAAGGACACAGCTCCTATTAGTGGCTGAAGTTCTGAGGGCTGAGGCATTCAGTTCAGTGCTCTTTGTAGGAACAGAGGGGAGGTTGGGGCGGGGGCTTGCATTGGAATCTGGTACTGCCAGCCTGCCTTGGTGGGGGTGGGGTCAGGGATGCCTCAGGTTATCTGCCCCAAGAGTGTGGGAGCCCTGACCCCCAGGCTCCCTGGCTGAGCTCACCTTAGACTCAGAGCCACAGTGGATGCCTGAGGCCAGCAGGCCCCTCTGCTCCACAGGTGGAAAAGCCTAGGTCCAGAAAGAGGCTGTGCTCAAGGTCACCTGGGAAGTTGGCCGGGCCTTGGGGAGACCCCTGGCAGGTCATCCAGTCCAGTCTTCTAGGTTCCCAGTCAGGGCTGCTGCCTCCCTGCTCCCCAACCGCAGCCTGAGGTGTGAGAATTCTAGATAGGGCCACGACAGTGTGAGCACATGAAAGATTACCAGGAAGAGGTTGAAACCTGGCTCCTGGGAGAGAGAGGGGTGTGAGGCCTTGGCAGGAAGCCCAGTGCTTGGCTGCCCTGGTTTCCTGGGGCCCAGGCATGCGTGGTCACAGTCCACAGCCTAGGGCTGGGCCAGGAGGACATGCCTGCCAGAGTCCCGAGGGTGAGGGGAAGGAAGGGACAGGAGGCGCTCAGCTGGGGCAGGGAGAAACCAAAACAGAATGGTGTGATTGAACCAGGCTGGGGGTGGGGGGCCTAGGTTCCAGGGCCCCACCCATTTGAGGGGCCTTCAGGGGAACTGTGTTGGGCAGGCTGCATGCCTGGCCTTGGTCCCCCAAAAGCCTGAAAGCAGCTTACTATGTGATATATAATAATACAAAATAGCTGGGTGTAGTGGCATGCACTTGTAGTCCTAGCTACTTGGGAGCCTGAGGCAGGAGACCTTGAGCCCAGGAGTTTGAAGCTGTAGTGAGCTATGATTGCACCACTGCACTCCAGCTGGTATGACAGAGTGAGACTGTCTCTTAAAAAAAATAATAAAAGTATTAACAGGTAGAGTCCCAAGTAGAAAACTGAGGTTGAGGGTAGGAGGAGAATTCAGGTATGTCCACTGAAAAAGTTAACCAAGATGGTGATCCAGCTGCATATTTGGCTTGGAGCTCCCTGGCAGTCAGAACAAAAGGAGAAACATGATGGTTTCTACGGCACCTATTAAGATGAAGAAGTAGGCCGGGTGCAGTGACTCATGCCTGTAATCCCAGCACTTTGGGAGAACGAGGCGGGCGGATCACTTGAGGTCGGGAGTTTGAGATCAGCCTGGCCAACATGGAGAAACCCTGTCTCTACTAAAACTACAAAATTAGCCAGGCATGGTAGTGCATGCCTGTAATCCCAGCTACCTGGGAGGCTGAGGCAGGAAAATCACTTGAACCTGGGAGGTAGAGGTTGCAGTGAGCCGAGATTGCGCCATTGCACTCCAGCTTGGGCAATAAGAGTGAAACTCCATCTCAAAAAAAAAAAAAAAAAAAAAAGAAAAAGATGAAGAAGTAGTCAGTCATTCAACACATCTGTATTGAATGCCAACTGTACAGAGAGAATAAGACAGCAGGGCTCTCTGCCACCATGGATTTGCATTTGAGTCGTGGAAGATTAAAATTAAGGAAGCAACCACCCAAGAGCATTTTAGAGAGCACCAAGGGCTATGAAGAAAGTGAAAAATAGAGGGTAATTGGATGGTCAGGGAGGGCCTCACAGAGGAGGTGATGTTTGAGTTGAGACTAAACAAAGGAGCAGGTGATACTCATGTAGAGGTGTTTTTTTTTTTTTTTTTTTTTTTTGGAGAAGGAATCTCGCTTTGTTGCCCAGGCTCGAGTACAGTGGTGCGATCTCAGCTCACAGCAACCTCTGCCTCTTGGTTCAAGCGATTCTCCTGCCTCAGCCTCCCAAGTAGCTAGGATTACAGGCACCTGCCACCATGCCCGGCTAATTTTTGTATTTTTAGTAGAGACGGAGTTTTCACCATGTTGGCCAGGCTGGTCTCGAACTCCTGACCTCAAGCAATCCATCTGCCTCGGCCTCCCAAAGTGCTGGGATTACAGGCATGAGCCACTGCTCCTGGCCCTCATGTATAGCTTTGAAGGAAGAATGTTTCAGAATCCCAGGCCTGGAGGGTGGAGGGGACTTGATCTTCCAAAGGGGAGAAGAATGCTTGGGAGGCCGGATGGAAGGGAATAAAACATTGTGGCTCGTACACGGTGCAGTTAGGGAGGCCAGAGCCCCAGGCCACACAAGGTCTTGCAGGCCGTGGGAGGAGTGTATATGTTGTTCCAGGGACCTTGGACAGTCACGAGGGGGTTTTCAGCAGGAGGGTGATATGGTGTGACATGCCCTTGCTGCCCAGGTGGGACCCAAGCCCGTTTCAGACATCATCTGGCACCTAAGGCTGCAGCTCAGGAACATCTCCCACCTCCCTGCAGATGTCTGCAATGTTTCTTTTCTCCTTCCTCTGCTGTGGGCGCCCAGAGAGTGCCCTAGAGAGTCCTTCAGGTTTCTCAGGCTGCTTTTCCCTGGTCATTCTGTGTGTGCTGTGTAACATCCACCGTCTCCCCTGCCTCATCCCATTCTACCCCCAACCCCTGCCTGGGGCTCATGCCTGACTCTGCACTGGTGTGGCCTTTGATACTTAATAAACAGGGCACTGAAGGAGAAGCAGGAGCTGGACGTTTGCAAGATGTCAATTCAGGGAAACCCATGTTTATCAAGCTCCTGCTGTGTGCAAGGTCCAGGGTTGGCCCCTCTGAGGGTAGCTGTTGAGCTCCCCAGTGCCCCAGCACTGGGCTCTTGCCTTTGGTTGATTCTCGGGTGACAGTTTGCCATGGAGTGTCGGTTAGTGCTGGGCAGCATCTGACATCCTGCCCCTGTGCACTCTGCACTGGACAGTGCTCAGAACACGTGGATCCAGCAAGTGCTCAGAGGGCACCACTCTGTGATCTAGGTGCTGCAGGGATGGGATGGAGCAAAAGACCACATCCCTTTCCTGCTGGAGCTGGCATTTAGGTGGGAGAGTCAGACAATAAATGTAATAATTAAGTAATGAGATAATATGTTAGATGGTGCTGAGTGTCGTGAAGAAAGGAAGGGACAGCAGAAAAGGGGTGGGGAGAGCTGGTGAGAGGATGGCAGTTTTAAATCAGGAGTCAGGAAAGGGCTTACTACCTGTGATCACAGGTGACATGTGGGAAGGGAGTGAGGGAGTGGGTGATGTGGTCATCTGGGGAAGGGCATTCCAAGCAGAAGAAACAGCAAGTGCAAAGATCCCAGGGCAGAACTATCTGTCATGAGTTCCAGTATAGTGTGGAGAGAAGGAGACACAGACCATAGCTCCATGGAGCACCTGGAGGGACCCTGGAGAGTCTCTAGGGGAGTGAGCTCCTCTTGGTCTCCAACTCTCTCTTCTCTTCCCTGAGGGGCTCCTCTCTCCTTTAAAAAAAAATTTTTTTTAATTGTGGTAAAATTTACATAACAAAATTCGCCATTAACCACTTTAAACTGTACAGTTCAGTGGCCTTTAGTCCATTCACAAAGTGCTGCAACCATCATCTCTAGTTCCAAACATTTTCATCACTCCAAAAGGAAACCCTGTGTCCTTTAAACACTTGCTCCCCATTTATCCCCCCAAGTCCCCTTGGTAATCACTCACCTGCATTCTCTCTCTATGGATTTGCCTATCCTGGATATTTCATATAAATGGAATCATACAATATGTGACCTTTTGTGTCTGGCTTATCTCACTAAGCACAGCGTTTTCAACATTCATCTGTGTTGTGTTGTAGCATGTATCAGTACTTCATTCCTTTTCACAGCAGAATGATATTCCATTGTAAAACACTACATTTTTTTTATCCATTCATTAGTTTATAGGCCTTTTGGCTATTGTGAGTAGTGTTGCTGTGGACATGTGCATACGAGTATTTATTAGAATACCTGTTTTCAGTTATTTGGGGTATACACCTAGGAGTAGAATTACTGGGTCACATGGTAATTCTGTTTAATTTTCTGAAGAACCATCAAGGTGATCTCCACGGGGGCTGCACCATTTCCACCAGTAATGTACCAGGGTCCCAATTTCTCTACATCCTTTTCAATGCTTGTTATTTTCTGGTGTTTTTTTTTTTCCCCCCCAGTGTGGCCATCTTACTGGATGTGAAGTGGTATCTCATGGTTTTAATTTGCATTTACCTAATGGCTAATTAACACTGAGGATCTTTTCATGTGCTGATTGGCTATTTGTATATGTCATTTGGAGAAATGTTTATTCAAGTCCTTTGTCCATTTTTAAAATTGGCTTGTCTTTTTGTTGAGTTGTAGGGTTCTTTATATATTCTGGATATTATTTAATTTGTAAATAACTCCTCCCATTCTGTGGGTTGTCTTTTTTTTGATAGTGTCCTTTGATGCACAAAAATTTTAGTTTTGCTGAAGTCCAATTTATCTTTTTTTCCTTTTCTTTAGGTGTCATATCTAAGAATCCATTGCCAAACCCAAGGTCATGAAGGTTTACCGCATGTGTTTTCTTCTAAGAGTTTTATAGTTTTCACTTATATTTAGGCCTTGATAAATTTTGAGTTAATTTTTGTATATGTGTGAGGCAAGTCCAACTTCATTGTTTTGTACTCAGATATCCAGTTATCCCAGCACCATTTGTTAGGCTGTTTTTCCCCTGTTGAATGGTCTTGGTACCTTTGTAGAAAATCAACTGGCCATAGATGTATGGATTTATTTCTAGACTCTCAATTCTATTCATTTTTTTGGTTTGTTTGTTTAAGAAAGGGTTGCATTCTTTCGACAGCCCAGGCTGGAGTACGGTGGCTCCATCTTGGCTCACTGCAACCTCCGTCTCCTGGGTTCAAGCAATTCTCCCATCTCAGCCTCCCAGGTAGCTGGGACTACAGGCGTGTGCTACCATGCCTGGCTAATTTTTGTGTTTCTTGGTAGAGATGGGGTTTCACCATGTTGGCTAGGCTGGTCCTGAATTCGTGACCTCAAGTGATTTGCTCACCTCGGCCTCTCAAAGTACTGGGATTACAGGCATGTGTGAGCCACTGCGCCCAGCCAATTCTATTCATTTGATCTATATGTCAATACCACACTATTTTGGTACTGTTACTGTGGCTTACTGTGGTTATTGTGGCTTTGGAGCAAATTTTGAAATTCCAGATTGTGAGGCCTCCAACTTTGTTCTTTTTTTTTTTTTGAGACGCAGTCTCGCTTTGTCGCCTATGCTGGAGTGCAATGGCGCGATCTCGGCTCACTGCAACCTCCGCCTTCTGGTTTCAGGTGATTCTCCTGCCTCAGCCTCCCGAGTAGCTGGGATTACAGGCGCCCGGCACCACGCCTAGCTAATTTTTCTATTTTTAGTAGAGATGAGGTCTCACCATGTTGGTCAGGTTGGTCTCAAACTCCTGACCTCATGATCTGCCTGCCTCTGCCTCCCAAAGTGCTGGGATTACAGGCATGAGCCACCGTGCCCAGCCAACTTTGTTCTTTTTTAAGATCGTTTTGGCTGTTTGAGGTCCCTTGAGATTCCATGTGAATTATAGCATCAACTTCCATTTTTTGCAAAAAAGGCCATTGGGATTTTGACAGGAATTGCATTGAGTAAATTGCTTTGGGGAGTTTTGCCATCTTAACAATATTCGGTCTTTCAATCCATGAACATGGGATGTCTTTCCGTTTATTTATGTCTTTAATTTCTTTCAGCAATGTTTTGTAGCTTTCAATGGACAAATCTTGCACCTCTTGGTTAAATCTATTCCCATGCATTTTATTCTTTTCGATGTTATTATAAATGAAATTGTTTGAATTTCCTTTTAAGATTGTTCATTGCTGGTATATACAATAATCAGTTGTATAGAAATACAACTGATTTTTTTGTGTTGATCTTGTATCCTACAACTTTGCTGAATTTGTTTCTTAGCATTTTTTTCTTTTTTTTTTTTTTTTTTTTTTTTTTAGACAGAGTCTCTCTCTGTTACCAGGCTGGAGTGCAGTGGCATGATCTCGGCTCACTGCAACCTCCGCCTCCCAGGTTCAAGCGATTTTTCTGCCTCAGCCTCCCAAGTAGCTGGGACTGCAGGTGCATGCCACCATGCCCAGCTAATTTTTGTATTTTTAGTAGAGATGGGGTTTCGCCATGTTGGCCAGTGTGGTCTCGATCTCTTGACCTCGTGATCTGCCCACCTCGGCCTCTCAAAGTGCTGGTATTACAGGCATGAGCCACTGCGCCTGGCCTGTTTCTTAGCTTTAATAGTTGTGTGTGTGTGTGTGTGTGTGTGTGTGTGTGTGTGTGTGTGTGTATTCTTTAGGATCCTCTATATATAACATCATACCGTCTGTGAAGAGAGGTAGCTTCCTTTCCAATTTGGATGGCTTTTATTTATTTTTCTTGCCTAATTCCTCTGATTGGAACTTCCAGTACTATGTTAAATAGCAGTAGTGGAGCAGGCATCTTTGTCTTGTTCCTGATCTTAGACAGAGGGCTTTCAATATTTTACCATTGAGTATAATGTCAGCTGTGGGGTTAAATTTTTTAACGCCTTTTATCATGTTGAGGGAGTTCCCTTCTGTTCCTAGTTTGTTGAGTGATTTTATCACAAAAGGCTATTGAATTTTGTCAAAGGCTTTTTGTGCATCAACTGAGAGATCGTGTTTTCCCCTTCTCTGCTTTTGCTCCCCTTCTACTGGTAGAAAGGACCCACCTAAAGCAAGCAGTGGGCGCCCTAGAGGGGTTACAGCCTAGCTCTTCCCTGAGAGCAGTTCTTGGTTTGAACCTGAGGGCAGCGGGTCCGCCTGAGGAAACCAGGTGTCTGGAAGGTGAAGGCTTGTGGAGCTGAGTAGATGGGGCAGTAGGTCCCAGAGATATGGCCAGCCCCAGTCATGTCCTGCTCTCTGTGGAGTCCCACAGAGGCTGACGAGGTATGGGGGCCCTGATAGCTGGCTACATGCAGGCCATGCCCTTTGGCGGGTGGTGGCGTCAGTCTGGGGCAGACCTCCCATGCTCACATAGTGTGCTCATTCACCCAGCACTGCCTTAGGTTGGGCTCCCTAGAATGGTGGCTCTTAAACCCCAGCAAGTATCTGAAACACTGGAGGGCTTGTTCCAGCAGATGGCTGGGCCCCTCCCAGAGTTTCTGATCCATGTTGTCTTGGGTAGAGACTGGGAATCTGCATTTCTAATACATTCTCAAGTGTTGTGGATGCTGCTGGTCTGAGAACCACATCCCTAGAAGCAGAGTCTGAGATGGTGCAGGCGATTTCAGATGAACCCTGCAAGAGGCACAGGCAGTGGGGAGCGGGCAGAGTGAGCAGCTGAGCACAGATGTGGATTTGGAAGTGTGGCCTCAGCCTGATTCCATGGAGATCTCTGGGGCGTGAATGTCACCACAGGGTTGCCCTGCCCAGAAGCATGTGGCCTGGCTGTTACAGGCCCTTGTCAGTCATGGCTCTCCTGGGATGATGCAGGTGAGGTGGCTTCTGTCAGGAGAAGGGCTCTGGTGCACCAGCCAGAAAAGGGGATCAACGGCATGCATGGCCAGCACCTACTGTGTGCCAGGCATGGCCTCAGCACTGTCTGCACAGCAGTGAGCAGACGCGTGCTGTCCTCCTGGAGCTGGCATCCTTTTGAGGGAGATAGATGCTAATCGGGACAGTCTGTAGCCTCAGGGAGAGAAGTGCTATCTGGGAAGATGAAGCCAAGGTGTGGGCTCCAGGGGGCCCCAGGTGGGAGTATTTTATTTTATTTTTTTGAGACAGAGTTTCACTCTGTCACCCAGGCTGGAGTGCAGTGGTGCGATCTTGGCTCACTGCAACCTCCACCCCTTGGGTTGAAGAGATTCTCCTCCCTCGCCTCCTGAGTAGCTGGGATTACAGGCACCTGCCACCATGCCCGGCTAATTTTTGTGTTTTTAATGGACACCAGATTTCACCATGTTGGCCAGGCTGGTCGTGAACTCTGGACCTCAAGTAATCCGCCTACCTCAGCCTCCCAAAGTTCTGGGATTACAGATGTAAGCCACCAAGCCTGGCTGGGTGTGGGGATTTTAGATTAGATGAGGAGGACAGGCCTCTCTGACTGGTTTCCACCTCTAAGTCCTCATCCAAAGCCTTGTTTTATAGATGAGACAGAGGCACAGAGAAGTGAATTCTAAATTCACATAGCCAGTGGCAGAACCCAGACTTGGACCAGTTTGGGGAACTTCTGAGCCTGTCCACCCCAGTCCTAGCCTCACCCACAGTGCCCTTGCCCAGGGCGAGACTATCAGGGAGCCTGACCTGCTGGATCTGGGCAGTCCCACCGTGGCATGCTGCATGTCCCAGAGAAGGTATCTGTCAGCAGTGCAGCACCCCCCACCTGCCCCACCCACAGCTCCCTCGGGGGCTATCCCTGGAAGTGTTGGTCAGAAAGTGAATCTCCAGATGTCACCTGGTGGTGCCCTGAGCTCCTCCTACCTGCCACCTCCTCTGACCACATAGAGCCTGCTCTAGCCCAGGCCCTCTTCCCTCTCCTCCCCTCACCCAGGGACCCGCCACTAGTCCGCCCCACCCACTCTGTTTATTTCTCACCTTGGCCACTGATGGGTGGTTTCTCCTAGAGCGGTGCTGCCCTGTGGAACCTTCTGCAATGATGGAAATGCTCAGACCTGCTCTGTGCAGTCCAGTCGCCACTGGCCGCATGTGGCTCTTGAAATATGGAGAGTGTAACTGAGGAACCAAACTTGAATTTTTAAAATTTTGATGAATTTACAATCACTCGTAAGTAGCCACCTGTGGCTGGCAGCCACTGGATTGGATGGTGCTGGTCTAGGGTGTTGGCAACCACATCACTGCCTTGTGCAGAAACCACTGCTGCACCAGGAGAAGGCCCAAGTGCCAGCCTCCTCTTCACTGCCCGAAGCCTGCTGCTCCGCTGAGGGGCTCGTCTCGCCAACGTTGGCACAGCAAACACACATACTTTCTCCTGTGGGGGCTGGTCCTGCTGGCCAAGTCCCGTGCATGCTCCTGGGTGGCTGCACCTGGCCCCTGCACCAGGTCAGGTCCAATCTGTGGAGGATACCAAGGAACCTCTTTGAGGTTCCCAAGTGTGTCCCATGCCACTGCAGTTTTGCAGAAGGTTAGTGTGTGTGACTTAAAAGGCAAAGAGGGCAGGCAGATCTTCTGACATCTGGGGGGAGCAAAGTTAGAATGGAATATTTGCTGCAGAACTTCTCAGAGCCTTTAGCATGCTAGGATGTGCTGCAAATCTCCAGGAGGCAGGCGGCATAAGCCATGCTTCCCAAACGACTTGCCGGTGGAAGCCTCCTTGAGGAGTGCTGTGCGAGACCCGTGGCTGTGGAGCACACGAGAGAATGCCTTTCTCGTGGTTTGTGTCCATGCTGGGCTCTCGGCTGCATTGTCTTCCAGTCTGTGTCCCCTGCTGGCTTCCCAGGGAGGGAGGGAGGCTGTGACTCCATGTGCTCCTTCAGCGGCTCGTTTGTTTGCTCATTCGTTCATGGAAAACCATGGTTCCATGCCAGCCACACGCGGGGCCTCTGCCGGGCAGTGGGATGAGTGTGGTGAACAAGAGGAGCTGATGACCTCAGGCAGGGACCTTCCTTTCTCTGGGTCTGTCCCGCAACATACACACACGCACACACGCACACGGACATACCTGTGCACACATGTATACACAAGACACATACACACACATACATACACTCATGGGTGTGTCCTGCAGCTGTCTGGCTGTGCTGGTCCCAGCTCTTACACTCCCACCCCTTCCCAGGCCCTGTGATGCCTCCATGTTACCGCCAGAGGGCCTGGGCTTGTGGAAGTGGTGCCCCGTGGGCACCTCTCCTTCCCGACCATGAGTGGGACCCTGCTCACTGCCTTCTCTACCAGAGTGAGGGAGTGATGCCAGCTTCCCCCGCCTTCAGCCGCCCTTGCCGGCCTGGGCTGGTGGCCATGGGCATTCCCCAGCAGTGTGGGCAGGCTGGGTGCCTGGCACCCCCAGGACTATGACAGAAGCCTCCCCTGGTGGCCAGGGCCTAAGCCATGAGGCCCCTGCTGGGGCCTGACTTAGGGTGTGTCCTGCCTTTTGTCCGGCCCTGAGTGGCCTGGCTACAGCACCTCTTGGCCCTCTGAGGTTCGTCACCCCTCTGCCATCACACCCATCCCTGGCCACCCTCTCCCTGCCTGCTGCCTGCTGTCTGTCATTGAACATGCTCGTGTTTCTCCCATCCTAAAACTCCTCCTCCTGGTTGGTGAACGCAATGGCCACACTTCCCACTTTCCTCTCATGGAATGTCTGCAGCTTGGTGCCTCCCTCCACCTGCTCCTTCCAGCCACCCTCTCTCCACCTGGCCTCCTGAGCACTGCACCTTAGGTCTTTCCACATCTCACCCTGTCCCAGGGAAGCCCTTGATCGTCCCCAGGGGTTCTCTCTCTGGGCCTTGCCCTTCAGCATGGGAAGCCTGCAGTCCCAACCCAGCCCTTCACCTCCCACTCTCCCACCCCTGTTCTGAGCTCCAGTCTCACTTAAACCTCAGCTGTCTCACCTGGCTGCCCCAGGGGCTGACTTGGCCCATAGAGAGCAGAACCTAGTGCCGCCTCTGTACCCTGCTTCAGGTTCACCTCCAAGTGCCATTACCCTCACAGGCCCCAGACCCGACACCTGGGCCCTCTACCCCTTGTCCCTGCATGCTGCCTGCTAATACCTGCTCCTCTTACCACCCCAGACCCTTCTTATCTCATGCTTCCTCTCTAGGGCTGCTACTTCTCTATTCCTGTTCCCCTAATTGGTTCTCCTTGCTGCAGCTAGTGCAGCTTGGGACAGCACCATCTATGGTTCCCTACTGCCCTGACGACAATGTGTGAGCCTGTGCTAGGAGACCAGGCCCTGTGTGATAAGCTCAGCCTGCCCTGTTCCAGCTGCACCCACCTTCTCTAGATCATGGACTCACTTCTCTGCCCACAGATACCTTTTTCCCTTGACCTCTGCATCTGGATAACTCCTATTCACTCTTCACCTCCTGCAAATGCCATCACCCCCAGAAAGCCTCTCTAATAACCCCCACCCAGTTCTCCTCTTCATCACCACACTCATCACACTGCAAATAAGTGTCTGCAAGTGTCCTGGCATGAGAATGGGCCCTCCAGTGCCCACCTGGGGCACCTAGCAGGCACTTAGTAAATATTTACAAAGTGAGTGGCTCTGCCTCGCGTGGGTGGGGAGCAGGGATGCGTTTTCAGCCAGGAGATGGCTTGGGGTTTGGGTTCAGCTGGGCAGCCAGTGCCATGGATATTTACCTGGTGCACTTGGAGGTCACAGGGCACACTCTGTCCTGATCTTAGTGCAGATACCTTTCAGGTACCGTAGACCCCCCCAGCCTCAGCAGCTGGAGATGAGGGCAGTGCATCCCTTTTGCCAGGAAGGTCCGATTCCCAATGGACAAAGAGGCAATGCAGTGCGAGGGAGCCAGAGGCCAGGGCTCCCGTCCCAGCTCTGTCAGTGACTCATTGTGTGGCCTTGGGAAGATCCTCGCTGCCTAGGCCTCAGTGTCCCCTTCTGTACAGTGGGTGGTCTAGACTAATTTGTTATCCCAAAGCAGTCCTAGACCTGCACTGCTGACTTGGAGCCCTCTGCACCTCCTGTTCTGGGCACAAGAGGGCAGCCAAGGGCCTCAGAACGCTGAGGAACCCTGGCCAACTAGCTTTAAGAAATGCATTGTGTAAACTGCTCTTTACTGAGCCCAGAGCTTGCCAGGAGCCTGGTAGGGTTGTGGCTCTGGCTCTCATTTCTACCAAAGGAAGTGTGCTTGACCAGGGAGTTCATCCAAGGGCACCTGGAAACTGTCCTCAAGGCATTTCCCGGGGAACCAATTTCTCACGGGTTGCCTCAGGGTGGGGAAGCGGAGGCCAACAGCCCCTGTCTTTTTCCGCAGTGGTCCTTTGCTGTTGCTACCATCACAGAAATCCCCCCCGTTATCTTCCTCCCCAACTTCCTTGTGCAGAGGAAGGTGCTGAGGCCCCTTCGGACCCAGACAGGAGGAACCATAATGGTAGGTGGGGTGGGGGGGCATGGCTGGGCTGGGGGCCCCCACACCCCAGGGTCCTTCTCACCTCCTTTGCCCTGGAATGCCCTCCTCCCACTTAGTAGTTGAACAGAATCCTAAATATTCCTCAAGGCTCGGCAACAATGACCCTTTCTCCAAAAGCCTTTTTTCCCCATCTTGGGACATCAGAATTCTCTTCTCATCGTTCCTTCTCCTATGACCTCCTATTTGTTACCGTAATTGCTAGTATATAATATACCTCTCCACCCACCAAAGCGGATATCCTAGCACTATGGCTTTAAGGCACACCCCCTCACCAGTTTTTTCTTTCTTTCTTTCTTTTTTTTTTTTGAGTAGAGTCTCGTTCTGTCGCCCAGGCTGGAGTGCAGTGGTGTGATCTTGGCTCACTGCAACCTCTGCCTCCTAGGTTCAAGCGATTCTCTTGCCTCAGGCTCCTGAGTAGCTGGGACTACAGGTGTTCGCCACCATGCCTGGCTAATTTTTGTATTTTTAGTAGAGACGGGGTTTTACCATGTTGGCCAGGCTGGTCTTGAACTCCTGACCTCAAATGATCCACTCACCTTGGCCTCCCAAAGTACTGGGATTACAGGCTTTGAGCCACCATGCCCAGCCCTAATGCACCCAAAATTAAGATGGAGAACTGATCCTCCATGACTTCAGTGATGAATAAGCCTCCACGTCTCCCCCACTGCGGGTGTGGCAACAAAGAATCCCCACAGCAAAATTAGGTTTCACATTGTGTGTGTGGTTTTTTTAAAAAAATGTGCCACACACTGCCTAGTTATTTGGAGATAGAGGAATGTTTCACATGCAAATGTATGAGGATCTAACC
Source organism: Homo sapiens (assembly GCF_000001405.40). NCBI lineage: Eukaryota > Metazoa > Chordata > Mammalia > Primates > Hominidae > Homo > Homo sapiens. The sequence continues at coordinate 13,497,700 of NC_000003.12, forward strand.
CAGCCCTGGATCACTACCTACTGATCCCCTACAGTTCTGTTATGTTTGTAAATTTGTACTTTTTCCTTTAGCTTAGTAGAATATTACTGCCCATCCCCAAAACTATGATTTCCTGGAAGATTTCAGTATTTAGTCTACTATATTTCTTTTTTTGCTTTTTTTTTTTTTTTTTTTGAGACAGAGTCTCACTCTGTCCTCCAGGCTGGAGTGCAGGGGTGTGACCTTGGCTCACTGCAACCTCTGCCTCCTGGGTTCAAGTGATTCTCCTGCCTCAGCCTCCCGAGTAGCTGGGATTACAGGCACACGCCACTCTGCCTGGCTAATTTTTGTATTTTTAGTAGAGACGGGGTTTCACCATGTTGGCGAGGCTGGTCTTGAACTCCTGACCTCAAGTGATCCGCCTGCCTCGGCCTCCCAAAGTGCTGGGATTACAGGCGTGAGCCACTGCGCCTGGCCCAGTCTACTGTATTTCTGTGAGCAAAACTTTGCCTATTTTCCCTTTGAAAGCCATATCAAAATTATTGTCAGCTCATATGTGATGGATGATAAGTACTTTTATTTTTTCCAGTTTCCTTGCACAATTTCAAAGGTGCTTATGCACTGTACATCTCATATGCCAGCCAAGCTGGCACTTACTTCCTGGACTGTTGCTTGGGGTAGGGAGTTCCTTCTATACCCCTGCCTTGTAGCTCAGCTCATCCTTCCCCCAGAGCTGGCTAGAAGCAGTGTTTATGGAATGAGTGCATGAATCAGTGAATGAATGACTGGTGGATCGGCTGCCTGCGCCCCCTCACCCTCTGCTTGTCTCCAAAGGCGGGGAAGCTGGCTGTGGAGCGAGGCTGGGCCATCAACGTGGGTGAGTGCTGGGAATGTCCTCGGGAATGTCCAGCCCGGCTTGGTGGAACTGGCCTGAAAGGGGGCTGGGGGAGGGCGGGAGGATCCTGGAGGTGGCAGCTGTGAATTCAGAAGCTCTGGTTTTCCCAAGTCACCCTAGCCTCCTTGTGGAGTGGCCTGGAGGTTGATGTGTAGCCTCCTAGGTACCTGGGAGAGACTGACCAGTGCCTCCATCTGACGTGGGATCCTTGTCTAAGGAGGTCCCCGGGTGGTTCCCCAGCCCCCTCTTTGCGTACTTCCGGTGGCAGGGAGCTTCCTCCCTTCCAGAGAGCGTGTGCCATCCTTGGGCAGCTCAGCATGGTCTGAAGCCTGCCTTGTGTCTTCCCTGAAGGACTCCACCTGTGTCCTGGGGCCCAGGACAGCCCACAGAGGCTTGGTCATGTTGGGTTGGGTGGGCACATCCTGGGTCAATACCACCACCTTCTCAAGGGTCCAGAGGGCCCGTGCTCCCCAGCCCCCTTGAATCTCCCACAAGATTGGCTCATGGGAGGGCTGCACGGGAGTCTCCCTTGTCCCTGTCATTGTCCCTCCTGGAGGCACAGCACTTGACAATTTACAAAGCTCTTTTTCACCAGGCTCTTTTTTTCTTTTTCGAGACGTAGTTTCACTCTTGTTGCCCAGGCTGGAGTGCAATGGCGCGATCTCGGCTCACCGCAACCTCCGCCTCCCAGGTTCAAACAATTCTCCTGCCTCAGCCTCCTGAGTAGCTGAGATTACAGGCATGCACCACCATGCCCGGCTAATTTTGTATTTTTAGTAGAGACAGGGTTTCTCCATGTTGGTCAGGCTGGGTCTTGAACTCCCGACCTCAGGTGATACGCCCACCTCGCTCGGCCTCCCAAAGTGCTAAGATTACAGACATGAGCCACCACGCCCGGCCTTCACCCAGACTCTTATTTGAGCTGGGCATAATTGTCAGGCCTGTCTCACTGATGAGGAAATGGCCATGGAAAGATGCGTACTGGATCGTGTAGAGCCCTAAAGCAGGGTCCCCCAGCCTTTGGCTCTGAACTCTGCAGGGGAGAGTCCACCTTGGGCCACTGCACAGTTGAGGGGAGCCCCACTCTGCAGGGGCTGGGTCTCTTCCATCTTGGTATTACCAGGTGCCTAGCATTCAGTCTGGCATAGTAATGATGTTATGGTACTCTGCTGCACAAACCCGGGAGTGATCTGTGCCCTGCGTGTCTACAGCAGGGTTCCGAGGAGGGCCTGGATGGCCCTCCCCATGGCAGGTGTTACTGCCTGGTAGAGGTTAAGAGCCTGGATCCTGATCCACCCTGGGTTTGATCCTGGTTCTGCCATTACCTGGCTGTGTGACCCTGGGCAAGTTGCTGACCTCCTCTGTGGGTCAGTCTCCTCATCTGTAAAATGGGGATGGTGATGCTAATGCCCCTCCTCGGGCTGGAGGGAGTCTTCAGCAAGCTCAGTTGCTCAGTCAGGTGTTCACTGTGGCTGTCTTCTCATCATTAGGAGCCAACAGTAGCCTCCTGGGGGGTGGGAGAGGCAAGTTCCTGGTATCCATGGGGCCAGCTGCACACTGTCTGACGGAGCAGTTGTTGGGCTCAATTTCAGAGGGCCTCTGCAATTCAGGCCATCCCAGGGGCTGCAGGGGAGGGGGTATCTATGGGCCCTAGGGCTCTGAGGCTGTGTCTCAGGGTTGAGGGGTGATGGATCCCGGGCTCTAGGGCCCTCCTCGTGGCTGTAGGCAGTCATGACCAGCAGAGGGTGCCCTTCCTGACCACCCGCTTTGGCCACTGGCAGAATCCGTGTGGCCCCCATACCACCACTCCTTCCTGGAGTGGGGAGCCACATGGAGCCAGGCCCAGCTTGGTGGGGACAAGGAGCAGCTTTCTGCTTCTGGAATGATGAGCTATCTGTTGCTTAGGGGTGTGAGTGGCACTGAGGACTTGCTGGGGACACCCTGAAGATGTGGCTGCCTTCTGGCCTGGGGATGGTGACATGCCCCAGCACTCAGCTTAGTTTGCCAACCCAGAGTCCGAGGCACAGGTTCCTGAGAGCTGAGCAGGGAGGATGCTGGGGGAGGTGAAGGGATGGAGGAGCTCCTGGACTGAGCCTGGGAGCCTGGCTCTGAGCAGCACCGCTCTCTGCCCTTCCGCAGGGGGTGGCTTCCACCACTGCTCCAGCGACCGTGGCGGGGGCTTCTGTGCCTATGCGGACATCACGCTCGCCATCAAGGTGTGTCTATGAGCAAGTGGGGTCTCGCCTCCAAGAGCCCTCCTGGAATCCTCCCCATAGCTCCAAATTAACTGTTCTCACCCTGAATTATAGACAAGGGGCCTATGCTGGAGCAGGGAGGGGGCTTGTTTGGGTTGCTCAGCCAGGCTGGAACTGAATCCAGATCTGACACTTGCTCCTCTTCCATGTTGCTTAGAAGGGTTGCCTGTGGTGGAAGGGAGTTATTCCAGCCTCCCACAGAGCCAGGGGACTAGAGAGGGTCAGGATCTGCTGTATAGCCACATATTAAGTTGTAGGAAGAAGGGCATGGCTGGCAAAGGGAGTAGGGAGTGGAAAGAATGATGGTGCTGATAGCACCTGGCAGTTCTGCATGCTCCAACCCGCGCTGTGCTCCAGGACTTACTCCCTGAATCCTCGCAGACAGACAGGGGCCCACAGAGGTGAGGGCATGCAAATAGCAGGGGCAGAATTGGCGCTGGCCTCTGGTCTGTGGGGCCCCACAACTCCCCTGCCACTCTGTGCCTGGCCTTGTGCTGGGCATCAGGAACTGACTGACCTGTTCCTATGTGTGCCTGCTCTCATGGGGCACATAGACTGATGGGGGGAAGCAGGCCATTAGGAGAAGGGGGAAGCACAGGAGACCTTCCTGGGGAGGAGGGAATGAAGGCTTCCTGGAAGAGGGGGCATTTAGGACTTGGCCTTGTAGGATAAGGCAGAGGTTGGGGACTGAAGTCCCAGGGCTGTGGGGATTCTCTCCTTAACCCCTACACATTTCCTAGGGAATCTGGGAAAATCCAGGGCCTGAGTGACCCACTTACCTCCTGACCTATGACCCTTCAGGGCACAGGACATGCCCCCTCCTCCAGGGAGCCTTCCCTGACCACCTCCTGCATGCACACATGGAGCCCCACAGCTGGAGCTGCACAGCTCTCCCTGGCAAGTGACATCTTTGCTGGGTGGCCTGATTACCCACAAGCATTAGGCCCCCCTCCCCGCCCCTCGCCAGCCAGCTGGGAGTTGCTGTAGGGCTGGGTCCTCTGTCCGCCCCAGATCCTCATGTCTACCCTCTCCTCCCTGGCAGTTTCTGTTTGAGCGTGTGGAGGGCATCTCCAGGGCTACCATCATTGATCTTGATGCCCATCAGGTGAGTGCCCTGCAGGGGCTGGACTCTTAGGGGACCTGCCACCCCCAGTTCCAGAATCTTCCCGGGGCAGGAGAGTCTCCCTCCTCATGTCCCCACGGCTCTCACGGCTTCTGTCTTCTGTCTCTCGGGCTACAAATGCAGGGTCTGTCTTTGTCACTCTGTCCAGGACAGCGGGTCCTCCTCATTGCTCCCGAGGGTCCTCCCTCCCTCCTCCTGACTGCCCCCACATGAGGCTCTTCCTGAAGCCCACTCTGATGGGACTGCTCTCGTGTGCAGAGCTCTGCTGTGGGTCCCCATTGCTTATGAATAATTTGGGGCACTGCCCCCTGCCCAGAGCTGCTGAGCACTGGCCACCTGCCCCTCAGGCGGATGCCCACACACATGGCTTGGCTCGGGCACCTGGGGTCACCATTTAAGAACTCGGCGCCTAGGGAGTAAAGTGTCAAAGCAGAGGGTTACCTCCTCCTCAGGACCCCTAATGAGGCCAGTGCCTCTGGTCAGACAGGGAGGGGACCCAGTGGGCTCCGGAAGGCACCCCCCTGCACCATTACTGCTGTGGCTTTGTGCTAGTTGGGGCCCTGCCTTGGGTTCTTGCGACCCCGAACTCCTGAGCCAGGTCACATGTGGACAGTCCTTTACAGTTTGCTTTTCACATCCCTGATCCCAACCAGTCCCACCACAGACTTGAGAGGGTGGCAGAGCGGGATTTCTTCCTCTGATAGGGAACCTAAGAGCACTGGGCTTGCTCAAGCCCATGCTAGAAGGTGTCGGGGCCTGGTTTTAAGGTTGAATCCCAGCTCTGCCCCTTAACAGTCATGAGACCTGCTGCCCCCGAGAGCAGGCCGTGCTGCCCTGGCAAATGGGGAGTTTCCTGAGGGGTGGGTGGGTGGCAGAGCCCCAGCCTTGCCTAGGGCACCTACCCGAGAGCGGCTACTGTGACCTCCCCACAGGGCAATGGGCATGAGCGAGACTTCATGGACGACAAGCGTGTGTACATCATGGATGTCTACAACCGCCACATCTACCCAGGGGACCGCTTTGCCAAGCGTAAGCTGCTGCCCCTACCCTCATCTTGGGTGTGTCCTTGTGGATGAGGCTCTCTCCTGAGTGTCTCCTGTCTGCTAGGCCCTGCAGAAGCCACTGCAGTGGTTCATAGCATCCCTGTGAGGTGATCCTTTCCATTTTACAGATGAGGAAACCGAGACCTGGAGAAGTCACTCGACCCACCCAAGATCACATAACCCTTACAATAAACATGCATTTGTCTGGCAAAAAACAGGAAAGAATGAAAGAAAAAAAAGAAAAATAGGATAAATTTGAAAATACGAAATAAGAAATAAATTCACATAGGCTGGGCGCGGTGGCTCACGCCTGTAATCCCAGCACTTTGGGAGGCTGAAGTGGGCGGATCACCTGAGGTCGGGAGTTTGAGACCAGCCTGACCAACATGGAGAAACCCCATCTCTACTAAAAATACAAAATTAGCTGGATGTGGTGGCGCATGCCTGTAATCCCAGCTACTCGGGAGGCTGAGACAGGAGAATTGCTTGAACCTGGGAGGCGGAGGTTTCGGTAAGCCGAGATCGCGCCATTGCACTCCAGCTTGGGCAACAAGAGCGAAACTCCATCTCGAAAGAAAGAAAGAAATTCATGTATAATCGTTAAAATGAAAATGCATTAAACTCATCAATCAAAAGGCAGAGACTCTCAGATGAGATTTAAAAACAGGGCTGCCACCTTTGCAGGTAGGGGACATTTTTGCACCAGTCACGATGAGTCTGGTGTGGATAAGTCAGCAGCTAGTATGGCCCAAGGAACCAATTTCTGAACAGAACCTCACATGTGCTGAGCCTGGGCTTAAGGGCAGGGCAGGGTGTCCATGTGTGTAGGCAAGACCCAGAGGAGGCAGTGAAATCTGACATTGCCGACACAGATCTCCACACCCCCAGGGCAGTGTCTCAGCTTCAGTGCCCCTTCTCTCCTTTGAGTCCCCCTTTTTGCAGCTCTTGGTGCTCTTTTCACCTTAGTTTTGGGTGGAATGAGGCTGAGCAGTGCTGAATCTGACAGACCAGTTTCCAGTCTTGCCTGGTGTCCACAGTCTTGTCCTGAGCCTCAGTTTCCCTTCTCTATAAATTGAGGCCATCCATGTCTCTCTCCCAGAGGCCATCAGGCGGAAGGTGGAGCTGGAGTGGGGCACAGAGGATGATGAGTACCTGGATAAGGTGGAGAGGAACATCAAGAAATCCCTCCAGGAGCACCTGCCCGACGTGGTGGTATACAATGCAGGCACCGACATCCTCGAGGGGGACCGCCTTGGGGGGCTGTCCATCAGCCCAGCGGTACGTCCTGACCCTTGGGGCCACGGGAGGGTCTGCTCTATGGACTCAGCAGCAGCAGGAAAGGTGGGCGGCCTCATGTCAGGGAGGAGATGGACTGAAGCAACAGCAGTTTGGAGCAGGGCTAGCCCTGCAGCAGGACTTCCTGACACCATGGGGGTCTGGCCTGCCTGAGTCACCCTCCTCTTCCCCTAACAGGGCATCGTGAAGCGGGATGAGCTGGTGTTCCGGATGGTCCGTGGCCGCCGGGTGCCCATCCTTATGGTGACCTCAGGCGGGTACCAGAAGCGCACAGCCCGCATCATTGCTGACTCCATACTTAATCTGTTTGGCCTGGGGCTCATTGGGCCTGAGTCACCCAGCGTCTCCGCACAGAACTCAGACACACCGCTGCTTCCCCCTGCAGTGCCCTGACCCTTGCTGCCCTGCCTGTCACGTGGCCCTGCCTATCCGCCCCTTAGTGCTTTTTGTTTTCTAACCTCATGGGGTGGTGGAGGCAGCCTTCAGTGAGCATGGAGGGGCAGGGCCATCCCTGGCTGGGGCCTGGAGCTGGCCCTTCCTCTACTTTTCCCTGCTGGAAGCCAGAAGGGCTTGAGGCCTCTATGGGTGGGGGCAGAAGGCAGAGCCTGTGTCCCAGGGGGACCCACACGAAGTCACCAGCCCATAGGTCCAGGGAGGCAGGCAGTTAACTGAGAATTGGAGAGGACAGGCTAGGTCCCAGGCACAGCGAGGGCCCTGGGCTTGGGGTGTTCTGGTTTTGAGAACGGCAGACCCAGGTCGGAGTGAGGAAGCTTCCACCTCCATCCTGACTAGGCCTGCATCCTAACTGGGCCTCCCTCCCTCCCCTTGGTCATGGGATTTGCTGCCCTCTTTGCCCCAGAGCTGAAGAGCTATAGGCACTGGTGTGGATGGCCCAGGAGGTGCTGGAGCTAGGTCTCCAGGTGGGCCTGGTTCCCAGGCAGCAGGTGGGAACCCTGGGCCTGGATGTGAGGGGCGGTCAGGAAGGGGTACAGGTGGGTTCCCTCATCTGGAGTTCCCCCTCAATAAAGCAAGGTCTGGACCTGCCTTCCCAGGCCCTTCTGTGGGGGTGAAGGTGGGGAAGGCCTGCGGCGCCCAGATCACTGCCTTAGCAGTAGTCTTGCCTGTTCAGTGCAAGGGGCAGGTTTTGGGGGGAGGAATTCTTAGCGCAAGGACGGGCCTCAGCCCTGTCGCCTCCAGGGGGCCGCTGACCCAGGTGGGGAGAGGGCAGAAGAAGGGTGGGGGACGTGGGCAGGCCAGGCTCACAGGTGGAAATCAGGGATGCAGGGTGGTGCCCAAGCCAGGTCCTGCAGGAACCCAGGCCCAGGGAGGGACCCAGACACTGGTGAGGCGGGGCAGGGGTTCCTGGAGAGAGGGCAGCGAGGATCTCTATCCTGGCCTGGGGATTATGAACATAGGTAGCCGGGGCAGGGCCCTGGGTGGGACTGTGGCCTCCACTGGCCTCACCAAAGTGCCTGGGCCCCAATCCTTCTCCATGCCCAGGGGCCCCAGGTGGGCCAGACCTCTGGCCTGTTCCTCAGCCCTACTCATGGGGACATTCAGGGACCTCCAGGAAGTGGGCGGGGGAGCATCCACCCCTGCTAGCCGGCAGCTGTGGCCCTGATCAAATCAGGGGCTGGGGAGGGAAAGTGGGTCCATTGAGGTGGCCCTGCTCCATCAGCCCCCTACGGGACTTGTGTTCATTACAGTGAGGGGGTGCTCCCACTGTCTCCCGGCCTCCCTAATGCTCCCTCTGCTGCAGGGAGAAGGGTTCCAAGATCACAAAATGTCAACAATGCTGGCCTCCTGGACCAGACCCCGAGGCTCTAACAATGCACTCTGAGATCCCTACCCTTGCCGTTGGTCTCTGTCGCTGACTCGAGGCACCTAACATCCATTCACACCCAACACAGGCCAGCGACTTCTGGGGCTCAGCCACAGACATGGTTTGTCACTGTTGAGCTTCTGTTCCTAGAGAATCCTAGAGGCTTGATTGGCCCAGGCTGCTGTGTGTGCTGGAGGCAAAGAATCCCTACCTCCTAGGGGTGAAAGGAAATGAAAATGGAAAGTTCTTGTAGCGCAAGGCCTGACATGGGTAGCTGCTCAATAAATGCTAGTGTGTTATTTCATCTTCTGAGTCCTGTGGAGTTGGTAATGATTCCCATTTCACAGATGAGGAAACTGAGGCTTGGCAGGGGTGAGAAATTTGCCCCAGGCCACACCTCCCAGCAGATCTCAACAGTGGTAGAGCCAGGCTTGAATCCAGCTCTGCCAGATCCCAAAGTAAAAGTTCTCAGCTGCCTCACACTTGGCAGGGGGGTGGGGTGGGGGTGGGGGGTTACTCTGGACAGAGAAGGGTCTAGGATCCCAGGGTGATAAGGTCACTGGGCTGGGGTCTGGGACAGCCTGGGAATGGGTGGGCAGGCACAGCTGGGCTGTGATGGTGGCTCTGCTGCACAGTGGGAGGGGGCCCTGGCAGGGCAGTGGGTGGATGGGGTGTCTTCCAGGCCTGGGGTGCTTTTGGAGCGCTTATGGGGATGGGCTGCCCCGAGATGAGGCTGGGCTGGGGTGGGGTATCCAGGCAGGGGGAAAGGCAGAGCCTTGGCCGGGCAGAGTGACCAGAGCATCCCCAGTATCAGTGGCACAGCCTGGATGGGGGGCAGGGTGGCCCCTTGAGGTTCAGACAGGGTGTCAGGGAAAAGGACATGGGGTAGCAGGCAGGGGTCCCGATTGGCCCTGTGCTGGGTGGGAGGAGACTGATAAAGGCTGATGCTGACCAGGTGGTACTAAGGGCCAGGCCCTATCCAGACTCTAGCTGGGAACTGCATATGGAACTTCATGGCACTCTGAGGTGAGAACTGTTTCCATGCCTACTTCACAGATGTAGAAGCAGAGGCAGGAAAGGGGTTAGTTATTTGCTGAGCACCGCAGCCCCTAAGTGGAGGAGTGAGGACTGGAGCCCAGGCCCCAGCTCCAGAACCTGTGAGCTGTTTCTTCCTTAAAGATGCTCGTGGAAGAGGTTGTCCTGGGAATAAGAGCCTCAGTACCTGGAAGGCACTCAGGACACTGGGTGGCTTTCTGCTGCTCCCAGTAACTGTCAGGGTGAGGGGGAGGAATGTCCTGTAGGTCAGGCGGAAGAACTGAGGCCAGATGAAGTGTTTGGACCTGTTTGCAGGATCTGTGCATTTTGCTGTATGTAAATTACACCACAAGTTACATCAATCCCAGTGGAGCAGGTCAGCTTCATGAAGTGGCTGAGAGGTGGCACAGCAGCCCTGACGCCCCAGTGGCTGCTGGCAGCCCTGGATAAGAGCAGGGACAGGCTGAGGACGACTGGCCATCAGACTCATGATCTGGGGAGACCTTGGGAGGCATGACCTTGCACCATGCCTGGCCAGTGAGCCAGCTGAGGCTTGGGGAGAGGGATTTCATCTTGGGAGACACAGCTCTGTTCTCTACGGGACAGACGCAGGGAGGTTCCAGCAGGAAGCAGCAGTGCCCGGCTGTAACCTGGCCCCTGCCCGGAACCCACCCCTCCAGGCTAGGCTAATAGGGCCCCAGCGGGGGCGGGGGCAGAGGCAGGCATGACCATCCCCACTCTGCTGCCTCAGGCATAAACAAAGGCGGTTGCTGGCACGGGGCCCCTCCCTGCCTAGCGGGACTCCTGGGCAGACCTAAAGGAAGACTTTTATGATGCCTCCCTGGCTGCTCAGCCAAACATTTGGGGTTTAGGGCCAGGAACTCCTCCAGGGCAGCCTGCCCTTGAGTTGGTTTCATTCAGCTTAGCCAGCACTGGCTGGGGACACCTTGCTCAGGCCCAGGGCCAACGCGTGAGGCTCTGCACCACTCTGGAAGTGACGCCGTCACGTGATTGCTAGGGAGGCCCAGGGAGCGGACGCGTGGGCTCCAGTCCCTCCGGCCTGGCTCTGAGTCCTGCCTCCTCCCCTCGATAGCTGTGTGCCTTAGTTTACTCATCTGCAAAATGGGGATGATAGCACCTACCTCCTAGGTGTTGGAGAATTAAATGAGTGAATGTTTGTGAAGGGCTTAAAGCAAGAGTAAACACTCAATTAAGCATGCTTGATTGTGGCTGTCGGCACTCATCATCACCATCATCACCACCACCATGTTACTGATGGGAAACAAACTCAGAGAGGTGAAATGGCTTGCCGAAGACTGCAGAGTTGGGCAATGGCAAAGCCAGGGAATGCACCCACATCCATCCGACTCCAACACTAGTGCCCTTTCCCCATGGCCAGGCCCTCTGGCAAACAGTGTCTTGGTGAGCATGGCATCTTGCACACTGCCTGGACTTCCACGCCCTTCCCCAGCTCATAGTCTTACCAGCAACCCCGGGAGAGGCAGGCCTCAGCACCCTTGTTGTCCAGATGAGACAGAGACCCGGATGGGAAAGGCAGTCCCACGGCCCCTCAGCGGTGGTGGCAGGGCCTGGTGGAGGGAAGTGTGGCACCTGTGGGTACATTGCTGTCTACTCAGGCTGGGGCCCGCAGAGACGGGTGCTCCCACATCCTACCCTGGAAATGCTGTTCAGCTGGAAAACATACACTGGGCTTTCTAAAGGGCCATTGGCTTTCAGCTTGAACTTTCAAAGTACAAAGTGAATTAAAAAATAGTCATAAAACAGCAGGCAGCTGAGAAATGCATCATGGATTGGCGTGTGCAGCTGGGGCTAGGGCCCTGGAGAGTACCTGTTCCACCTGCCTGTTCCACCTGCAGAGGCCCAGCCTCGGCACTGCAGCTGGACAGGGTGTGTGGGGGTGGACGAGAAGGGAGGTATCCTTTGAGGAGGCCTGCTCACCCTGGCTCAGTGCTGGCTGTCAGCGTTGTCGATTTGTGGATGGGGAAGGTGAGGCCCAGGGAGGGCTTGAAGGAGCCTGGCACCCCCTGGCAAGCAAACCAGAACCCCGGCCTCCTCCCCTCCTCACCTGGTAGCCTCCTTGCGGGGGGTGGCTGTGGTGAGCATGTGCCATGTGCCAGGCCACATGTGTGAGAGGATTGCAGAGGCCCGTGCACGGCGAGGCCCATGCCACTCTCTGCGTGCCTGGTCCTTGTTTATCCTCACAGCAGCCTCCCTGTGCAGGGTCCTGGAGCTCCATTGTCCAGGCTGGAACACCAAGGCTTAGAGGGGCCTGCAGGCCCTCGCCCATGGCCACACACGGTGGAGTGGCAGAGTGGCCAGTCTTCACCACCACCCCGGGTGTTGACCTCTGAACTCCCTGATTTTATTAGGGCTGAGGCACTGTGGACAGGGCGGGTAAAAGCCAGGACCTCAGCTCAGGGTGACCTCAGCTCAGGGTGGAGAGTGGCCTCCAGAGAAAGAATGCAGCTCTGTAGTTGCCCAGCCAGGGTTTCAGTCCTGCCTCTGCTGTATACCTGCGCTGTGGCCCCGGGCTGAGCCTCATTGCCTCCTCTATAGAGGACTCTGGTAAACAGTGGGAATGAGGCTGGCATACAGCAGGTGCATAATACATGTGACACTGGCCAGGGGCTTCTTTACCCTCTTCTGTTCTCATCACCTCTTTGACTCAGCAACAGGGCAAAGTCCTGTTTCCATCTCTGGTTTAGGGCCTCCCAGTGAGCTGCGGGGCAGCCCTTTTAGGCAGGGCCCCAGGCCAAGGCTTACCCAGCCCTCGCGTGCACCTGCCTGGGGCTGGGCCTGAGCCCTCCCTCAACCCTCCCATGGCTCCAGGCTCCTGGCTGGAGAGTTCGCAGGGTCCGTTCAGCTGAAAGGACCTGGGGACACATATCATCAGGCCTGGCGCCTGGGATGCTGGGTAGCCTCCCTGAAGCCTGCTGCACCTCCCTGCTCTTGGCCCTGGGGAATGGGGCTGGGCAGGTCACCATCTCTAAACTGTGGGAAGACACCCATCTTCCCTCGGCGAGGGTGGTCCCATACAGGGAAAATTCAGGCCTGGACTTGGATCTGTGTTTGAATCTAGGCTCTCAGTGGCTGTGGGCAAATCACTTCACGCTTTGTGCCTCAGTTTCCTCCTCTGTAAATAGCGATGATAATCCCTTCCTTCCCTAGGGTGGCTTGAGGGTCAAGGAGGCTAGGCAGGTAAAGCACCAGTCTGGGTCCCCCTCACATCCAGAATTCGCAGGTCACCCCTGCTGGTCCTGAGACAGTGACGTTCTTTTCTTTTCTTTTCTTTTCTTTTTTTTTTTTTTTTGAGACAGAGTCTCACTCTGTCACCCAGGATGGAGTGCAGCGGAGTGGCATGATCTCAGCTCACTGCAGCCTCTGCCTCCCAGGGTCAAGTGATTCTCCTGCCTCAGCCTGCCCAAGTAGCTGGGATTATAGGCACCTGCCACCACGCCAGGCTATTTTTGTATTTTTAGTAGAGACGGGATTTCACCATGTTGGCCAGGCTGGTCTCGAACTCCTGACTTCAGGTGATCCGCCCGCCTCGGCCTCCCAAAGTGCTGGGATTACAAGCGTGAGCCACCGCGCCCAGCTGACGGTGGTCTTCTGAAAGAAAGAGGTAGCGTGCCCAGTGCATGCACACTCTGGGAGCCAGGGCAGCAGATTCAAGTCCCACTGCTGCCTCTACCCTCCATGTGACCTTGGACAGGTGACAGCTCCTCGTGCCTCAGTTTTCCCATCCGTCAAATGGGGTTCACACTAGCACCGGCCTCACAGAGTGGTTGTGAGAACGAATGAACCCATTTAAGCATCAGAACTGCACCTAATCAGCCTCAGCTCTTGTATCACTGAGGGGCAGGGGTTGCCAACATTACTGTAATCAACGCCTCCACCTTTATTTACCCTGCAAAGCAGTACAGTAAGTCCACATTTAAGTCCTTGATAGGTTCTTGGAAACTGACTTTAAGTGAAACCACATGAAATCGTTTGAATCAGGCCAGGCCAGTGGTTCACACTTGTAATCCCAGCACTTTGGGAGGCTGTGGACGGGTCACCTGAGGTCAGGAATTCAAGACCAGCCTGGCCAACATGGTGAAATCCCGTCTCTACTAAAAATACAAAAATTAGCCAGGCATGGTGGTATGTACCTGTAATCCCAGCTACTGGGGAGGCTGAGGCAGGAGAATCGCCTGAACTGGGGAGCTGGAGGTTTTAGTGAGCTGAGATTGTGCCACTGCACTCTAGCCTGGGCGACAGATTGATTGGGATTCCATCTCAAAAAAAAAAAAAAAGTTTGGATCTGTGTCCCCTTCCAAATCTCATGTTGAACTGTAATTTCACATAATCCCCAATGTTGGAGGTGAGGCCTGGTGGGAGGTGATTGGATCATGGGGGTGGTTTTCTTATGAAAGGTTTAGTATCATCCTCTTGGTACTGTCCTCATGACAGTGAGTGAGTTGTCATGAGATGTGGTCATTTAAAAGTGTGTGGTACCTCCCTCCTCTGTCCCTTGCTCCTGCTCTGGCCATGTGACCTGTGGGCTCCCTCTTTGCCTTCCGCCACGATTGTAAGTTTCCTGAGGCCTCCTCAGGAGCGGAGCAGATGCAGGCACTATGCTTCCTGTAGAGCTGCCAAACCCTGAGCCAATTAACCCTCCTTCCTTTATAAATTATCCAGTCTCAGGTATTTCTTTATAGCAGCTGGAGAACGGACTAACACACCAGCTATAACAAAACCAATTTTACCATAGGCTAATTGATATAAACAAGAGTTCAGTTCCTACAGCGTATTTTTGGTCACAAAAACAACATCAAACTTCTCTAATACGAAGCACCTCTAATATTAAACATTGAAATAAATGTGAGGTGTACATACATTTAAGAAAGACTAGTAAAAACAAGATATGTACCCACTTATTCCAGTCTCGGCTCTAGGGTGGCTGGAGCCTGTCCCAAGAGCACAAGATGGGAACCAGCCCTGAGCTGGATATCACCCCATTATCACTATAGGGCACACTCACAGACACGCTCACACTCAGACTGGGGCCATGTAGACACACTGGTTCACCTAACACCCACATCTTCAGGATGTGGGAAGAAGCCAGAGTACGTGGAGGGAACACATGCAGACGTTGGGGGAACATTGCAAACTCCACACAGACAGCGGGCATGGCCAGAAATCGACATTTTTTTCTTATCAACGAGACGATGTTGAACAAAACGATGTTATTTGAGGACCTGCTGTATTCAGTGACTTCTCTGCTATTTTCTGGGTGCCAGGCCCTGTGTTGGGTGCCAGCACACAGACCGTGTCTTCCCTCCTACTGGTCTCCAAGTTTCTCCAGACCTGTTGCATCTCTGGGTCATTTGAGGACAGGATGAGGGTCTAGAGGGCCAGTGTGGGAAGGATTCTCATGGCCCATGCAGTCCAACGTCTCCTTGCACAGACAGGGAAACTGAAACCCAGAGAGAGCAGGAGCCTTGGGCCGAGCAGGAGCTGGGACCCACGGGGAGGTGGGTTCAGCAGGGCAGTGTCCACAGCGAGTAGAGCTTGGGTCTAGCTGCTTGGGTCTAGCTGTGCTGCCTTGGGTGAGGCAACCACCATCTTGAGCCTCAGCCGTTTCCCCCATCAGATGCCCTGGCACGTGGCAAATGCTCAGTTAATTTTAGCTAATAATATTACCTAAGTCAGAGTGAGAAAGGACTTTCTCATAGCCAGAACTGTTCACAGAGCACCATGATAGTGGCCAGTGCAGAAGGAGCGCTTGCTAGTTTTGGCACACTCTAGGCACCACGCTTGTATCAAATGGCTTTGTCCTCACGTAACTATGTTTTGCAGATGAGGAAAGGGGACTGGGGGAGGTTTGATGGCCCCCCAAGGCTCTCCCAGCCAGGGTGGTAGAGCCCGGGGCTGACACCTAGCTGGCCGCAGTCACCCCCACACTGGGTGCCCTGTGGGGTGTGACCTCTCACACCCCTCAAAGGGGTGCAAGTGGAGGCTTGGGGCTGTGGGAACCATCTGGGACTTCCCAGTTTCTGGGACTTTCCTAGCCCCTGCCAACCCTGAGAGGCTGAGTTTCTCAGGGTGTGCCCTGGTCTTGGAACCAGAGGGAAGGGATCAAGTGTGAGGGGGGCTCCTGCTGTGGCAGTGGGGAGTGTGCAGGGGCCTTGCCAGAGGCCCGCTCCCTTCTGGGACCCTCCAGCCAGTGTGCGCATTCCACCGGTTGTCTCGGTAACCGATACCAGGCGGCCAGACAAAGTTACCGTGTGTGTCTGGGAGGCTATTTTGTCTAATATGCTAAAAGGCCTTTGGAAATTCCTGGAGCCCATCTGGTCCTAGTTACCCCACAATATTGCTGCCTCTTCAGCTCACAGACAAGGGAACAGTTTTATTTCTCCTTTTGGAGCTCAGGAATGTGCCTTAAACACGAGCCGGCAGACGCCCACTTGGTGCACGAGTTCCTTGGTCACGTGTCACACTCATCGTCCTTTAAAAAAGGACTGCTGCTCTTTCCCCTTGGCTCCCCAATCCCAAAGGGTCCCTCCCAACCCCATTACCTAGAGAGTGATGTGGGGAGGGCAGATGCTTCGGGGGTGGGCCCGCCTGACTGCGATGTGCCCGGCCTCTGCGTTTTCTCTCCTGTGTCCTGGGGATGGGAACTCCTGAGAATGGAATGCAGCCTGGTGTGTGGTAGGTGTTTGGTACATGCAGGTTTCCCAGCTGGCTCTGTGAACTTAAGTAGGTCCCTTGACCCATCCAAGCCCCAGTAGCCTGCTCTGTAAAACCGGGCTGGAAAGTGTGGTACAGGAGTTTAGGAAGGTCTCAGCCACACCAGGGGATGTGGATGATTGGTCCTTACTCACCCGGCGCTTCTGCCCACCCATGGCTGCCTCCAGAGGGTGTGAACACATCCAGGGCTGCACATCTGAAGCCTCTCTTGCGGGCAGAAGAGATGTCTTCAGGTCCAGCTGCTCCCATGCTTTTTGCGGGGCCGGAGTGTGTTTCTTCCCTGGAGTTCTTGTCCCTTTGGGTTTTTCGGGTTCCTCTGGCCGCAGTGCCCAGAGGCTGGGTGTGGCCGCTCCAGGCTGGCTGAGTCTTGGCAGCTGCCCTACATGGTTGCCTGGGGCCAGGTGACATCCTTCTTGCTTCCTTGAAGAGCTCCCTCTCCCCAGTCCCAGGCTGGAACAGTCACAGTGCCCTGCCCACCTAGGCTATGATTCCAGGGGCTGTGTAAGTGTGTGATTCAAGCTCAGATAACCCTAGACCAGGCTTCTTCCAGGCTGGGCAGGCCTGCACCTCCATCCCCTGCATGGCTAGACGTGGCATGTACTTGTTTTATGAACCATGAGCTCAGTGGCTTGTGTGCCCTCCAAGTGGAAGCTTTAAGAGCCAGTGTGCGATTCTCCACAACCCCTTTGCCACAGCGATGGAGGGAGCACATTTCAAGCTGTAGCCCCCGACAGTCTGGGTCCCTGAAATCCCAGATGACTCAGGTCTCCCAGTCAAACCAGGGCTGACATCCAGTGTGAGCGATAAATAAACCTTGATTGTTTAAGCTCCTGATGCTTAAGGGTGGTTTGTTTCTGCAGCATAACCTTACTGATATCAGCCTGGCTGATACACTTTCCATTTCCCTGATCATAGGGATGGTTTAGAGATATCATGTGACTCAAGAGTCCTTACATTACTTTTACATTTTGAGTGGAAGAGGAAGGACTTTATCTTCTGAGTTATCAAGTTTTAGAGAAGCCATATTTCCCACCACAAACAGAAAGCCTGTCTGAGGTATGAAATAGTAAAACGAAGGGAGAAAAAGAAAAAACATGATGGAAAAGAGGGAATTCTGGTGATGTCAAGATAGGGCTGCCATGAGCATCTGCACAGGTTGTGCACTGCACAACTCTCGAGGCTGCTGTTACACGGTAATCACAGTAGATTTGTGTATTGATTAAAATAATTTTCTAGTAGGCACTAGTAAAGTATTTTGAAGAAGTGGAGCCTTTTTCTAATTTGCAAACAATTGCTGCAAAGGCTAGTGACCATGCCATAATCAAGACCCTGATTTTAATCCTTGAGTCCCCAGAGCTTCTCTAGCTCGATAAGTACTTGGTGTAATTTATTATTTTGGTGAATTCCCTTTGTTGTTAAGTTCTGCTCACAGCAGAACCATTGATAACTCAGACACTCACAAGATGCATCAAGCTTATTTTCTACTTTCCAGAGCAAACCCTTAGCGCTTTTAGAAATAACAGCTCAACAATAAGAGAGAGACAGAACAACCGTTAAATGCAGACATAAGAACAAGAATAACAACAAAATATCAGTTTGGGGCCATTTGTGTAGGTGCAAGTAACGTTCCCTATCTCACTGAGCACCAAGACCTTCACTGTACTGGTCTGTGGCCTGAAAATGGTTCACCATGGTAATTAACGCAGAGAAGACATTGTGTAGACTTCATGTCCTCTTAAAATAGTTAAATTATAACTGTGTTGTTGTCTAAAAGGAAAGACCAAAATTATCTAGAGAGTTCTCATCTGTGTGGCTTAAGCTAGATGAATAACGTATCATTGTAAAAGGATAGTGTCAGCCAAGGTCCAGCCCCCAGCTGTCCCCAGTGTAGGAGGTGGCCCCACTGGCAGCATCCCTGACACCACTCTGACCTGCTCAGGACAGCTCTTTCTCACTCCCCTAAATGCCAGGAGTTTCCAGAAAAAGTCTGGGGGAGGCTGTGGGCTCTGGGGTCAGACACTCTGGGGTGGGGTCCCTTTCCAGCAAGGTGACTCTCAGCAAGTGGTTCCCCGACTCGGAGCCTCGGCTACCGCTTCTCTAAAATGGCAATGGCCATACCCACCTGGGGGGCCATTGGGAGGGTCGGGCGGGCCTGGGAATGACCCAGCACACAGTAGGTGCTCAATGAGAAGCAGCTGGCACCAAGGTGGGATCTGGGTGAGTTCAGAGCCCAGGCACGAGGGCTCAGAATCTCAGCTCGGCCTTGCTGAGTGCTTGGGCGATTCACTTCGTCTCCCAGAGCCCCAGTTTCCTCAGCTCAAACTGAGATCCCCAGGGAGTTGAAACAAGCAAGCATTCTTGAGACTGTGTGTTTCCTTGCCTGTTCTTCCTGCCAGGCAGTAAAGGGGCAGGATTGGGTCTGTCCCTGACTCGACCCCCGGAACAGGGCCTGCGGTGCTTAGTAGGCGCTTGGTAAAGACTCAGTCATTTGCTCCAGTCGGGAGGGAAGTTGGCTGGTGCCTGCTGGGGGGCTCCCCCTGCCCTTCTGACTGTGGGGAGCAGGCCCAGAGCCGACTTTGGCCAGGCCGGGGTAGAGGCCTGCTTCTGCCATCCCTGGTGGGCCCCAGCGTCTCCTCTGAATCCCCACCCTGCTCCTGAGCAAGTGCTCCCATCCCCCACCCTGCTCTGGCGGCTTGGCATAGGTGGGACACCAAGCCTGGAGCTCCCGGCTGCTCCAGCCACCCGAGCCAGCCCCACAATTGTTTTTCCACCTGGAGCGTCCAAGGAGTTGCTGGCAGCCAGGCCAGGCGGGGGAGGCGGGGGGCGGTGTTGGAGGAGACATCAGTGGGCGTGGGAGGAACAGGCTTCACCCTTTCCATCCACAGGGGTACCGGTACTGGGATAAACTGGACGGCACTGGTCAGGGCCCACTTTCCTTTGACCTTAGGTGAATGACTTAACCGCCCCAGTCTCATTTACTTCATCCATAAAATGGGGATAATATTAGTAGCTGCCTCTTGGGGTTGCTGTGAGGAATAAATGCGTCAGCTCATGTAAAGCACTCAGAACCATGCCCAGAAGCAAGTGGTCTTGATGGCAGCCCTTGCTATAGGCACTCTAGGCTGGATGCGAGGGTTCTGCCGCACACAGCTGCCTGGTGTGGGCCAGCCACGTCCACTGTCTCTGCGTACCATGTGCACCCACAGCAAGCCTCCGGAGGTGACAGCCCCTCACAGAAGCTGCAGGAAGTAGAAGCGGAGTGGGTGGCAGCTCCCTCCCTTGCTTCCTCAGCTTTCTCTCCCCTTCTTTCTTCCACCAGCCTGGCAGGTGCCCCCAGAGGCAGGGGATGGGTCCCCTGACCTCGGGGAGGACCCCCAGCCCCATCAGCCGCGGAAATGGTGGACCCGCGGGCCCTGGGCTACTGCCATGCTGCAGCCCTCGGAGGAACTGAGCAGGGACAGGGCCAGCCTGGGTCACCCGATGCAGCTGCACAGATGTCAGGCCCGGCATAGCCGAGGTGTGGTCAGGCTAGGTTCCCCTGGGCCCCGCTATGGGAACAGGCTGTCCCGACAGCCTGGCTGCCATCCCTTGCTGCTGTTGTTTGGAAGATAGAGCAGTCATCAGCCCCAGCCCCCGGCAGCCCCACCCTCCCCTCGGCTTCTGCAGCTCCCAGGCCTGGGACAGTCCCTGGCTGACCCAGGTTGTGCACTGGGTGGCCTGAGGCAGGCCCTGACCCTCTGTCGGCCTCCATCTTTTACCTCTACTGAGAAACCGGGGGCGGAGCCCTCTGTCCCTGCTGCCCTTCCAACTCAAGGCCCAGGAAAAAGGACAGGAGGCACATGGTGGGGTCCGGGGCCAGGGTGCTCACATGTGCTTAGTGAGCACCAGGAGCCACCTTAGAAGGAAGGTGAGGGATCTGTAACCTTGGTCAGGACAGCCACACAGGAACTGTCTCCTGGACCCAGGAGGAGCAGCAGGACCCAGCCTTCTAGGCAGCAAGGGAAACTGAGGCAGGAGCCCAGTTATAGGGCCTAATAAACTTGATCCAGGAGGAGGCAGCTACTGCGTGGAGACTTGGGCTCCAAGGTCCTTGTGAATCCAGGGTCCAAGACCATCGACCTCCAGCCCTACCCACTGATGGGAAGGAGGCTGCCATCTTTCCCATGCCCGCTCAAGTGAGGCTCAGGCCCCAAGCATGGCAGGCTGGTTTCAGGGGCATTGAAAATGGGTCCTGGGTTCAATCCTGCCTGTGCCACTTCCTGGCTGTGTGACCTTGGGCAGGTCCTTTCTCTCTTTTTCTCCATTTCTTCTATAAAGCGGGACAGTAATGCCACCAACACAATGCCGTAGAGGTAAAGCTTGGCTGTCATGTACACCAAAGGCTTGGTCTGCAGTCTGACCTCTGTGCCTCTGTCTTCCTCCACCTCCCCTTATCCATCCAGAGGGCCCGAGGAAGGAAGCAGGCACGGGTGGGGTTTGCTCTGGCACTTGCTTCGGAGTCCTTGGATACCTCCAGGCAAGTCCTTGATGCTTTTCCCAAACGATGCCAGCCCAGGGATGGATTCTCTGCCTATGGGAACTTGGGTCCATCCCAGGAATGTAGGCCAGACGGTGGGGAGGAGAAAGTGCAGGGTGGAGGCTCGGCCAGCGTTCTACCAAGGTCTCTCGGGCACGAGGTGAAGAGTGGGCACCCGCCTGCAGAGGCAGTGCCAGGGACTGTCGGCCTGGGCTCAGCACAAATGTTGTGGCTGCCCCCCCAAGGGTTGGTGGCAGGAGGCCCGGGGAAGCCTGCAGGCGGGAGCAGATATGTTCTGCTTGGAAGGATGCTTGGGACAAAGCCAGCTCCGGGAGCTCCTCGTGTGGCTGGACACATGGGGCAATTCCTGGGCTAGGGGAGGAAGGCGGCGCCTGCTGAGGGGAGGGAGGGCATCTTGCCAGGGTTGGCAGAGTCTAGGGCCTGGGAGCTGGGACCAGGCATCAGGGCCTGGGGCCAAGGCCTTGGGAGGGCTGGCGAGACCCAGGCAGGCCCCAGCCCGTGGGCCTCGCAGACCAGGACTCTGGGTTCACTGTGCCTTGGGTGTCGCACACTCAGCCCTGAGTTGTCCTCAGGGCTGGTCCTTCCCTTCCCCGAGGCTGACCCTGGAGGGGCGGCTTCCTGGGTTGGGGGAAGCTTGGTGACAGTGCTTCGGCTGACTTTGTCTCCAGAGTCCCCTCTTCCCTCCCCAATGACTCCAGACCTCTGGGGGTGGGCGAGGCCGGGTATCCTTCCCTCCTCTGATACCCTGGCCCCAGCATTACTGGAAGTCCTGCCCCCAGGTCCTATGACACACAGGGCTGGACTGTTTGGAAGACATTCTAATGAGGACAAGAGGGAAATAAACACGGAGAGTCTGGGGAGTGGGACAATGGTGTGTGTGCGTCTGTTGGGAAGGCCTTCCTGCAGTGGTGCTGATGCTGCCGCCCGATACCCACAGGATTAGGCTGAGACTGCACTGCCCCTACCCCGAAACCCCATCTTTGCCGCTCCTGCCTCCCTGGCTGCCTGGCAGGCCTCTCCCAGCACTGCGGGAGTTCTGCCCCCATTCTCCTCCATCTCCTCTCCCAAGAGGCAGCCAGGCTGAGATTGGGGGCCCTTTCCCTCTTTGGTCCCCCGTCAGGAGGTGGGATGAGGTCCCCAAGGAGTCCCCACCCATTTGCAGCCTGAGCATTGGAGAGACTGCTGGGGCTGGGGCGGGGCCAGGGAGCTGGGCACCCACAGCGACCCCAATGGACCTCAGAGCGCCGCAGCCCCTGTCTCAGCTGCAGGAACATGGAGAGCGTGGGTGGAGCTCCATGCTAGCTTGCAAGTCCTCTAGCTCCGACAAGAATCAAGCCATCAGCTTCTCTTCCTCCTAGAGAGGTCCACTGGCTGCAGAGCCTCCAAGTGTCTGGACCCAGAGCTTCTAGCCCACCCTTGAGCAGCCCAGCAAACTCAGTGCTCTGAAAGCTCAGGGGCTTTCGGCCTGAGGAGCTATTCCAGCCCAAGAGGGCTTCCTGGAGGAAGAGACGTTTGAGCTAAGCATTCTAAGCAGAAGGAACAGCATGTACAAAAGCCCAGGGGCACGAGAGAGCAGGCCCCTTCCAGAAGTGGTGGGTGGCCATGGCTAGAAGCCTGGGAGACTGAGGACAGGGAAGAGCTTTGGTATTTTGGATGCCTTCTCCCCACTTCAGGCCTCATCTTGTTTTGGTCTTCCCCAGCCCCTGACCTGGGCCCCTCCCTGGCTCTGCTACTTGCTTGTTGTTAGTCTTGAGCCAGTTACCTTTTCTCTCTGAGTCTCAGTTTCCCTATCTGTAAAATGGGGTGGAGCCTCCCTCCTCCCACAGCTGTTGTGAGGAAAACACCAGCATGAACTTGGCTAAACCCTCTCCCAAGGCCTGGCACAGAGTAGGGCTAACAAGGGAAAAGTGAAAGAACAAAACAGCAACATCAACATAGTGTTTTCCCCTCCTTGCCTTCCGTTGGAACTTCTGTCCTCAGGAAACCTCAGTCCCATCTCCAGGGAAGAATAGAGATCCTGGGCCTGAAGGCTTTTCTGTTTTGGCCTCCCTGTGTGATGCCAAATGAAACCCACCTCCTTCCCGACCCTCAGTTTCCTCATCTGTGAAATGGGAGGGAGGAACCACAAGGCGGTTTGCAAATGACAGCCAGCCCCGCTGCAGTGTGTCCTCCTTTCTGTCATGAGGAAGACCACCTGGATCGCCTACACTGGGACACTGAGGCCCATGGAGAAGGACGGAGTCCCTGCCCTGCACATGCTGTGTGGCCCTGACAAGTCCCAACACTCCCTAGGCCTCTGTCTCCCCGCTCCTGCTCTTTCCAGGCTGTTCTTGGAACTTGCTGGATGGAAGGGACTCCAAGGCAGGGGGCAGAGAAGGCTGAGGGGAGGAAGGGCGCTTGCCCTGGGCGCCCAGGTGCTGCTGGGGTGAGACAGTGCTGAGCTACCTCAGGGGGCCCCCACCCCACCTGCATGTCCCTGCCCCCAAAGGCCTTTCCACCCCTTCAGCCCCACAAGGCAGGTATCAATCCAGAGATGACCCTGCTAGGCCCAGGGAGAGGCTGGCAGTGTAGCCAGGAACTCTGGGTGACTGCTTGGTACCAGCATCCCTTCCTGACAGCCCCACGGGACACTGGACTCTCAGGCCAGAAGCCCCACTCCCAGAGGGGCCAGTGTGTGAGCTGCTGGGAAGAGCAGCTGTCCCGGGCAGGGAACCTGGGGGTTCCTGAGAAGGGAGGTCATTTTACTACGCTCTCTACTTCTGCTAGAAACTTTCTGAAATAAAAACATACAGCGCAGACCCTGGAGAGCAGCATACACCTGCCCATTGTGGCATGAACCCTTCCACTCAGGCCTTGGTTCTTGACTGTTTTCTCCATGAATACATTAATTATACGGAAGTGATCTGCCCGTATGGGTGTAGATGTGGCAATCTGGTTTACAATTTTGTGTCACATAAATGTGAGCCAAGAGGCAGAAACAACCCAAATGTGCATCAGCTGATGAATGGATGAGTAAAATGTGGTGTCTGCACCCAGTGGAATATTATTCAGCCATAAAAAGGAATGAAGGACTGATGAGCCCGACCACGTGGATGAACCCTGGAAACATCATGCTGAGTGAAAGCAGCCAGACACAAAAGCCCACAGAGTGTATGCTTCCATTTAAGCCCACAGAGTGTATGCTTCGATTTGTCTCCAATGTCCAGAATGGGAAATCCATAGAGACAGAAGCTAGATCAGCAGTTGCTAGGGCGGGGAGTGGTGAATGGGGAATGAGTGCTAGTGGACGTGAGATTTTTTTGTTGGGGTGATGGAAGTGTCCTAAAATTGATTGTGATGATGATTGTATAATCCTTCAAATATTCTAAAAACTACTGAGTTGTTCATTGTATTTGTCTGTTCTCATGCTGCTAATAAAGACATACCCAAGACTGGGTAATTTATACAGGAAAGAGGTTTAATGGACTCACAGTTCTGCATGGCTAAGGAGGCCTCACAATCATGGTGGAAGGCAAAGGAGGAGCAAAGTCACATCTTACATGGCGGCAGGCAAGAGAGAGCTTGTGCAGGGGAACTCTTCTTTATAAAACCATCAGATCTTGTGAGACTCATTCACTATCGAGAGAACAGCATGGGAAAGCCCACCCTTCATGATTCAATTACCTCCCACCAGATCCCTCCCACCACACATGAGAATTATGGGAGCTACAATTCAAGATGAGATTTGGGTGGGTACACAGCCGAACCATATTATACACTTTAAATGGGTGAATTATATGATATGTGAGTTATATATGAATAAAGAGGTCTTTAAAAAGATATGTACTTTATGTGTTAATGTGAGTATGCCAGTATTCAACTATAAGGTGTTTTGTATTGGAAATTGTGAAAATAAAAATTATGGTCTTGGAGTCAGTGTGCCTGTGGTCCTAGGTGTGAGACACCCTCCCTGAGCCTCAGTCTCCTCATCTGTAAAGTGGGGATAATACTAGCACTTCTCTCACAGGGCGCTTGTGAGGATTCGGAGGGGGAAGCAGTCCGGGCTGCCACAGCTCTTACTGTTATTGTCGATGTTATCCTTGTTGGGCTGTGCAGGGAGGCCCTGCCAAGCTCTGGCAGATTTCACCCTGAGTTGGGGCCCTGCTGCCATGAGACAGCAGGTATCTATCGGTAGTACCTGAGAGACTTGGGTCCTCTCCTGACTCTGTCCTGCACAGCTGTGTGCCTTTGGGCAGGCTGGTGAGCTCTGGAAGCTCAGTTTCCCCATCTGTGAAATGGGAATGAAGCCAGCAGAGCTCCCCCACCTCTTCCTTATGTCCCCTCCTCAGAGAAGCCTCCCCTGGGCCCTGTTTTAAAAACAGCCATCCTGCTACTCCCTCTTCTTTTTCCCCATTGTATTTTTTTTTTCACTTGCCACTTCTGGACACAGATGTGTTTGTTTACCTATTTGTTTTTATTGCCTTTCTCCTCCCCCTGGAATGAGCCCCATGAGGGTCTCAGGCAGCACCGGGCACATGGCCAATGCT
Organism: Homo sapiens; assembly: GCF_000001405.40. Taxonomy (NCBI): domain Eukaryota; kingdom Metazoa; phylum Chordata; class Mammalia; order Primates; family Hominidae; genus Homo; species Homo sapiens. The sequence goes on from NC_000003.12 coordinate 13,522,964, forward strand.
TGGAAATGTCTCTGGAGTGTGGAATGTATCCCAGGTGTCGTTGGCCAGGACAGGGAGCTAGCGTGTTCCCGCCTCAGGGCCTTTGCACTTGCTGTTCTTTCAGTAAGTATCCACATGATTTGCTCTCTCATTTTATGCAGTTCTTTGCTTACCTATCACCTTCTCAGGGAGGCCTTGCCTGATGTGCCTCATATTTACCCTCCCCTCGTGCCAGCCCCGCCCAGCTTCCCCCTGCTTCCCGTGCCACCAGCTGACCTTCTGCGTGTTGGCTTACTGATGGGCCTGCTGGTGGTCTCCCCACACAGTGGTCAGCCCCAGGCCAGCAGAGATCTGTGCGCCTTATTGCCTGCTGGGGCCCCTGTGTGCATGGTCAGCACTCAGCAAGTATGTCTTGCATTAATGTCATTTATTTCCTGGAGGAGTAACCATGCATGGAAACCCCTTGAAAAATACCTGGAAGCATAGACACCAAAACTCATGACCGTGGGTCTCTCTGGGCAGGGAGGAGAAGCCCTGATTGTCCATTCTGTGTTCTAAGGAGAGGCAGGCAACTGTTCAAGGGGCTGGGCCACAGCAGAAAATGGGGGACAAAGACCCTGACCTTCGTGGGGCCAACAGTCCAGTGGCAGAGGCACAAATAAATCCATGCAACACAGAGGTTCCCGAAGTGTGGTCCGCAGACCCCCAGGAATCCCAAGGCTCTCTTAGAAGATCCACAGGGTCAAATGGTTTTCATAATGATCCTAAGATATCATTAGCCCCTTTCCTTCACTGACATTTGCTCGAATGATGCAGAAGATGAGGAGAAAAGCACAGTCGGGGCCGTGGTGCACCTGTTGGTGGCCCCTATAGTCTTCACCAGCACACCTGGGTCACATCCTTGCTAAGCGCACAGACTAGCAGTGGTGTTGAGCCTGACCCTTGAGTGCACATCTTCTGAATATTCTTCGTGACAAAGTGGGAAGTGCACATAAAGCAAGCCCAAGTGTGATGGTTCTCAGAAAAAAGGCACACGTGAGATGTTTGAGTTGTCAGCCCAAATAGCCACGTTTATATAGAACCCAAGGGTTTCATAAAAATGGCAAGCTATGGTTATTCAGACTTGGTATCGTGGCAGATATTTTCTTGAAAATGATCAAAATGAGCTGTCGCTTCAAGGAAAACAACTGACAGGAATTGTTGCCAGTGAAAAGATTCCAGCTTTCAAGTGAAAATTAGAATGTTAGAAAACTGGCCAGGTATGGTGGCTCACACCTGTAATCCCAGCACTTTGGGAGGATTGCCTGAGCCCAGGAGTTTGAGACCAGACTGGGCAACATAACAAGACCCCATCTCTACTAAAAATATAAAAATTAGCTGGGCATGTTGGCGTGCATGCCTGCAGTGAGCTGTGATTGGGCCACTGCACTCTAGCCTGGGTGACAGAGCGAGACCTTGTGTCAAAACAAAAAAACAAACAAAAACTTGTACCAGCACCAGGAGCCAATACTTACAGACTTTTCTGATGAGATTGGCAGGGATATCAGCAAACTGTGATGTTTACTTATTGAATAATAAGATATGTCAACATTTGGAAGGTGAGTGAACCAATATTCTTTAAATGATCAACCCATGTTGTTACAATATGTGTGAAGGTAAAAAAAAAAAAAAGCCATTCAAAGAACAAGATAGACAGGCTGGGCGAGGTGGCTCACTCCTGTAATCCCAGCACCTTGGGAGGCCCAGGCAGGTGGATCATTTGAGGTCAGGGGTTCAAGACCAGCCTGGCCAACATGTTGAAATCCCATCTCTACTAAAAATACAAAAATTAGCCAGGCATGATGGTGTGTGCCTATAGTCCCAGCTATTTGGGAGGCTGAGGCACAATAATCTCTTGCACCCAGGAGGTGGGGGCTGCAGTAAGCCGAGATCGCACCGTTGCACTCCAGCCTGGGTGACAGAGTGAGACTCAATCTTAAAAAACAAAACAAAACTCCAGGTGCAGTGGCTCATGCCTGTAATCCCAGCACTTTTGGGAGGCCAAGGCAGGTGGATCATTTGAGGTCAGGATTTCAAGACCAGCCTGGCCAACATGGTGAAATCCCATCTCTACTAAAAACTCAAAAATTAGCTGGCGGGAGTGGCACGCGCCTGTAATCCCAGCTACTCGGGAGGTTGAGGCAGGAGAATCTCTTGAGCCTGGGAGGCAGAGGTTGCAGTGAGCTGAGATTGCGCCACTGCATTCCTACCCGGGTGACAGAGTGAGACCTGGTCTCCAAACAAAAAAAAAAAGACAGATGGATTTTCGTGTAACCAAGTATGAAAAGCTCTTCATATGGTTCCAAATTCTGCATCATGAATAAAGTTTAAGAAATTAACACTCGTTGAGTTTTGGTGTTATAGCAAAGAAAAATATTCACAAAGATCTGAAAAGTCTATTAAAATGCTCCTCCCTTTTCTAACTGCATATCTGTGCAAGGCCAGATTTTGTTCACATAGTTCAATGAAAACCACATATCGCAACGAACTGAATGAAGAAACAGCTATGAAAATCCAGCTGTCTTCAATTAAGTCAGACATTAAAAGGATTTGCAAAAGTGCAAAACAACACCACTTTTCCCACTGATTTCTTTGTTTTGAAAAATGTAGCTTTTTCATAAAAATGCTTTATGTGAACATGTATTATTTCTTTTAAAAAGATTCTCTTATACTTTGATAAATATTCTAATAATTCATCTGTCTTAGTTTTGAATACAGTAAATATCAGTTTTCATAACTCACATGAACTACAGCTCTTTGAAGTCCTTGATAATTTTTAAGAGTATGGAAAATAGGCTTGCCAGATACAATGGAAGTGTGTCCTGTGCAATATTTGGGAAGTAGTTGTTCTAAAAAAATTATTTGTTATTTATTTGCAATTCAAATTGAACTGGGCATTCTGTACTGTTATTTATGTAGTAAACCCGGTGATCCTACTAAAGGGATCCTGAGAGCAACATATTTGAGAACTGCTGGTTGGGAAGAAAAATAAATTGGGTAAGAATTCAGAGTGTTCCGCGTGATCAGGGCCTGTGTCATCGGGGCCAGCCACACGGGGAGGAGGGCTCTGGTTCGGGGCTTGGTGAGGGTCAGGGCCTGGAGTCTGGATGGGGCTTGAGGAGCCGGAGACACAGCAAGGAGGGAGGGAGATGTGGTCTCCTGTTGCGCTCAAATCTGTTCCAGGAAGGAGGACACCTCTATGTCCAAGAAGTGGGCTTGCAGAGAGGCAGGAACAAGCCCAGACTTGGGAAGCTAGTGCGTGGCATCAGGAGCAAACCCTCTCAGGCTTGACACAAAGCCCACGCCTGGCCTTTCTAGTTTCTTCTCAGCTGAGGACAGGGATGAGGATGGGAAGGGACGGCTGGCACCGGGCCTGGAGGTGGTGTGCTCGGCAGGGAGCTTCCTTCCTCCCTGGCTGAAGAAAAGGCAGCCATGGGGGACAGGGAGGAAGGGCAGCAGAACAAAGGCCTTTTGTGCAAGGGAGGGTTTCGGGCTGGCCCTGTCTGCACACAGGATTAGGGTCACCAGTCTGGTGGGCAGGCACGGGCTGACCCAGGCTGCCTGCCGGGCACGGCGTCCCTGCTGGTGTGGGGCTTGGCTGCTGCGGCACATCTGCGATGGGTGGACTTACAGCCATCTGGGCTGGGAAAGTGAGAGGGACCCTGACGAGTGTCCCTCTGGGGTCACAGGGCAGAGCCAGAAATGTCCTCATCCCCAGAGACCTCCTCCTCGGGTCAACCCTGCCACTACTTAGACCAGGGGTGGTGATTGCCCAGGCGGGACATAGTCAGGGTGAGGACCGAGGTGGTCTGGTGTCTCCAGGTGGGGGCCAGGGTATATGCAACAGTTTCCAGCCATAGGATCTGTGGGTTAGGTCAGAGGGTTAGGCCTGGGGGCGTCAGGCAGGACCCTTCCTCACAGCTAATGAAGTGCTAGGGGTGTGGCAGGCTAAGGTGAGAGGCAGGAACCGTCTGTCCTGGGACAGCCAGTAAGGGGTGCATTGGCTGCACCTGATGTGAATCAGTAATGAACCCGGCCAAAAGCCAGGCTGCTTTTTATTATCACCATGCTCTGAAAAATCTAAAAAAAGGTGAATGATAGAATATTGCTCCTTGTGCTAAACAATTGCTGTAGATACTGTTAAGTTTTACTAACATGTATGTATGCTCACATTAGCATATTCTGGTGACTTTTTTTTTTTTTTTTGAGATGGAGTTTCACTCTTGTCACCCAGGCTGGAGTGCAATGGCACCATCTTGGCTCACCGCAATCTCCGCCTCCTGGGTTCAAGCAATTCTCCTGCCTCAGCCTCCCAAGTAGCTGGAATTATAGGCATGCTCCACCATGCCTGGCTAATTTTGTATTTTTAGTAGAGACGGGGTTTCTCCATGTTGGTCAGGCTGGTCTCGAACTTCTGATCGCAGGTGATCCTCCCACCTCAGCCTCCCAGAATGCTGGGATTACAGGCGTGAGCCTGCGCCCGGCCGACTTTTGTTTTAATAAGCATGGAGAACTCAGTTATGCAGTCAGCCCCGAAACATGCCCATTCAATGACAAGCATGTGTTTGGAGAGTCTGTTTGTGGTGATTTAGGATCATTTGAGCAGCTTAATATAAACTTGTGTCTCTAGTTCCTGGTGCAGCTACCTACTCTTGCATTTAGGAAGTGGGTTTGAAATAATCAGTGACTGTGCAGTGATTAGAAAAAGAAACATGGCTGAGCCTGGTGGCTCATGCCTGTAATCCCAGCACTTCGGGAGGCCGAGGCGGGTAAATCACCTGAGGTCGGGAGTTTGAGACCAGCCTGACCAACATGGGGAAACCCCGTCTCTACTGAAAATACAAAATTAGCCAGGTGTGGTGGCACATACCTGCAACTACTCGGGAGTGTGAGGCAGGAGAATCGCTTGAACCTGGGAGGCAGAGGTTGCGGTGAGCCGAGATCGAGCCACTGCATTCCAGCCTGGGCAAAAAGAGCAAAACCCGCTCTAAAAAAAAAAAAAAAAGAAAGAAAGAAAAACAAAGAAACAAAAATTGAGTTATTTCAGTTCTTTCTCTGTGCCCACATGGAGTTTTTATTCGAGTTTAACATTTAAAACAGTGAAACAAATGCAAACAGAGTGAAATGGTTTTGCTTGGCTAGTGCACATTTTAGTTCATCCATACAATGTTTTCATTTTGTGATTACTACCAAGAATAACTGTAAAAGTGACCTGCTCTGAGTGTCCGATGTGCTATGTCTGCCACTGGGCCAGAGTAACCACAGAGAGAACCCGGATGGGGTGCAAGACCCTGAGGTATGCCAGGCAGAAGGTCACTCTGAACCCCAGGTCTGGGCGGGGAGGCAAGGCAGGGCCGGGGAGGGGGTGCTGAAGGCACAGCTGAAGTAGGGGTGGGAAAGAGGGCCAAACAGAGGCTGGAGTGCCACAACAGGCCAGGGTGGAGGAGTCTGCCAGGAGCCACCCCACTCCCACCTTCTGCACGTCGCATCTCTGTTAACAGGACCCTTGGCTGCTTCTGACGTCGCATCTCTGTTAACAAGACCCTTGGCTGCTTCTGCTGGCAGACAGCCCGGCCGCCCTGGAGCTGCAAATAACAGCTATTCTGCCCATGCCTCACCTCCTTCATCCTTTCTCTGCAATCTTTTGTTTGACCACAAGGGCAGAACTGGATGGAAGAGGAGGCCTAAGGGAAGGGAAGGAACTCTGACTGAATGCCCTCTCTGCAGCCCCTTGTGGCCTGGGCTTCTCCTGGGCTTCCCCACCCCTTTCCCCCCTCCCCACCCCTTTACTCCGTCCCCACCCCTTTCTCTTGGCTTCCTTCCTGGCTGGCTTCACTCTCCTGTCCCCAAGGTTTTGCCTTATCCTCTGGCTTTTTCCACCGATATCTGGACATTTCCCTAAATCCCACATGTTCCCTTCCCCTCTCTCTGTTAGAACCCCCAAGCACAGCTCCAGTCCCCATGACCCCCGTCTTTTCATCCTTGATGCCCTGGCCACTCCTCCCTGGACCCCAGCCCCTCCCTAGGCTGGTCACCACCATCACTTAGGCTACTCTCTCCACTCCCAATGACACTTCCAGCTCACCCCTGCTCCAGCTACTCCTCACTCCACGCAGCTCCTGCTGTGCAGCCACCTCTGTGCTCCAAGGAGGACCCCTGGGTCAGATGAAGACCTCATTGCCTCCCCAAGGGCCTCACCACACAGTGGGGTAAGGAAATCCCTCTTATCCCATCCCTCCACCTATCTCTCCGTCTCTCTGTTTCCGCATCCATCCATCCTTCTATATCTCCCTCTGTCCTCCCCTTCCTTCCTCTATTCATCTCTTTCTCCATCCATCCATCCATCCGTCCATCCAACCATCCATACCCTTTTCCCTCCATCCCTCCTGCCCTCCTTCCATTGAGCCATCCTTCCTTCTTTCAACCCATCATCCATCCATTTCTCCCTCTCTCCCTTCATCTACCTATTCTTCTCTCCCTCCTTCCATTCCTGCACCCATCCATCCTTCTATCCCTCTCTCTATCCAGCCCTCTCTCCCTGTATCCATCCATTCTTCCCTTCCTCCAGCCACCCATCTCTTCTCATCCTTCCCTTCCTCCATCCCTCCCTTTATCCATTTATTTATTCAATTTTTCCCACTTTGTGCCAGGCTCTGGCTTGGGCATGGGGGCTGAGGCCTGATTCAGACATGGTCCTTGCCCTTGCAGAGCTCAGTCTCATGAGAGAAGGGTAGTAGGAATACATCCAATGGAGAAAGCCCAGGGCAGAGAGCAATGCCTAAACCGGGCTCTGTAGGGTGAGTAGGAGTTTACCAGGAGAAAGAGTGAGTGCAAGGCATCAAGACAGAGAGAAGAGTATCTGCAAAGGCAGAGGTGTGAATGATGTGGTCTGGCTGGAGGGGCAGATGTTAGTAAATGGGGAGGCAGAGCAGCTGAGCTTGCTCACAGGGACCTTGAAGGCCAGGCTGACGCATTCAGACTCCATCCTGAAGGTGGTGGGGGCCCAGGAAGGCTTCTGGGCAGGGGAATAATGTAGGCAGGTGCATGCCTCCAGAAGGCCCTTCCTGGCCACAGTCTGGGATGCAAACTAGAGAGCAGTTTGGGATGCAGGTGAGGGCCTGTGGATGAGTCAGTACATTTCTCTCTGAGCATCCAGTCCCAACTTCCACAGTCAGGTTTTCATTTGGTGTCTGCTTGTAGCCTGAGAGTCCTGGGTTCAAGTCCTGATTCAGCCACTTCCTTAACCTTTCTGCCTCAGTTTTCTCAGCTGTAAAAATGGGAAGATGATGTCCTCCACTCCCCCAGCCTCAGCTAAAGGCTTACAAGCTCCATTGCTCACAGGGTCTCCGAGAGAGGGAGAACGAGTCCAGGAGGGCCAGCAGTATTTGGCCCTCCGCTCAGCATGGAGGAGTACAGGGAAGGGCAGGGAGCGGCAGGCCAGGCCCTGGCTAAGGGGCCACGACGTGGCTCCAGCTGTGGGAATGCAGGCCAAACCAGACCCGCTGGCTTTTCAATACAGAAAGCAAGAAATACAGATTCTTGAACTGTCGTGAGTTTTAAAGTATCCTGGCAAACAAAATGCTTTTGTGGCCCAGATCGGGGTTGCTGTGAAGATAAGCTGAGGCTGCACGTGTGGATGATGCCAACAAATGCAGCCCTTGACTCTTCTGCCCACCCACATCCCTCCCCTTCTTAAAAACAAGCCTCAGAAGGACTGAAAGCAGTCCTTCTGCAGCAAATCTCCCCAATCTCAGTGTCTGAGCTAGTGAGAGAGGAGCCAGTGCTCCTATGGTTTGACATAATTGCAAGCAGGAACTTGAATAGATATTTGTTCCCCTATGTTCACAGCAGCATTACTCACAACAGCAAAAAATGGAAGCAACCCAAGTACCCATCGACGGATGAATGGATAAAGAAAATATATGGTCTATTCATACAATGGAATATTATTCAGCCTTAAAAAGGAAGGAAATTCTGACCCATGCTGCAACATGGATGAGCCTTGAGGACATTATGCTCAGTGGAATAATCCAAGTCACAAAAGAACAAATACTGTATAATTCCACTTACGTGAGATCCCTAGAGGAGTCAAATTCATGGAGTCAGAAAGTAGAATGGTGGCTGTGGGTGCCAGGGGCAGGGGAAGGGGGAACGGGAGTCAGTGTTTAATGGGGACAGAGTTTCAGTTTGGGAAGAGGAAAAAGTTCTGGAGCCCGATGGTGGTGATGGTTGCATAGCAATGTGAATGTACTTCATGCCACTGAAATGTACATTTAAAAATGGTTATCATGCTAAATTTTATGCTGTGTGTATTTTACCACAATTTTTAAAGAAAAGTAGCAGAGGTTCATGTGAGGAAGGGAAAGGCAGGCCAGGAAACTGGTGTGTGGCACTGAGTCAGCTCTGCCTTGCTCCCCAACTCCAGGGACGGCCACCTCTGTAACAAGATAAGGCCTCGTTGAGGCTGGACAGGTACATTTAGTTCCACCAGGGTGGGGCCCCTTGCTACTTCTGTGTGATGGGCCTGGCATGAGAGGTGTTGAGGGACAATTGCCTGCAAGAGCAAACTGGTCTTGAAATAGGACCTGTACACTCATCTGGCCCTATCTTTAATTTTCTGTAGAAAATGAAATATTTAAATATACTTTATGATACTAAGGCAGTTCTTTCCACTGTAGCTTGTAAGGTGTTGCCTTCTGTTTTTTTTTTGTTTTTTTTTTTTGAGATGGGGTTTCACTCTGTCACCCAGGCTGGAGTGCAGTGGCATGATCGCAGCTCACTGCAGCCTCCACCTCCCAGGCTCAAGCGATTCTCCCGCCTCAGCCTCCCAAGTAGCTGGGATTACAGACGCCCGCCACCTTGCCCAGCTAATCTTTGTATTTTTAGTAGAGATGGGTTTTGCCATGTTGGCCAGGCTGGTCTCGAACTCCTGACCTCAGGTGATCCGCTCGCCTTGGCCTCCCAAAGTGCTGGGATTACAAGCATGAGCCGCCATGCCCAGCCTGGTGTTGCCTTTATTATACACATTTCCCTGTCTCTACTGAGGTGATCATATCACTTTCCTCCTTTTCCTTGGTAAGCCAAATGCCTTGCTCTTCTAGGGTTAAGCCAAATTTGCCTTCCTGGATACCTCCTGCTGGCGGGTGATGAACTGCCTTCAGAAGCGGCTGCCCTGGGTTTGTTAGTGTTTGTACTATCGGGTGCTGCATCTCTGTCTCTGCATGAGGCTGGCCTGTGCTTTCCTTTTCTCAAACTTACAACCTCCTATTGCTCAATCACCCCCACCCTGCTCCCCACCCAACCCTTGGCCATGTTCACCAGCTCAGCCATCTGAGCTGGACCAGACACCGAGACCAAGAGCTTGGCCGGGGCTGTGGGGCGAAGCTTCCTGGGCCCTTGGTGGGGATGAGCTGGGGGGGCCTCTGGGGAGGGGAGTTAATGATCCTGGGCACGAGGCCGGTGGCCACTGGGACATAGTCACCGAGGGTGATGGAGACTTCCCTTAGCCTGGAGAGTGGCCATCATGGTGCGTGGGTAAGTGGGGGGCTCCTGTGGCTGAGCCTTAGCCAGACTCCCCTTCCCCATAACCCCCCCATCCCTGGCTCTCCTCCCATTCCTCCTTCATGAAGGGAAGCTTCCCAATCCAAGCACCACCAGTTTTGGGGCAGCCTGAACTCTCTGAAGGGAAAGAATTCTCTTTTCCCTCCATCGGTGCTGTCCTCCTGGGCTCTATGGATTCTGGTGTGCCATAATCTCCATCTGTGGGACATCCCTGCACACTCAGATTGAAAATCCCCATCAGGCTTCTGTCAACTTCCACGCTCCCCCCTCCCCACTGGGTTTGGATGGATGCGGCCTGAGGCACCAGGGATGGGGTGGGGAGGGTGTGGCCTGTCTTTCCCTGAGGCTGGAGACATTGGGGAGGAGGCCGAGTTTGACTCTACTGGCCAATTTCTGTCTCTGTGCCTCCTGGCTGCACTGACCAGTCACCAACGCCAACAATGCCTTTGGTATGGCCTTTGTCCACCAGAGCTTTTGTGATTCTTCCAGAAGTGTTATTGGGGGAGGCCCTCTCTGCATTTGGCTTCTGCTGGACCCCATCCCACCAGCTCAGTTCCTACTCCCATCAGGGTCCCCTGCTGCTGTGGTCCCCCTATGGCCAGGCATCCCTCTCTGGTGTGGAACCAAGGAGACAGCCCATGTCAGGCTCCCTACTGTGGTGACATTTGACTTTCAGAAACGCATGGGACCAACCCTGCCACCCCCCCTTGTCCTGCGGCTCTCTCCAGTTCTCCTCTCCCCGTGCCGATGAGCCCAGGACACAGCACTGCCAGTCTGCTGCAGGAGATGACACCCAGGCTGAGAGGGAGGTGCCTGTCTCCCCACCTTGCAGGTGCCTTCAGTCTCCTGGAGATTTGGCTTTGGGCTTTCCTTTGGCTTTTTTTGGAGCAAGAAGGGAAGTGCCACTCCTGCCCCATAGCAACAGTTCACAAGCCTGGTGATTTCTGAGCTCCTTTTTTCTTCCTGGATGTCTGCATATTTAGGCTGGTAGGGCTGGCTGAGGAGAGGATCTTGGGGTGTTGGCAAGGGCTGCTGGCTCTCTTTAAAATGTGGGCGTCTGGTTGCTTCTTTGTCCTGAGTTTTGGGTCCTAGCCACTAATTCCTGCAAAAGGAAAGGGCTCCTCAGCACCTCGTTCTCCTGTAGGAGGCTCAGGCAAGGCTGGTGACCTGTCTAAGGCCCTGTGGTATGTTCTGATTCCTTCGGAGACTGGCATTACCACCTCCTGATTTCCAGATATGAACAATCCCTCTTGTCTTAACATCTGAGGACCTAAAAGAAGACCTGGGGCAAGGATCTGGGTGCAAGTAGTTTATTTGGAAGATTATCCCAGAGAGCACAGTGACGGTGTGAGGCAGGGAAAGGAGGAAGCCCACAAAGGGTGTGTTAGGCCTGGCACAGGGGCCACGCCTGTGATCCCAGCACTTTGAGAGGCCAAAGCAAGAAGATCGCTTGAGGCCAGGAATTTGAGGTGGCAGTGAGCTATGATTGCGCCATTGCACTCCAGCCTAGGGACAGGGTGAGATCCTGTCTCTAAATCGGAAAAGGCATGTTAATGAATGTCATCACTGGGAGCCGCTGGAGCTCAGTCCAGCCAGGATCCAAAGCGACAGTGCAGAGCACAGCTCAGAATTGTCCCAGCAAGAGACCTCCTGCCCTGTCCCCCATTGCTTGAGAGGGGCTCCTGGAGGCACTAACTCAGGACATGCCTGGGCTGCCCAGTCAACGTGGGCCAGATGAGCTCTTGCAAGCAGTGGTGTAGGTGACAAGTCATCTGTATATGCAGGAGCCAACCATGAGGCTGCAGGTGACCTCCAGCACCAGCTGAAGGACTATAGGCAGGATGTTGTCTGCACTGAACTACTCTAGCCATGCCTTTAGAGACCAGCAACAAAATAAACATCCCTGGGGGAACAGTGCACCACAGCCCTGTCTTTCATCAGCTACCGACGCCTGTATCATAAATGTGTGCACCCTGGCTTTTCACAAATTGAACATACTTGTGGAACTGGCACACAGCTCAAGAAACAGAACCTGACCAGCGCCCCCAATCCCTTTTATGCCCCTTTACAGGCACAACCACCCAAAGGGTACCTGCTCCCAACTTTTTTTTTCTTTTTTTTGAGATGGAGTCTCACCCTGTCACCCAGGCTGGAGTGCAGTGGCGCCATCTCAGCTCACTACAACCTCTGCCTCCTGGGCTCAAGCGATTCTCCTGCTTCAGCCTCCTGAGTAGCTGGGACTACAGGTGCACGCCACCATGCCCGGCTAATTTTTGTATTTTTAGTAGAGACAGGGTTTCACCATGTTGGCCAGGCTGGTCTTGATCTCCTGACCTCGTGATCCATCTGCCTCGGCTTCCCCACGTGCTGGGATTCCAGGCGTGAGCCACCGCACCCAGCCCCTGCTCTTCACTTTTAACAGCATAGATGAGTGTTGCCTGTTCTGGAACTTCACACAAAATGTACAAAGTGCGTATGCCATACTTGTGTACTCCTTTGTGTCTAATTTCTTTGGCTCTGAGCTATGTCTGTGAGCTACATCCACCTTGCTGTATGTAGTTGTGAATTGTGGGTATTCAATTGTGTGGTGGCCCCATGACGCACCTGCCCATCTCCACTGTCAGTGGGTGAGGAGTGGCTTCCGGTTTGGGGAGCTATGGCCAGCCCTGCTGGGGATCTTCTCGTTTGTGCCTCCTGCCTGGAGGACACACGCTGTCCTGAGTGGAAACTGAGGAGGGAGATTTCTGGGTCACAGCACGCACATATGTTCTGTTTTGGTCCCTTCTGCCAAACGGTTTCCCACAATGGTCGCGCCATCCGAAACTCCCGCTGGCGGATAAACATTCCAGTGGTTTCCCTTCTTTGTCCACAGTTGTTATTTTCTGAGTTTCTTGCCTCTTCCACAATTCCAGTGGGGTGGAGCCACAGCTTTTCCATCCTCCCGCCAGCCACCCTTGTTCATATTTCACAGGTGAGAACACAAAGGTGAGGGGAAGGAGTTCCTTACTCCACGTCACACACCCTGTGGGTGGCAGGATGGAGACTGAAGTCTCTCCGGAGGGATGCAGGTGGTAGGGGGAGCCTGGAGGAGCGTGGAGCTGATTTCGGCTGCGTGAAGTTGGCTGTGGGGTTGAGAGCCGCCTCTTCCTTGAAGTTGTCTGGCAGGCCGTATGGTGACATCTCTCCCTGCCCATTCTCGGGCTTGCTGCAGAGAGGCTGCACTGTGCCCACTCTTCTAGAGGGAAGGTCAATATGGGATTTGGCACTTGCTGTGTGCTTTAGAAGACACTGTGGTCTCAGGCAGGAGCCTTGGGGGTGGCCGTACCGTGGGGGTCAGGCTGCCTCTGCCCCTCCTGGCTGAGCCCAAGGGCTTACACCACCACCTCCAAGCATCCTGCATTTCTCATCTGTAAAACGGGCCTGAAAGCAGGGCCTGCCTGGCAGGTTGGCATGAGCCGTGCATGAGACAGGAAGGGTGTATGCTTTGCCTGGCTCCCGCAGCCCCATGGAAGACTCAGATGAGGGCCTGGTGCAGCCGGGGTTGGGGCAGGGGTGGAAGGGAGTTCTCCTCGAAGTCCGTGGCATCTGGCATTCTGGGCAGGGGCCCAGACATTGAGAAGGGTGCTGGGATGCTGGGATGCTGGCCGCCCACCTGCCCCTCCTCCCACATGTTGGCATATGGTTTTGTTCAGCAGGAGCCAAGCTGTCGGGGGAAGTTTCCTCCAGAGAGCCCGGGGAACAAGGCCCCTTTGTCTGGTCTGGGGTCTGCCTGCTCCCTAGGCCTGGAATTATGGGTCAGACCTCAGGCTGGCCATCTAGGGGCACTGTCTGTGATGGAGGAGGCCGGGGTCACCCTCTGTTAGATGAGGAAACTGAGGCAGAGAGAGCAAGAGACTGGTCCAGAGAGCTCAGTTTGCCAGCAGTGGAGGCAGGACTGGCTCTCTGCTTCCCAATCCAGTGTTCTCCCTTCTCCACCCTAAGATGGGTTCCCAGAAGTCCCTGGGTCCCTCAGAGAGTTTGTTTGTGTTGGTGGAGCCACTCTTCTTTAACAACCCCCACTCCTCCAGCCCATCCTTCCCTCCTTCCTGTCCTTCCACTGAGAGTTTTAGAGTTTTAGAGTGTGGCTGTGTGCAGCCACACTCCCAGCTACCAGGAATAGAAGTGTAAACAAAACAGTCATGATCTTGGCCCTCAGGGAGCTTGCCATCCAGTGGCAAAGCCTGACGAACCCACTGACATTGATGTCACAGGAGTAGTGCCCCGAGACAGGCGCTCACAGGTGCTGTGGCTGCACAGTCCAGGGGGTGAGAGTGAGCCAGGAGAGCTCCTGGGAGGAGGTGAGGTTTCAGTTAAGACCTGAAGGCTGACAAAGAAGCAGCCAGGAAAGAATGAGGTGCCCTGGGGGAGGGGCAGGGTGCTCCTGGCAGGTGGCACAGCACAAGCAGGAGCTGGGAGGTTGCAGAGAGCAGAGAGTGGGTAAGCCAGTGGAGGAAGCAGGAGTCGGGGGAGGGGAGACCGTGAGCGGAAACAGGAAACAGCTCCCATCAAAAACGGAGACACAGACTGGAGCCAAACCACTTTAGGACCTTGCCGGCCAGGCTGCCGAGTATGGGCTTGACTCCGAGGCCCACAGGGAGCCACGGAGGGCTTAAAATCAGGGAGTCCCATGGCCAGATTGTGCTTTAGAAATTAGTGATTGCAAAGAAGAAAGCAATGTTTTAAGGGGCAAAAGCCATGAGCAGAAATTTCACAAAAAAGAAAATGCAGATGGATGACGAACATGGCAAGATGTTCATCCTCATTAGTAACAAGGGACATGTGGACTAAAACCACACCAAGGTACCATTTCACACCTACTACACAGGCACACAAGAGTTGGTGAGGAGGTGGCACGCTTGGCAGCAACTGGTGGAAATACACATGGGCACAAACACTCTGCAGCAAGTATTTGGCATGAGCTGATGAGCCTAAATATGTGCATGTCCCATGACCTAGCTGTACGTCTGCCCTAAAGGACTCATACAAATGTCTACAAATGTCACAGGGAGACAGGCACGAGGCGGTTATAGCAGCATTATTTGTAACAGGAAAAACAAAACATGACAAAAACCAGAAAGCAATCTAAATATCCATAGACAGAGAATCATTCGGTATGCAAGAGCTGGTCAGTAGAATACTATACAGCACTGAAAAGGAATGAAGACCACCTGTAGGCACTGATGGATGCATCTCATCTCCTCAGTGCAATGAGGAACACTTAAAGTATGAGTCTCTTTATATCAAGTTCAAAAACAGCCCTAATTGAACAGATTAGGGGTGCATACAGAAGTGGGAACACTTTTAAGGAAACTCTGGGAGTTAGTGTGACTGGGAAGGGGCCCCAGAGAGGATTTCTGGGTCAAGAAGCCCATGCTTTTCACAGAACCCCTTTCTAGTGTTTGCACATGACCCGAATCAGCCCCTGGGCTCATGTCACATTCTCTCCTGCTGGCTAACATTTTTGCAATGGGTGTAACCTGCTTGTTTTATTATTAGTCACCAACCACAGGCGACTTGCTTTTCCATCAGACCCTCGCAGTGTGCTTGGCCTTCGGTTCCCAGCCTAGTGGGAGCCAACGACCCTATGAGATCTGGGTATTTCTGGGTATCTCTGGGCTCTCATTGGCTGGATCACAGGGGCTTCCACGACTTGACAGCCAATCACTGAGGAGCTTGATGAAGTCCCCTTCTGTCTGTTGAAAACTTTAGAGAGAACATATTTTAAAAATGTGTGCTAAATACATATCTGACAGTGTCTGAATTTAATGTCCAAGAAATTGACCTGAAACTCAAGGCTGCAAATTTACCCACCCTTTTGGGGCCATTCATGGATCGCTCTCCAGCATCTGGGAACAGCCCTCAGTTTCCACGTGGAGATTCCTCCCACCTGCTCAGGCCTCTGGACACATATATGACCTGGGCAGAGCCAATCAGCACAGCCCATCCCCACGGCAGTGACTGGTTCCAGGCCTGGGCACCTGAATTGAGTCCCTCCATTTGGGGAGAACCTTAAGACCAGTGCAAAAGTGCTGCATTCTAGCTGGACTTGAAGGGTTATGAGTTGAGTGACAATGGGGGAGAAACTTGCTCCTGGTAACATGTTTGAAGGACTGGATCAAGCTGTGCTTGAAGTCCACCCTTGTACTCTGTCGGTACTGAAGTCAATAGTTCCCTTCTTGACTTAGCCTCTTTGAGTCAAGTATACTGTGACTTGCAGCAGTAAGTCCAGACTGGCACCCTTTCCCAACTTGTCATTCACACCTCCTGAGCCAGAAACCTGTGTGTGTGTTTGTGTGTGTGCGTGTGTGTGTGAGCCTGCCCCTCCCTTTCTCTGGCTCCCAGCATCACACCAGTGTCCTCTCCCCACAGTGTCTCTCCAATCCTACCATTGCCCCCATGCCACCAGCCCTGTCTGAACCCCATCATCTCCCACCTGGACTCTTGCACCAGCCTCCTCCAGTGGCTTCCCACCGCTCTCAGAATAAACATGGAGCTTCTTCCCGTGCCCACAGGCTCCCCCGTGAGGCCTGACCCTGCCACCTCCTCGTCTCCCCAACTATCCCTTCAGTGGACTCCTCAGCTTCCGGATCCCTTTCCCAGAGCCCACTTAACTGTCCTTGAGCACTTCCTGTGTGCCAGGCCCTGTCTGATCCTTCCCACTGGTTAACTCATGGAGCCCTCCCAAAGCCTGGCGATGTAGGAGCTGCTGTTCCTATTTTATGGAAGAGGACAGGAAGCCCAAGTGGTTAGGAGCCTCCCGAGTCTGAGTTAGCACACAGCCAGGCAGCCGGGCTCCAGCTGACCACTGTCCGCACCACCTCCCCTGCAGCACTGCCTCAAGGCGCTTCTTATTGTGTGGGTGTGAGGTTGTTGGATTTATATCTATCTCCCACTGGAATGTGAGCTCCATGTGGTCAGGGGCGAGTCAGCCCTACTCATGGCCAGAGCCCTGGTAGGATGCACAGTACCTGGCACAGAGTGGGTGTCCTGGAAAGGTTTGTTGAGTAATATTAGCTAATACTTATTGAGCACTTACCACATGCAAACCACCTCCTAAGCACTCCTAAGCATATAACTCAGTCTTCACAACAGCATGCCGAGGTAGGCAGTTATTTTATAGTTGGGACCCTGAGACACAGAGAGGCAACTTCTCCCAGGTCCCATGTCTACTAAGCAGCAGAGCTGGGCTTCAAACCCAGGCAGCCTGGCTCCAGAGTCTGACCTGGTAACCACGTGCTATGTCATCCCTGTGTGGGCGGATGGCTGCACAGATGGCTGGATGGACACTGAAGCTATGTTCCTGCTGGGGGTCAGGGTGAGTGGAGATCAGGGGCATGGAGCCGAGACTGGGCCCATGTCCCGAACATGTCGGGAGGCCAGGGCCGACAGATGGAAATGAAGGATCAAGGCACACCTTGCGGGGGTCTTCTCTACTTCCAGGGGCTTGGCCAGCTGGCCAGTGTGGTCCAGAGGATGTGGGTCTCCCATCTGCTCCCTTATCAGGGCCCTGGTGAAGAGGCCTGGAGAAAGGAGGGGTTGAAGCACCTGGGGGAAAGCGGGAGGGATGGGAAGAGACCAGAGGGCAACTCAGTGAAGATACTCAGGACAGAGGGACAGACCTGCCCATGGCCAAGCAGCTCTGGACCTTCAGCTAGGAGGTCAAGGGACCCTGGAGTCAGAGTGTGTTGGCAGCTTAATACATCACCCGGAATAACTACTGCCAGTTTAGGTCACATGGCCTGAAGGCTGGAATGTGGAAAGTGAAAGTTCTCTATGGGCCGTGCAGACCACTCTAAGGACTTGTGCTCAGTCCCTGGAATAGTCCTGGAAGAGGGACGGCTGAATTGGCCCCAGGATACTAGAGCAGCTGGGGTGGCTCAGCCTGCAGAAGAGCAGCCTTGAGGCTTTGGCTGAGGAGAAGCAGACAGGCCAAGAGGACCAGAGGGTGGGGCCAGAACCCAGAAGGGGGTCACCTCTCTGTGCAAGGATGACTTTTCTCTCAACATCCAGAGTTGCTCAAGAAGAGAGGGTGTTGCCCTCCCACCCCATAGCTCAGTTCCTGGCTCCTTCCTCTGGGTTCAGCTGGGGCAGGGGCACCTGGGCTCTTTCCACCCAAGGAAGGGGGTTCCAGGCTCTGTCTTTCCTGGCATTCCAGTGGCCCATTGGGGCCCCAGGGCCTAAGGGCCGGATGAGGAAACACAGAGCCTGCTGGGCCGTGGCCCCAGGCACAGGCTCTGGGCTGAGAGGCCTAGAGAGAAGAGCCTGGGACTCCAGGGGGCTGTGTGACTCACTCATGCTGCCTGGGGGGACCCAAGCTCAGCTGCCTCTGAGCTGTCTCAGTTTTGTTATCTGTGAAGTGGGGACACCCAGTGTTTAACCTTCAGCTGGTGGAGGACATGCAAGGGAGGCAGCTGTGTCTGAGCTTCATAAACTGTATAATGCAGTGACGATTTCAATCACCATTTCTATCATTGGATTAGTTTCGGTCTGTTAAGAAGCCCAAAGTGATTTTGCCAAGCAAGACAGGATTAGATGTGCAAGGAAATTTTGCAGGGAGGGAGCAGGAGAAGGCAGAGAGAAGTTCAGAGGGCAGCACAATTCTGACACTTGTGCTGGGAGAAGGGGAAGAAGGACTGGGCAGGAGGAGTCTTGGAATGTGATGCAATTCCAAAAAGCTTCAGCCAGGATGATGATTGGGCCTGGGAGCTTTTCCAGCAGGTGAGTGCAAGGAGTCCTGGGTCTCTCTGGGATATTGCTGCATTCCCATTCCTAGCTCTGTGCTCTGTCGTTGGTTGGGAGCAGCTCACAGTGGCCTCAGTGCAAATGTGATGGCAGGTGTGGAGGAGCAGTCAGTGACCTATGCTGCAGAGATAAGTCGAGATCTGAGTGATACATCTTCATGGCCACCATAATCCTAATTATCCAAAACCCATCTATACCCAAGATGGGTTGGGTCAAGTCCTGCCAGGTAACCAGAGGTTACTTGGAGCCTCAGAGGCCAAAGTTTGTTATTTAAACAGAGATGTGTTTCCCTTCTTCACATTCCTAGAAGGGGAGGTTTCCAGGTATAACTGGAAATTCTTGCCCCATAACAAGGCAACCTGCTGGAGGACCAGCCATCAGCTGCATGGGACGGGCAGCCAGAGGGGCTTGGGGTTAGATTCAAGGGCAGCAATAAATGAAGGTTTCATGGATGGATGAAAAAAGAACTGGAATAGAATATAGGTAGCTTACTATTCTATTTCTATCTTGGAATAGAGGAAGGCTTTCCAAGCACAATCCCAAAACCATAGACCACAAAGAAAAATACTGGTAGGTCTGTCTACATCAAATTTTTAAAATTCTATGTGTAAAAAAGTATATAACCAAAGCTAAACTAGAGGAGTTTGCAGCATGTGCTTGGCAGACAATAGGTTGGCACTCCTGCTATACAAAAAATGCTTATCGGTTACTACGACCAAGATGGACACCTCCATAGTATATATGCCCTTTGTCCTTGCAACTTCTTGGAAATAGACAAGTGCTCCAAAATATAGAGATTTATGTTTTATTCTTTTTCTTTTTCTTTCTTTTTTTTTTAGAAATAGGGTCTCACTCTGTCTCCCAGACTGGAGTTCAGGGGTCAATCATGGCTCACTGCACTCTCCCATCTCTGCCTACCAAGTAGTTGGCTTTACAGGTGTTAGAAATAAATTTTCGGTGCTGCAAAAGAAATAGCACTCAAACGTGAATTTTCTCAGCAAGGCAATTTTACTTCTATAGAAGGGTGCATCTTGCAGATGGAGCAAAGGTGAGAGCACACAAGGGAGGGGAAGGGGTTCTTATCCCTAACGCAGGTAGCCCCTACTGCAGTGTCATTCCCCTATTGACTAGAATTGGACTGCACAGTCTAAGCTAATTCTGATAGAATACTGGACAGCTATTGACAGTGATTCCAAAGATTTCTGTTATTGATATCTTTGGATATTTGTTATTGATATCTGTTATTGATAGAAAAATGACCATAATATATCACATGATGGAAAATATTTATTAGAAGCTGTGGGCAGGCATACATACATACATTCATATATATCATGTATATGTATAAAACAAAAGCAGTTGGGGCCGGATGCAATGGCTTATGCCTGTAATCCCAGCAGTTTGGGAGGCAGAGGTGGGCAGATCACTTGAGGTCAGGAGTTCGAGACCAGCCTGGTCAAAATGGTGAAACCCCCGTCTCTACTAAAAATACAAAATTTAGCTGGGTGTGGTAGCATATCTCCAGCTGCTTGGGAGGCTGAGGCAGGAGAATTGCTTGAACCTGGGAGTTGGAGGTTGCAGTGAGCTGAGATTGCTCCACTGCACTCCAGGCTGGGCGACAGAGTGAGACTCTGTCTCAAAAAAAACCAAACCAAAACAAAACAAAACAAAAAACCCAGCAAAACAAAAAAAAACAAAAAAAACCAAAAGTGGTTGGATGAGATTCTCTTGGGAAGATAGAATCTCCCAATATTGAATGTTTTATTACATGTAGTTTCTAACTTAGTTATTAAAATCAGAGCCAGTCTCTCTCATTTAACAAATGGGGAAACTGAGGTTGAGAGTGGGCAAGAGCCTTTCTGGGACCAGGCCCCCTGTCTCTGGGCTGCCTTCGCTGTCCTGCGGGCCCCCTTCAGCCCCTTAGGATTTCACAGTGTGGCCTTAGGCAAGTCTCTTCCCTCTCTGGCTGGCTGCAGTGGGGAAGGGGCTCTGAGGCTGCTCAGCCTATTTTTCCAGCCTGCTAGGGAGGTCCCAGCCTCTGAGACCAGCACCCTGCCTCCTCACCCTTCCCCCTGCCTGAAGAGTTGGCCCCAACAGCAAGGCTGGGCCAAATTTCATCACACCAGGCAAAGGAATGGGCCAGCATGAGTCACGAGCGAGCCGGGCCATAGGAGGTAGGGGCTGACCATTCCCAGACGGGAGTTGTGAGGCCAGGCGACTTTCCTGGAATAAGTAGACTGCTTGGGAAAGTGCAGAGAAATCCCAGAGTGGAATAAAAGTTGTAATGCCTCTCCCCCACTCCTCTCCCCAGACACTCTATTCTATGCACTTCAGCCCTTTTTGCCACTCTGCCAAGGGGTCACCCAGTCCTTGTCCACACACCCCAGCTCCCCACTACCTCACTACGATGTTCTCCCTCTTCCTCTAGAAGGGCAGGGAAAAGCGTGCGGACTCTGGAATTGGGCTGCTCCAGGTGGGGGCCCTAGCTATCATGCTGAGCCTCAGTTTATTTGTAAAATGGGGGAAATATCTAGTACCTCTAGAATTGTGTAGAGGATTAAATGAACTAATCCGTGTAAGGTGCCTGTTAAAATGCTTAGTACACAGTATATGGTTAACAGACACGAGTTTATTTTTCATCACAGTCGCTGCCCCCTTTATTTAAGGCAAACCACCTTTGGAGAGAGCCTAGACATCATAAAAAATGGAACCTCAATGGCAAACACCAGTGTTCAAAGGGGCCTGGGAAGTGCAGGTGCTGGACTTGGTGGGTAATGTTGTCTCAGTGAGATGAATTCCATTAGCCAAGGCTCTTGGGTGATAGAAGTGAGCACACCAAATCTCAGGTGCAAGAAACCCCAACTAAACCAACTCAAAAACAAAACCCCAACTCAAATTGGCTGAAGCCCCAAAGAGCATTTATTGACCCCTGTAACTGAAAGATCCAAGGGCAAGATGGCTTCAGGCTGAGCTATAACCAGGTGCTTAAACATCATACCATCAGAAAGCCTCTCTCTCCTTCCCCTCCTCCTCTCAGCCCTTACCTCTGAGCTGGTTTCATTCTCAGCAAGTTCCCCTAAGAGGTGGTCTCCAAGCTACTGGCTCACACCCCCAGCTGGGCAATAGGGCAGAAAGAGCGCTCCCTCCCCTGGCTCCAGGGCAGGCACAATCTGCCTTACATACAGATGCCCCTCACTAGGGCCACATACCCTTCCCTGAGCCAACCACCGTGGCTGGGGAGGGGATTCCCCAGTGGGCCACACCACATCAACCGAATGAACCACATCAACCCAGAACGGAGCCAAGAAGGCTCTGCAGAGGAGCCTCAGGGGCTGGCAGCTGGAGCAGGGGATGGGGATGGGCAGAAACCAAAGATGTAGACTGCACAGGTCTTCTTGGAAGGCTCTGAGTCATGAGCTTTGGTGGGAGACTAGAGAACACAGCTCGTCTATGACTTCTTAGTAGAGCATTTGAGCTCGATATTGAAGTGGGAGGGGTGGTTGTTAGTTGGGTGTAGGTTAGGCTGTTAGCTATAGCAAGGCTATAAAAGACTCATGTGAAGGTACAGGCCAGGTGTGGTGCTCCTCTGCTGCCCAGGGACTCCCTCCATGCAAATGTGACTCTCACCTGGTAATACAAAGTGGCTGTATCATCTTTTCCTTTAAGGCCATGAGCCAGAAATTGTCCACATTACTCTGCCCCAATTCAACAGCACGACATGTTTGTGGTCCCACCTGGCTGCCAGGGAGGGTGGGAGTGAAATCTTCAGCCAGAAAGCCATCTAAAATTTCTATAGTTATGTTTCTTACATGAATGGTGGGGGCCGATGAGGGTTTCTGCCACAGGGTAGGAAGGATGTGGGTAGGTGGAACAGCATTCACAGTGGGATGGACAGGCAGAGAGGTGGGGAAGTTCCTGGTGTAAGAGAAGAAATCAGCTTTTCATTGGGTGAGGAGTAGGGCTCTGGGATGTAAGGACGGGGTGTAGGTGGGTGAAAGGCTGGAGATGCAGTGGGGATCCAGACCAGAGAGAGCCTGAACTCGGCTCCCAGGAGTGACTGTGTCCGGCTCCCAGGAGTGACTGTGTGCCCACATGTCCATGCTCTGCTCATGCTACCTGCCAGCAGCTGCCCTCGGGCCTGGGCCTGGGGTGTATAGACTGGTGTGCAGTCCACTCTTGGGAGGAGGGAAGACGGAAAGAGACTTGTGCAGGCTTTGGGGGTCAGGGCCATTTAAGCAGGGACTTCCGGGCACTGGCATATGATCTGGAAAGGAGTAGGGGGTCATCAGGGACTCCTGGCGGGCACATCTCATTGTTCTCTTAGACTCTTCACTCTGGGGAGGGACAAAGCTGGAAGAGGAAGGCTAGAGGGAGGTACCCCAAGTGGTGTTTTTCAAATCTGGCAGCACATCTTACAACCTACTGGGGATTACAAAAAAAAAAAAAGTACTGATGCCCAACTCCACCCTCTGGAGACTGGGATTTAATTGTTCTGGAGTAGAGTCTAGACAGTGGTATTTCCAAAACAACAACAACAACAAAAAAAAAAAAACAAAAAAGAGAAATTCCCCAGGTGATTCAGATGCACTGCCAGGTCTGAGAAGCCTTGTTCTAAAGCCTGGGAGCGGGTGTGGTGTCCTGGGTCTTCGTTGGGCAGCAGGATGGCAGGTGGGGCTGTCCCCTGGGGGAGGTGGGCCTATGTCTAGATATCTTTCCTATCGTGTGGAATTCTTCCCCTCGAGGGTCTTGGGGGGCCTGGACACTGACTTTCCTAGTATCTCTTGCAACTGGGGACAGATGGGAGACCCACACTGCCCCCACTGTGGCTGCAGCTGCTGTCAAATGGGAGGTGGGAGAGATGACTAAGCAGGCTCAGGGCCGAACCCACTGCTGGGGAAGGAGAGGCACTGTGACCCTTGGAGGGAGCTGGGGAGAAGTCCTGGCGGGGAGTCCGGGGCCCACCATTCAAGGAGTGGGCAGCCCTCACGCTGTCTGCACCCAGGTGGGCAGCGAGATTTTGGGCCCTGTCACTGGGCCTTTCTCCCCGAAGCTTGGTTTCCAGGCACACTGTGATCACAAATTTCTTTTCTCATCCAAACAGCTCAAGTTAATGTTGTTTGTGATTAACAACAACAAACATTTAATGGAGGGCTTATGATATACCAGACACTGCTGTAAGCATCTTAACTTCAAAACAATCCTATAAGGCAGGAACTTCTTTATAGGCTAGGACACTGAGGCCAGAGGGTTGAAGCCACCTGCTGAAGGTCATACAGGGAGGATGTGGATTTAAATCAAAGCCATTGGGTCCCAGAACCCATGCTCCAACGTAGGCAGCCTCCCCAAGGCTACCCAGTGAGGATGCAGACCCAGGAAGCTCAGCAAGGCTTCTCTTCCCAATCCAGGCTGCACAGGTGGGACAAGTGAGCCTCATGCCTGCTGGCCCTGGCGCCTCAGTGCCCAGGGAGCTGGTGAGATTGTCACTGATGTAAATAACTTCGCTGCCCACTGTGATCATTCTGTCTAGGCCTTATCAGCCTGACTTCCTCCAACCATTTCTCAGCCAGGCCCTGGGCCCCAAATTCCTGGTGGGTGATGCGTGCTCTGTCTGCGATAACAGTCTTGGAAGGGCTCTGAAGGGACAGCCGCTTTGGCCGCATCTCCGGCTCAGATAACAGGACGGGAGAAGTGTCTCCACTTTATCTTGTGGAAGGCGGGCCAGGCCTTGGGCTCCCTGGGCTGCAGAGTGAGCTGCATCTGGCTCAGTGCCTCTCCTCCCAGGCCTGGGGAAGGGAGCCTCATTAGCAGCTGCCCAGGGTCTCTATCACCCCAGGCCACTGCCCCTCCTTCCCCCACAGGAGGAAGGATTCAATCTGTCATTTACTCATCAGATATTTACTGAGCACTCCCTTGGGTCAAGTCCCATCCAAAGTACAGATAATCCCTGACTTACGATGGTTCGATTTAGGATTTTTTGAATTTAGGATGTTGAGAAAGTGGTACACACCCAGGAGAAACCCTACTTGGAATCCCCAGGCAATCATTCTGTTTTTCACTTTCTGTGCAGTATTCAATGAGTTACATGAGATATTCAATGCTTCATTATAAAATAGGCTTTGTATTAGATGATTTTGCCCACCCGTAGGCTAGTAATGGAAGTGTTCTGAGCACATTTAAGGTAGGCTTGGCTGAGCTATGATGTTCTGTAGGTTAGGTGGATGAAATGCATTTTCAACTTACTATATTTTCGATTTACGATGGGTTTATGGGGACATGATCCCATTATAATCGAGGAGCATCTGTACTTTCGGTTTGGCTCATTTCGGTTCATTTGATCTTTCCAATAACATTATAAGATAGGCTTTGATGTCGTTATGTTCATTTTACAGTTGAGGAAATAAAGCCCAGAGAGGTGAAGTAACTTGCCCAAGGTCACACAGCTGGTGTGTGGTGACTTTCTTAATGACCAGGTGATCCTACCTATAGTCATTTATAAATGAATAAGAGAAATCAGCCAGTGACAAGTACTGTAATAACAGTGCGGCCGAGTCCCAGGGTGGAGAGTGGTAGTTGCTACCTCTGCTGGGGTCTCAGGGAGGGCTTCTCTGGGGGTGGTGGGATTTCAGCTGCATCTTAATGCAGGGATGAGTCAGCCACGGTGGATCTGGGGAAGAGCATCCCAGGCAGAGGGAACAGCAATGGCAAAGGCCCTGAGGGAACAGCAAGCACAGAGCTCCAATGGGGAAACGGGCCCAGAGGGAAGGCACCTGCCTGGGGTTAGACACAAGTTGGGGCAGGCCAGGCACAGGCTGCCAGCTCAGGCTTTGGCCCCTCCATCCGCTCCTGGCTTCTCTGTGGGTGGCCCCATCTAAGCCAATGGGCCCTTCCTGGCTCCACCTCCTCTCTGCTGTGCGGCCCTGGGCAGGCAGCTGCCCTGCCCTGTGCCTTTGCTCTTGGCTGCCTCACCCCTGTCCTGGGCTGCAGGGAGACCCCTGGGGGTGGGGGCAGGCACACTTTGGGCCCATGGCTGCTGCTCAGATGTGAGGTGGTGACCACCAGGCCATACGTCTCTGGACAGGGATGGGAGAGACTCAGAGAGACACAGAGACCAAGAGATAAAGTCAGAGGGAGATGCAGAGACCAAGAGGGACAAACCAAGGGAGACAGAGAGATGACATTAGATCAGAGATGGAGACCCCGAAAGAGACCCAGAAAGGGATCGGTGTGGGCTGGGGGAAGAGACACCCCGGGGGTCACACAGTGGTCACAGGCATCAGAGCTGGGCTGAGGAAAAGGACAAACTGAACCTGTTCCAAAGCTGGGGGCTCAGTACCGTCTGCCCAGGCACATGCAGCAGCAGTGGGGCTGCAGGCAGGCCCCCAGGGTAGGAAGCAAGGCGGGTGGGAGGCAGGGCCTGGCCTCTGGGCAGTTTTGTAGCCGGGCCCCTCAGGCCCTCACAATGTGCCCAAGGCTGCTGGGCCCATCTTCCAGGGGTGATCACTGAGGCTCAGGCTGGCTGAGGTGGCCGGACCCCAACCCCTGGCCCTGCCCTGTGGGCAGCAGTGCCAGGTCTGGCACTCAGAGGTTAGGCCGGGCGCAGGGAGGGTGCGGGCTCCGCAGCGAGCGCGCCGGGCGGCCTCTAGGAGCCGGGTCAGCGAGTCTGGGCTCTGAGCGAGCGGCGCCGGCCCGGCCCCCTCTCCGGCGGGCGGCCGAGACCCCGCCCCGGAGGCGGAGGCGGAGTCAGGGGAGGGGGCCGGGGGCCGGCTGGTCCCGCCTCTCGCGCCTCCGCCCCGCCCCGCGCGCACACAGCCAGGGGCCGCCCGGGCTCTCGACGCGCCGACGGCCGGGCGGACGGACGGACGGACGCCGAGCGCAGTGCCCCGCGGTGAGTGCACGCGGCCCCTCCCGCCCGGACTCATCCCCGTCGGTCCGCGCCTCGCAGCTCAGGACTCGGGGGCGCTCGGACGCACCGACGGCTCGGCGGACCCTCGGACGCGCCTCGCGGGCTGCCCGCGCCTCCACCCGCGCCGCCGGTCCGACCGGGTCTCGCTCTCCCGGTCCCAGCGCGGGGACGGCCCGCGAGCGCCGCGACCCAGTGTACAGATGCGGGCACAGAGGCCGGCGCGGGGTGGGGGCCAGGGGTCCGCGGGCGGGTTCCCCCACCCCAGGTCCGCAGCTTCCTCCGCTCTGGGTTTCACTTCTCCCCCCTGGGCCGGCTCCCACCAGTCATCCCCTCTGGTCCCACTGCCCACCCCCACCCCGACCGCAGGACCTTGCCGCCCCTCCAGTCCAGAGGGCCGGGTCAACCCCCTCGGGGAAAGAAGACTAGAGTCCCTGGTCTAACACTACCCCCTCCATCACCCCCAAGTCACACTCACCGCCACACACGCACTCACACAAGCAGAAGTTTCTGCACGCTCTGCATTGGCGCGCCCACCCTGCCTGTCACCACATCCTCCCTCTCCCAGCCCCATGCTCACCCCGCCAGCTCCCCCAGGCCAGAATCTCTCACACTCATCTCACGTCCCCTTAGCACACAATGCTCCACACACACATGCCTTGCACATTGGCACCCCTCCGAGGCATGCCTCTAGCAGACAGTTGTGTCTCTGATAAACACATGTGCCCTTACTGCCCTCTGACACGCACACACGTCCGCCACACAGGGGTAGCTATCACATGCATATCTCCATCATATGTATCACACATGTGTCTCTCACATGCGTGTGCTCCTCAAATACCTGGAATCACAAACACTGGGAGTGCCACACACTGTGAGTCTCACATACGAGTCACAGACCCCCACGACTTCACAGTCCCAGCCCCCCTGGCACTCCATGGGCAGTCCTCCCCTGTCCTAGGGGGTGGGGAGCCGATTTTGGAGGAGGGAGGTGGTTCCTCCTGACAGAGGCTGCTTACCATGGGACCTGGGTGGCTGTGGGGAGCATGGGGGTGGCTCAGCCTCAGGCTGGGCCTGACTCCTCACCTCCGTGCATCCTCTCTCCCTTCCCCTGCTCCAGTCTCCGAAATAGGGGTGCCCTCCCTCCCTTTTTTGCTGCCACAAGGAGTTGCCCATATCAGCTTTGCAGTGATCACTTGGGCCAGTCCCAAGCAGGCCTGAGCCAGCAGGCGTCCCCTGACAGGCCAAAAAGAGAAAAAGGGAAGTCAAACAGGATGGTTTGGGTGCTTGTGTCTACCCTGATGCCCCTGAGATGCTGGTCCGGGCCCTCCCAGAGGGAGCCCTGATGAATTGGGTGGCAGCTGAGAAGTGTTCCCTCAGCCTGGCATGGATTGGGAGCTGGTGTGTGTTTGTGGCTGATAGGGGCTCTGGGCCTTAACTTCCCCATATGCCAAATGGGGTGAAGACTCCCCAGCAGGAGGAAGAGAGGGAGGGGGAGCTACTCCCCTGGGGTGCACCCTTGACTTCCCGCCCTCCCCTTCTGCAGCTGAGCTGTGTGATGGGGGTGAGCAGGGGATGAAGTCAAAGAATCTTATTCTGGAGGCACAAACCTGCCAGCCCCGGCTGTGGCTGGCCCTGCATGTTTTGTTTGGCTCTCACCATGTTATTATTATTTTAAAAAATTAATTAGCTGCCTGCATTTACAAATTGGCAGTTTTCACGTAAAAGTCCGGATTTCCGTCTTCTCTTGAAAAGTCACAAGGTCTGGTAGTTCAGGATCTGCATCTCCTGGCTGGTGCTGCCCACCCCCAACCCAGGGGATGGGGCAGGGGCGCTGTTTGGTCCCCGTCCCCACCTGGCCCTCTCATGCCTTCTCAGCTCCTGCCTGGCCTGCGTGGCCTTTGTGCGGCTGTGACTGCTGCATGCATTGGGCTGATTTTGCTCCATTGCCCGCCTCAAGCATAGGCCCAGGCTGGTCCTCCATGCATGGCTGGGGAAGCCCTGGGCGGGCCTCCTACCCTTCGAGGCCTTAGTCGTTGAAGCAATGAGTGGTGCCCAGGGCCCTGGGCCACAGGGCATCTTTGTGATGGTGGCAGACACTTCCTGCTAGGCTGTGGGGGACGGTGGTATGGGGACCCCGTGAAGCAAGAGCTCATGCCAGAGAGCATTCTCCGAGGCAGGCTTTATTCATCACTTTTCTTCCCAGATCCCGACATCCCTCCTGCAGGGTGGAACTCTTGCACCTATTTAAGAGACGGGGAAGGGGAGGTAGAGAAAGGGCCTCCCAGCAGGCAAGGGGGAGAGCTGGGGTTCAGCCCAGGATCTTTTCCCTCCAAAGCAAAGCTCTTTGCCCCTCTTACTGAGCCACTAGTGGGAGGACTTGGTCTCCTTGGCCGTGGGGGGAGTGCCCTGAGCCCATCCACACCTCACACGCAATAGGTGCTTCGTAAATGCTTGGGGCATGCTGATGGTAAGTGAAACTGGGTTCTCTGCAGCAAATTCGGGCCTAAGGTGAAGATTGCACAGCCACTTGACCTCCATCTCTTGACCTCGTGATCCGCCCGCCTCAGTCTCCCAAAGTGCTGGGATTACAGGTGTGAGCCACCGTGCCCGGCCCCTCCTTTTTTTTTTTTTTTTTAAAGACAGGATCTCGTCCTGTCTCTCAGGCTGGAGTGCAGTGGTGTGATCACAGCTCACTGCAGCCTCAAACTCCTGGGCTCAAGTGATCCTCCAGCCTCAGCCTCCCAAGTAGTTGGGACTACAGACGCACACCAGCCAGCTAATTTTCTATTTTTTGTAGAGATGAGGTCTCACTTTGTTACTCAGGCTGATCTTGAACTCTTGGCCTCAAGTGATCCTCACTCACAGCAGGTGCAGGTGATTGGGTGTGATGAGGAGCTGCTGGTGGATTCTGGTTTGGGGAGGGGTGGGG
This sequence comes from Homo sapiens, assembly GCF_000001405.40. Taxonomy (NCBI): domain Eukaryota; kingdom Metazoa; phylum Chordata; class Mammalia; order Primates; family Hominidae; genus Homo; species Homo sapiens. The sequence continues at coordinate 13,552,156 of NC_000003.12, forward strand.
TCTAATTGAGATCCTAAAGGTCCCTTCCCCCACACTGCTGCTGGCAGGGAACAGGCTGGAGGGCAGCTGTGGGGATCCATGCAGCTTCCAGGTGAGAGAAGTTGGGGCTTGGATTAGGGCAGTGGCAGCATTGGAGGTGAGAGTGGTCAGATTTGGACTGACTTTGCAGGTGGGGCTGCCAGGATTTCTTGATGGATTGGAAGTGGAGTGAGTGAAAGGGGAGGCCAGGGTGAGGCCGGCTGTCCTGCCCGGTGGTGGACGTAAACACCATGCATGGCTTCTGGTCCTTAGCAGCCCTCTGTCATCCAGTTTCCTTCCCCAGGTCCCCGAGTGTGGGTGGTGCAGGTGTCCGTGTGGCTGCAGGCAGCTCTGCCTCCAGGGCGCCTTCTGAATGCTGGGGCTGCAGAGGTCTACCCTCCCAATAGACCAGACAGAGGCGCTGCTCCTGTATGCTACAGGGGCAGAGGGGACCACAGGGCTGTACCTCCAGCCAGGCATTATAGGGTGGTGGGAGCAGTGGGTTTGTGGCTTCACCTCGGGAGGGCTGGGAGCTGTGACTGGGTGTTGTGTGGGGGCGGCCAGGGAGGGGCTCCCTGGAGTTGGCGTTCCTGCTTTAGCAGCTCTATGAAACCCTTTGCCAGGGAGTGTGCCCAGGGCCTTGGATTCTCTTCATCACCCCACAGTGCTGGCAGTAGCCTCTGGTGTGGGCCAATGCTGTGCCAGGGGCTGGTGTACAGAGGAGCGGAACACAGGGCCCCTTTTAAGGTCATCCCCAGGGGTGCCTGCATGGGTTGCTCTGAAATGCTTTGTCGGGGCCATCCTGGAGGAGAACGCTGAAGCCATGGGAACTGAGGAGGCATCTAGCTGAGCCTGGGTGGTCAGGGAGGGCTTCCTGGAGGTGGCGCAGGCACTGTGATATGAAGGTACAGGGGTGAGGGGCACCTGGGGACAGAAGAAAGCCTGGCTTCTTTCAGAGTGGGGGCTTGGAGGAAGAGTGGGAAGTAAGGCTGGCAAGGCCAACTAGACCCTGAAAACGGAGGCCCTCCAGTCCTGGTCTGCGAGCGAGCAACAGGCAGCCTCAGGGCGTTCCGAGCAGAGGAGGCGCGGCCAGACTGTGAGGTTGAAGGGTCCCTCTGCAGCCCAGGTGTAGGAGTGGGCCTGGAGAGGACAAGGCGGCAGGTGGGAGACCTGTGAGAGTGACAGGGCCGGGAAACTGAGGCGCAGAGTGGGGCGTGCTTGCCTGCAGTCACATAGCGACTGAGGAGGAAGAGCTGGGACGGGAGCCAGCTCCGTCCACCTCCAGGTCCTGCCTGGCGAGCTGCCCTCGTGTACGGGGCACCACTGCACGCCCACACCACAAACTCGCCTCAGCTGGGCACGTCCTTTCCCAGGGCCCCTCGTGGGTCAAGCCGTGCGTCATTTTGTGCCATTGTCTTCAGTTATTGGAATTTGGAAACGTTGCAGAAATGCCTCTCTCTCCCCTCATATATGGAGATTGTTGCAAAGCAAGTGCTGGTTTGGGGAAAGGTTATTTCCTTCCTCGAGGGTGGGGAGCCTGGCTTTCCTGAGAGGGGCTGTATTGTAGGCGGCCAGTGCGTCCCGCCCAGGTCTGTGTGCTGGTGAGGAAGTGGTGCCACCCACCTGTGCCGGGCCAGGGATGTGGAGGGGAGCACCCATGTGCTCAGGCAGACCCTGCCAGTCCCAGGTCTCACACCTTGTCGGGCTTCTGGTTGCTCATCTGTGAATCGGGGGCGCCCCCCTGGCTATGCTGACATTGTTGCCCAGGAAGAGCCTTGAAACAGGAGGAGGGCTCTGAAGTGTGATGAGGCCCAGCTGGGCGCGTGGGGAGCACCGTGGGAGTTGAGCATTGCCTGGGCCTGAGCCCCCGGAGCCTGCATCATGAGGGATTTGTCTCCTATCCTTAGCTTCTCAATCTGGAAAATGGGCCTGGTGGTAGGGGCCCCCAGTAGGGTTGGTGTGAAGGCTGAAGGATGAATGGAGAGCCCCAGGCCCACTCTGGGGAGGCGGACAGTGCTGCTGGCCGTAGCTGGTTCTTGAGTGTGGCTGAGTGCAGCCACCTGTGTCTCCCGTGGCTTCTGTCTTCTGGCCACGGAGACACCATCATCTGTGTTGGGGCCAGCCCTTGGGCTTGTGATCGGGGTACCCCAGTGCTTGATAAGCCTCCCAGAGTTCTTCCCTCCTTAGCCTGGGACCCCCATCCTGGCCCTGAATTCCCAGCCCCAACCTTGGTCCCAAGTTGAGCTTTTAGATGATCCAGAAAGTTCTGTTCTTCTTAGAGTCTCCTCAAAATGAAAACACATCGTCAAAAAACATTGATGAGCATGCATGCGCGTGCCCACACACACGTTCTCTCTTTCTCTCTGTCTCTTGTCTGTCTCTGAAGATCTCGCTCATCACTGTGTTTTCTTAGACAACTTCCCTAGTCCTCGTGGTGGTTGGTGTTGGCTGAGCATCTCAATGTCCTCCCTCATCTCTGCTCCCCTGCATGGCTGTGGAAACAAATTAATTTCACCGTTTTGGCCCATGGGCATCCCAGGGGCCCTGATGGCTGTTGTCTGATTATGGGGCTGGTAGAGGCAGAGGGCTTCTACGGGGACCTGTGCACTTTCTTGGGGAATAAGCCAGAGGGTGTCAGCTTCCTTTCTGACAGAGTGAGGATGAGTTTCACCACCGTGTTTTCGGCTGCATCCTCCTACCTCCTGTCCTTGACATCATACTTAATAACTTAATGTTATTTTAAAAAATCCCTTCCCTGTTTTGCTTATATTTACTTTTTTTTTTTTTTTTTTTTTTAAATACTGAATTTTACTCTGTCACCCAGGCTGGAGTGCAGTGGTGCGATTCCGGCTCACTGCAACCTCTGCCTCCCAGGTTCCAGTGATTTTCCTGCCTCAGCCTCCCGAGTAGCTGGGACTACAGGTGCGTGCCACCACACTGGGTTAATTTTGTATTTTTAGTAGAGATGGGGTTTCACCATGTTGGCCAGGCTGGTCTCAAACTCCTGACCTCAGGTGATCCACCTGTCTTGGCCTCCCAAAGTGCTGGGATTACAGGCGTGAGCCACTGTGCTTGGCTGCTTATACTTACTTTTAAAGGAAACCTTTGATCACAACTGTAGACAGAAATCAGGATCACTTGTCCTAAACCAGCAATACCCATAAAAATAAATATGGCACTAAAAATACAGTGCTTAGCATCTTAGCCACCTTGTATGCCCTGCCACAGCCTTGAGCCCGAGTGAGTGTTCCCTGTTTTTTTTTTATTTATTTTTATTTTTATTCATTTATTTATTTTTTGAGATGGAGTCTCGCTATGTTGCCCAGGCTGAAGTGCAGTGGCGCCATCTCGGCTCACTGCAAGCTCCGCCTCCCAGGTTCATACCATTCTCCTGCCTCAGCCTCCCGAGTAGCTGGGACTACAGGCGCCCGCCACCATGCCTGGCTAATTTTTTGTATTTTTAGTAGAGACGGAGTTTCACCGTGTTAGCCAGGATGGTCTCGATCTCCTGACCTTGTGATCCACCCGCCTTGGCCTCTCAAAGTGCTGGGATTACAGGCGTGAGCCACTGTGCCCAGCACCCTGGTTTTTAAAAAGAATGGTTGGCAAGCGTCTGAGAGGTGTGGGAGGCACACCCGTGCTGTCTAGAGACGGTCTCCAATAGCCAGATTGGTTCAGAGGGATTCGCGGGGACATTTCCTCACAAGATCACCGAGCGTTGGTGCTTGTCCCTGAAATCAGCTGTCCTTGGAACAGTCATCTCTATCCCTGCCCAGGAAGTCCCCTGTGGTAGGGGCGTCACATACCTCACATCTCCTGGGGCTGCCTTGGCATGTTTCGTGCTAGGCTGGGGTTGATGGAGGAGGCCCCAGCCCTCTAGCAGGAATGTCTTCTCTGAGACCAAGTGTCTGGCTCTCAGGGAGTGGCCATGTCCTCTGTGCCCCCAGCTCCGTGCCCTAAGACTGTCCTGGCGGGTTCCGGCTGCTATAACAAATGTCACAGATGAGTCGGGGAGGAGATTGAAGATGGACATTTATTTCTCAGTTGTGGAGGCTGGAAGTCTAAGCCCTAGATTTCGTTCCTGGTGAGAGTTTTCTTCCCGGCATGCACGTGGCTGCCTTCTTGCTGTGTCCTCACAAGGTGGGGGGTGGGAAGCGGCGGACGGAGAGAGAGAGAGAAGGGAAGAGAGGGAGGGAGGGAGGGAGAGCTAGTGAGCTCTGGTCTTTCTTTCTGTAAGGACACTAATCCACACATGGGGGCTCCACCCATGTAACCTCATCTAAACCTCCTAATGGGGGGCCCCACCCCCTGATACCATCCCACTGGGGTCAGGGCTTTCACATAGAAATGTAGGGAGGACACAGATGTTCAGCCTGTAACAGACTGGTTTAATGAACTGCTGAGGATGGAAACACTGTAACACCAGCTGCCAGTCCCTGTGTGACCCCAAGGCAGGGTGTGGTGGGGAGGCCATGGCTTCCTGTGCATGGGATGGGAGGAGTGACCCCTCTTTGGCCCTAGACGTTGGGGTTCCCAGGGTCTGGTTGGGCATCAGCACATGACACTGTAGCCCACCTATGACCTGGGCTTGGTCCCCCACAGTGACTTCGGAAGTTGGCCTGCCCATTGCTGGAAGCAGGGGCCCCTTTGCACAGGCTTGTCTGTGTCTGAGGCTATTCAGGAGACGTAGGGGCCCCACTACATCCTCCTGGAAGGACTAGTGATCTGTCAGCCCTGGGTCAAGTTGCAGCCACCAGGACTCCCTCACGCCCCATCTTTCTTTTGTCTCTGCCTTTCTCTGTGAGCCTGGTTGATTCTCTCGAAATGAGGCCCGCCACATGGCAGGAAATGTGCCCACCTTCAGAACTTGCTGTTTCTTCCTCTGCAGGTGGTCTGTGCTTTCTTTTATTTCCACTTCAAGAGCTCAGGGAGGAGCTGTGACCAGCCCAGCCTGGGAAGAACATCTGCCCTGGGCCAGTCAGCTGTGGCTGGGGAGGGTCAGGAGGTCATGCGTTGATGTGGCCCCAGGCGCATGTCTGGAGCCATTCCCTGAGCCTGGGGACTGAGCGAGGCAGCCTGCTGCCCTAGGAGGGGTCTAGTCTACTGCAGGGACACATAACCCCAGCAACTCAGACATTTTGGGGTTAAGTCAGCCATGAATACAAGAAGGTGGTTCTTCTTTCTTTGTTTTCACAAATGTCAGGATAATTTTGGTTACAGGTGATAGAAAGTACAATTTCAGCAAAAAAGTCATGGAACTAAAAAAATACAGGGTGTAGCTTCAGGCATGGCTGTATCCAGGGCCTCTGCAGATGCCATCAGGACCGGGTCTCCATCTCTTGCTCTGCTGTTCTCTGTGTTCCATACTCCCAGGCAGGCTCTGCCGTGTGGTGGTCAGGTGCCCCAGCAGCTCCAGGCTCACCCTCGAGCTCAGAAGCTCTGGAGCAAGGCAGCCTCCTCCCAGGAGCATCAGCATGGGCCATGTGACTGGGTCGTGTGACTGCTCTGACCTGTCACTGTGGATGGGGCAGGGACTCCTCTCATTGGCCATCCAGCAGTCCACGTAGCCTGAAGTGTGAAGGGGGGTTCCCCAGAGGAGAAAGGCTGCAGTGATTAGACCCACTGTGCAGATGAAAGCATTGCTGCTCAGAGGGTCACATGCTCCGAGGTGCCCAGCAGCCTAGTGGCAGGGCTAGGTTCAAATTTGAGCTCTGATCTCTGGGAGTCCAGAGCTTGGTCCTGCTGGCTGTCTCCCTTGGCTTTGGCAGCAGGGGCTGACTGCCTTGGGGGCCTCCAAGGCTCTTGAGCCCAACGGTTATACCACAGACTGGGCCAGACCCCGCTGTTGGTTGTACACTGGCCGCCTCACTGGCAGCCCTGAGAAATTCCTAAATTTCAGGGCCGTGCAAATAAATTGGGCACAGCAAAGGCCTGAGGGACTCGCAGAGAGACTGGGCTGCCCGCTCCCCTGGCTGCTGCCTCCTTCCAGATGCTGTGGTGGCCAAGGGAGCCTGGTTCTGCCGTAGGCCGGCCCCGCCTGCCTGTCTCCATCGCTGTCTGTCTCTGGCTGTCTGCTTGGCTTTCGGTCTGTGCTTCTCTCCATCTCTGTCTTGGTCTCTTTCTGTCTCACTAATGGATCTCTTTCCTTGTCTCTGTCAGTCTCTGTGTCTCTCTCTGCCTGTCTTTTGCTGGCACCACTCCCCCCACCCCGCCACCCAAGTCTAGGATCTCAGCCCTTTGTGAGACTAAAAGGCGGACGCAGGAGTGAAAGTGCCTCTGTATGAAAGGTGGACACGTACCTTGGTTGTTTAGGTCACTTAGCCAGTGACTAGCCAGGTGACTTCAGGGAAGCCTTTTCTGTTTCTGAAGGCCCTTCTGGGATACTCACATTCATAATTCATCCCATCCTCTCTGCCAGCCCTGTGCTCGGGCCATACGGATTAATTAATCTACCCCTCTCCACTCACCCACCCATCCATATACCCACACACCCATCCATCCACCCGCCCACCCACCCATCTGTTCACTTACCCACCCATCCACCCACCTACCTACTTTTTTAGCCACCCATCCATTCACTCGTCCATCCATCCATCCATCCATCCACCCATCCACCCACCCACCCACCCACCCACCCACCTACCTACCCATTCATCCATCTACCTACTTATCCCACCCTCAGGGCTTGGCTTTAAAGCATGGGGTGGGATTTGGGTGTTCAGGGTTCTAGGAGAGTTTCAGGAGAGAGGGCATCGCAGGTTGAGCTAATGATGAGAGAAAGATAAGGGGTTGGGAACTAGAGAGAGTTTTCCAGTTTAGCAGGAGTTGGGTTTGTGGAGGACAACAGAGGGGGATGGGTTAGGAAAGCTAGGTGGGGTTAGTTGGTGAAGGGCTTTGAATGTCTCCGTTAGGAGTTTTTTCTTTATCCTTGGGCCACAGGACTTCAGCCAGGGGTCTGTGAGTGGACTGCAGGGAGTCTATGAAACTCCCTCACATAGCAGTTTTAGGTATGTGCCCATATGTCTGTTAAGGCTCTTGGTTGCAAGGGACAGAAAACCTGGTCCAAGTTAGGTTAATCAAAAGGGGTTCATGTCATTGTGAAGTTCAGTTTTTCAGTTAGCTTCAGGCATGGCTGGATCCAGGTGCCAGGCAGCTATCACTATGACCCTGTTTCTCTTTCTTGGCTTTTGTGTATTTTATGAGCAGGTGCCAGCCTCTGATGGTCTCCACTTGATGACAAGATGGCTTCAGGTACCCTTGATGTTAAATCATCTTAGTCTAATACAGTAGGAAAGAGAGAAGCTGTTTGCCCAGTGTTTTACCTGAGGTGGGTCTTATAGTCTCTAATTGTCCTGGTGTCCATCTCTGAGTCAGGTGCTGTTGCAAGGGGAATGGGAAGTGCTGATTGGAGCTCCAGCAGGGTGATAGGGCCACAGAACGAAATCTAGGGGCTGTTCTTGGAAAGAGGCTGAATATGTGCCAGGTGGTCAGAAACCACCCAGTGTCGCTGCAGAGCTTGGTTCATTATGTGCTTTTTTTGGTGGAGCTGGGTGTGTATTATCCATAGCTTTTTGCACATTCTCCAGGGGGCCAGAGCTGATGGAGAACCATTCAGGGTTTGGAGCAGGGATGAGAGGTGATGAGCAGTCCCTGGAGGCAGGATCTCGGTCCAGGAGCAGACCATGTGGAGCATGCCTGGGGATTAGGACTCCCCCCGCCCCAGGCGGGGCATGGGTGTGCCTCCTTCTAGGGTCGGGTGGAGGGTGTGTGGAGCGCCAGGTGGGGAGGGTGGTGATCTCAGCCTTGGCCGTGGGCAGCCTCATTTCTCATCGCTCCCACCCTGGGAGTGTTTCCTCTTTGCAGAGGAGTAACTTGTGGGGAAGGAAAATACCAGCTCCCTTCAATGCCAAAAGCAACATTTTCTTTCTCAAAGGTTGATTAAAAGTCACGGACATTAATCTTTGTAATTTTTCACGTGCTTATGTTGGTAATGAGATTAGTGATTGTGTATGTAGGGTCAGCTCTTACCTAAAATTTAGGGAGCTTTTTATTCATTTCTTGTTTTTTCTTTTTTTTAGGGAGGAGAGGGAAGGGAGGGGAGAAAACCCTGGCTGTTCCACTTGAAAGATTATTTTTCCCAGGGTTTTCATGAGCTCACCCTGTTGAAGGAAGGCCCAGTGACCAGTGAGCGTGTGAGGAGCATGGGGCACCTGGTACCCTAAGCCCCACCTGCGGCCTACAGCTTGGTCTGTACTTCACGTGTAGGGCTTGCCCTGGACCTGCTGTCTCCCTCCTCCTCCTTGGGGTCTCACACCACCCACCTGTGTCATCAGCCTCACCTGTTCAACAGAAAGGACCACAGACCTCTCCTCATCCTCCTGGCCCGGTAGCCCTTTCCTCGCAGCCAAGCTTCTGGTCTTTTGCACATCGTGCTATTATTAAGACATTTGCCCGCGAGGAAATGAAGGCAACTGTAGTTTTCAAGATTGAAGCCAACTTGATTACTTTGCTCTGATAATTTGTGAGTTTCGAATCATTTCCCTTCCTTCCGTTTCTCCTGCCAACACCTTCTCTGGCTTTTGTTTCCTTTTTCTGGATTACTGCAATGGTTCTTTTTTATTTTCTTTAAAAAGTCTCTCTTTCTCTCTCTGTCTTTTAGATACGGGGTTTTGCTCTGTCACCCAGGCTGGAGTGCAGTGGTGTGATTATAGCTCAATGCAGCCTCCAACTCCTGGGCTCCAGTAATCCTCCCGCCTCAGCCTCCCAAGTAGCTAGATACAGAGTCTCTTTGAAGGGAAAAAAACACAAACATACAAAAGAGTACCTAAAAGTCGGTGTAGGGTGGTAGAGGAAATTCTTGGATAACCACCACCTGGGCAAAGCAAGAGGATACTGCCCGCCCCCATAGGTCCTCTGATTTCCCTTACTGGCCACTAGACTTTGATGGTGACAACTCCTGCTTGACTTTCTAGTTCTGGTTCCTACATTTGCAGTCCCTAAATGATGTAGCTTAGATTTCACCAGGTTTTGTACTTTATGACTGGAATCTGTCCCAGATTTCTCAAAAGGGGTGTCTACAGTCTGTTCTTGAATTCCCAGTGTGCTGTGACCTAGTGGTGGCCCTGCCACCCTGTTGGGACAACATCCACTAAATGTACCAGATGTTTTGCTGAGGTCCCTGGGCCCCGGATTCAGTGACTGACTGATCGCCCTCTCCTTGGCATCTCTTCTTCCTTGATGTGTGTCCCCACCCCCCCGCCACCTCTATCATTTTTCTTTGTGCTGCTCACTTCCCAGCGACCACTCTCTTCCTCCTTCCCTGCATGCCGGCTGCAGTGTGTCAGGCTGGTTTCTGCCTCAGGGCTTTTGCACATACTGTTAGTGCTGCTTAGGATACCATTCCCCAGATCTTTGCATGGCCACCACATTTTTGCATGATATCAGCAAGTAGGTTGCCTCCTAGGCCTCCTCGTCTGACCATTCTTGCCAAAGGAGCATGCGGTCTGTCTCTGTCACAACGCCCTTATCTCTTCCCCCCATCAGAACATTGGCTGCATGCGGGTAGGACTTTCTTTCATCTTGTTCGCTGCCATATCCCAGCACCTGCAGTGGGCTGGCCGGTAGCAACTGTTTGATGAATAGCTGCAAACTAAAGGACTCTAGCTCAACTTTCTCGGCCAGACAGACCTGTTCAAATCCCCACACCTTTTACTACTTATGTGGCCTTGGACAGATCATTTACTCTGTCTGGGCCTCAGTTTCCTCATTTGTAGGTATTAAATGGTTAAGGAAAATAAATATCCCTGGAAACTCACAGTCCAGTGATTGGCATTGTGTTGGCACTGAGGAAGTGATAGTTAGACACGAACTTGATTAACAGCTAAAATCCCTACTTGATGCTTTGTGCCAAGAGCAAGTTTATTTTTCCCAGTGAACTAGATGACTTCCTCTTATCAGAGAAGGAGCACCGGGTCACCCTCTAATTTCCCTTTTGGCTTTGGCTGCCAGGAAGCATACTGCTAAGGGGAGGTCTCAGGAGCAGCCCTTATTTCCTGTCCATCTTCAGTGCAGTTCTTCTTCCCTTTCTTCTCCCTGTTCTTTGGTTATTTACGTTTGGCTCTACAGTGCACATTTGTGATTATTGTCCTTTATTTTGGTAAAATATACGTAACATGAAGTTTACTTTTTTTTTTTTTTTTTTGTGACGGAGTCTTGCCGTGTCGCCCAGGCTGGAGTGCAGTGGAGCGATCTTGGCTCACTGCAACCTCCACCTCCTGGGTTCAAGCAATTCTCGTGCCTCAGCCTCCCAAGTAGCTGGGATTATAGGTATATGCCACCACACCTGGCAAATTTTTGTATTTTTAATAGAGATGGCGTTTCACCATGTTGGCCAGGATGGCCTCTATCTCCTGACCTCATGATCCACCCGCCTTGGCCTCCCAAAGTGCTGCTGTTGCAGGCCGCGCCCGGCTGCGATTTACCATTTTAACCTGCTTGAGTGCACAGCTCAGTGGCATCATGGAAGTTCACGTTGTGCAGCCGTTACCACTATCTATTTCCAGAACTTTTTCATTATCCTGAACAGAAACTGTGTCCCCATTAAGCAGGAACTCCTCCTGCTTCCCACCTCCAGCCCCTGCACCCACCATTCTACTTTCTGTCTCTGAATTTGATGACTGTAGATATCTCATAGAAGTGGAATCACACAGGATTTGTCCTTTGGTGTCTGGCTTATTCACCTAGCACAGCGTCCTCAGGGTTCATCTGTGTTGCAGCACGGGTCAGAATGCCCCTCCTTTCAAGGCTGATAATGTTGCATTGTATGGAATATTTTGTTTATCCATCCATCCATTGATGGTCACTTGGCTTGATCCGTGTGACTCGAGTCTATCATGAATAACACTGTAGTGAACTTGGATGCGCAAATATTATTTTTAAAAAATTACTTTCTGGGCCTCAGGTGGTCTCAGGCCCACTAATAAATTAAGGGTAGATTTTTGGACAGTTTCTAGGATCAGGCTGTCTTCCCTGCCTCTGCCTGGTGTGTGGCTGTGTGTCTGTGCTCAGTAAACTCCATGGCCACTGTGGGTGCCCACCCAGGTCTCTCACCTGGAGGTGCACATGTCTCCCAGCGGCCACAGGTGCTGGCTGCTGATGGCTCACACCTGTGCCTTCTCCAGCTGCCTGCCCTTTGCTGGCAGGTGTCACTTCCCCGTGAAGTGCCTGGGAGGTCACTCTCCATGGTCTTTGGCCAGTGACTGACATGCCTCTGAGTGGGATGCACCCGGGGTGCCCCCCACACTGCATGGCTTCTCGTGGGTCACTGGACTCCAGCTGAGATGCAGTCTTGCCCAGCTCCCCCTGGCTCTGCCTGCTTTCCTTTGCCCTTCTCCTGAGCGCTCTCCCCCGACAGACCATGCCCTCAAGCGTCCCTGCCTCGGACTCTGCTTCTGGGGAGCCCCGTCTAAGACAGTGCGCAGCTCACATATCCCTCTGAGCACTATGGGTCTTGCATTACTGTGGGCGTTGGGTTGGATTCTGATGCAGCTGACCTACTGAGGCCAACTACACCATGTGGCTAGAGGTGGTCTCCTTGGAAGAGGGTGAGAACTCCCAGCATCTATCACATATAGAAGAGGCAGGTCCTAACCCAGGAAACCAAGCTATTCTGGAGGCGACCCTGGGGCGGGGTGGTTGGAGGGGCAGGAGCTCCCACCTCATCCAGGCCTCTCTCCTCCTGGTGTGGACAAGAGACGCTCAGGCCTTGGAGTGTTCAGGCTGGTAGAGATGACTCAGGAAGCCCAACGATGCCAATGGGAAGGGAGTGTGCATCCAAATTAGCCCAGGGAAGCCCTGTTGCTGGGCCCCACAGCTTCAGTGTCAAGTGTCCTGACATTAAATGTTATCATTTTAAACTAATTATCAATGAGTAATATTGGCAGCTAATTTATAAAGCACCATGTGGGCCCCACAAACACATCTGTGTGTGAACAGGCTGGGTGGCTGGTTTGTGCCTGCTCTCTGCTTGGACTTGGGCCCGGGGGCAGCCGTGTGGGCACAGCCAGCGGGCCAGGTGGTACTGATTATGGGTTTCTTTGTCACTGTCTTGTCTGTGAGTGTCTTGTGTGTTTATTTCCCTGCTGCCATCCCTAGCAGTCCCAGTTTGCAAGTCCCAGTGTTTTGATATAGCTGCTTATTATTTTTTTAAAAGAGATCCCCTGCAAATATTTAAAAAATTTTAAAGCCATACTGGCGCCAACCTGAGACTTTGTTCTTATCTACAGTTGCCTCATCAAATGGAGGTTGCCCAGTTAAGTTGGAATTTCAGATAAGTGACAGATGTGTGCCAAATACTGTACAGGACATCCTTAAATGCTAGACAGTTCTCCATCATTTCTCTGAGATGCCTGTGCACATCCCAGATCTGTATTTGCTGGATCTCATCAGAGCCAGAAGGGTCAGAACTGGAGGTGGGAAGACCTTTCCTTCCTGATCCAGTGTCATATCCTGTGGCCTGTGTGCTCACTAAGGTGGGACCCCCCCACCTTTCCACAGTGGCAGCACTGGGGATGTCCCCCCAGGTGGCCTTGACCTTCCAGTGTCCTCGCCAGCCCAGAGAGGTTTCATCTGGGGCCTGCTGTGGATGAATGTGAAGGTTAATTTATCAAAGGAGGCAGTGTTGCTTTACTATAGGATGCGTGTTTGTTTTTGTGGTAGGTTGGGGCCCAGCCCTATCAGGACAGCAGAGCGAGGAGCTTGTGGCCAGGTGAGAGAGGCAGCTGGGGCCTGAGCCACATCCTGAGGCACTTCTGACTCTGATGTGCCGGAGCCCTCCCTCCCCATCCTGCCTGCCCCAGGTGCCTTGTGAGGAGTGGGCAGGTCTCTAGGAGACTCACACTGTGTGCTGAGTCACCTGTCCCTGCTGGACACTCCCTGGGGAGACCCTGGCTGAATGTCTCTCCGCCCCCACATTGCCCTGTGCACGTTCAAGTGATGGCCCTGAGTACGTAACCCCAGGTGTGAACCCTGCTGCCACTTTAGAATACCCTGGTCCCCCCACCCACAGCAGGGATTTGATCAACAAAGACCAAAGCTGTGATAGCCCCACCTGCCGCTGGTCCTGTCTGGAGCCTGCTCTTGTGTCTCCACTCCGGTGGCAAAGCCTTGCTCACAGTGCTGGATGCACTCCCAGATGCTAAGTGCTGAGTGCCACTTCATGGTGGCTTGACGTCCTCATTGTCACCTAAATGTCCATTGTCATTTTGGCTCTTCCTGTGAAGAATGGGCCGCCAAATACAGAGGAATGGCTAGGCGCAGAGGCTCACGCTTGTGATCCCAGCACTTTGGGAGGCCGAGACAGGGTGATTGCTTGAGGCTAGGAGTTTGAGACCAGTCTGGGCAGCAGAGCAAGATCCTGTCTCCTGCCTATTTTTTAATGCCGTGATATATGTTACGCACATGATACGTAAAGCGTTCATCTTTTAAAAATGCCAGCAGTTGCCAACCCTCACCCCTCCTAGGGTTGCAGCCTGAGGCCAGCCTGGACAGTGACTGGCCCGGTGGCCTCCACCTGCCAACCTTTCCTGTCCCCAGATGGCAGCCCGGTGACCACCAGGGGCCATATGGACCTGGTACAGACGTCTCTGAGTCGCACACTGGGCGTCAGAAGCACAGGGTCATGGAGTGCATGTGCTGAATTCTCACATGGGTACTGCCTTGCAAAGAGGCTGCTCCAGGTGACACTTCGGCCAGTGGCATAAGAATGATAATAATACCACTATCCTAGTGTTTGCCTTCCTGATGGGTGCAAGGGAGAGGCTGCAGTGGTTTTACTTTGTATCTTGTTGTTTCTTGCGTCCCCACCCGGGAGGGCTGGCTTGGTGCAGTGTGACTGCCTGGCTGGCCACCGCAGCCAGTCCCAGGGGCTTTGTTTGCTGGCCAGGCTCTGACTGCTGGGACTGTCCCCCCGCAGGGAGGTCAGGCCTCCTTCCCCACCCCATCTCCAGGGGCTTCTTTTTTCAGGTTGCTGAGGGGTGGGAGCTGTCTGCAGAAGCCGGGGTTGTGGGAAAACTCAGCTGGAGCTCCCAGGAGGGGCATGTTTGATTCTGTGACCCTGCAGTGTAGAGACTGTGCCCTCCTGCTTCTCTCTTGTACGAGTGTCCCCAGCCCTGCTTGCTTATCTCTGGCGATAGATAGGGAGCTCACTCCTTCCCAGCAGCCTGGTCAGTCCCTGCCCTGGAGGGAGTGTTCTCCACTTGGAGCTGACATCTGCCATCTCCTCCATGCCCCCACCTCCCGCCCCACACATACACGCCCCATTGGGAGCAGCTGTGGAGATGTGAGGACAGTGAGGTCTGCTATTCTCCCAGGTGAGCCACCCCAAGGGGCCTGGGCCCCCTCACCACGTGGGCCACTCCCTCTCGACACATCCCAGATGGTCCTTTCCCCTCCTGAGTGGACATACAACCATCAGACAGCACCAGGATACTCTGAGCTGCATGCATTTGGGGGGGCCCAGACGACTTGGGGAACCTGGGAGCTCACACCCCATGTGACATCTCAGGGTGGCCAGAGCTCTGTGGCTTGAAACAGGAGTTGGAAACCTGAATTTTTATGTGAACGTTTTCAATTTATGCATGCTGGTAACCAATTTAAAATGAGAAACCCACTGTGTGAGCCAAACGAAAGCACTTATGGGCCAGATAATGCTGGTGGGCCCCCGACTATGACCTGAGGTATGGTGGAACACGTTCACTGGGTGGATGCAGAACCAGGGCTCAGAGAGGGCCAGGGCCGTGCCTGGGGTTGCGCAGCAAATGTGGAAAATGCAGAGTCAGGCTTGGGCCTGATGTTCTTTATCATTGCCCTGGGCCTGGAGTGGGGAGATGGGCAAGCCTGAGGTTTGGGATTGCTTAAGCATGGACAGAATGTGATGCTGGGGGCCTGGGGGGCCAAGGGGCCAGGTCACCCTGGGGGCTGTGCCGGTGAGCAGAGCAAGGGGATGGACTTGGTGGACCGGGTGGTGGGGCAGGGTGGGCTGGGAAGGAAGTTCTTCTGGAAGAAGTTCTAGGACAGCCCTGTGTCCTGTGGCTGGGGTACTGTCCTCTCAGGACACAACGTTCATGCCTAGGTGTGTGATGCACCTGAAGGCAGGAGGGCAGGGAGCTTGGGTCTCAGTTCACCAAAGATTTCCTTTTGTTTTGAGACGGGGTCTCCCTCTGTTCCCCAGGATGGAGTGCAGTGGCACGATCTCGGCTCACTCCAACCTCCGCCTCCGGGGTTCAAGCAGTTCTCCTGCCTCATCCTCCTGAGTTGCTGGGATTACAGGCACACGCCATCATGCCTGGCTAATTTTTGTATTTCTGGTAGAGACAGGGTTTCACCACGTTGGCCAGGCTGGTCTCGAACTCCTGACCTCAAGTGATCCGCCTGTCTTGGCCTCCCAAAGTGCTGGGATTACAGGCGTGAGCCACCTCGCCTGGCCAAAGATTTCCTTTCTTAAAAGACACTGTCAGCTGGCACGGTGGCTCATGCCTGTAATCCCAGCACTGTAGGAGGCTGAGGCAGGAGGGTCGCTTGAGGTCAAGAGTTCAAGACCAATCTGGGCAACACAGTGAGACCCTTGTTAAAAAAAATTAGCTGGGTGTAGTGGTGTGTGCCTGTAGTTCCACCTACTCAGAAGGCTGAGGTGGGAAGATCGCTTGAGCTCGGGAGGTTGAGGCTGCGATGAGCTATGATCACACAACTGTGCTCTAGCCTGGACAACAGAGTGAGACCCTGTCTCTAAAAACAAACAGAAAGAACTGTTGAGAGTGGACCTGAGGGCCTCTCCCTTGCAGTCTGGAGGGTCCTTGCTTTTGCTGACTGGGAGTAAAGGCCCTGATTCTCCCAGGGGCCCATTCCTAATGTCAGTGGCTTTACGGAGTCCTCCAGCTTCCTGAGGTGGCACCTCAGTGTGAGGGCAGGGGCGTCAGCCCTCGAGGCCCCAGAGGCTCCCTAGCACTCCGCCGGCCCTGAGCCTGGTCTGGGCATGGGCTTCCATCTCCCTGCCCGTCCATGGCCCTCCACCGCAGCCTTCCCTGCCTCGGTCACACAACTCCCCCTTCCAGGCGCTCCTGGACTTCTGTCTTCTGTCCGCTGCATCCTATCCATCAGCAAATCCTGTGGGTCCTACCTTCAAAATAGATCCCCTGTGCCACCATCTCCTGCCTCTCTTCGCTCACTGCCCTGGGCTCTCTCACCTGCTCCCTGCTGGCTCCCGTGTCTCAGCGCAGTGGGCAGCTGGGTGGGTCCCTTGCACTGGAGAGTCCCAGGCTCCAGCGCTTACAGGCACGCCCAGAGGCCCTCACAGCAGGCTGGAAGCCCGTTGCTCTGCAGTTACCACCCGTGTGCTGATGTGGCTCAGCCCTGGGGGCCCTCTCTGTCCTTCACCTTTCTGCTGCTGGTCCGGCCTCAGCCCCTTGGCCCTGCCACTCCCTGCCTGACGCCCTCCTCAGAGAAGCCCTCCTCTTCCGCCGGACTGACACGGGCTCCCCTGACACTGCCACGTCCTCCTTCCGTCTCCTTGATTCCCTTCATTTATTTCATCATGGGGCTCATGCCTGCCTGGCGTTCAGTTCTCTACAGATTTGCTCTTGGGTTTATTATCTGCCCCTCCACCCCTGAGGGTGTCAGTGCTGTGAGGACGCTGGGAACCTGTCTTGCTGGCTGATAAACCCCTGGTTCCTAGAGGGGCTGGGTGCAGAGGAGGCGTTCCTTTAGAAATGGGGCAGGCTTGGGGACCACTGCTGTGGTAACGAGTCCTGCTGTCCCTCTGTCACTGCCCTATGGGGCTGCGCTTTAGGCTGGGAGTCGGAGAAGGAGCTCTTGCCTGTGACTTTGGGGAGCACGCTGTCTATAAGAGTCAGGTACGGCCACTGGGTCACAAGTGGGGCTACAGGCACTGGGGACTTGGGCCAGGGTGGAGGAGGGAGGAGGCATGAGGACTGGTGAGAAGGTGGCATTTGAGTGGCTTGTGCAAGATGAGAGGGGAGAAGAGCCCTTGGGGGAGTTCAGGCCTAAGGGCCTGTGGGAGGGTCGGGTTGGGATGGCTCCTGCAGGGCCTTGAGTGCCAGGCTCAGCTGGGAATCCAGACCTTTCCTTTCTGGCCATGGGAAACTGGGGCGGGCTGTGGGGCCGTGGCATGTCGGGGCCAGCTGCTCTCAGGCCAGACTGGGTTCCCTGGGAAAGGGGAGGAGTGGTGGGCAGGGAGGTGGCGGGGCTGTTCCAGTGGAGATCAGAGCTGAGACTGGAGTGGGGACAGGGCCTAGAGATGGAAGGAAGGGGTAGAGACCGTGGGGAGGGAGTGGAGACAGATTGCGGGGAGAATGGACATGACTGGGGGAGTTGGTGGGGTGTTAGGGACAGCAAGGCATCAGGATGCATTTGCCAGTGCTACTGGGGAGGGGGACAGGAGCGTCCCCTGGGGCTAAGCCTGCAGTCCCGAGGGTCTCAGAGGTGTGTTCCTGAGTCCTAGGGTCTGCGGGCTGGGGCTGTAGGGGGCGTCTTGTTCTTGCCTAGCATTTCCCCACTGACTGTATTTTCTGGCCAGCAGCTGTGGTGCGTGGCTGGGGACTGAGTCAAGGATCTGGGGGGAGGGATTGGTCGGGTGTGTGCGTGGGACTGTGCGTGTGAGACCGCCCAGGGTGTGTACTGGCACGTGGGCATGCTGTGGGTGAGACAGCGTGTGTAACTGCATAGAGGATTATGGGGCATATTGCCTGACGTGCCCTGGTGAGTGTGACCGAGTGGGTGTGGGGCTGTGCATGTGTGTGTGTGGGCACGAGGGCTCACTCAGAGGACCTGCCTCAGAATGCAGGTGAGGATGGAGGATGGAGTGGCCCAGCAAACACGTGTGGGGCTGTCAGCGACTCCAGGTCAACACCTGTGGCGCCCAGCGACTAGACACTCACCTGTGTGTGATCTGACCCATGTGTGGCGGAGCCTGTGTGTGTGTGTGAGGCAGTGCTTAGTGTGCTCCTGGGGATGAGCGCATGCGTGTGAGGTGGCTGAGGCTGGGCCCCTGCCCGCGTGCGTGCCGGTGTGCACCGTGTCTGTGTGTGCACACCCAGTACTGACAGGCTTCCTTTCTGATTCCCCCAGGGTCTTACAGGAGAGGGGACCGTCCTGGGCTGGCCTGGACCATGGTGCTGCTCTGGGAGCCTGCAGGAGCCTGGCTTGCTCTGGGCCTGGCCCTGGCCCTGGGCCCCAGCGTGGCCGCAGCTGCCCCTCGGCAGGACTGCACGGGCGTGGAGTGCCCGCCGCTGGAGAACTGCATTGAGGAGGCGCTGGAGCCGGGTGCCTGCTGTGCCACGTGTGTGCAGCAGGGCTGCGCCTGCGAGGGCTACCAGTACTATGACTGCCTACAGGGTGGCTTCGTGCGCGGCCGCGTGCCCGCCGGTCAGTCCTATTTTGTGGACTTCGGGAGCACTGAGTGCTCCTGCCCACCAGGCGGCGGCAAGATCAGCTGCCAGTTCATGCTGTGCCCGGAGCTGCCGCCCAACTGCATCGAGGCTGTAGTGGTGGCTGACAGCTGCCCACAGTGCGGCCAGGTGGGCTGCGTCCACGCGGGCCACAAGTACGCCGCTGGCCACACTGTTCACCTGCCGCCCTGCCGGGCCTGCCACTGCCCTGACGCCGGTGGAGAGCTCATCTGCTACCAGCTCCCCGGTTGCCACGGGAACTTCTCAGATGCCGAGGAGGGTGACCCCGAGCGACACTACGAAGACCCCTACAGCTATGACCAGGAGGTGGCCGAGGTGGAAGCAGCAACAGCCCTGGGGGGTGAGGTCCAGGCGGGTGCAGTCCAGGCAGGCGCAGGGGGCCCCCCAGCTGCTCTGGGAGGTGGGAGTCAGCCACTGTCCACCATCCAGGCACCCCCCTGGCCAGCTGTCCTCCCCAGGCCCACAGCGGCTGCTGCCCTGGGTCCCCCAGCCCCAGTGCAGGCCAAAGCTAGGAGAGTGACCGAGGACAGTGAGGAGGAAGAAGAGGAGGAGGAGGAGAGAGAGGAAATGGCTGTCACTGAGCAGCTGGCAGCAGGTGGCCACAGGGGGCTGGATGGGCTGCCCACTACAGCCCCAGCTGGACCCAGTCTTCCTATCCAGGAGGAGAGGGCAGAAGCTGGGGCAAGGGCAGAAGCTGGGGCAAGGCCTGAAGAGAACCTCATCCTGGATGCCCAAGCCACGTCCCGCAGCACTGGGCCGGAGGGCGTGACGCATGCACCGAGCCTGGGCAAGGCTGCTCTCGTCCCAACTCAGGCCGTGCCTGGCTCTCCCAGGGACCCAGTCAAGCCCAGCCCCCACAACATCCTGTCCACATCACTGCCTGATGCAGCCTGGATCCCACCCACCCGAGAAGTGCCCAGGAAGCCGCAAGTTCTGCCCCATTCCCACGTGGAGGAGGACACAGACCCCAACTCTGTCCATTCTATCCCCAGAAGTAGCCCTGAAGGTAAGACCCTGTCCTGGTTCCTTCAGGGCACTTTGTGTGGGAAGGGCAGCCTTGGGCTCTGGCCGCTGCCCCAGGTCTCTGCCTGGGGCTGGGGATGCTGGACTGTGGGGCCAGGCCTAGGGTGGCCACCCCAGGCCCTTGGTTTGGGCAGGAGGCTGTGAGAGTGCATCTTCTCCCAGGCCCAGCTCTTGGGATGGGATGGGTGGGTGGGAGTGGGGTTCCTGTTGTGGGAGGTGCTGGGCCCCCTGGTAGGGCTGCGGTAGTGGTCAAGGGTCCAGAAGGTGCACATCTTCAGAGCTGGGGGCCCTGAGGAGGGTTCCTGCCTCAGCCCGGTAGGCCCCCACGTGTCCTGGCAGGAAATGCGAAGGGCGGTCTCTTCTCAGCTGCCCCGGTGGCTGGCCTGTGGCCTAGGAGCCTAGCATGGCCACCTCTGCCAATTTTTCAACAAATGTCAGCCAGAAAGCTGAATTTTATGTGACATCTTCCCATTTCTAAGTGTCTGCAGCAAATCCTAATCTCACAAGCATGTGTTGTAGAAAGAAGTGAACTCGTGGACAGAGGCGAGGTGGGTGGGCCATTTGAGCAGGGGCGCTGGCCATGCTGGGCCAGTGGAGGTGGTGGGGCCACACCAGCTGTACCCTCACTCCATGGAGGCCCCTCTCCGAGCTGGTCAGGCAGCTTCCCATCAGTCCTTCCAGCAGCACCGAGTGCTTACTACTATGTACGCTGTTTCACCAGTGAGGCAACTGGGGCTCGAGGGTGGTGCTGGAGGCTCAGGTCACACAACCAGTGAGCAGTGGGCCTGGAAGGCCCTGGAGCCTGCACTCCTGACCCTATATCCTCCAAGCCACCTGCCACAGAGTTCAATACACTCCATCGGGCACATCAGAGCAGGCAGCCAGGACCAGGGCACCCAGGCTTCAGATAGGGACCGGCCCAAGGCTGTGCAGAGGCTGGTAGGCGGCCCAGGCCTCTTCTTGCCCATCCATGCCTGCTCCCAGCAGGTCCTCCATAGCCCAGCACAGTCAGACACCCCATTTGAAGACCCCATGAGCTGTGGCGAGAAGGGGAATGGTCCGCTGAGCCTACCTAAGAGCCGTCCTCAAAGGGCGCTGCTGCTAAGCAGGGGCCACAGCCCCCACGAGGCTGACCCCTTCCTGCTTACTTTAGGAGCCTTGAACTCCTGCAGGGGGTGATTCTGTCACAAGAGCTGGGGGCTTGCAGATCCAGAAGCCTGGTCTAGCTTCCATGGGGACCTGGGGTGATGCTCCTAAGACCCCACGCAGGTTTGAAACCCCCGTGGGCCAACACTGGAGAGGAGAGGCTTCAGGAGTCCTCTAGCAAACAGGTTAATCTGGGTGGATAACCCTGTGCTGCCACAGCCTAGGGAATCTGGGGGCCTCACAGACCCACAGACATTGGAAAGGCCCAGAGCTCCGTCAGTGTGAGAGGGGACAGCCCCGCACCTGGGGGGAGCGCCTCAAACACAAATCAGATCATGCCACCTTCTGCCCTATATGGCTCCCTCCGGCCGGCCCCTCCCCAGCCTCTTCTCACACCAGTCAGAGCTTCCTTTCAATCAAGTTCAATTCCCTCTGGCTAAGGGGCCTTTGCACGTGCTGTTTCCCCCGCCTGGAGCACCCCCTTCTCACCACTGCCCACTTATCACCTCATCCTCTACATTGCAGCTCAAGTGGAAGCTCAAGACTCCCTGCAGGGAGCCTTCCCTGACCCCCAGGAGGAGTCAGATCCCCTGAGTGAGGCTCACCACTTCACTCCTCAGCTCGTATCACTGCTCAGAACATCACACCTCTGTGACTGCTGGGGTCTCTATCTCCTCCTCAAAGCCCCAAGCTCCCCAAGGTCAGGGTCTCTGCTGGGTTTTGTGAACCCTGTACATTCAGCATCTTACCGGCTCCTGTGCACATGCTGGGCACTCAGAAGCCACTGTCAGAGGGTGGGCCGGGCGTGGTGGCTCACGCCTGTAATCCCAGCACTTTGGGAGGCCAAGGTGGGTGGGTCACCAGAGGTCAGGAGTTCGAGACCAGCCTGGCCAACGTGGTGAAACCTCAAATCTACTAAAAATACAAAATTAGTCTGGCGTGGTGGCAGGCGCCCGTAATCCCAGCTACTTGGGCGGCTGAGGCAGGAGAATCACCACCTGGGAGGCAGAGGTTGCAGTGAGCCAAGATTGTGCCATTGCACTCCAGCCTGGGCGACAAGAGTGAAACTCAAAAAAAAAAAAAAAAAAAAAAGGGAACCACTGTGAGAGGTTGAAGAGCTGAAGAAGGCAGAAGAGAAGCCTGCTTCCACCACTTTCTGCCCCTGTGTCCACAGGCGGTGGCCTGAGCTCCCTGTAGCCCACTCTCCACTCCTGTAAACTAAGAGGGCTGTTGTGAGGACTACGCGGCTCAGCAATCACAGAGCGCCGAGCACGGTGCCTAACAGAGTCACCGTGTTGAGGGGCGTCTGCAGTGGACAGCAGCAGTCATTTGAGTTTTAGGGTTTCCCTGTTAGCCAGAGCATCACAGCATTCAGATACTCCTGCCCTGCAGAACCTGCGTGTGTGAGGCCCTGAGGAAGGGGCCCCTTTCCTGCCATGCATTCCTGGGGCCACAGGCTGTGCTGAGAGGCCTTCTGCAGGTCAGGGGCTGCCCCCAGCTGCTCTGGGAACCTCCGACCTCCTGAGGGCCGCCCTGCCCGAGGGTTCCTCCGTGTGGCCCTCCATTGTGCCAGCCCTGCGGGAAAAGCCGCCCTCACGAAGCCCCTTGAGTGACAACAGACGTCAGACCCCTTCTTCCCAGCCCAGGGAGCCGGGCATGTGGCTTCCATTAGGCCACATCTGGACATGCTCAGAGGCAGGGATGGCCTGGCCGAGGCAGTCTGGATCCCTGGCAGGGCTCCAGCTCAAAGACAGGACCCCCAGCCCAGCCAGGCCTGGGGCACTGGCTGGAAACCCCTTCTCTAGGCCCCAGGGCTGCCATGGCAACGCGGCTGGAGGGGTCACTTCTGGCCCCATTACCTCCCTTTCTGCAGGGCCCAGGGCTGAGCAGGGCAAAGCCACCTCCCCAGCTTCTCCTCACCAAGGGCTGCTCCATCATCTAGATCCCCCAAGGCCTCCCCCAACAACAGCAGCCAGGGGCGCTAGGGTCCAAACCCCACTTCCCCCAAGAGGCTCAGTTGGGCAGCCCGATCCCCCACCCGCTGGGCTTCCATCTCCCACCCCTCCCATGCTGCGTGCACATGGCCGTGACCAGGGATAAACCTGCCTGTGTACATCCCTGTAACGCCCTCCTCCCCCATTAGACTCTAAACGAGGGCGAGGTTGCGTCTGCCTTGCTCACTGTCGCAGCCTTGGCTCAGTGAGGGTGCTCTGTGAGTATCTGTTGAAGATATCAGCGGGTGGGCTGAGGACAGACGGTGACTAATCATCGTCGCATTTCTAATTGCTCAGCAAGTCCTCAGCTGAGTGTTGGACACAAATTAGCTCATTTAATCCTCAAAGCAGCCCCATGATGCAGGGACTTCCCTGCTGCTTACAGGTGGAAAAACTGAGGCACAAAACCATAAGCCGCATGCTCAGATTCTGTGGGTTGAGCCAGAGCCCATGAATTCGTGATGACAAGTGGGCCATGGGTGGGCAGAAGGGTGAGAGTTGGGGTGCGGCTGTGGATGTTTATCTGGCCAGGCCTGAGCTTCTGGGTCCCCTTTGAATTCATCCTCTACCCCTGGGTCCTTAAACCTTCCATTCCCTGCACACCAAACGCTGCAGCTGCCTGTCCCTGCCCTAACTCTGGTCTCTGGGCCTTTGCGTTTGCTGGGTCCCCTGCCAGATCAGCCGTCAGACAAGATAAGGGGGACTCAGTTGGGGGCCTAACAGCCAGCAGTCCTCATCAAAGCCCACACCTAAAAAATCTATTTGAGAAAGCTCAGGGCAGAGGGGAAAACTGGGGCTCCTGATAACAAAGCTGCTCTCTAGGATCCCACAGCCCAGACCACAGAGAGGCCTCGGGCATCAAGAGGCAGGACTGGGGGCCAGGGGTGGGGCTGCTTCTATTTCAGAAACCCTGGAAGCTGCACTGCATGCACCACGCTTCTGAGCCTGGCTGCATGCCCTCCCTGGCACACGTGCACTTCATTACACACTCCACCCACAACATGCATGTTCCGCTCCTCCCCCATCCCAGCCCACCACCTCCCACCACCAGGTCCCGCCTGTGACCTGGTGCTGCTAGCCACACCTCTTGGACTGTGCTCTGCTGAGAATAGGGAGATGGAGCCTACCTCCCCAGCTTGTTGGGAGGATCATATCACAGAAACAAGAGCCGGGCACCCAGGAGGTGCTCGGCAAGGGCGAGTTCTGTGCCCTGCCCACCGTAAGCAGGCTGGAAGCAGAGTTGGCAGGGGTGGCAGCCGGTAGGCCTGGAGGAACCCACAGAGACCCCAGTTTCACCCTCATTGCATGTGCATGGGCTTTGCACATGGTCCATGCCCAGCAAGTGCTGTGGGAGGACTTGGGAGATGGGAAAACAGGATCCAAGCTGGTTAAGAGCCTTGCCCAAGGCCACAGCTATGGGCAGCAGAATGAGTAGATGGGAACACTGCTGACACTGCAGAGCCCCTCATGCCCCCTCCTTCAGGAAGCCTTCCCAGATATCACACAGGCCTCTCTTCCTCACAGCCCCCAGTCTGTGAACCAAGTCCATACTGGTTCATCTCTGCCTTCCCAGGGATGCCAGGACATGCTCAGAGCTGACACCTGATGAAGGCTGTAGAGTAAATGATATGGGATTGAACAAGACACAGGCATCCAACTGTGGGGACAGATCTCTAGAAACCTCAGAAGGGAGACAGGAAGAAAGTAGAGCTGGAGCTGGGGGAGGGGGATGAGTGAAGGCACAAAGATTCAGGAAGGCTTCCCAGGGGAGGTGCTATCTGAGCTGGCCAGGAACAGTGTAAGCAAATGCTTGGAACAGAGGGGAGAGAGGTCGGAATGCTCAGGATGGCAGGAGAACTAGGGTGAGGAGGAATTACTGAGAGAAGGGGTGGTCAGGGGGATCCCCCCCCCCCGGGTTCACTCATTTATCCACCCAGTATTTATAGCGCTCCAACTGTGTGCAGGCCCTGCTAGAGGCCCTTGGGCTCTGCAGAGAATATGAGAGGTATGGTCCCCACCCTCACCTCACAGTGCTGACATTCTGTTGGGGAAGAAAACAGTAAACAAGTCCATGGGAATTATCTGCTGTAATGTCAGGTATTGCTAAGAGAAATTAAAGCAAGGTGAGGTGGCTCACACCTGTAATCCCAGCACTTTGGGAGGCCGAGGTGGGTGGATGGATCACCTGAGGTCAGGAGTTCAAGACCATCCTGGCCAACATGGTGAAACCCCTGTCTCTACTAAAAATACAAAAATTAGCTGGGTGTGGTGGTAGGCACCTGTAATCCCAGCTACTCAGGAGGCTGAGGCAGGAGAATCGCTTGAACCCGGGAGGCAGAGGTTGCAGTGAGCCGAGATTGCGCCACCGCACTCCAGCCTGGGTGACAGAGCCAGACTCCGTCTCAAAAAAAAAAAAAAAAAAAGCACAGTGAGAGGAAGGGTGGATGGACAGGGGAGTCCTCCCTGGGGCGGTGACCCGAGCAGAGAGCTGAAAGGGGAGGAGCGAGCCACGCGTGCACCTGAAAGAGGGAGCGGCGAGTGCAAAGGCCCCAGGGCAGGAAGGTGCCTGGACAGGAGGCCAGTGGAGCCGAGATAAGTGGGGGAGAGGGAGGGGGATAGGAGATCTGGGAGGTCACTGGGGCAGGCTGTCCAGGGCCTGTGGCCACCATGAGGACTTTGGCTTCTACTCTGAGGTGAGAGCTACAGCAGGGTGTTGAACAAAGGGGTGACACTGGCCAACTTATGTGTTAACAGGATCCCTGGCTAGGAGGAGTGGCAGAGTTGGTACAGGGCCCTCACAAGGAGCTCCCAAAAGGGAACACATCCTCTCTGTTGTCAGTACAGAGACCCAGAGCACAGCTGTGCATAGAGGCTCTGCTGGAGAGAATGGGAGCAGGTGGCTGCCCCAGGTCCACAGAGCTCCGTGGCTGGACAGGTGCCCTGCATTTGCTGCAGTCCCCTCCAGGCCAGCTCCCCAGGTCTCATTGCCACCAGCCCGGGGGCAGCTGGGTTCAGGCCCTCTGCTCAGGGGCATCTGTCAGAAACAGCAAGTTTCACCCTGTGGCAACCTGGAGATACTCTGCATGGACATCCCATTTCATGGAAGAGAAAACTGTCATCTTGGGGCTGTAGCAGGGGGCCCCAGTCTCCCAGTGGAGGAGGAGGGCTTGTGGTTCCCATGGGGGACCTAGAGGTACAAGTGGGTCTGGGTGGCTGGTAGCTGGGTGCTCCCTGTGTTTGCCTGCCTGGGCAAAATGCGTGCATTTCACAGCCGGACCCAACCCATCTTGAGGGTCTGGGGCCAAGGCTAGGCCTGCGGTGGGTTTCTTTAATTTTAAAAACTAACTCTGTTAGTTTATGCAAATAAAACCACTTTATTGAGATATTATTTGCATGTCATAAAGTCCCCACTTTGAGGGAGCAGAATCTAGTGGGTTTTAGTAGATTTGGAGTTGTGCAGACATCCCCAGAATCTAATCTCAGAGCATTGTCATCACTCCAGAAAGACACCCACATCTGTAGCAGTCACTTTCCATTCCCTCTTTCTCCCAGTCCCCGGTAGCCAGGAATCTTCCTTCTGAGTCTATGGATTTGCATATTCTGGATATCCCTGGACTCTCTGGGAATCATGCACTATGTGGTTTCTAGTGTGTGACTCTTTCACTTAGCACGATGTTTTCAGGGTCCATTTCATGTGGTAGCATGTGTCATTAATTCCTTTTCATGGTTGAATAATGTTGTATGAATATACCACATTTCAAAAATCTGTTCATCTGTTGATGGACATTATTCTTCCAGCTTTTCAGTATTATGAGTAATGCAGCTATATATATTCATGTGTAAGTTTATTATATGGACACATGTTTTCATTCATCTTGGGAACATATCTAGGAGTGGCATTGCTGGGCCACATGGTAACTCTGTGTTTAACCCTTAGAAGAACTACCAGCCTGAGGCCGGGTGTGGTGGCTCACGCCTGTAATCCCAGCACTTTGGGAGGCTGAGGCAGACAGATCTCCTGAGGTCGGGAGTTCAAGACCAGCCTGACCAACATGGAGAAACCCCGTTTCTACTAAAAATAAAAAAATTAGCCGGGTGTGGTGGTGCATGCCTATAATCCCAGCTGCTTGGGAGGTTGAGGCAGGAGAATCGCTTGAACCTAGGAGGCGGAGGTTGTGGTGAGCCACGATCACGCCTTTGCACTCCAGCCTGGGCAGCAAGAGTGAAACTCCGTCTCAAAAAAAAGAGAACTATCAGACTGTTTTCCAGAGCGACTGCACCATTTTACATTCCCACCGGCAGTGCACAAGGGTTCCAGTTTCTTCACATCCTCACCAGTTGTTATAGCCATCCTAGTGTGTATGAAATAGCATCTCATCGTGGTTTAGATTGCAATTCCCTGATGACTAATGATGCTGAGCATGTGTTCATGAGATTGCTCTAGAAACTTCTAGAATACGCAAGCACACATCCCATTAGCCTCAAAGTGATGACATCATCACACTGTCATGTAGTCTCCAGAGAAGTCCACTATACACTGCACTGGGGGAGAGTGTATGAAGAAGGCAACCAATGTCCTAATGTTATGACAAACATAATTTTGACCTTATGGATCCCTGAAAGGGTCTTGGAGACCCTATAGGGCCAGGACCACACTTGA
This sequence comes from Homo sapiens, assembly GCF_000001405.40. NCBI lineage: Eukaryota > Metazoa > Chordata > Mammalia > Primates > Hominidae > Homo > Homo sapiens. Next base: position 13,579,479 of record NC_000003.12, read on the forward strand.
GAACCACTGGTCAGTGCAACTACAAGCATGTAGGTGCGTGCACGTATTTTCACAAGCACTAACATAGGACGCACAGCGTTCTGTTCTATGCCTTTTTCAAATAACAATGGATCTTGGAGCTTTTCCCTGTCACTGCATGGAAAGTCCCCTTTCTGTGTTTGATGGCCGTGGTGCCCCACAGCATGCAAACCCCATCTTTGATTTACCGGTTCCCTTACTGATGGATATTCAGGTTGGTTCCAGTCTTTTGCTCTTAAAAAGCGATGCTGCTGTGAGCATCTCTACACCATGCCCCAGTGTGGAATTGTGAGGTCGATGTGTCTGTGCTTTTTTTCTTTGTACGCTGTTCATTGACACATAACCACTAGAACCTGTCAGAAGCACACAACTCAAATGAATTTTCCCAAGTGAACACACCTGTGAAGCTGACCCTCAGCTCATGAGACAAGAGCCGGCCCTAGGAAGCCTCCTTTGTGCCCCTCCTAGGAAACCACCTCTCTTGACTTCTAATGGCAGAGGTTAGTTTTCCTGCTCTTAAACTTTTATAAATGAATGACCGTGCCATTGCGTGTATCGGGAGGGGGTCTTTTTGATTGTTGCATAGTGTTCCGTTGCAGGGATCGACCCTGCCTAGCTTGTTGTTCCCCGGCTGGGGGCATTGGGGTTGTTTCCAGTGGAGGCCATGAGCTTTCTCTGCCAGGCTTCTGGTCCTTATGCCTGTGCATTTCAGTTGAGAGGTGCTGGCTGGCTCAGCTCTAGGAGATATGGATGTAATTTTTTTTTATATGGACGTATTTTTATAGCCCTGGTAGACGTTGTTCACTTGTTCGCCCTGGAGGGTGTACTGGATTTTACTTACACCTGCAGTCATGAGAATGTCTCTTTCCTCGTTCTATTCATGCGACAAATATTTATTGAGTGCCTCTCTCACCATTGCAGGAGCCGGGGAGACAGGGTGAGCAAAACAGACAAGACTGGAGCTGCCAGTCGTGGGGTGGGGATTCACACAGTCAACAAAATGAACATCTGAAATCTGGCACGTTAGATGGTGAAAGTGCTAAAGAGGAAATTAAGCAGGTTCTGGACTTTGCCAGTCTGAGAGGTGGGGAGCAGCCTCTCCTGGTGGTTTTAGTTTGTGTGTGCGTAGCTCTCCACCCACCTCGTCTGATGGTTCCCCAGTGAGTCTCACTGGTCACACTCCCACCAACACTGCTGTGGGGTGGCCTTCCTGCCATTCTCGCTAAACCAATGTTAGTCTTTCCTCCTTGGACACACCTCGGCCATGTATAAATTACCCATTGTCACAGGAATGCAAGTGAGGCAACCACAGCTCCTCCGTAGCGCACACAGTGCACATTTATTATTGCTCCCAAGTCCACGGGCCAGTTGGGCAGTCCTGCTAACCTGGCCAGGCGTGGCTGACACCTGCTGGGCCTGAACGTGTGTCTGTGGTCACCTGGCAGCTCAGCTGGTCCGGGATGGCCTCAGCCAGGATGGCTCATGTCTGTGCCACGTGGTCTCCAGCTGGTTAGCTCTGGCGTGTTCTCATTGTGGAAACAGAGGTCCAAGAGAAAGATTAGAAACACACAGGTGTTTAATTTAGGATCTTGAAGATGGAGAGCACTCCTTCAATGATTAAGATAGACTTGAGATGGAGATTGAGATTTTATTACTTCCTGGGGGATACGTGGTGCACCTGGGGGCCACACACACGCGGGGAAGTCAGGGGCGGCAGGTGGGGGGTGGGGGGGAGGTGTGGGCCTGGGGCACTGGCTTTCACTGGGGTCCAGGATGGGGAACATGAAAGTCCGGTAGTGGTTGGGCACTTTAAAGCAAGCAGGCCTGAGATTTGAAACAAACCAATGCAAAGTCCTTTCCTGGACGGAGGTGTTATTTTGGAATCCTGCTGGCCTGGAGGTCAGGTGTGGGTTTGGGGAAGGAGCTCTCTGGGCTGAAGTAGAGGAAAGACAGCAGGAATTTATCATCTAAGTTAGGTGGCCAATCAGACGTGGAGGCTGAGGTAGTATGCGTGCCGTAAACCTCAACACCCACAGACTCTTGCACCTGGGCTCCGAACTAGCAGGGCCGCTGCTTTTGCCACATTGTGTTGGCAGCCAGTCAAGAGGCCAGCCCAGGGTCAAGGCTCCTGGCCACGAGAGTCACTGCAGAGTCCTGCTGCCATGGTGGGGATTAAGGAGGGGGAGAATGCAGGCGGTCAGTTCAGTGGGTGCCCCCGTGCCTGACCACCAAGCCCCAGACCCCGTGCCAGTGCTTCACGTGCCTCCTCTCATTTAGTTCCCATAGTGACCCTACAGCAAAGGGATTACGAGTCCCTTCCCACCGTGGTGTCAACCTGTGCCTGGCCATGGCCTAGGGCGAGGAAGTGTTGAGCCCAGCTCTGAACCCAGATCTGTTGACATAAAAGGCATCTCTGTGTTTTCTGCTTGGGTCCTGGCACAGGGCTCCCCAGGTTAGAGGCTGGCTCGACCCTTCACTAGCTGTGTGACCTCAGGCAAATTGCTTAACTGTCCTGGGCCTCAAGATTTCTCATCTGTAAAAGGGGCTTACTGTTGGCTTCCTCCCAGAGCTGTGTTCTCAATGGGAAGAAAGCCTGCAGTGGACACCAGGTGCAGGGGAGGCCTGCCACAGAGCAGAGCTCCACTCATGGCTGGCGTCCCGGATGCTGTGGTTCCAAGTCCTGAGGCCCTGCTGAGAGGGTGGCGGCCTTCGAGCCCTGGGCTGCATCCTGTTCACGCACCCAGGCCAAGGCAGCAGATGCGGCTTTCCTGAGGCTGAACCATGCCTAGGAGTCCTTGGCCTCCTGAGCCTTCCAGAATCCTGGGGGCCTCAGTGAGCTGGAGTTCAGGATCTGTGCTGCGAGTTTCCCTGCGGGCAATGTCGGCATCCTCTACCTGCCAGCACCTCCTCGAGGCTAGGCCAGGCTGTGGGCCTCTAGGACCTCTGGCCTGCAGCATCCGGGGCTTTGAGGTGAAGCTTCTGGTTGAGATCAGAATTGTGTGGGCTGGGGCTCTGGTGGGACCTCCACCCCCTTGTCCACTCCTCGGCCTCCATGCTGGGAAAGTGGGCTTGGGGCCAAGTTGCAGTGAGATTGAGCCTGCTTTGGCCCTCAGAGAGTGAATTCCTGCCTCTGCCGCTCGTGGCTGTGTGACCTCAGGCAAGCGACTCACCCTCTCTGAGCCTCAGTTTCTGCATCTGTACAATGGGGCGGTCCTGTTAGTCTCAGGATTACTGAGAGGAGCAGGCGGGCTAACGGCAGCCAGCACAGAGTGCTGCTCCGGGCCACGGGCTGCTTGCCTCATCCTGCCAGAGGTTCTGCAGGAACTGGGGTGGCGGGGGAGGGATGAGAAGAGGGCTTTGTGTTCTTGTTTCTTCAAACAGATGTAGATGTGTATCTTCTGGTGGCCAGAAGTTGTCCCCTCTGGCAAAAGAGCAGAGGAGCCAGGCCTGGCAGGGTTGGGCAGGGGCCGTTCCGCTGCTATGTTTGCCACTCCAGCTGCCTCCAGATGTGCAGCAGCGTGTTCCTCACTGGCTGTCTCCCTCCCATGCTGCACTCTTGTTTCGGCCCCTGCCAACTGCGTCAGCAAACGCGCGAGCTGCGAGACCCCTCCTTCAGCCATACTGCCTGGCTGCAAGGCTGGCTTCCCACAGACAAGGGGAGGGGCACCCTCCTCTACTGAGTCTGCATGCGGGGCCCTCTTTGCCACCCTCACAGGTCACCCTGCATCAGTGGAGCATTTATTATGTGCCAGGCACTGTGTTAATCACTGGACGCGTATCAGTCCATTATGTGTCGTGACCCCGTGAGGGGATGTCATCATTATGTCCATTTTGTAGACGAGGTGACTGAGGCCCAGGCAGGTTAAGTGAATTGTCCATGGTTCCTGAAACCAGTGAAGTAGACGTTTGCCAACCCCTGACTTGGCCCCCTGCACCGGGCACTTCCACCTCCTGCCTGCTGACTCCCTGAGTTTGCCTGGCTGCCCAGTGTGAGCAGGCATTTCCCTGTTGTGGGCAGACTGAGGCTTCAGGACTGTCTGGATGGCTGGCCCTCAAGGGGCAAAGCTGAGCCCAGGGCAAGCTGGCAGGCCTCAGGCTCTGCACTCGCCCCCCTGCCCCAACCCCTCAGGCCTCTCCCTGGTACCTTCCTGGTCAAGGTCTAGGCCGGTGGACCTGGTGGGACTGTGGTTCCAAGTATAGTCAAGGGCCACATAAGGACGTTTTGGTCAGTGATAGACCCCATATATAAAGGTGGGATTAGCAGGTAGGCAAGCCTGCCTGGCACAGAGGGCCCAGAACCTGGGGGTGGAGGAGTAGGGAGAGAGGGAGTGAGAGGCTTTCTCTCCTGCTTCCAGCCCCGTCCTCTAGCCTGCCCCCCTCACCTTTTGGGTGCCAGAGATTCAGCAGGAACCACAAAGGTGAAGACCCTTAGGGATGAGGGTCCCTGCTGTTAACTCCAGCGACTGTGGCCAGCTGGCCTTTAGAATGCATGCAATGGAGAAGCAGCACTAGAAGTCTGGGAGTGAAACAGCTTGTTGGAAAGTGGGGGCCGTGGGGACCAGAGACTGTACCTAGAACACAAGGGCAGTCGCTCCTGCTGTTGCCCTGGGGCCGTGGAGGCCTGGCATGGTCCAAGATTTTGGATTTTCTACAAGAAGCCTGGGATCTGGAACTTCATATGACAGCTCCCAATTTGTAAATATTAGCAATTCGTTCACATATTTTTAAAGCACCCACAAAGTACACTACAGGCACCTGCTTGCTGCCATAGCTTGGACTCTCCCTCTGCCACCCCTCCTGACACCACTAGGATGACACAGAGGTCCAGTGCTGGGTGAGGAGCTGGCTGAGAGCTCTGCAGGTGCAGAGGATGGGGGCCCAGGAGCCCTGACTCCAACCCAGGCTCTCTCTGCCCAGACCTCCCATCCCAGCTGAGTCAGAGCTGGTGGGATCAGTGTCATGGTGAGGCTACATGGAGGGCTGAGGGCAGGGACCTGCAGGTTACTGTGCAGTACCTGGACCAGCAACAGTGGGAGCTCCACCCCTGGCCTGCAGGGGAGACTGGTGAGAGCCGAGGCTCCAGGGAGTAGCCGTGGCCATAGGTAGAGGCAACTGTGCCTGTATGGGGACCCCAGGATGCCACCCTCCAGGCCAGCCTCCCTCAAGAAAGAGCAGGGCTGACGGGTGGAAGGTGGGTCTAGGGCAGATAGGGAGTGGGCAGTAGGCTTTGGGGAGGATGGCCGTGCGGGTATGGTGGTTGGGAATCAGGGACTGTCCGCAATGCCACCACACAGGCATGGGCGTGAGATGAGCAGCCTCAAGCTCATCTCTGTGTGCTCCTCACATGCTCACACGGGAGGAGTTAGAGTGAGCTCAGATGCCCAGGTAGAGATGCCATGTTGGCGGTGGGAACTTGAGCATGGAGCTCAGGGCACAGGTCTAAGCTAGAGGTGGAAGCTGATCAGAGAATGGCTGTGCTTCTGTCCCTTCCCCACCAAGCTGGCCCACCTGGCAGTTGGGGCTGGGTTGGTGGTGGGTGAGTGATGGAGGACGACCTCACAATTCCTCATCTGTCACCGTGTGGCCCCTGGAGCCTGGATGCAGGAGCAGGGAGGCCAAGGGTCTTGCCAGAGGTTGCTTGGCTGGTGGGGGCATGGCTGGGCTTTGAGTGGAGCTCTCTGGCTTCCTGGCTTTGTGCCTCACACCCCCCACCAGCCGTGGCCATCAGGATAGAAGTGTTTCCTGCTTGGCGTGAGGCTGGTGAGCGTGTTACCCTGACCTCTCCTAGGCACCTTTGATCAGTGCTGATTGCTTCACTTTGAGTGTGCAGAGTGGCCAGTTATTCTGCAGGAGCAACTAGACAGAGGAAGGATGTATTTTAGTGGGGGGTGTGCATGGGGGAATCAGATCAATCAGTGCCTGGTCAAGTTCTAGGAAGGCGGGCCTGGTGGTACAGTCAAGCGCTGCATAATGACATTTCCATCAATGATATACTCTATATGTGATGGTCCCATACGATTATGGTGAAGCTGAAGGAGCTGAAAAATGCCTTTTGCCTAGTGACAGCGTAGCCATTACTCGTGTTTGTGGTGATGCTGGTATAAGCAAACCTACCGCACTGCCAGTAATACAAAAGCCTAGCACATGGGCTGGGCGTGGTGGCTTATGCCTGTAATCCCAGCACTTTGGGAGGCCAAGGCAGGAGAATCGCTTGAACCCAGGAGGCGGAGGTTGCAATGAGCCAAGATCGCACCATTGCACTCCAGCCTGGGCAACAAGAGTGAAACTCTGTCTCAAAAAAGCAAAACAAAACAAAACAAAAAGCCTAGCACGTGTAGTTAGTTACAGTGCATCATACTTGATAATGAATGTCTGTGTTACCAGTTTATGTATTTACTATGTTTTTGTTGTTATTTTGGTAGGCCTAGGGCACTACTGTGCGCTAGTGTGTTATTTGGCTTTCTACTTATTTGAAAAATAGTTAACTATAAAACAGCCTCTGGCAGGTCCTTTGGGAGGTATCCAGGAGAAGGCATTGCTATCATAGGAGATGACAGCTCCCTGCATGTTACTGCCCCTTAAGACGTCCCAGCGGGATAAGATGTGGAGGTGGAAGGCGGTAATATTGATGATCCTGACCCTGTGTAGGCCTAGGCTAGTGTGTGTGTTTATGTCTTAGTTTCTTTTTTTCTTTTTTCTTTTTTTTGAGATGGATTCTCGCTCTGTCCCCTAGGCTGGAGTGCAGTGGCGTGATCTCAGCTCACTGCAACCTCTGCCTCCTGGGTTCAAGCTATTCTCCTGCTTCAGCCTCCTGAGTAGCTGGGATTACAGGTGCCCGCCACCACGCCAGGCTAATTTTTGTATTTTTAGTAGAGACGGGGTTACACCATGTTGGTCAGGCTGGTCGTGAACTCCTGACCTCGTGATCCGCCTGCCTAGGCCTCTCAAAGGGTTGGGATTACAGGCATGAGCCACCACGCCTGGCGTATGTCTTAGTTGTTTTTTTTTTTTTTTTTATTGAAATGGAGTCTTGCTCTGTCACCCAGGCTGGAGTGCAGTGGCGTGATCTTGGCTCACTGCAACCTCCACCCCTGGGGTTCAAGCAATTCTCTTGCCTCAGCCTCCTGAGTAGCTGGGACTACAGGCGCATGGTGCCATGCCCAGCTAATTTTTTTTTTTTTTTTTTGTATTTTAGTAGAGACGGATTTTACCATGTTGCCCAGGCTGGTTGCTAACTCCTGAGCTCAGGCAATCCGCCTGTCTCAGCCTCCCAAAGTGCTGGGATTATGGGATGGAGCCACCTCACCCGGCCTATGTCTTAGTTTTTAAGAAAAAAGATTTAAAAGTTAAAAAAAAAAAATTGAAAATAGGCTGGGTGCGGTGGCTTATGCCTGTAATCCCAGCACTTTGGGAGGCTGAGGGCGGATCACCTGAGGTCAGGAGTTTGAGACCAGCTTGGCCCACATGGTAAAACCCCATCTCTACTAAAAATACAAAAATTAGCCGGTCACAGTGGCGCAGGGCTGTAATCCTAGCTACTCAGGAGGCTGAGGTAGGAGAATCGCTTGAGCCCGAGAGGCGGAGTTTGTAGTGAGCCCAGATTGGGCCACTGCATTCCAGCCGGGGTGACACAGCGAGACTCCGTCTCAAAAAAAAAAAAAAAAATAAATAAATAATTAAAAAAATAATAAAAACACATATAGAGTAAGGATATAAAGAAATATTTTTCTATAGCTGTACAATGAGGGCATTTATGTTTTAAGGTAAGCGTTATTACAAAAGGGTAAAAAATTAAAATTTATAAAGTAAAAACATTACAGTAAGCTAAGAGGAATTTATTATTGAAGAAAGAAAAATATTTTAAACTAAATTTAGTGTAGCTGAAGTGTCCAGTGTTTCTAAAATCTGCAGTAGTGCACAGTAGTGCCCTAGGTCTTCAAATGCACTCACCACTCACTCATTGAGTCACCCACGGCAGCATCCAGTCTGCAAGCTCCATGCATGGTAAGGGCCCTGTAAACCAAAAATAAAATTCTAAGGCCCCCCGCCACCAACCATCTAACTGGACTTCCTTCTCAGCAGGCGCTCTTAAAATTTAACTTGAAAGACTGGTTCAGGCCATGAAGGGAAGTGGGGGTCAGAGAGGCCTCATTATATCTCTCACATTAACTTCAGCACAGACTTTAAGTCTGATAAGAAACATTTTACAGCCTAGCTAAAAGCTTCATCTGCATGATAAAACTACACCATGCACAACCTCTTATCCCAACCCAAACATCATTCCTTTCTATTGATCCCAGGTCTTTAGACAAACTCAACCAATTGTCAACCACAAAATGTTTAAATTTACCTGTGGCCTGGAGGCACCCCCCAATCTTGCTTTGAGTTGTCCTGCCTTTCTGGACCAAACTAATGTGTTTCTTAAATGTGCTTGATTGATGTCTCCTGCCTCCCTAAAATGTACAAAACCAAGCTGCACTCCAACCACCTTGGGCACAAGTGGTCAGGACTTCCTGAGGTTGTGTCTTGGGCATGTATCCTCAACCTTGGCAAAATACTTTCTGAATTAACTGAGACCTGTCTCAGATTTTCTGGGCCTGCAGGCCCTATACAGGCGAACCACTTTTTATCTTTTATATCATACTCTTACTGTGCCTTTTCTGTGTCTAGCTTTGTTTAGATTCACAAATACTTACCATTGTGTTCCAGTTGCCTGTAGTACTCAGTACAGTCATGTTCTGGACAGGTGTGTCGCCTAGGAGCAAGGCTATATCATGCAGCCCAGGTGTGTAGTAGTCTATGACACTTAGGTGTGGGTAAGGACACTCTTATGTCCTCACACGATGACGACACCACCTAACCACGCATTTCTCAGAACGTGACCCCTTCGTTAAGTGACGCATGATTGTGTGGGGTGAAGGGAAATGGAAAGCTGCCAGGCGGAGGCACGGGGCGTTTGGTTCTGGAAGGGCCCCAGCCTGGCCCTGTGGCTTCTCATTGGGAACCCTGAGCTCCAGGTCCCAGACCACCTTGGCTTTGCTCTGGCAGAGCACGGCTGGTGGCTGCTCCCAGGGTACCTGCTGCCTCTTCTCCAGGCAGGACTTCTGAGTCAACGCCTCCCCGGCCAGCACGGATCACCCGAGGCTTTGCAGAAGACCACGCTGGACAGTGCTGGTGCCCCACTGCCTGTTTACTTCTAAGAGAAAAAAAGATCCAGTTTATATTATGTGATATTTTTACTTTGATTTTTTATCAATCATTATTTATGTTTCTAAAAAGGTATGTTTACGTTTCTCATAGTAAATACTGGTGTGGGAACACCAAAATTGCTATGTAGTTAAATATCTCTTATTAAACTGTACGTATGATGGGCTGGAAATTAAGCGAGAAAGAAAAAGCAACAGAATTAAATCATTTATAAGATTCATCTATAAGTAACACAAAACATCATTCTAAGAATCAGAATTACATCAAACTTCAGTTTGAGCAGAAGTATAGTCTCTTAGGTAATAGCAGTTCCTTAAATAATAATGAAAGAGAGAATTCATAGTTCTTTCTGAGAAGGGACAGTGCACACTTTTAGTGCCTTGCAAGTTCCACACATTCTTTTTAAACAGAGTTAAACTTGTCAAGAATTTCTGTGCTTCTCCTGAATCAGGGCAGGCCAGAGTTGTGCAAGATACTTTTCTCTCTTTTGCATAGAGTTGGCCCCTAGACATCGCAACAAAAATAACCCATGAAAATGCGGATGACAGTCGCACACATCACTGGCTCCCTGGAAGGCTGTGGAAGGGTGAGGCTTGTCCATGGGTCCTCTGACTGCGAACATACCACTTTCCAGAGCTTTCTAAGGAGCAGCTGGAAGTCAAATACTATGGGGTCTCACAGCCCCTCCCACCCATGTTGTTGAAGCCCACCATCAAGCCCCCTTTGGTAACTGTGACTCTCCCAGCCACAGCTCACTAACATCCCAGGGTTCCACCTGGAACCCCAGTCCACACTAAGCAGCTGGGACAGACTTTCAGTGGGGCTATTTGAGGGGGAAGGGGGCTCAGTGAAGAAGGGCCTCAGCCTCATCATTGTCCAGTGCTCTCTCTCATTTGGGACACACACACACATGGATATTTCAGTCTTGACACTGTATCTTGCAACTCTAAAAAATAGCGATATTCTCTAATATTATCACATACCATGACCCTATACTTCACACAATTACCAATTCCCTAATGCCTTCTAATACTCCAACTATATTAATCTCTCTCTTCTTCTTCCCAAAGGGTACCGTATAGCTCGTTTTATAAAAGCAATGTCTAATCAAGGATGATTAGATATTTGGTTTATTTTTGGTTGTTAATGTCTCCTGAGTTTCCTTCTTTCTTAAAGTTTCTATTGAAGCATAATGTACATGCTCTTGAGTGTCTTTTAATCCAGATTAATATAACAGTACTCGTCTTAGAGCTTTTTATTAGAGTAAAATGTATAGACAGTAAAGCAACAAGCCTTAATAGAACAGCCCAGCAAGTTTCTTCTTATGTGTAAACCCAGGCATTCCACAGTCAAGATAGAAAGCATTTCAAGCACCCCAGAGTTTTCCTGGTGCCCTTTCTCAGTTCTTAACCCCATCGCTGCTGGAAACCATTATTTTGACTTTTATCACCATCTATTACTCTTGCCAATTATTTTTTATTTTTTTGTAGAGATGGGGTCTACCTATGTTGCCCAGCTGGGTCTCAAACTCCTGGCCTCAAGCAATCCTCCTGCCTCGCCCTCCCAAAGTGCTGGGATTATAGGCAGGAGCCACCATGCCTGGCCTAACTCTTGCCTAGTCTTTAATTTATTTATTTATCGAGACAGAGTCTCACTCTGTTGCCCAGACTGGAGTGCAGAGGTGCCATCTTGGCTCACTGCAACCTCCGCTTCCCAGGTTCAAGTGATTCTCATGCCTCAGCCTCCCAAGTAGCTGGGACTACAGGTGCCCACCACGATGCCTGGCTAATTTTTGTATTTTTAGTAGAGACGGGGTTTTACCATGTTGGCCAGGCTGGTCTTGAACTCCTGACCTCAAATGATCTACCTGCCTCAGCCTCCCAAAATGCTGGGATTACAGGCGTGAGCCACCATGCCCAGCCCTGTTTTGTTTTCTGTTCTTGAATTTATTTTGAATGATGGGAACATACAGCGTGATCTTGCTTGTGTTTGGCTTCTTTAGCTCAAGGTAAGGTATTTGAGACTCATGCATATTGGTGCATATAGCAGTAGTTCATTTTTAGAAAATTACTCCTTATGATTCCATTGTAGGAATAAATCATAGTTTTAAAAATCAGTTTTAGTGTCGATGGACATTTGGGTTCCATGCTGCACACTGTTGCTGTGAGCATTCTCGTCTGCGTCTTTGGAAGACTTAGGCATCCATGTCTGTTGGATACATACTGAGGACTGGAGTTGCTGCATCAAAGGTTATGTTTAATGTTAGCAGATACTGCCAAATGGTTTTCCAAAGTACATTGCCAATTTGCATCCCTACCAGCCATGCATGAGAGTTCCATTTGCTCCACATTTCTGCCAACTCTGGCGGTTGCCATTCTTTGTAATTTTGGCCAGTCTGGAGGATGTGCAGTAATAGCTCACTGTGGCCTTTATTTGCCTTCTCTTACAAGTTATGATGTTGTCTACATTTTCATATTACTCTTGGCTATTTTGTTGTCATTTGCCTATTTTAAAATTAAGTTTCTTTGTCTTATTGATTCATAGGGGTTTTAAAAATATGTTCTGGTTATGAGTCTCTTGTTGGATTCCACATAGGTGATCTCATTCTATGACTTGCCTTTTTACTCTCTTAATAAAACTTTCTGATGAATTCATTGCAAATGTTGTCATCTGAGGAACACAAGTTCCAAATTGGAATGAAGTATCATCTATTGATCTATATATTTATGTTAGTACATTTTGTATTAACAAATGGCCCCTAGACATCTCACATGGGGTTTCACCATGTTGGCCAGGCTGCCCTTGAACTCCTGACCTCAAGTGATCCACCTACCTCAGCCTCCCAACGTGCTGGGGTTACAGGCGTGAGCCACCACACCCGGCCAATGTTTTCTGGCCTCTTTTTTCTGTTCCATTATCTGTCTTTGCACCATTACCACTCCGTCTTGATTACTGTAGCCTTGTAGTAATTTTTAGTATCTGCTAGTGAGAGTTTTCCAGCATTGTTCTTCTTTTTCAAGATTTTGTGTCCTGTTTAAGAAATTGATGTCTCTCCCAAGGTCATAAAGATATTTTTCTGTAATATCCTAGATGTTTTATTGTTTTACCTTACACATTTAGCTCCTTAGTGCATCTGGAACTTGTTTCTGTGTATGGTGTGAGTAGGAATCAAAATTCAGTTTTTTACTGATAGACATTCAGCTGGCCCAGCACCATGTGTTGAAAAGGCCATCTTTCCCCTACTGCGTTACATTGTTAGCTTCTCCAGGAATCCAGTGGCTGCATCTGTATGGTCTGTTTCTGGCCTCTCTTTTCTTTTTTTTTTTTTTTTTTTATTTTGAGCCAGAGTCTCACTCTTGCCCAGGCTGGAGTGCAGTGGTGCAATCTCAGCTCACTGCAACCTCCACCTCCTGTGTTCAAGCGATCCTCCTTCTGCCTCAGCCTCCCGAGTAGCTGGGATTACAGGTGCCTGCCACCACACCCATCTAATTTTTGTTTATTTAATAGAGACAGGGTTTCACCATGTTGGCCAGGCTGCTCTCGAACTCCTGACCTCAAGCAATCCACCCACCTCAGCCTCCCAATGTGCTGAGATTACAGGCGTGAGCCACCACACCCGGCCAATGTTTTCTGGCCTCTCTTTTCTGTTCCATTATCTATCTTTGCACCATTACCACTCTGTCTTGATTACTGTAGCCTTGTAGTAATTTTTAATATCTGCTAGTGAGAGTTTTCCAGCGTTGTTCTTCTTTTTCAAGATTGTTTCAGCTGTTCTGGGTCCTTTGCATTTCCATTGAAATTTGGAATTAGCCCTTTTAAAAGGCTGCTAGCATCTCAATTGGTATTGTATTGAATCTGTAGCTCAGATTTGACAGAATTGACATCTCAATATTAAGTTTCCAGCCCATGAACATGATATATCCCCCTATTTATTCAGGTTGTTTTTATTTTCTTTTGGGAGTGTTTTGTCATTTTTAGTGTAGAGTTCTTGTATATCTTTAATTAGATGTATTCTTAGCTAATTGATGTTTTTAATACTATTGCAAATTGTATTGATTTTAACCCTTTATTTTCTAAGTATTTCTGGCTTATATTAGTTTGCTTTGGCAACAGTTTATTTAGCTCATTCTGTGAGTTGGGAATTTGGGCTGGGCTCTGCTGATGGGGGCCAGGTGTGGCTGAGCTCGCTCAGGTGTTTGTGGTCAGCTGGGAGCTCAGCTGGGAGATAGCTGGTCTGGGATGGCCTCTGCTGGGATGGTTGTCTATGCTCTCTCATCCTCCATCAGCCCAGCCCGGACTACAGAGTCCCAGGAGAGACAGCAGAAGCCACAAGGCCCCTTTGGATTTCACATGTGCCATATCCTGTTGTCCAGGGCAACATAGTCACGAGGTCAGCCCAGATTCAACAGGTGGGGAAATAGATGCCACTTCTCAATGGGAGGAACTGCAAAGCATTGAGGTGATTTCTGCAGTCATCACAGATAGGATGGCAATATTCACACTGAATTTAGCAGCCACCTCTGGAGGGTTGGATCTTCATTGGAGTCCTGCACATGTTAACTACCCGGGCATGGGTTAAAGTTAATCTGCACACTCACATTGTGATATAAACATAAGGAAATGTTTTCAAGTTTGTCTCTGGTAGACAACAGCCTGGGCTTTGGGGACAGGCAGAGCTGCATTCCAATCTCAGTACAGTCACTTTCTTCACCTTTAAGGGGAAGGTAATTGGCTGGGCGCAGTGGCTCATACCTGTAATCCCAGCACTTTAGGAGGCTGAGGTGGGTGGATCACGAGGTCAGGAGTTCAAGGCCAGCTTGGCCAGCATGGTGAAACCCCGTCTCTACTAAAAATACAAAAATTAGCCGGGCGTGGTGGTGTGCCCCTGTAGTCCCAGCTACTCGGGAGGCTGAGGCGGGAGAATTGCTTGAACCTGAGAGGCAGAGGTTACAGTGAGCTGAGATCGCGCCACTGCATTCCAGCCTGGGCGACAGAGTGAGACTCTATCTCAAAAAAAAAAAAAAAAAAAGTGGAAGATAATTGCCCCTAGCCTGCAGGGTTGTGGGGAGAATTAAGTGGGTGACATATTCAGAAGTCCCCAGCACGGGCGGCTGAATTAAGTGGGTGACATATTCAGAAGTCCCCAGCGTGGGCGGCTGTAACCATTAGCAAGTATGAATTCTTCTTCTCTCAGCCCTGGAAGCAGCCGGTCTTAAGCCAGTGTACCTCGTCTTCCTCTGCCCCTGACACTGCAAGCTTTTATAACACTCATTTTACCTCCACTTCAGAGTTGAGCTGAGTTACAGTTGACAAGCTGGTATCTTGTAAAATGTATAGACTTTTAAGTGAACATTTTCCCAGTTCTTTTCTGTGGTTGTCTCTTTAGATTTTGGAGCCATTATATTTTCTTCCCAGGCCCAGGAGTCAAGCATTTTTTCTGGAGACTTTTGGAAAGCTCGTAGACCCCAGTGGGTGGGTAGGATACTGAGGGTGCGGTTAAACCCACCCTCCTTGACGTTTGGGGGCTGCTTGTTGAAACATGGGCAGAGTTCCGTCGCTCAGAGACCCACTTGCCCGGGCTTGATGGGCTGGGGGTGGTGCTGGGCAGGGCAGAGGTCCCTGCTATGATGGGCTTCTCTCTGGATGGAGCAGAGGTCCCTGCTGTGATGGGCTTCTTTCTGGGCGGGGCAGAGGTCCCTGCTGTGATGGGCTTCTCTCTGTGCTCAGACCCTGTCTCTCACCATTCCTGGGCTCAGGGGACCTGCAGCTTGGGCAGCTTTGATTCCTGTCCTGGGGATTGGGGATAACCTCACAAAATAAGCCTGTCGTTTAAACCCTGTATGTTTAAACCCTTGGGCACATCACTCTGCCTCCCTGGGTCTTGGTTTTCCCAGCTGGGTGGTGGCTGTTACTAAAGTGATCCTGGCTCCGTGGGCTCTGGAGGGAGGGGGAGCCCTAGCCCCCGACCTGGGCCCAGGAAACAGCTTTTGCCAGGCTTCTCAAGCTGGCAGAGCTGAATGGTCAAGCTGGCTTTCAGGTGACACTCAGCTGGGGACACAGAGGGACCCCAGAGCCCGGGCTCCCAGGTCCAGACCCTATGCAGGATGGTGCACAGCTGAGAGCCTGCTGTGAGAGTGGGCTTGGGGAAGGGGCCAGAGGGGTGGCAGGGAGGGCCTTGCTTCCCTTGGAAGAACTGATGAAGATGGGGACTTGAACTTCCGTTCCCTTCTTTCCTTTCTTTGATGCTTGGCTCAGGAGCCTGCACTCTGGAGCCATGCAGCTGGGGTGAGATCCTGCGGCTGCCCCGGCTGGGTGTGTGGTCTGGGGCAAGCTGTGCCTTCTCTTTCCACAGCTGTCTGCTGGTCTGCAAAATGGGGGCTGAGGCTGGGACGTTCCTTCTAGAGCCAGAGGGAAGATACCGTGGGTGCAGGGTGGGGTCTAGCAGGCAGCTCTGCCAAGCCTGAGATCCGGCCGGTTGGCTGGACTGGCCAGGCTGGGGTGTCCAGACAGTAAACACCCACAGAGGAGAAGGTGATGTGAGGGCCACAGAAAGCAGTGGGGATGCAGAAGCCGGTGCTGAGGGGGCTGGCTGGGGCTGCTCTGCCTGCTGAGGAAGGCATCCCTCAGGCTGAGTTGGGTGAGCTCAGGCAGAGCCCGCTGCCTGGCCGCTCCTGCTGTTTCTTAGCCATCCCCTGCTGGTTTCTGTGATCCCGGGGAGGAAGGCAGACCCAGGTTCAGAAACCCTTTCTGTCTGTCCATTTTACAGTCCTCATAAAAAAAAACTCAAGGCGCCTCCACAGACCTTCAGGTAACCCTCCCACCCTGTCCCTCCACACCCCCAGGAGAACACCAAGGCTGGCGGGAACATCAGGGCTGCAGCCTTCTGTGTGCTGTTTGCTCAGGCCCCACAAATATCCTGTCCAAACAGGGGCCTGGCGGAGATGGCCCTGTCACCACCCTCCTGCCAGGTGTGGAAACTTCTCTGCAGCATTTTCAAAGCCGGAATTCTTTAAGGCTTTAATGTCAAGGGACTGGGACTGGCTAGAGCGGTCATGACCTCTGCACTGGATTGTTCAGGGAACCCATTGTCCTATGATCAAAGGAGCTTAGAATCCTCAGAAAATGGGTAATACCTGCATAAGATAAGAAACAAATACAAATTACAAAAGGGGTAAACAGTCAGTTTCCTTCCTCCCTCCCCAGGGCTGAGTCCTTCCCCAAGATAGCCACAGTTACCAGTTTCTTGGGTATCCTTCCAGAAATAATCCATGCATATCCATGTATCTTTTTAGGAAGACAAATGGTAGCTTATTAGAGATACTATTCAGGATTGACCCTTAAAAAATTCTTCATAGTACATGTGGAAATTCTTTCATGTAAGTGCATGCAGATCTAACGCTTTTTAACAGCTGCATACGATTAGATGGATATAGCATCAGTTTTGCTTTGTTTTGAGGTAAGGTCTTGCTCTGTCTCCAGGCTGGAGGGCAGTGGCGTGATCACTGCTCCCTGCAGCCTAGACCTCCTGGGCTCAAGGCATCCTCCTGCCTCAGCCTCCCAAGTAGTGGGGACCACAGGTGCATGCCACCATGCCTGGCTAATTTTTAAAATTTTGTTGGGAGATGGAGGCTCACTGTGTTACCTAGGCTGGTCAGCATCAGTTATTTAATCACTGCCCTGCAGGTGGGATTTAGGTTGTTTCTGGATCTTTGCTGTCACAAATGCAGGTGCATCAGAATCTGTGATGCTCCTGTTTGTGTTCATGGGAGCATCTCATCTATCAGCAGATTAGATCCCTACAAGGAGAATTGCAGGGTCACAAATTTTTTACACTGCAATGCATTTTTATTATTTTTTAAATCACATAACATGACATTTTCCATTTTTAGTTGTGCTCTTCCAAGGCATAAATTACATCCACCTCGTTGTGCAGCTGTCACCACCATCCACCTCCAGAAATTTTTCATCTTCTCAAACTGAAACTCTGTCTCCATTAAACCCTAACTCCCTATATCCCCACTCCCAGCCCTTGGCACCCACCATTCCATTTTCTGTCTCTATGAATTGACTACTCTAAGGACCCCATACAAGTGGAATCATAGTCTTTATCCTTGTGTATCTGGCTTGTTTCACTTACCTTGATTTTATTTTTAAAATTTATTATTTAAATTTAAAAAATAAATTAGTTTTTTATTTATTATTTAAATTTAAAAAATAAATTTGTTTATTTATTTATTTATTTATTTTAGATAAGGTCTTGCTCTGTTGCCCAGGCTGAAGTGCGGTGGCACGATCATAGCTCAATGCAGCCTTGACCTCCTGGGCTTAAGTGATCCTCCTCCCTTAGCCTCCCAAGTAGCTGGGACTATAGGCACACACCATCATGCCTGGCTAATTTTTAAATTTTTTGTAGAGATGGAGTCTGGCTGTGTTTCCCAGGCTGGTCTTGAACTCCTGGCCTCAAGCAACCCTCCTGCTTCAGCCTCCCAAAATGCTGGTATTATAGGTGTGAGCCACTACATCTGGCCTGGATCTATTTTTAAAAGACTCTTTTAGTCTTTAGTCTTAGAGTTTTCTGATCATACTACCTTTTTCAGTACTGTCTTTGTTTGGGAGGAGAGCAGTTCAGGAAGTGTCCACATGGGCAGCAGGACAGAAACCATAGGGTCGCCCCTGACACCCCACTCCAGTTACCACCGTCCTGATGGCAGTCAGCAAGAGTTCCCTCCTTTTCCTTATAATTTTACCCCCGAACAATCTTGCTTCATTCTTCTCTGTTGTTGAGTCTCACATGAAAGGCTGTGTGCAGTATTCCCCTGTGACCTGCCTCTTTCCCTGGTGCAGTGTTGGTGTGCTCCTTGTGGGTTATTGCACGTGGTGGCAGTGAGGTGGCTGGCATCATGTGGTCACACTGCAGCCTATGGACCCTTTCTCTCATTTGTGGGCACTTGGAAACCACCTGGAGACCACCAGAATACTCAGGGTCGTGGGTGTGGCGCCTTCTGCTTTACCAGGGGACAGTGAGTGGTTTTCCAGAGTGGACCTGCTCTGTGCCACTTGGCGTGGGAACAGCAGGGTTCCTGCTGGGCAAGGGTTGTGCTCACCCTGCTGCCAGGCCCGGAGCCCTGATGCTGTGAAGTCAACCGTGGCAGTGTGTTCTGAAGCTGGGATGTTGCTGGGCCATGTCACTGCCAACCCCAGGAGGCCAGAGAGAATCTCTGAGTTGAGGCTGGGCTGTCAGAGTGGGAGAGCACCTGCGTCTCTCTTTCCACAGTGCTGCTGAGAACCGGCAGGTGGGGAAGGCATTGCTCCCCCTCGGCCTGAGCTCCTGCAAAGCAGCAAAGTGGACAGAAATGGAGAATTCTCGAAAAGCCAGAGGAAAGAGGAGGCAGGGTAGGCGTGGCTGAAGGCTGCACCAGCTTCTACTGCTGAAGGGATGGTTGCTAATCCTTCCATGGATTTGTCTGCCCCTTTGTTAATTAACTTGGAAAGTAGTCACCAAGCGTCTTTTATGTGCCAGGAGACAGGAGGCTGTGTTTACTGAGTACCAGCTATTTGCCATGCAATGAGTCTTACGTTCCCACTTGTGAAATTTGGGTGGGGAGAGTTACTTGCCCATTTTACAAGCAAGGAAATGGAGGCTCAGAAGCCGAGTGACTCGCCCAAGTGCCCCAGCCAGTGAGTGGTAGCCCAACCACACACCTGTGCTTCCAGTGGTGGAAGGACATGCCTGTGCTCATCTTGTGACCCTGGTAGCATCTGCTACATAGAAGTGGTGTAAGGGGAGGTGGCCAGTAAGGATTTGCATTCTTCCTTGTCATTTCCCTAAGGCTGTGCCCCTGGGCTCCCTCTCTTAAACTCTTAGAACCTCTTTTTACGCCTCTGGGGCAGGGAGATCATCCCACCGACCTCTTGTTGTTGATGTGAGCTTTACATGAGATGATATACACCAAGAGCCTGAAGTATTTCACCCAGCCCCAGATTTTACCAGGGACCTGGTCTGTGCTGTGTGCTGGGCACTGGAGACCCTGAAATGATTAGGCTGATTCTTGGCCCATGAGACCCTCCCAATCTGGTGATTGGGACAGCCTGCCACCCGACAGGGACATCATGGTCGAAGGACATGAGTGAAGTCAGAGGAGGGAGCTGCTTTTCCTGGGTGCTAGACAGAGCCTGCTGGACGCACAGACAGGCAGGGAGTCACATTTGGACTGGCTCATGAGGGATGGGTAGTTGGATACTCGCCAGTTGGCCAAGGTAGAAGAAGGGCATCCTAGCATGGAACAGCGTGTGCAAAGGCGTAGAACAAGAGAAGGTGTATGTGGCTGGGAGCTGAGTCTGGGCTGTGCTGTGAAGGCCCTGAGTCTCACTCCAGAGAGAGGCACTTTATCCTGTGGGGCAGTGGCTTTTCTGTGGGATCTGTGGAGCCCCAAGGCTCCCCAAGATGACTCAGGGATGTGGAAGGCCAGGGCATTGTGAGGACGACCAGGTAAGATGATGTGATGAGGGTTGAGTAGGAGTTAGTTTAGATATGGAAGTTAGGGAGACCCTCTCTGAGGAGGAGAGACCCCCAGAAAGAGAAGGAGCCTGTCCCATAGAGAGTGGGGGCAGCAGATGGCACAGGGAGAGGTGGAAGATTCCAGGCAGGCAGCATGGCAAATGCCAAGGCCTTGGGGCAGGACTGAGTCTGAGGAGCTCCTGAGTAGAGAGAGTGAGTGGGAGAGTGAGTTAGAGAAAGGAGGTCAGGAGGGGAAGTGGGCAGGACCCCACCGTGTAGGACTTTGTAAGGAAAGTGGAGACCACGGGGGGTCATAGGCGCAGGAGTGATCCAATCTGATTTGTATTTGTGGACAGTCATTCTATAGCCCTGTGGGTGATGGGCTGGAGGGTGACAGAAGTGGAAGCAAGGAGGGCAGGAGGGGGTGGTGGAGGAGGAGGTGGCTGGTGGACTGAGATGCCTTTGGAGGTGGCCCTGTGAGTGATAGACTGGAGGGAGGCGGGGGATGAGGGATTGGCCTGGGAGCGTCCTGAGGATGGTAGGGCCTTTGTTGACACAGGAAGACCCAGGGAGGGGGTGGCTTGGGAAAATCCGGAGCTGAGCAAATTCCAGCTGGGGAAGTGCCAGGGAGACATCTGGGGTGGTTTCTTGGCCAGCTGTGGGCATGTGCATGTGACATGGGGGGCGGGGGCAAGAGGAAGGTGGCATTGGAAGCTTAGAGATGAGATCAGCCAGGCCAGCGTGTGTTGGAGAAGAGAAGAAGCCCCAGGGTTGAGACTCCAAAAGTCTGGTGCTCAGGAAGTTAAAAAACACGACAGAGAGAGAGAGAGAGAGAGAGAGAGAGCGAGAGAGAGAGAGAGCGATAGAGAGAGAGAGAGAGCGCCAGGCAGGGGCTGGGGACCTGTGAGAGGTGGTCTCAGAAGGAGACCTAGAGGAGAGGAGGTGACTGCTGGGCGGAGCCTTGGAGAATCAGGGTGGAGGGCGGGGGCCTCTGGACATGAGATGAGGGTACTCACTCATCGTGCTGGGCTTTGCCTGGCTCTGCCTCCCACATTTTGGATGGCACCTGGCAATGCTACTCATGGCACCTGCACAATTTCCCCTCCTGCTGCAACTGGGTGGCCCTCCCAGCATAAGGGTCACAGCTCCTGAGCTTTGTTTGAGAAGGAAGGTGGCCAGGAGAGAATGGGGGGAATCCTGGCACCTGATCAAGGAGGAGCAGGCAGAGAGCGCCATTCAACACCCACGAAAGCAGAGCCACCTCTCGAGCTGGTGATGGTTAGAGTCCCAGAGACGACCTTCAGGATCGGCTGCATTAGGTCACCTGTGCAACAGACATGGGGACGCTCAGGCCTGGAGAAGGGAGAGTAAGAGGGGAAATTGAAGCTTGCGACTTCTTTTTTAATTTTGTACACTTTTTTTTTTTTTTTTGAGACGGAGTCTTGCTCTTGTCACCCAGGCTGGAGTGCAGTGGCGCCATCTTGGCTCACTGCAACCTCCGCCTCACGGGTTCAAGTGATTCTCCTGCCTCAGCCTCCCAAGTAGCTGGGATTACAGGTGCCCACCACCATGCCCAGCTAATTTTTGTACTTTTAGTAGAGATGGGTTTTCGCCATGTTGGCCAGGTTGGTCTCAAACTCCTGACCTCAGGTGATCCGCCCACCTCGGCCTCCCAAAGTGCTGGGATTACAGGCGTGAGCCACTGCACCTGGCCATTTGTACACATTTATGGGGCAGGTACATGTGAAATTGTGACGTGTATGTGATTCACAGTGATCACATCAGGGTGTTGAGGGTGTCCATCACCTGACTACCGTGCATTTTTGTTAAGGGTAGTCACTCTGCTTGGGATTTCTAACTCCCCAGCTCATCTGTGAAATAGGAATGCTGACAGTTCTCACTCTTAGTAACTGTGAGGTTCCTGTGCTGGGACCCTGCCTGGCTGGTTGCTAGCGCTGCTATATTTCAGCTGTTACTGTTATCCTCATTGGGCATCCCACTGATGTCATCTGGCTAAGAGCCAGGGACCATAATCTCTGTAAGGCAATCTTGGAAGAGGTTTAGGGAGGAAGGATTCGGTCCTGTAGAAGAATGTTGTGAGTCTGAGCTGTGCAGAAGAGAGGATAAGCCGCCTGGGCAGAGTTGCCTCCTGTCACCAGAAGTATTCAAATAAGGAGAGTCTCCCACATGCCCAGAGTGTAACAAGAGGGGACGAGACATTGAATGGTGGCGTCACTCTCAGTGACCACAGAGACTGAAGTCAGGACTCTGGCATCCTGGGAGGTGGAGGCAGGACTCTGCCTGGCACCTTGTGCTCCTGAGTCCTGGGACAGACATGTCTGAGCCATGTTCCATTCAGATGGTGAGCACTGATCCCGGCCTCCGACACAGCACCTCTCAGTTGCCCAGGGTCTCCTAGATTCATTCAGCAAATACTCATTGAACACCCACCATGTGCCAGGGGGCTGAGATATGGCTATGAGGAAGATAGATAAGAGACCCTACCCTCTGGGAGCTGACATTGCAAAGGAGGAAACAGAGGACTGAGAAAGTAAACTCATCCACAAGAGGCTCTCACAGTGCTGACTGCTGTGAGAGGGTTATTTATTTGTTTCTTTGAGACAAGGTCTTTGTCACCCAAGTTGAAGTGCAGTGGCACAAGCATGGCTCACTGAAGCCTCCATCTCCTGGGCTCAAGCAATCCCTTCCCCTCAGGCTCCTGAATAGCTGGAAATGCAGGCATGTACCACCATGCCTGGTTAAATTTTTTCTTTTTAAGAGACAGTCACACTATGTTTCTCAGGCTGGTCTCAAACTACTGGCCTCAAGTGATCCTCCTGCTTCAGCCTCCCAGAGTTCTGGGATTACAGGCTATGGATTTTATTTCTGAAGAAGATTCTCTTTTTTCTAAAATTATCTCTGTAAATTTTATTCTAATCCTGCCTTTATAGATTTGGAAGTTACTTTCGTGTATGGTGTGATGTGGGTCCCAGCATCATAAATTCTTTCCCTGCAAAGTTTGAATGCCACCTTCATCATATATTCAATTCCCGTATGCACATAGGTCTGTTTCTGAAGTCTTTTCTCTTCCATTGAGCGCCTTGTCTTCTTGTTTTAATTATTAGAACTTTGAAGTGTATTCTGATACCGTTAGAGAAAGTCTACCTTCTCTGTTCTTATTTTTCAGAAATGTTCTCGGGTATTCTTAAGCATTTCGTTTTTTGGATGAATTTTAGAATTAACACGACAAATTCTGTGACAGTTACACTTTGCTTTGGTTGGAATCGCATTGAAGTTGTAGAGTAAGTAGAGGAGAATTGACATCTTTAAGGTACATATTAGATACATGGTATGTATTTTGAATAAAGTGTATGTTATACCCATTAGACAATCAAATTTTCGTCTTCATGTGAATCAAGCATGTTCACTGTAGATTTATTTCTAGGTTTGTTTCTCTTTTGAATGGGAATTTTTTCCTATTAACTTTTCTATTTAATTGTTATGGGGGTATAGGAAAGCCACTAATTTGAGTGTGTTGTTTTTGTTTTTGGCTATTGTATTATAGTCATTATTGTTAATTGTATTAATTCTAATACTTTGTGAGTTTTGAGTCTCTTGGATTGTCTAGGAAGATGAAACCATAACATCTGCCAATAACGACTGTTGTTTCTTCTTTCTATTATTTCTTTGGCCCTTTTTTCTTTCTTTCTTTCTTTTTTTTTTTCCCCAAGACGAGTCTTGCTCTGTCGCCCAGGCTGGAGTGCAGTGGTGCGATCTTGGCTCACTGCAACCTCCGCCTCCTGGGTTCAAGCAATTTTTGTCCCTCAGCCTCCCAAGTAGCTGGGATTACAGGTGCGCGCCACCAAGCCTGGCTAATTTTTTTGTATTTTTAGCAGAGACGAGGTTTCATTATGTTGGCTAGGCTGGTCTTGAACTCCTGACCTCGTGATCCGCATTCCTCAGCCTCTCAAAGTGCTGGGATTACAGGTGTGAGCCACTACGCCTGGCCTCCTTTTTTCTTTCTTTTTTTTTAAGTTTTTTTTTTTTTAATTATACTTTAAGTTCTAGGGTACATGTGCATAATGTGCAGGTTTGTTACATATGTATACATGTGCCATGTTGGTGTGCTGCACCTGTTAACTTGTCATTTACATTAGGTATTTCTCCTAATGCTATCCTTCCCCCCTCCCCCCACCCCACGACAGGCCCCAGTGTGTGATGTTCCCCATCCTGTGTCCAAGTGTGCTCATTGTTCAATTCCCACCTATGAGTGAGAACATGCAGTGTTGGTTTTCTGTCCTTGCAATAATTTGCTCAGAATGATGGTTTCCAGCTTCATCCATGTCCCTACAAAGGACATGAACTCATCCTTTTTTATGGCTGCATAGTAGTCCCTGGTGTATATGTGCCACATTTTCTTAATCCAGTCTATCATTGATGGACGTTTGGGTTGGTTCCAAGTCTTTGCTATTGTGAATAGTGCTGCAGTAAATATACGTGTGCATGTGTCTTTATAGCAGCATGATTTATAATCCTTTGGGTATATACCCAGTAATGGGATGGCTGGGTCAAATGGTATTTCTAGTTCTAGATCCCTGAGCAATCGCCATACTGTCTTCCACAATGGTTGAACTAGTTTACAGTCCCACCAACAGTGTAAAAGCGTTCCTATTTCTCCACATCCTCTCCAGCACCTGTTGTTTCCTGACTTTTTAATGATCACCATTCTGACTGGTGTGAGATGGTATTTCATTGTGGTTTTGATTTGCATTTCTCTGATGGCCAGTGATGATGAGCATTTTTTCATGTGTCTGTTGGCTGCATAAATGTCTTCTTTTGAGAAGTGTCTGTTCATATCCTTCGCCCACTTTTTGATGGGGTTGTTTGATTTTTTCTTGTAAATTTAAGTTCTTTGTAGATTCTGGATATTAGCCCTTTGTCAGATGGGTAGATTGCAAAAATTTTCTCCCATTCTGTAGGTTCCCTGTTCACTCTGATGGTAGTTTCTTTTGCTGTGCAGAAGCTCTTTAGTTTAATTAGATCCCATTTGTCAATTTTGGCTTTTGTTACCCTTGCTTTTGGTGTTTTAGACATGAAGTCCTTGCCCATGCCTATGTCCTGAATGGTATTGCCTAGGTTTTCTTCTAGGGTTTTTATGGTTTTAGGTCTAACATTTAAGTCTTTAATCCATCTTGAATTAATTTTTGTGTAAGGTGTAAGGAAGGGATCCAGTTTCAGCTTTCTACATATGGCTAGCCAGTTTTCCCAGCACCGTTTATTAAATAGGGAATCGTTTTCCCATTTCTTGTTTTTGTCAGGTTTGTCAAAGATCAGATGGTTGTAGATGTGTGGTATTATTTCTGAGCCGGCCTCCTTTTTTCTTGTTTTACTGCATTTGCTAGTATCTCCAGGACAATGCTATATAGTAGCATGGCCCGTGGGCATTATTTTTGTAATATTTAATAATTCAGTGGGGGATGTGTCTAATGTTCCCCCATTGAGTATGATGTTTGCTATGTGCTTCTGGTAGACACCAGTTCTCATTCCTCTCAGTGCCTCAGAGCAGAACAGTAACAGGTTGTGATGGAAGCTGTTTTCCCTGTTTTACAGAAAAGGAATGAAAACTTAGGAAAGCTTGGTAACTTGCCGTGCCTGCTAAGGCAACGCAGCCGATGACCCTCAGTGAGCTCTTGCTCCGGTTGGAGTGTGCAGGTGCCGTCCTTCACGGCATCTATCCCTCAGCCCTGTGCCCTTACGTGAACTGCTCAGGACATTTAGAGGGCTTTGTGGGCCTTAGCACCTACACAGCCATTCAGTCCTCATACAGAGAAGGACACTGAGTCTGGAGGGAGGAGAAGCGGCTGTCAGTGGTAACGCTGAGATGTGGACCCAGGCCCATCAGGCTCAGAGGCACTCATCTGTTACTTGTTGCCCTCAGCACGAATGTCTAGGCATTCTGTATAAACTTGACTTAGGAATGTCACTTTAGACCTCAGGGGCAAACGCTTGGGTTAATTACACGTCTCATTTCTTGGCATGGCTCTTATTATCCTCTTTGCAAGGCTCTTGTTTTATTTATTTATTAATATTTTATTTCCTTTCATCTTCTTTCTCCATTCCCATCCACCACCTCCATCTGCATAGCTGACAGTTTCATCTCATCAGTGTGTTTTTTGCTGTCATGTGTTCTTGCAAAGTATGCATTGTTATTTTATGTGTGATAGTTTAAATTTGTATAGTAGAACTGATTTGGCTTCTTCCTTTTCTCCCTTAGTGCTGTGTTCCTCCACACTTCTGTGTGTTGGTGTGTCCAGCTCATGCTGCTGTGTGTGTATCCAGTCTATTGTTTCTGACAGCTCCTGCATGTAGCATGGCCCCAGATTTTCCTCATCCTCCCCCCCAGTGATGGACACCCAGGCTGTCCGCAACCCCTTTCCACAAATAACACTTGACATGGGCATCCTTGTACTGGTTGTGTTACGGGCTGTCGTGAGGACTTCCCTGGCACAGACACCAGGAGCAGAGCGTCTGGGTCCTTGATGTTGCGTGTGCTTAACTGTATAAGTGGTGCCACATCTCTCCAGCTGGCCGCAGTCTCCTCTCCCACCCTAGACACATGGACATGCAGCAGTGTAGAGGAATACAGCACTAAGGGAGAAAAGGGGGTCCCCACCTCTGTGTGGCATTTCTCACTCTTACTCATATTTCTAGTTTAATGGATATTTTATTATTATTTTTTGAGACAGAGTCTCATTCTGTCACCCAGGCTGGAGTGCAGTGGCTCCATCTCAGCTCACTGCAACCTCCAACCCCCCTCCCCATCCCTGGGCTCAAGCCATCCTCCCACCCCAGCTTCCCGAGTAGCTAGGCTAACTTTTTGTGGAGTTGGAGATTCGCCATGTTGTCCAGGCTGGTCTCGAACTCCTGAGCTCAAGTGATGAACCCACCTTAGCCTCCCAAAATGCTGGGATACAGGCGTGAACCACCACATCTGGCCTAAGGAGTATTTTACTTTGGAGTTCTTTTTTCTCTTGTTAATTTTCAGGAGTTTATTATGTTTTGTAGATGGCAATTCCTTGTCAGTTTTGGACATTCCAGAAACATTTCTTAATATGTCAGCAGTCTATTATATGTGTACATGGAGTTCTTTGTTATACATATTGGAATTTTGAGGTAATCAAATTCATTAATTTTTGTAACCTATAGCCTGTGCCTTTGAGTTTTAAGACATTCTCCCCTACCTTTGACTCCTTCCAGCCTCCCCAGTCACAAATACAGTTGAACCTTGAACAACTCAGGAGTGAGGGGTGCTGACCCGACTAACAGTCAAGAATCCACATGTAACTTTTGACTCCTCAAAAACTTAACTAATAGCTGACTGTTGACAGGAAGCCTTACTGATAGCACAAATAGTCAATTAACACATATTTTATATGTTATATATATTATATACTGTATTTTTTTTTTGAGATGGAGTTTCACTCTTATTGCCCAGGCTGAAGAGCAGTGGAATGATCTCAGCTCACCACAACCTCCGCCTCCCAGGTTCCAGTGATTCTCCTGCCTCAGCCTCCCGAGTAGCTGGGTTTACAGGCATGCGCCACCATGCCTGGCTGATTTTTTGTATTTTTAGTAGAGACGGAGTTTCTCCATGTTGGTCAGGCTGGTCTCAAACTCCTGAACTCAGGTGATCCTCCTGCCTAGGCCTCCCAAAGTGCTGGGATTACAGGCATGAGCCACCGTGCCCGGCTGACTATATTCTGTATTCTTTTCTTGTTGTTGTTTGTTTGTTTGTTTTTTCCCCGGGACGGAGTCTTGCTCTGTCACCCAGGCTGGAGTGCAGTGGCACAATCTCGGCTCACTACAACCTCTGCCTCCCAGGTTCGAGCAATTCTCCTGCCTCAGCCTCCTGAGTAGCTGGGATTACAGGTGCCTGCCACCGTGCCTGGCTAATTTTTGTATTTTTAGTAGAGACAGGGTTTCACCCTGTTGGCCAGGCTGGTCTTGAACTCCTGACCTCGTGATCTGCCCGCCTCAGCCTCTCAAAGTGCTGGGATAACAGGCATGAGCCACCGCACCCAGCCTATATTCTGTATTCTTAAAGTAAGCTTGAGAAAAAAAAATGTTATTAAGAAAATCGTAAGAGAAAATATGTTTACTATTCATGCAGTGGAAGTGGACCATCATAAAGGTCTTCATCCTCACTGTCTTCAGGCTGAGTAGGCTTAGGAGGGGGAGGAGGAGGAGGGGCTGGTCTTGCTGTCTTAGGGGTTGCAGAGGTGGAAGAAACTGCTGTGTTGTTCCAGGGGTCAAGTGTGTATTCAACATAAAACTTCCGTGAATTTCCTGGATGAGCTTAAACTTCCCTTGCTGCCACTGCTGCTGTTTTCGTATCTCTTGCCCTGTCTTAGCATCTTAGGTTGGGTTCCTTAGAAGCAGAGCCTGAGTTGGGGGGTCTTGTGCATGTGTTGGTTCATTTGGGGAGACCTCTCAGGAGAAACTCTGAGGAGTGAGGGATGAGAGGTGGACAAAGCTGTGGCCCACGTGAGGTCTGACCCTGTGGGAGCTCTAGAGTGTGAGTGGCCCCCATAGAACTGGCTGCTTTGAGAGTGGGGGCTGAGCTCTGGCCCCATGTTAACCTGTTATGGGCTGGGCTCCTCCCA
This sequence comes from Homo sapiens, assembly GCF_000001405.40. Lineage (NCBI taxonomy): Eukaryota > Metazoa > Chordata > Mammalia > Primates > Hominidae > Homo > Homo sapiens. The sequence goes on from NC_000003.12 coordinate 13,607,865, forward strand.
GCCCCCATAGGGAGGACTCCACCTCGCAGACAGTTCACCAAAGACAGTTGTGTTGTGAGCTGTTAGCGACCAGCATGCACAGCAGCAGGGGTGGATGAGTTTGCCTGCCCAGTAAAGGAGACCTGGACAGGCCCCTGCATATCTGCTGGACTTGGTGACTTATGAATGGTGACTCTGCCTCATGTTGCTATCCACAGGCTCCACCAAGGACCTGATCGAGACTTGCTGCGCAGCCGGACAGCAGTGGGCCATTGACAATGACGAGTGCCTGGAGATCCCTGAGAGTGGCACTGAGGACAACGTCTGCAGGTAGGGTGGGCTCCCTGGAGCAGGCGGAGCTGCCCATTTGCCTTCTCCAGAACCCTGCTTGCCTAGGACCCCAGGCTCCAGGCAGCCCGGAGAGAGTGCACCTTCACATGCCTCTGGGGCATGAGGGTGATTGGGTGTGGCTGCCGTGCGCCATCTGGCCAGGCTTTCTCCAGGGGTGGAAAGTCCAAGACTGGTCCTAGGAACAAACCAGCCACATAAATTGGTAGCTGGCCTAGTGAGCAAGATCCGAGGAATGTACAATTTGAAACAAGTTTTAAAGGAGTGCTGTCCCCTAGGAATAGTCGGGTGCTCCCCTCACCACATTCTGCAGTTGCTGCCGCACTCATGCCACTCAGGCTTTCTCTCCTCTGCCCTCTTCCTTTCTCTGCTTTGCTACCCTTGGGTCTTCAGGAGGCTGGCCTCTCACTGTGCTCCCTTGCTGCTGTGCTGGTTGTTTCTTCTGACTCTGATACCACAGCAAAGCAATCCTTTATCCCCATGCCTTCCCTTTTCCAGGCCCAGGAGAGCTCTTGGTCAGCTGCTCATGCTTTGTTTTTTTCCAGGGACCCCGTCTAACCTACTCATTTTTCCAAATAAGAAAGATTAAGTTCAGAGAGGCAGTGTGATTCACTCAAAACTACACAGCTCACTGGCAGCATGGCTGGGATTAGACCCCATGTTTCCCAATGTCCAGACCACTCTGCTTCCTATAAAAAAAATTTATGTTCTAACCTTGTCTTTCCCTTCAGCCATTCTACCAATATGGGGCAACTTAGGAGTTAGAGCATGCAGCACTGGGACCCCTGGAGTTTGGGGCTAAGCGGTCCTAGTGCATGCTTGCATCCGTCTTGTGGACGTGTCCCACTTCAGGGGGTGCTGAGCCCTGTCCCCCGTAATCCCCGCCGCCCTGTCCTGGCTCTGGTCTCTGCAGCTGATTTGTCAGCCACCTCTGCCCCAGGCAGCCCAACAGTGACTGGCAGGCAGTGACCAGGGACCCGGAGGCTGTGCTCCTCCAGGCTGACCTGCCAGCCTTTTCTGGGATTAGGTCTCTCTGTCCTCCCCGACCGTTGTGGGGGTGGGGACTCTGATGCCAACCCCTCTCTCTCAGAGGTCATGAACACACATCTCCGAGTCTAGTGGGACCCAGGCCTGCATCTGCATGGTTAAGCCAAGAAATGAAACCCATGCAACCCAGTGGAGGTTGTGCCGGCTCTGCCACCTGCACCGGCTCCCTTGCTGTGGACCTTGGGCAGAGCTTCCCTCCTCTGAGCCTCACTCACTTTCCACTCTGGGAGGATGAGGTGGGCGACTGGGGGCTAAGTTACCCCCTCTGTTTCAGGACAGCCCAGAGGCACTGCTGTGTCTCCTACTTGCAGGAGAAGAGCTGCATGGCCGGCGTCCTGGGAGCCAAGGAGGGTGAGACCTGTGGGGCTGAGGACAACGACAGCTGCGGCATCTCCCTGTACAAGGCAAGCCTGACCTGTGGCCTTCAAGGCAGGGTGGGGTGGGGCGGGGCGGGAGGCTGGCCTGGGCCTGAAGGTCCTCGTGGCCCAAGAAGTTAGGCTGTCCTTGGGGCTCCTCCTGGGAGTGACCCTCACGCCTGGGGTGGAAGGACTCTTAATCTGCGCAGAAAACATCATCAGTTATTATACTGACCAATTAATTCACAGAATATTTGTAGAGCACCACTGTGTGCCCTGGGCATCAGGGATGTAGCAGTGAGTAACACAGATGGCAATTCCCGCCCTCCCAGGGATTTCTTTCTGGCCAGGAAGACAGAGGAAGATCACGATGAATATTTTAGCACCTGGCGTGGTTGCAGGCGATTGTGCTAAGGAGAAAAACTTAAGGAGAGGTGGGATAAGTAGTGTCAGGGCTGGGGAGGGACTGCAGTATCAGCTGACAGTGGCCAGGGACAGCCTCACTGAGGAGGGGACATTTGTGCAATGCCCGGGGTGGGGGATGTCTGTGAAATGCTTTCAGGCAGAGTGCAGCACATGCAAAGGCCCTGGGGTCAGAGCCTGCTTGGCATGTCTAGGCTGTGTGGCTGGAGTGCATCGAGTGACAGGGGGCAGGTGGAGCTGAGCCCAGAGAGATGTCAGGGCTCCTGGCCATCATCGGAAGGACTGTGGTTTGACTGTGGGTGAGGTGGACCCCATGGGGAGTTTGAGGGTCTCTTCTGGCAGTTGTGGGGACCGGTTATTGAGGGTGTTTCTCTCACATGGGAGGTGGGATTGGGATGGGGTAAAACCCCACCAGGCAACAGTGGTGCAGAGAACAGTGTGAACTAACACACAGGCGAGGACGTTGGGAAATGGGGTGTGTGGTCCAGTGGTCTGGCAGCAGTAGAGACAGGCCACCGGGAGTCCTCAGGCTGGACCATAAAGGACAGTAAATGCTGAGAGCTTTCGGCTTCAAGCAGTGTCTGTAAAGCCGTGGGAGGGATTTGCAGCAGGAGATCAGTTTGTCTACTAGAGCTCATGGTGGCCACTGGCGGACAGGGTGTCAGTTTGGCTACAAGTAATGGAAAACTTCCTGGAACACTGGTTTTTCTCTCATATGCTGCAGGCTGGAGGAAGGCAGGGCTGAGTTAGAGGAGTGAGAGGCTCCATGGTCATCAGGAATGGGGCACAGGCATAGTGGTCTTGCCCTGCCAGCTCTCATTTGCCACCTCTTGGTCCAGGATGAACTCCAGAAAGGGGCAGGAGAGCCCCCTTGTTTTAAATTATTATTATTATTATTATTATTATTATTTTGAGACAGAGTCTCTGTCACCCAGGCTGGAGTGCAGTGGTACGATCTCGTCTCACTGCAACTCCACCTCCCGGGTTCAAGCAATTCTCCTGCCTCAGCCTCCCGAGTAGCTGGGATTACAGGCACCTGCCACTACGCCCAGCTAATTTTTTTGTGTTTTTAGTAGAGCATACGCCACCATGCTTGGTTTTGTATTTTTACTAGAGATGGGGTTTCACCACATTGGCCAGGTTGGTCTCGAACTCCTGACCTCAAATGATCTACCCACCTTGGCCTCCCAAAGTGCTGGGATTACAGGCATGAGCCACTGCGTCCAGCTGAAATTAGTTTTGATCATGGTGAAATACACATGATGTAAAATTGATCGTCTGAACCATTTGTAAGCGCACAGCTCAGTGGCATGAAGCACATTCACACTGTTGCGCAGCCGTCACCACCAAGCACCCAAGGAACTTTCTTATCTTCTCAAGCTGAAACTGTTCCCATTAAACACTAACTCCCATTCCCTCTCCCTGTAGCTCCTGGTAACCACCATTCCGCTTTCTGTCTCTGTGGGTTTGACTCCTCTAGGGAACTCATGTAAGTGGAATTATACAGTGTTTGATCTTTTGTGTCTGGCTTATTTCACTTAGCATAATGTCTTCAAGGTTCATCCATGCCATGTGTAGCAAATGTAAGTGTTTCCTTCCTTTCTGAGGTGCAATAATATTCCATTGTGTGGACAGACCACATTTTCTGTATCTGTCCATTCATCGATGGACACTTGGGTTGCTTCCACCTTTTGGCTATTGCGAATAGTAATGCTGCTGTGAACATGAGCAGAAGAAGAGCTCCCTTTTTTGAGGGCAGACTGTAGTTCTGCTTAGATTTCATTGGCTGGAGCTTCATCTCCTGGCTACATCTAGCTGCAAGGAAGACTAGGGAATGTAGTGTCTTTATTCTGGGAGGTCAGGTGCCCCAGTGAACATGAGAAAAAAGGGAAACAGACATTGGGATGGATAGCTGGCTGTCTACAGCAGAGGTGAGGGCAAACTATGACAGTGGCACAGTTTCAGGAAACCTTCCAGAAGGGACCTCATCCTGACTGAGGAGCGGGAGAGGGAATTGAAGAAGCCCAAGGTCTCAAGCCTGGGTGATGGTGACAGAGACCGCTGGATGGTTCTGGCATTTGGGAGAGGATTTTGACTTCAATTTTGGTCATCTTGGGGTCAATTTTTTCCTTAAAACAACTAGTATTAGTGAGAGGACCCTGTTGACAGGGTCTAGAAACGTTTAGAATCCCCTTTTCTGTCTTTATGTTTGACCCTGGACTAGTTCTCTTTTCTTTTCTTTTTTCTTTTATTTTCCTTTTCTTTTCTTTTATTTTCCTTTCTTTCTTTCTTTCTTTCTTTCTTTCTTTCTTTCTTTCTTTCTTTTCTTTCTTTTTCTTTCTGTCTGTCTGTCTCTCTGTCTGTCTGTCTGTCTTTCTTTCTTGACGGAGTCTCGCTCTGTCACCCAGGCTGGAGTGCAGTGATGCCATCTCAGCTCACTGCAAGCTCCGCCTCCCAGGTTCATGCCATTCTCCTGCCTCAGCCTCCCGAGTAGGTGGGACTACAGGTGCCCGCCACCACGCCCGGCTGATTTTTTTGTATTTTTAGTAGAGACGGGGTTTCACTGTTTTAGCCAGGATGGTCTCGATCTCCTGACCTCGTGATCCACCCACCTCGGCCTCCCAAAGTGCTGGGATTACAGGCATGAGCCACCATGCCCGGCCAGTTCTCTTTTCTTAGCCTCAGCTTTTCTATCTATAAAATGAGGATAATAATCCATGTCTTTTTGGGTGGTTGTGGGGATCAGAGATAATGCAAACTAAGTGTTAAGTATGTGATGGGCCTTCATTAGTGGGAAGTGTTCAACACTGAGAGATGCAAGAATAGAGTATCAGTTAGCTGTTGCTGGGTAACATACCATCCAAAACCTAGTGGCCTGTTGCTGGCTTAATGCATGAATTTGTGGTCAGCTGAGTACTTCTGCTGACCTGAGCCACGCTCAGCTGATCCTGGGGGCGGGGGTGAGTGCTTGCTTATGTGGCTGCTGTCAGCTGACGGCTCCACTGGAGCTAGATGACCTAGGATGGCCTTGGCTGGGATGACTTGTTTCTGCTCCCTGCAGTGTCTCAACCCCCAGCAGGCTAGCATGGGCCTGTTCAGTTATGATGTGCAGAGTTCCAAGAAAATAAATAGAAGCATTCAAGGTCTTTTGAGGCCTAGGCTAAGAACTGGCACACCATCATGTGTATCTCATTCTATTGGCCAAAGCAAGACAGAAGGCACAACCAAGAGGTTGGGAAATACACACTTTCTCTTAATAGAAGCAGCTGCAATATCACATTGCAAAGACAGTGAACACAGAAAAGATTGAATAATTGTTGCCGTTATTGCAACCAAAATACTACTGTATTTTAAAATAAATAAAACCAATTTATTTTTGAAGAAAAGCAGCCTGGGCTAGCGTAGATCTACATCTTTAGGAACCTAGTCTTCTATTTTTATGTTTAATTATCTTTAACTTGTAGCTTCCATCTTCAGGGTCACTTCATGGCCCAAGTTGGCTGCTAAAGCTCCAGCCATCACATATGTGCTCCAAGAAGGAGAAAGAGGGGGAGCAAAAACGATGTACTTGATTCAAGTAGAGTCATCCCCAGTTTAAAGCCCTCCTGAAGGCTCCGCTGAGTGAATCTAACTGCAAAGGCCCCTGGGAAATGCCATCTTTTAACTGACTTGAATAGAATTGGGGTTTGCTAGTAAACATGAGGGGATAATGAGTGTGGCTGGGGGGTTATAGTTCCTTCAACTAAAGGCCATTTACTTGTTATCTGTTTCAAAAGACTTACATTAGTCCTACCTGTGCCAGACTTGGGAAATAGAGGCAGAGGACCCCTCTGCCCTGGGAGAGCGCATAGTCTGGCAGAGGAGATAAGATAATGGTGAATTCATCTCCATTTATCAGTCCCTCCCCTGAGCCTAGCTCCAGGCTGGGGCCAGAGATTGGGCAGTGATAACTGTCTCTCCCTGCAGCAATGCTGTGACTGCTGTGGCCTGGGCCTCCGCGTGCGGGCCGAGGGCCAGTCGTGTGAGTCCAATCCTAACCTGGGCTATCCCTGCAATCATGTCATGCTCTCCTGCTGTGAGGGTGAAGAGCCTCTCATAGTACCTGAGGTTCGCCGACCTCCAGAGCCCGCAGCTGCACCACGGAGAGGTGAGTGCTGCTCTTCCCTGGCTGCGGCATATAGGGCGAAGGCTGGTTGACCTCTGGCCTTCTGTGGGGACCCTGGGTCCATCATCACCTGTGGCTTGAGACACAAGTTCTGCTCTAAACAGAGTTCTGAGGATGGTGATTTCATTGTTTTCTGTGGACTACCCACTCCACCAACTTAACCACCAACTACCACCCATCACCCTTTCACTGTCCACTCACCACCCTCCCCTCTCTTTGTCTATACATCTTCCTCCCTGTCTACTTTGTCTATACATCTTCCTCCCTACCCACTTATCAGTTTGCTCTTTTTCCATCCATTGCACTTGTCTCCCACCCATCCTCCCATCCTCTTGTCCATCTCTCCATCCATTCATTCATTCACTCCCTCATTCATCCTCTATCCCATCATCTGTCCATCCATCCATCCATCCATCCATCCATCCACCCATCCACCCACCTACCCACCCAATTATCCATCCATCCATCCATCCATCCATCCATCCATCCACCTACCCACCCATCCACCCATTCACTCACCCACCCATCCATCTATCCATCCATTCATTCATCCATGTATCTATCTACCTATCCACTATCCACTCATCCATCCGTTTGTTTATCCATCCATCCATCCATCCCTCATCCATCCATCCATTTATCCATCTACCTACCCATCCATTCATTCATTCATCTGTCCATCTGTCCATCTATCCATCTGTCTGATCATCTATTCATCTATCCATCCATCCATCCATCCATCCATCCATCCATCCATCCACCCACCCATCCGTCTGTTCATCCATCTGCTTATCCATCCATCCATCCATCCATCCATCCATCCATCCATCCATCCATCCATGCATCCATCCTCGTTGTCCTTGGTGTCACCCCCTTCTTCTTCCCTTCTTGTGCTGTAGCCACTGTTCCAGCTGCCATGTCCAGTCCCTGTCCCCTAGCCAGGGCTGTCTCCTGGACCCATGACCATTAGCCTCCTCTGTGCCTGGTGGGTCTGCAGGAGCCTGATGAGGGTGCCCCAGTGAGTCAGCAGATGTCCTTTTTGTACATGGGCCTTGGTGGCCCTGGGGCTGGTGCCGTGAGAGTCCTGGCAGGCCTGCTTTGTTGGTGTCCACATGTTCAGCCTCAACTGGTTGGGGACCAGATGTCCAGGTAGGTTCCAGAACCACCAGCCCAGTTTTTTCGCTGTTCCTATGGACCGTCATCTGGGGCCCCTGTGGATTTGTCCTGGGCACTTCATGGAGTGGGAATTAAAGCCACAGATGAGGTCCTGGTATCAAGATTAAACTCTTGGCCTCTGGAGTCAGGCAGACTTGGTTGGAATCCTAGTTCCTTTGCTTACCTGGGGCAGGTCACACAGAAGGAAGGCTCCTTCTCAGAGCCTTCACTGTGGCATCTGTCAAATGGTCTTGTATTCTTTACCTTGTTCAGTGCAAGGATGAATGATAGGATGCCTGTCAAGGGCTTTTGGCAGTGCCTAGTGATGCATTCAGCATTGCCACCACTGTTGCTGTTACCGTTGCCGTGCTTCAGCAGCTCAGAGGGGGAAGATGAGGCCCAGAGAAGGGCAGGATCTTGCCCCAGGCACATGCCGGGTCTTTGGCACAGCCAGGACTGGACACCTTGGCTCTAATGACTCCCACTTCTGCCCCAGCCTTCCTGATGCCCTGAGTTTTATCTAGACCCAGTCAGCCTTGGTTCCGATTGACCCAGATCTCTGTCACTATAATGCAAGATGGCAGAAGTCTGTGCATAGGGGTTAAGATGCCTGCTGTCCACAGGTGCCAGGGCTCAGGAGATCCTACAGGAAGAGCTCATATCCTGTGTGGTACAGGTGGGAGAACAGATACCTGGATCTCCCATCAGGGTGAGGCAGAGGCAGGGGTGAGTGTGTGGGGGTTGGACCAGGCCAGACCTGGGCAGATCAACCAGAACAGATGTACCAACCACCCTTGCCAATCCAATGTGGGTACAGAGAGTAAGTCCAGTCCAAGGAAGTGCTACTTGCTGAGATTGGCTCTAAGGGGAATGGTTGAGTACTGGTGTGAAGGCCAGGTTAGTACCCAGAAGAGTCTGGCTGAAGGTAGAGTTTGGGAGGAAGTCCGGCTTCAAAAGTCAAAGGCAGGTGGGTGGAAGGGAGTAGGTGGGCAACAGAGCCAGGCACGATCCTGGCCAGAGATCCATGCTTCCTCCTGTGAGGAAGATGCTGGTGAGGGTGAGCTGAGCCTGAATCCTGGAGGTACTGTCTAGCCTGTGGTGTGCTAGGAGGAGCCCTGGGTCCAGGTCTGTCCGCCGCCTGCCTGCAGTGCTGAGTCTCTGCGGGACCAGACCGCCAGCCATCATGGCCCTGCCTGGAGGCACCGGCTGGGACTGATTGGGCTGCAGCTTAATGTAAACACCCTCCATATGAAACACGTTCCTCATACGTGACTTCATGCAGCTACTCTCTCTGTGGGCTCTGCTGCCTGGGTGGGGTGGGAAGGAGGCCCTGGGCTGGCACAGAGCTTAGAGGGGCTGTAGGCCTCCCCCTGAAGTCCTGGCTGCATGCTTTCCCCACAGTTGTCATACAAAGAGCTTCCCAAGGCAGCTCAGCCTCAGGAGCCTTCTTTTCCACTCTCACCTGCTCCCCAGCACAACCCTGGGAGATGGGTTTATTCCAGAATCTGGAGGCACAGAGAGGCCTAGTGCTGCCCAAGTTGACCCAGCTAGGGAAGGCCCAGGTCAGTGGTCACATCTGATCCAATAGAGCCCAGATTTGGAGCCCTTTCTGCTGCTAAGGATGATCCTCCTTGATGTCACTGAGGTCAGGGGTCTGAATCCATTGTAACACTTTAGTGAGAGCTTCTTTGTGGATCTGACCCTGTCCTATTGTAGAGGACTCAGTGATGAAGACTTGGACCTGGCTCTGATGGGTTCATTCTTACTGCTTGAGGTCTGTTCATTCATTTGCCCATCCATTCATCAATCCATCCATCCATCCATCCATCCATCCATCCATCTATCCATCCATCCATCCATCCATCTACCTACCTACCAGTCCATCCATCCGTCTGTTCATCTGTCTGTCCACCCATCCATCTACCCATCCACTCATCCACTCTTTCATCTACCCATTCATCCATCCATTCAGCCCCACACCCATTCATCCATCCATTCACGTATCCATCCACCTACCCATCCTTCCATTCACTCATCCACCCATCCACCCACTCACCCATCCATCTATCCATCTACTCATCCATTCATCTACCCATCCATCTATCCATCCACCCACCCATCCATCCATTCAGCCAAATACTCATTCATCCGTCTACCCATGTATCCATCTATCCACCCATCCTTCCATCTACCCATCCATCCTCCTTCATTCATCCACCCATCCAGTTACAACCCATCCACCCATCCATCCATCCATCCATCCATCCATCCATCCATCCATCCACCCATCCACCCACCCATTCATTCACCCACCCATCTACCCACCCATCCACCCACCCATCCATCTAACCATCCATCCATCCATCCATCCATCCATCCATCCATTCATCCACCCCCCCCACCCCCCCACCCATTCATTCACCTACCCATCCACCCACCCATCCATCTACCCATCCACCCACCCATCCACTCACTCACCCATCCATCCACCCATCCATCTACCCATCCATCTATACCCATCCGTCTATCTATTTACCTGCCCACCCACCCATCTATCCATCCATCTATCCACCCATCCACCCACCCACCCATCCATCCATCCTGCTTCATCCATCCTTGCTGTCTGCTGGGCACACAGAGGTCTTGATGAGGACCTGCACTAGTTTCCCAAAGCTGGTTGTCTCAGCCACCTACTCTGACCAAGCTGGCTCTGTCTTGAGCTCTAACCCCTGTCCTAGTTTCAGAGGCAGAGATGGCGGGCCGAGAGGCCCTGTCACTGGGCACAGAGGCCGAGCTGCCGAACAGCCTGCCGGGCGATGACCAGGATGAGTGCCTTCTCCTCCCGGGAGAGCTGTGCCAGCACCTTTGCATCAATACTGTGGGTTCTTACCACTGTGCCTGCTTTCCTGGCTTCTCACTGCAGGACGATGGCCGCACTTGCCGCCCAGGTAAGGGCCCTGATGGCCAGGGCAGGGGCTATGGGAAGGGCTGATCTTGCCAGGGGGTGTGGCATTCCTGGGGTGCACACTGTGGGGTCCTTCACTTCCTGTTACCCCACAAGTTGGAACCCACAGAAGCCTGAAGCTTCCAGTGATGGGGGATTTGTGAGGCAGGAAAAATAGAAGCTTTCTTCCTGGGGCTCCATCTGCAGGGACCTGGCCCCAGCACCTTGTCCCATATTCGAGCGCAGGGACAGGCTCAGGCCACAGAGGCTCTCACCAAAACCCAGCTATCTCCCCAGTGCTGGGCCCATGGTGATCCTGAGGGATTTCCTCCCAGTCACTGGTCCCAGAATTGATTGGTTTTTAATCCAGACACTCTTTTTCCTTTCCCCCCTCTCTTCTTCCTTGCCTCCTTTCCTTCTACCCCCTCTGCCCCCAGTAGCTGAGATTGATCTTTCCCAAGGTATATGCACACTCCAAACCTCATTTTCCTCTCCTGTGAAATGGGGTGGGGGATTAAATGTCAGTGCCCTGTGTGAGAAGGGCAGGTGCCTGGAAGTGCCTGAGGCCTGGCTGAAGACCTGAGACCTCCCTGCAACCCCCACTCTGCTCTACCCATGACAGAGGGTCACCCTCCACAGCCGGAAGCCCCACAGGAGCCTGCACTGAAGTCAGAATTTTCCCAGGTGGCCTCTAACACCATCCCGCTGCCACTGCCGCAGCCCAATACCTGCAAAGGTAAGCAGTGTGGGTGGTGTCTCCAGGACAGGGCCCAGGGTCCAGGGGGTGGGTCTGGGCTGCTTGCAGGTGGTGAGCTGTCTGGTGCTGGGTATGTGCAAGATGGCCCCTCCAAAGGGTGTGCTTCTGTTTTGGGGATGATGGGCTTACCCTGGGCTGAGTGAGGAGCTGAGGAAGTCACTGGGGAGATGTGGTGTGGGGACAGCCTAGGGCCTGGTGTGTGACCCCAAACCAGCCAGTTAGCTGCTTTTTGTCTCCATTCTTGTAACGTTGAGGTAGTCAAATCCTGGTTTGCCGACCTGTTGTGGAGGCTGTGTTCAGCGCTGTGTAGAAAGTCCTCTTCTTTGTTGTTCTTCTCCTCATTCCCTTCCCCTGCTTTTTTCCCTGCCCCCTTCCCTTTCTCTTCTTCCTTCTCTCTTCTCCTCCATCTCCCCATTGTTCTTGCTGTCACGCAAGGCATGGGCTGGGATCCGAGTGGTGGGGGAGGTAGACCCAGAACGTCGTCCCCGACGCCAGACGGTGTTGGAGCAGACTTAATGGATGAACCTGTGAAAAGGACCAGGAGTGGCGTTCCTTGTCTCCCAGCATCCCTGCCTTCTAGGGGCCTTGTTTCTGTGTCTCACTAGTAGGTTAGAGCCAGGGATGGGGAATGAGCCAGTGTGGACCAAGGCCAGGGCCTGGTGGTCTCTGATTTCTGTGTGGTTTCCTCCAGACAATGGACCCTGCAAGCAGGTGTGCAGCACTGTTGGGGGCTCAGCCATATGCTCCTGTTTTCCCGGCTATGCCATCATGGCGGATGGCGTGTCCTGTGAAGGTGAGTGCCTTGGGGTGCCCTCCTACCTGTGCAAACCTGAGTTGGCCTGTGATGGGGGCCTCCAGGTGGGGGTGGCTGAGACTTAAAACTTGCTGAGTTTGTGCAGGAAGAGTCTTGGCTGCTATGATGAGCACCCCTAGTGGAGCAGGTTAAACAGTCACTCCCTCTCACCGTACGTGCGGTGTATACATGCACTCCAGGGTGGGCCTGCAGTGTGGCTGCATAGGAATGGGGCCCGGGCTCCTCACATGGTGTCGCTCCGCATTTCCCGGAGCAGTGCTTCTCCTGCCGAGTGTGCACCTGAGTCCCTGGAGGCCTGGGTCAAACAGGCAGTCCTGAGATTCTGCCGAATCCCCAAAGATCGAGTCAATAGGTCTGGGTGGGTGGGCCTGAGAATTTGTGCTTCTAACAAGGTGATACGGATGCTGCTGGTCCGCGGACACCACCTCCACTCACCTTGCCCTTGAGGGTTGCCCTGGTCTGTGCAGCCATGTCCAGGCCTGGGTGGAGAGGGGGAAGGGGAAGCAATGCCGGTTGTTTTAAGGGCAGCCAGAAGTGTCCCCGATGGGGAGTGGGAGGGAGGCTGGACAGCAGGAATGCCTGGCTGAATCTGTTCCCAAATGAAGGACACTGGTGATGATTAGCTGTCCAAGGATCACATACCTTCCACCCCCGTGGCCCCGCCTAGGTCTGGGTCTTGTCTTTGTGGGGCCTCTGTGGGCCAGGACCCCCCACTGTAAAATGAGGCCATTGGATCCAGCACCTGCTGGGTTGGTTCCCACAGTGAATGGCTTCTGAAGAACCAAGCTGAGAGGTCTCAAGACTCTACCTCCTGCCTGGGGGCAGGACAGAAATGGAGTATGCAGAGTCTAGGAAGTATGGCAGTTCTGGCTCAGAGATGAGACCCTGGTGGGTGTCTGGGGGAGAACAGAGTCAAGTCTGCCTGGGTGAATACCCACATCCCTCCCAGAAGCTGAAAGCCCGTGTCCATCCCCAGCCGAGACTGTTCTGATGTGGACAAACACCGTCCTACGAGCCCAGAGAGGACAGTAGACTTGCCCAGGGTACATGACGTGGCAGTGACCGGCAGGCCTTCCTCTCCGATGCTGGGGGCAGCTCTCAGGTCCAGGTGGTGCTGGGTTCTCTGGGCCCCGCCCCCCATCTCCCAGGGCCCTGAAGATGTAAGAGCTGCATCTTTTCTGGGGCAGGCCTCCTTTGGGCCCAGCCCTGTGAGGCCCCTCTGCCTGTGCTGCTCATGCAGCCTAGCCCATGTCTGCGCATCCCCAGGACCCCCTCCCTCCTCTGGAAGCCCTGGCAGTGAAAGCTGGGGTCCAGGTTGCAATGGGCATTCAGAGAGGCACCTGCTCTGCGGAGGAGCGCTGCTCAACTCTGCTGCATTGGAAATAATCAAGTGAGTTCCAAACGTGTTGAGCACAAGAATGATTAAAACACTTCCAGATTTTAGGTTTCTCTTGGTGTGAAATCTGCATACAAGGGGCCCACACCCCTGTCCCCTTTTGGATGGAGCACAGACACTCAGTGTCCTGGAGCCCCTGTGGGCCCTTCCCTGGTTTATGTGGCTGGCCTGGTCCCCTAAGTACTGGACTTTGCAAGCTCTCGGGGGCATGGTTCTCTTGGCGCCCGTGGATGTGGGAAGTATCGAGTGCGTACGGGAGGCAGCCTCTGGTCCTGTCCCCACTGTGACCGTGGGCAGCCACCCACCCTCTCTGAGTCTCACCTCACCACCGTCCTTACTGGGGCAGTGGGGACCAGCTCTGCACACTCACACTTGGGCCCAAGGCCCAGCTACACACAGTCAGGCGGGGAGGCCCCAGACAGGCCCCTGCCCCTTGCTGGGTCTCATTCTCCTGTCACTGGATGCTCCGTGGCAGCCCATGTCCCTCTAACAGTCCTTCTGTTTTTCCTCCTGCGGCTGCCACTAGACCAAGACGAGTGCCTGATGGGTGCTCACGATTGTAGCCGGCGACAGTTCTGTGTGAACACCCTGGGATCCTTCTACTGTGTCAACCACACAGTGCTCTGTGCCGATGGCTATATCCTCAATGCGCACAGGAAGTGCGTGGGTAAGCCAGGGCCCCGCCTGCCGCCCGCCGTCACAGCTCTCCGCTCTGCTCCACGCCAAGCCCACCACACTGTGGCCACATGCCAAAGGGCCTGCCCTTTGCATGTGAGCTCTCAGCACAGCCGGCATCTCCGTGCTCTATGTCGTGCCCTTGTGTCCTGGCGTCTTGTCCCGCTTGGCTGCCAGCTCCACCCGGAGGCTGCTTTCCCCAGGGACGTGTCTATGTGTCAGGGAACTGGATGTGTGGCCTGGTGGATCAGGGACCCCACCTGGGCTGCAGGAAAATGAGGGGGTCAGACATGCTGGGAGCAGGATAGGATGTGTGGGGTCTGGAGGCAGGAGGCCTAGCCAAGCAGGACCCCCAGAAGCTCCGTGGCCTTGGATGAATGACTCGTCTTCCCCCAGCTGTGGTTTTCTCATCTGTAGTAAGGAGGCTGTTGATCCTCTTTTGACGATTGTGTGACATGTATGTGGGGTAGCACAGAGCCTGGGCACCGTGAGCATGCTACAACAGCTACGTGCCTTCCCCAGGGTCCCCCGCAGAGCTGGTGGATGGAGGATGGGGTCCAGCAGAGCCCGCCTCGCATACCAGCTTGGCGTTCCTTTGCTATGTGACCTTGAGCAGCGGAGCTCTCCTCTCTGAGCCTGCCTTTCCTCCCCTCTGACCGTGGGGCCAGAGGACTGGGTGAGGGCTCATACCCGGCACCTGGCCTGCACATCGCCCGGGTTGGTGCTCAGTGATGCCTCTTCCTTCTCCTCTCTTAGGCCCCATGTGGGCCAGGCGCCGTGGCTCTGGGAGTGCTCTGTGCGTACATGTCTGCAGCCTCTGATGTTTTCAGAGAACTGTAAACCCTTGTGTCCTCCAGTTTGTGGTCCCAAACGGAGATAGACCCAAAGTAGCTGGGACTCAGGGCAGACGGTGGTAAATGCCATCACAGAGACACGCGCAGAGGGCGAGGTCATTCCAGCTGGTGGCATCGGGTTAGCATTTGGAAATCAGTAAGGGCATGCAGCGTAGAAGGAACAGCTCAAATAAAGGTATAGAAGTAGGATCAGAACCTAGTGCGTTCAGGGCATGTGACCAGAGCCCCGTTTGTCTTCTCTGTGCTTGGGGACCATGTCCAGCCTGGACATATCCCCTTCCTTCCTCGCCTTTCACCACTGGGCACACGGGCCCATGGTGCTGGGCTGAATGCCTGCTGCAGACATGTTTGCCCTAGGCCTCTAGCCGTTGGCACAACATGCGCCTCCTGACCCTGCTTGCCAGCAGCCGGCCAGCTCTTCCTGTCTGGGTTGGGTCCGTGTGTGTACGTCTGGGAAGGCGGATCCCACCAGGGCCCACGAGCACCCCTCCCATGATGCCCTGCCCTCTCGCGGTGCCTGAGTACGCAGGCTTGTCTAGCTGCCTGGAGATAAAACATACTAAAAGGGATCCCCAGGCAGCTGCAAAGTGGGTTCTGGGAATGAAAGAGCAAGGGCACATTCCATTCAGCAAAATTGATGAGCTCACATGCATTCCTTTCTTTCTTTCCCTCCTTGTTCATCCTGTACAAACCCGTCAGCACCTCTTCATCCTTCCATGCCCCTCGCACACGTGTTCATCCCGTCGTGTTAGTACCTGCCGCGCGTTCTTTCCGTCATTTGTACGTCCACAAATGTCCACTGGGCTCTCCTGCAGTTCATTTGTTTGCTCTGCACTTGTTTATTAACCCAGGCAGGTGAGATGCGAGGCTTATGCTAGGATCAAGAGTGTGGCCTTTGCAGCCAGCCTGCCTGCCTGTGCTGAAATCCTGGCTCTTTCAATTTTTAATCATAAGACCTTAAACCAGTTGGTTAAACTCTCTGAGCCTCAGTTTCCTCATCTGTGAATGAGATAACAGCACCTACCTCAAAGAGTCATTGTGGGGATTAAATGAATTAGTCCATTTAAAGAAGTTGCTACTCTTGTGACATCATTGTTATGATTCAACCAATGTTTCACTGAGGCAACCTGCAGAGGTAGTAAGCTCCCCATCACTGGAGGTATGTAAATCAAAGTGGGACAGTATTGGGTGTGACCTGTGCCAAGGACTCCCCTGTGTTTACCATTTGCCTTTTGTGGTCTGTACTTTGAAGACTGTCTTGGGCACAGGGAAAAGTGTTGCAGGTGGTCCAGGCTGCAAGATGTGAGGGAGGCAGCCCCCCAGCTCTGAGCCCCCCATGAAGTGGTGCTGCAGCAGTGCTTGAATGATGGGTACAAGGGTACAGCTCTGGGCCGGGCACTCTGGCTTCCGTTCTTGATCTGCCACATGGCTGTCCGTGTGACTCTGGTCCAGTCACAGCACTACCGGGAGGCTGATTTCCTCCTCTGAGAAATGGGGCTTGCAGAACGATGTCCTCTAAACCACCTGACCCTGGTGAGCCTCCGCTCATGGTGCTGCTGTTGTTACCATAATTCCTCCAGGCTGTGGGAGGCTCTTGGGTTATGGGCATTTCTGGGGTCCTGGGAATGGTCTCCCTCTGTAAGTCCAGCCTGTAAATCAGAAATCTTTATCTTGCCCAGCCAAGCCTTCCTTGGAAACCACTGGCCCAGAACTTTCCCTTTCCCTCCTCCCCATTCCCAGCCATCCCCGGGTCTGCCTGGCCTGGACACTGTTTGGTTCACCTGTGAGTTTGGGAGGGTCTCTTTCCCCAGGGCCTTGGCCTCCACCTCTCCACCTGGTCCTCTAGTCATCCTTGTAGACTCAGCTCGAATGTCACCACTCCTGAGAAGTGGCTCTGATGGTCCAGACCACAGCAGGCAGTTCTCTGGCCAGAGCCCCCAAGCCTCCACCTGCCTGTCCTTGAGGGCCGGGGCTGGGGCCGACACACCCACTTGGTCACAGGAGCCTAGCACAGAGTTATGTGTGTGGAATGGATGGATAAGCAGGGGACTAGTGCACCTGACCGCCGCCACAAGGTGCAGCACCAGGAGGGGGTAGATGGGTCAGCCTTCCACACTGGCTTAGCGCTGGCCTTGGGGCGGTTTCTGAGTTGGTGGCCTCTGTGGCCCCTGGGCAGTTCCTGAGTTGGTGGCTTCTGTGGCCACTGTGGCCCGGGGGTGGTTTCTGAGTTGGTGGCCTCTGTGGCCCCAGGGCAGTTTCTGAGTTGGTGGCCTCTGTGGCCCCGGGGCAGTTTCTGAGTTGGTGGCCTCTGTGGCCTGGGGTGGTTTCTGAGTTGGTGGCCTCTGTGGCCCGGGGGTGGTTTCTGAGTTGGTGGCCTCTGTGGCCCTGGGGCAGTTTCTGAGTTGGTGGCCTCTGTGGCCCGGGGGTGGTTTCTGAGTTGGTGGCCTCTGTGGCCTGGGGGTGGTTTCTGAGTTGGTGGCCTCTGTGGCCCGGGGACAGTTTCTGAGCCTCTGTGGCTCCCCACCTCCCTTATGCGTCCTCTCTCTCCTTCACTGGCTTCTCCTCTCCCCAACTGCTTATCCCTGGAATCTCCCAGGAGCTGGTCCTTGGCCTCCTCTCCGTGTGATCTCTCCCCTGGGTGGCCTCAGCCATCTGACCATTCTCAAGTTAGTATTCCCACTCAGACCCCTTGTGTGAACTCCAAGGCATGTCCTCAGCTGCCTCTTCACCCTCAAACTCTCATGGCCAGCAGGGCTCCCACCTTCCCCTGCAGCCTACACCTCACAGCCGGCCCTCACTGCCACCTGTCCAGCTGCTTGGCCAGAAGCTCTGGGCCCCTCTTCCTGCCTCACCTTCATCTCATCCATCAGTGGGTTTTGTTGGTTCCAGCTTCACAATACTTCAGAATCTAGCCACTTCTCCCAGCCCATTGAAGGTAGTCCGAGCCACTGAATCTCCTGCCTGGATCCTCACCCCTATTCTCCAGCCCCTGCCAGGGATCCTTGCTCCAAATAAATAAGACCACTTTCTCTTCTGCTTGGAACTCTCTATGGCTCCCTCCATTCCTCCTGCTCACCCTCTTTCTCCCTTCCCTCCCCTGCAGCACACCCACCTCCTGGTGGGCCCTTGAACCTGCACAGCTGGCTTCCTTCTCAGGGCCTTTACATCCCTGACGCCTCTGCCTGGACTGTCTGCATGGCCCAGTCTGTCATCTTGTCACATCTTTGCTCAGATGTCTTCTTTTCTGAGAATCCATCCCTGACCCATCCCGCCCAGCGCCCCCCGCTGTACCTGGGCACTCCCTGTCTCCTGCGTCCTGCTCTGTTTTATCCATAGCACTCATCACCACCTCCATTTATGTTTGTTTATGTATTTATTGTGTCCTCTCCCCTTGAGTGTCTGCCCCACAAGGGCAGGGATTTCTGTCTTGGTCACTGATGTACACCCAGTGCCAAGAACAGTGCTTGGTGCATAGCAGGTGCTCAATAAATCTTTGTTGAATGAAGGGATGTTTGGGTGCCGAGACATCAGCCACATCTCCGAATGGTGAGCTCCCTGAGGGCAGGGCCTGGAGCTCTCTCCCTCCTGGTGGCCCAAGGTCTGCTGGCTGCACTCAGCCACTGTCCTGGGGACTCTGCAGCCTCTGATGGCCTCGCTCTCCCTGCAGACATCAACGAGTGTGTGACGGACCTGCACACGTGCAGCCGGGGCGAGCACTGTGTGAACACACTGGGCTCCTTCCACTGCTACAAGGCACTCACCTGTGAGCCAGGCTATGCCCTCAAGGATGGCGAGTGCGAAGGTGAGAAGGGCCCAGAAGGACCAACTGGAGGCCCCGCCCCATGGCCAGTTTTGCCCCGCCCCTCCCTGGTCCCACCCCTGTCCTGCCCTGGCCACCCTTAGGCCTGGCCACGCCCCTCTCCATCCCCTCCTTTCTAGCAAGCTCCCCTTAGTTGGGTTTCCTGCTGGTGGGAAGACCCCACAATGGTGGTGTTTGGGGCGGAGATGGGAGTCTGAGGCAGGGTGAGGGCAGGCTAGGTCCACCCCGGCTTTGCTCCTGCCTGCTGGTGTCTGGGTGCCAGTTATCCCCCTTGCTGTGGCCTGGTTTGTACATTGAGGTGGAGCCCACAGAGGGTTCACTCTGTCCCTTTTACTGGAAAATTCTAGCCTTCTAATCAGAGGGAGGGGTTTCATCCAACCCTTTCAACAAGTACGTCCTGAGCTGCTCTTATGTGCCTGCCGGGTCCTGGGTACCAGGGATCCAGGGTGGGGTGCTGTGGCCCTTCTCTGACCTTGTGGTTGGGGCAGCGGGGTCCACACAGGCAAACAGAGATGGCAGAGTGACTGGGGGCTGGGGGCCCCTGTAAGTGGTGGGTTCAAGGAGGCCCCTGGAGGAGGTGACGTTGGAGTTGAGACCTGAATGAGAAGCTCCTGGGGAGGGTGTTCAGGCAGAGGGGGCAGCGTGCCAAGGCCTGTTGGGTGTGGGGAGGAAGCACTCTTGGCATGTTCCAGAAACAGAAAGACAGTCTCCGGGGTTGGAGCCTTCTTGCTACCTGTGCTACCTCCCTAAAGTGTGAACACATGACCTTACCTTAGAGATTTAGGCACACGGTGGGGATATCCCCACTTCCGCCCCCTGCAAGTGTGGGACAGCGGCTAACAAAGCAGGCTTGGGAGCCAGTCCCCCGGGTTCTGGTCCTGGTCCAGTGCTCCCCAGCAGTAGAGCCTTGTCTCTGCCTCAGCTTCCCTCCTTGTAAGATGGGGCTTGTCATGACATCTACTTCTTACGGCTGTGTGGGGTTTAAGGAAATAAATCCATCTCAGGTGCTCAGAACAATGGTGGGACCAAAGAGAAGCGCAGTAAACATGGTCACGTTGTTATTACTCCTGGGACAAAGGCCATGCCGGCAACAATGTGGCTGTGCCAGCTTCCCAGGGAGATCTTTGTGGCCATCAGGGTCATGGGTCTGAGGGCGGGGATGTGTGGGCAGGGCTGCTGAGTGTAAAGGCAGGACCTGCCCCCCAGCCCTTGACACCCAGCCTCTCCGCTGCAGACGTGGATGAGTGTGCGATGGGCACGCACACCTGCCAGCCGGGCTTCTTGTGCCAGAACACCAAGGGCTCCTTCTACTGCCAGGCCAGGCAGCGCTGCATGGATGGCTTCCTGCAGGATCCTGAAGGCAACTGTGTGGGTGAGCGGGGGCTGCAGGGCTGGGGATCATCAGCCTAGGGCTCTACTGGAGGCATTGTGGGGGCTTTTAGGGCTTTAGAGACCAGGGAGGCCTGGCTTGCTGCTCCATTCCTCTCCCAGCCCCCTTGTCCCTACCTGTGAATGGGCATGTCAAGTGTTCAACCCTGGGGGCACCACTGTCCCCAAAGTGTAGCTGCTCCTATTACCTTGAGCTGTGAAACCTTGGCTGAGTTATTATTCAGTGGCCTCTGTGAAGCTATCTGTGGGGTTGGACTGGATACGAATGAGTATCCCTTTTTTTTAACCAGTCAGCAGTGGCTATGTGATAGATCATGACCTGGCACAGACATCTACACACATCCAGGAAGAACTGCAATACCAGTGTCCCCACACAGTACTGCATGTGACACCCACTGAAATTTCCCATTTTCAGAGAATGCTAGTGAGACCTCCTAGAGTGATTCCATGCCGTACTCGAGGGTTGAGACTTAACAGTTTTACAGATGCCGGCCTAGTCCCCAAGTGGGTCTGAGATTCTACCCGCTCTGCGCCCCCCATCAACTCCTTCCAAAAAAGGGTTTGCTTAGTCTCTGTGCCTCTAAAACTTCTTGTTAATGTGCTGTGCTTCCCTGGCAGCTAGACCCCTGGCACGTGGTTGGTGTAGTTATCCTAGCACTCAGCCTCGATCCCGCCCTGCCTCCAGCTGCTCTGTTGGGCAGATGTGAGAGGGCGTAGGGCCAGCCATCAGGTGCTTGGGTTCTGGGAGGTGTATCCCTTGGGTAGTGGGGCACAGGGGTAGGACAGTCTGGCCCTGCAACTCTGACCAGGGCAGGTCTGGAGCCCAGGACCGACCCCCTCCCAGTGTGGCCCTGGGAGGGGCTGGGGCCTGGGAGGACACCATGCCGGGCTCCCTGTCACCTACACCTGCCTCTGCAGACATCAACGAGTGCACGTCACTGTCCGAGCCATGTCGGCCAGGCTTCAGCTGCATCAACACGGTGGGCTCCTACACATGCCAGAGGAACCCGCTGATCTGCGCGCGCGGCTACCACGCCAGCGATG
The DNA here is from genome assembly GCF_000001405.40 of Homo sapiens. Taxonomy (NCBI): domain Eukaryota; kingdom Metazoa; phylum Chordata; class Mammalia; order Primates; family Hominidae; genus Homo; species Homo sapiens. The sequence goes on from NC_000003.12 coordinate 13,629,031, forward strand.
ATGGGACCAAGTGTGTGGGTAAGGCCAGCCGCCTCCGCCCTGCCAGCCAGCCCGGCCTGCCCGCTTCCCCACCCCTGGGAGGTGTGTGTGGAGGGAGCCCCAGGCCTCAAGGTACCCTGCTCACCCCCCACAGACGTGAATGAGTGTGAGACAGGTGTGCACCGCTGCGGTGAGGGCCAAGTGTGCCACAACCTCCCTGGCTCCTACCGCTGTGACTGCAAAGCCGGCTTTCAGCGGGATGCCTTTGGCCGGGGCTGCATCGGTAGGTAGGCTGGTGGCCAGGACCCCTGGGGAACACCTGGCTGGTCCCCTGCCCTCTGTGCACTCCACCTCCCCATGCCCAGCACCTCCACTGCCTGAGTGGGGCCCACCTGCTGGAGTCCACAAGGTCGCCTTCCAGCTGGCCTCATCCTCCTGCTGGGCCTGCCAGGACCTGGCTCTGGCCCCCGCCCCCACCTTCTCAGTCCCTCCTGTCTCATCTCTGTGCCTCTGCCCCTCTTACTCTGGTCTTTCCTGCTTCCCTCGGTCTCTGTCACCATCTCTTCTTGTCTGTTGCTTTGCCTGTGTCTGTCCCTCTGGCCTCTTCCTCTCGCCTTCCTCCAATACCCTTGCTGCCTCCCCGCCACCTGGTCTCTTTGCCTCTCTCTTTCCCTGTCCTGGCCTCTCCCTGTCTTTCCTTCTGGGTCCCTCTCCCACTTAGCCTCCCCTTCGGCCCTGGATGGCCCTTGGGGGTGGAGGGAGCTGGCTTTAGGGCCACCTACCCTGTACCTGCTGCCTGCCCTCCCACAGACGTGAATGAGTGCTGGGCCTCGCCAGGCCGCCTGTGCCAGCACACGTGTGAGAACACACTCGGCTCCTACCGCTGTTCCTGCGCCTCCGGGTTCCTGCTAGCAGCGGACGGCAAGCGCTGTGAAGGTAGGCTGGCCCTCATCTCTGACCCTATGCCGCCTGGTATCTGTAGTGGGCAGACCCGCCGTGGAAGGCCCAGAGCCTTCTGTGACCCTTCACCCTTACACCTTCACCCTCACACCTTCACCCATGCTGGCCCTTCCTTCCTCCTCTGTCTGGCCCAACCCTCTCTGGCCTCCACTCTCACCTTCCTTCTGTTGTTTTCTGCCCTGAATTCCCCTGCTGAGGTCCTGGGGCTCCAGCTCCCTCAGTCCAGAGAGGCTGGGTCTCTGTGTCATCTGTACCCACAAATAGGGTATCTGAGGCATCCAAGGTCCGTGTACCTACCTGTGCGGGACGCGCCTGTGGCTGAGGGAGGGGCTGTAACATTATTCCCATGTGTGTTCATGGTGCTGTTGGCCCCAGCTCAGTGGGGACTGGTGTGGAGTAAGGCCACCAGGCTGCTCAGTGAGGGGGCGAGGGGCCAAGCCAGAAGGCCATGGGGTCTTGGCCCCATTTACCTGGCACGGTCTTTCCCAGCCCCTCCCCAGCCTGGAGGCAATTTCCTCATTTTCTCCTGGTGAGGTGAGTTGGCTGAGACCCCTGGGAGGCCATGGATCCCTTCCCAGTCACCAGGCCTGGCAGGAGAGCTGGCCCTCGCATAGGTCAACCCCAGTCCAGGCCGGGGAGCTTGGTGGGCCTGGCTGTCAGACAGCATTTGGATGGGCTCTCCAAGGCAGACTTGGGCCCTGCCATGACTGCCTGCTGGTGTCCCTGCAGACGTGAATGAGTGTGAGGCCCAGCGCTGCAGCCAGGAGTGTGCCAACATCTATGGCTCCTACCAGTGCTACTGCCGCCAGGGCTACCAGCTGGCTGAGGATGGGCACACCTGCACAGGTACCTCTCCCCTGTCCAAGGGCCCCCTTCCAGAGAGTCACTCCTTTCCCTTGTGCCAGGCTCCCCGAGAGTCCCTGCTGGGCCATGGACACAGAAAGGTTTTAGCATCAGATCTGAGTTCAAGCCCCAGCCCTGCAGTTTCCTGGCTGTGTGACCTTGGGCAGATTGCCTCTCCACTCTGACCTCAGGTTCCTCCTCTGTAAAATGGGAAGAATGGTCCTGACTTCAGGGGGATGAAGACCTAAGTTTACATAGGTGCCCATGACTGGCATCTGATTGTCCCCTCAGCTGGTAGTAGCAGTCACGGAGCAGCCCTAGGGCATAAGCACTGGAGTGGGAGTCCTGTTTTGCTTCGTGGCCTTGGGCAACTCTCTTCTACTCTCTCAGTCCACTTGTCTTCATTTAAAAAATGGGCCCCTAAGCTCTATGGCTGTGACAGGGACAGGCTGACTGTCAGTGGCTGGGCTCTGTGGGTGGACGAGGTTCACCAGGGGCTGAACCTCTCTCTGACAGACATCGACGAGTGTGCTCAAGGCGCCGGCATCCTCTGCACCTTCCGCTGTCTCAACGTGCCAGGGAGCTACCAGTGTGCATGCCCTGAGCAGGGCTACACCATGACGGCCAACGGGAGGTCCTGCAAGGGTGAGCAAGTCCCCCCACACGCCCCCGCCTCCATCAGGGCCTTGGGCAGGCTCCAAGCAGGCACAGAAAAGCTCACACAGCTTGCGTGCACTTGGAGCCCCCACACCCAGTGAATAAATGCAGGATGGCCAATGCTACCAGTGGCCATGTTAACTGAGGTTGTGCCTGGGATGAAGAACGTGACAGTCTTGCTGCTGCTCAATCCAGCTTAGAATCTTCCAGGCTTGTGCTCAGCTCTGGACCCTGCCCTGAGAGTGGAACAGAGATACTATGGGGTGTTTCTACGGAGGCACGAAGCCTGCCCAGTGAGGAGACGGCAGAAGAGCCGCAGGGGTCCCAGGCAGTGTCCCGAGTCTCTGCAGTGTTATGCAGGGACAAGGGGATCAGGCAGGTCTGTGGACCCAGAGAGTAGGGCGGGATCCTGGGGAGTAGAGAAGGGTGTCATGGGGAGGCTTTTCCCAACCCTGGTGCAGAAGGGCATTCTCCTCATCAGAGCTGTGTAGAGCTGGGAGGGGCTGCACAATGGGAGGGTCCCCCACTCCCCTGCTATTGAGGATGTACAAGAGCTGGGCAGTCACCTGTGGAATTTGCAAGAGAGGGGACTGTGTCCCTGGATAGAGACCGTGTTCTGTGGTATTTAATGTTCCTCCTCTGCTAGAGAGTCGTACTTCTAAGTTCAGTGCCATTTGCCACCGGATTCTGGGCCTGGTAAGCCACCAGGGCAAGGTGAGGGGCCAGGACACAGAAGGGGTCATTGCCCCAGGAGAACCAACCACTCAGCCCCATGGCCTCTTGGCCTCTCGCTCCCTCGGCCCCTCGGTCCCTTGGCGCCGCAGAGCTCAGACCTCCTCCTGACTTCAGTGGCCAGGTCTTCCTCACACATGGAGCTGAGAACCTGGAGTTCCCTGGGGTGCAGCTTTCGGGGTGTGACCAGGGTCCTGGCCCAGCCTTGGGCATTTTCTTGGCCCGCAAAAGCAGAGGGGTCAGAGTTAGCTCCCAGAAGGGTTTGGAGTTAGCTCAGCACAGTGCAGGCTGGTGGTTGCTACCTGTCAGTGGATCCTGAGATCAAGTCGATAGACTTCAGCCAGCTGCCTGTGTTCTCCTTTCCATTAGCATAGAACAGAAAGCAGCATAGGGCAGAGTGGAGTGGCGTGGCATGGGGCAGGTCAGAGTGCAGTGTGACCCTAGGTTCCAGCCCTTATGTGTGTACCTAGTCCCAATGCACAAGGAGTCCTTTGTGTGGGTGGATGCAAACGTATCAGAGTCGTAAGTTAAGTCAGAAGACCATGAGAAGACCCTATAAATCACTGACTGGGAGGCCTGCTCGGCCCACAGAAGCTGGCTTACTTAGGTCTTGCTGGCTGCAAAGCCCTCTTCTTGTTAATTAAAAAAAAAAAGTCGGTATGGACTCCGTAAAAGGTAAGGATTCTATTCACCGTGTGCTCAGCTCGGCAGGAAATATGGCTTTATCCTTCTAGATTGTGATTTCACATGTGACACCAAGGCCCTGTTCCTCCTGGTGGCAGAACACAAGTGTGGCCACTTCAAGGAAGCCCCATCAGACACTGCAGTGACATTTGCTCTTGGAGGAGTTTCAGGATGCAAACCTGTCTGCATTGAGGACAGACTCTCCCTGGCTGTTTATTTTCTGACCTACACCAAACACCTTGGGGGTGCTCAGGACACCTGGATGCCCACATGTGCCTGGCTAGCCACTAGAGAGGGCTTCCCGGGACCTGGCATATGCCCATCGTGGGTGCACCTGACCCTAGCGCTTCTCTCCTGCCCGGGCTTGCCCGCCACCCCGTCTCTGCATCCTCTTCTTGGGGTGGCTGCTCCTCTGCCCCGACGACTTGCTCTGTGTTGAAGAACTGGCGAGGCCAGGTCCCCTCTGCAGGCCCCCAGTGTGCCACCAGCCCCACCAGGAGGTTGGGGCAAGGTAGAGCCCCACACCTGCACATCTGCCGCCCTCGCTTGCTCTCCAGACCTTCCTTCTGGAAGAGCCTTCTGACTCACATGGTGGGCAAGGGCACAGTGGGGGCTGCCGGCTCCCCGGCCTCATCCATTTCACAGGTCACTCCATGTAGCCACTTCTGCAGCTCCTGACCTTCAGAGCTAAGAGGCTGTCCTCTTCTCCTGTTCTGGCTTGGGCCAAACCCTGAGGTCTCTCGGCTCAAACAGGGTGGGGGGAGGCTGGCTTGGGGGAAAGAATGTGTTGGATAATGTCCCCGTTAGCCTTTAGCCTCTCTCCAATAGTTAAAAAAGAAAAGGACAGGAAAATCCGAAGGAATTTAGACTCAGCCCTCTCACCTGGCATGCACACTCCATGAAGGTAGGGCCCTATCTGTCCGGCTCACCAGCATCTAGAGCAATGCCCAGCACATAGTAGGTGCTCATTGGACAGTTGACCCCATGACTGAGCTGAGTGGGAACCACTGCTCATGTTTGCATGCATTTCCCTCCAGTCTTTCCCTTAGCAGATATAAACACACTGCAAACACACACACACACACACACACACACACACACACACACACAGCTGAAAGTCACTCTGAGTCCCGGTCGTTTCTGTGTAGTAAGAGCCCATCTCTGCATGCCACTCGATGGGGCAGGCCAGCTTTGAGCAGCACTCTCGGTCTTGCCCCTGAGCTGTTGTGGGCTTCTGGGCCTCAAGTCCTTCAGAAGCCCTTGGAAGCCTCTCTTCCGGGGCTGAATTTTGCAGGACTCCCCTGTTTCGTCCTTTTTGCTCTGTCACCCACTTTTGCACATCTGAGTTGCGGCTGACCCTGGCTGTCTCTGATGAGGCTGTGATGGCAGCCCTGGATACGGGGCCTAGTCCAGCTCCCACGTTAGCCTGCGCTCTCCAGGGGCCTGGCAGCGCCGATGGGCGAGGCCCTGGGGCGTTAGGGAAGACCTGCGACTGACCGCCTCCCGCGAGCTTGGTGAGGCCAGGCTGTAGCCGCTCACCCTTCTTGGCCCTTCCCTTCTGGGCATCTCCATCAGCAGCAGCCCAGAGCCAAAGCAAAAAGCTCCCACGTCCTTCCTGCCCCACCCACATAAGCTCCAGGGTCACTGGAGCGGGCCACCGGGGGCATAGGCCAAGGAGCAGGAGGAGGCCCTCTCCATGTGGAGTCCACGAGTGAATAATCAGCAGCCTGGGACCACCCGGTTGGGCTCTACCCTGCCTGGCCTCTTGCCGTGTTTTCTCCCACTCACTTCTGCGCCACCCTGGGGCCTATTTTACGGAGGGAGGGAAGTGAGGCCTGGAGAGGTAAATAGATGTGAGCTGACCCGCTACAAGAGAGCCTGGCAGCCAAGAGCCCAGAGTCTGAGGCGGTCCGGGGGTATTGAGTCCTGGCGTTGCCCTGGCAGCTATGTGACCCTGGGCACATTTGTGGACACCTGCACCTGCCCCGTGGGGTTGGCGTGGGTGCAGAGTCCCTCAAGCATCACAGGGATGTCAGGCAGTAAACTCTGGAGGCAGGCTGACTATTGGTATTATTACTATTATGTTGTTGTTATTGTTAGGAGTCAGCTTGGCATCATGACTGGGTCCCAGATTTTGGCATCAGGCATGCCTGACTTGCTGCCCCGCTCGCTGCTGTGTGATCTTGAGCAAGGCTTTGCCCCTCTCTGAGCCTCCACACCCTCCTCTGTCTGAGGAAGCCAGTGACCCTCGCTGCACAGGGCTGGTGTGAGGACTGAGTGAGGACAAATTCCTAAATGGTGTCAATATGGAGGATTGGAAAACAAAAACTGAAGCCCTCTGTGGTTGCCCCTGGAACACCCCCTGCCCCTACCCCACGGGACTTTCTGGAGGCCTCCTGAGGCGGCCCTCTCTGGGCTGAGCAGCTCATCCTCAAAGTTTCTCAAGAACCCATTTCTAAGACCTTTTGTCCTCCAGGGTGCCTGTGGGTTACACACACACACACACACACACACCCACACACACCCCTACCCCACCCCTGCTTCTCTGAGCTTTCGTGAATGGTATCTATTCATATGTCTGTTGACGTTTATATGTGTATGTTTCTTTGTCCCAAATGGGCCTTCTGTGTGTTTGTTTCTGTGCACCTGTGGAGGTGTGCGTGTGCTCACGTGTGTGCTGAACCTATGTGCCTGTTGGAGTTGCACATGTATGTTTGCTTCTGAATGTACAGGAAGCGTGAGCACGTCTGTTGCTCATGGGGGACATTGACTCATAGCTTTGCGTCTCGGAGTCGGGACTTGCAAGTGATGGGTCTTGGACTTCCATCCAGCAAGAAGTATTGAGCGCTGCTCCATGCAGGCACTCCACTGGGCACTGGGGACAGCATGGGAATGAGAAAGACAAACACCCCTGCCCTCCTGGAGCCCAGGTTGAGGGGGGACGGTAGAAACATACAAAACATGCAGCCATACCAAACAGCCTCGGTGTGTTGCAGAGCATGGAGCCATAGGAGGATGATAAAATGGGGTGGGATGGAGGGTGATGGGGCAGGAGGACCACTGTAGAGTGGTCAGGGAGGCCATCCTGGAGGGGGTGACTCAAGATCTGAGAGTTAAAAGATGAGAAGCCTCCAGCAGTAGGAAAAGCTGGGGATAGCGTTCCAGCAGCAGCAAAGGCCCTGGGTAGGATAAGGGTCAGGCTATTGGGGCAGCCCAAGGATGTCCAGCAGGACTGTGGCCTCTGTGGAAGAGAAGGAGCTTAGAGAGGCCAGAGAGCCTTGCACTGTGTGGCTTGGCATCCAGGGGAGGGAGCTGGGCTTTATTCTGGAGCGCGAGAAGCCTTGGGAGGGCATGACATGAGGTGATTGACACTTTAGAGCCAGGCCCCCTGCTGCGGGGTGCCGAGCAGGTGAGATGGGGCATGTGTGTGCAGGGAGGCACGCGGGCTATTCTCACAGGTCCGGCTGCCGTGGGGCCCAGGCCTTTCATGCAGGCTGGGGAGTTTCAGGCTGGGTCCCCCAGCTGTGGGGACCCTGCCATTGCCCCTCTTCTCCCCCAGACGTGGATGAGTGTGCACTGGGTACCCACAACTGTTCCGAGGCTGAGACCTGCCACAACATCCAGGGTAGCTTCCGCTGCCTGCGCTTCGAGTGTCCTCCCAACTATGTCCAAGTCTCCAAAACGTGAGTGTCCCCACCCCAGTCCCAGTCCCAGGGAGCCTGTCCTGGTCCTGTACTATCCAGGGAGAGGCTGAGAGATGGGCGCCTGCCTTGATCACCTCCCTCTCGTCCCAGCCCCTGACTGCTGGGTCTGTGGGCTAGGTGACCAAAACAAATATAAGTAGCTTTTAGAGAGTTCAGGGTTGAGAGAAGGAAGGGGAAAAGACACACAGAAAACACCAGCCCTCTTCCTCATACACACACATGGTAGTTACTGCTGTGTGACCAGTTATCCCAACCAACATTTAGCACCAGAATACAACAGATACTTACTCTTTGTCACGCAGTGTCTGAGGGCTAGGAGCCTGGGAGTGGTGTAGCTAGGTGGTCTGGCTCAGGATCTCAGGGGCTGCCTGTCCGGGGTGCGGGATCCTGCCACTGCTCATGGGGCTCTGGGCAGGAGGCCTCAGCTCCGCATCACATGAGCCCCTCCACAAGGCTGCTTGTGACATGCCACTCCCCAGCTCAGTGTATCAGAAGTGCCAGCGGCAGCCCCTTAACCTCACTTAACCTCAGAACTGACAGACCGCTACTCTGCCACCAGCCACACGGCCCGGCACTTGGGAGGGACCCTGGGAGGGACACTGGGTGCACTGGGAAGAAGGGAGAAGGAGGAGGAAGGGAAGGGGAGAGGGAAAAGGAAGGAGAAAGGAAGAATGGGAGGATGGCAGGAGGGAGGAAGAAAGGAGCATGGGGACAGGTAAGAGCTGTTAACGAGCCTGGCCAGTGCCATGCTAAACTCACCCATTCCAGTGAGCCGGTGAAGGTTTTATTAACCTCATCTCGCAGGCAAGGAAACTGAGACCCAGGGGACGTAAGGGGACTTGCCTGAGGCTTCCCGGCCATTAGGGAGAGAGCTGGCCCTTGATCCTGCCGCTGAGCTGTGCCATCTGTGTCCCCGTCTGGGGATGAGGGGGGTGGGCGAGCTGTGGGTGACCCGGCCTATCCTCCCTGCAGGAAGTGCGAGCGCACCACGTGCCATGACTTCCTGGAGTGCCAGAACTCGCCAGCGCGCATCACGCACTACCAGCTCAACTTCCAGACGGGCCTCCTGGTGCCTGCGCATATCTTCCGCATTGGCCCCGCGCCAGCCTTCACGGGGGACACCATCGCCCTGAACATCATCAAGGGCAATGAGGAGGGCTACTTTGGCACGCGCAGGCTCAATGCCTACACGGGTGTGGTCTACCTGCAGCGGGCCGTGCTGGAGCCCCGGGACTTTGCCCTGGACGTGGAGATGAAGCTCTGGAGGCAGGGCTCCGTCACCACCTTCCTGGCCAAGATGCACATCTTCTTCACCACCTTTGCCCTGTGAGGTGCCAGCACGGGCCACCTGCGGGTGTGGCGCAGCCCAGGGCTCACACTGCGTGGGAGGGACTGGGTCACTATTGTGGTTTTTACTATAACTTTGTAAATTAACTTAATTTTGCTGACTTGACTCCTGTGGCTTCTGGACCCCTCCTCTGCCCCGCAGGAGGAAGTTCCACGGCAGGTGGTGCGTTCCCACGCAGGCACCAAGTGGAAGCTTGCACGGTGGGCCACGGCCGTGGCGGGTGCCCTGTGGGTGAGGCTGGGTGATGACCTGAGGACCAGAGACACGCGACCATGTTGGGGCTCTTGGACTCCTCTGGATGACCCGTCCCCAAAGTTGACATTCCATTTCATGTTCCACTGTGATTAATTCTTTTCTTTTTTAAAAAATCATTTTAAAGTTTTTTGTTTAACTATAAAGTAGTACATGTACATTATATAAAAAAAAGTTCAACTAGTATGAAAGGGTTATAAAGTAACAGAGGAAAACGCCTCTTGGTCCCTTTACTTTTGTAAAGTGTTCAGAGTTTGACAACGTTGTCCAGATGTCACAGGGCTCTATGGCCTGGCCAGCATGTCAATTCATTGATGAAGACCTTGATGTCCTTCTCAACGAGCCCCGAACCTGAAGTTCACTTTGGGATGAGGGCACCCCAGTGTGATCAGTCACTGACCAGGCTCTTTATTCTGCTTTTACCACTTCAGCTTTCCCTCCTCCTTCCTCCTCCCTCCTCCCTCCTCTGCCTTCCCCCCATGAAGACCTCCACTGATGGCCTGTCACTTGGATGTTGTCCAGAACTTGTCCTGGCCCCTGTTGCTGAGCTGTCAGGTCAGGCAGTAGACCTGGGCAGGAGCCTGAAGGAACCTGGGAAACTGAGGCCCTGAGAGCGGAAGCGATGTGCCCCCAGCCCACAGCGAGCATCAGAGCAGGTGTCGGGACCCAGCTCTGATGACCCTGCTCGGGCTCCGTGGGTCTAGAGTTAAATATAGGGGGCGGCAGCCAGCACTTTTAAAATGACGTAGAATAGAGCAGATGAGATATGAGTGCTTCACACCCTGTAAAGAGAAGAACTGCTTCACCAAACCACAGTACATGGGGCGTGTGCACCTATGCGTGGGCACGCTAGCTCTGGCTTTTGGTAGAAAGTGTTTCTCACTGTGGGTGGAGGGAAGCAGGCCTGTCGGGGCGCGCTGGGCAGCACATGCCCTGTGTGAAGGGGGCGCCTACACTTGGCTCCAGCAAGGCCGCCTTCTGGGCGCGTGGCCCGGGATGGCCAGATGTTCTCATTCCTCAACACAAACTCTCTCAGTGTTAAGAGGTGGCGACTTGCTCAGGCTTCTAAAGGACAGGTGTTTGGGAGCCTCTTGCCGGAAGCCTGCGGTGGGGGCCCTCTGTCCCTGCTCCTCGCCGGCCCCCATCCCCAAGGGTGCAGCAGAAGCCAGGTCTTCCCTGTCCCTGTCCGGGCTGTCTCTGTTCCTTCTATTTTGCTGATTTTCAGAAAAACTAGATCCGGCACCTTTGTGGTGCACAGTCCCCACCAGCGGGAACCAGTAGGTGACAGGCTCCATTCAACAGGACAGGCAGGTTAGGGACACCCCTGGCTGGCAGCAGCCGTTCCTGCTCCTACCCAGCCCCGGTTACTCCTTCTGGGACCTCAGGCAAGTGACTTCGCCTCCCCTCACTGGTCTCCCCTGTGAACAGGGGCTCCAGCTGTTCTTCCTGCACAGGCCATCGAGCCAGTAAAATGAACTTGGCACCCAGCGCATCCATACGGAGGGTCTTGGAGAACAACTTCTCTCCGGACCTTAGAGTTTCTAAGGTGATTCTAGAATTCCATGCCGGCAAGTTTGGCAAACTGCAGCTTCAGGGAATAGCCCCTACAAGACTACCCTCACTGCAGACCAAGAACTGCACACCAGAAACAAGCTCAGGCATCCCTAGGACCACCCTCACGTCTGAGCAATGGGCTACAGGTTTGGGGGTCCTTACATCCACCCTCAGGCTCATTAATTCACCTGCATGACTCAGACAGTTTATGGTGAAAGGAAGCAGGTTAAAGTCATTGATGAATTCTAGAGCAGAGTCCAGGAGAGCCCAGTCACGGAGCTCCCGTGTCCTCAGGATGCAGCACAACAGAATAGAGCTGAACAGGGCACCTTTGGGGTCCAGGTGTGTCTGGGAGCTTGACCACCTGGCTGTCAGCGTGGCTGGCCCTAAGTCTCCAGTCCCTCGCAGAGGTCAGAACTGAGGCAGCAAAGCCCCTGAAAACGCTGGTACTCCAGTGCCAGCCAGGACGTTCTGGGGGCCGAGAGCTCACCCTGCAGGCCACCCCCGGCCCCGGCCCCAGCGTTCTCGCAGTGGAATAGTCACGTTTGTCTGGGCAGCTCCTTCAGCGTTGCCTGCTTCCTCCCTTGTGGCAGGGCTGCCCGTGCCTATGAAGCATGTAAAGAACCACCGTGTGCAGGCGTTAGCCCGGGGTTGGCTCCACCTAGCTCTTCCGCAGGTGTCATTCTCCATCGTTGCTACATCCTGAGGAGGCTGGAACTCAGGGTTTCAATACATTTGCCATCACCATCAACGTTATAACCTTATCAACCGTGCCAGGTAGGACCATATTGCAGTCTGGTGGATGTCACCTAAAAAGGAAGACCGGAGTCCCACTCAGTCATAGCAGTTTATCTAGTCCATCACCACATCAGATCAGCAGATGTCCCCCAGGGTGAGGCCACTCAGGTTTGCAGGCTGCCATTCGACCTTGTCAAGTTCCAAAAGCAGAGGCGGCCTTGGCGTCACCCTTTCAGGCATCTAGTGTAGTTGAGCTGAGACGATGCCCTCCACGCCGCTCTTAAGGTAGTACTGTAATGTAGGATTCACGTAAAATTGGATTTCCCGGCCGGGCGCGGTGGCTCACGCCTGGAATCCCAGCACTTTGGGAGGCCGAGGTGGGCGGATCCCCTGAGGTTGGGAGTTAAAGACCAGCCTGACCGACATGGAGAAACCCCATCTCTACTAAAAATACAAAATTAGCTGGGTGTGGTGGCACATGCCTATAATCCCAGCTACTCAGGAGGCTGAGGCAGGAGAATTGCTTGAACCAGGGAGGCGGCGGTTGTGGTGAGCTGTGATTGTGCCATTGCACTCCAGCCTGGACAACAAGAGCGAAACTCCGTCGCAAAAAAAAAAAAAAAAAAAAAAAAAAAAGGATTTCCCTCACTACATAACCCACGTACTGGTTGCTTTACCCTCAGCTCCGGTTCCTCCTTTTCTCCATTTGTATCCAGGTATTTCCACCTTTGGAAGGGCCATGAGGTTCGGCCATGCTGTTGGGCCGGATTGTCAGAAGCAATGCCAGCCTAGCAAGTGCCTCCCTGACAGTCCACTCCGGTTGGTGTAGGATGGGGCTTCACAGGTGTAGAACTAGTGGGCTGTCTCCACCACCAGGCAATGTGCCTGCCCTCACTAGCAGCCCTGATTTTTCCGGATGGGGTGAAGGCACCATCCACTCCATCAGCCCTCAGGAGCTCTGGCATGAAGCTTTGGAGCTAGAGGTGCACCCTCCTGCCTAGGAGTCATTGCTACCTCAGCACTTGCAGCTGCAGCCCTGGTCCTGGGGCCACTGCAGCAGATAGGAAAGGAGGAAGGCGAGGTGATGTGGAGAAGAAAAGAAAAGCAGTCTTACCAGCAACCTCCCTTCCCCAGTTCTCTTAGAAAAGGCATAGGAGGCCAGGCACAGTGGCTCACGCCTGTAATCCCAACACTTTGGGAGGCCAAGGCGGGTGGATCACTTGAGGTCAGGAGTTCGAGACCAGCCTGGCCAATATGGTGAAACCCCATCTCTACTAAAAATACAAAAAAAAAAAATTTAGCCGGATGTGGTGGTGCACGTCTGTAATCCCAGCTGCTTGGGAGGCTGAGGCAGGAGAATCGCTTGAACCCGGGAGGTAGAGGTTGCAGTGACCTGAGATCGCATGACTGCACTCCAGCCTGGGCAACAGAGTGAGACTCAAACAAAACAAAACAAAACAAAAACAGAAAAGAAGAGGTGTGGGACTCTATCTAGCAGGGACCCTCTCCTGGCCCTTCTCATGTTTGGGGTGGACACACACTTGTGATGGCGTGCAAGTCACTCTTTCCTGCCCCACCACCTCTGTTTTAGACAACCAGTATCCATGACATGTTCCAGTTCTCTATCCAACCTTACGCCAAGGATGAGAGTGCTCTGCCCCTTGTGGGACATTCAGGGCTGTAAAGTGTGTCCCTTGGTCGGGAGAAGTGTGAGTGGGCAGTGCAAATTCGTGCACTGTCTCCCATCGCCACACTTTTATAGTACCTCAAGCGTCTGCTGCCAGGGAGGCAAAGCCCAGGTGAGAGTCAGTGGCTCGCCTTTCCCTGTCAGGGCCCATTGGTGGCCTCCTGGGGCTTCTATGTTTGGTTTGTCTTGCCAGCTCCATGCAAGGCCTTCCCTCATGGGACTCTGCTGCACAGCCATCGGCAGTCTCTGTTTCTCTGTCTGTTGGCAGAAAGAACAGCTCTTATGAACTGTGCCTAGGGGGTGCAAGAGGAATGTGTCTAGGTTCATCTGCAGCCCCAATGTCCACTCATTTCGTGGACCCAGGGTGCCACCCCAAGCGAGCACACTGGGACGCCTACTTGCCATCCCAATCACTTCTTGATCCTGGAAGGGGGTTCCTTTGATGGGCATCAACATGTCCCACTTTAATGCACCCCTCAGATTCCCAGGGTGATTCTGCAGGGCTGTGCTCCACACGGGTATCCCTTTAATAGGCCAGGTTTCCGCTGCCCTCCTGCCTGACCATAGGGTCTGACAAGGTCACCCATGAATCAGTAAAAACACAAACACACAACTGAACAGCACGCAGTCCCTCCCACCGAGCTGATTCATTTTCACCTTCTTCCATTGGAGGGCTGGCCTTCCAAACTGTGCTGTCCGCATACCTTGGAACCATCATCTGTACACACTGGCCAGTCAAGAGCTCTCACAGAGCATCAGCCAAGTGACAGTAGGATCTGGCAGCCCCTCGGGTGGTTCTAAAGTTGGCCCTAGGGGAAAGCCTGTCTGCTCATGACTACGCCAAGTACCCCTTTGCATCCCCAGGCAGCACATTCCTGCACAAACCATTTCCATTTTATTAAGAAACTCTGGGGCCGGGTGTGGTGGTTCACGCCTGTAACCAAGTCGGGTAGATCGCCTGAGCTCAGGAGTTTGAGACCAGCCCAGGCAACATGGCAAAAACCCATTTCTACAAAAAATCCAAAAATTAGCCAGGTATGGTGGCGCACGCTGTAGTCCCAGGTACTCAGGAGGCTGAGGTGGGAGGATGGCCTGAGTCCAAGAGGCGGAGGTTGCAGTGAGCTGAGATGGCACCACTGCACTCCAGCCTGGGTGACAGAGCTGGACCTTGTCTCACAAAAAAAAAAAAAAAAAAAAGGAAATTCTGGGTGTTGCCCTCCCCATTAGGGTGTTTCTTTGACATCGTCCAGAACATTATGTGTATTTCAGATTTTTAGATTATTTTATAGCCTTCAATCATAAGAGTGGCCTCAGTCAAAATGCAATCATTGTCTCTCCAATGAAAATTTTCTAGTCCCAAATCCCAGTGGTCACCCCTGGGTGGCACTAACAGGCTTTTGCCGTACAGCCTGGTCTGTGTAAGGACTCCAGGGCTTTTGGGGGTAGTTTTATGGGAAGGAGTTGCAATATTCCTGGACGTGGAGTGTGTACCCTCCAAAGTCTGAATCAGCTGACCAGATGCTGGTCTTCAATCACTATTGCCAGAAGGGCAGGTTTACCTGCCTTCTATTTTACAGCAATTGGTGGGAGAAGCATTCCCCAGCCAGACCATCTCTATCCCCAGCATATGCTCCGATAAAGCAGGTGCAGGCACTTCACAGAGAATTTGTTCCAACATTCCAGTTTTCACCTAAGTATCCACCTTAATTCCGTCAACCATCACATTTCTAAATCCTCCCCATTGAACGAGAGCCTCCATTCGGGCTTCGCTGACAGGTTTGGAATCACAGAGCAGAGGCTCCCACAGACGGAGTCTGTTCTCCTCCCCCGGCCATTTCACTCACCCGTGTGTGTATGGCTTTGGGTCCCCAGCTAGGGGGTGGGCCGAGAGACTCAGGCCTTCTCCTGGTTAGATTGTGAGACCACTGCCTCAGGCAACTTGAGATCAGAATTCTCACTGTCATTTTAGGCCTCCCAGGTTTTAAAAATCTTCCGAACTAGAATGAATAAAGCAGATTTTTTAGGGCCTTTTCACATTGGGCGGCCGGCAGGGTCCATCCAGCTTCTGTGAGTGCTGCATTGAGACCGTTGTTTCGTCCTCATCAATATCCACTTTATTCATCTTATTTCTTAACACCTGTTTAAAAGCTTCCACCCTGCTGGGATGAGTCCCTTGACTCTCTCCTTGGTCCTACCCCTTTGTTTTGTCCATGCTCTTATGAAAACCTTTACTATCTGTTGTCTCGGCACACTTTTCCCTTTGGAGGAGGCTCTGAGGCCAGTAGCTACACCTTGGGTCAACTGACTGTACCCTGGCCCAGCATCGGAATCTACCCCACACATTCCTTGGGTAGGGCTTCAGGCTAGAGGCTGTGGTCCAGGCTGACCAGAATCTTGGCTCAGCACCAGGGTCCCTTCCTACACTCACTTACCTTTTAACCACTGCAGATAACAATAACCAAGGGATTTCACATTTTCCTTTTTTGTTGTTTCTTTGCATTTCCTTATATTCTAGTGAGCCAACTGCTTAGGAGTTGGATCCCTCATTTCTAAATTCCATTGATAACTTTTACCTTACAAAAAATTGATTGTATTGGTTCTACCTGCAAGTGTACTTGAAAAAAAAAAAAAGACAAAAAATGGATTGCAGCACAGCCACCACCAGGAATGAAAGTTTCCTCAGCTCCTACCCTTTTACTCTTCCCAAACCACATGTTCCAGTGAGTCAGGGTTGGTCTAGAAAGTCCCAACTCTGACACCAACTGTAAGGAGTTCAGCAAATGATAGAGTTTAAGGAAGGAGTCCCCACCAGGCTGCTCTTACTTCAGGCACCAGCCGAGAATGGGGTTTCCAGGATCACCGTCCCTTCAGATCAATTGGTGACATAGTCAGAGGTCCCTGTAACCACCCTAAGATACAATCATTCACTAGAATGACTCAAAGAAAAGTATAGCACTCAGGAAAGTGCTATACTTATTACAATTTTATTATAGTGAAAGCATACACATCCAAGCCAGCCAAGGGGAGAGACACAGAGGGCAAAGTCCAGGAAGGGTCCAAACATGGAGTTTCTGGTTGTCTCAGATGGTGTGACCTCCTCCCAGACATGATGTATGATAATACACAAAGAGGATAAACAACCAAGGAAGTTTATCTGAGCCTTTGGTATCCAGAGTTTTTACTGGAGCTCATTGGTGGTTGGGGCACAGATATTCCCCAGCACAAGGTGGCAGCACGATTGCTAAAGATGGCACCAGTGGTGGCCCGGGAACACTCACAGGGAATGCTGGTAGAGGGAATGCTGTGGCTGGGAATGCTGATGCAGGCATTGGAAAAATTTGAGGGAATGATGGCTACAAAGACCAGAGGAATTGGACTGCTGAGTTATACTGCCCTGCAGAGGGATGAGAGAGTCTGAGCTGTGAGTTGGAGGTTGGTGGCCAAGCGGGAGGCAGAAAGCCTATGGCAGCTCACAAAGCGGCACCTGTCTCCTGAAGGGGAAGGGCAGGCAGAGCTGAGTGGCAGGCCGAAGACCTGATTGTGAATTTTCTGTTGAACATAATAAAAAAAAAGTCCAGCTGGATGCAGTGAAAAGCAGGGAAGGGCATGCCAGCCCAAGGGAACAGCACGTGCAAAGCTTCTGAAGCGGAGAAGCCTGATCTGCCTGGAAGGACTGGATGAGGGATGAGGGTGGAGGGGGTGGGGTGAGGCAGGGTCAGCAAGGCACCACGAGCCTCCACCAGGGCTCTGAGCAAATCCCCAGAGCACTGGGAGCAGCTGAAGCACGGGGCAGTGATGACAGCCTTGGAACTGCATTTCCCCATACCCCTCTGGCTGTAGGCTGGAGAATGGATTATAAGGGAGGCCCTGCTGGAGCTGATCCCTCTGGGGATATTGGGATGCTATGGTGTGGGGTCCTGGGATGCCAGTCTTATCATTTGGGCTGTATCTCATGCCTGGGCCCCTCTCTTATCTCAGGGACAAGACAGTGACTCACCCATCTCAGACTGGACAAGCCTGGCGGACCCATCTCAGCTAGAGCAGCGACATTCACACCCATGTTCATGATCTCCACCCTCCCGCATGTGCGCTGCTCTCCCGGCCCTGAGGAGGGGTGTGTGGAATGGAACACAGGTCCCCAGACCCCAGACACACTCATATGTGTTAGTCCCACACGGTCAGGGCAGCACCCAGCCCACCTGCTGGCCTCCCCTGCCAGGGCCTTCCTGCTGCCTGTGGGGCCCACACCTGGGTCAGCCTGCCTGTCCTCTCTGGGCATGGCCAGCCTGGGACCAGCTAGAGATGGGCACACCATGATGGGCAGGTCTGTGCAGCTGCCCCACCATCAGGGCATGCAGAGGGCATGTGGGGAGTGCCTGGGGCCCCTGGCCTTCCTGTTGGGTTAGTTTTGGAGAGCTAGGGGGTGAAGGCTGGCACTCACCCACACCATTGTCCCTGGGGGCTGTGTCAATATCCCCATCCCTGCCCCGCCGGCCTCCATCCTAACACCTTCATTGTGTATCTCTGTGCTGAAAATTGGTTTAGAAAATGGGTACTGTGGTGCGGTGGGCATGTATTTTTTAAAATAAAGTTTTAGTCTTAGAATAGTTTTTGATTTCTAGAAAAGGTGCAAAGATAATTCTGAGTAGTCCCCCACCTAATTCCGTTTACTGTTAACACCTTACATTACTATATGTGCACAGTGAGATATGTGTCAATCAATATTGATACATTCTTAACTAAAGTCCATACTTTATTTAGCTTTCCTTTGCTTTTATTTAATGTCCTTTTTCTGTCCCAGGACCTCCTCTGGGATACACATTACGGTTTCTTAGACTAGCTCTGGGATTTTGTTTTTGTTTTGAGATGGGGGGGGGTCTCTCTGTGTTGCCCAGGCTGGTCTTGAACTCCTGGTCTCAAGTAATCTTCTCACTTTAGCCTCCCAAAGTGCTGGGACTACAGGTACACGCCGCCATGCCTGGCTCTTGCCTTGGTTTTGACGATTTTGACAGTTGAGGAGGACTGGCCCGATACATCGTAGGATGCCCGCTACTGGGGTTTGTCTGACACTTTTCTCATGATTAGACTGGGATTGTGGGTCTGGGGAGGAAGATCACAGAGGTAAAGTGCCCTGATCAGCACATCCAATGGAGGGCAGCTGCTGTCAACATGAGGCATCCCTTGTGATGCTGGCGTTGCCCATCTGGCTGAGGTCGTGCTGATTGGGTCTCTCCACTGTGAAGTTTCTCTTCCTCCCCACTCGCTGCAGTGCACTCTTTGGTGCACATATTTGCAGTTGCTTTGCAGCCTGGTGTTACGGATGCCACTCGGCTCCCTGATTGTGTAGTCAGCAGTGTTAAGTGTTCCTTCCTGTTGGCGCACATCTTGTCTGTTGCTGGTGCCTGCTACGGAGTCCTCCGAGGGGCACCCCACACTTTCCCTGGGATCACGTGTCCAGGCTGCTCCCAGGTACGCACCCCACAGACTCTGCTGCAGAGAAGGGGGCCCATTTGTGGACTTCCCTGGACATGCAACCAAGGAGCGAACTGCTGATCATGGGTGTCTGTACTCCAGTTTTGACCCCATTTTTTCAGGCTGCCCTCCAGAAAGCCTGTGCGTCCCCATCAATCATCCCACTTCCTGAGATGTGCCAAGTGGAGGGGCGTGCCGCGCTTGCTTGCCGGCTGTTCTGCACACGGGCGCTAAGGGTTCTGCTTTCTCTGAGTCACTGAGCTACACCCAAAACCAGCATCCCATCCTGTGGGCTGTAGGCTCAAGTGGGTCATTGCTTGGCTTGGGCACAATATTTAGAAAAGTTTTGAGCCAACATGTCAACACTGAGGAATTTCACGTGCCCTTTTAGGTTTTGGGCTGCTCTGGAAACCCCAAACTGCTTCTTTCTTATGGTTCCCAAGGTAAATCTGTTCTTCTCAACGTTTTTCATTTGGAAGACCCCGTTGCCCCACAGCACCTTATGGCTTCTGCAAAATAGACTGGGTCCACTGCAAAGCCCTGTCTCCAGGCAGAGCTTTTCCCGCCAAGGGCTGGGCAGCCTGGCTGGAGGCAGTGAGCACCCATCGCAGGAGGTATCAGAGCGGCCCCAGCAGGTCCCGGGTGTGGGATGGGGCCACTGACGTTCCCCTCGTTTAGCTTCCATAGCTTTGTGAGACAGGCATTCTCCTCGCCTGCCGCTCTGCAAGCTGGTGGGACAGAAGCACCTTCCAGCTTTGTGGATGAGTTCTGACGCAGCTGCGGGGCAACAGTGCCCCCTCGTGGCTGCAGCCCCAGCCTGGCCGCTCTGCCTGCAACTAATGGAGGGGTGGATTTGGACAAGTGGCACGGGGGAAAGGTGTTTCTGACTGCAGGAAGGGCTGCAAGGCTTTCCCACAGCCAGTGTGGCTGGAGGGAAAGGTGCGGTGGGAGCAGAGGCCAGAGGTCTGTGGGGACCAAGTGGGGAGAGGATGGGATACTGAGTGAGGGGTGGTCCTTGAGGGAATTTGGGCAGAGTGGCCACCCCTCCCTTGAACAGTAGGTCTGTCCATGATCCCAAGGGCTCCCTGGGGTCTGCTCCTCTGACCCATTCCTAAGACCAAGGGATTCCAACCACAGGAATCTTCCTGCAAACAGATTTGTGGGCTGGCTTGGCCTGGCCTGCTCTGCCATGGATGGAACCATCGTTGATAGCTAGGGGCTTTAATGATGGAACTGTGGGCAAAATGCACCCCCAAGGGAATGGAGGTGACTCAGTTCCACCAGCATCTACCGGCAGCCCCTGCCGTGTCCAGGCTCTGTGCTGGCAGGCTCTGCGTTGCTCAGATCCTGTTCCCACCTACAACCTGGAGGGAGGGCTCCCAGCCCCATCTATAGAGGTGGAAACTGAGGTTCAGAGAGAGTGTATGACTTGCCTAGGGCCACACAGGGATTCAACTCTGTAAGGGAAACCTCATTGCTCAGGAGAATGAGAAGAAAAGCCACAGACTGGGAGAAAATATTTGCAAAGGACATAGCTGATAAATGACTATTATCCAAAATCTACAAATAACTCTTAACACTCAATAATAGGAAAACAACCCAATTAAAAAGTGGGCAGAAGATCTAAACAGACACCTCATTCAAGAAGATACACAGATGGCAAATAAGCACCTGAAAGATGCTCCACATAGGTATATCATTAGGGAGCTGCAAGTTAAACCAACCATGAGATACTGCCACGCACCTACTGGAGTGGCTCATATCCAAAGCACTAACACACCAAATGCTGGCGAGGATGTGGAGCACCAGGAACTCACATTCATTGCTGGTGGGAATGCAAAATGGCACAACCACTTTGGAAAACAGTTTGGCTGTTTTTTTTTTTTTTTTTTTTTTTTTTTTTTTTTTTCAGACAGGGTCTTTCTCTGTCACCCAGGCTGGAGTGCAGTGAAGCAATCACGATTCACTGCAGCCTCAACCTACCAGGCTCATGTGATTCTCCCACCTCAGCCTCTTGAGTAGCTGGGACTACAGGCATGCACCACCACGCCCAACTGATTTTTGTATTTTTTGTAGAGGCGGGGTTTTGCCATGTGGCCCAGCCAATCTGAAGCCAATCTGAAAAGGCTACACACTGTATGATTCCAACAATACAACATTCTGGAAAAGGCAAAACTATGGGAACAGTAAAAAGATCTGTGGTTGCCAGGGGTTAGGGGGAAGGGAGCACAGGGGATTACGGGTGGAGTTTAGAGAATTTTTTGGGCGGTGACACTATTCTGTGTGATACAATAATGGTGGATAAGGGTCGTTGTACATTTGTCCAAACACATGGAATGTACAGCTTCAAGAATGAGCCCTCACGTAAACCATGGGCTGTGGGTGACACTGATGTGGCAGTGCAGGTCCCTCATGCACCCCTCTGCTGGGGATGTTGATAGAGGGGAGGTTGTGCACGTGTAGGGGCAGGGAGTGTGTGGGAACTCTCTGTACTTTCTGCTCAGTTTTCCTGGGAACCTAAAACTGTTCTAAAAAATTAAGTCTACTTAAAAAACAAAACATAACAGCCCACTGCGTGGCCCTCCCCATACTCCCAAAGCTCACATTCTAGTGGGGAGTCAGACACAGAAACAGACACAACCATGTTGGCAGTCACTGCAATGATGAGGCAGACACAGGGGGCTGTGGAAACTCAAGAGGGGCCATTATAGTGGCATCAGGGAAGGCTTCCTGGAGGAGGTGTTGCCTCCAGTGGGTTTTGACGTGCAGCAGGAATCACCCAGCCGGAGATCAGGGCAGGCACTGCAGGCAGCATGCTCAAAGGCACGAAGGAGTGAGGTGGTGGGGGAGCAGCGGAAGTTCCTAGCGCAGCGTGGGGGTGCTCTGTGCACAGATAAGTTGCGGGCCGCGGGAAACAGGACCCTGGGGGGCCCCCTAGAGCCTCGCGGAGCGGCTTGCAGAGGAGCCTCGGGGCCACGGCGTGTGTGCAGCGACACCTGGCGGTGGCATGCGGAACTGCGGACGGCTGCGCAGGAGCGGACAGCGGAGAGGCGGTACTGACCGGTGCGAGGCGGTGCTGACCGGTGCGGGCCGGTGCGGGCCAGTGCAGGCCAGGCCCGGCCGGGGCGAGGCAGGTGGCCAGGTCCGAGGACCGCGTCGCACAGCAGCTTTCAGGACCTGGAGAGAAATCGAGGTGGGGGTGCGTGAACGTGGATGGGCAGAAATAACATCTTTTGTACTCTAATTGGAACATAGCATGTCCTTTAATTATGAACGCAATGAGCTATAGTAGCACTACTGATTTCAGAGATGGCGCAATCTCGCTTTCCTTCCTTAGTACTTTGAAATTGCAGTGGGTATTAGACCCGCTGCTAGACCGTGTCATTCACTGGGTTAAGAAGGAAGCCCAGGTAGCGCCACGTCACAGACCCCTTTTAGTATTCTGATAACTATAATTTAAATCTAATCGGCATTTAAGAGCCTACAGGCTTGCCCAGACTGCCAAAGGCGTCTCTGGCACACACACACGCACACACACTAACATGCACACAAGCAGACACACATGCACGCAGACACGCACATGAACACATGCACACGCACACTTGCATGTACACACGTGTGTACACATACACACATGCATGGTTGAGAACCTCTCTGGAGAGGAAAGGCAACACCAGTGTGTCCGCTATGTAGTGGTTTATCAGACAGTTTATTGTGGACATGGACATGAATAAGAAAGGGGCACTGCTAATTAGGCCAAGGCAGTGGATATGAGGTGGGACTGTCCCTAGCACACTGGGACCAGGGCTACCCTGAGGCCTGCAGGACACCGGGAGCTGTGTGTGAGTTTGCATCTCTGTAGGCGCGTGGCTGTGAGTGTGGGGGAACCTGGTGAAACGCATCTGAGGAGGGGAGGGGGTGTCTGCCACTGTTCTGGGTGTGTGTGTATGTGTGTGTGTGTGTGTGTGTATAGGGCATTCTGATCTCTAGTACCTGGGTTCTAGCAGATGCCTGACCTACAGCCCTGTGTTCAGCCTGGTCATTCCAGCTCTCAGAGAGACCTTGCCCAGCCATTTCCTGGGGTAGCAAATGGTCTGGAACCAGTCTGTCTTGCCTCCCCTGAGGGAGACAGGCGGGCTACTTGTGTAGCCTTCTTACCTCACTAAACTCTTCCTTCCTTCCATGATGATCCCCGTTTTACAGACACAGAAACTGAGGCCCAGAAGAGCTGAATATTTGGCCCAGGCCACACAGGGAGTCCAGCCACGGGTGATGAGGGGCTGAGGATCGGGGAGGGACAGGAAACCTGGCCTTTCTGAGCCTTGCTGTCCTTATCTGCTGCGTCAGGAGGTGAGAGGAAGATGTTTGGGGCTGAGCTAGCAGAGAGGACACTGAGCTTTTGGCCTCTCCCCTGTGTAAACCCCACCATGACTCCCCATTGCCACGGCATCAAGTCCCAGTTCCATGGCCTGACATTCCGGTCCCTGCCCCCTTCAGATTCATTGCCCATCACTCCCCGTCCACTCCCTGCACTCCAGCCACCCTGGCCACCAGCCCTTCCTAGCACCCTCCAAGACCCTTCTCATCTCCACGCCTCTGCCCATTCTGTACCTGGCAAACTCCTACGCATCCTGCAATGCTCAGCTCTGAGCACCCCACACAGAGTTGGCATCTGCCTGCTGTGTGCCCCCACCGCCCTCACACATCCCTGCAGGTAGTCCTTCTCAGGACTGATGCAGCAAAATAAGATCCGAGTCCCCAGCACCTAGCACCGTGCATAAAGCAGGCACTAACAAATGCGTGTCGAATGAATAAGCAAATGTGTGCGTGCACACTCCACCCGCCCCCCTCCTCATGAACTGCTTGAGAGAAGGGCTGGGTCCTTTCCAGCTACTCAGGTGGCAATCGGAGTTTGTCCAATGTCCAGGCTGGAGCCAGAGTTGAAGGGAGGAGCAGGCTGGGGGTGGTGGTGGCTGCATTTGGTGTTAGGAGGCCCAGGCTGGGCCTGTGAGCTGGACACCCCACCCCAACACCTGAGGTATCTGCTCCAGGTCCCTCTCTGCATGCTCCTGGATGGGGCTTGGCTGTGGCTTCCACTCAGGCCCCTGGATATCCCCACTGCAGCTTGGCCCTCTGTGACTCACTCTTTCTTGGCCCTAAAGGTCAGTGCAGGGCCAGGCCTCGTCCTCTTCTCTGTCCATTTATCAGGTCGGAAGCTCAAGGCTGACCTGGCTGGGGCCAAGGTTTATGTGCTTGTTCACCCCACCCAGCACCTCTGACCTTGTGAAACATGCCAGGAAGGGTGGGGACAGGAAGGTGACACTAGGGCCTCTGTGTCTGCCCCGGGGCACTGTCAGCTGGGTCAGGATTTATGCCCTGATGTTCCCACCCCCAGACCTGGTCACCAGGCCCACGCCCTAGGTCTGGTGCTGAGCCATCCCTGCAGGGGGCCCAGCAAAGCCTGAGGGCTGGGAGCTGGCTGGGGTGCGGGGTGGGCCGGGGTTGGGGGTTGGCAGGAGGCAACTGCAGATTAGGTCCCAAGTGAACACTGCTAGCGTCTTTGTCCTGCTGAGAGACATCGGCTGGGACATCTTGCCTCCTGGGGCCTGTTTCCGCAACTGTAAATGGGCATTGCCTTAGTAGCCACCCTTTGGGGCTCTTGGATAGCACATGTCCACAGAACCTCAGCTAATGTGCCTGCCTGCAGTGTTCCCCATTTTCTTTTGGGGAGCTCCCCTTGCCAGTACCAACGCACATGGTCTTTGCTGGGCCATCCTTTGCACACTGTATCTCCAGACCTGGGGCTTGAGAGGGCGCCTCCTCAACAAGGGCCCCAAACGTGGGCTGGGGCTCCAGGGGCAGGAGGTAAGGGAAGAGGTGGTTTTAGTGGGTTTGCTGGCAGCAATCTGAATCCAGGGGTTGCAGCGGAAGGAATTGGAGATGGGAGGAGGCGCAAGGCCAGTTGGATCAGGGGATACGCAGGAGATGGTGTCTTTGGTCACCCAGTTGCTCAGTCGGAAACCTGGACAGCCTGGCCCCTGCCCGTCCCCTCATCTCCTAGCCAGCGGTGAGTCTTGCACAGCCCTCCGCCCACCCACTCCAGCACTCGCCACTTCCTGCCTCTTCCCCTACCTCTACTGCCCCGGCCTGCTTCCACTACCTGCGTCTCTCACCGACGTCACTGCAATCGCCTCCTCGGAGGCCTCTGCCTCCTCTCTTCTCCACACCCTCACCCTCCATTGTCACTACCTTGCTCCTCACAGCTGGCTAAGCCATTATGACTAATGACTGTTCTCAGCTCCCAGCCCCATGGTTTCCATCACACCAGGATACAGTCACATTCCTTGCCGTGGCCTGTGAGACCCACAGAGTCCTGGCACTGCCGCCCCCTGAACCTCCTCTCCCTCCCCTTTCTCTGCCGTGTCCACAGCTCAGTGAGCCCATTCCCACCTCGGGGCCTTTGCACTTGCCGGTCCCTCTGCCTGGCACATGCTGGCTTCAGTGTTCATAAAGCTCCCTCCCTCCCGTCACTCAGGTCTCTCCTCAGATGTCACCTCGTCAGAGTGGCCTGTGCTGACTGCCATATCTACAATACCCTTCCCAACGCCTGGCATCCGCCTCCTCACTCTTGTATGAGTGTCTTCAAGGCACGTTCACTTGTGGCTATTGCTTAATATATTTAGTTGCAGGAGTATAATCTGGGGGCCCCTGGGAGACAGACCCTGGCATGATGGGTGTTGTGATGGGGGAAACCGGGCCATGTCCTGGGGACTGAGAGCAAGTTGCTGCCCTTCTGGGCCTCAGTTTCCCCTTCTGTTCCGTAAGGCCCAGGCTCTCTCCCTGCCCGCTCACGTGTCCTGGGAATGCTGAGCCTTTGCTTTGTCCTGGAAGTGGGGTTGCCATGGAAACAGAGGCAGGAGGCTCCAGCAGAGGCAGCATCCGCCTCCCTTTGTTAGACCCAGGGCCTGCTTTCTGGGGGGCCCCCTTCTGTGGAGGAGTCTGTGCTTCTTGAGGGGCCAGTAGCCTCTACTTGGCCCTGCTCTGGCCGTCCTGCTCCCAGCCCCCAGCTTGCAATTTGCTTCACTAGATTGTAAAGCAGATGATGAAAGGGCAGTGTACCAGGTTAGGAGTGGAAGGTCAGGGGCATCAGGACCCAGGGCACCGGGAAGCAGGAGTGTGTTCTCACCTCAAGTGGCTTTAGACAGTTCCCCCATCGTCCTCTGTGCCCCTAGCCCTGGCACTCCCTCTGCACACAGCTCCGCTTTGATCAAACCAGTGCCTGGCCCACCTCCCTGCTCCCATGCCCACTGGGGCAGGATGTGGGCTTGGCGGGGAGTGACACATGGCAGCCCTAGGCGTGGCGACAACTGGAGACATCCCGTCTGCCTCAGGTTCCCCCTTAGGGCCGGGCGATACAGGAAGGGGGACCTGCTCGTGAGCACAGCTGGGCGATGGGATGCCAACTCCTTGCCCAGGTAGCCCCAGGACGGCGCTGCAGCAGGAGTGTCCCTGATCCCGGGTGGTCGCTCTCCAGCCCGCCAGGCTCTCCGACGGGCTCAACCCGCAGCCCCTGGCCGGGGCTGGGGCCGGGACGCCAGGCCCCTGTGGGGACGGTTCCCTCCAGCAGTTGGCGAGGCTCGGCCGGCCAAGGGGCCGGTTCCTCCCGCTGGCAGCCGCCCGGCCGCCGCCTTCCGCCCTTGCCCGCCCGCGGCCGTCCCCGAGCCGCTCCCGGCCGGGCCTTGAGCGCCTTTTCCTCTTCCCGGCGCCCCGGCCGCCCGGCGCGTCCAGCTAAGCAGGAAGGGCCCGCCCGCGCCCAAGGCCAGGGCCTCAGCCGGAGGTCGCCCGCCGCCAGGGGCCGCTGCGGCGCCGGGGACGCGCGAGGCCTGAGGGTCTCCCAGGCGCGCCCAAGACCCATCCGCGCCGGCCGCCTGCCCTGCTGCGTCTGCCCACTGCCCCTGGGGCGCGTGATGGTCCCCTCGACGCTCCGCCCTGGCTTCCCCCATTAGTGCCATTAGTGCCTGTGTGAGTGGGACCTGGGTTGGAGGGACCTGCCAAGCTAACCCTAGGGGACCCCTCCTCCAGGGAGCCACCTCCCCCTCGCACTTTCGAGGGGAGTGGCTGCCCAGAGATAACCAGAGACTGCAGGGCGCCTTGGGCCACCTCTCTGGAAGGCACAGACAGGTGCCATCCTTTTCTGGGCCTGAAGGCTTTCCCAGAGAGCAGGAGGAGGAAGTCCCGGGAACATCCCATTAAGGAGATGACACTCTCTTAGGTGTCTATAATATCGCTGCTTTGGAATCTCAGCGGCAGAATTCAGGACCCCTGCCCTCAGAGTTTCAGTACAGTGTAGCCATGAGGCACCCGGATGGCTTGGGTTCAAATCCCAGCTCTGCCATTTTCCAGGCAAGTCCCCTAACTTCTCTGGGCCTAGGTTTCCCATCTGTGAGATGGGGCTGCTGATGGTACCAGCCCCATCGGGTTGTGGCAAGGACTGGACACCCAGTGCAGTTAAGCTCTAGCACAGCACCCGAGGTGATGATTACCATCACTCGCTACAGTGGATTGGACTCACAGGGTCAGGAGCCCAGAGACTTACATTGGAGCACAGAGATTCAGGGTCTTGAGAAAGATAGCAGGATCTACCTTGCAGGGAATATTTGGTCCAAAATTTTCTCTTCCTGGGAAGAAAAGGAAAATGAGAGGCCCCAGTACATTGAGCCACAGTGGTGAAGTCTGTGCCAGGCCAAGACTGAGGCCTTGGAGATGCAAACCAGCTAGGTGGCAGGGGCCAGTTGCAAAACACTTTGAGCCCCAGGCTCCCCATCTGTAAAATGGGCACTGCTGCCTCTCATGCGGGGCACGTCAGGGATGGGGTGTAGCACACATAGGTGCTTAGCAAACATGGGGAGGAGTCTCCCCTACTTTATCACACAGCAAGGGAGGCTTTCATGGGGAGACTGGGCCGGCTGTCTCCTTCTTCCCAGGAGAGAGTGATGACAACAGCTGTCGGGCCATCCTCGAAAGGTGCTGGGCAGGTGGAGGGCAGCCCTCGGTGCCCCTGGTTGTCCCCTGAGCCATCCATCCCTCTTCCCTGCTGTGGCTTCCATGCCCTGAGCAGCAAGTGGGAGGTGAACAGTAGTTGGAGAGGGGGCAGGTGGGCACACCAGGTGTGGGTGCTTATGAAGGCACAGATTCAGAGCAGGGACAGGTTCAACATCAGTGAGATGGGGGCTTTGTGACCATCTTCAGTAGCCTCGCACTGTACCTACATGGAACTGAAGCAGAGGAGGATAAGGGACTTGCCCAAAGCCACATGGCCAGACAGAGGTGTGTAGGACGAAGTGGGCCAAGCCCGTATGTCTCTTGCATGAGCAATGTCCATGCCTGATTCATTTCTATAGACCCCTCTGTATCAGCATGGAGCAGCATGAAGATATATTTGTTGAGTGGATGACTGTGTCTGTCAGGCCACATTACCAAAGGTCTATACTTGCAACGAGGGAGGGGACATCCAGTTTTGCTTTATTCTCTGAGCTCTCTGGCTCCTATGCTCAGCTCCAGACACATCAGTGGACCCTGAGATGAACAGCAAGCCCTGGAGACAGCATTCTGTCAGGAGATGGGGTGGCTCAGCTTGGAGGGGGTCCCCACTGCTGTCCCTAATTCTCTGCAGGGTTGTCCTGGGGCAGAAGGGTTAGGAGGAGCTGGTAGATCTGTGGGCAGGACCGGGACCTTGGGAAGACAGGTCCCAAGCTTATGAAGAAGTCTCCCAGTTTTACTCATAGCTGCCGTATGGGGGTGAACAAGTTGGGACAGCTATTTAGTGGAAATGTTCATGCAGTTATTTTTCCAAAAGTCTTTATCGGTCACCTACTGTGTGCCAGACACTGGAGCTGATATTATTTTACTGGAGAATTTGATAGTCAACAAATAAACAAATCGATAGTATGACATTAGATGGAGACAAGTAGGAAGATGAACAACAAAGCAGGACTGGGGTCAGAGGGCACCAGCGAGGGGCCTTGGTTAGACAGCGGGGCTGCCATTGGGCGGGAAATGGGATGATGTGAAAAGCGAAGCGAAGAGTGCGCCAGGCAGAGGGACCTGCAGGAGCAAAGGCTGGGAAGTGGGAATGTGCTGACAAGAGGCGTGGCTGGAGTGTAGTGAGCGAGACTCCCGGGCAGTACTGTGCCCTGCACCCCAGTGCCCTCTTGCCTTCTGCCCGGTGCAGTCACCCCTTCCTTACTCAAGCCCGTTCCACAGCCCCAAAGCTCCACGGCCCCAAAGCTCCACAGCCCCAGAGCTCCACAGCCCCAAAGCTCCACAGCCCCAGAGCTGCGTGGCTCCGGAAGGCTGCGTCAACCCCAGCGACCACACGGAGGCAGCAGAGAACACGGCTGGGACGAGGGCGGAGGGTGAGGACTGAATCTGAGCACCCTGGGGACTCCCAGGTAGCCGGGGCTGGAGACAGGACCCCTCCCTTGCTGCTTCTTTGTACCCAGCATCACATCTCTCTTCGAAAGTTCCTCCCTCCTAAGCAGCATGAACAGTGCCTGCTGAAATTACAGCTCCACTCCACTGCTCTGGAAGGCTCATCTCTTCAAGCCTCCATGCCTGCATCTGTGAAGTGGCAGCAAGCAGAGTTTCATCTCTAGGGGGGTACATCGCAAGTGCTCGGGAACGTTGTCTTCTTGCAACCATGTGTGCCTCACACAACTACCTGTGTGACTTTGGGCAACTCCCTGAGTCTCAGTTTCCACCCTCGTAAAGTGATGGTAGGACTATGGTGTGGGGATCTTCTGTATGCCAGGTACACATGCATAATGCATGCACAGATCCTGGCACTTAGTCAATGCCCAGTGACAATAACTAGTAATCATGACAATTGCATTGATGACCTGGGGGCTTAGAGTCGGGAGAGACCTGCTATTCGGAGGAGAACATTGAAGCTTGGGAAGAAGAGGTGTTTGCCCACCATATACTCACCAGGAATGAGAGGCCCAGGGGTCCCCTCAAGACTTTTGTCCATTTGACAGATGGGGACGCTGAGGTCGGGAGAGGGTTGGCAGCCTGGCCAAGGCCACCCTGTGGCAGGCATAGGACTAGAATCCAAGATGCCTGCTTCCCTTCACGGCTCATCCAACCATGTCTTGGGGCCCTCCCTTCTAGGGCAGGTGGTTTCTCAGGCTGCAGCTCCGGATGTTCCTTTTTCTTCTCCAACCTCCCCCCGCCCACACCCATGCCAGACTGTGTAATCTTGGAAAGCTGCATTCTTGGAAATCTGGTCCCTTCTAGTCTTTGAATTCTTCGAACTTCCTATTGGAGCTGCGGCCCCTAGTTCCCGATGGTGCCTGGGAGGGAGCCTCCTGATTTTGATGTTTTTCAGAGGGAATGAGGTGTTTCCAGTAGGTGGGCAGCCCAGGGTGGGTGGGTGGAGGTGGCAGTGTGGATGGCAGTTGGATGCAGAGAGGAGGAAGGGGACTTGGGGGGGCACCTGTGAGCCCCCTTCCACGGGACTTTTCCCCGGGGTGCACTTTCCCCCTTGGCTTGGAGAGGAAACAGTTTTCCATGTTCCTTTCTCTCTGTGTGCTTGGGAGACACCCACAGCCCTCTTGGAATAATTCCTCTGAAACCTCCAATACCTCCAGCGTCTCCCGGGGTATTTTTCTTGTGGTTAAGGTGGTATTTACAGTGAAAACAGCTATTGAAACGAATCGCAAAAATAATGTCAGTGTTTCCACTTTTGACAAAAATGGGAAGGCAGGTGGTTTCATGTCTGCGATAAGCGCATTGCTCCTGCAATAATTACTATTTGAGATAATTATGAAAAAGAATTTAAATACTTAAGGCATGCACAGGGGCCAGGACAACTTTCTTTTGCCTTATTCATAATTTCTGCTGCAAGTTGGAGTCTTGTCCTGACTGGGACGTGGGGTGGGCGTGGGATGCTGAGGAGCAGTGGGCCAGTGGCAGACCCAGCACTGAGACCTGCTCGAGGTTTGAGGGGCATGGTTGGGCCCAGAAAGAGTGCACATCTTGGAGTGGGACACACCTGGGTGGAAGATGAATGTTTTAGCAAGGCCATCCTAGGCAACTTTCTCTGCACCTCAGTTTCCTTATCTGTAAAATGGGGTGAATATTTGGGCCTTCCTTAGAGCATTGTATGGAAATTGAAGCAGACAGTGTATGAAAAGCACTCAGTGCTCTACATGGTCTACAGCCAGGGCTCAACACGCGCTGGGTCCCTTCCTGTGACATGGGAGGCCTGGGTGAGCTTCCGCTGCTCTGTTATCCACTGAGATCAAAGCCCAGAGTCTGAGAAGGCCCCAATGAGTCTGTATTTTCTTCCCTGCTCTCTCCTGCTTGAACTTCTTCCCAAAAGCAGAATTCAGAGAGTGGCAGGGCAGCAAATGCCCATGAGATTGGAGAGAAGCAGCCTCAGGGAGTCCTGGTCTCTGCCCCTGCGTGAGCCCAGAGGGTAAGCTGGGGCCAAGGACTGGAGGCCAATTCCACCTCTGTGTGTGGCCCGGGTTTCCCAGTTGGAACTCAGCAGGACTGGGCTGGACTGGGAGGGAGGAACCATTCTCCCAGTCACCTGAGATGTCCAAGCAGCACCTGGCTGACCATCTGCCAGTAATGCTGTGAAAGGGGCAGGTGTTGGGCTGTTGGACCCCTGAAGACCTCTAGTCCTGAGACTTAAGGGTGAGTCAGAACCAAGGTATCCTAGGGGCTCACAAGAGGTCAAGGCAGGTGCTGTTAGTTCTGCCCTGGCTCTGCCCTGACTCATCGCATGGGTCAATGCCTGACTCAGGCCTCACTTGCCCCATCTATGCAATAGGAGGGTTGGACTGTAAATGAAAAACCCAAAGAACAATGGCTTCAAGAAAGGAGAAATTTCTATCTCATTCATATTTAAGCCTCAAGGTAGGTGGTACAGATCTGGCATGGGGAACAGCTTCCTTCTAGCTCCTGGCTCCACCTAACCAAGGAGGAAATCTGGTCCTTGTGGTCCAAGATGGCTGCCAGAGTTCCAGCCATCACATCTAAGTTCTAAGTAGGAGGGAAGAAGAAAAAAGGACAGACTGTGGGTATCAGATGTCTTTTAGGAAAGGCTCCTGGAAGCTGATGTGGGACACTTTTGCTTATATCCTACTGATCAGAGCTTCATCACACAGCCACCCTTAGATGCCAGAGAGGCTGAAAGTGAGGGCTTTATTCTGGGAGCCCAGCTGAAATTCAGGGAAAGAAGGGGAGGATTGTCCTGGGGTCTACCAGCTGACTCTGCCACAGGACAATCTCGTCGGGTCCTTCTGCTTTGAGTCTTGGAGATTCTGAGGCTCTGGAAAGGCACAGTTTTCCATGACCCAGGCTTTAAGAACAGAATGTGGGCTAAGCTGAAATAAATGAGTTTTCAAAATTATAAGATTCTGGAATTTCCAAACACAGTGTGTGTGTGTGCATGGCATGTGTGCATGCATGTGTGTATGTGGCGTGTGTGTGTGGCGTGTGTGCCGAGGAGCACAGGTAGCAGATGTGGGGCTGTCGCAGGGCGGGGGCTGCTGGTGCCCCTTGGTGGGCAGCCTCTCTGGGCTCGCAGGCTGCTCCCTCAGCTCCTGGAATCTGCTCCTGCCGGCCTGTTTGTACACGTGCCTGTGTGCACTAGAGCCCCGGGGCCGGGGTGGTGGGAGGGGGGCGCCCAGGAATGCCTGCTGTTTTTAAGGCAGAGTTGTCTGTGCAGACTCCAGAGGTCTGGCTCCGCTGACGGGTGACTAGGGGGTGAAGGGCGCCCCAGAACAAGTTCCAGGCACCCAAGTGGGTGCGGAGGGGGTTATCAGGGTCAGAGCTGAGCTTCCATCTGATGGCCTCTCGGTTCTGAGTCAAGTATGAATTTTGTACCTACTTTGTGTAGGTTCTGGCCTTTAGGAGGTTGGGGCATTTTAATGCCTGTTCTGGAGGCAGGTGGAGGCCATGATCTGATTGGGCCTACACTGTCATATGCCCTGGGCAAAGGAAAAGTCTCTGCCCTCCAGGAGTCAATTAATACAGTCAATTAACAAAACAAATAGGCAAATAAATGGCCTGCACTAAGCTCTAGGGAACAAACCCAAGCAGGAAGTGGGGTGGGAGAGATGGCAGGGGTTGGAGTGATGGCGAGGCGATGGTCAATGACAGACTCACTGGAAAGGTGACTCTTGGGCAAACATTTGCAAGAGGAGGAGTGAGCCAAGTAGGCGTCTGAGACAGGGGCCTTCCAGGCGGTAGGCACATCCCAGGCAGAGGCCCCCAGGCAGGCATGGGCCTGGTGCGCTTGAATACTGTGCAAGGCCGGGGAGTAGCAGACTGGGTGCAGGGCGATCAGAGAGGCCACATGGCCAGAAGGTGTGCAGCACCTTGAAGCCACAGTATGGAGTTTGGTGTGGGTAAGGACTTTGGGCGGGGACCCTGTCAGGAGGTTCTGAACAGTGGAGGGTGGTGGTCTGACCTAGGTTTACATGGCGTGCTCCTGGCTGCTGTGGGGAGAATGTAGATGAGATAGAGGGTGGTGACTCAGTTTCCCCACAGGCTGTCTTCTCTTCCCCAGTGCCACAGAGCTCCAGGTTTCCCGGTTCTCTCCAGAGTCCTCCTGTTCTGGCCCCCTTTGGCCCTTCTCCACAGCCATTGTTCTGGTTCAGGGCTCATCTTCCCTTACTGGCGACTCTCTTGCTCCTGCC
Organism: Homo sapiens; assembly: GCF_000001405.40. Taxonomy (NCBI): domain Eukaryota; kingdom Metazoa; phylum Chordata; class Mammalia; order Primates; family Hominidae; genus Homo; species Homo sapiens. Next base: position 13,662,352 of record NC_000003.12, read on the forward strand.
TCCTCTGGTTTTTAACTCCCTCATGATCGCAAAGTTGCTGCAGTGGTTCCAGGCGTCTCTGGCAGGATTTCCCGCAGAGCCAGCAGAGGTTCTGGCCTTTGGACCGATTGGCCCATTTTTATGCCTGTTCTGGGGGCAGGAGGAGGCCATGCACTGATTGGCTTGGACCTGGTTCATCTGGACCAATCGTGGAGAGAAAGGGGCGGGATGTCGTAGACCGGCCTTGGGTAGCCCGGCTAGCCGTTCCTAGTGGCCCGTGTGTGGCGTGGTGGGAAAGGGAGTACCCCGCCATGCCCACGGCTGTGCCCACGCTAGGAATGCGGTCTTTCCCGGGGGTAGCTTAGTGTCCCGTGGGAGGCGTGCCTGGGGCTCCCTCATGCCCCAGCTGCTCCTGCCCCACGCCATCTTCAGGCTGGATTATTTAATATATACACACACACACACACACACACACACACACATATACACACATATATATATTATTATACTTTAAGTTCTAGGGTACATGTGCACAACATGCAGGTTTGTTACATATGTATACATGTGCCATGATGGTGTGCTGCACCCATCAACTCGTCATTTACATTAGGTATACCTCCTAATGCCATCCCTCCCCACTTCCCCCACCCCACAACAGGCCCCGGTGTGTGATGTTCCCCTTCCTGTGTCCAAGTGTTCTCATTTTTCAATTCCCGCCTATGAGTTAGAACATGCGGTGTTTGGTTTTTTGTCCTTGCGATAGTTTGCTGAGAATGATGGTTTCCAGCTTCATCCATGTCCCTACAAAGGACATGAACTCAAGGCTGGATTATTTTTCTATGGGGCTTGTAGCAAATTCCCACAAATGGGGCAGGTGAAAACAACACACACTTATTCTTTTGACGGTTCTGAGGGCCAGACATTCAAAATGGCTTTTATGGGACAAAATCGAGGTGTCGCCTGGGCTACATGCCTTCTGAGAAGCCCTTTCTGGCCCTTTCCAGATTTTGGAAGACACCTGCTCTCCTGGGCTCAGGGCCCCTCCCTCCATCCTCAAAGCCAGCAGCGAGGCCACCCCATCTCTTCCACTCGGACCTCCTGCCTTGCCCCATCTTTTTTTTTGGAGACAGGATCTCACTCTGTCGCCCAGGCTGGAGTGTAGTGGCAGATCTTGGCTTGCTGCCACCTCTGCCTCCCGGGTTCAAGGAATTCTCCTTGCCTCAGCCTCCGGAGTAGCTGTAAAGCGGGTCCATCAGTCCCAGGCATGGGCCACCAAGCTCGGCTAATTTTTTGTATTTTTAGTAGAGGTGGGGTTTCATCATGTTGCCCAGGCTGGTCTTGAACTCCTGAGCTCAGGCAATCCACTGGCCTCAGCCTCCCAAAGTGCTGCTTCCCTCTTATGGGGACCTTGTGATCACATTGGGCCCACCTGGGCAGCCTGGTGTAATCTCCCCATCTCCCCGTCCTTGATTAAACCACATCTGCAAGGTCTCTTCTGCTCTGCAAAATATTCCCGAGATTAGGATGTGGCCTTTCTTCTTGGCAGGGCGTGGGGGAGATGCAACATTTTCCTACCACAGTGGCTTCATCCTACTCGGTGCTGGCATGGGGACTCTCTAACCCCGACTCCTCTCGGCCGCAGGCTGCCCCGATGGCTCAGGGTGGGTAGCTGAGTCCAGGCAAGCCCTGTGGCTGTCCCGTCCGCTGTCTCAGCTGCTGAGAGGTGTGTGGTGTTGGATGTGCCCTGGGTGAAATGCATGAGACTTGAGGTGGGAATGGTTTCCTTTTGCTCCCACCTCTGAACCAGAGCCTGTTCCCAGCTCTCCCTTCTCACCCTTCCCATGCGGGCCTTCCCACCTGCTTTCTGGGCTGGGGAGAGAAAAGGAAAGTGTCAGTGAAGACACAGGAATTGCCCCAAACCTGCAGCCATGGCTGCAAATCCAAGGGTGCACACTGGGGTGTCCTTGGCCTGAGTGCCAGCCTGCAGAGAGCAGGAGTGGGCCACTTGGGGACCCCATCCCACCAGGAAGCCTGAGAAAGCCCAGGGTGAGCCCGGCCCTGTGGAATTCTGGAGAGCCCGAGAAGCATTTGCACAGTCACCCAGCCGGGTTGGGACTGATGGACCCGCTTTACAGCGCAGGGAACTGAGGCTCCAGGTTTAGGGCCAAATTCCCCTCCCTCATCCCCAAGTTTCCCTGCTCCCTCACCACAGGCGCCCTTCCGTCCATGAGGGCCCTCTCTGGAGGGGCCTTCTTCAGCTTGCAGGGAGGTTTTATCTGAGACTCAGTGTTTTAAGTGATTCAATGAGGAGATTTCACATAGAAATCTGGATTTTTTTTTTTCAAAAACAATATAATAACACCAACAGGAGCAGCTGAGCTGCCTCTCTCATCTCCCTTCTGCTACCTGCGTTGCCTTTACAGCCCCAGCTGGTGCAGGGCCTCACCTCTCTTAGCCCCTCCTAGGACACTCTGTCCCACTGCTCTGAAGCTGGCGGGGCCTGGGAAGCAGGGACACACTTCGAAGCCTCGAGAAGCCACGATATCCTGGTCAAATCTGATACAGGGATATCAATCCCCAGGGCAGGGTGCTGAGGACAGGCCCTGTCGCTGGAGGGACACATGGCAGCTGCCCGCTAATGCACAGGGGCCAAGCGAGTGGGTGGCTGCAGAGAAGGAACCATCCTGCCACAGCCTTCTCCAGATCACAGGCTTTGAAGATTTCCAGTCCCCGCAGACTTGGAGTGTAGACACCCAGCCCCGTCTTTGACTAGCTCTCTGACCTTCAGTGCTCCCTTGACCTTTCTGAGCCATAGTTTTCCCACCTGTGAACAGGTGCGTGGGTTGGGTGACATGTTCTATAAGAGGCTCTCCAGCCCAGGTGCTGAGATGCAGCCCTGAGCAGCATTTTAAAGTCATAAGGTGCTGGGTTCAAAGCCTGTTTCCATGTTACCCTCCCCAAACCTCCACTTTCCCATCTGTAAAGAGGAGTCATTGGTCCCCCTGCCTCCTTCACATGGTTGCTGTTAACTGTGATGACAGTTAACTTGAACTTGCTTTATTAAGCATCCAGACTAAGGAGAGGAGGGACTTAGTGTATATGAAGTCCCTGCTGTTTGCCAGGCACTGTGTTTGACAGTGGAACCTCATGGCCATCCAGTAAGTTGGATTCATCCCTCCCTTAGTCGCACAGGGAAACTGAGGCTCAAGGAGGCCATGTGAGCTGCCCCCATGGGGTGGCAAGTGTGGGGAGATGTCTGGATTCGAACAGAGGCTCCTTCCTCCCACCTCAGCACAGGCGAGCCGCTGGGGAGGGAATGAGTTTGCGCTCCCTGAGGATTTCAGTGCTGGCTTCCAGCCTGCTGTGATGGGCGTGGGAGGTAGGTCGAGGTGCTGGGCAGGGCTGCCCAGGGTGGGGGCAGGAAGACAAGGGGGCCTTGGGTGCTGCCAAGAGGTATTGATTCCAGGCATCAGGCACTGGGCTGGGTCCCAGCCAAGAGATGAGGTCATGAAGGACGGGGACGGTGACTCCGGGGGCTGTGGCGTCCCCGCCGATGACGTGATTGCCAGACGTGAGGAATCTCTGCCTGGAAGATGCAGGCTCTCTCCTTCCTTCTCCTTGACAGTCCCCTTACTCCAGCCTGTTGTGTCTGGGGAAGGGAGGCTTATGGGCCCTGCCTTGCTGCTCTTGGGCTGTGTGACCTTGGACAAGTCACCACCCCTCTCTGGGCTTCCTCGGAACTCCAGGGCTCTGGCAGAACCTCTAATGGAGACCTTTGATCAGTTCTCACCCAAGGCTCTCAATCTCTTGGGAGGTTCAGACAGGTAGACTGGACTGTCTGGGAAGTGGGTCATCAGCAGCTCCCTGCAACCACTCACAACTGCCTCGGCTTCCCCACCAAGTCGTTAGGAATAGAAGGCAGTTATCCTCCTGGCTCCCTCAGGACTTCCCCCAGTATGGAGGCTGGAGTGTGCAGTGGGGAGTCAGGGCTCCAGGCTCTGCCACTTCTAGGCTGGGTGGCCTCAGGGAAATTGTTTAACCTCTCTGTGCCTAGTTTCCCATCATGGTGAGGGCATGTGTAAAGCTGCCCTACACAGGGCCCGGCACGTGGTTGGAACTGAGAAATGGTGAGTGGGTGGGTAGAATAAGTTGTGCTCTCATCCAATCACAGGCTTCCAGAGTCTGTTTGAGTTTGGGTCCCAGCTTTGGCGATGCTTAGCTGTGAAACCTTGGGTGGGTTGCCACCCTTCCCTGAGCCTCAGTTTCCCCATCTGTCAGGTGTCAATAGTATCTCCCAGATTGGAATCTGTGCGGGGTAAGCTTGGACACAGGGCTTGGCACCTGACGGCATGAAAGGATAGGTACTGCATCACCAGAGGACTGCAGATGGCAGACGGACCCATCCCAGGGACCAGAGTCATGAGGCCACCATTCTGGGACCCCTCTTGGCTATAGGACCACAAAGCCATGCATCTCTTTAAACTTTCCCTGTGAACTTAACCTGGGAATTGAAGTGGCTTTTAGGTGAAAAAATATTCAGATAAACAAAAGGAGGACAAGAATACTTGCCTGCAAGTCCCTCTCGTAGAGACGGTCATTAGCATCGCTAATCTCTTTTCTTATGCCCATATATACATATGTATATTTAGAAAGAAAGGACCATGCTATTTTTCATTTTAATACTATATAGTGCTCATGAATTTGTGCCATTAAACATTTCTCTATAATACCATTTCACACGGCCGCATAGTATCCGGCGCCTTGGCAGGGTGTGATATGTGCAGCCAAACCCTCCATCAACACTGCAGTGTTTCCTAGGTTTTCCCTGCTGTGGTGAACATGCCCCTGATCACCCTTGCCACTCAATCTTTGTCTACATCTAATGCTGCTTCCTTAGAATCAGTGTCTTGAAGCAAAATTGCCTGTTCAGAGTGAGCATTTTTAATGTTTGATTCGTGACACCGGTTCCTTACTCCCACAGCTGTGTGTTAGTTTTTATGCAAAATGTTCTGGGATCAAAAGTGATCCATGCTACGTTTGTTTCCTCCTTCATACAGAATTCCCCATGCTCTGGAAGAGCTGATACCCTCTAGGGAGGCAGGCTTTCTTCCTGGGATCCTTAACGCCAGCCTCATCGCCTCCTGCTGTCTGAACTGGATGGAGTTCACTCTGGGTTGCATCATGCCGGCCACCTCATTGCTTCTGAAGCATATGCCAAACATGTTCCTGCCTCAGGGCCTTGGCACCTGCCGTTTCCTCCGCCTGGAATCTCTTCCCGCAGATAGCCACCATCTATCTTTTTCTCCACAACTCAAACTGTATCTCCAGAGAGGTTTACTGGTTACCCACGTTGGCTTAAATGTGCCTGACCCGCCCCCATCCCTTCACTATCCTATCTGTCTTCATCACGGCAGGATCACTTTGGGAATGTGTCTTTTTACATATTTGTTTGCTTGTTTAAAGTCCAGATCTCTCAGGGGTACGGTGTGGCACCAAATAAAGGTAGTAGTGGGTGGTGGCTGAAGGTCAATCCTGGTCTCTCCATAACAGAAAAAGCAGGGACCTCATCTCTGTTGCTCCCCGCAGCTCCTCAGAGCCCAGACTGGTGCCTGGAAATGAGAATCAGAATAACTGTGAACTCGGAAACAGGTGGGCAGTGACCCAAGTGTGGGCACCTTTGCTTTCTTGTTCAATAGAACACAAAGTGGCCATTTTTGGGGTAGGGAGTGCAGCAGGCTGGGCTTCCTTCTTCGAGTCTCAGTTTCTCCAGCTGTAAAATGTGAACAACTTTCTAACTAGCGTGTGTGCTGTGAGGAAGAAAGGTGAGGATGTATGTGGTGTGCCCAGCACTCTGTCTAGCACACGGTAGGGCAGACATGCAGAGCTGCTGCCCATTTCCAGGTGGGGGGACCGTTCTTCACATTCCATATAGACGACCTCATTTCATCCTTCTAACACTGTGTGGTGTGGGGTGAGTCCTATACTAATCCCATTTTACAACTCGGCAAACTGAGCCCAGAGAGGTCAATGTCCAAAGACACCTGGCTCACGTGGGGTGGAACTGATATTCCACCCCAGAAATGTGTCCCCCTTGTCTAACCACTGCATGGCCCAGACTAGTAAGTGGCAGAGATGCCTTAATAGAGCAGGAATCCAGTCTGGCCCCAGAGGTACTGGGAGATCTTTGACCAGCCCATCTTCTCTACAGGCCTCTGTTTCCTCATCTGTAAAGCACACAACACACTCGTGTCATGTCCACTTTCAGGGGTTCTTGGGGGGAAGTGGGTTGAGTCTTTAGGAAGCTTCTGGCTGGAGGGGGACTGCAGCCCCCAACCCAGGATAATGGGGGAAGCAAAGAATGGAAAATGAAGACACTGGGAGGCAGGGCAAGGACCAGGGTCTGACTCAGGCACTCACCACGAGGTCACTGTGCTGCCCTCCCCTCTTCCACTCCCCCTGCCTACCATGGCTTCCTCAGGGAGAAATGTCTCCATATCTGGCTCCTGGCTGCGCAAAGAATGGTGAGGGGCATTGGGCTGAGGTGGAAATGGCTCAAAACCCTGACTCAGGACTCACAATGGCTTTGTCATATTGGCAGGAATCATGCAAAGTGAATTTGACTAGGAATAAATGTCAATTCCAGCACTTGGGTCCAAAAAGCAAACTGCACATGGCCAGGATAGGAAGATATGGCTTAGCACTGTTCATGGTGCTTAGGGGCTCAGCCCCGTGTGGCACATAAAAGCAAATGTGCCCAGAGGCCACATTACCTAGGGCATAGAGCCTAGAAGGAGGGAGCTGATTGCTGCCTCCACCTCTGTACTCTTCAGAACCCCCTAAATGTTGCAGCTGGGATCCTTTACCGAAGGACAGGCATGGACTAGGTTGTGTCCAGTGGGTGTGGCCAGGCAGGAGAGACTTCACTTCGTGAGGGGCAATTGGAGGAGCTGGGTCACTCAGTTTGGAGAGGCAGCCTCAAGGGTCCTGGTCACTACCTCCTCCAGTGTTTGCAGGGCTGCCCTGAAAGGGCCGGAGGTGGGAGGAGCAGGAAACTATGTGGGCTGGGACCCTCTATGTATAGGTGTCTGATACTGAAGGAAGCTGGGAGCTCTGCCTGAGTACGTGCTTGTTCCTAGTCCTAGTTTCTTAGAGAAGGGATATCTAGGAAGACATGTATTCCATCCATCCACCCATCCATCCACCCACCCACCCACTCATCCACTTATTCAGCCACCTACCCACCTATTCACCCACCCACCTACCCATCCATTCATCTATCCACCCACCCACCCACTCATCCACCTATCCACTCTCCTACCCACGTGTCTGTCCATCCATCTACCCATTCAGCCACCCACTGACCTACCTATCCATCAACCCACCCACATATCCACTCACTTAGTCATCCATCCATTCAACCCACCCACCCAACTGTTTATCCATCCCTATCCATCTATTTATCCATCTAATATTTATCAAGACTTTGTACTAGCCTGGGGAGAGTGATGAAAATTGGCACCACCTCTGCCCTCACAAAGCACACCGTTGAGCTGGAGTGAAGACTAAACAAGCAATAACACCTAGAAGGCAAGCACCTGACTGTGGAGGTGGAGAGGCGGCTTGCTGAGGAGGACTTTAGTTGTCAGTCAGCTAGGAGGGTGGGTGACATGACCTTGGGCTCTGTCAGTAGGAAGGGGCAGGTCATATGGGGGCCCTGACCTCAAGCTGTCGTTGGCCTTACAGACCCTGATTCCTAGCCCTGGAGGCCATCCAGAGCATCTCATCCAGGGAGCCGAGAGGTCCTTCCACCACCCCGCTGGGGTCCAGCGCAGCTGGGCCAGGAGAAGGGTGGTACATCACTCCTGCGAGTCGAAGGCGAGACAGTGTGTGAATGGGGCCTGGACTGCCCAATTCCCTCTACCAAAGCAACTAGAACCTTCTTCTGCATTAGGTGATGGGTACCTGCGTGAGCTGTCATTTGAAGACAGGGTTCCAGAGCACAAACAAATTGGAGCCCCTGGTCCTCTCAGCTGGCATCTGTGGATTTGGCCTGCCTGGCGGGCCAGGCCAATCAGAGAAGAGAATGCCCTATTGGGCACAGTGATTGGGGCTCTGGCATGGTCACATGACATGAGACAAGCCAATAAGCATGGATCCTGAGATTCTGCTTGGCGTCTCCTGGGCTGTACTTCCTGCTTTGTGCTGGGATTGGGGCCATGCGGCTGTAAGTCCAGAGCTACTGCAGGCCTCTTGCCACTGTGGGGAACCCAGCCTAGGATGAAGCACAGGAATGGAAACAGCTGAAAGAAGCAAGACACAGGGTCCTGACCACATCTGTTGGAGCCTGGATCCAACCTTGCCTGGATCTGCAACCACTACTGAGCTTTTCATGTACTTGGTGCCAATATATTCCATGTCTCCATTTTTAAAAGTAAATTTGAGTTGGATGTCCTTTTGCAACTAAAACAATCCTGACCTATATATTCTTTGGCATTGTCCCTGTAGAGAAAACTGAGACCCACAGAGGGAAAGTGACTTGCCCAAAGTCATCCAGTGAACTGGTAACAGACCCAGCCAGAAGTCTCCTGCCTGTAGCCAGCACTCACTTCCCACGGTTTCCCATGCTTTAACCTGGACAGTATGGCTTCTGGGAAGCATAAGCCAGGAGGGGGCAAGGAGCCCCCTGCTTGGGCAGGGAAGGGTGAGCCAGTTCTTCCACCCCTGCAGCAGGGGTCCTGTCTCTGCCATGGCGGCACCTGTGGGCAAGGAGGGAGCCAGCACAGTCAGAAATGAGCTCAGTGGTGAAGGCGTCTTCCCACCACTGCAGAACCCAGAGCTCCATATCGGAGGTGTGTCAGTGCCCAGCTTATGCTGAAATTCAGCTATTCATGGAGCCGCAGAGTTCCAGGGGGTCCCTTGGCATCTATGGTAGGTGGACTGGGAGAAGAACGACTACACTTTACGTCTTTTTTTTAAAAAAGTTTTCCTTGAATGGTTTTGCTTGAAAAATAAATAGGGGTTCAATTCTAATACATTGGGCTTGGGTCTACAGCCATTTTACAGAGAGGAAAACTGAGGCTCCATGCAGTCAGAACTTTGCCAAGGACTTCCAAGAGGGCAATACTGGCTCTGGGATTCTGATTTTCTCTCCCCTCCCACAGCCTTGGTGCGCTGGCTCGCCATGTGACAAAGGCAAGACCTCAGGCCCCCTTTGAGCTTCTGTGGGATGAGGTGGTCTCTAGGAGTGCACCAGGCTCACTCTCTGCATCCCCGGCCGCCTCCTGGGTTCTCCTGTCCTCATGGTTACCTTTAATGAAACAAGAAGTCATTTCTGTCTTTACAGAAAGGACAGATGAATCAGAGGGTTGTTCAGCAAAGGGACTAATGCACTTCCCCAGCTGACTTCGTCATTCCTTTGTGCCTTGAATGAAATTCCTCTCCAGTACATGCCTTTCAGAAAAAAAGAGAACATGGTGCAAAGAATCCAGAGAGATGGATTGACCCTGATAATATCAAAGAGTTAATTTCTGAGCTCATTCCTAAGCTGTCAGGGGTCTGGAAGACTTTCTGGAAGCCATAAATAATGCATTTTAATAAGGGGGACTTTGATTCCTCTCTGGGGGCTGAAACTGTATTGTGATTCAGGTGGCAACTTGTCAGGACGCCAACGTGGGGTTTCTCTGGCACTTATTAAGGGATTACATATTTTGGGCATGTGCAGGTCTTCATGGTCTACTGGAAAACCATCCTGCCAAAAATGTTTTTGACCTAAGGAAATGGACTTTTAGTGGAAAACAACCCCCCTCTGTCTCAAGTTCATTGTTTATGAGTTTCACCCTGAATTTGATCGAAAGTGATTTTTTAATTATTTTCACCATTCCTTTGGCGTTGTGGCGGCTGTATGACTCAAAGATGACTCCAGTTTCCCACCTCATGGAGCCCCATGTCTAAGTTCACTGTGGATACTGGAATTCTGGTGTCCTGGGGACTGTAGAAACCCTGTCTTAGACAACCTTCAGGCTGAGTTCTGTCTGGACCAGGTTTAATCTGAAAGAAAACTCGGAAGACCCGGGTTCTAGCCTTTGCCATGAATTTGCTGTGTGATCTTGGGCAAGTCATTTAACATTTCTGGGCCACATCTCCTCCTCTGTGAAATAAGAACCTTAAGTCCAGTGACTCTGTGGATTGATGTTTTTTGAGGTTTGGAGAAGAGGCCGTTTTCTGTCCTATAAAATGGGGATAGTGACACTCTTCTCCACACAAGAGGTGCTTGGTTCCTTTTCAAATCAACAAATATTTGTTGAGTGCCAGCTGTATGTGCCGGATCCTGCTGCAGAAACTGAAGACAGAGACACAAACAAGGCAGACTGAGCTTATAGCTGCCCCCAAAACCATAGGGCTTATGTGCTCATTCCAACATTTGTGTGTTTCTTTATTCTATAAAGGATGAAAAACAAAAATATAGGTAACCTTGGTAGACATTGCTATTTAGCTAACCGATACCCATCTCCCCCTCTTCTCAGTAATAGGGCTCTGATTTTGTTCAGAGCTACCTATGCCCAGGTAAAAACATTTCTCAGCCTCCCTTGCAGCTAGAAGTGGACGTGGGACACAGCTGTAGCCAATGAATTCTAAGCAGATGTTGTTGAGAGAGGCTTCTGGGAAACTCATTTTGTTGTTTGTTCCCTGGCAATTATTTCCCTTTCTGCCTGGGATGTGGATGTGATGGCTGGAACTCTGTAGCTGCCTTATGAGCATGAGAAAGGGGCACACCTGAAATAAGGCAGAGGAGGGTGGAATGGAGCCCAAGTACTTGGGAATAGTGTAGAGTAGGTGTCTAGGTCTGGTCTGTATACCTCCTGGCTTCTAGTTCTATCATGTTTTAAGCCACTGTTATTTAGGTTTTCTATGCTATACAGCCCCGCAGACATGCAATGGCAAACAAAAACTTCAGGGAAAGGCAAAATAAAAATCTAACTAGAAATCAAGTCTGGGAAGGCCGTAGGAATGCACCCACATGGGTCACAGAATTCTGCATAGCTTTACAAGCTGACCTGCAAATTTGGCTTTGAGCCTCCTAGTGGCCAAGTAAAGGAGGAAAGGCCAACATGGATTTCATTCTCATCATCCCCAAAAAGGAGGTGTTGGGCCGGGCACAGTGGCTCATGCCTGTAATCCCAGCATTTTGGGAGGCTGAGGCAGGTGGATCACCCTGGCCCTGGCCAACATGGTGAAACCCTGCGTCTACTAAAAATATAAAATTAGCCGGGCGCAGTGGTGTGCGCCTGTAATCCTAGCTACTTGGGAGGATGAGGCAGGAGAATTGCTTGAAACGAGGAGGCTGAGGCAGGAGAATTGCTTGAACCCAGGAGGAGGAGGTTGCGGTGAGTGGAGATCGCACCACTGCACTCCAGCCTGGGTGACAGAGAGAGACTCCATCTCAAAAAAAAAAAAAAAAAAAAAAAAGGAGGTGTTGAAAATAGAGTTTCAGAGTTTCAGTTTTTCCTAGTACTCAGTCGTGCTACATCACAAACAGAATTTTCCCCAGTGTCTGGGCCCAGTACCCGGCAGAGAGTGGGCCCTGATCAATGTTTGTTAGGTGCTATTGTTGACTCTTCTGTTTATGTGGAATGTAAGTGGCCCCTCAAAACCCCCTTTGGATAAACCAAACTAATCTGAAGTACTTTTGTCATTGTGCATCCTCTATGTGCCCTTCCCACTGCAGGAACCACTTTCAGAGGTAAATTATCAAACTGGGCCTCCTACACCCCAATTCCTGTCCCCGCCAAAGGCATGCAGCCCACTGTCCAAGGCTCTGGGTCTGTCTCCCTCCCACCACCCCTGGCCAGCTTTGTCAGTTACCCCCCTCCTGGGTCTTGAACTCTCTCTCTCTACTGGCTTCTTCACTCAGCCTTTAAACATGTGTGAACAACATGCATCAGAAACATAAAGCCCTCCCTCACTTCCTTTCCCCATCCTGTTTCTTTTTCCCATTCACCACCAAACTTGCTAAATGAGTCCTCTATACTTGCTGCCTCAGCTTCTACGCCTCCCACTTTCTGGATTCATCGCCAAACTCGGAGAGGACTATTTGCAGACCTTATCCTACTTGAACTTCATTCATTCATTCATTATGCAAATCTCACTGACCACTTACTATAGGCCAGGCATCTTCTAGGCATGGGACACAACAATGAACAGAAAAGACACGTGGAGCTGCTTCCAGCTGCTAAATCGCCCAGTATTTACGCTATGGAGAGAAATAACTCAGGGCAGAGGATGCAGAGTGCTGTGGGGAGGCAGGGGTGTCGTATGAGGTAGCTAGGGAAGACCTGTCTTTTCTGCTCATTGTTGGGATGGAGCTTTGCAAAATCTCCAGTGCCCACTGTCAGTGCAAAGTCCTGCAGGTGTAAATATGCTTGGCTTGTTTACAGAATAGTGAGGAGGGCAGCGTGGCTGAAACACAGTAGGGAGAGAGTAGGGGAATATGAAGTTGGAGAGGTGGGGTGGGAGGTGGCAGGTCTTCAGGGTGTTGAAGGTGGTGGTGAGGATTTTCGGGCTTACTCTAAGGGAGGTAGGAGCCACAGGGGTTGTGGGTTGTGGAGCGGAGGAGGAGTGTGACTTGGCTTAGGTTTTGCTAGGCTCCCTCTGGCTGCTGTGGGAGGACTGAGTGCAAGGAGTGAGGGAGGAAGCAGGAGGCTGAAGCTGCTTGAGGGGCTGGTGGTGTTGACTCAGGTGGGAGGTGGTGCTGGTGAGGGCGGCTCTGGATGCACTGTGAAGACAGCACCCAGGGCTCAGCGGTATTCCACGCAGGTACCCAGCCCTCCTTCTGGAAACCCTCTCTGCATTCATCTCCTGCCTTTCTCTGACCACTCCCTCTGCTCCCCGAGTCTCCATCAGGTGTCCACATCCCCAGGGCCCTGTCCTTAGTTCCTTCTCCACCCTCAGCTCCTCCTCCCCTCATCACCTCAGTAGCGCAGTCACCAACACCTGTCTGCTCCTCCCCTCTCCCTCCCTCCCAATTCCCTCACCTCCTTCCCACTCTGGCCTTACATAATCAGCCCCCCCGGCCTCCTCCTTGGCCTCCCTGCCTCCAGTCTCCTCCTGCCAACCTGTCCTGACCCACAGTTCACCCTGTAACTCAGCATCATCCTTTAAAGCCCTCCAGTGTTCCTCACCCCACCACCAGCCTGCAAGGGAAAGTCTGAACTCTGCCACTTGGCACTGAGCCGCCCTCACCCACCTCCAGCTCTGCCAGCAGCCTCACGCATCTACCACTCTCCATTCCTAGGTCGCAGCACTCGCCCCCCACCCCTGTGTCCTCAGCGCACTGCTCTCTTGGCCTGGAATGTTCTTTTGCATCTTGCCCACCTGCAAACTGACTCACCCTTGAAAGAGAATCACTTAGGATGCTTTTGGCTACAATAATCCGTCCACCAAGGACATTCATTTTTATCTTAAAGTAGCCTGGAGATGAGGGGGCAGACGAAGACATCAGGGACCCAGACTTTGCCGTCCTCCCATGCGGCTGCCCCGGTGTGTTGACTTTCCCCTTTGGGATGGTGCTTCATGGCCCCAAAATGGCTGTGAAAGCACCAGACATTGTAAAGCCAAAGCAGGAAGTGGGAGTGCAGGTTACAAAGGGGCTTTCTTTGGATGTGCTTCTCTGTTATCAGGGAGGACATGTTTTCCCAGAAGCCTCCAGCAGACTTCCCCTGATGTCACATGGTCACCCCTTGTCCCATTGCAGACAAATGATTATGGGCGTCATGATTGGCATGGACAATCATCATTTGTTCCCTAGGACTATGCATTTTAGCCCCACAGGAAGGAATGACTGTTGCATTGGACACCAAGCAAGTTTCTTGTGTGAAGCCTGCTCAAAGGCCCCCTCCCCTGTGACATCTTCCCCCTCCCCTGGAGTGTCCCGAGCCTGAACCCAGGGCTTAGCATTTCACAGCCCTTATCTCACAAATGTATCCCTTAGCACTGTCGCCCCCATTTTACAGAGGAGGAAACTGAGGGTCACAGCTGGAAAGGATGGAAGCATACATCGGGGGTCAGAAGGGAGAGGGGACTGCCTGGGGTCTCCCACTGAATTTCTGCTGGAGACAGGTTGGCCAATAGAACCTTCTGCAGTGATGAAAATGTTCCATGCTGCGCTGTTTGATATGGTAGACTAGCCATATGGCCACTGAACACGTGGAATGTAGCTAGTGCAACTGAGGAGTGGGTTTTAAATTTAAACAGCCATATGTGGCTGGCGACCCTGTGTTGGCTGGTGCAATGTTAGAGCCAGTACTGGAACTCTCAGTTCTTCAGTTGTAGCCCAAGGATCCAGACCCCAGGCTGCAGGCAGAAGGTGGCCAGGCAGCAGACAGATAGATGGCTTTAAAACGTGTGAGCGGAGTTTGCCACACCTTGGCCCTGGAGGGGGAGCCCCGACTGGGAACCTGTCACGAGAAATGCAATTATGGTCTTGGAAAGGGCTTGTGCAGGGTTGGGAAATCATTCACCCACCCAGTCATCTACTGGAAATCATTCACCCTGAGAAAGAATGAGAAACAATGCCCTAGCAATTTGTTCTGTTCAGATGCATTTGCCCGTGGAGCCCACTCCACCCAAGTGGCAGGTAGTGGGCCCTAGCCTCCCACCTAAGACTCAAACTAGTCCATCAAGGCCTGGGCTCTGGGAGTTAGGGCAGGGTGGAAGTCGAGAGGCAACATCCAGGCAGCCCCCTTATATTACTGGAGGGGAAACTGAGGCCCAGGTAGGGACATGCCAGTGATAGAGGAGGTAGTACTTTAACCCATATGACATAGGGCTGGACACCTGTCAGAGTCCTCATGTGGCCTCTTCAGCACCCAATCCTGTCCTCACCCCACTATGCAGTGATCATGACATATTGAAGGTGACTATCTTTACCTTAGCTCTACCATGAGCGAGCACTGCTTGGCCTGAACAAGGAGGCACAGTCTCATTTCTTTTGTCAGAGTGATGGAGCCATAGTAAGTGTCTAAGCCAATCACTGCATGAGGACAGTCACCCTGAGGCAAAGCCAACATCCAAAGGGCTGTAGAGGAGAAAGAGTTGTAGAGAGACGAAGTTGGAGCCTTGATCAAACCATGCCTGAAACCATCTACTTTTGGAATGTTCTGTTATGTGATCTAATAAATTCCCCTTACAGTTTGGACTAGTTAAAATGGGTCTTCTGTGACTTGTCACGAAAGGCATCCTTCCTGATGTAATATCTGACATCCATTCTGTCATCTACTCCACAAATTCTCCTAAGATAGTAGCGACTATTCCTAAACTGTAGATGAAGAAGTCCAAAAAGTGACAGAGGTGTACCCCGGGTCACTCAGTCCATCAGGGGAAGAGGAACTGAAAAATTGCAACTGTGCCAGATCCTATCATTTTACTCCATTTTCACAACATGTCTGTGAGTCAGAAATTAGTGCCCTTTTTTACAGACAACAAAGAATACTGAGACTCAGAGATGAGAGGGGAGCTGCCCTACTTTGCATGATATTCCGGCAGGAGTAATGGGACCAGTTATTCTGAGCCCCAGTTTAGAGGGATTAAAGAGCTCTGACAGTCACTTTTTTGCATGAGCTCCAACCAGCCAGTGTGAGTGTGACTGCTTTTAATTCCTTCTCTTGATCTTAAAGGACTTGGATCTAAGAAGCTGGATGGGTGTTCTTCTTTTCTTTTTTCTTTTCTTTTCTTTCTTTCTTTTTTTTTTTTTGAGATGAAATCCCGCTCTGTAGCCCAGGCTGGAGTGCAGTGGCGTGATCTCAGCTCACTGCAACCTCTGCCTCCCAGGTCCAAGTGATTCTCTTGTCTCAGCCTCCTGAGTAGGTGGGATTACATGCGGCCGCCATCAACCCTGGCTAATTTTTTTGTATTTTTAGTAGAGATGGGGTTTCGCCATGTTGGCCTGGCTGGTCTCAAATTGCTTACCTCAGGTGATCTGCCTGCCTCGGCCTCCCAAAGTGCTGGGATTACAGGCATGAGCTGCTGCGCCTGGCTGATGGGTGCTTTTCAATTGCAGCTGGATTTAGGTAGCTGTATCAGCAATTGCCATGTAACAAAACATCCCCCAAATCAGTAACAATAATTAAAAACAAAGTTAGAAAATAACCATCATTTATTGTTTACAAGTTCAAGTCTGCTGGTTGGTTCTTCTCATTGTCTTGAGGAAATGGGAATTCATTGAAGAGATAGTGGGAGAGCACAGAATCACTGGGGTCAGTTCAGAAGGTGGCCAGAAGATCCAGGTTAGCTGATGATGGACAAACTCTCCTCCACTGTGACACCAACTCTGAGTGCACTTCTAAGAATTGCTCACATGTGTGGGCACCAAGAGACACGTAAGCCTGCTTTCTCTGTCTGTAGCGGCTAAATCTGAAGACATCTGCATTAGTTAGCTATTGTTACATGACAAAACAACCCAAAACTTGCTTGCTTAAAACATAAACATTTTTGGGAGGCTGAGGCGGGCGGATCACGAGGTCAGGAGATCCAGACCATCCTGGCTAACACGGTGAAACCCTGTCTCTACTAAAAATACAAAAAAAATAGCTGGGCGTGGTGGCGGATGCCTGTAGTCCCAGCTACTCAGGAGGCTGAGGCAGGAGAATGGCGTGAACCCAGGAGGTGGAGCTTGCACTGAGCTGAGATTGCGCCACTGCACTCCAGCCTGGGCGACAGGGCGAGACTCCTTCTCAAACAAACAAACAAACAAACAAAAACAACCACTTTTGTTATTATGCTTGAATCTGTGGCTCATCTGGGCAGTTCTGTGGTAGTCATACTTTGGAATAACCATACAGCTATTAAAATGAATGAACTTGAGCTACCAAGGTCAGCATAGATAAATCTCAAAAAATACAACACTGAGCCTGACTAAGCAAGGTGCAATTGATACCTCTGTATAAAATGCAAAATCAGTCAAAATAATACTGTGTATAATTCACAGATATATGTCTACAGAGAGCAAAGGGACAGAAAAGTGAGGGGCTCAATCATCACTGAATCTGGCATTATGTTTACAAAAAAGGGACCAGTCTGAAGCGCTCTCTGGGGAGCTGGCAGGGACATGTGGCCTTCCTCCAGCCTTCCTCAGTCTTCTAAAGCCTGTGGGTGGCTCTCTCAAGACCTAGAGTCCTGGGCTGGACATCTGGCCAGCTCAGCCCATATCCATGCCTGCATGGAGCTGCCATAGGGCAGAAAGCAGGGAGCTGGAGCCTTGGACTTCCATGGTGGGAGGGGAGTACCTCTTTCTGCCAAGAGGACCCCTAGAATGGCAAAGGGGAGATTCTGAGAGACATCTGGGGGCTTGAAGAGAGAGATTGGATGCTGCCAGCTAAAAATCACAGCCTTTCCCTTACCTAGATCAAATCCCCCTTTACTCTTCATATGCTCCTCCCTCAGGGCAACTCGGGGGGTCTCCTCCTCTCTGAAGCCCTCTGGGATTTGCATTCTGATTCAGTACCTCCCTCTCTGGGGCTTTTCCAGAGCTTCTTTCCTTCGATTCCTCTCTTAGGGTTTCAAGAAACTTTAGCTGTGCAGCACACATGAAGTCTATTGTAAACAGAGTGTGGAAGAATGTAAGGGCTGAAAGACGATCTGGAGAGAAAGGACAGGTGGATGGAAGGAAGGATAGAAGCAGGCGGGCACCTCCATGAGGCTGAAGAGGCTGTGGCTTCACCCACCTGTATGCGCCCCCCACAGCTGCAGCACCCAGCAGGCCCTCAGTGAATTTTTTTGACTGGCTGGCTATGGAATTCCTTAGGGAAGATGGTGATAACGACAGTTCCCTGGTTTTCCTCCACGTTGACAATGACTGTCAATCAACTTTGTGTCTTTGGACACTTTCCCTGGAGATTGCAGGTCTTGGCTGCAAGGGGCCCCCTCTCCCCAGCAGCTTCCTTCTCTACACACTGCATCTGTCTCCCTCCTCTCACTTTCAGGTGTACTCAGGTCTTCGCTCTGTCCACCCAGTCTTCCCGCTGCCACCCTCGCTGCTCAGGTTGCTTCCCTAGGAGCAGAGCCTGAGACAGGGGTTGGGTGCCTGTGGTTACTGATGGAGAGAAGCAGGTGAGGCGGAGGATGACACCAAGCAAGCATGAGGGTGCAGGAGAAGTCTAGACTCAGCCTGACCTCACGAGGGGTGCTGGGGGGTAAATGGCACCGCGGAGCTGAAGTCCAGTCCTACAGGATATTGTAACAGCTGCAGGCAGCCCTGGGGGTGCGAGTGGGATGATACATAAAGCTTCGTGGTATTTCCAGTGCTTTTGGTGCTTCTCCAGTTAAGCGTGGCTGTGAGTCAATGGTGGAGACCTTGGCAATGGCTGAGGGATGGGTGTACCTCCTGACAAGGGGGATCTGGGCTTGGCACCAACACCACCTGCTGCCTTCACCAGCCCGGCCACTCCCATACTCCTTGGGGACCTGGGCTAGACTTCTGTCCTAGTGCTGTGCATAGCTGGGCCACTAAGTTTCGTGGAGACCCCAATTTGTTTTCAATAGAAAGAGAGCCTTAGATGAGGGGAGAAGCCATTGATGTGAGTCCATTGTGCACCTGGGGCCCACAACCCTGCAGGTCCATGGTCAACGGCTCTTGGCAGTGGAGTCCCTGCTTCCAGAACACGGGCTCTCCAGCTCCCCATGACCCACACTAGCCCATTCCCTTCATTTATGGCAACTGTTGGGCCCCTGTGGACCTCTGAGTTTTCAGCTTCCTCTGGGAGTCTTTGATCTCTAAAGACCCTTGGGCTCAGACATTGTGTTTCTGTGCTTCAAGTGACGATCTCTTTACTGAGCACCTACTGTGCGTGGCACTGCAGCCTGCTGCTTTATGTCCAAAGGTGGCAAGTGACTCTCTGCCTTTGCCTGCACAAAGCTTCCACTTGCTGGGAGCAGGTGGCAGTAACAGAGGTACACAGATTTGGGAAGTTACGTCAAGGAACTATTTATAGAATCTTCCACACCCTGGAGACCCTTGGAGCACAGACCTCTGTCCTGAACCCCAGGCTTCTGTATCCAGTGGCTTCCTTGCATCTTCTTTGGGATGTGCCATGAACACCCCAGACCCAGCACACCCAGGCTGAGCTCAGGAGGGAGGCTGGGGGAACTTGGCTGCGTGGGGTCCACTCCTGCCACAGTGGGCTGTGTGTTTCTGGGCTGCTGGCTCCTCCCCTGACCCCAGGCCTTGTGGAGACTGTGGCCAGATAGTACCCCCAACTCCTGGCCTGTGGTGGCTTAGTGGGGATATGGAAACTGACCCAGGCGAGGCCAGAGAGGAGCCCTCCTAGGAAGGGGAGTGTGTGAGTGACTCGCAGAAGGCCTGGGAGCGGGTGCAGGACCACAGTGGGAAACAGAGGCCCACTTGAACTGGAAGGGCATGGGCTGGGGTGGGGAGGGGAGATATTCAATCAGGGGACTATTTCCAGAGAAAAGGGCACAGTGTCTAGAGCCCATTGTGCAGGACGTCAGGACTCAGGGCTGGTGGCCACAAGGGTACTCCTCCTGGGCCTGAGGAGCCAGGAGAGAGGAAGACAGGAACAGAGAAGAGGGCTGCGAGACGGATGCTCTAGCCAGGGGTTCTCTTCCTCTTCCAGGGACTCTACGCGGAAAATATCTTTCCCTGCTCTGAGCTTTGTGGCATTTCTTAATTCCTCTTTCAGGCCCGTGTCTGTGTGTGTATGTGCATGTATGTGTGTGTGCATGCGCACGTGTGTGCACGCATGTGTGTGTGAGTGTGCATGTGTGTGCATGCATGTGTATGTGCGTGTGCGTGTGCGTGTGTGTGTGCACGCGCCTGGGTGTGCACATGTACACATCGGTGGACTGCCACATGCACGTGTCTACAGGAATGTGTCATGGAGCCGCTGTGTGGTCCGGGCAGGAGGTGGTGGTGGCTTGGCCCGATGGTTGCGGTGGAGACCAAAAGCTGGGGATGGGTCCCTGAGAGATGGAGAAGAACCTAGGGATTTGGCGGTGGGTTGGATGTGGGGCCAGAGAGTGGCTGGTCAGGACAGCGCCCAGGCATCTGTCTCGGGGCCCTGGCTGACTTGCAGCTGAGCAGGTGAGGGTGTAGAGGGAGCAGGGCGTCCCCCGGCTGTCCCCTGGGCCTGCCCCACAGGGAGAAGGGTGGCCCTGGACCCAGACTACAGCAGAAAGGCACCGGGCCTTCATGGCAGCCTGGAAGGAAGGTGCTGTCCTCTCTCCAGAGGTGGGTGCCAGGGGCAGCGGTCTGTCCAGGGCCTGCAGTCAGGCCTCAAAGAAGGAACTATACCAGCCCCCTCGGCTGCTGCCCCAGCCTAGGAACCCGGGGACCCTGGGTGAGTCAGGAGCCAGCCCCCTCCGTCTGCCCCAGGAGGCCCTGAGTAGGAGAGGAGGGCCCTGGGGTGGCTGAGCACCCCCAACCCTGAGACTCGCGGCCAGTGCCTCACCTCTTCCCTGCCACCTCTCCTCTGATCGCATCCAGGGAGGAGCTCAGCACTGTTCCTGCCACCGGCCCATGGCTGTCCCACCGGGCTGGGGCAGGCAGCCCACCTCATCCACCAACCTCCTTGTCACACACACTCACCCACAAAACATACTCGCAACTCATACCCACATTCTCTCTCATAACCCTCACACACAGGCACACACTCACATCCACACAACTCACACACACTTACACCCACACCCACACTCACAACTCACATCCAGAGTCCATCTCACAACCCTCACACCAACACAATTCTCACACTGTCTCACACACACACTCACACCCCCCACACACAACTCATCCAGAGTTCATCTCACAACCCTCACACCACACAACTCTCACACACTGTCACACACACACTCACACACTCAGACCCACACTCACATCCAGAGTCTATCTCACAGCCCTCACACCCACACAACTCACACGCTCTCACACACACACACACCCCACAACTCTCTCTCACACACACAACCCTCACACCCACACAACTCTCACACACACACTCACACACTCACACCCCACACACACAACTCACATCCAGTCTATCTCACAACCCTCACACCCACACAATTCTCACACACTCTCTCACACACACTCACATACCCACACCCACACTCACCACTCTCACACCCACATTCTCACAACCCTCATACACAGGTGCATACACCCACACAGCTCTCACACACACAGACTCACACTCTCACACGTGCACTCTCACATACACTCTCACACACAACTCTCATCCCACATTCTCTCACAACCCTCACATCCTCACACCCACACAACTCTCATATACTCACACTCACACACACACTCGTAACACAGTCCCGTGTTCTCACACATGCTCGGAGGCTCACAGCCTCCCATACTCCTGCTTCCTCACTGTGCCGCACCCTGGGCTCCCCTGTTGCCCCACCAGCCCCCTGTGCCCACACTGCACAGTCACACTCATGAGCATGCACACTCACTGATGCACTGCCTCATGGCCGCATCCTTAGAGGCTGGGGTCACACACAGCTGCACACTGGCTGAGCTCCCTCAGGTGCACACCCCGCTGCTCCGATCCATGCGTTTCACCCACGAGTTTACGCAATTCCAAGTGCAAATCATTCACATGCACCTTCACTCTGGAGTTTTCACCAGAACCCTCAGGCCCCTGTGGCAGGGCGCTGTCTGCCTCCCTGGGTAGCCTGGGACACCGAGAGCCACCTGAGGTGACTGCAGTGTTCGTCCCCCCATCTCTGCAGGGCTGTATTGGGCTGGGGGAGGAGAGGGGCCTGTGACCGAGAGTGTAGGGCCGGCCCATGGGAGTGAGATGGGAGAGCACTGGGGAGCTGCTCCAAACCCACGAAGGGAGAGCTTTGTCCAGGCCAAAGCTGGCTGGGCATGAGAGAGAGCTTCCCATCACAGGAGGTATGCAAGCACTGGCCAAACCACTCTCTGATAGAGAAGGCGTGGAGGGGCCTCCAGACTGCCTTAGAGGTAGATGGGGTTGGAGGGAGAGTCCTGCAGAAGCCTCCGGCCAGACACCCTGGGAGCCAGAGGTGGGGGTAGAGGAGATGGGCCAGGGCAGAGGGGGCAGGAGAGGGCGGGCAGGGGCAGGTAAGGGTGGGGCCGGCAGTCCCGGAGGGTGGGGGCTGTCTCGCCGTGGCTGCCATAACTCAGCCGGGATGGACAGTTTCCTTTCTCCTGCCTGATTTACTGCCTGCTTTGGAGGGGTGAGGCCCATTCTTTGAACTTCAAAGGGAGCACTGAGTGCAGCCACACTGGGGTGACAGCCTGCTGAGCTCGGGGGTCCGTCTCCTGGTCCCCCGGAGAGGCCTCGGGTCCTGGGTTTATGGACACGCACCAAGCCTTGCCAAGCCTCCATCCTCTCATCTGTAAAATGTGGTCCTAGCTCCCAGCCCCTGAGAGGACAAGATTTACCTCCATGGCCTATTTTAAATGCCAAGGGCTGTGACACCCAGAAACCTGTTCTAATTTCTTAGTCTAGGAAGCTCTAATCAGGACACGGAGGGACCTGTCACTTCTCCTGATTTTAGGTTTGCTTACGTATTTCTTCTACCCATGATTCCTTTATCATCTTCACAAAGTCAGAAATGAAGGGAAGAATTCATATTTTTTTCTTTCCCTATTTTGCAGGTGGGTTAATTGAGGCCCAGAGACATTAGGCCCGCCTCCTAATCACCCAGAGAGGCCTCTAGCCCCGTCGCTAGTCTCTGCCTGAAACGGCCCCAGGTCCTGTGCACACAGGGATGGGAGCCAGGCAGCATCTGTTTGCTGTTTTTCATCCCTTTTGCTGAAGGACGGGCTGGCTGCGCTTTGCCACTGAGCCCCATGTAACCACAGCCGCCTTCCCCATCTCTGGGCCTCAGTTTCCTTGTCTGTAAAAAGGGCCTGTACGTTCGTGCTCTGAAACTGTTATTTGGAAAGAACGCCAAGCCCCATACTGGCAGCTGTGGTGCTTGGGTCAGGCCTGCAGATGTATTTTCTTTGTCCTGTGTTACGTAAAACATCAGGGCAGGTGTTGACGTTCAAATGTAGGAGGTTTCCCATACAAATTTGGGTTTCCACCTTCTCTTGAAGAATTAGAAACTTTGGTTGTACTGGTGATCCCAAGCTGCTAACCTCAGGCTGGAGCTGGGGGCATTGCCCCACTAAGGAGGTGGACGTGTCTCCCACACCACACCCCTTTTGAGCCAGGGCCCTCATTAATGTGCTCTGCCTGGCCCCTTAGCTGCCTCTGTTTGTGACTCCCAGCTCATCTGAACTAACCTTCTTGGACTCCCTGCTCTGTTTCTCACCTGCCATGTGACCTTGGGCAAGTCACTTAGCTTCTCTGAGCTTCGGAGTGGACTAAAGTATGTGATGCCTGGAGCGGGCTCAGCACAGGCCTCTTGGCATTTTGTCTGTGCTCAGGAGGCGTCATGGCTGACTGCTGCTGAGCTCGGTGGGGACAGAGGAAGGAGACCTCTGCCCTGCCCTCCTGCATGGCATCAGATGGAGGCAGTGGGCTAAGGGGAGCAGCTCAGGCTGTGAAGCCAGAGGGACCAGCAAGTAGAACCCTGGGAAATCAGAGACCCAAAGAGGTGCCATTGAGGAGGGAGGCTGGGCACTGAGAGAGCTGCTGGGAGGCCAGGAAATGGGGATAGTGTGAGAATGACCCTGCCTGAAGGGGGGACAAAAAGGAGCTGGTCAGACCGCAGCTCATCTGGGAGGGGGCGCAGGGGTGGCAGGGTGGCTGGCAGAGGGCAGAGGAAGCCACCAATGCCCTCCGACCACAGAGTGGGGATGGGACCCATGGAGGCTCTTGAGCTGGGGGCACCTCTGCTCTCCAAAGTCAACAGAGATGCGAAAGTATGCAGTCACCTAGCGCCTCTCCTCAGAGGTTCTGGGGCCCATGGACAGACCAGTGCCAGGGGAGGGCGGGTCTGGGTCTTTAAACCTGCCCACCCTGGATGTGAAGCTGTCCCTGCCCAGGTGAGTCAGCCAGGACTTTGGGTCTCAGCTTCACCTCCATGTGGCCCTGGTAGATTCCCTTGCACCCCTGAAGCCTTGGTTTCCACATCCATAAAACTCAGGGATGAACCACTTGGTCTAGAAGTTTCCTTCAGTGTAGGCAAGTTCTGGTTCTTCATCTTCAAGGGTGAATGTGTTCCTTAGAGGAGGGGTATGGGGGCAACTGCCTTCAGTCCCCTGCTGGTGAGTGGTGAGCGGTGAGCGTACAGCCAGAGCTGAGGTTCTATTTGTGTGTCTGGTAGGGGGAGGGGTGGCAAGGGCATTCTAGGGAGAGGGAACCCTCCCAATCCATCTTTCGGTGCTGCCACTAGGCAGAAATACACAAAGACAGAATATTTGTTAAGCGTTTACTATGTGCTGGGTTTTGTGTGGGGCCCCACAGAGCAGACACCTCAGACAGAAATGCACCAACTGCCTCGTGTCCCCAAATGTGGCAGCCAAGGGCCTCCCCAGCTCGCCCAGAGAAGGGAGCTGGTTGTACCAGAAGGAAACCCTCAGTTGGGAATGTGTGCTGTCTTTTAGAAATGATTTGGGGGCCATAAATTTTCAGTGGCAAAGCAACCCTCAGACTTTTCATAACGCTGAAGAGTTTAGACTTGTCTCGAGGGGTAACAATTTCACCCAAGTAGTGCACCAGCTCCAACTATTTGTTATTGCAAAGGTTGATTTTTTTCCCCTTAAGGTGGAATCTTCAGATTTCATGCTGTGCTTTAACTTGTTTTATTTCACCCGGAACACAAATAAAAATAGCCCAAAAGATGTATGGATCGACTTGAGAGAAGTTTCTTCCTTCCTCCTTGTGTGGAGGGAGGACGGAATGTTGAGTGTTCACATGTCCTGGGCCTTGCTTTGGGCGCATGAGAGCCCCTGGCAGCCTCTGCCCAGGGCTGGGTGGGGTTGTAAGGACCCCTCTAACTGGTTGCATCCTCAGGACAGCTCCCCCACAACTTAGCCATTTTACAGTGAGGAACGAAGACTCAGAGGCATCTGGCAATCCATCCACAGTCTCACCGCTGGGCATTTTGGTAGCCAAGGTTTAAACTTAGGTCTTTGTGACTTTAAAGCTTGTGTCCGTTTTGGGGCAAATCTCTTGAATCTCGAGTCAGCACTCACCATCTGAAGCCACGCTCACCCTCTCTCCAGCTGAAGTGGGAACTTTGAGTGTGAACAAGATCGCAGGGGGAGAGGATGTTTAGCATAGTTGGTTCCAGGGCTGATTTGAAGTCTCCTTAAGCACCGTGGAAGCACCGTTTCCATGCCAACAGCTGCTCTGTGCCACTTACAGGCATTTATATCTACTCGCTAAAGCAGGCCCTTAAAGAATGCCAAAGGGAGCACTTTGGGCTCAGAAGCAGCTCATTTGCATTCTCTTTGCATATCCAGTAATTTTTCTGGATTCTCCCAAAATGGGCCAGCTGACACAGTGAATGTGTTGTCTCTAGGGCCTGACTTGACAGGATAAAAGGTCTCAAAATTGTGCTGTTTGTTATCAGAAGGGAGGGTCTGCGGCTGCTGAGCCTTGTGGGAGGTAGGGGGCCTGTGGCTAAGCCCTGGCTTCTGCAGGCTGCCCCAGGACAGGGCATGCAGGCAGACACAGGGCTCAATGGGGTGGGGAGCAGATTCTAGCTCAGTCAGCCAGAATGTTCTCTAAGCAGAGCTGTTGAGATGAAAATCTTCGACTTTTGTGAGCACCACGAGGTGCTTTATGTATGTTATGGTGCATTCTCCCGTGAGTGAGACGTGGTTGTCCTATTCCACAGATGAAGAAGGGAAGTCACTTGCTTCATGGCCAGGGAAGGGCTCCAGCAAGACATGGGCTCCTGAAAGTGACAGTGTGTGAAGGCCCGGAGAGGCACAGGACCTGGTGAGCTGAGCGGGGGGAGAAGGCATTCCAGGGTGAGGACGGAGGTGTGGAGGGGATGTATTCACTATCACAAAGAACCACCAACAGGGGACCTTAAACAAGAGAAAGGGTTGCTTTCTCCTGCAGCCTCTCTCCTTGCTTGTAGATACCGTCTTCTCCCCGGGTCCTCACATGGTCTTTCCTCTGGGCATCTGTGTTCTAATCTCCTCTTCTTATAAGAACACCAATCAGCTTGGATTAGGGCCCACCCTAAGGACCTCATTTCACCATAATTACCTCTTTAAGGCCTGTTTGAGATATAGTTTCCATTCTGAGATACTGGGGGTTAGGACCTCAGTATGTGGATTTTGGAGGGTGACACAATGCACCCAAAGCAGTGGAAATTGTCATGTGGGTGTTGGTGGGAACACTGAGAAGGGAAGGAAGATGTAAGACAGTGGATGGGGGAGAGCTTGGTTCTGGGAGCCTTGCCTGACAAGCTGAGGATTTGGTCCTCTCCTCCTGTGTGATGGACACATGCCATAGTCCCCATGGCAGGGAGTTTCAGGATGAAAAGGACTTTGGAAGTCAACTAGGCTGATGCCAGCTGGGTTGGACTGGGTTGGGGGTACCAGGGGAGGCAGCTGTCTTTCCAGGAGCAGCACACTCAAGTGTCGGGTTTTCTCTGAACAGGCCAGTTTTCTGGGGGCTTAGGGGCCCTCCAGTCTGGCAAAAGTAACCGGTCTTGCTCAGGGTGCAAGAACAACATCTGACTCATCTCCATGTGCCCAGCCTGTCACAGCACGGAGCCTGGCACGGAAGAGGCACTGATTGGTGTCAGTCAAAAACCGGATGTCGGTCAGGACACTGGCTCTGAGCAGCAGGTGGCTTCTGTTGGTTATATTTCTTGTCAGCTTAAAAAATGTGTTTTTTAGCCTGGGCTCCCAGCTAAACACAGAGCCTGAGGCAAGGGTTTAGGACTTGGCAGTTTATTTTGAGGCGCAATCCCAAGGACAAGGAGGATTGAGGGGAGTGAGATGGAAGCCCCCAAAGCCAGTCCAAGGGGGCATTATTGAGCCAGTCACTGCTGTGGGCAATGAGGGCTCAAGCCTGCTGGGGGCCCTCTGTGGAGTGTGTCGGGTGCCTCAGGATTGTCCTCCCAGGGAGGGGGTTAAGTCCTTATGGAGTGGAGCGTCCCTTCCCTCCCCGCACTTCTGGTTTGCCCATGTGTCAGCATGGCTCTGGGGGAAAGTACCCTGTCCCATTTGGCGGCTTCAGCAGGCCCATGAGAGATCATCAGGGCTGGGATGTGAGGCACTCTAGGTTGATCCTATGCAGAACTGGTTGTTGCAGACACAGCTGGAGGGCAGGCATGGCCCAGCACATGTGAGGTGGGAGACAAGAGATGTCAGATACATTTTCCAAGCTGGCAGGAAGTATAATTAATGGAAGCCACCTGTCACTCGGAGCCAATGTCCTGGCTGACATTTGGTTTTTCACAGACACTAACGGGTGTCTCTTCCATGCCAGGCTTCATGCTGTGCCACTCTGGGCACGTGGATCTGAGTCAGGTGTTGTTATTGTATCCTGAGCTCTGGACGTCAGTTAAGGGGACCATTGCCATCCTCATCGAGGAGTGCTGGGAAGAGGCCTGTATAGACTACAGGGCAGGCACAGAGCAGGGACTTGCCATTTCTGCCTGGGGTGGATATGGGGTGGTTAGGGTCCCCCCATATCAATTGTGGATCTTAGTTACAATCACCCAAAAGTGGCTCTGGCTTGGGCAGAGAGAAAGGTTTGGGTGGTTGTGGCAGCTGCTGCTGCTGATCTACCCTGCACCTGTTCTCCTCCCCTCCTGCCTGGGGGAGGGAAGTGTCACCCATGGATCAGAACCCTGGAGGCTGTGAAGGCGTGCTCTAGGCAGAATGGAGGCATCCAGGCAAAGAAGCATGAACTGAGGCCCCTGTGGGCACCTGCTAGACCCCAGATCTGAAATCTGGGGTGCTGCCATTCTTCCTGGGCACACAGATAAGCACATCCCTCAGGCTGACCTGCAGTTAGGGACTGAGTTCTGGCCCCTGGGCTGTGGACGGAAGTAATGCCTGCCATTTTGAGGTCTGGCCCAGAAAAGGCGAACTCCTCCTGCAGACAGTCTGTCTCCACTCACTGGCTGGAAGATGCCAGGGTGCCCTCCAAGCCGCACAGTGAAGACACTGGTGCACAACATGGAAGGAACCTCAGTCCTGAAGTGACCGCGTGAAGCTGAGCCCCTTGGCCAAGCCTCCTTGAACTACAACAAGAGCGAGAAATAGATCTTCATGGTGATGAGCTGCTGAGATTTGGGGCTGTTAGCTTTCTCCAACCAATACAAAAACTGGTAATCTGAAATGGGCATTACCAGAAGAACCTGTAAAGTGTGGCATTGGCTGTGGAGTGACAGTGTGGAAATTGATATTAGAGGCTGTGAAATATGGCAGTCCACGTTATGAAGTGGCAAAGTATTTGGGAGAACAGTTGCCTATGATAGCTGGGAAGACAGAGCATACCAGCATTGAGCCTGTAGCTCCAGGGGAAATGGTTGGAAGGAATTAACAGATTAGTGTGTCTTGGCTACCATGGGCTGCATTTGGCAAGGTCTTACAGGAAAGAGATGAGCTCAGGAGAGTCACAGCTGGTTTGAAACAGAAACAAAAGGGAACAGAAAGAGGGGCTTTTCAGGGTTGGAAAATTAAGCACATCTGGAACTGAAACAGTAGGAAATAAGAGCGAGAGACACTTCAGACTGCAGTGAAGATTAGAAGAAGGATGTGACATTTCCACTCAATTACATAGCCTTGAGATTGTCATTATTATGTTGGGAGGAAAAGGCAGGGAGGCAAGGAAGCAGGGAAAAAATAAATGGGGCTGGACAATTAAGCCTAGGAAAGAACCACGGGTATGATCATTGACTGGCATATAGGACTGACAGGAGGCGAATAGATCAGAAAGTTAGCTATGGAGGGAATTGCATTGATAAGGACACAATGATCCTGGACTCAGAAGAGTCTTTGACTGAAACTTAAAATACCCTTGGGGTCCCCTACTATCCACAAGCAGGAAGTAGGTTCCGAAAATTCTGTGGCATCTGAGGAGGGAACTCCACTGCACTCCCACATCAGAGGCGGCCGCGGAGGAAAATTAACAAAGAAGAGCTCATAAAGGGTGAACTCGGGTCAGGGGGGAATGGAGAAAATTTTACTTTATTTTATTACTTTTTTTGAGATAGAGTCTCCCTTTGTCACTCAGGCTGGAGTGCAGTGGCTCGATCTCGGTTCACTGCAACCTCTGCCTTCTGGGTTCAAGTGATTCTCTTGCCTCAGCCTCCCAAGTGGCTGGGATTACAGGTGCACACCACCAACCCCAGCTAATTTTTATATTTTTAGTAGAGACGGGGTTTCACCATGTATTGGCCAGGCTGGTCTCGAGCTCCTGGCTGCAAATGACCCGCCTGCTTCAGCCTCCCAAAGTGCTAGGATTGCAGGTATGAGCCACTGCACCCAGCTGGACAAGGGGTTTTCTTTTTATTATTATTATTATTATTATTATTATTATTATTATTATACTTTAAGTTTTAGGGTACATGTGCACAATGTGCAGGTTTGTTACATATGTATACATGTGCCATGTTGGTGTGCTGCACCCATTAACTCGTCATTTAGCATTAGGTATATCTCCTAATGCTATCCCTCCCCCGTCCCCCCACCCCACAGCAGTCCCTGGTGTGTGATGTTCCGACAAGGGGTTTTCTAGGAGAGCAGAGCCAGAGTCTAGTCAGGGGACACCCTTGGCCGCCAGGGTAGAGAAATCTCTCAGTCCCTGCCCCTGTGCAATGGACTCTGCACAATGGACTGCTTGCTGTTGAGTGGTTGCCATTCCTTTCTCTTCGGAATGGGAGTTTTTACTGAGGTTATCTTATCCCTGCCTCACGATCACATTGTGTGTGTGTGTGTGTGTGTGTGTGTGTGTGTGTGTGTGTCTATGTGTATGTGTGTGTATGTGTGCATGTGTGAGTGTAAGGGGATGATGAACACATTTTCTCTATAGTTCACAGGCCACCAGACAATGCGGTGGCTGGATGAGTTTTGGGTTGTATCCCTTGGGGAGAGAATGAGCTTTATCTATGTGTGGGAAGGAGGGCCTCATGGGTATGTGGTGGCAAGGGTGGACTGTGGCAGAGACTGCTAGTGGAGAGCAATATCCATGTCGCCTCCTTTCCTCCTGGGTACTGAACGAGGCCACATTCCCTGCTCCTAGCAGTTAGCAGGGGTCATGTGATTGAATTATGGCCAAAGCAATGTGGGCAGAAGGGACACACACCACCTCCAGGCCTGGCCTCCAAAACCCTGCATCCTCCTCCCCATGTTCTCTGTTTTCATTCGCCAGCTGGAGGATGCCAAAGTAAACTTGGTGGCCACATGTCAAAGACGGAGATGCACAAAATGGGAGGAACCTAGATCCCTGAATGACTTTGTGGAGCTGAGCCCCTAGGCCACCCTGCATTGGATGTGAAATGAGTGAGAAATAAACCTTTGGAGTTTCAATCCACTGTGATCTGGGGCCTCTTTGTTACAGGATTAATTTATTTTGACTCATACACACTTCTCTTGGCCCCCTCCAAGCCTGGATGATCTTTAAAAGTCATGTTAATCTTCTGTGGAAAACTTGTGGCTGGTCCTGTTGCTCATAGAGCAGTCACAAACCCTTACTGCAGCCCACAGGGCCCAGTGCCAGCCCTCTCCTATCTTTCCAGCCCTTTCTCCTTGCCCTCTCCCTCTTGTTGTCTGTTCTCTGGTTATGCTGGCTTGCTTTCTCTCCTTCAAATATCCCACGCTGTCTTCTCCCTCAGCATTTCCCTTCTGTTCCTTCTGCCTGGAATTCTTCTCTTGCCCTGTGTTGTCAGGGTCACCCCTAGTATCCTTTAGATCTTAGCTCAAATGTCACTTCCTCAGGGAAGATTCCCAGTTCCTTCAGGTGGATCGAGTTCCCCCCATGTGGATCTTAGTTACGATCACCCAGAAATGGCTCTGGCTTGGGCAGAGAGAAAGGTTTGGGCAGTTGTGGCAGCTGTTGCTGCTGCTGATCTACCCTGCATCCATTCCTCTCCTTCCTTCTTCCTAACAGACACCAGTTTAGTTCAGAGGAATGATATGTCCTTGAAGCTCCTTCCCCAGATGCCCTTCTGGCTAGAGGTGGCCACTAGACCCAGTTCTGTCTAGAGGGATGTGACACTCTGCTTGGTGGGTTCCTAAAAGGCTATTGTTTCCTGAAAAGGCTGGCACAGGCCTTTCCCTCTCTACCCTCCCATCTTCTTGCTGCCTGCGTGAGGATGAAAGCCACATACTAAGGATGGAGGACCACGAGCTGGAAAGAGCCTGTGATCTAGATGACAGCCACAAGCAGCTGCCCCAGCCCTGGCCTGCCAACCTCCAGGGAAGGCCAAAACCCTATTTGGCAAAGCATGGAAACAGGGTTGTCTTTGTCCATTTTCTGTTGCTTGTAACAGAATATCTGAAACTGGTCAATTTATAAAGAAAAGGAATTTATTTCCTACAGTTCTTGAGGCTGAGAAGTCCGAGGTCAAGGGGCTGCATCTGGCAAGGGCCTTCTTGCTGCTGGGGGCTCTCTGCAGAGTCCCAGAGTGGTGCAAGGCATCATATGGTGAGGGGGCTGAGTGTGCCAGCTCAGGTCTCTCTTTCTCTTCTTAGAAAGCCACTTGTCCCACCCCCATGATAACCCATTAAGCCATTAACTCATTAATCCATGAGTAGATTCATCTACTCATGAGGACAGAGCTCTCAAGGCCCAATCACCTCTTAAAGGCCCCATCTCTCAGTACTGCCATATTGGGGATTAATTTCAACATGATTTTTGGCGGGGCCAATATTTCTGTTTTTCATCCTCAAACATATACAGAGCCCCTACAATGTGTCAGGCCCAGGGCCGTGTGTTGGAGACACAGCACTGAGCCAAATCGACCATGATTCTGCCCTCCTGGAGCAGTCTTGGGAGGAGACCAGATGTCACACACACACATGCATGCACACACACAGGCGCACACACACGCATGCACACGCAGGTACACACACACACACAAGAAGTTACAACCTCTGGAGGTGTGGGGAGGGCTATGAAGATAGTGAAATGGTGCAGAGAGAGACAGTAACCGGAGACTTGCTGTAGGTTGGGGAGAGAGGTGCAGAGCAGGGCCAGGCAGTCTTCTGGTGCAGGCGACACTAGCTCAAGCAGGGAGGTTGGGGAGTGTGAAGCAGGGTCACTGTGCACCATGTCAATCCCAGGGGAGGACTCTAAACACCTCGCCCACTGCACTTTGAGTTGTGTTAATTTATCACTTGCATGAGTCCAGTGAGACAACACTCACCTACGGCAAGTTACACAAACCAGACTTGTTAATTAGAGATAGGTAGCAAGGGACAGCAGAGCCTAGGATTCAGGGTGAGCTGGTCCCCCAGGCTCGGGAAAGCTGCCCTGGGTGGATGGAGTCTTGTCTGCATGTGCCCCATTTGCACTGCAGCTGAAGGGCTCTGGAAAGCAGTTGGCTCTGGGTTTCATATCCCCGGGACAATGCAACTTGCTGAGCTAAATCTCTGTAGGACATCCTGCTCTAGGAGGGACAGGAACAGAGCCCAGGGTGTTCTGGCCAGGTCCTTCTTATCCCCGGATGTTGCATCCCCAGCACATTCTACAGCGATTCTTAAAACTTCAAGTAAGAATGGCATGAGAGAGTTGGGTGGGTCCAAGCCACCCTTAGTGCCATCCTGCAGGGAGAGGTCAGATGAACAGAGTGGAGACGAGAGTGGTCCTGGGGGAAGGCCTGGCTGGGCTAAGGCTGCAACCCTGAGGGAGCGCACTGCCTGTGTTTGAGGACCAAGTGCAGGCCCGGTGGAAGAAGCACATCCAGTGAGGGAGATGCATGGTCAAGGATAACACAGCCAGACCAGGCAGAGTTCCCTCTGAGTGAATTGGGAGCCACGGGAGGTTGAGGGCAGGGAGGGACATTCTCTGATGATGTTTTAAAAAGGTCACTCTTGCTGCTGAGTGCATGAGAGACTGTAGCGGGTGAAGGTGAAGGCAGGGAGACCAATGGTGGCTGAGGCTGGGACACACGGTGGTGAAACTAGTGGGAAGCCATGGGTTGGAAGAAATTTAAGAAGTAAAATCAAGACTTGGTGATAACTTGAGGAGGGTGGAGGGGATGAGAGAGACAAAGGTGACCCCCTAGGATTCTGGCCTGGACCCCTAAGTGGCGAGGGGTGCCATTTACTGTGATAGGGAAGACCAAAGCATGAACAAACTTGCAGTTCAGTCCGGAACACACAAGATTCGCCTTGCTTCAAGGGGAGAGGGAGACAGGCATTTGGATATGCTGGTCTGGGGCCCAGGAGAGATCTGCTTTCTTGTTCTTCCTACTCCTTCCACCACTGTCTCTAGACCCCTTCTCCGTGCCTGTTCCTGAGCTGGGGATGGAAACAGAGGCTCAACCTTTCCTGGATTTCTAAAGCTTATGTCCACTGGCGCCCCTGTGCATCCTTCTTGGTATCACATAGGGTATAGTCTTAGCTGCTGTGATTAGGAGACTCCCAAACACAGCGGCTTAACCAAAAGGGTCAAGATAGGAGACACGGCAAGGTTGAGAACAGGTTATTTCTTTCACTTTATGGTCTAGTAAGGTGTTTCAGGGCTAGGAGGGGACTCTGGTATCAAGACCTCTGTCTCTGAGTTCAAGGTGGCTGCTCCTGTGCTCGCCTCCCCTCAGACAGCTGGGAAAGGAGGGGACATGGGGAAGGCACAGTTTTTTTTACAGGTGCACCTGGAAGTGGCGTGCGCCTCTTTGGCTCACCTCCCATTGGCCAGGACTTCCTCCAATGCCCGTGTCTAGCCCCAAGGGAGGCTGGGAGATGCAATCTCCTGGGGGATGGTGGGGCATCATGATCCCAGAAAACTGGTAGAGGGTTCCTTATTGTTCAGAAGAAGGAGAATGTGGAGATTTATGGACAACCATGGTCTCTGCCTTCTTCTCTGGGAATTGGAAGCCGCGCAGTACAGCCCAGGGGAATCTCCCTCACGACGTCCCAAGACAAGTAGCCTAGCATGTTTAGGTATGGAAGGTCTTCTGGGAACCACAAATGAGTGGTTAATTTTAGCAAGCAGGTTGGCTTCTTACTCAGTCTGGGAAGCCTGATTATGGGACCTTGTGGGAGATTCTCCTGAATGTTTTTACCAGGCAGAGTCCCTGGATCCCCTCTGCAGCCCCACCAGCTGCTCCTCCAACCTGGCTTGCATACTTCCCCTGATGGGAAGCTCACTCCCTCCTGGATACCTGTCCCTTTCTTTGGCCTCCTGACTGGGAGGAGGTGCTCCTCATAGGGAGCTCTGATTTTCCTCCTGTGATCAGTCCCCTCCTCCCATTAGTCCTGGCTCTGCCCTCCATTCTCCCCCTACCCCAGAACAATCCTACAGAAATTTGGAGTGAACAACAGAGGCTTCTAAAGCACCTTTTCTATCAGTAAAAGAGAAACATATGACTGAATGAGACTCCTGGGACATTTGAGTTCTCATGGCCAGGGTCAACCCCCAGATACCTATGTGCTATGACGCTGGTGGTCCAGTGTCCCAGCTCTGGACTGGGCTCCAGGCCAGGCTCAGCCAAAGCCTGGCTGTGTGGCCCTGGGCAAGTGGCTTCAGGGCTGAGTCTAACTCCCAACTCTGACCCTGGTCCTGGGGTCAGGTGTGCCACCCATCTGGGCCTCATCTCCAAAGCAGAGGTAGTGATGGACAGTACTGACCCCATGAATTTTCTAGGAGGCTTAAAGAAGCTGCTTACAGAGAACTTAGCGTGCTGTTGGCTACAGTAGAAGAGTTGGAGGGCTTCTATTTTGAAATATTAATGAATAGTTCTTTTTCCCCAAATAGCTTGTGCTACCCCTTGGTCCCTTTTTGCCTTTTCCTTTTTTCCATCAATTCAGTGAACCAGCTTCTTCTTAGCTTTTGGTTTCGAAAACCTAGACCCAATGGGAACGGAAAATCCCAGAGGAGGTCTTTAAAAAGGTAATGAGAGTTCACCAGGTGCTGAGCACTGTTCCCACTGCTGTGCACACGTGGTCTCCTGGAATCTTAAGGCCAGTCCGTGAGGCAGGTGCTCTCATTATTTCCATTTCACAGATGAGAGAACTGAGGCCCAGAGAGGTTATGTGTGTTGCCCAGGGGCACACAGCTAGCGATGTCACAGGGTGGTGACTTTCGGGGGCCTGGATTCTTCACCACCGTGCCCTTCTGCCGTAGACTGTGGTGAGCCTGGAGTCCGAGTCTCCCCAGTCTCCTCCCTGCCTGCTCCAGCTCACAGGGAGGTTTCCCAGACTTGGGGGTGGTGGAGACGAGGAAGGAGGCTCAGGGGGAAGCTGGCTGGGCTCTGGGTGCTCAGGCGGGCTGTGGGCTCTGATAGCAGGCAGGTCTTGCTCTGCCACTCCATGGGAGTGGTGGCTGGTGGAGATCTTCCCTGGGTGGGGCACCGGAGGATCAGAGGGACCTGGAGGGGCACACAGGGGCTGTAGGCACATGCAGGAGAGTTGCAGGGCTGACGGCCTGGTGGCCTGTGGGGTACTCAGCAGACCAGGCCAGACTGAATGGCTCCCACCTCAGGTGCTCTGGGGGAAAGGTGGGCATACCAGCCTGGCCAAGATTAAATTGCTATGAGAGCAGGACTCAAGAAATGAATTTGAGATATAAAAGAAACCTTTTGCCGGGCGCGGTGGCTCATGCCTGTAATCCCAGTACTTTGGGAGGTGGAGGCGGGCGGACCACTTGAGGTCAGGAGTTCGAGACCCACCTGGCCAACATGGTGAAACCCTGTCTCTACTAAAATACAAAAAAAATTTAGCCGGGTGTGGTGGCACATGCCTGTAATCCCAGTTACTTGGGAGACGGAGGCATGAGAATCACTTGAACATGGGAGGTGGAGATTGCAGTGAGCCGAGATCGCACCACTGCACTCCAGCCTGGGTGACAGAGTGAGACTCTGTCTCACAAAAAAGGAAAAAAAGAAATCTTTATTAAAAATTTCTTGAACACCTGAGGCTGTGGCTGGAGTGCCATTCAGGCGGTGTGCTCAATGCATGTCCATTACTCTGGTCTTACTGCTGTTTCTGTGCAGCTGCGAGGGCGAAAGGGAGTTGTATTTGTGTGTGTGCCTGTCGCATGCATGTATGCCTTTGTGTGTGTATGTGTGTGTTTGTGTGTGCCTGTGAGTTTGTATTTGCCTTTGCATGTATTTGCATGACTGTGTGTATGTGTCTTTGCGTGCATGTGTGTGTTTTTATGTGTCTGTGTGCAAGGCATGCATGCTGTGTTGCCTGCACCCAGGCTGGCTGTGCACAGCCACACTCCCTCCCCGCCCCCAGACCCCAGAATGCTGCTCGGTTTCTCACCCTTTCATATTCAAATACTGGCCTAGCCCCAGCATCCCCTGGGCATTTATGGGCTGATCATGTATTGTTGGTGCAGGCTGAGTGGGTGAGCTCATCGCCAGGCTTGGGATGGGAATTCCTGCCGCATCCAGGGGACCTGGGGCTCCCCGATGTGCTCCAGAGGGGCTTGCCTAGGTCCTGCCCTATCCCACCCCATGCCAGCCGCTGCCTGGGTGCACCATTCATTCAATCCAGAAATATGGGACAATGCAAACAACAACTCACATTTGTATATTGGACACTCACTCTGTGACAGACACAGAAGCCCTTTCCATGTTGGCTCCATTTTGGCTCCATTTTATGGATGAGGAAACTGAGGTAGAGGACGATGCCCCAGGGCAGCAGTTACTAGCTGGAATAATTTGAACACAGGCATTTGGTCCCTGAAGGCACGCCCCAACAATTGCACTGCTGCCAGCCGCCCCTCATCCCCCGCCCTCCCGTGGCTCAGCTGTTGGGGGCAGGCGCAGAGCTCCTCGGGAGGCTGGGTGCCCTCCTCGCCCCTCCCCGTCAGCCCCATTGTCTGCCCAGGCTTCCTGTCCCCCAGTCTCTGCAGGGCTCTCCTGGGGTGCGTGGGGGAGGCAGAGGGCAGAGCTGGGACCAGTACTGACCTGCCCAGCAGGGGAGGTATGTAAGTGAGGCTGCTGGGTGCTTCTGCTGGACTTGTACCTGACCCTGGTATCTAGAGTTGGGAAGAGCTGCTATTGCCCTTAGCTGCAGACATGGCCCAGTTGGAGACTGGCTCGGGTTCTGAACCCACACCCCATCACCTCAGATGCCTCTGTTCCACCCCTGGCTGCAGGGGAAGAGAAGCAAGGGGTCTCTCCCTAGGTCCAGGCAGAAATTCATGAATGCAAGGAGCTGGTTAGCACAGTTAGCATCTTGTCTGTAGTTGCCACGGGATGGCTGGAAAGATGGGGTGGGGCAGAGCTTTGGAGTCAGATCCTTCTGGCTTTCTCTCCCTCCTCTGCCCACTGCCAAGTCAGCAAACATCTCGGAGACTCAGTTTCCTCATCTAAGAAATGGAACAACATTGCATCCCCAAGTTGTTGCAAACACCAAGAGTTTCCCTCTGGGAAGGGCCTGCATATGAAGGTGAGGGCTGTGAGGATGATAGTGGCGATGATAATAGTTATTAGAGTATCCTAATAGAAGCAAGTTATGTGTTCATCATCCCTCGGGCACACTTCTAGGTGCTTTACACCTACTATCTTATGTGATTCTCTCAGCAGCCCTAGGAAGGTCTTATTTTTATTCCCATTTTATAGATGAGGAAACTGAGGCCCAGAGAGGTTAGGAGACTTCCTGTGTTAGGCAGCTGGTAAGTGGTGGATCTCAGAGCTGAGATCCTGGGAGCCAAGAGACAGGAGTGGTTATCCCTGCCAGGAGGGTGGGAAGGCTGTCTGGGGAGGCATCATTTTACCTGGCTCATCTGAGAAGGGCCTGCATATGAGAAGGGGAAACATTAAAAAAAAACCAAAAAGGCATTTCTACAAAAGGCAATTTGGTCCCCTGTGCATTTGAGATTCTGTTTTCCTTGGAGTCCTGGGATGCCTTCTCCTCTTGCCTCTGTGATTTCCCTGAGCCTCAGTTTCCTCATCCATGAAAAGGGGATAATTATGGTTTCTGCTTTATTTTGCAGCTCTGAGGATTAAGTGAGATAAAGGTCTTAGCACATAGCAGGTGCTTGTCCTCCTTGAGTTTGCATCTCCCCACCAGCAAGCCTGCCTATGTCCCCTTGCCTGGATCCTGAGGCTCGGGTGTCAGAGAGGCTGCCCTGCAGGCGGGAAGAGGGGTCAAGGATCCTGTTACTGTCGGGCGGGCCCAGCTCTCAGACAATGGGAATCCCATTAACCTCCGCTAGGGAGATCACCATCTGTCCAAACAGTGGGGACTAGGTGTCCCACAGCCTGAGAGTCTGAAGCATCACGCAACATTGCATGCTCCCTCCCCATATATTATCAACAGATTCACCTCAGCCAACCGCACCCTCCCTGCCCTTAGTCTCCCTATCTGTACAAAGGCATCAGCTTCTCTGCTCCAGGTTATAAGCACACAGCTGTTGCTCCCAAAGCTCTGTGATGTGAGCTGAGGTTCAGGTATGACTGGAAGGACCGCCAACAGTCCCTGACCCTACTCACTTTAGATGTGGGGAAACTGAGGCGCAGCAAAGGAAAATTAGTCATTTGCAGTCACTGAGTAGGCCAGCAGTGGGGCTGAGAGTCAGAGCCAGGCCTTTGAGATTGGCGAGGCGTCTGGGTACTGTGAGTGCCATCAGGGTAGGATACAGCCAGGGCTTCAGTGACAGGGGCTTGCCAGCAGGGGTGACGCCCAGGTGAGGAGGAGCTCAGGGTTTACAGGGAGGGCAGCCCAACTCAAGGCGGGCTTTGGCCTGCCATTGCTCAGGCACCGTCCTGGGTGCTCCTGCCTACAGGGCCAGAGAGACTTCCCAAGGCCAGTGTACCAGGCTGTTAACCCCAACGTTCCTGAAGCCCCAGTCCCACTGAGCCAGGCTCCCTGCTGGAGCACGTCCTACATTCCCCATCTCCAGGCCTTGGCTTATGCTGCGCCCAGCCCAGAAGGCCCCTTCCCTCTGTCAACCTAATGGAGCTTTTCCAGTCTAATTTCCTACTGCGCTTCCCCTCCTTCCCTCCACTCTGCCCTTCTCGCTGTTCCTTGAGAGCATCCAACACATCTGCCACAGGGCCTTTGCACTTGCAGTTCTCTCCCCTGGGAGCATTCTTCCACACAGACCTTCACTCCAAGGTCCCTGCTCCAGGGGAGACCAGGAACCTTTGAGCCTTAGTTTCCCCATCCATGAAAAGGGGCTGATGATGGTCCCTGCTTCAAGTTGCAGCTCTGGGAATTAAGCAAGATAAAGGTCTTAGCACACAGCAGGTGCTCCTCCTTGAGTTCAGGTTCTTGAGTTCAGATAGCCTCTCTGACCATCGTATCTAAAATAGACCCCATGGTCACTCTCTGTCCTCTTACCCTGTTTTATTTTTCCCTATGTATATTGGTTTCTTGATGTGTATTTACTGCCTGTCTCCCTTGCTGGAGCAGGA
Organism: Homo sapiens; assembly: GCF_000001405.40. Lineage (NCBI taxonomy): Eukaryota > Metazoa > Chordata > Mammalia > Primates > Hominidae > Homo > Homo sapiens. The sequence continues at coordinate 13,701,781 of NC_000003.12, forward strand.
GCTTGGGAGGGCAGGGGCCATGTCTGTCTTGTCCACTGGGGGATGCTAGTACCCCCAGTGTCCAGTGCATGGGAGCCCCACTCAAGAAACAGCCGTTGGATGACTGAGTGAATAGATGTATGAAGAACCTTCTAATGTGGCCCTCATTAAAATGCCTCATCACCATCATTTTATACCTTTCTTGCACCAAACAAATTGGGAACTCCTTTAGGGCAGGGGCATGTGTTGTCCTGCTACGTGCCCCCAGCACCTATCATCAGGTCTATGTCAGATGATGTGCTCGATAATCCACAATAAATAAGCCAATGTGGTACTGTGTTTGCAAAGACAGCTCCCACAAATTCCTCCCTTCCTGGCCACCATGCCTCTCCAAGGTGGGACGTGTCCCTTCCTCCCACCCATAGCCTGGGCTACTTCCCCTCCCCTTGGACACATGACTTTATTTGGCCAATAGAAGGTGGGGGAAGTGATGGCTGTGCCTCAAGACACCTTGGGGCTTCTGCTTCACTCTTGAAGCACAGCCTCAGATGCCATGCACAGAAGCTGTGATTGGGGCACATGGAGGAGACAAAGGGGACCTTGGTGTGAGAGGCTGGTCTACCACTGGGGTGGGCGCACGACAGGGAACTGAGAGGACCACTGAGTGAGGAGGCTGGCCTACCATTGGGGTGGGGGCACATGGAGGAAACTGAGGAGACACCCAAGTTATGGGGCTGGTCTACCATGAAAGTGGGAGAAGGTGGAGGAAACCGAGAGAACCCCCATATGGGGAGGCTGCTCTACCTTTAGGGGGACACGTGGAGGAAACAGAACCCGCATGTAAGGAGGCTGGTCTACCATAGGGGCGGGGGCAGGTGGAAGGGACTGAGGGGACTCTCGTATTAGAGGGCTGGTCTACTGTGGGGGTTATGTGGAGGGAACTGAGGGGACCCCCATGTGAGGAGACTGGTCTACCATTAAGGTGGGGTCACATAGAGGGAACCGAGGGAATGTCCATGAAAACAGGCTGGTCTACCACTGGGGTGGGGGCACTTGGAGAGAACTGAGGAAACCCCTGTGTGAGAAGGCTAGTCTACCATTGGGGTAGGGGGACTTGGAGTTGAACTGAAAGGACCCCTGTATGAGGAGGCTGGCCTACCATCATAGTGGGAGCACATGGAGAAAACTGAGGAAGCCCCCATGTTAGGAGGTTGGTCTACCATTGGGGCAAAAATCACGTGGCGATGATTGAGAAGACCCATGCGTGAGAAGGCTAGTCAACAATTGGGGTAGGGGGACTTAGAGTAGAACTGAAAGAATTCTTGGGTGAGGAGGCTGGTCTACCATTGGCATGAAACGTGGGATGAAAAGGGCAATGTGGAGTTAACTGAGGATAACCATGTGAGGAGGCTGGTCTACCACTGACATGGGGGCACGTGGAGAGGGACGGAGGGGATTCTTGTGTGAGGAGGCTGGTCTACCATTGGGGAGGTCACATGGAGGGAGCTGAGGGGACCTCTGGATGAGGCAAGTAGTCTACCATTGTAGTGGGGCCACGTGGAGGAAACTGAGGGTATACCCATGTGAGAAGGCTGGTCTACCATTAGGGTGGGGGGCCATGTGGAAATAATTGAGAAGGCCCGAATGTGAGTAGGTCATTCTACCATTGGGGTGAGAGCACATGGAGGGAACTGAGGGGATCCCAGTGTGAGGAGGCTGGTCTACCGTTGAGGGGTCCCCATGGACGGGAACTGAGGGGAAACCCATGTGAAGAGGCTTGTCTACCATTCGGGGGGCACATGGAGGGAAATGAGGGGACCCCCATATGAGGAGGCTGGTCTATCATTGAGAAGGCCACATAGAGGGGAACTGAGGGAACCCATATGTGAGAAAGCTGGTCTACTGTGGGGGGGATGTGGAGGAAATTGAGGGGGCCCACATGTAAGGTAGTTTGTCTGTCATTGGGGTGGGAGCACTTTAAGGGTACTGAAAGGACCCCCATGTGAGGAGGCTCATCTATCGTTGGTTGGGTACATATGGAGAGAACTGAAGGGACACCCAAGTGAGGAGGCTGGTCTACCATAAAGGTGAGGGTACGTGGAGGAAACTGAGAGAGCCCTCATGTAAGGAGGCTCATCTACCATTGGGCTAAGGGCAATATGGAGATAACTGAGAAGGCCAGTGTGTGAGGAGGCTGGTCTACCCTTGGGATGAGGAGGGTTTTCTACCACTGAGGGGCCATGAGAAGGGAACTGAAAGAATCCCCTTGTGAGAAGGCTGGTTTACCATTAAGAAGGGAATGTGGACAGAAGTGAGGGGACCTCATGTGAGGAGGCTGGTCCACCATTAGGGAGGGCCATGTGGAGGGAACTGATGGGACCCCAGTGTGAGGAGGCTGCCCTACCATTGAGGAGGCCGTGTCTAGATAACTGAGTAAACTACTGTGTGAGAAGGCTGATCTACCACTGGGGGGCCAAGTTGAGGCAACTGAGGGGGCCCCCATGTTAGGATGCTGGTCTACAACTCCGGTAGAGGCATGTGGAGAAAACTGAGTGAAAACTTGTATGAGGAGGCTGTTCTACCATTGAAGTAAAGGCACATGGAGGAAACTTAGGGAGAAATAAAGGCACATGTGAGAAAACTGGCCTACCTTTTGGGGGGTCACCGAAAGCAAACTTAGGGGACCCTCATATGAGGAGGCGGGTCTACCACTGGAAGGGTCTCCATAGAGGGAACTGAAGAAACCACCGTGTGATGCAGCTGGTCCACAATTTGCTGGGGTGGGGGGCGGGGTGGGGAGGCACACATGGAAAGAACTGAGGAAATGGCCATGTAAGAAGGCTTGCATACCATTGAGGTGGGGGCATGTGGATGGAACTGAGAAGACCCCTGTGTGAGGTGGTTGGCCTTTCATTGGGGTGGCAGCACATGGAGGAAAACAGAGGAAACCACTGGTGGGGAGGCAGATCTACTATTGGGAACTGTGGAGACCTTCATGTGAGAAGGCTGGTGTACCATTGGTGGCGCCATGTGGAAAGAAATAAGGGGATTCCCGTGTGAGGAGACTGGTCTATCATTGGGGGCCAAGTGAAAAGAACTGAGGGGACCCCCACTTGAGGAGGCTGGTCTACAATTAGGGTGGGGGGACAAGGAAAAAATTGAGGGATCTGCAATTAGGGTGGGGGGACAAGGAAAAAATTGAGGGACCTTCATGTGAGGAACTGGTCTACTATTATGGGGGCATGTGGAGAGAACTGAGTGAACCTCTGTGTAAGAAGGGTGGTCTACTATTGAGGGCGCCACATAGAAGGGAACTGAGGAAACACCCATTGTAGAAGGAATGTATACCCTTTGGGTGGAGGCACATATAGAGAACTGAGGGGACCCCTGTATGAGGAGGCTGGTCTACCATTGGGGTTGGGGCATGTGGAGGGAACTGAAGGGATGCCTGTGTGAGGAGGCTTGTCTGTCATTGAGGAGGCCATGTGAAGGGAACTGAGGAGACCCCGTGTGAGGAGGCTGATCTACCACTGGGATGGGGGCACATAGAGGGAACTGAGGGGTCCCTCGTGTGAGGAGGCTGGTTTACCATTGAGTAAGTTATGTGGTGAGAACAAGGGGACCCCCATGTGAGGAGGCTGTTCTAACATTAAAAAGGTAGGGAACTGAGAGGATCCAGTGTGAGGAGACTGGTCTACCATTGGGTGGGCACTTGAGAGGAGGCTGAGTCAAAACAACTGTGAGGAGGCTGGTCTACCACCAGGGTGGGAGCACATGGAGGGAACTGAGGAAACTCTTGTGAGAGAAAGCTGCTTTATCATTGGGGCAGAGGCACATAAAGAGAAACTGGGGAATCCCTGTGTGAAGAGGCTGGTCTTTCATTGAGGGGGCATGTGGAGAGAACTGAGAAAATCCCTATGTAAGGAGGCTGGTCTACCATTGTAGATGGGGCACATGGACAGAAGCACTGTGTGAGAAGGCTGGTTTACCATTGGAGGGGGGCATGTGGAGGCAACTGAGAGGAACACCATGTAAAAAGGCTGGCCTACCACTGTGGTGGGGGCGCGTAGAGGGAACTGAGGAGTCCCCCATGTAAGGTGGCTGGTTTACCATTGAGCAGGCCACGTGGAGGGAAATGAGTGGTCCCTTATGTGAGGAGGCTGTTCTATGACTGGGGTGGGGCCACCTGGAGAGGAGATGAGTGGACTTTTGTGTAAGAAGGCTGGTGTACATTGAGGGGGGTTCACCTAGAGGGAACTGAGGAAACACCCCTGCAAGGGAGGAGGCTGGTCTACCATTGGAGGGGACTGTGTGGAGGAAACTGAGTGGGCCCCCTTGTGAGACATCTGGTCTACCATTATGATAGGGGCATGTGGAGTAAACTGAGGGGTCCCCCATGTGAGGAGGCTGGTCTACTCTTGGGGTGGTGTGTGCCTTGGAATGGAAATGAAAAAAACCCCATGTAAGGAGGCTGGTCTACCATGGGGAGTACACGTGGAGGGAACTGAGAGGACCCCTAAGTGAGGAAGCTGGTGTATCATTGAGGGTCCACATGGAGGGTACTGAAGAGACCCCCATGTGAGGAGGCTCTTTTATTATCGGGATGTGGGCACATGGAGAAAACTGAGAAAAGGCTGGTCTACCACTGAGGGGGCCCTGTAGAGGGTACTAAGGGGCCCTTCATGTGATGAGGCTGGTCTACTATTGAGGGGGCCAAATGGAAAGAACTGAGGGGACCATCGTGGGAGGAGACTGGTATACCATTGAGGTGTAAGCATGTGGAGGAAATTGAAAGAACCCCCAGTTGAGGAGGCTGTCCTACCTTTAGGGAGTCTCATGGAGGGTACTGTTGGAACCCCCATGTTGGGAGGCTGGCCAACCATTGGGTCTGGGGCACTTGGAGGGAACTGAGGGGACCCTGGTTTGAGGAGGCACCTGTGTGATGGGGGCTTTGGGAGGAAGCTGAGGTACCCCTGTGTGAGTAGGCTTGTCTACCACTGGGGGAATCACGTGGAGAGAACTGAGGTGACCCTTTTGTGAGGAAGCTGGTTTACTGTTGGGGTGAAAGCACATGGAGAAAACTGAGGGTACCCCCTTGTGAGGAGGCTGGTCTACCATTTAAAAGGCCACATGGAGAGAACTGAGGGGACATCTGTGTATGGAGGCTGGTCTACCATTGAGGGGGCAATGTGGAAGGAATTGAGGGGACCCTTATGTGAGGTGGCTGGTCTACCATTGAGTTGGGGACATGTGAAGGAAAGAGAGGGGATCCCCCCCGTGAGGAGGCTGTTCTATCATTGGGGGACCATGTGGAGGGAACTGAGGGGACCCCCCCCGTAAGAAGGCTTATCTACCACTGGGGTAGCAGCACATTGAAGTAAATGAGGGGACCCCCGTGTGACAAGTCTGGTCTACCTTTGGGGTGGGGGCACATAGAGGGGAACTAAGGGGATCCCCGTTTGAGAAGACTGGTCTACCATCAGGGTGGGGGCACTTGGAGGGAACTGAGGAAACCCCTATATGAGGGGATTGGTAGATCACTGGGGTTAGGAAATGTGTAGGGAAATTGAAATGACCCCTGTAAGGAAGGCACATGAAAAATACTGAGGGGATCCCCGTGTGAGGCAGCTGGTCTACTATTATGGTGAGGGCACATAGAGGAACCTGAGGGGACCCTCGTGTGGAGAGGCTGGTCTATCATTGTGGTAGAGCCCACATGGAGATAATTGAGAAAACCTGTGTGTGAGGAGGCTGGTCTACCATTGGGTGGGTACATGTGGGGAACAGAGGGGAAGCCCATGTGAGGAGGCTTGTTTACCATTGGGGTAGGGTAACATGGAGGTGAGTGATGGGACTCCTGTGTGAGAAGGCTGGTCTACCTTTGGGGTGGGGGCACGTTGAAGGAAACTAAGGGGACCCCTTTGTGAGAAGACCAGTCTACCATTGGGGGGCACATGGAGAAAGCTGAGGGGATGCCCACGTGAGAAGGCTTGTCTATGATTGGCTTCGGGGCACATGGCCATAACTGAGGAAACCCCAATGTGAGGCGGGTGGTTTACCATTGGGGTTAGGAAACACGGAGGGCAACTAAAAGAACTCCAGTGTGAGAAGGCTGGCCTGCCATTGGGGGGTACATGGAGGGAATTGAAAGGATTTCCATTGAGGAGGCTGGTCTACCATTGGGTTGGGGGCACGTGAAGGGGAACTGAATGGATTCCCATGTAAGGAGGTTGGTCTACCATTGTGTGTGGTGGGGGCACATGGAGAAAACTCAGAGGACATCCATGTAAGGAGGCTGGTCTATTATTGGGGTAGGGACAAGTAGAGGTAACTGAGGGGAATCCCTGTGTAGGGAGACTGGTCTACCATTGAGGGAGCCCTGTGGAGAAAACTGAGGAAATTCCATGTGAGGAGCATTGTCTACCATATAGGTGAGGGCACGTGGAGGAAACTGAGAGAATTCCCGAGTGAGGAGGCTAGTTTACCATTGAGGTAATCACATTTAGGACACCAAGGAAACCCTCATGTGAGGAGGCTAGTATACCACTGGGGTGGGGGAATGGGGAAGTAACCGAGGAGACCCCCATGTGAGGAGGCATGTTTACCATTGGGGTGGAGGTACATGAGGGAAATTGAGGGGACCCCCGTGTTAGGAGGCTTGTCTGGCATTAAGAGAACCACGTGGAGAAAACTGAGGGAACCCACATGGGAGGAAACTGATTTACCATTGGGATGGAGGCACGTGGGGGGAACTGGGGGAACCCCCCTGTGAGAAGGCTGGTCTACCATTGAGGAGGTTACGTGGAGGGAACTGAGGGGGCCTACATGTGAGGCGGCTGGTCTACCACTGGCAGGTAGCACATGGAGGGAACTGAGGGGGTCCTCGTGTGAGAAGGCTGGTCTACCATTGAAAAGGCTACATGGAGGGAACTGAAGGGGCTCCTGTGTGAGGAGACAGGTCTACCATTGAGGGAATCATGTGGAGGGAAGTGAGGAGACCCTCCTGTGAGGTAGCTGGTCTACCATTGGGTTGGGGGCACTTGAAGGGAACTGAGGGGGCCCTTGTGCTAGGAGGCTGATCTATCATTAGGGGGGGTCATATGGAACAAACTGACTGGACACCAAAGTGAGGAGAGTGGTCTACCATAGAGGTTAAAGCATAAAAAGGAAAGAGAGCCTCTGTGTGAGGAGGCTAGTCTACCATTGATGGGGGCACATTGAGGGAACTGAGGGGATCCCTATCTGAGGAGGTGGGTCTACCATTGGTGTGGGGAGATGCGGAGGGAACAGAGAGGATTCCTTTGTGAGGAGGCTTGTCTACAACTGAAGTTGGAGCACATGAAGAGAACTGAGGGAACCCCTCATGTGAGGCAGATGATCTACCACTGAGGAGGGGGATGAGGAGGAAACTGACAAGACCCCCATGTAAGGCCAGTCTGTTATTGGGGTGGAGGGCACCTGGAGGAAATTGAGGGGAGCCCCATGTGAGGAGGCTTTTCTATCATTGTGATGGGGAAACGTGGAGAGGAACTGGGTGGATCTTCGTGTGAAGAGGCTGGTCTACCATTGGAGGGGGCCACGTGGACATAACTGAGGAAATCCCCATGTAAGGAGGCTGGTCTACCTTTGGGGAGCCATGTGGAGGGAAGTAAGTGCACCCCCTTTTGAGGCATCTGGTCTACCACTGTGGTGGGGGCACATGGGGAAAACTGAGAGGATCCCTATGTAAGGAGCCTGGTTTACCTTTGTGGTGGGGGCACGTGGAGGTAACCGAGGGAACCCCCCTGTGAGGAGGCTGGTCTATCATTGGAGGGTGGTTATGTGGAGGGAATGGAGGAAACCTTCTTGTGAGGAGGACTGTTTATCATTGGAGATCACATGGAGGAAACTCAGAGAACCCCCTTGTGAGGAGTCTAGTCTACCTTTGAGGTAATCATGCTTAGGGCACTGAGAAAACCCCCATGTGAGGTGGCTAGTATACAATTGGGGTGAGAGAATGTGGAGGGAACCTGAGGGGATCCCCCTGTGTAAAGCGTCTGATCTACCATTGAGGGTGCATGTGAGGGGAACTGAGAAGATGCCCAAGTGAGGAGGCTGGTCTACCATTGAGGGGGATATGTGGAGGGAACTAAGGGGACCCCTGTGTGGGGAGGCTGGTCTACCATTGGGATGGGGGCATGTGGTGATAACTGAGGGGACCCCCATGTGAGGAGGCTTGTATACCTTTGAGTGGGCCACATGGATGGAACTGAGGGGACCTACATGTGAGAGGGCTGGTTTACCATGGTGTTGGGGGCATGTGGAGGGAACTGAGGGGATGCCAATGAAAGAAGTCTGGCCTACCATTAGGAATGGGGAATGTGGATAGAAGTGAGGAAACCCTTGTGTGAGGAGACTGATTTACCATTGGGGTGGGGGGACTTGAAGTGGAACTAAAAAGACCCCTGTGTGAGGAGGTGGGTCTACCACTGGGGGTCATGTGTAGGAAACTGAGAGGATCCCTGAGTGAGGAGCCTGATCTATCATTGAGGGGACCACGTGGAGGGAACTGAGGAAACCCTGGGTGAGGAAGCTGGTCTACCATTGAGGGGGCCACAAGGATACTGAGGGGACCCCCGTGTGAGGAGGCTGGTCTACCATTGAAAAGGCCATGTGAAGGAAACTGAGAGAATGCTTGTGTGATGAGGCTGGTCCACCACTGATGGGGCCACGTGGAGGGAACTGAGGGGTCCCTCTTGTGAGGTGGCTGGTCTACCATTGGGTTGGGAGTGAGTGAAGGAAACTGAGAGGACCCTTGTGCTAGGAGGCTGTTCTATTATTGTGGATGGAGGTGATGTGGAGGGAACTGAGTGGACACCCAACTGAAGAGACTGGTTTACCATAGGGGTGGGGGCATGTGGAGAAAACAGAGAACCCCCATATAAGGGGGCTGCTTTTTCACTGAGCAGGGCACATTGAGGGAACTGAAGAAATTCCTGTGTGAGGAGGCTTGTCTACCACTCAGTGGGCTATGTAGAGGAAACTGAGAGGACCCCTATGTGAGGTGGCCAGTCTACCATTGTGGTGGGGGCACATGGAGGAAACTGGGGGTATCCCCTGTGTGAGGTGTCTGGTCTACCATTTGGGTTGGGGCCTTGTAGAGATAAGTGAGAAAACCTGCGTGTGAAGGGACTGAGGGGAACTGAAAAGAGTGGTCTACCACGGGGTTGGGGGCACCTCAAAGGAAGTAAGGGAACCTTTGTGTGGGGAGGCTAGTCTACCTTTGAGGGGGGCTACATGAAAGGAAACAGAGGAAACCCATGTGAGGAAAGTGGCCTACCTTTGCAGCGGCCACAAGGAGGGAAGTGTGGGGACCACTATGTAAGGAGACTGGTCTATTATTGAGGGGGCCACATGGAGGGGAATAGAGGGGATCAGCATGTGAGGAGGCTGGTCTACCATGGAAGAGGATGTGGAGGGAACTGAGGGGACCTGCATTTGAGGAGGTTGGTCTACCATTAAGGGTCCACATGAACAGGAACTAAGACATCTGTGTGAGGTGGCTGGTCTACTATTGTTGGGGGCATGTGGAAGAAATGGAGTGGACTTCCCCCTTGTGAGATATCTGGTCCACCATTGTGGTGGAGGCACATGGAGGAAACTGAGGGACTCCTGTGTGAGGATGCTGGTCTACCATTGGGCTGGGGGCATGTGAAGAGAAACTGAGGGAATCCCCATGTGAGGAGGCTTGTCTACCATTAAAAGGGCCACATGGAGGAAAGTGAGGGCACCCTTGTCTTAGAAGGCTGGTCTACCTTTGAGTGAACCACATGAAGTGAACTGAGGGGAACCCCTTGAGAGGTGGCTGGTCTATTATTCTTGGGAGCACGTGGAGGGAACTGAGGGGACCCCATGAAAGAAGGCTGGTCTACTACTGCGATTGGGGGGTATGTGGAGAGAACTGAGGAAACTCGGTAGTGAAGCTGCTTGTCTACCATTGGGTGAGCACATGGGAGGGAACTGAGGGGACCCCCATGTGAAGAGTCTGATCTACCACTGTGATGGGAGCATGTGGAGGGAACTGAGGGGACCCCCATGTGAACAGTCTGATCTACCACTGTGATGGGAGCATGTGGAGGGAACTGAGGGGACCTTTATGTGGGGAGGCTTGTCTATCACTGTGGTAGGGGCTTGTGAAGGGAAACGACCCCTTCCCCCACCCCTTGTGAGCACGTTGGTCTACCATTGCGGGGGCTTGAGAAGAAAACTGAAGGAACTCCTGCGTGAGGTAGTTCATATACCTTTGAACAGGCCACATGGAGGGAATTGAGTGCACCCACGTGTTAAGTGTCTGGTCTACCACTGGGGGAAGCATATTGAGGGAACTAAGGAGATGCCCATGAAAGGAGGCCGGTGTACCACTGGGGTTGGGTCACATGGAGGGAAATGAGGAAAATCCCATGTGAGGAGGCTTGTCTACCATTGAGGTGGGGGGACTGAGAAGACCCCCATTTGAGGAGGCTGATTTTTATTCAGTGAGCCACGTGAAGAAAACTGATGGGACCCCCATGTGAAGAGGCTGATTAACCATTGGGGTGGAGCCTCCACTAGGGTGGAGGCATGTGGAGAAAACTGCAGGAAACTTCAAGTGAGAAGGCTGATCTAACATTTGAGGGAACCCCCGTTTGAGGAGGCTGTTCTACCACTGAGGTGGGGGCACCTGGAGAGGTAATGGGTGGATCTTTGTGTGAGGAGCCTGGTCTACCACTGGGGTGGGGATATAAGAAGACAAACTGAGGGAATCTCTGTGTGAGGAGGCTGGTCTTTCATTGAGGGGGCACGTGGAGGAAACTGAGAAGATCACCATGTGAGGAGGCTGGTCTTCCATGGGAATGGGGGCAAGTGGAGAAAACTGAACAGGCTCTCATGTGAAGTGTTTGGCCTACCATTATGGTGGGGTCATGTGGAGGAAACTGAGGGGACCCCAATGTGAGGAGGCTGGTCTAACATTGAGAGGGCACATGGAGAAAACTGAGAGGGTTGCCATATAAGCAGGCTGGTGGTACCACATGGAGAAAACTGAGGTGACTTTGTTGTGAGGAGGCTGGTATACCTTTGGGGGGGCCACGTGGAGGAAATTGAATGGACACCCCCTTTGAGGTGTCTGGTCTACCATTGTGGTGGGGGCACGTGGTGGAAACTGAGGGGACCCCATCTGAGAAGGCTGTCTACCATTTGGGGGGCTAAGTGGAGGAAACTGAGGGGACACCCATGTGAGGAGGCTGGTCTACCATCGAGGTGGGAGAATGTGGAGGAAACTGAGAGAACCCCCTTGTGAGGAGGCTTGACTACCTTTGGGGTGGGGGATCATGAAGGGAACTGAGAGGACCCCCATATTAGGAGGCTGGCCTACCATTGAGGGAACCATGTGGAGAAAACTGATGGGAACCACACATGAGGAGGCTGATCTACCACTGGTGTGGGGGCACATGGAGGGAACTGAGGGAACTCCCATCTGAGAAGGTTGGTCTATTATTGGGTGGGGTTATGTGGAGGGAACTGAGGGAACATTCACGTGAGGAGGCTGGTCTACCATTGGGAGGCCACCTAGGGAGAACTGAGGGGATCCCCATATGAGGTGGCTGGTCTACCAATGGGGGAATCACGTCTAGGGCACTGAGGAAATCCTTGTGTGAGGAGCCTAGTATACCAGTGGAATGGGAGTTCTTGGAGGAAATTGAGGGCACCCCTTTGTGGAGGTGCTTGTCTACCATTGGGGTGGGGGCACTTGGAGGGAACTGGGGAGACACCCATGTGAGAAGGCTGGTGTACCATAGCGGTGGGGACACGTGGAGGAAACTGAGGAAACCCCTGTGTGAGGAGGCTGATCTACCATTGGCGGACCACCTGGAGGAAACTGAGAGGACCCCCATGTGAGGCAACTGGTCTTCCATGGTGGGGCACATGACAGAAACTGAGAAGACATTCATCTGAGGAGGCTGGTCTACAATTGAGGGGGACCTGTGGAGGGTAGTCTGTGTGAGGAGGCTGGTCTGCCCTTGAGGTGGCCGAGTAGAAAGAAGAGAGGAAACCCTCGTGTGAGGAGGCTAGTATACCATTGGTGTGGGGGCATATGGAGGGAACTGAGGGAACCTCCTCATGTGAGGAGGGTGGTTTACCATTGGGAAGGCTGTATTGATAGAACCCCCATCTGGGGAGGCTCATCTAACACTGGGGTGGGGGCACATGGAAGGAACTGAGTGGACCCTTATGTGAGAAGGCTGGTCTACCTTTGTGGTGGGGGCTTTTGGAGGAACTGGAGGGGACACCCATGTAAGGACACTTGTCTATTATTGGGGTGGGAGCACGTGAAGGGAACTGAGGGGATGCTTCTGTGAGGAGAGTGGTCTTTTGTTGAGGGGGTCACATGGAGGGAAACCGAGGGAACCCCCGTATGAGGAGGCTGGTCTACCATTGAGGGGGCCACATTAAGAAAACTGAGGGTACCTGATTTGAGGGGGCTTGTCTACTATTTGGTTGGGAGGTAACCGAGGGGACTCCTGTGTGATGAGGTTGGTTTACCACTGTGGTGTGGGGCATGTGTAGGGAAGTTAGGGACCACCATATGGGGAAGCTGGTCTACCACTGAGAGGGCCACATGGAGGAGAACTGAGGGGAAACCCATGTGAGGAGGCTGGTCTACCGTTGCAGGGGCCACATGGAGGGAAGTCAGGGGACCCCCATTTGAAGAGACCCATCTTTTATTGAGGGGGCCACATGGAGGGAAGTCAGGGGACCGCCATTTGAAGAGACCCATCTTTTATTGAGGGGGCCACATGGAGGGGAAGAGAGGGGACCCATGTGTGAGGAGACTGGTCTATCACTGGGGGGGCACATGGAGAAAACCGAGGGGACCCCTATATGAGGAGTCTGGTCTACCATTAAGTGTCCACATGGACGGGAACTAATGGGACCCTTGTGTGAGGAGGCTAGTCTACCATTAGTGGTGGCATGTAAAGGGAACTTGGACCCCCATGTGAGGCAGCTGGTCTACCATTCATGGGGGGCTGCGGAGGGAACTGTGTGGAGGCTGGTCCACCTTTGAGCGGGCCATGTGTAGGAATCTGTGGAGACCCCAATGTGAGGAGGCTAGTCTACCATTGGGGTTGGGGGACAAAAAGGGAACTGAGGGTACCAGTGTGAGGAGGCTGGTCTGCCATTGATGGGGCTATGTGGAGGGAACTGATGGGCACCCTGTTTGAGGAGGCTGGTCTATCATTTGGGTGGGGAAACATTTAGGGAACTGAGGGGGTCCCAATCTGAGGAGACTGGTCTACTATTGAGGGGCCCAAGGTGGAGGGAACTGAAGGGACCTCCGTGTGAGAAGGCTTGTCTACTGGTGGAGGCACATGGAAGAAAGTGAGGGGACCCTTGTGTGAGTAGGCTGGTTTACCATTGAGTGGTCATGTGGAGGCAACTGAGGTGACCCTTGTGTGTGGAGGCTGTTTTTCCACTGGGGTGGGCACATGGAGAGAACTGAGGTGGTGGGGGCCAGTGAGTCATCTGGTCTGCCTTTGGGGTGGAGGCTTGGGAAGGAAACTGAAGGGATTCTTGTGTGAGGAGGCTGGTCTACCATTGATGGGACCACGTGGAGGGAACTGAGTGGGTCCCTATGTGAGAAGGCTGGTCCACCACTGGAGGTGGAGGGGCACGTGTAGGAATCTGTGGGGACCCTAATGTGAGGAGGCTAGTCTACCACTGGGGTTGGGACACACAAAGGGAACTGAGGGTACTCCTGTGTGAAGAGGCTGGTCTACCATTGACAGGGTTACATGGAGGGAACTGAGGGGACCCCTGCCTTGTGAGGAGGCTCATCTGCCACTGGGAGGCCACGTGGAGGGAACTGAGGAGACCTCTACATTGGGGGGCCATGTGGTGGGAACTGAGGGGACCACCATGTGAGGGGGCTGGTCTACCATTGGGGGGACACTTGGAGGGAACTGTGGGGACTCCCATGTGAGGGGGCTGGTCTACTATTGGGTTTGGGGACCATGTGAGGAGGTTGGTTTCCCATTGTGGGGGTCACGTGGAAGGAACTGAGGGGGCCCCTGTGTGAGGATCCTGGTTGGCCTTTGGGGTGGGGGCCATGGGAGAGGAACTGTCACTCCAGAAGACAGCTAACACCCATTGTGTCTTGAAATTTTCAGCCCAGCTGAATGGAGCTTCATGGGTGAGTCCAGGCAAGACCAGCCAGAAACCTACCTGTATTTGCTGACTAACAGAATAGAAAGTAATGGTAAATCAGTGTTTTAGGTTGCCCCATTTGGGGGCGGTTTGTTGCTCAATAGGTCACTGCTCATGGTCCATGTTCCTAGTTGGAAAACTAAGAGCTCCTGAGGCAGGCCCGGCTTTGCAAGAGAACCCAGGTTCCCACAGCAGGCTGGCCTATCAGTGACATCCCTTTCAAAGGGAGGACCAGGGATCCGGTGACTGGGATCTGATTATTCATGAACTCATTCATTTGGATCTATTTTCTGCCCAACTCAGGGCTGCAGGCTGAGAATCCAGAGATGGTCACAGCCTCTATCCTTGTATGTACTCCCCAATTCATAAGCGAGACAGACAGGAAAACCACCAATGACAGTGTGAGGTGGGCTGTGAGGGTGATAGTGAGGATGATTACTATCACGATAGTTAATAGAGTGTAATAATAACAAGTTATGTGCTCACCATGCCCCAGGCACGCTTCTAAGTACTTCACATGTACCAGCTTATATAATTCTCACAGCAGCCCTAGGAAGAAGATCTTGTTATGTTCATTTCCATTTCACAGATGAGGAAACAGAGGGACAGAGAGGTTAGGCGACTCTCCTTAGGAAGTGGTGGATCTCAGAGCAGCGAGGGAGCCCAGCCCAGAGAAAGGCCCAGAGAAGGGAGCGATTATCTGCCAGGAGGAAAGAGGAAGGCTTTTTTTTGGGAGGGGTCATTTGATCTGGCCTTTGAAGGATGCTTAGGAGTCCACCAACCAGAGAGGCAATGGAAATATGTGCAGGCCTGAGGCAAGAAGAAACCAGAGTGAGCCCAGCCAGAGACATAACACTGGGTCTGCCTTATCCTTGGGTATGGGAGCCAGGCAAAAGATGGAATGACAGCCTAAGAGACAGAAGCGGGGAACTGCAGGACCTGGGAGGGCAGTGAGTGGCCTGAGAAACCATCTCTGCAATTTAACCCTGGTGAAAATGGGAAGTGACAATGAGGCTGCTCAGCCCCAGAGTCCTCCCCTGACCCTCTCAGGATCCTGATCCTCTGTGAGGGGCAGCCCTGCCCTGGGAGAGACACAGGGATAGGCTGGGGTGACAAGGGCCTGTGCAGATGAGCAGCATGGGGGGATGTGGCTTTGGCGACCACGTTCTCTTCTGTATTCACTCTTCGTTTGGCCAATGGTTTGACTCAGGGCATAAATAGTTTTTGCTCCAAGCTAGGGCATTTTGGGAATGAACAGGGGCATGATTAACAGCTACCCCAGGATGACAGGTGCAAATCCAGACATTTGGTCACACAGATTACATGGCACCTCTCATGAGCTTGACAATTATTAATCCATTTAATCCTCCTGAAAACCTCAAAAAGAAGGTTGTTATTATCCCCACTTTGCAGATGATGAAACTGAGGCACAGAGAAAAGAAATGCATGCATATTAGCACCTACTCTGGATTGGGCACTGAGCTAGGCCATTTTACATAAATCTTGTTTAACCCTGACAATAGATATGCAAAAGACATGCTGGGAACCCTGTTTACTGATGACAAAACAGGCTCTGAGACCCAATCTGTCCAACTGATCCTCAACCTTAGCCTCTTCCGCTGCCCGACTGGGTCTCTTAAGAACATCTGTCCGATCTGAATCTCTGGCCTGCCTGTGTGTGTGTGTTTTTTAAATTTATTTTCAGTCCCCTCGCCCTCCTTGGATTGCAGCAAGGAAAGAGGTGTGTCTTCCGCAGAAAAATGTGCATGTTCTTTTAGGTGAGATGGGAACAATGCGGGGAGGGGGCCTGGCTATGAGGGCAGGGGCTGTGGGTGGGGTGGGGGAGTGGACTGTTGGCAGCAGAACCTGCTAGGTAGGCTCACTAGACTCAGACACGCACGCTCTCTCTCTCTCTCTCAAGAAAACAGGTGCACAAATTATTAGGTTGGTACAAAGTAATTGTGGTTTTTGCTATTAAAGTAATGGCAAAAACTGCAATTATTTTTGCACCAACCAAATACATCCATGTGGATGGGGCAGCCTTTTCCAAGGGATTCCACCATGCAGGGCTGGATCTGGCCTCCTGGCTGTGTGACTTTGTGCATTGTCCTTCCCTCTCTGGGCTGTGGTGCCCCAGCTGGAACTCCAAGGGCTGAGACTCAAGGGCCTTGTAGAGCCTTGGCTCTGTACCCAGCTCTGTGGTGGATTCAGGGTTAGGGGGCCTGGGTTCAAATCCAGACCCTGCCTTTTCAGATGTGTGGCCTCCGAGCAAGGTATTTAGCCTGCCTCTATGTGCTCACCTGGAAAATGGGGTGATGAAGAAGATGATGATGATAATGGGAACTCCCTCTTGGAGCTGCTGTGCAGATGAAGTGAGTGAATATAAGATGGATGCTTAGAGCAGTGCACGGAAGAGCTGTGCTGTTTGTTATTATCTTCTAGGGGAAACACAAGAAAACCAACTTAGGGAGGAGGCAGCCTGTCCTGGAAGGGGAGGTCCCCACAAAGAACACTGACTCCAGCCAGCTCCTATCTTCAGGCCAAAGTCCCAGCCCAGGGTTTGCTGTGAGGTGGGGGCCTCTAGAGTCTGAAGGGCATGTCTGGTGTGGGCAGGCCCAACCTGACCAGGCACCAGAAACAGACAGGACATTGTGCACTGATAGGAGTCCTACAGGCTGAGGGAGCTGTGCCCGGGCACCCGCTGGGAACCAGGCGGCAGTGGAGGGTGGGGAGTGGGCCTTGTGCCCGGGAATGCGGCCCCACCACCACAGCCAGAGATGGAGGGGACTACAGCCCCCAGCCAGCCCGGCGTCTCCCCAGTCTCAGTCAGTTGGGTGCCACCTTTGAGATTTTTGCCTTATGAGTGAGCATTACTATAATTTATTTCATGGTTGTCTTAATTTTTAATTTATTTTTACATTTAATTTTTGTTTGGATCTGAGCTGTGCTCACATGGTTCAGAAATCAAAAGTTTAGTAAGTGCTTTCAGGGGAGTCTGCCTCCCATCCTGTCTCCCACCCCGGCCCCTCCCCCAAAGCCATGATTATTATTTTACATCAACGAATATGAACTATATGTATTTGATATATTTTTCCAATTCAAAGACAATTTTTAGTATGCAATGCACACTGCCCTACAACACGCTTTTCTCACTTAGTATTTTTAACTTCTCTACTTAAGTGAGTGTAAATGAAAAAATACACCACCACCTTCTGTAAACAGAAGGTAGCTATGACAATAGCACATGGTGATGGAGCAAGACCATTACGTTCCAGTGGGGTCCTGTTGTCTGGGGAGCCCCTGAGCTCAAGGTCTGACCTCTACTCCCTAGTTCCAGAGGGACTAGCAACTGTTGATGGCACACTGAGGACACCCAACACCAAGCTGACACTTTGGCCGGGAAGTAATCAAAAGGACTAAAAAGATTTGGACAGGAAATGCCTCTCCTCATCCTGGTCCTGGTGTATAGCAGCATTGCCATTCCAACAGTGGTGTAAGTCCACACTTTGGGAAACCCTCATCTAGTCCAACAACCCTGGCACTTTAAAGACGGGTAAACTGAGGCTCAGAAAGGGTGGAGGACTTAAAATGATGCAGCTAGTTGGTGCAGAGCCTGGGCAACACCTCAGGTTCCCAGGACCCTATCTACAGCCCCTGGACTAGGCAAATGGGCTTTGTTTGGAAACAAATGTGCCCAATCCCTGCTCCTCCTCAGCCCCCTCCCCAACCCCAAATTTTCATTTAGTGAACCTCTACAATTTCATCTAGATTATCTAATTTGTTGGCATACAATTGTTCGTAGTATTCCATTTTATTTCTTTAATATTCCATTTTATTTCTTTAAGGTTGGTAGTAATGTCCCCTCTTTAATTTCTGATTTTAATAATTTGAGTCTTATATACTTTTTCTTGGTCAATCTTATACATTCTGTTAATCTTTTTTTCAGCTTTTGGTTTCATTGATTTTCTCTTTTGTTTTTCTATTTTCTATTTCATTAATTTCCTTTAATTAATCTTTATGATGTCCTTCCTTCAGCTTGCTTTAAATTTAGTTTGCTTTTCATTTTTCACTGTCTTGAAGGTGGAACTTAGATAATTAATTTGAGATCTTTCTCATTTTTGAACCTAGGAACTTACAACTATAAATTTCCTTCTAACCACTGATTTAACTGTATCTCATAAATTTTGTGATGCTGTGTCTTAATTTTCATTCATTTTAAATATTTTCATTTCATTAAAAGTATTTTCTAATTTCCCCTGTGATTTCTCTTTTGATTCATTAAAGTGTGTTGTTTAATAGCCACATATTTGTGAGTTTCCAAAATTTCTTTCTGTTAATGTTAACCAATTTTATTCTTTTATGGTTAGAGAACATACGTTCTATGATTTCTGTCCTTTTAAACGTATTGGTGTTTATTTTGTGGCCTAAGATACAGTCTATCCTGGAGAATGTTCCATGTACCCTTGAACGCATATTCTGCTGTTGTTGGGTAGAGTGTATTGTTTTGTTTTGCTTTTTGAGACGGAGTCTCACTCTGTTGCCAAGCTGGAGTGCAGTGGTGTGATCTTGGCTCACTGCAGCCTCCACCTCCTGGGTTCAAGCGATTCTCCTGCCTCAGCCTCCCAGGTAGCTGGGACTACAGGCGGGACTACAGTCATGCACCACCATGCCCAGCTAATTTTTGTATTCTTAGTAGAGACGGGGTTTCACCATGTTGACCAGGATGGTCTCCATATCTTGACCTTGTGATCTGCCCGCCTCAGCCTCCCAAAGTGCTAGGGTTACAGGCGTGAGCCACTGCACCTGGCCGGGTAGAGTGTTTGATAGAAGCCTGTTAGGGCTAGTTGGTTTATAGTATTGTTAAAGTCATTTGTTTCCTTTTTGATCTTTTGCCAATTTTTTGTGTACATTATTAAAAATAAGATATTGTAATTTATAATTATTATTGTTGAACTATCTTTCTAGATTAGATATTCTAGAATTAGAATATCTAATTCTATTGTTGAATTATTTTTCCCTTCAATTCTGTCAGTTTTTCCTTCATGTACACTGGGGCTCTGGTGTTGGCTGCACATATGTTTATAATTGTTATATCTTCCTGATCTAAAGAGTATTTCTTATAGACAGCATATAGTTGGATCTTGGTGTTTTTTTTTTTTTTTTTTTTTTTTAAATCCAGTCTGGAAATCTCTGCCTTTTGATTGGATTGTTTAATCCAGTCACATTAATGGTATTATTGATGTCATTGAATTAACATCCACCATTCCACCATTTTACTTTTTGTTTTCTCATGTCTTTTCTGTTCCTCTGTCATTATTACTTTATTTCCTATTAAGTGATTTTTAAAATGTAGCATGTATACCTCTTTAATTATTTTTACTACATATTTTTTAGTTATTTTCTTAATGATTGCTCTAGGGCTTTCCCTATACGTCTTACATTTTCAGAATCAGCTTTAGATTTATATTAACTTAAATTCAGCTAGAAATTGAAATATTACTTCAATGCAGCTCTATTCCTCCCTTTCTTTTAGTGATATTGTTATACATATCTATAAATATTACAAACAAAATAATACATTATTATAGAATTATTATTTTATGTAATTTTATATTTTTGAAGACAATATATCATCTTAAATTTTCAGAATCACTTTTAGATTTATATTACCTTAAATTCAGTTAGAAATTGAAATATTACTTCAATGCAGCTCTATTTCTCCCTTTATTTTAGTGATATTGTTGTTACACATATTGCATCTATAAATAGTACAAACACAATAGTTCATTATTATAAAATTATTATTCTATACAATTTTATATTTTTGAAGAAGCTAAGAGTAGAAAGAAGAACAAGTATATCGTATAGCTTTTGTTATGTTACCCTTCTGGTGGGCATTTCTGGTTGTCTTCATTGGTTCTTGTGGATTTGGGTTACCATCTGGAGTCATTTTCTTATCCCAGTACAGCTTTTCTCTCACACATCTCCTTGTGCTGTAATTGGTAAATATATTATATGTCTGTATGATAGGGCCAATAATACATTATATGCAAATTGCTTCATATAATTACTTTTTAAATCAATTAATGGAAGGAAAAAGTACGCATTTGTAGTGCCTTTTATACTTGCATAATTGCTTTTTTTCATGTGGAATCAAATAATCATCAGGGGTCATTTGTTTTCAGTCTGAAGAACTTCCTTTAGTATCTGTTGTTAAGGCTGATCTGCTAGTAAATAAATTATCCTAGTTTTGTTTATCTTGTAATGTCTTGAATTAACCATCATTTTCAAAAGACAGCTATGCTGGATCTAGGATGTTTAGTTGACAGTTTTTTTCTTTGAGCACTCTGAATATGTTATCCCATTGCCTTCTGACTTCCATTATTCCTGATGAGAAGTTCATTGTTAATCTTATCAGGATTCTCTTGTAAACTGAGTCATTTTTCTTTCATTGCTTTTGAGGTTTTCTTCTTGTCTTTGGGTTTCAACATTTTTACTCTGATTTGTCTGTTTGTGGATCTCTTTGTGTTTATTCTACTCAGAGTTCATTGAGATTCCTAGATGTATAGATTAATGTTTTTCAGTAAATTTGGGTTGCTTTCAGCCATTAATTCTTTTAATATCTTTTCTGATTCTTTCTCCTTCTTCTTTCCTTCTAATACTCCCACTACATGTATTTGTTGTGCTTAATGATGTGCCACATTTCTCTCAGGCTCTGTTCATTTTTCATCATTTTTTTCTCTCTGCTCTTAGATTTCATAAGCTCTATCAACTTTTCTTCAATTTCACTAATTCTTCTGCCAGGTCAAATACACTGTTGAGCTCCTCTAGTTAATTTTTTGAAAATCTCAGTTATTGTACTTTTAACTCCCGATTTCCATTCGATTATTTTAAAAAATAATTTCTATCTGTTTATTAATATCTCCACTTAATGTGGCTTTGTCATCATATGTTCCTTTACTCCTTTAATCATGATTTCCTTAAAGTTATTTGAACATATTTACAATTACCACTTTTAAGTCTTTGTGTGTTAAATCCAACATATGATTTCTCTCACAGGCAGTTTCTTTTGCTTGCTTTTTTACCTCCTGGTGTATGAGTCATACTTTCTTGTTTCTTTGTATGTCTCTTAAGTTTTTTGTTGTTGAAAAGTAGACATTGTAAATAATGTAGCAACTCTGGATAAATTAGTCCTTCCTTCTGGAACTTATTTACTTGTTTACTTTTTTGTGACTTGCTGGATTATTTTAGTTAAGTTGATTTTCCTGCATGAAGGCTCTGGTATTGCTCTTAGAGGGTACATCCTTGGGTATGCCCACAGTCACCCTGAGATGACAGTGGTTTTTGCAGGGCTGTCTTTAATTTTATCTTTCTCTGACCACACTCATCTGTTAAGTTCCACTAATTGGTGGCTGATTGCCCTATTGTTTTCAACACTACATATATTTCTTTAAAGACTGATCCCATCAAAGCCAGACTCCTTTGAGCAGATAGTTCCTGAGGTCAGTGTTTGAGATCTGTTGTGACCCCCAGGAGGACTCTTTCCAGCTGTCTCTTTCCTTGATTCTCTCCAGTAAAATAGCTGTTTATGGTTTAGCCTATATCTCCAATGAACCCATCAATTTCCTCCCAGTTGCCTTTCACCACAACCTGCAATGTTTTTGAGAGGGGTCTTAGGCTTAAACTTGTCCACATTTGGTTGCAAATGAAGTCAGTTCCTTTGGGGAGAAATTTAGAGCTCTCTCTTCTATGGTCTGCTTCTTCCTCCAGGCAAAAATCTCTGAAGCAAAGCTCTAGTGCTGGAAGTGTGGCAATGGTAAACTTTTCTCTGAATGACACACCAGATTTAGGAATTGAGTGCTCAGTGTATAGGGGAAACAGCCTCAGGTCTCCTCAGCTTGCCTCTCTGTATGGAATCCTTGCTCCATCAGTGGGGCAAGAGTGATTGGGTCTCCAGTAGTCTCTGTGGATCTGTGCCCAAGGTAGAACCTCCATGCCATGAGTTGGGCCGGATAGAAGAAGGGAGCCCTCACTGCCTGGCTGAACTTGCCTGGAACATAGAATCAGCAACAGGCAGCTGCGAACAGGATGAGAAATGCTGACATTGTGCGCCTCTCGGGAAGCTAGCTCCTGACTAGGAGCTGGAAGGAGAGGAAACCCTGTGTTCTTGGCTGTACCCATATGGAGTAAAGTTTCTGTCTCACTGAGCTGGATGAGAGGAGGAATAAAGTGATTTTTTTGTCTTTTTGTTGTATCAGTTACTGTGGGTTTAAACACAACAGACTCTTGCTGTTCTTCCTGAATTTTAGTATATTTGAAAAAATAAATGTTTATTAATTAGCTGTACACCCTTAGAATTACTTCCAGATACATTAAATGATTGTTAAGAATTTTTTTTTCACCAGTTACTCTGGGAGTGGTCCATAGGATATCTCACACTATCATGCAGGAAGTAGAACTCACAAAGATATTGCCTCATAATAGTTTTTAGAAGCTACATTACTTCACCTTTCATATTTAGGTCTACGATTCTCCTGAATTTATATTTTTGTATATGATGTGAGGTAGGGGTCAGGTTTCCTTTTTCTCCTGTATTGAAGAGACCATCCCTTCCCCATTGCCCAGAAGAGTCTCCTTTGTCATAACTCAAATGTTCAAATATGGCTGGGACTGTTTCTAAACTTTGTATGCTGCTGTACTGATCTATTTATCTATTCTTGTGCCAAGAGCACATTGTGTTAATTATAAAAACTTTGTGATCAATTTTTATATTGAACTTGGCTATTCTTAGCCTCTTATATATTCGTACAAAATTTAGAATTATTTTATCAATTTTCACAAAATAACCTGTTGTATTTTTTATTGGAATTGCATTGATTGATTCTTTAGATTACTTAGGTGTAAACTCTTGAACATGCTTTTATCTCCTTTTATTTAGGTCAAGAGTTGGCAAACCATGACTAGTGGGTCAAATCTTGCTGATAGCCTGTTTTTGTATGACCCTGGAGCTAAGCATCATTTTCATTTTTAAAGAGACTTTTTTATATGAAAAGAATAACATGTGAAAGAGACCATATCACTGAATTTTAATTACTATTATTTTAAGATTTTTGCTTATTTGTTCATAAATAAGATTGGGCTGTAGTTTTCTTTCTTATGATTCCCTTGTTGAGTCTAGGGTTTGGACATCAACATTATACTGCTCTCATAAAACTAATGGGGGAGTTTATCTCTTTTTCTATTTTCTGGAAAATTTGCAGAAAATTATTTTGTTTCTCCATGGTTTTTGTAGAATTTGCCAGTATATTTATTTTCTGCATGAAAAATATTTAAATACAGATGAAAATTTGAAAATGGTTAAATGACATTTCTATTTCTTCTTGTCACCATTTGATACATTGCCTTTTAAAGAAAAATTTGTCCATTTTACCTAATTTTCAAATTTATAGGTATAAAATTGTTTGTAACATCATTTTTTAAGTGTCTATAGGATCTATAGAAATATCTCCTTTTTAATTCCTATTATTAATAATTTGTGTATTTACTCTCTCATTTTCTTGATCAGTTTTGTAAGGAGTTTATTGACCTTATTGCTTTTTTCAAAAAGATAAACTTTTGGCATTATTGATCATCTTTGCTATGTTTTCTGTTTTATTAATTTCTGGTATTTATTATTTTCCTTCTCTTACTTTCTTTGGGTTTATTTTGTTATCCTTTTCTAACTTCTTGTGATGGGTCACTGATTTCTCAGCCTTTCTTCTTTTCAAATACTAGAAGTATTAAATTAGCCATTAATCATTGCATTAGCTTTAGCCAAAAGTTTTGATATGTAGCATTTTCATTACCTTTCACTTAAATATATTTTCGAATTTTATTGTGATTCCTTCTTTGATCTATTGGTTATTTTCAAGTGTATTTTTTAATTTCAAAAAAAGTGATAATTTACAATACAATTAAGGTAGAAATATATTACCCCCTGCCTCCCTCCCAAATTATTGATTTCTACCTTAATTGTATTTTGGTGACAGAATGTATTCTAGGTGATTTCAAATCTTTGACCTGTGTTAAAAGTTGCTCTGCAGCTTAAGATATGATCAATTTTTTTATCAATGCTCCATCTGTGTTTGAAAAAAACAAACATTTTGTACTTGTAGATGCAATGTTGTATGTGTTAGGTAAATCTGTTTCTTGTAGAAAGCATATAGCTGTATGCATATAGGATCATATTAGTATCTACCCTGCCAATCTGTAATTTACATTTAATATAATGACATTTAAATTTAATGTAATTAATTTTTGCCTGGTAAGGGCTATGTCTGCCATTTGCTTTTCGTTTTTTCCCTCTGTTTCTATTTCTCCATTTTTTCCCTCATTTCCTGTGGTTACTTAGACAATTATTAGAATCACATTTTGATTTATCTACAGTGTATTTGTGTGTATCTCTTTGTATAGATTTTTTGTGGTTACTATAGATATTATATGGTACATACATAACTTATCAGAGCCTACTAAGTATTGACATTTTACCAACTTGAGTAAAGTGCAGAAACCTATCTCTCTTCACATTCCTTTGCCCTCTCTCATTTATAATTTGTCTTAAATATTTGCTCTGCATACATTGAGAACTACATCAGATAATTTTAAAAGTTTTGTGACTCCAACAAAATTTTGAAAACTCAAGAGGAGAAAGAACATCTACTGTATTTACCCATACTTTCATTCTTTCTTTTCCTTCTTGATGTTCCAAAATTCCTTTTTTTAAATTACTTATTTTCTCTTTCAAGAACTTCCTTTAGCCATTATTTTAGGTTAGGTCTGCTGGTGACAATCTCTTAGTTTTACTTCATCTAAGAATATCTTGATTTTCTCTTCGTTTCTGAAGAATAATTTTGTTTGGTATAGGATTCTGAGTTAAGTGTTCTGTTCTTTCAGCACTTTGAAAAATGTCATGCCAATTTCTTCTGGTCTCTATGGTTTCTGATGAGAAATCTACTGTCATCTGAATGGTTTTCTCACATAGGAAAGTGTCATATTTCTCTCACAGCTTTCAAGATTTTTTCTTTGTCTTTTGTTTTCAGGAGTTTAATTGTGGTATGTCTTGGTGTGGATATCTTTGAGTGTATCTTATCTGGCATCAGCTCAGCTCTTGAGTATTTTCAGTCATTATTTCTTTGGATACTTTTTCATCCTCACACTTTTTCCTCTCCTCTGGGGACTTTGATGACATGTTAGTTTTTTTTTTTTTTTTTTTTTTTTTTTTTTTTTTTTTTTTTTTTGATAGTCCCATAGGTTGCAGAGGCTCTGCTGTTTTTTTTTTTTCTGTTTATTTTCTTTCTTTATGCAGATAAGGCAATGTCTATTGCTCTATCTTCAAGTTCATGGATTCTTTCCTTTACTCCCTCCATTCTGCTGTTGAACCTATCCATTGAGTTTTTAATTCAGTTATGTATTTTCCAGTTATAAGATTTCCATTTTGTCCTTCTATATGTCTTCTATTTCTTTGTTGAAATTTTCTATTTTTTCACTTGTTTCAAGTATGCTTATAATTGCTAGTGGAAGAATTTTTATGATGGCTGCTTTAAAATCCTTGTCAGATCATTCTAATTTCTGTGTCATCTTAGTGTTGGCATTTGTTAATGTCTTTTCTCATTCTAGTTGAGTTTTTCTTGGTTCTTGGTGTGATTGTATCCTGAACATTTTGTGTGATACATTAAGAAGCTCTGAATCTTCAATTAGGAGTGGAGGTCTAGGTTTTTTTGTTGTTGTTGCTTTTTTTTTTTTTTTTTTTTGAGACAGAGTCTTGCTCTGTTGCCAGGCTGGAGTGCAGTGGTGCAATCTCAGCTCACTGCAACCTCCGCCTCCCGGATTCAAGCGATTCCCCTGCCCCAGCCTCCCAAGTAGCTGGGGTTACAGGCATGTGCCACCATGCCTGGCTAATTTTTTGTATTTTAGAAGAGACGTGGTTTCACCACGTTGGCCAAGAAGGTCTCCATCTCCTGACTTTGTTATCTGCCCACCTCGGCCTCCCAAAGTGCTGGGGTTACAGGCATAAGCCACTGTGCCCGGCCGGTCCAGGTTTTTTAATAGGCCTCCATGGACATCCCCCAGAGCTGACAGTTTGTTACTGCTGGGCGCGGAAAGTCCTCAGTAGGCCTCTGCCGACACAATATGGCTTTGAGGGAGAGGGACACTTTGTTACCTCTCATGTGGCTTCCACTGACATAATGGGGCAGGTTTCTCATTACCACTAGGCAATGGTGAAAATCTTGTTTTCCACTTGGCCTTCTCTGACAACACCCAGAGGGGAGAAGGAGGGACAACTTATTATTACTGGGTGGGGACAAATGTCCTGGCTCCCTACTCAACTTTTGCTGATAAGAGTGGGGCTGAGTACACAGGTTTTTTTGTTTTTTGTTTTGCCATGTAGGAATAGGGCTGTTTGGAGGGCAGTTATTTTCTTAAAATTTTCTGTCTGGCTAGGTTGCTTCTTTCCTGGTCCTTTGGCTACAGAAATCAGGCTTTAAGTAGGACTTTAAAATTTCTATAACCATTGGTGTTTCTGGTTTTTCTAGCACACAGTCCGAGATCTAGGAGGCAAAAGGACACTTCAGGGAGCACACTGTTAATGTTGCTTCTTGGGTCTCAAGGTCTTTAGCTGTCTGCTCTCTTCTCTCCACTTTCTGGCGTCTTACCATTGTTTTACATATGAAATGAGGTTTTTAAGCTGTAGTTAAGAGAAGAATAGGCCAAATTGCAACTACTCCATCTTGTCCTGTGTGAAGATTTTCATTCTTAATTCAATTTCTTTATTATAGTTGTATTCAGATTTTCTATTTTTTCTTTAATCAATTTTGTTTATTTGTGTCTGTTGGAAATTTGCCTATTTCCTCTAAGTTGTCTAATTTGTTGGTATAAAGTTGCTTATAACATTTTCTTATAATCCATTTCAGGGTAAGTAGGGATGTCTCCTCTTTAATTCCTGATTTTGGTGATTTGTGCCTTCTGTCTTTTTTTCCGGGTCAGTCTAGCTGAAGGTTCATCAATTTAATTAATCTTTTCAAAGAACCAAATTTTGGTTTTATTGATTTACTCTACTGTTTATTTCTTATTGATTTCTGTTCTAACCTTTGTTACTTGCTTTCTTCTGTTTTCTTTGCATTTAGCATACTCTTCATTTTCTAGTTTCTTAAGATGGAAAGTTTAAATGTCCTGCTAAACACTAGTTTAGTGCATCCCATAAATTCTGATATTAAAAAAATTAGGTCAAAATATTTTCTAACTTTCTTCATTATTTATTTTGCACTCATGGGTTATTTGGAAGTGTGTGAGTTTCCAAATAGTTGAGGATTTCCCAGGTTTCTTTCTGTTGTTGATTTCTAATTTAATTTCTTTGTGGTTAGGGAACATATTTTGTATGGCTTCAATTTTAAAAATGTATTGGGACTTGCTTGTGGCCTAACATATAGTTTATCCTGAAAAATGTCCCGTGTGCACTTGAGAGGAATGTATAGTCTGCTGTTGTTGGGTGGAGTGTTCTATAGATGTCTGTTAGATCCAGTTGGTTGTTCATGTCTGCTATTTCCTTGTTAATCTCCTTCCTGAGTGTTCTATCCATGATTAAAAGTGGAGTTTTAAGTCCAACTATTGTTGAATTGCCCATTTCTCTCTTCATTTCCGTCAGTTAAGGTTTGTGTATTTTAGGGCTCTGTTGTTGGAAAAAATATGTTTACAGTTACATGTTCCTGATAGAATGATCCATCTATTATCATAAAAATGTCCTTCTTTGTCTCCAATTATTATTGTTGAATTGTCTATTTTTTCTTTCAATTTTATTAGTTTTTCCTTCATTTTGAGGCTCTTATTAGATGTCTATATGTTTATAATTTTAAAAGTGAGGCAGTTATATCTTTCTGATGTACTTAATTTTTTCATTCTAACATGTCCTTTTTGTCTCTAGCAATATTTTTTTAGCCTGAAGTCTATTTTGTCTGATATTAATGTAGCCACTGTGGCTTTGTATAGTTATTATTGTACAGTATGGATCTTTTTCCATCCCTTTGCTTTCAACTAATTTGTGTCTTTAACTCTAAACTTTGTCTCTTATCAACAGTTTATAGTTAGATCTCACTTTTTTAATGCAGTCTAACCATCTGTGCCTTTATATTTGGGTAGTTAAATCATTTGCTTAATGTAACTATTAATATGGTTAGACTTAGATTGGCCATTTCACTATTGTTTTCTGTCTCCTGTCTTTTTTATTTCTCTGTTTTTCCTTGACTGCTTTCCTTCATGTTAAGTGAATATTATTTAGTGTACCATTTTAATTTCACCGATTTTTTTCTATATTTTTGGTTATTTTCTTAATGATTGTTATAGAGATTTCAATATGCATCTTAACTTATCACAGTCTACTTCAAAAAATTTTTAAAATTATGCTTTAAGTTCTGGGGTACGTGTGCAGAACGTGCAGGTTTTTTACATAGGTATACACATGCCATGGTGGTTTGCTGTACCCATCAACCTGTCATCTACATTAGATATTTCTCCTAATGCTATCCTTCCCCTAGCCCCCCATCCCCTGACAGGCCCCAGTGTGTAATGTTCCCCTCCCTATGTCCATGTGTTCTCATTGTTCAACTCCCACTTATGAGTGAGAATGTGTGGTGTTTGGTTTTCTGTTCTTGTGTTAGTTTGCTGAGAAGATGGTTTCCAGCTTCATCTATGTCCCTGCAAAGGACACGAACTCATCCTTTTTATGGCTGCATAGTATTCCATGGTATATATGTGATACATTTTCTTTATCCAGTCTATCAATGATGGGCATTTGGGTTGGTTCAAAGTCTTTGCTATTGTCAACAGTGCCGCAGTAAACATACATGTGCATGTGTCTTTATAGTAGAAGGATTTATAATCCTTTGGGTATATACCCAGTAATGGGATTGCTGGGTCAAATGGTATTTCTGGTTCTAGATCCTTGAGGAATCACCACACTGTCTTCCACAATTGTTGAACTAATTTACGCTCCCACCAACAGTGTAAAAGCATTCCTATTTCTTCACATCCTCTCCAGCATCTGTTGTTCCCTGACTTTTTAAGATCACCATTCTAACTGGCATGAGATGGTATCTCATTATGGTTTTGATTTGCGTTTCTCTAATGACCAGTGATGATGAGCTTTTTTTCATATGTTTGTTGGCTGCATAAATATCTTCTTTTGAGAAATGTCTGTTCATATCCTTTGCCCACTTTTTTATGGGGTTCTTTGTTTTTTTCTGTAAATTTGTTCAAGTTCTTTGTAGATTCTGGATATTAGTCCTTTGTCAGATGGATAGATGCAAAAATTTTCTCCCGTTCTGTAGGTTGCCTCATCATTCTGATGACAGTTTCTTTTGCTGTGCAGAAGCTCTTTAGTTTAATTAGATCCCATTTGTCAATTTTGGCTCCTGTGCCATTGCTTTTGGTGTTTTAGTCATGAAGTTTTTGCCCATGCCTATGTCCTGAGTGGTATTGCCTAGGTTTTCTTCTAGGGTTTTTATGGTTTTAGGTCTTATGTTTAAGTCTTTAATCCATCTTGAGTTAATTTTTGTATAAGGTGTAAGAAAAAGGTCCAGTTTCAGTTTTTTTGCATATGGCTAGCCAGTTTTCCCAACGCCATTTATTAAATAGGGAATCCTTTCCCCATTGCTTGTTTTTGTCAGGTTTGTCAAAGATCAGCTGGTTGTAGATTTGTGGTGTTATTTCTGAGGCCTCTGTTCTGTCCCATTGGTCTATATATCTGTTTTGGTACCAGTACCATGCTGTTTTTGTTCCTGTAGCCTTGTAGTATAGTTTGAAGTCAGGTAGGGTGATGCTTCCAGCTTTGTTCTTTTTGCCTAGGATTGTCTCAGCTTACAGGCTCTTTTTTGGTTCTATATGAAATTTAAAGTAGTTTTTTCTAATTCTGTGAAGAAAGTTGACGGTAGCTTGATGGGGTTAGCATTGAATCTATAAATTACTTTGGGCAGTATGGCTATTTTCATGATACTGATTCTTCCTATCCATGAGCATGGAATGTTTTTCCATTTGTTTGTGTCCCCTCTTATTTCCTTGAGCAGTGGTTTGTAGTTCTCCTTGAAGAGGTCCTTCATATCCCTTGTAAGTTGTATTCCTAGGTATTTTATTCTTTTTGTAGAAATTTTGAATGGGAGTTCACTCATGATTTGGCTCTCTGTTTGTCTATTATTCGTGTATAGGAATGCTTATGATTTTTGCACATTAATTTTGTATCCTGAGACTTTGCTGAAGTTGCTTATCAGCATAAGGAGATTTTGGGCTTGAGACGATGGGGTTTTCTAAATATACAATCATGTCATCTGCAAACAGAGACAGTTTGATTTCCTCTCTTCCTATTTGAATACCTTTATTTCTTTCTTTTGCCTGATTGCCCCGGCCGGAACTTGCAATACTAGGTTGAATAGGCATGGTGAGAGAGGGCATCCTTGTCTTGTGCTGGTTTTCAGAGGGAATGCTTCCAGTTTTTGCCCATTCAGTATGATATTGGCTGTGAGTTTCTATAAGTAGCTCTTGTTATTTTGAGATATGTTCCATCAATACCTAGTTTATTGAGAATTTTTAGCATGAAGGGGTGTCGAATTTTGTCAAATGCCTTTTCTGCATCTATTGAGATAATCATGTGGTTTTTGTCATTGGTTCTGTTCATGTGATGGATTACATTTGTTGATTTGCATATGTGGAACCAGTCTTGCATCCAGGGATGAAGCTGACTTGATTGTGGTGGATAAGCTTTTTGATGTGCTGCTGGATTTGGTTTGCCAGTATTTTATTGAGGATTTTTGCATCAATGTTCATCAGGGATACTGGCCTGAAATTTTCTTTTTTTTTGTTGTGTCTCTGCTGGGTTTGGGTATCAGGATGATGCTGGCCTCATAAAATGAGTTAGGGAGGATTCCCTCTTTTTCTATTGTTTGAAATAGTTTCAGAAAGAATGGTACCAGCTCCTTTTTATACCTCTCGTAAAATTCAGCTGTGAATCTGTCTGGTCCTGGACTTTTTTTGGTTGGTAGGCTATTAATTACTGCCTAAATTTCAGAACTTGTTACTGGTCTATTCAGGGATTCGACTTCTTCCTGGTTTAGACTTGGGAGGGTGTATGAGTCCAGGAATTTATCCATTTCTTCAAGATTTTCTAGTTCATTTGCATAGAGGTGTTTATAGTATTCTCTGATGGTAGTTTGTATTTCTGTGGGATCAGTGGTGATATTCCCTTTATCATTTTTTGTTGCGTCCATTTGATTCTTCTCTCTTACCTTCTTTATTAATCTTGCTAGCAGTCTATCTAGTTTGTTGATCATTTCAAAAAACCAGCTCATGGATTCATTGATTTTTTTGAAGGGATTTTTTTGTGTCTCTATCTCCTTCAGTTCTGTTCTGATCTTAGTTATTTCTTGTCTTCTGCTAGCTTTTGAATTTGTTTGGTCTTGCTTCTCTAGTTCTTTTCATTGTGATGTTAGGGTGTTGATATACGATCTTTCCTGCTTTCTCTCGTGGGCATTTAGTGCTATAAATTTCCCTCAAACACTGCTTTAAATGTGTCCCAGAGATTCTGGGACGTTGTGTCTTTTTTCTCATTGGTTTCAAAGAACTTATTTATTACTGCCTTAATTTTGTTATTTACCCAGTAGTCATTCAGTAGCAGGCTGTTCAGTTTCCATATAGTTGTGCGGTTTCGAGTGAGTTTCTTAATCCTGAGTTCCAATTTAATTGCACTGTGGTCTGAGAGACTGTTTGTTATGATTTCCATTCTTTTGCATTTGCTGAGGAGTGTTATACTTCCAATTATGTGGTCAAGTTTAGAATAAGTGCGATATGGTCCTGAGAAGAATGTATATTCTGTTGATTTGGGGTGGAGAGTTCTCTAGATGTCTATTAGATCTGCTTGGCCCAGAGCCAAGTACAAGTTCTGAATATCCTTGTTAATTTTCTGTCTTGTTAATCTGTCTAATATTGACAGTGGGGTGTTAAAATCTCCAACTACTGTTGTGTGGGAGTCTAAGTCTCTTTGTAGGTCTCTACAAACTTGCTTTTTGAATCTGGGTGCTCCTGTATTGGATGCATCTATATTTAGGATAGTTAGCTCTTCTTGTTGCATTGATCCCTTTACCATTATGTAATGCCCTTCTTTGTCTCTTTTGATCTTTGTTGGTTTAAAGTCTGTTTTATCAGAGAGCTAGGATTGCAACCCTTGCTTTTTTTTTGCTTTCAATTTGCTTGGTACATCTTCCTCCATCCCTTTATTTTGAGCCTTTGTGTGTCTTTGCAAGTGAGATGGGTCTCCTGAATACAGCACACTGATGGGTCTTGACTCTATCCAATTTGCCAGTCTGTGTCTTTTAATTGGGGCACTTAGCCCGTTTACATTTAAGGTTAATATTGTTTTGTGTGAATTTGATTTTGTTATTATGATGCTAGCTGGTTATTTTGCCTTTTAGTTGATGCAGTTTCTTCATAGTGTCAATGGTCTTTACAATTTGGTATGTTTTTGCAGTGGCTGGTCCCAGTTGTTCCTTTCCATGTTTAGTGCTTCCTTTAGGAGCTCTTGTAAGGCAGGCCTGGTGGTGACAAAATTTCTCAGCATTTGCTTGTCTGTAAAGGATTTTATTTCTCCTTCACTTATGAAGCTTAGTTTGGCTGGATATAAAATTCTGGGTTGAAAATTCTTTTCTTTAAGAATGTTGAATATTGGCCCCCACTCTCTTCTGGCTTGCAGGGTTTCTTATGAGAGATCCACTGTTAGTCTGATGGGCTTCCCTTTGTGGGTAAGCTGACCTTTCTCTCTGGCTGCCCTTAACATTTTTTCCTTCATTTCAACCTTGGTGAATCTGATGATTGTGTGTCTTGGGGTTGCTCTTCTCAAGGAGTATCTTTATGGTGGTCTCTGTATTTACTGAATTTGAATGTTGGGCTGTCTTGCTGGGTTGGGCAAGTTCTTCTGGATAATATCCTGAAGAGTGTTTTCCAACTTGGTTCCATTCTCCCTGTCACTTTCAGGTACACCAATCAGACGTAGATTTGGTCTTTTCACATAGTCCCATATTTCTTGGAGGCTTTGTTTGTTCCTTTTCATTCTTTTTTCTCTAATCTTGTCTTCTCACTTTATTTCATTAAGTTGATCTTCAGTCTCTGATATCCTTTCTTCAGCTTGATTGATTCAGCTATTGATACTTGTGTATGTTTCCCAAAGTTCTCATGCTGTGTTTTTCAGCTTCATCAGGTCATTTATGTTCTTCTCTAAAGTGGTTTTCTGGTTAGCAATTCCTCTAATATTTTTTCAAGGTTCTTAGCTTCCTTGCATTGGGTAGAACATGCTCCTTTAGTTTGGAGGAGTTTGTTATTACCCACCTTCTGAAGCCTACTTCTGTCAATTCGTCAAACTCATTCTCCATCCAGTTTTGTTCCATTGCTGGCAAGGAGTTGTGATCCTTTGGAGGAGAAGAGGCATTCTGGTTTTTGGAATTTTCAGCCTTTTCGTGGTGGTTTCTCCTCATCTTTGTGGATTTATCTACCTTTGGTCTTTGATGTTGGTGACCTTTGGGTGGGGTCTCTGAGTGGACATCCTTTTTGTTGATATTGATGCTGTTCCTTTCTGTTTGTTAGTTTTCCTTCTAACAGTCAGGCCCCTCTGCTGCAAGTCTGCTGGAGTTTTCTGGAGGTCCACTCCAGACCTTGTTTGCCTGGGTATCACCAGCCGAGGCTGCAGAACAGCAAAGATTGCTGCCTGTTCCTTCCTTTGGAAGCTTTGTCCCAGGGAGGCACCCACCAGATGCCAGCTGGAGCTCTTCTGTATAAGGTGTGTGTTGGTCCCTGCTGGGAGACATGGGGGTCAGGGATGCACTTGAGGAGGCAGTCTGACCCTTAGCAGAGCTTGAATGCTGTGCTGGGAGATCTGCTGCTTTCTTCAGAGCTGTCCGGCAGGGATGTTTAAGTCTGCTGAAGCTGCACCCACAGGTGTCGTTTCCCCCAGGTGCTCTGTCTCAGGGACATGGGGGTTTTATCTGACTGGGGCTGCTGACTTTTTTTCAGAGATGCCCTGCACAGAGAGGAGGAATCTAGAGAGGCAGTCTGGCTACAGCAGCTTTGCTGAGCTGTGGAGGGCTCTGCCCATTTGGAACCTCCCAGCGGCTTTGTTTACACTGTGAGGGTAAAACCACCTACTCAAGCCTCAGTAATGGTGGATGCCCCTCCTCACACCAAGCTCAAGCATCCCAGGTCGACCTCAGACTGCTGTGCTGGCAGTGAGAATTTCAAGCTAGTGGATCTTAGCTTGCTGGGCTCTGTAGGGGTGGGATCTGCTGAGCTAGACCACTTGGCTCCCTGGCTTCAGCCCCCTTTCCAGGGGAGTGAACGGTTCTGTCTCACTGGTGTTCCAGGCACCACTGGGGTATGAAAAAAAAAAAAAAAACTCTTGCAGCTAGCTTGGTGTCTGCCCAAATGGCTGCCCAGTTTTGTGCTTGAAACCCAGGGCCCTGGTGGTGTAGGCACCGGAGCGAATCTCCTGGTCTGAGGGTTATGAAGACCGTGGGAAAAGCATAGTATCTGGGCCAGAGTGCCCTGTTCCTCATGGTACAGTCCTTTACCACTTCCCTTGGCTAGAGGAGGAAGTTCCCTGAACCCTTGGTGCTTCCCTGGTGAGGTGATACCCCAACCTGCTTCGGCTTGCCCTCCATGGGCTGTACCCACTGTCTAACCAGTTCCAATGAGATGAACCAGGTAACTCAGTTGGAAATGGAGAAATCACCCACCTTCTGCGTTGATCTCACTGGGAGATGCAGACCGGAGCTGGTCCTATTCAGCTGTCTTGCCAGCAGAAATCTCCTGTCTACTTCAAATTATTAATACTGGTAAAATATAAACTCTTTGTTCCAGCATAGCTCTATTTTCATATCTCTCCTTTGTGCTAATATTTCAAAACCTATTATATTCATATATGTTATAAAGCAAACAATACAGTGTTGCAATTATTGCTTTATGCAATACTATGTATTTTAAAGACGTTAAAGAAATGAGAAATATATATTTATAGTCTTTTATATTAATTAATGTGCAGGTATACCTTGTTTTATTGCACTTTGGAGATACTGTGTTTTTTGACAAATTGGAGGTTAGTGGCAACCCTGTGTTGAGCAAGTCTATTGGCACCATTTTTCCAGCAGCCTGTGTTTACTTCATGTCTCTGTGTCAAATTTTGGTAATTCTCACACTATTTCAAAGTTTTTCATTATTTTATCTGTTATGGTGACTGCAATCAGTGATCTTTGATGTTACTATTGTAATTGTTTTGGAGTGCCACAAACTGTGCTTATATAATACAGTGAATTTAATCGATAAATACGTGTGTTCTGACTGCGCCCCCAACCACCCATTCTGTGTTTCTCTCTCTCTTCTGGCCTCCCTATTCCCTGAGACACAACAATATTAAAGTTACACTAATTAATAACCCTACAATGGCCTGAGAGTGTTCAAGTGAAAGGAAGAGTTGTACATCTTTCTCTTTAAATCAAAAACTAGAAATGATTAAGCTTAGTGAGGAAAGTATGTTGAAAGCCAAGATAAGCCAAAAGCAAGGTCTCTTACACCAGTTAGGCAAGTTGTGAATGCAAAGGAAAACTTCTCGGAGGAAAGTAGAAGTGCTGCTCCAGCAAACATACATGATAAAAAAGTGAAGCAGCCTTACCGCTGATATGGAGAAGGCTTGAGTGGTCTGGATAGAAGATCAAACCAGCCACAACACTTCCTTAAGCCAAAGCTTAATCCAGAGAAAGGCCCTAATGCTCTTCAATTCTATGAAGGCTGAGAGAGGTAAGGAAGCTGAAGAAGGAAAGTTTGAATCTAGCAGGGATTGGCTCACAAGGTTTGAGGAAAGAAACCATCTTCATAGCAGAAGTGCAAGGTGAAGCAGCAAGTGCTGATGTAGAAGCTGCAGCAAGTTATTGAGAAGATCCAGCTATGGTAATTGATAGAGGTAGCTACACTAAACAACAGATTTTCAATGGAGATAAAACATACTTCTACTGGTAGAAAATGCCATCTAGGACTTTCACAGCTAGAGAGAAGTCAATGCCTGGCTTCAAAGCATCAAAGCACAGGCTGACTCTCTTGTGAGAGGCTAATGAAGTTGGTGACTTTAAGTTGAAGCCAGTGTTCACTTACCATTCCAAAAATCCTAGGGCTCTTACTAATTATGTTATTAATTAGGCTAAATTTACTCTGCCTGTGCTCTAGAAATGGAACCACGAAGCCTGGATGACAGCACATTTGTTACAGCATGGCTTACTGAATATTTTAAGCCCACTGTTGAGACCTACTGCTCAGCAAAAAATATTCCTTTCAAAATATTACTGTTTATTGACAATGCACTTGGTTGTTCAAGAGCTCTGATACAGTTGTATAAGTAGATTAATATTGTTTTTATGCCTGCTAATACATCCATTTTGCAGCCCATGGATCAAGAAGTAATTTTGATTTTCAAGTCTTCTTAATTAAGAAATACATTTCATAAAGCTATAGCTGATATAGATAGTGATTCCTCTGATGGATCTGGGCAAAGTAAGTTGAAAACTTTCTGGAAAGAATTCACCATTCTAGATGCCATTAAGAACATTCATGATTCATGGGAGGAGGTCAAAATGTCAACATTAACAGAAGTTTGGAAGAAGCTGATTCCAATCTTGATAGATAGCTTTGAGCGGTTCAAGACTTCAGTAGAGGAAGTCACTGCAGTTGTGGTGGAAACAGCAAGAGAACTAGAATGAGAAGTGGAGCCTGAGGATGTGACTGAACTGCCACAATCCCATAATACAATTTTAACTGATGAGAAGTTGCTTCTTATGGTGGTAAAATAAAGTGGTTTCTTAAAATGGAATCTACTCCATTTGAAGATGCTGTGAACATTGTTGAAATGGCAACAAAGGATTTAGACTAATACATAAACTTGGTTGATTAAGGCAGCAGCGGGGCTTAAAAAGATTAACTCCAATTTTGAAAGAATTTCTACTGTGGGTAAAATGCTATCAAACAGCACCACGTGGTACAGAGAAATCTTTAGTGAAAGAGTCAATCAATGCAGCAAGCTTCACTGTTGTCTTATTTTCAGAAATTGTCACAACCACCCTTCCTTTAGCAACCAACACCCTGATCAGTCAATAGCCATCATATTGAGGTAAGATCCTCCACCAGCAAAAAGATTATGACTTGCTGAAAACTCAGATGGTTTTTTTAAAGCATCTTTTAGCAATAAAAGTATTTTTAAATTAAGGTATGTACATTTGTAGACATAATGCTATTGCACACTTAATAGACTACGGTATAAAGGTATAATTAAACATAACTTTTATATGCACTGGAAAACCAAAAAGTTTGTGTGATTTCCTTTATTGTGATATTTGCTTTATTGCAGTGGTCTGGAATTAAACCTGCAATATCTTTTATGTATGCCTTTATTTACCGTTTCTGGTGTTTTTCATTTCTTTCTGCAGATTTTAGTAACTCTCTGAAGTCATTTCTTTTTAGTTTGGTAGACTTCTTAGAGAACTTCTTCTAAGGTAAGCCAGTCAGCAATAGATTCTGTCAGTTTTTGTTTTTCTGGGAATGTTTTTATTTTGCATTAATGTTTGGAGGATAGTTTTTTTGGGTACAGTAATTTTGGTTGATGGTCTTTTCCTGTCATCACTTGGAATGTGGTATCGCACTGCCTTATGGTGTCTATTGTTTCTAGTGAGAAGTCAGGAAAATTAATTTTACTCTTGCTCCCCTATACATGAGTCTATTTTCTCTTGCTGCTGTTAAGATTTTCACTTTCTCCTTAGCTTTCAACAGTTTTACTGTGGTGTACCTATGTGCATATGTCTTTGTATATTTTCAGCTTGGGGTTTGTTGAGCTTCTTGGATGTGTAATTAAAAATGTTTAAATTAAATTTAGGAAGTTTTGGCCAATATATTAATATATTAAAAAATTCTTTCTGCCTCTTTCTCTCTCTCTGTGTATTTTTGGGACTCCCTTTATGCATATATTTGTGTGCTTCATATTGTCTGACAGGTCTCTGGGGCTCTCTTTATGATTTTCAGTCTCTTTAACTCTTAGTTTTTCAGATTGAATAATTTCTACTGATCTTTCTTCAAGTTTAAGAATTATTTCTTCTATCTCAAATATGCTGTTGAACCCTTCTAATGATGTTTTTTCATTTCAGTTATCTCACAAGAGTGCAATAAGCTACCCAGACATAGGAAATCAGGCTTAAGAGTAAAAACAAGAATAAAAAACTGGACAGAGACATCAGAAGGCACACTGTGTAAGGGAGACAGATATCACACTTTTAACCAGGCAAGTTACTAAATAAACAGCTCCAGAATTTCATTTTGGTTCTTTTTTTATAACTCATATCTCCTAATCAGTGATCTCTTTTTGTTGATTTGTTGTGGTTATACTTTCCTTTAGTTCTTTAAATATGGTTTCTTTAGTTATTTGAACATATAGTGTATTTGAAGTATTTTTCTGCTAAGTCGAACATCCAGGAACCATCAGCAATAGTTTCTAGTGAGAGTCTTTTTCCTGAGTATGGGTCACATTTTACTGTTTCTTTTCATGTCTCATAGTTTTGTTGAAAATTAGACATTTTAGATAAAATATTGTAGTAACTCTGGATTCTGATTTGTTCACTCTGACAGTTGTTGACACTCTGTTTGTCTGCTTGTTTATTTAGTAAATTGCCTAGTTAAAAGTGTGAAATCTGTCTCCCTTACACAGTGTGGCCGCTGATGTCTCTGTCCAGTTTTTTATTCTTGTTTTTACTCTTAAGCCTGATTTCCTAGGGGTCATCCCTGTGTCTGGGTAGCTTAAAATGATCGTGCAGAGGTTGCGCTCACACACTTTGAGCCAGTATGGCTTTTGTCTTCTGCTGATGTATGTGTGTGGGGGAAAGAGTGCATTCAAAGTTCAGGATGTTTTCAAGTCTGCTGTGGTTTTCACTTTCTTCTGGGCACTGTCATGTCTCTTAGACAACTGTGCATAGACTCAGGGTTGGCCAACATGTGTGCATAGCCTTCTCCATTCTTTATTTCACACATGCTGCTGGGACTCTCTTTGCCCCAGTCACAACGACAACTCAGAATAGTAGAGCTATTGGCCCGCCTGTTTCCCCATTCTGAGATTATCACTTTCACCAAGTAGCCATCACACACTGCTCCACATTGAATGAGCCACCTTTAACCATGGCAGCCTCATTTCTGGTTCTCATACCCTAGAGAACCCTCTGTGTCAACTGGATGGGGGGATTGGGAACAGCCCTAGGCACTATAGTCACAGTCTTACCCTGTTACTAGTTGAATATCAGTAAGTTTTCAAGCATGACAGCTCTCAAATGGCTGTATGTATATGGCCCGTGTTCAGCATGCCTAAATGGTTGGTCTGTCGGTTTTATCCAGCTCTTCGAGCAGAGTGTTTGCTCACATCCTCACACAACCATAGCTGGAAGTCTTATGCATTCCCACCACAGCATATTATTTTTATTACTACCCTTCATTTAAAAAATTGAACTGATGAAATTACATCTGAAATTATTTCCTTTTTGCCTGAAGAAAACCTATTAGTGTTTCCTTTATTCATGTCTGCTAGTGACAATTCTGTAATTTAAAATGTATCCGAACTTGCCTTTATTCATCTTTGTTCTTGAAAGATATTTTCTCTGGTTATAAAGTTCTTGGGTTGGTAGTTATTTTCTTTGGCACATTGGTATTATCATTCTATTGTCCTCTGTCTTTTGTATTTCTTGTGGAAAAGCTAGCACTCATTCTAATTGTTACTTTTTAAAGGTAATTTTTGGGTACTTCTGCCTGTTTTTAAGACTTTCTCTTAGTCTTCAGTTTTCGGCAGTTTTATTTTGAAATATTTGTGTAGGCTTTGAAAAATTGTGCTTGGGATTTGTTGGAATTTTTGAATCTATAGATGGATTTTTTTCATCACCTTTGGACAATTCTCAGCCATTTTATCATCATTTATTGCCCCTCTATCTCATAGCTTCTACTGGATTCCAATGAAATGTATTTAGACCTTTTACTGTGTTCTCTCTGTCTTTTATTCCCTCATTTGTTTTCCTCTCACAGTTTTATCTCATTGTGCTTCATTTAAGACATTTTCTTTTTAATCTATCATCTAACTTAATTCTCTCTTTAGCTGTGTCTAATCCACTGTTAACCCATCCATTGTGTTTTTTAATTTCAGTGTTTATATTTTGAAATTGGGGAATTTATTTATATTTAGCTCAAATCTGCCATTCATTTTTTAAAATATAGTTTTCAATTCTCTGCTGAAATTATCAATCTTTTCTGTTGTCTCCTGGGACTTATAAACATAGTAATTGTAAAGACTTTTCCTGATCATCTCAATATCCAGAACCTCTGTGTGTCTATTTCTATCGTCTGTTGACTGCTGGTTTCATTCATGTTGTCTTGTCTCTTCATTTGCTTAGATATGTTTAGCTATTTGGTAGATATTTTATATGCTAAATTGTTTGCCAAAATAACTCGAGGCCTAGGATTGTAGGTATTCTCTTTCAGAGAATATTTGTGTTTGCTTCTACCGGTATCCTAGTGGA
The DNA here is from genome assembly GCF_000001405.40 of Homo sapiens. Taxonomy (NCBI): domain Eukaryota; kingdom Metazoa; phylum Chordata; class Mammalia; order Primates; family Hominidae; genus Homo; species Homo sapiens. Next base: position 13,742,628 of record NC_000003.12, read on the forward strand.
CACTAGAATTTGGCATCACCTCAATGCAGTTTCACAGATTGAGAGCTTCTGGGTGTCCAGATGACTGGAAGCTGGACTCGCCAACTTCCTGTTCACTTCTGCGCATCAGATCTTTGTTAATGCAATCCACATATACAGTTTGCTTTTTGAACTGGTACCTCCCATGGGCCAGTTAGTATGAGTTAAGGTGAGGCAGGGGCAGCACCAGGGGTGGGAGACCATAGGACAGAGCCAACACCAGCAGACTTGGCAGGGAGGGAACCAAAAGGAGCAGCTTCCAATTTAGTGTGAGAAAGATTCCTCCCCCTGGAGCTGTCCAGGGAGGGTTTCCCAGGTGGGAGGAAGCACTTTACCATGGCAGGTGGGGAGCAGGGTTTGGGTGCTGGAGGAAGTGCAGAGGGGAATTTGGGCATTTAATGCGGTATGAGAGACAGGGAACTGGATTCCTTTGAAGGCCTATGAGGTTCTATGTCTTCCTGGCAGAAACAATTCCATCTGATTGGTGAGAAGCTCCCCCAGGCTGCCTCTTGAGAGCACAAATGCCATTTGTATCACCTTAGCACTCAACTCATTGCTGTGCGAAACTCATTTCCCATCAAAGGGAAAGGAATTATTTTTAATTTTAATTTTAGATTTAGGGGGTACATGTGCAGGTTTGTTATATATTACATGATGCTGAGGTTTGGGCTTCTATTGATCCCTTCACTCAGATAGTGAACACTGTACCCAATAGGAAGTTTTTCAGCCCTTGCCCTCTCCCTCCTCCTTTTGGAGTCCCTGCTGTCTACTATTGTCATCTTTTTGCCCATGTGTTCCCAGTGTTTAGCTCCCACTTACGAGTGAGAATGTATTATATTTGGTTTTCTATTTCTGTGTTAATTCACTTAGGATAATGGCCTCCAGCTGCATCCATGTTGCTGCAAAGGCCAGGATTTTATTCCTTTTTATGGCTGTGTTGTATTCCATGGTGTATATGTACCACATTTCTTTATTCATTCCACCGTTGATGGGCACCTGGGTTGATTCCATGCCTTTACTATTGTGAATAGTGCTATGATAAACATACCAGTGTAAGTGTCATTTTGGTAGAACAAGTTATTTTCCTTTGTGTATATGCCTAGTCATGGGATTGCTGGGTCTAATGGTAGTTCTATTTTCAGTTCTTTGAGAAACTTCCAAACTGCTTTCCATAGGGGCTGAACTAATTTACATTCCCACTAACAGTGCACAAGCATTCAGGAAGGTAATCTTTTTTTAAATGAGGCGCAGGACAAGCATCCTGGTTGTTTCCCTCAAGGCCAGCTACCCCATTGCCCATCTTGCCAGCCCCTCCACCTCCCTGAGCTTGGCTCTAGCCTGTCTTTAATCCTTGCACAGCTGGGCTTGGTCCAGCCTCAGGGCCTTTGCACCCGCTCTTCTCTTGCCTGGGGTGCTCTTTACCCAGTTCCTCACAGCTCTCGCCTCGAATGTTATCTGCTCCTGACTACCCAGTCTAAGGTGGATCTCCTTCATTCTCCATCACAGCAATGTCTGCTACTTCCTCTTTTTTATTTCTCAAATCCCCATCTGCAATTATTTAAATTACATAAGTATTTGTTTCTGGTTTGCCTCTTCCTTTATAAAAGGAAACCCCACAGGCTCAGTGTATTAGTCTGTTTTCATGCTGCTAATAAAAACATACCTGTGAGACTGGGTCATTTATACAGGAAAGAGGTTTAATGGACTTACAGTTCTGCATGGCTGGGTAGGCCTTACAATCACGGCAGAAGGCAAGGAGGAGCAAGTCATGTCTTACATGGATGGCAGCAGGAAAAGAGAGAGCTTGTGAGGGAAACTCCCCCTTATAGAACCATCAGATCTTGTGAGACTTATTCACTGTCACGAGAACAGCATGGGAATGACCCACTCCCATGATTCAATTACCTCCCACTGGGTCCCTCCTACAACACCTGGGAATTGTGGGAGCTACAATTTGAGATGAGATTTGGGTGGGGACACAGCAAAACCATATCCCTTGGGGACCTGTCTATCCTTCACATTGCACTGGGACTGGTGCAGAGCTAATACCCATGCTAACAAATGCAGAGGGAATGGGTAAGTGAATAAGGGAGGTAGAGAGGGAATGAATAAATGAGTCAGTGATTAGTGCCTGTGATCTTAGAGCACCTTGATGTAAAGCTCCTGGGTGGGGGCAAGAGGAGGGGGCATTTGGGCCTGCCCCCTGCTGAGAACCAGGGATTCACATGTGTGTAAACCCAGGCTGTGTCTAATTGCCCAGAAAGCTTTATTGGTGGCCTATGATGTGCTGGGAGTGAATCAAAACTGACTGAATTTCCTGAAGCTTTGGCAAACACAATAAATAACTCCATTATATACTGTCATTTAATATCCTCTATGATAAAACAGCTCCTCTATGTTAGAAATAAAACAGAGAGGGGGAGAAAGTGCTGGGAGGACCAGCTGCAATTTAAAATCATGTACATATCTCCCCAGGGGTATTACAGAAAAATAAAATATAACACATTGCATGTCATATTCATTCTAATATTACAGACAATACATCCCTTGTTATATTTATATGTTATAACACTGTAATATAGTGTAATACAGTAATATGACATATAATACAATATGTTATATAACATGTAGGTAATTATAATTATATGATATAATAAATTATATGTGATGATGATATAGAATGATATATTGTATTATGTGCTCTATTACTTATATTCATATGGAATTCTGACCTCCTGCAGGCAGGCTCAAGGCTGACTTCCATGGGAACATGGGGAGTGCCTTGGGCCCCCTAAGATTCAGATACCAGGTAGCCTCAGTTCTGGTCCCGTGACCATCACTGCATGTCTCCAAGACTCAGCTGCTCACCACAAAGGTTGTGGGGATGATTACATGAAAAGGGATGAGGGAATTATCCTTAATAAGCACCTACTGGGTGCCAGTTAATTTTCACACCCAGCAGAATGAGTCTTCCAACATTGCAGGCTGACATTCCTTTTAACTTATTATGATTATTATTGACATTAAGAAACAGCTGAGAATTGGAGGGCCCAGCATAATCATTATACAGACGCGAACTCTCCCGCACCTCTGCCCCAGCAGCAGCCGTTGTTGTCCCATTCTGCTGCTCTCATTTCATCCCAAAGTCCTTAGTTGTGTGTGTGTGTGTGTGTGCACGCGCGTGCGTGCGCCTAGGGGGAGGGGCTGGAATGTTTTTAAGGAAATCCTGGACTTTACAGATAAGGATTTAAAAAAAAAAAGTAACCACAAAACTCTCATGGCATCCAAAAAAATTGACAATAATTCCTTGCTATCTTCTAGCTTAGTCCATGTTCAGCCACCCATGGTCCTCTCAAGGGTGTTTTTTCACACTCAATTTATTCAAATCAGGATCCCCGTAAGATCCACATAGTGCTTTTGGTTGATAAGTCTCTTAAGTGTCCCTTATAACATGTGCTCCTCCTGCTTTTCATTTCCATGCCATTTATTTCTTAAACAAGCAGGGTCAAAGTGTGTCCTATGGACATGCTTTGGAAATGAATGAATGAATGGTGGAGTGAGTGAATGCATGACGGCTCACACTCATTTCTCTTTGCAGGAAAAGTGGGCAAGTTTTGAGTTCAACGTGAGGCCTCAAGGATGTGTGCAACCCATGGTACTTGAATTTACTTATTGACTGTTTTTTGGAAATCCTTATTTCCCAAAACTCGTGGAAGGAGCTGACTTCTGGCAGGAAACGTGGAACTGGCAGCGTGTCGTGCAAGCATCTGCAATCCCAGTCCTGAGCTGGACTTCTCAGAGAGGCTGGGCATTATTTATGGAGATGTCGGAGTGACAGGGGGAACTTCTGGCCAGGAACTGCCGGTGGTGTCACATCCTTAACCTGGCTGACATCGGAACACCCTGGGGGGAGCATTTCTCCAGGAAAGGATGGTGGGTCAGGAGCCCGCATGGTGTCTTTTCAAAGCAATAATAAAGATATCAGAAGGGCAATCTGTCAGGCACAGACACTACTGGGCCTTGCTGAAGCTGGGCAGATGGTGCAGAGGAGAAGAACAGGGCTGGGAACCAGATGTTTCATTTCCTGAAAATAGACATGTCAGGTCTTCGGGGCTGTCAGATGCCCCCTCATTAGCCCATCAGCCTAAATGGAGCCATTGAGCACTGACATCTCACTCAGCTGTGGCACCTGGCAGAGGACCCAGGCCCAGAGCTGTCCAGCCTGGGGCCCTGGCCTGGGGTCTGAAAAGGCCGGTAAGGGGCAGCTACAGTGGACAGTCCTTTCCCCTCTACAGATGAGGAAACTGAGGCCAAGAGAGGGGACGGTGCTTCAAAGAGTGGCAGCGATTCAATGGCAGAGATGGAATGGACCAGGTTTCAGCTCAGGGGTTCATAGAATTTCAGTGCTCAGAGTCTTTGGGAACCCATACGAGAGGGCTTCTGGTTGGTTCAGATGCTCCTGAGTTGTTCTGGAGCTGCCCTGCCCCTTCCTATTTTTGCCATATCCTCGGGAGACTTGTCTTTGGGCTCATCTTACTTCAAGCACACTCACGTTTTTCCACTTAAGCAAATGGAAACTTGATAAACTGCCTTCAACAACAACAACCCCAAACCCAGCATCACACACCATGCATGCAAGGCAGTGTGTGATGAACACACTGAACAATGAACCCAGTGATTTCTAAGGAGTGGTGACGAATGCTGGCGAGCATGTGTCTCAGGATGCCAAGCCTGAGGTCCATTCCCTTGGCTAATAAAGGTGGTGGGCGGACATTGGAGGGCACTAGAGACAGGCTGGCAGCAACCGAGACCTTCCCTATGCAGCAGTCAGCGGGAGGAGGAGATCATGGACCTTCTCATCAGGCAGGCTCACATTACTTAGTGTTCTGGTCCCATCTAATGGCATATTTTGGGAAACTTGGGGAACCCAGGCCCAAAGAAGAGGGGGCAAGTTCTTAAAGACCCACAGCAGGAGGCTGGTTCTGAAAGACTCATGGCTAGGGGGCTGGCTCCGCTTTCCAGAGACCACCAGGTGCTGGTGACCACACAGAGAGACACACAGACAGACACACAGATACCAACACACACAGACACAGTCACGCACACACAGAGACACATCCATGGAAGCACACAGATGCACACACATGCACACACACACACACACAGGTGCAACCAGATGCAGACACACAGATGCACATGGACACACACACAGACACAGACAGAGACACATGCACACAGATGCACACAGATACACACACAGACACACAGGCACACAGACACACACACACACCACGTAACCGTGACCCTGGGGGAAGCGCCTGCCCTCTCTGGGACTCAGTTTTCTCATCAGTACAATAGGAACCATAACTCTCCCTTTTCTAGGTTGGTCGTGAGCTGTCATTGGGTCATTCAACAAATACTTGCTGGACATTGGGTGTGAGGCATGTAGTAGGTGCTCAACATACAGAACCTCCTTCACCTCTCAAAAGAGGCTCTGACCTATGAAGCACCAGGTATCAGCGCCCACTCTGCAGCAGCACATGGCCAAGGCTTTACCTGCCTGTGCTCATTTGTCTGCCACTCCTTATGCTGGGTGCCATCTAACCATCTAACCCATGAGGAAACTGAGGCTCCCATTCATGAAGTCGTGTGCTCAGGCATGAACAGGCGCTCTGGACAGTAAATAAGCTGGAGGCTCCTGGCAGGCAGAGGTAGCTCTGAGACTAAGATATGGACCTTGGGACCCAGGAAATAGAGGCCCAGGGAGAACAGCCTCGCCTAGGGCCACCCACCCTCTATGTGAGCATCCAAGCTGCCTGCTGGTAATTCCAGATTCAGGGAGCTGAATTTCCAGCCCTGGGAGAAGAGCAAAGCCTGTCTCCGAGCCCCTTGGGGGAGAAGATGTGTAATTATTTCTGCCGATTGAATACTCTGACAAAAAAAAAGAGGGAGGAGGGAACAATTTGCCCCGCTTTGCAGGCCGCTGGTATTTCTCTTGCAATGAGCACTGCAGCCCGAGACGCTGTAATTAGGCTTTGTAATAACAGGCTCGGTCGCTCCCGCGCCCTGTCAGGGAGAAGAATCCATCTTACAGGTAATTGTAGGGTTGGCGGTCTCTGAACGTCTCTTTCCGCTAGCCTGGGCCTTTCCTGGGGGTGGCTGGCAGGGCTTTCTGAGTGAACACTGCCTGGGCCGGGGTGCAGGGAGGGGTGGGGGTGGGGACAAGTCTGGAGAAGCCTCCCTAAGAGGTGGGATGAGGAACTTCTCTGCCCCACTCCTGGTTATCTTCTGGTCCAAGCCCCCAGCCCCTGCCTGGATCGTTGCCACAGCCTCTCAATTCACCCTCCTGTGCTCCCACCACCCTCCTATGATCCCTTTTCCTGATGCAGCCAGAATGCATGCAGCTAAACTGGAAGTCACGGCACCTTCCTCCTCTGCTCCACACCCTCCATGGCTCCCACCTTCCTCGGAGGCAGAGACAAAACCCTCCCTCAGGCTGCAGGCCCACATCATCTGGCCTGACCCTCTCTATCTACTTCCCCTGGCTCACTCTGCCTCAGGCCCACGGCGTCCTATTTCCTGAGCACGTGCCCTCTCATCCTCACCTCAGGGCCTTTGCACGGGCTGCTCCCTCCTCCGGTGGTGCCTCTTCTCCAGATGCTTGCTCCCTCACCTCCTTCAGGTCCTGGTTCGATGCTCCTTTCTCAGGGGCATTCACTCGGGCCTCCAGCACTTCCTATTTCCCTGTTCTACTTCATTTTTCTTCGTAGTTCTCACCCCTAACTCACCATATATTTTACTCATAACTTTCTTCCCCACAAGGCTGTCAGCTCCATGAGGTCAGAGGTTTTTCTCTGGCTGGTTCACTGCGGTACCCCCAGTGGTGAAAACAGTGCCTGTCACGTAGTAGGTGCTTAATAAATGACACAACTCACTTCACTCGCAGCACATGCTCCCCTTCTTCACTGAAAGTTCTGGTCACCACCGAGCCTCCATGCAGAGGCACTCTCCTCCAGGAAGCCTGCCTGGAATCTCCCATGGGGAACACTTGCCTGCTCTCCCCTCAGCCATTATCTGTTCCTGAGCCTGTTGCTGTGGCCTCCTCTGGGGCAGATCCAAGGCCGAGTGTCCTCTGTATCTCTAGGAACCAGCATACTCTCAATGGAGAGTGTCCCACGGCCAGGCACTGTGCTGTGGGCCCACCTGAATCCTCTCACTTCATCTCAAAGTAACCCCATGAGAGAGGCATTATTACCATCATCCCCATTTTGCCAAAAACAGAGGCTCTTTTAGCCAGTGGGGTCCAGACTATTTTGATAGCACACGCTTATCAGCAAAAAAAAAATCCAACTTGATATAGATCCCCATGTTCTGCCATCTATTCATTTATAAATTATGTGCTAGTTTTTATTTATATGTATACAGTTTATATTTATTTTATCAAATAATATATTAAAACATTGAATAAACATTTATATTTGTAAAAATAGGTGCTAATAGCTATACAAACAATTGCATAAAACATAATATTAAAGAGATGGATAAAGAGAAAGATGTACTTATGTATTCTTCCTTTCCACCATGGATCATGCCCAGCCTCTGGGCCTGCATATCCCATTTTGGAGCTCAATATGCTGTGGAAAGGTGAAGCAAGGAGTGAGGGCAGGAGTGAATGCGCGTGAACCATGGTGTTTAGGAGCAGAGGCTTTGGAACCAGATTGCTTTGTTGCCTTCGTCACTTATTAGCTGTGTGTCTTTGGGCATGTTGCTTAACCTCTCTGAGCCACGGCTTTCTCAGTGGGCATGGTAATAGCCTCAACTTCAGAGGGCTGTGGTGAGGATTAAATGAGATCATTTATATAGGTGCTTGAAACAGGGCCTGGAATCTTGTTAGGTGTTGCTATTGGGAAAATATTTCATCCTGGAAATAAGGCTGAAAAAAATAGCGGCAGTCAGAAAGGGAAAGACTGAGAATTCAGGAAAGAAAGCTTGTCATCAGTTCCCTGAATTCCTTGTTAATGCTGATGTGCACCTGGAGTGAAAGCCCTCTTTTCAGTCAGCATGTGACAAGAGTGGGTGGACTAGGTTGTGTGTGACCAGACCAACTTCCCCATCTGCACAATGGGAGAGCAGTGCACAGTGGCTGGGCTGGGAGATGTGGATGGCCTAATGGGAGTGAAAGGGCTTTGCTGGCCTGAGGAGGAGGTGGGGGCTCTGGAAGCCAGAGCTGCAAACCTGAGTGGCTTTTGGCCAAGTATGTTTCTTGTGAGGGCCATAAGTTATTTACCCTTTGTCCAAATTGCTGGCCCTGGAGCTGGGTGCAGTGGTGCATACCTGTAGTCCCAGGAGGAGGCCTCTGAGGCTGAGGCGGGAGGATCCCTTGAGGCTAGGAGTTTGAGGCCAGCCTGGGCAACATAGAGAGACTGTCTCAAAACATTTTCCCCCTGACTAATCTGTGGGCAGGCTACATGAGAATCACCTAGAGGGCTGTTAAACAAAAACAAAACGAATCCCAGGTCCTGTCCCAGCCCATTGGAATCACAGGAGTTAGGGCTCAGAAATCTTTATTTATAACAAGTTCTCCCAGGAACTCTACAGCATGGCTGATTTGGAAATGGTTGTATTACATAATTCATATTACCTGCTTTATGATTTTTGAGAGACTAGGAATCTCTCTCTATGAGGGGTTATGGACCAGTGGTCAGGGTTGGACAAGGCTAAAGTTCAAATTTTATTAGCAGTATGATCTTGGATATTTTATTTCTTGCTCTGAGCTTCTTTTCTTTTCTTTTTTTTTTTTGAAACAGGGTCTCACTCTGTCACCCAGGCTGGAGTGCAGTGCCTAGATATTGGCTCACTGCAACCTCCGCCTCCTGGGCTCAAGCAATCCTCCTGCCTCAGCCCCCTAAGTAGCTGGGGGTACAGGCTCAAGCCACCATGCCTGTCTTATTTTTGTATTTTTAGTAGAGACAAGGTTTCACCATGTTGGTCAGGCTGGTCTTGAACTCCTTAGCTGAATCATTCCACCTGCCTTGGCCTCCCAAAGTACTGGGATTACAGGCATGAGCCGCTGCACCTGGCCTCAGCTTCAGTTTTTTCACCTGTAAGATGGGAATAGTAAGAGCACATATTTTTTCTAGAAAATGAGGTCTGATTCTTCTGGCAGAGGTCTGTGTCGGAAAGGGCTTGATATGTAAGGAGGCACGGTTATTGCTATCATCATCATCATCATCGTTAGTAGTTATTATTGTTGTATTACATGTAAAATATTTCTTCCAGGAATTTAAATTCAGAAAAGGTAAGAGCTTAGATGTCACAGAAGAAAAAGCCCTTTGCCACCAGTTCAGAGCAAAACAGCATGTAAGCCATTTGCTAAACAGGTAGAGAGAACCCTCAAAGCAAAATTGAATCCTTCCTCCACCTTCGCATGACTGTAACAGTGTCATGTGTTGTGCGCAGGTGTCAAAACCCATTAATTGCCTCCTCTTTGTTTGCAATAAAAGAATGACTACATACACAGAATCAAAGGCTGAAAATAAGACAGCCATATATTGAAACACAGACACTATTCTTCAATGCAAACACATTTTTAACTTTTCAGCAAACTTAAAATGGCCTTAGCATAATTTGATACTAGCAAAATCATGGATAGATATAGCAACTCTAAAGTATTTAGGGTTTTTTAATTATTTTTATTTTTCAGAAATTTTATTTTGTTGATTAGGAAATATAACATGGTTCCTTCAAATTTTAGGTGGATAAATTATAAAACAATATGCCCTTTGTTTAATTTCTTTTTTTTTGAAGGTTTTTTTATTATTATACTTTAAGTTCTAGGGTACATGTGCACAATGTGCAGGTTTGTTACATATGTATACATGTGCCATGTTGGTGTGCTGCACCCATTAACTCATCATTTACATTAGGTATATCTCCTAATGCTATCCCTCCCCCCTCCCCAGTATTTAGGTCTTTAATTGCCTAGAGTCCCTCAGTGAAGGAGCCTGGCCTTGGTAACCCCGTTCCTCCCTCATTAGTCCATTATAAATAATTTTTAATTGGGCGAAAGGGCATCCTGCAGGTCCCTTGATGGGAGCTGTCAATAATAAACTAGGAACACACTGAAGAAAATGGGAGCCTGGCACTTGGTATCATGAGAACAGTCTAAGCATACTCCAGAGTGGTTTGAAGTTTTTCCACGTGATTTTTTTTTTTTTTTGAGATGGAGTTTTGCTCTTGTCACCCAGGCTGGAGTACAGTGGCATGATCTTGGCTCACTGCAACATTTGCCTCCTGGGTTCAAGCGATTCTCCTGCCTCAGCCTCCCAAGTAGCTGGGATTACAAGCACCTACTAACATGCCCGGCTAATTTTTGTATTTTTAGTAGAGATGAGGTTTTGCCATGTTGGTCAGGCTGGTCTTGAATTCCTGACCTCAGGTGATCTGCCTGCCTTGGCCTCCCAAAGTGCTGGGATTACAGGCGTGAGCCACCATGCCCGGCCTCCGAGTGATTTTTAAAATGACTTTATGCAAAGCACTCATTGCATCTGTGGTGATCCTGACAGTTTGACTGAAAACATTTCTTAGGCTTTCACGCAAATATGATTGAAACAACATTGTAAAAGAATACTTTGCCCTTGAAATCTTGTTCTAAGTGTATTTACACTTAGAGTACTTACAATATGAAACACTCAGTGAAAAGGACCTTTAAAAATCAGCCCCAAATCAGGGCTTTGGCATCCTGGCTTTCTCTGGAGTAATGGGCAGGCTTGGATGATGCAAAAAATTTCTGTGACATCATCAGAGCCCATCAAAATTTTGGCCCGGGGAATCTGGGATGTGGGAAACACGAGGTTTAAAAGATCCTTTTCATGTAGCTCGTAGGAAGATAATAATATTATTCTTTAGGCGTTGATCCACGATTCCAAAAAAGTCCTGTCCACCCTTTCATTCAAATGTCTTGTCCAACAGCTGTTACATCTGAAGCAGTTTGTCTTTTCTAATATTTTCGAAGGCTACTCAATGCTTTAGGTCTTCAACATGCTGGAGAAATATACATGCAACCTCTTTGCACCTCAAAGAAATCAAGGCAAGCTACACTCTTCCTGGATGATCTGAAGAGGAGTTCTAGCTCTGGGACATTCAGGGTGAACTTGGCTGTCCAGTGGCTCATGGGTATAACCTTCATAGCAGTTGTTCTTTGTGCCTTTCAGAAGAATCACACAGTGAGCCCACTATGTTGGGATTTGTAATTTCCACCTTCAGAATTTCAGATACAGGAGGTTTGGAGTGGGGCCCTGAAATCTGCAGCTTATCCCAAGTCTCCTAGTGATTCTTAGGCAGGAGGCCCGCAAACCACACTTTGGGAAACAGCTATTTGCCAACTCCTGTCTATATTTCCTTCAGTACTGGGTGCGTTTAGCCCATTAAAGGTCTGGGGGAGGGGTCTTTAATATACTGCACCACTGACAGGATGATTGATTACTCTGTGGGTCACTGGAATAGAGATGCACACAAACATTTGTGGAATGTCATCAATGGTATTTTCAAGAAGGCCCATCAGAAATGAAAATATGTGCAGTACTGTGATAATACCATTGCCGGATTTTAACGAAAACTCAGGCATCACTATTTTAATTACGAGAGTTTTAGAACACTTTCTCATATCTGATAAGGCAAGCCTTTAATCTTCTTCAGGTATGTCCTGTCCTGTTTCTTCTTGTCATATGTATATGTATATGTGTGTACATATATGTGTATTTTTATATATGTAAATGCTATATAAAAATATATATAAATAAAATTTTATATATGTAAATACATATATATGTATTTTTGGTATTTATCCTTTTTAAAAAAATTGAGAGATATTATACAACTCAGGGGCTTTTAGCATATTCACAAGATCGTGTTAGCATTACCACAACCAGAACATTGTCATCCCGAAAAGAAACCCTGTCCCTATTAGCAACACTCTCCATTGCTCCAAGCAACCATACATCTACATTCTGCCTCTATGGATTTGCCTATCCTGGACATTTCACATAAATGGAATCATGTAATACATGGCCCCTGTGTCAGGCTTCTTTCATTCAGCATCATGTTTTCAAGGTTCTTCCTGGTCACAGCATGTGCCATACTTCATTCCTTTTCATGTCTGCATAATATTCCAGCGTGTGGATAGACCACATTTTGTTCACCCATTAATCAGTTGATGCACATTTGGCTTGTTCCCACCTTTTGGCTATTGTGAATAGTGCTGTTATGAACATCTATGTACAAGTTTTTATGTGAATATGTGTTTTCATGTCTCCTGAGTATACACCTAGGAGTGGAATTGCTGGGTCATATGACAACTCTAATGTTTAACTTTTGAAGAGCTGTCATATTGTTGTTCATAGCTGTCACACCATTTTACACGGCCACAAGGAATATATGAAGGTTCTAATTTCTCTACACTCTTGCCAGCACTTGCTATTGTTTGTCTTTTTTATTGCAGTCATCCTAGTGGGTGTGAATGGTATCTCATTATGGTTTTGATTTGCATTTTTCTTATGACTAATGATGTTGAGTATCTTGCTATGTGTTTTTGACCATTTGTCTTATTTGGAGAAATGTCTATTCAAATTGTTTGCACATTTAAAATTAGACTATTTGTCTTTTTATTGTTGAATTGTAAAAGTTCTTTATTTATTTATTCTGAATACAAGACCCTTATCAGATATGTGATTTACAAATATTTTCTCCCATTCTGTGGGCTGTCTTTTTCACTTTTTTTCTTTCCTTCTTTTTTGGGGTGGGGGAAATGAGGCCTTGCTCTATTGCCCAGGCTGGCCTTGAACTTCTGGGTCCATGTGACCTTCCCACCTCAGCCTCCCAAGTAGCTGGAACTGCAGATGTTCCAAGTAGCTGGAACTGCAGCTGTGCCTGGCTGCACTTTTAAAATGGTATCCATTGAAGCATAAAAGTTTTAAATTTTGATGAAATCTAATGTATCTATTTTTTCTTTGGTTACTTGTGCTTTAGGTGTCACATATAAGAAACTGTCACCTAACTCAAGATTGCCAGAATTTACTCCTATGTTTTATTCTCAGGGTTTTAGAGTTTCAGCTCTTACATTTAGGAATTTGACCCATTCTGAGTTAATTTTTGTATATGGTGTGAGGTAGGGGTCTAAATTTATTCTTTTGCATGTGGATTTGCAGTTGCCCCAGGACTATTTATTGAAAAAACTATTCTTTCTCCTTTGAATTATCTTGACATCCATGCTAAATATCAATTGATCATAGACGCATGGATTTACTTCTGGGCTTTTAACTTTTTCCCATTTATCTATGTATCGTTCTTATGCCAGTACCACACTATCTTGATTACTGTAGCTTTACAGTAAGTTTTGAAATTGGAAAGTGTGAATTCTTCAACTTCGTTATTTTTCAAGATTATTTTGGGTCCCTTACATTTATTTGGGTTCCTTACATTTCCATATAAATTTTGGGATCACCTGGTCAATTTATGCAAAAAAGGAAGTTAGAGTTTTTATGGAATTGTGTTGTATCTGTATGTCAGTTTGAGGATTATTTCCATCTCAACAGTATTAAGTCTTTTGATAGATGAACATGGGATGTTTTCATTTTTTTATTTAAGTTTTAGGGTACATGTGCACAACATGCAGGTTTGTTACATATGTATACATGTGCCATGTTGGTGTGCTGCACCCATTAACTCTTCATTTAACATTAGGTATATCTTCTAATGCTATCCCTTCCCCCTCCCCCCACCCCACAACAGGCCCCGGTGTGTGATGTTCCCCTTCCTGTGTCCATAACATGGGATGTTTTATGTTAATTTAGGTTTTCAGTATCAACACTGTTTTATAGTTTTCAGTGTACAAGTCTTGTACTTTTTTTTATTAAGTGTATTCCTAAGTATTTTATTCTTTTTGATATTATTAAAAACAGACTTGTTATCATATTTTCATTTTTGGATTATTCATTGCTAGTTATAAAAACATAACTGGTTTTTGTATATTGATCTTGTTTCTTACAATTTTGTTTAACTTGTTTATTAGCTCTATTTTTTGTGGGCCAAATAATATTTTGAATCAGCTTGCTAAGGTCCCCAAATAAATCTGTTGGGATTTAATTGGAATTGTATTGGATCTATAGACAGTTTGTGGTTAAATTGACATCTTTGCAATATTATATATCCCTATTTATGGTCATAAAATATCTCTCCATTTATTTAGGTCATCTTTAATATCTTTTAGCAACATTTTAATTTTCTGCATACAAGTGTTGCACATAGAAATATTTTCTTAGATTTATTCCTCGGGAGTTTGTATTTTTTCTACACATTTACAAATGTGTCTTAAAAGGCAACTTTTAAAAAACCATTTAGCTTCAGGGGTGCATGTGCAGGTTTGTCATATAGTGTCATACAGTTACGTGTCACAGGGTTTTGGTGTACATATTATTTCGTCACCAGGTAATAGGCATAGTAGCCCATAGGTAGTTTTTCAATACTCTCCTTCCTCCCACCTTCCACCCTCAAGTAAGCCCCACTGTTATTGCTCCCTTATTTCTGTCCATGTGTACTCAATGTTTAGCTCCTACTTATAAGTAAGAACATTTGGTATTTGGTTTTCTGTTCCTACATTAGTTCAATTGTGGTAATGGCCTCCAACTCCATCCATGTCCCTGCAAAGGACATGATCTCATTCTTTGTCATGGCTTCATGGTATTCCATGGTGTATATATAACACATTTTCTTTATCCAGTCTACCACTGATGGGCATTTAGGTTGATTCCACATCTTTGCTATTGTGAATAGTGCTGCGATAAACATATGCATGTATGTGTCTTTATGGTAGAATAATTTATATTCCTTTGGGTACATACCCATTGACAGGATTGCTGGGTTGAATGGTAGTTCTGTTTTAAGTTCTTTGAGAAATCACCAACTGTTTTCTACAATGGCTGAACTAATTTATATTCCCACCAGCAGTGTATCAGTGTTCCCTTTTCTCTGAAACCTTGCCAGTATCTGTTATTTTTTTGAAAAAGGTAATGTTTTGAAATGTTTTTTGTTGGTATATAAAATACAATTGCCTTTTTCATATTGATCTTATAGTTAGTAACCTTGCTAAGCTTTTACATTATGTTTAGTAATTTATCTATAGACTCTTTGAGTTACAAAGAGTCCAGGATTAAGATTAATCAGATTCTGTGTATTTGAGAATAGGACAAAGGGAAAGAACAAAACTGATGTCAATTTAAGTAAAATATTATTTGTTTCCTGATGGCATCACACTGAACTTAAACACAGTAAGCCATGCAATAGCATGGTCTATGCTATTAAAACCTTCATCTCTATTGGTTCTTTTATTGATCATGGGCTTGGATGTAATTCAAGAGGTGCAGAAGCTTATCCTCATCATGGGTGGAAGCAGAGTCTACAGAGGGCAGAACAGGAAGAGCAGAATTGGCCCTGAATTTCTCCTAGTAAAAGTTGAGGGGGGCAGTTAATGGAGTTAGACAGGAATTGTCATGGCACCATGCAATGGAGGATTCATTTTGTGTTTGCACTCAAGCAGGAAGAGACTACTCCTCAAAGCCACTGAACAAACCTATTTTCTGGTACAGAGATTTCGGGGGCCACAGTCCACAGGCATGGGTGAGTCTGAGTGAGAAGACAGAAGACATAATCCTCCACTCACCAAGCCAAGACCTAGAGCACCCTGAATTTGGAATTAAGGCCTGAATTGAGGAAGTAGGTAGGGCTATTGCCTTGCATAACTCAATCTGGATACACAATCCACATTGCATTCTAGAATTACCATTTAATGGGCACTTACTCTGACCCAGTCCTGTTCCAAGTCTTTTACTCCAAGGGCTTATCTCATCCTGCCCACATCCTTACTATTCTATTATATTATCCCTGTTTGTGTGATGAGGAAACTGAAGCTTGGAGGAATAAAAGGGCAGGTTTAAAGTCACCATCTAGTAAGCAGCAGAGCAGGGGCAGATTCTAGAACCCTGGCTCTCAATGGCTGTACTATATGACTTCCCAGCCAGGAATAGAGAATATGAAACAGAGAAAGCCCCAGGGAGAAAGAAAGAGAGGGGCTCTGTCTGGATTTCCCCTGAATTTCCAGGTCTTAGCTCCTTTCACTTCTCAACCATTCTAATAAATCACTTGAAATTGCTTTTTCTTTTTTGAGACAAGGTCTTGCTCTGTCACCTAGGCTGGAGTGCAGTGAGGTGATGACAGCTCACTGCACTCTTGAACTGCTGGGCTGCTGAAGCAGTTCTCCCACATTAGCCTCTCAAGTAGCTAGGACTACAGGCGTGCAACACCATGCCTGGCTAATTTTTTAATGTTAATTTTTGTAGCAATGGGGATCTCGCTATGTTGCCCAGGCTGCTCTCAAGTCCTTTCTTGTCCATCCCTCTTCATGATGCTGTCTCCTCCATCTGAAAAGTCTCGCCACATTTCTCTTGCTGAAAAACCTGCTTCAAAATCTGGTGTACCATGGAACAGAATACAGAGCCCAGAAATAATGCCGCACACCTACAACCACTTTATCTTCTACAAAGGTGACAAAACCAAACAATGGGGGAAAGGACTCCCTATTCAATAAATTGTGCTGGGAGAACTGGTTAGCCACATGCAGAAGATTGAAACTGGACCTCTTCGTTATACCATACACAAAAATCAACTCAGATGGATTAAAGACTAAACGTAAAACTGAAAACCATAAAAACCCTGGAAGATAACCTAGGAAATACTACTCCAGACATAGGCTGTAGCAAAGATTTCATGACAAAGATGCCAAAAGCACTTGTGACAAAAACCAAAATGGACAATTGGGACCTAATTAAACTAAAGAGCTTCTGCACAGCAAAAGTAATTATCAACAGAGTAAATAGACAACTTACAGAATAGGAGGAAATATTTGCAAATTATGTATCCAACAAAGGTCTAATACCCAGAATCTATAAGAAACTTAAACAAATTAACAAGAAAATAATGAACAACCCCATTAAAAAGTGGGCAAAGGACATGAACAGACACTTTTCAAAAGAAGGTATACACGTGGCCAACAAACGTATGAAAAAAATGCTAAACATCACTAATCATCAGAGAAATGCAAATCATAATCACAATAAGATTCCATCTCATACCAGTCAGAATGACTATCACTAAAAAGTAAAAAAATAACAGATGCTGGTGAGGTTGCAGAGAAAAGAGAATGTTTATATATTGCTGGTGGAAATGTAAATTAGTTCAGCCGTTGTGGAAAGTGGTGTGATGATTTCTTAAAGAACTCAAAACAGAATTACCATTCACTGGGTA